>NC_000019.10:20060000-21522993 GCF_000001405.40 Homo sapiens | reverse complement strand
CTAATCCCTCTAGAAGTGACTGTAGAGGACTATAGATAACAAAGAGACATGATTCTGCCTGCATATTTACGGGACAGTATACACTTTTTTTTTTTTTTGAGACAGAGTCTCGCTCTGTTGCCCAGGCTAGAGTGCAATGGCATGATCTTGGCTCAATGCAACCTCTGCCTCCTGGGTTCAAGCAATTCTCCTGTCTCGGCCTCCAAGTAGCTGGGATTGCAGGCACCTGCCATCATGCCCGGCTAATTTTTGTATTTTTTTAGAGACAGGGTTTCACCATGTTGGCCAAGCTGGTCTCAAACTCCTGACCTCAAGGTGATCTGCCCATCTTGGCCTCCCAAAGTGCTGGGATTAGAGATGCCCAGTGACAGCATGCACTTTGCAGCACAACTGTGAGTTGACTGGAAGCCTGAGAGGAAAAGTACCCTCTAGAGTAAAGCCTGGCTGGCACCTAATATGTTTATATCATGTATGGTAATTCTAGATAGTGTTTGGAAAATATAATTAAAAGAAAAATTGTATCCAGCTGCAGAGAAACTCCATAATGATAGAACAAAAGAGTTTTTATATGCAAGTAAACCAGAATGTGACATGCACCACAGTCAATTTGCTTAAGAGACTGCAAAGACAGAAAAATAGTCATTATAATTAGTCCACAAGTGGAAGAACTTACAGCACCATGTCATACAGAGTTTATCCTAAATTTACCTGGTAATTTGAGAGGCCATCTGTGCATGCCAGTGGGTTATAGTCAATGACAAAATAAACTTTTCCTATCTTCACGACAGGAGGTAATATTCCAACTTGAAAGCAGGTGGCTGCTGAAGGTAGGCTCTCACTCTCCTGCAGAAATGGCTGGATGGGGTGCTATCTTTTTGGCTATTTACATTTTAAAGCAATGGCTCCTCTACTCCCTAAGCACTGGGCTAGAGCACTCCTGCTTACCCTCTCCTGATGACGAGTGTCCTCTCGACTCCTACCATCTGCCACTGAAACACAGCTCACAGCACAGGGCTCACAGCTGGCAGCTCACATCATACATGAACCCCAATTGCCATAGCAGCACTCCAGTGCCACATCAGAGAGTAAAGCCTGAGCTGCATGAGGAGATCCTGTAGGCCTCCTGGATAGAATTGTGCCTTCATAATAATGGGAATGGGAGCAGTGTTTCAGCCTCAGTTTCTAGTTATAATTGTGACATTAAAAAATACTGCTGGATTTCCAGGATAAGTGCAGATGCTCCAAGAGTTCTCACTGTGACAGCCCACCTAATTCACACAAACCACAGGATATGAATAGGCCTTCTGAAACAGACAACCAAAGCATGAGAGAGAAAAGCAGCTCTCCATCTCAGCAAGATTCTACTGAGAACAAACTAAGTTAAAAGCATCTTAAGAAGAAAACTCAGATTAGATACAAGATTGATCAAGTAGGCCAGAAAATATTCCCCTAAAAGGAATTTCTCTGAAAACACCCAAAATGCACAGCTATTGTCAGCATGAGAAACATGAGCATTATGAAGAAAAAGGGCATATTCTCAGTAGAATTTCATAAGGTTTTTCTTTCATGTCTGTTGCTCTTTTATCTCCTAGCCATCAAATGGGGGATCTATTGTGAAATACATGTGACAACTTCCACTAGAGCTTTTTGATAAGAACTGGAACCTGACTTTGTTTATATAGTGGAATGTATCTGAGATTGAAACATAGTTAACTAAAGAGCTATTATGGTTTTGGGTGGCCACATCACTCATCATGTTGATTTGTCCTGTAATAGCAGCATTCAAATTTAGTGAAATAAGACACTGAAACCATGCTCACATATAATTAGTCCTTTTGGGGAAACTAATGAGCATTTCAGACTAATATCTACTGTAACAATTTTGTAGTGAGTTTTCCTTTGATGTTAGATACAAATATCTATGTATAAATAATTTTTGTGTACTAGTCATGATGTCTGTAGAACTTTTAAAAATTGTCTGTAACCATAATTCAGTTAAAACACTATATTTCAAAAGTAAAAAGAACAATATTGAAGTGCCTATTTAAGGTATTCAAAGTAAATATTGTGGCCTTATATTCATACTATTATAGAAAATGCTATTAATATGAGTGCAGGTTGTTGACAAACACTACACATAATAACTATGTTAATTGTTCTGAAGTAATAAATAGAAACCAAAGTACAACTACAGATTCCACTTTTCAGTTTATACACTGAACTGCTCTTGCTTTTTCTGTGTAAGTACTTTGGACTGCAAATATCAGATAATTACCCTGGATAATCAGTTTTCTCTCAAAGGAACTTAGTATTTTCTAGTCTTTATTATCTTTGTGCTCAACTTTTGTGTACTCTTAAAATGAGCTTTAATCTAAACAACTCTGTGTCTACTTTACAAGACTAAAAATGAAAAAATAAAATAAAACCTTTCCCAAAGCAAAAACAAAGCAATGGTTATGAGGTCCTAGAGAAAGACAACCTTGAGTCAAAAAAAAATGACAAATGGTTTATTTAGCTGTTACTATGATTTACATATATTTCCAAAAATCAGAGAAAAATATCTACATATAATCTAAATGCTTTAAGAAAAAAGAACAAAATATCTTCCATTATTTTCAGGTAGGAGAATAAAGCCTCTTATTTCTAATTTATATTTTCTCCTACAACAACCAAGTCTCTGGACATGTCCCTGAACCCTTGGACATCTGAATTTTAGGAGACACTGGATTCAGGTATCTAAGGTGTAGCCTTGGGCACCCTGTGTACACTTGAAAGAATGTTTATGAAGGAAAAAGCAGAAGAGAAAAAGGTGTTCTAAAAAAATCCATGGGTGTTGGCTGGGCACAGTGGCTCATGCCTGTAATCCTAGCACTTTGGGAGGCTGAGGCAGGTGGACTGCCTGAGCTCAGGAGTTTGAGACCAGCCTGGCCAAGATGGTGAAACTTCATCTCTACTAAAATACAAACAAAAACCAGCCAAACATGGTGGCAGGTGCCTGTAATCCCAGTTACTCAGTAGGCTGAGGCACGAGAATTGCTTGAACCCAGGAGGTTGCAGTGAGCTGAGTTCATGCCACTGCACTCCAGCCCGGGCAACAAAGTGAAACTGTCTCAAAAAAAAAAAAAAATTCATGGGTGCACATGAATACAGCAAGTTCTTAGAAGACCTATAAAGAGATGTAGATTCTGACACAATAATAGGAGACTACAACACTCCGCAGACACTTAGATCACTGTGTTGTGGGAATTAGGAGACTGGAAAGACCGATAGGTAGAAAAGGAGGATTTTATTGAGTGCACTCAGACCCAGTGGATTAACATCCAGAGACTGGGCCAAGGACAAAGACAGCATTTAACTTTTACATACACTTCTAAAGAGGGTGGGCTAACTTGAAACAAGCCTACAGTGGCACAAAGTGTAGTGATGTGAAAGCAAGGATACAGAAACAGAACAAAAGCAGTTAATCATACTATGACAGGTTTATAACTCAGACTTACATATGACTCTTACTATGTGGCCCAGATGGCTGTTACCTAGGCTTGCTCTAGTGCCTTGCATGGGCTTATCTTATAACCTTCACTATGGTGCCTAGGTGGCTGCAATCCAGGCCTGCTCAGGCATCTCATGACCTTCAATGTGCTGCTTAAATGAAAAACAGGAATCATAAGAGAAAGGAAAATTTGTTTCTCTTCTCCCTATGTTGAGGGAATGCTGGGAGAGTCTCCAGAGCACATTCTTTCCAGCCCTGGCTTCTTAAATAGTGTTATCAAAACTTTTCCTGGATGTGGGCTGTGCCTGTTACTGCCTCTAGGATAAGTCAGCCTAATACAGGAAACCTTGTTTCTTTCTCTTTTTAATTTAATTTTATTTTCTTTAATTTCCCACCTTGAGGCAGAAAATTAGCAGATATCAGAACCTAAACTCAACACTTGACCAAATCATTCTAATAAACATATATGAAACTCTTCATCTGAAACCAACATAGTATATATATCTTTCTCATCACCATGTGTCACATACTCTAAAATTGACCACGCAATCAGAAACACAACAATCCTCAGCAAATTCAATAATCCCAAAATCATACCAAATGCTCACTTAGACCACAACTTGATAAAGATAAAGATATAATACAGGGCTGGGCACGATGGCTCATGCCTGTAATCCCAGCACTTTGGAAGGCTGAGGTGGGCAGATCACGATGTCAGGAGATCGAGACTATCCTGGCTAACACAGTGAAACCCTTTCTCTACTAAAAATAAAAAAATAAAAATTTAGCTGGGCGTGGTGGTGCACATCTGTAGTCCCAGCTACTCAGGAGGCTGAGGCAGGAGAATCACTTGAACCCGGGAGGTGGAAGTTGCTGTGAGCCGAGATGGTGCCATGCACTCCAGCCTGGGCGACAGAGCAAGACTCCATCTCAAAAAAAGAAAAAAAAAGATATAATTCAGTACAAAGAAAAACACTTGAAAACATGCAATTACATGAAAATTAAACAATCTTCATCTGAATGACTTTTGGGTAAATAATGAAATTAAGGCACAAATCAAGAAGTTCTTTAAAACAAATGAGAACAGTGATACAACACACCACCAGAATCTCTCCAACACAGCTAATGTGAGGTTAAAAGGGGAATTTACAGCACTAAATGCTCACATGAAAAAGGTAGAAAGATCTCAATTTAACAACCTAACATCATAAATAAAAGTATAAGAGAAGCAAGAGCAAACCAGCCCCTGAGCTAGCAGAAGACAAGAAATAACCAAAATCAGATCAGAACTGAAGGAGATTTAGACATAAGAAGTCATACAAAAGATCAAGAAATCCAGGAGTTAAATCTTTTAAATAAATCAATAAGATAAACCACTAGCAAGTTTAGTGAAGTAAGAAGAGAAGATTCAAATAAACACAATAAGAAATGACAATGCCTGTAATCCCAGCACTTTGGGAGGCCGAGGTGGGTGGATCACAAGGTCAGGAGATAAGAGACCATCCTGGCTATACCCTGTCTCTACTAAGAATATAAAAAAAAATTAGCCAGGCATGGTGGCGGGTGCCCGTAGTCCCATCTACTCAGGAGGCAGAGGCAGGTGAATGGCGTGAACCTGGGAGACGGAGCTTGCAGTGAGCTGAGATCGAGCCACTGTACTCCAGCCTGGGTGACAGAGCAAGACTCCATATCAAAAAAAAAAAAAAAGGAAATGACAAAAGGGTCATTACTACTGACCCCACAAAAATACAAATAACTACTGAAGTCTACTATAAACATCTCTATGCACACAAACTAAAAAAAAAATCTAAAAGAAATGGATAAATTTCTGGGCAAATACATTCTCCCAATACCAAACAGAAAGAAACTGGAGCCCAGAACAGAACAATAACAAGCTCTAAAATTGAATTAGTAAATAGCCTACCAGCCAAAAAAAGCCTAGGACCCACAGATTCACAGCTGAATTCTACTAGATGTACAAAGAAAAGCTGGTATTATACTTTCTAAAACTACTAAAAAAATTGAGAAGAAACTCTTCCCCTGCTCATTATATAGTAACAGCATCATTCTGATACCAAAACCTGGCAAACATAAAACAAAAAAAAGAAAACTCAGGCAAAAATTCTTCATGAACACTGATGCAAAAATCCTCAATGAAATACTGTAAAATTGAATCCAGCAGCACATCAACAAGCTAATCTGCTATGATCAAGTAGGCTTTATCCCTGGGATGCAAGGTGGGTTCAACATACACAAGTCAATAAATGTGATTCATCACATAAACAGAACTAAAGACAAAAAACACAAGATTATCTCAATAGACGTAGATAAAGCTTTCAATAAAATGTAACATTCTTCATGTTTAGAACCCTAAACAAACCAGGCATTGAAGGTACATACTTCAAAATAGTAAGATATCTGTGACAAATCAACAGCCAACCTGCTGAATGGACGCAAGCTGGAAGCATTTCTTCTTAAAAACTGGCACAAGAAAAGGATGACTTCTCTCACTACTTTTATTCAACATAGAATTGGAAGTCCTGGCTAGAGCAATCAGGCAAGAGAAATAAATAACAGGCATCCCAACAGGAAGAGAGGAAAGGAAACTAACCCTGTTTGCAGATGACATGATTCTATATCTAGAAAACCCTATAGTCTTGGTGCAAAAGCTCTTTAGACTGAAAAACAACTTCAGCAAAGTTTCAGGATACAAAATACATGTACAAAAATCAGCAGCATCTCTGCACATCCACAATATCTGAGCCAAAAACCAAATCAAAAACATAATTCCATTCACAACTGCCACAAAAAGAATAGAATATCTAGAAATACAGCTAACCAGGGTGGTGAAAAATCTCTACGACAAGAACTACAAAACACTTCTTAAAGAAGTCAGAACTAACACAAACAAATCAAAAACTACTTTATGCTCAAGGACAGAAAAAAATCAGTATCATTAAAATAACCATACTGCTCAAAGAAATATACAGAAATAATGCCATTTCTATCAAACTACCAAAAACATTCTTAACACAACTAAAAACTGTTTTTAAATTCATATGGAACAACAAAAAAAGCCCGAAGAGCCAATGCAATCCTAAGCAAAAAGAACAAAGCGGCTGGGCATGGTGGCTCACACCTGTAATCCCAGCACTTTGGGAGGCTGAGGCGGGTGGATCACAAGGTCAGGGGATTGAAGCCATCCTGGCTAACACGGTGAAACCCCGTCCCTACTAAAAATACAATAATAATAATAATAATGATGATGATAGCAGAGCATAGTGGCACATGCTTGTAGTCCCAGCTACTTGGGGGGCTGAGGCAGGAGAATTGCTTGAACCCAGGAGGCAGAGGTTGCAGTGAGCCAAGATTGCTCCACTGCACTCCAGCCTGGGGAATTAAGCGAGACTAGGTCTCAATAAAATAAAAAAAATAAAAAAATTTAAAAAAACAAAAAAACAAAAAACAAAGCTGGAGGCACTGTATCACTTTACCCCACTTCAAACTATATTGCAGGGTGATAGAAACCAAAGCAGCATGGTACTGGTACAAAAGCAGACTCATAGACCAATGCAACAGAATAGAGAGCCCAGAAATAATGCTGCACACCTACGACCATCTGATATTTGACAAAGCTGACAAGAGGAACGTAAGAAGAATTTTCTGTTTAATAAATAGTGCTAGAATAACTAGCTAACATTATGTAGAAGACTGAAACAGCACCCCTTTCTTATACTATATACAAAAATATACTCAAGATTAAGTAAAGACTTAAAAAATACTGGAAGATGACCTAGGAAATACCATTCTAGACATAGGAACTGGCAAAGTTTTATGATGAAGATACCAAAAGCAATTGCAACAAAAGCAAAATTTGATGAATGCAACCTAATTAAAGAGCTTTTTCACAGCAAAAAAACAAAAAACAAAAAACACCACACACAAAAAAAAATCAGAGTAAACAGACAATCTACAGAATAGAAGAAAATATTTGCAAACTATGCTTCTGACAAAGGTCTAATATCCAGAATTCAAAAGGAACTTAAACAAATTTACAAGAAAAAACAACCTTATTAAAAAGTAGGCAAAAAACATGAATAGATGCCATTCTAAAGAAGATATACATGTGGCTAACAAGCATTTGATGAGTATTTCTTTCTTATCACTAATCAGTAGAGAAATGCAAAGAAAAATCACAATGAGATACCATCTCACACCAGTCAGAATGGCTACTATAAAAAAGTAAAAAAAAAAAAAAAAAAAGGCCAGGCACAGTGGCTCACAGTTGTAATCCCAGCACTTTGGGAGGCCAAGGTACGGGGATCACTTCAGGTCAGGAGTTCGAGACCAGTCTGGCCAACATGGAGAAACCCTGTCTCTACTAAAAATACAAAAATTAGACAAGCGTGGTGGTGCATGCCTGTAATCCCAGCTACTTGGGAGGCTGAGGCAGGAGAATCACTTGAATCTGGGAGGTGGAGGCTGCAGTGAGCGGGGATCACGCCACTGCACTCCAGCCTGGGTGACAGAGTGAGACACCATCTCAAAAAATAAAATGAAATAAAACAAAATAAAATAATTTAAAAAAATAAAAATATATATGGTGGCCAGGCACAGTGGCTCATGCCTGTAATCCCAGCACTTTGGGAGGCTGAGGTGGGCAGATCACTTGAGGTCAGGAGTTCGAGACAAGCCTGGCCAACATGGCAAAACCCCGTCTCTACTAAAAATACAAAAATTAGCTGGGTGTGGTGGTGCGTGCCTGTGATCCCAGCTACTTGGGAGGCTGAGGCAGGAGAAATCACTTGAATCTGGGAGGTGGAGGTTGCAGTGAGCCCAGATTGTAAAACTGCACTCCAGCCTGGGTAACAGACCTAGACTCTATCTCAAAAATAAAATAAAAAAATATATATATGTGTGTGTGTGTGTATAAAATATACATGGTATATAAACATCACGGAATGCTGTGTGGTTATTTAAAAAAAAAAGAACAAGATCATGTCCTTTGCAGCAACATGAATGGAGGTGAAGCCCATTATCCTCAGAAAACTAATGCAGAAAAAAGAAACCAAATGCATGTTCTCATTTATAAGAGCTAAATAACAAGCACATATGGACACAAAGAGAGGAACAACAAGCACTGAGGCCTAGTTGAGGGTGGAGGGTAGGAGGACAAAGAGAATAAGAAATACCTGTTTGATGCTATGCTTAGTACCTCAGTGACAAAATAATCTACACTAAACTTCCATGACACAATTTTATCTATATGATAAACCTGCATGTGTACCCCTAGACCAAAAATAAAAGTTAAAAGGAAAAAACTTCATTAGTTGGGGGAGAGTACTATGTAGGTGAAAAGACTGGTTTGTGCTACAGATAATGGTCCAGGTGGGGCTGTACTGATTTATTTCTAGGTCCATGGAGGCAGATGAGATTACAAACAGGTGGCCCAGAACCCTAAGTTGGTGGAGAAAAACAGGTTGCTGTTGCAGATTGTGTCTGGGAGTAGGAATATTCCAGGAGACTTGTAGACACTTTTGTGCATTTCTGGGAAGGAACACTGGGATCAAAAATGCTGTGGTGAAGTTCCTGAGGGTGGTGCTTCATTCTGGGAGGGATGTGGACATGTCAATGTCTAGTGGGTGTGTATGTGAGTGGGTGGGAATCACGTGGTGGCAGCTGCAGGAAAAGGGAGTCTGTCATCAGAGATCGTTCCCTCTAAGTTTTCATCCTCTCTTACCCTAAGAGGACACCTGGAATCACAGGACAATGGGCAGTGTGAAAGCCTGTGTACAGGAGAGCAGAGCCTCCCATTTCCAGATACCAAGAGTTTTATTCCAGGACAGGCCTCTGTGATATCTTTCTTCTGGCACCAAATCTGTAGAGTTTGCTTAACACCAAGCAATTCTCCAACAGCAACTCAATGTCTAACATTTGAATTTGGACACCACCCAGAGTCAGCAGAGACCCAGATTCAGGGCTTGGTCCCACAACATTGTCCTTACTGGAGATGCCAGTCACAAACCCCATGGGCCCATCTATGCTTCTGAGCTGTTTAAAAATTCAGGACTTTCATAACCTCTATGAAGTTTAATAATTGGACAGAGCTACTCAGAGAACTCAGCAAACACTGTAGTTATGTTTACTGGTTTATTATAAAAGATAAAATCCAGGAGAAGTCAAATGGAAGAAATGTATAGGACAAAGAAAAGAGGTGGGAAAATAAAAAGCACGTGGATAATCCGAGAAAACAGCTGTGATTAATAAAATTCTCTATCCTTTGTGTGCCAGAAACAGTTTATGGAAAGAAACCCCATTACCATTAAGACTAAGGGCCGGGTGCAGTGGCTCATGCCTGTAAACCCAGCACTTTTGGAGGCTGAGGCGGGTGAATCATGAGGTCAGGAGATCGAGACCATCCTGGCTGACATAGTGAAACCCTGTCTCTACTGAAAAATAGAAAAAATTAGCCGGGCATGGTGGCAGGCGCCTGTAGTCCCAGCTACTGGGAGGCTGAGGCAGGAGAATGGTGTGAACCCAGGAGGCGGAGCTTGCAGTAAGCCGAGATCACGCCACTGCACTCCAGCGTGCAAGACAGAGTGAGACTCCATCTCAAAAAAAAAAAAAAGACTTAGATGGTGCTCTCTATTCTTACCTGTCACATAAGCCAGACATAGACTCTGCACATTTTCTTCTTGCTCTCATAAAAATGGTAGCTGAATTTGACTTCAGTGGTAAAAATAAAATACTTCTGTCAGAGGCATTTAAACCAGAGCCTATTGGGCTGCATTCCCAAACAGTTAAGGCATTCTTTCCTCCTTTTTTTTTTTTTTTTTTTTTTGAGATGGAGTCTTGCTCTGTCGCCCAGGCAGAATGCAGTGGCGTGATCTCGGGTCACTGTAACCACCACCTCCCCGGTTCAAGTGATTCTCCTGCCTCTGTCTCCCAAGTAGCTGGGATTACAGGCGCCCGCCACCATGCCCAGCTAATTTTTATATTTTTTTTTAGTAGAGATGGGGTTTCATCATGTTGGTCAGGCTGGTCTCGAACTCCTGACCTCAGGTGATCCACCCGCCTCAGCCTTCCAAAGTGCTGAAATTACCGCGCATGGCCCACAGTTAAGGCATTCTAAGTCGCATAATAAGAGGTTGGCACAAGATACAGGTCATAAAGACCTTGCTGATAAAACAGACGGCAGTAAAGGAGCCAGCTAAAACCCACCAAAACCAAGATGGCCCTGAGAGTAACCTCTGATTGTCCTCACTGCCACACTCCCATCAGTGCCATAACAGTTTACAAATGCCAATGCAATATCAGGAAGTTACTCTGTATGGTCTAAAAAGGGGAGGCATGAATAATTCACCCCTTGTTTAGCATATAATCAAGAAATTACCGCTCTCCCTCTCCCTCTCCCCACGGTCTCCCTCTCCCTCTTTCCATGGTCTCCCTCTGATGCTGAGCCGAAGCTGGACTGTACTGCTGCCATCTCAGCTCACTGCAACCTCCCTGCCTGATTCTCCTGCCTCAGCCTGCCGAGTGCCTGCGATTCCAGGCGCGCACCGCCACGCCTGACTGGTTTTCGTATTTTTTTGGTGGAGACGGGGTTTCGCTGTGTTGGCCGGGCTGGTCTCCAGCTCCTAACCGTGAGTGATCCGCCAGCCTCAGCCTCCCAAGGTGCCGGGATTGCAGAAGGAGTCTCATTCACTCAGTGTTCAATGGTGCCCAGGCTGGAGTGCAGTGGCGTGATCTCGGCTCGCTACAACCTCCACCTTCCAGCCGCCTGCCTTGGCCTCCCAAAGTGCCGAGATTGCAGCCTCTGCCCGGCCGCCACCCCGTCTGGGAAGTGAGGAGCGTCTCTGCCTGGCCGCCCATCATCTGGGATGTGAGGAGCCCCTCTGCCTGGCTGCCCAGTCTGGAAAGTGAGGAGCGTCTCTGTCCAGCCGCCATCCCATCTAGGAAGTGAGGAGCGCCTCTTCCCGGCTGCCATCCCATCTAGGAAGTGAGGAGCATCTCTGCCTGGCCACCCATCGTCTGAGATGTGGGGAGCGCCTCTGCCCCACTGCCCCGTCTGGGATGTGAGGAGCGCCTCTGCCCGGCCGTGACCCTGTCTGGGAGGTGAGGAGCGTCTCTGCCCGGCCGCCCAGTCTGAGAAGTGAGGAGACCCTCCGCCTGGCAGCCGTCCCATCTGGGCAGTGAGGAGCGTCTCCGCCCGGCAGCCACCCCATCTGGGAGGGAGGTGGGGGTCAGCCCCCCACCGGGCCAGCCGCCCCGTCCGGGAGGGAGGTGGGGGGTCAGCCCCCGCCCGGCCAGCCGCCCCATCCGGGAGGTGGGGGACTCCTCTGCCTGGCCGCCCCTTCTGGGAAGTGAGGAGCCCCTCTGCCCGGCCACCACCCCGTCTGGGAGGTGTACCCAACAGCTCATTGAGAACGGGTCATGATGACAATGGCGGTTTTGTGGAATAGAAAAGGGGGAAAGGTGGGGAAAAGATTGAGAAATCGGATGGTTGCTGTGTCTGTGTAGAAAGAAGTAGACATGGGAGACTTTTCATTTTGTTCTGTACTAAGAAAAATTCTTCTGCCTTGGGATCCTGTTGATCTATGACCTTACCCCCAACCCTGTGCTCTCTGAAACATATGCTGTGTCCACTCAGGGTAAAATGGATTAAGGGCGGTGCAAGATGTGCTTTGTTAAACAGATGCTTGAAGGCAGCATGCTCGTTAAGAGTCATCACCACTCCCTAATCTCAAGTACCCAGGGACACAAACACTGCGGAAGGCCACAGGGTCCTCTGCCTAGGAAAACCAGAGACCTTTGTTCACTTGTTTATCTGCTGACCTTCCCTCCACTATTGTCCTATGACCCTGCCAAATCCCCCTCTGTGAGAAACACCCAAGAATGATCAATAAAAAAAAATTAAAAAATTAAAAAAAAGAAATTACCATAAAGTGGTCAACCAGCAGCCCTCTGGGATGCTATGTCTGTGAAGTAGCCATTGTTTTATTCCTCTATTTTCTTAATAAACATGCTTCCACTTTACTCTATGAACTCACTCTAAATTCTTTCTTGCGTGTGATCAAAGAACCCTATCTTGGAGCCTGGATTGGGACCACTTTCCTGTACTTCCATATCAGACCTCGCTGAAATTTATCTCCTTCCCAGAGGTTCCTGGACTTTGGGCTGCCCTCCGTCTGAGCCAACATACAACCCCATTCTACTTCCCTTCTAAGAACATGCTGACCTCAGGATAAAACATTCTCTGATCTAGAATCTGATGTTTTTACCGTCCATTTGCCGTTCCCCTCCCATCTTTTTTCTAATCTTGTTTGCTCACCCCTATGAAAGAAAGCCCTTGTCATCACCTGAGGTAAGGACTTCGAGACCAGCCTGGCCAACATGGTGAAACCCCGCCTCTACTAAAAATACAAATGTCAGCCGGGCATGGTCGCGGGCACCTGTAATCCCAGCTACTTGGGAGGCTGAGTAATGAGAATTGCTTGAACCCGGGAGGTGGAGGTTGCAGTAAGCAGAGATCGTGCCACTGCACTCCTGCCTGGGCAACAAGAGCAAGATTCCATCTCAAAAAAAAAAAAATTATTAAAAAAAGAAAAGAAAGGCTTTGTCTGCCTAAACTTTGCAATCCTTAAAGCTCTTATGGTTGGTATTTCCTCCTGTTGCAATACTCCTTGGTAATTCAATTTTCTTTTTTTTATACAAATCTAACTTTGTTCTACTTTACAAAGTCTAAAAACTGTCTCAAAACAAGGACAACTTTATCTTCAGTAAGATCCTCCCAGTTCCCTTCCACCTTAACTGTAACTGTATCTGCCTGTGGGTTCCCAGCTTTCCAGGGCTCTGTAGCTTCTCTCAGGATAAAGCCTCCTTCCATGGCTGGGGTGAGCAGGCAGGGACACCTGCAGGGGAGGCTCCCCAGAAAGAACTAACTGGATCTTAAATAACCTTCTTTTGCAGGCTCAATATTAGCCTTAGCTTGGAGTCACTGGGCTCAAGTTTTAATTTCCGTGTCAGAGTTATTCACTTGGTCTTTGAAACTAAGTGTTCGAAAAATCCAGCAAAATTACTCAATGTTCATATAAAACAAGGCAATTTTACAATGCTTACATTTCATACCTCAATAAGAAAAGCAAAAGTATCTATTCCTTTATAAATGTATTATTTTATTATTTCCATTAAAAAATCATGTAGTAGGCCGGGCAAGGTGGCTCATGCCTGTAATCCTAGCACTTTAGGAGGGGCAGATTGCCAGAGCTCAGGAGTTCGAGACAAGCCTGGGCAACACGGCGAAACCCTGTCTCTACTAAAATACAAAAATAGGCTGGCGCGACAGTGTGCGCCTGTAGTTCCAGCTACTCGGGAGGCTGAGGCAGGAGAATTGCTTGAACCCAGGAGGCAGAAGTTGCAGTGAGCCAAGATCGCACCACTGCACCCCAGCCTTGAGCAAGACTCCATTTCAAAAAAAAAAAAAATGTAGTAAACAATTAGTCATATGGGAACACTTCTAGGAGGCACCAAGTTTCATCTAAAAAATACAGCATTAAACTCTGAAATAAAGATAACAGGATATAGAACAGAGATATTCACTGTCAGAAATTTATCCTGCAAAAACAACTGATGTTTTCATGAATTCATGTAACTCACCTATTATCTACAACATTTTCTTCTGGAAATGCATTCATTTTCTACAGCCAAAATGGAAGAGATTTTTCCCTATTCTTTTCCTTGGTAGCATTCCAAAATCTAAGCCTTGGAATTCTGTTTGAAATCACCCAGCCATAAAAAAAAAAAAGCCTGAGAAAATTTCTAAACTCACTCTAAGAAAGAAAAAGGTACATGAGAATTTTTAACAAAAAAAAAAGATAGATTTTTCTGAAGCCCACCTCTTTTATGCGCTTTGTAAATATTTTCTTACCTTTCAAGCTCTACTAAAAAATTGCAATTTAGAGTTAAAAAACTGAAGTCAATATAAGTGAACAAATCTTTTCAAAGTGACAAACCCAGGGAGTGGCAGTGCTGATAAGAAAACAGATGTGTCCGACTCATGTGTCAAGTTCAATCACTTGAGAGATTCTCCTACCCATCCCGCTCACTTAAGTCACTTAAGTACTCAATAACCACCCTCTCAGGAGACTGCTCTATGTTCCAGTAAGTGTCCCAAGTGCATTTTACTTTGCAATTTCTCGCCTCATCTCACCGGGGTCAGGGTTTCTTTTGTCTTTTGAGATATCACCTTTTTTTTTTTTTTCAGA
Source organism: Homo sapiens (assembly GCF_000001405.40). Classification (NCBI taxonomy): domain Eukaryota; kingdom Metazoa; phylum Chordata; class Mammalia; order Primates; family Hominidae; genus Homo; species Homo sapiens. The sequence continues at coordinate 21,508,239 of NC_000019.10, read as the reverse complement.
TGGAGTTTCACTCGTGTTGCACAGGCTGGAGTGCAATGGCACGATCTCGGCTCACCGCAACCTCCGCCTCCCGAGTTCTTCTGCCTCAGCCTCCTGAGTAGCTGGGATTACAGGCATGCACCACCACGCCTGGTTAATTTTCTGTTTTTAGTAGAGACGGAATTTCATCATGTTAGCTAGGCTGGTCTCGAACTCCTGACCTCAGGTGATCTGCCCACCTTGGCCTCCCAAAGTGCTGGGATTACAGGCGTGAGCCACCGTGCCTGGCAGAGATACTAGTCTTTTTTCACAAATTGTAGAGAATCAAGGGGTCAGAAATTATTTGTTTTCAACTCAATACCAGCATTTGATTGGGTGACCAGCAATGTGGCCCAAAGAAAGGAAAGTCGGGCTGGGTGAACACAGTCTTAACATCTGAAGGGGTTAGCTTTTCAAACGAAAAGTACACCAGGAGATTCCTCTCAGCCCCAGGGAATACACCTGCTCCCTTCAGAGGCTACACTCCATACCACAGGTTGTCCTATGGGAGAAAATGACCCAGGAATTAATATTCATTAGACAGTCTTGCAGACATAGCCATGACTGATATCTTGGTTTATTCACAGACAGTACTGGAACCCAGGACCAGGAAAAAAACTAAAGGGTGGCTGAGGACACATCACCCCACAAAAATTCCAAGAAAAACCTTGATGCCAAAACATTCTCATAAAATCTCTATGCCTAGGGAAGATAAAAGGAAAAGAGACAAAGATTTTTTTACAATACAGTGTCAGAAGATTATTCCTTGCTTTCTTCTTATGGAAAATATTTATAAACAGAAAACAAATCTTTTTAAATGTGCCATCCAATGCTTTGTCAAAAAATGTTTAATTAAAATACAGTATCAAAAATGTACACTAAAGGACAAATAGTTAATAGTGTGAATTAGGGAGTAGTGGGAGTTGGCATTTGGGATTGTCAGGAGGAAATGGAAATTTTGTATTTTACTGCAAGCCAGAGTTAGGCTGGAGGAATGGGGGGCGTGGGAGTAGATTTGAGACCCTGCTTAGGACACCTGTGAAAAATGCAGGGGAAGATCAGTTTTGTGTAGGGAGTGAAAATAGTTAAGTGGTAGGCAATTCGACTGAGGTGGCTGTAGTCCCTGAATTCCTACTTTTAAAAGATCTAACTCAAGCCGGGAGCCGTGGCTCACGCCTGTAATCCCAGCACTTTGGGAGGCCGAGATGGGCGGATCACCCGAGGTCGGGAGTTCAAGACAAGCCTGACCAACACGGAGAAACCCCGTCTCTACTAAAAATACAAAATTAGCCGGGCGTGGTGGTGCCTGCCTATAATCCCAGCTACTCAGGAGGCTGAGGCAGGAGAATTACTTGAACACGGAGGCGGAAGGTGCAGTGAGCCGAGATCGCGCCACTGCAGTCCAGATTGGGCAAGAAGAGGGAAACTCCATCTCAAAAAAAAAAAAAAAAAAACAAAAAACTAACTCAAATGCTTTTTTTTTTGTAAATTACTACACTGGGGAAAACAAATACAGGGTTAACTATTAACTGGAATTAAGCTCTGATTACATAACCAGGAAATTTTGTAAGCTGAAGATGGAAATTAAGAAACTACGTAACCCTACCTAACCAATAACTGAATTTGCGTTTTTGTACCATGCGCAAAGTCTTTCCTTCAAGCTCCTCCAAAGGACCACAAACTACATCCCACAGCTGGGTGCTTTACAATTTTAGAACCACTCTTTAATTAAATTCTTTAATATTTTGCAGTGACTCCCCTTTTTTTTTTTTTTTTTTGTTTGAGATAGTCTCATTGTGTCAACCAGCCTGGAGTGCAATGGCACAATCTTGGTCTCCTGGGTTTAAGCGATTCTCGTGCCTCAGCCTCCCACATAGCTGGGATTACAGATGCCTGCCACCACATCCGGCTAATTTTTGTATTTTTAGCAGAGAGGGGGTTTCACCATGTTGGCCAGGCTGTTCTCGAATGCCGGACCTCAGTGATCTGCCCGCCTCCCAGCAAACTGCTGGGATTACAGGCATAAGCCACCGCGCCCGGCCACTCCCATAGATTTTTAATAGGAGAGAATGGGAACTGGGAACCCCACGGACCAAAGCTCTTCCCGCTCATGAACCCGCATCCCGAGTCACTATTCTCACCTGACGCCCCTCCCATGGTTCTTGCACAATCTGGGAGAGACTGCGGAATTGCGCGTGCAGAGCTCCCCAGACAGGGCTACACGTCAGGCACAGTCACTGCGGAGGGAAGACAGGACGCCCGGGGCCCGGCTGTCAGCACAGTCGCCATCTTATGGCTGAAGGGGACTGAAGCCGAGCTGGGCAAGGAGAATTCCGGGCGCAGATTGTGGAGCTGACTGCCGGGAGACCTAAGTCCGCCACGGCCACTTCTCACGGTTCCGACCAGCCCCTCCCCCTCTCTGGGGATGTCAGACTCGGCACTCTCACCATTTCTAGGCTTCCAGGGGGTCCTGGAGTCTTAGCTGTGTATCTCCCAATATCTGCGGGTCACAGGGCCACACAGGCTGGGCCTCTAAGAACAAAGGACACAGAAATGAAGACGAGACCTGGAGCTCTGGCTGCAGCAAGAGCCAAACGCCCCGCCATATTCCGGAAACCGTCCTGTCGCTCCAGCTGCGTGCCTGATTGGATAATGTTTAAGACCCGCCCTCTCAGGCCCTGAGTGACAGAGGGTGATCAGTTGCTGGGCAGAATGAAGCGTGACAGCCTAGCTGCAGCCTTTTCAGGCAGGCTTTCCTCCGAGCTGAGCCAGGCCCACCCTAGAGGGTGTTTGCATTGAACCTTGTGTGTAAGGTCATATGCATTTATAAATATACTATATGGCTAGTCACAAATGAAAAGAATATAATAACAATTACTTTTAAATTTTAGCTTTTATCACCTTCCTAGCTTCTGGTCCTTTGAGCAGGCAGCCTGAGATTTTAAAAAGGAGGCAGTCCTCTGAAATAAAATGTGAGCCACATGTGAATTTTTAATTTTCCAGTAGCCAAACTTTAAAAAGAAACATGAAACACGTGGAATTGATTGTAATAATGTAACTAACCCAATATGTTTAAAGTATTATAATTTTAATATGTGAGCAATGTGAAAGGAAAATATCTTGGGCCCCCAAAATTACTAAGGAAAACTCAAGCTGGGAACTAAAGGCCAATCAGAAACTCAAAAGAATTTGAGTCCACCTATCTGTGACCTGGAAGCTCCCTCCAGCTTCGTGTCTTCCTGCCTTTGCTTCAAGTTGTCCCACCTTTTCAGACTGAACCAATGTACTTCTTACATATATTGATTGATGTCTCATGTCTCCCTAAAATGTATAAAACCAATATGTTCCCTGACCACCTTGGGCAGGTGTCCTCAAGACTTCCTGAAACTATGTCATAGGCGTGTTCTCAACCTTGGCAAAATAAACTTTCTAAATTAACTGATGTCTCAGATTTTCTGGGGTCACAGCAATATGTAATTATTAAGGCACTATATATATTTTTGGAACTAAATCTTCGAAACCAACTCTGTATTTTACTTTTCTAGCAAATTGCAGTTCAGACCAGGCACATTCCAGGCACCCAGGAGCCACACATGGCCAACAGCCACCACGTTGAAGTGCAGCTCTGATGTCAGGTGGGTGGAGGCCCTGAACATCCCTTTTCTGCCAGAGGTGAGGAGACAGCCTCTCTCTACTAACATCTATCTTCGGTTCTGAGGGTGCGATAGATAGTGGCCATAGCAAGGGCAGAGGGCAGCACAAATAAAATAACCACAGGTAGACCACTCTTTGCCACCTGTTGTCCACCTTTCATCCAGAGATCAGACAGTGAACAAAAAATTCTGGGGCCACAGGAGACAGGAGAAGAAAACTCTATGTCTTTGGGTCTGTCCACAGTCTTAACCTCTAACTTTAAGATATGAAGAAGGCCGGGCGCGGTGGCTCACGCCTGTAATCCCAGCACTTTGGGAGGCCGAGGTGGGCGGATCACGAGGTCGGAAGATCGAGACCATCCTGGCTAACACGGTGAAACCCTGTCTCTACTTAAAAAATAGAAAAAATTAGCCGGGCGTGGTGGCGAGCGCCTGTAGTCCCAGCTACTCTGGAGGCTGAGGCAGGAGAATGGCTTGAACCCGGGAGGCAGAGCTTGCAGCGAGCCGAGATCGCGCCACTGCACTCCAGCCTGGGGGACAGAGCGAGACTCCGTCTCGGAAAAAAAAAAAAAAAAAAAAAAAAAAAGATATGAAGAAAATAAATTAAAGGCAAACTTATTTTGCTGTTTGGCCTTGGCTCTAATGGTCAGGCTGTGGTTATCTGTTTTTTTCCTGTGGTGTGGGGTACTGTGTGAGTATAAGCACCAATCACACACATACATGTCTACCTGTATTTCTGCATTACTCAACATTGTCTTAGGAGACATCCAACTTCAAATCGGGAAAAAAAGAAAAGAAAAGTCAGTATCTTTAGGGTGTCCACTGTCAGAAGGTAACTAGTAATCAACCTGTCATTAAATCCTGGCATTCCATCTGCACAGGGTGCATGTATTAGTTAGCTATTGCAGCATAACAAACCATCCAAAACTTATTTGCTCGTAATTGAGATGGTCAGCCATTTAGGCTGGGCTCAACTGAGGTCCTTCAGACATGTATCATCAGCTGCCTTTTCACTATTTTTATTATTATTTGGGAAATTATTGTATTATTATTTATTATTATATTATTATTATTTGGGAAAATAGCTGTGGGATGATTTTAGAAAATCAAAGCTCAATAACATTATTTATTTTCATCATAAAAAATTTGAAAATTTGTAAAAGAAGAAAACTTTAGAAAAATTAAATTTAACAGTTTAAATGAGCAAATCATGATTTGCAAATCGGGTAACCTATGGATCCAGAGTAGGCTCAGAGAGACTCCAACACAGCCACATGTTGGTAAAATTTTTATGAACCAGAAAAGCAAAATGACATACAGAAAATGGAAGTGAGGTACAGAAACAGCCAGATTTATTACAGCTTAAGATATGTCCCATTTGAACATTAAGTTTACTATGTAAAAAAACAAAAAACAAAAAACAAATCCTATTAGCCAAAATTAAACATAAGAGGGAAGCTTTAGGCTACAACTAATTTAACAATTTCTCCCTTTTGTCATCTTCTCAAGTTTGAGACCAAAACTTTAGACATTAATATCACTTTGTCACCATCAAAAATGTACTTATTTAGACTCGAATCTCACTGTGAAACAGCAGAACTGTGGGTTTGTAAAGTGGAAATAAAAACTTCAGCTTATTATTTTGAAATTATTTTTATTTGTTTTTTAAAGTGTTAGAGTACAGGGGACCTCCTTGTGTTGAAATCTGCTATTTAGAGAAGAAAAACAAAACCTGGCCAGTTTTAGAATCTACCTGTTGCCTTAAATTTTTAGTTTAATTATGTCACATCCAGCATGAGTGACTCATTTTGGTTTGGTTTGTTTGGACCTAGTGCATAAGCTCAGTCCAGAATTATGGCCTCCAATAGTTTTCTTTAAAAAATTCCCCGTTTGGTTAAGTTCTTACATAGGTCACAGTGTAACCAAAACTCGGGGCTTTAGTGCCACTCTCAGTTTCCATTATTTTTGTTTTTTGTCCTTAGCATGTCATTCATAGGTTGTGCTGTCTTCATAGTCACATATGTCTTTGAGTTTCTGTCATTCCAGTTAAAGAGAGACCATTTGACATTCTACAGATGACTACATTCAAACGTTTACATCTTTTGAGAGAATACAGTGCAGTAGGAAGATTACCATTTTGACTATCAGGAGGATAATACCAAGAGTTTGAAGCATGCTTTTTAGCCAGGGTCCCCATGAACAACCAATTAAAGTTAAATAGATCAAATAGTTAGCTAGATAAATGATCTACTCATTTCATCTAATCAGCCTGTTCATGAATCATCTACAACTGCATCTCTGTAATACCGGCTGTAGTTCTCCATGGGCAACTATTAGCAACTGCACAGATATCTATTTATCCAGTAAGTAATCAAAAGAAATTATATTTAGCATAACTTTGTGAGAAAACTTAAAGTCTATTGTGTAAGCATAGTTTTTATGGTATAATCTGCTATAGAGCCCTATTGAGAGGGATAAATTTGTAACCATTGCCTCATTTACTCTAAACAGTGATACCCATTCAGAAGAGTAATGGCCTCCTGGCAATGCTCTTTAACCTATTCTGAATAAGTTCTTTTTAACTTATGAAATAGGTTAAGAGCAGTGGACCAATATTCTGTTTTTGATATTGTGAGAAAACAAATGTTTCATTAAAACTTCTCACCTACATTGGCCCTTCTTCTTTTACCTTTCAAGGAATAAGTTTCCTCATACATAATGTTGGCTGCAAAATTCTCTACATATAAGTATACCCCCATGAGTGCACACAAGAGACCACTTTTTAAAATTTCTGTGGTTTGTAGAACCATAAACAAACTGTGAACTAAGAGTGTCATGATAACGAGATGTCTTGATTTTTGATCTTGTGAAAAAAGCTATCTACATGGAGACGGCCATCTGCTTTTGAGGACAAACTTTCCTGGTTAGCTTTACCTTAAAATCTCCTATGGGTTTACAATTTCAAGAGTTTGGAGGGGCCCTTCTAAGTTGTGAGATTATCAATCCAATGTTCAAGGTCTTGAAGTCTTGCGTCAGTGTAGGTGGCAGGCAGATTCAATCTCTGGGTTCTTGATTATAAAGGGTTTTACTCTCCTCAGTCAGTAGACTAGTAAAGGCTTTCCTCACCTGGTGAAAATGTGCTTTGCCATAATGCATTAAAGCCTTGTTGAATTTAGTAATGTTAGACTTTAGTAGCAGAAGACACATGAGGTTCTATTACGCACATAGGCCTTCTAATGACTATTTTATAAGGGCCAACATACTTTTTCCACTCTAAGTGAATCTGATTGTCATCAATCTGCAATTACAAAAGCAATCCAGTCAATTTAGTTAGCTTTGCTCAATACTATTGTACCTGTAATACTGTGGCAGGCCAGACCTCACTAACAACTGTTTCAGTACTGACTGAGTGGTTAAGTTAAATATTAAAAGCCAGTGACCAGCCGGGCGCAGTGGCTCACACCTATAATCCCAGCACCTTGGGAGGCCGAGGCAGGCGGATCACAAGGTCAAGAGATCGATACCATCCTGGCCAACATGGTGAAACCCCGTCTCTACTAAAAATACAAAAAAATTAGCTGGGCGTGGTGGCATGTGCCTGTAGTCCCAACTATTTGGGAGGCTGAGGCAGAAGGATGGCTTGAACCCTGGAGGCGGAGTTTGCAGTGAGCTGAGATTGTACAGCTGCACTCCAGCCTGGTGACAGAGTGAGACCCCGTCTCAATTAAAAAAAAAAAAAAAGCCAGTGACCTTATACAAAGGCTGGGATGTAACAAAAGCCCATCAAGAGTTTCGCCTAGGCCTTTCTTGGGCCTTATAGGATTAAACAAGTTTTATTGGGGGTCTGAAGAAATTCCCCAGGCCTCTACAAACAGGTTTATTGGAGGTCTGAAGGAATTCACCAAACCACTGTGATTTAGCAGGAGACAAGATAAGGGTAATTACCCCAGCACCTGGACCCATTTAGATTAAGTAAATTTACTGAGGCTGCAGGGGAAGGTCTTCAAGACTCAGACCTTAGTTACAGATTAAATAAAAGAAGTTAATCACTTATCTCTTTAGATGAATGCACACTTACATGTAGACATATAGCTTAGAAGGTATATAGGCTCTGGAAAACGTTGTAATTTTGAGTTGGTCTGGTGATAATTTCCAGGCCTTCTCCCTGTAACTGGTTGCAGAAATAAAACTCTCTTCCTCCCCAGTTCATCTGCATCTCGTTATTGGGCCATGAGAAATAGCAGCCCAACTCTCAGTTTGGTCCAGGAACAATACCTTATTTAACAGTTTTACAACTTGTCTAGTGAAATAAGTATCTTGATCATTAGAGACCTTTCAGAAATGTCCCATGAAAAAAAAACATATTTTCTAATATTCTTTTAGCTACTATTATAACATCAGCCTTCTTGCATGAGAAAGCTTTTATACTATCAGAAAACATGCATTAAAAATGACAACTGTATAAAATTTCTGTATAAATGCTTAAATAGCCTATTAGGTAACAGAAATGTACATAAAGTATTGATTGTTTCTCAGAATTATATGTTTGACATAAAAAAATTGGCCTTAATCTGTTTAGTAATTTAGAATAATCACCACACACACACACACACACACACACACACACACACACACACACAAACTTAATTCATATTTAATTTAGATTATTTTCTGTGATGAGTAATGGAATGCAGAGCTTTTAATAATGGAAGCTTTAAGAAATCAAGAATAAACAAATGGCTTGGTGGCTGTCTAGATTCTTTATGAGTCCACACTTAACATTAAATTTATGTCCTTTTTTTTTTTTTGAGACAGAATCTCCCTCTGTCACCCAGGCTGGAGTGCAATGGTGAGATCTCGGCTCACTGCAAACTCTGCCTCCTGGGTTCAAGCAATTCTCTGCCTCAGCCTCCCGAGTAGCTGGGATTACAGGCACCTGCCAACACACGTGGCTAATTTTTGTATTTTTAGTAGAGACAGGGTTTCACCATCTTGGCCAGGCTGGTCTTGAACTCCTGACCTTGCGATCCACCCTCCTCGGCCTCCCAAAGTGTTGGGATTACAGGCGTGAGCCAGCATGCCCGGCCGCTTATTTTTTCTTATTTTTTGAGACAGAGTCTCGCTCTGTCACCCAGGGTGGAATGCAGTGGCATGATCTTGGCTCACTGCAACCTCCACCTCTCGGGTTCAAGCAATTCTCCTGCCTCAGCCTCTGAAGTAGCTGGGATTACAGGCACCCGCCACCATGGTCAGCTGATTTTTGTATTTTTAGTAGAGACAGGGTTTTGCCATGTTGGTCAGGCTTGTCCCAAATTCCTGACCTCAGGTGATCCACTCCCCTCGGCCTCCCAAAGTGCTGGGATTACAGGCATGGCCACCGCACCCCACCTAGTGTATCTGTTTAGACAGAATAAAACAAGGTATCTATTCATAAGTAACAAATATAGGTTAATAGAAAACTCAAACACAAATATAACTAATGCTATATCTTTCAGAATAGCCCATTCTAATTATTTCATTTCTCATTTGCTAAAATTCAAATCAACTTTTTTCATAATTTTACAGTGTATCTTAATGTCAGAGGCATTTAAACCAGAGTGACTCTATTTTGAATAGTGGCTGGGCAAATTGAGGTTGAGACCTACAGGGCTGCATTCCCCGGCAGTTAGGCATTCTTGGTCACAGGCTGAGATAGAAGGTTAGCACAAGATACAATGCACTTAGCAATTTGTCACAATCTTCTCTGTTAGCAGGGTACAGGCAGAAAAGAAGGGTCACATATTTAGGTCATGTGTCATAGGCGGTCATAGCAGAGATATGTCATTTGTGGGAATGGTCAAGAAAGGAGCTCCCCAACTGCTAGGTGTTGAGCCCAGCTATACATCACAATACCCAAAATATGTGAGGCCCAGAAAAAAAGGAGAGCCACATCACCTAGGTGCTGGGTCCAGCAATATGTCACAATCACCCTTTTTGGCAGGTTCCAGTCAAAAGACAAGTCACAAAGTGATGAACAAAAAGATATGTCATAATACCCTTCTGAACAGAGCCTATGCAGGAAACTCATATTACTTATGTGCTGGGTCCAGTGATAGGGTCACAATCCCCCACCTTTTACAGGATTCAGGAAGAAAAGGAGAGTAACATCACTTAAGTGATAAACAAAACATATGTCATACATCCCCTATTAGCAAGGCCTATGCAGGAGAGTCACATTACCTAGGTGTTGGACCAGCCGTATTTCAACAGACACAATGTAAGCAGGGCCTAAGGAGGAGAGGAGAGTCACATCACCAAGGTGCTGGGTCCAGTGATATGTCACAATCACCCTTTTTGGCAGGTTCCAGTGAAAAGACGAGAGTCATAACACCTAAGTGAGGAACAAATGATATGTCATAATACCCTTCTGAACAGAACCCATGAGTTAGAGTCATATTACCTGGGTCTTAGACCCAGTCATATATCAGAATACACAATGTATGCAAAGCCCAGGGGAAAAAAAAAAGTCACATCTCAGGCAGAGCCCAAGCAGAAGAGAGTCACATCACCTAGGTTCTAGGTCAAGAAATGTCACAGTATCCTCTGAGAAAAGAGCCCTGGCAGAAAAGTCACATCATCTAGATGAGAGCCCCAGAGATATGTCACAATGTCCCCTGTGAGTAGTGTTGGGAACAGGCCCCCAAATCTGGCCATAAACAGGCCCCAAAACTGGCCATAAACAAAATCTCTGCGGCACTGTGACTTGTTAATGATGGCTATGACACCCATGCTGAAAGGTTGTTGGTTTACTGGAATGAGGGCAAGGAACATCTGGCCCACCCAGGGCAGAAAACTGCTTAACGCGTTCTTAAACCACAAACAATAGCTTGTGAGATCTGTGCCTTAAGGACATGTTCCTGCTGCAGATAACTAGCCAGAGCCCATCCCTTTATTTCCCACAAGAAATACTTTTAATCTGTAATCTATAGAAACAATGCTTATCACTGGCTTGCTGTCAATAAATATGTGGGTAAATCTCTGTTTGAGGCTCTCAGTTCTGAAGGCTGTGAGACCCCTGACTTCCCACTCCACATGCTATATTTCTATGTGTGTGTGTCTTTAATTCCTCTAGCTCCGCTGGGTTAGGGTCTCCATGACCTAGCTGGTCTTGGGAGAGTAGGGCTCAGGAGGAAGAGAAAGATCACCTGACTTAAGAGCTGGGCCCAACTACATATCACAACCAACCAGTGGGCAGGGCCAAAGCATGAGAAAAGAGTCACATCACATAGGTGCTGGGCCAAGTGATATGTCACAATTCCCACTGTGGACAAGTCCCAGGGAGAAGAAGAACGGGACCAAGAGATATGTCACAATAACCCCTGTAGACAGGGACTAGGCAGAACAATTACATAGCCTGTGGGCTGATCCCAGGGATAAGTCACTCTCTTTTATGGGAGCATGGCCATGGAAGGAAAGAAGCGTCACATTATCTAGATGCTGGGCCCTGTGATATGTCACAATCTCTCCTATAGGAAAAATCCAAGTAAGAGAGTCACATCACATAGACGATGGATTCACAAATATGTCACTATTCTTGTTGGGCAAAAGGTGTTGACTCTTGAGCAAGGTTCAGGCAGAAGGATCACATCACCTTGGTTCTGAGCCCAACAATATGTCACAATGCTTGATGAAAAGAAACGCCAAGGCAAAAATGTAACATCACCTTGGTGTTCAGCCCAGCAGTATGTCACAATGTACACTGTAAGCAGAATATAGGTAGAAGAGTCATATCAGCTAAGGCACTGGGCCCATTGATAAGTAACAATCCTTTCTTTGAACAGGGACCTGGGAGAAAGAGTCACGTTACCTGGATGATGAATACACAGATAGATCATAAAGCTTCCTGTAGGCAGGACCCAGCAAGGAGAGTTACATAACCTGGATGTTGCAAATGGCAATATGTCACAATGACCCATGAAGGCAGGGCACAGGTAGGAGAGTCACATAACCAGGGTGAGGGGCCCAGTGATATGTCACAATGTCCCATGTGGGCAGTGCCAAGGCAAAAGTACAGAGTCGCACCACCTAGTGTTAGGTCCAGCAATGTATCACAATCTGATCTGTGGACTAGGCACCAAGCAGAAAAGTCAAATCACTCAGGTGCTGGGCAGAGGTGTATGTTACAGTCACAGTTGAAGGAAAAGGTAGGGATAAAATTAACAATCCTGCTGGGTGTGGTGGCTCACACCTGTAATCCCAGCACTTTGGGAGACAGGCAGGTGGATCACATGAGGTCAGGAGTTCAAGACCAGCCTGGCCAACATGGTGAAACCCCATCTCTACTAAAAATACAAAAAATTAGCCAGGCATTGTGGTGGGCACCTGTAATCCCAGCTACTCAGGAGGCTGAGGTAGGAGAATCGCTTGAACCCAGGAGGCAGAGGTTGCAGTGAACCGAGATCGCACCATTACACTCCAGCCTGGGCAACAAGATTGAAACTCCGTCTCAAAAAAAAAAAAAAAAAAATTAACAATTCCACACATGTCCCATTTCTAGGTATTAGAGTCAACACCTTTTGTATGTTGAGTCTGAATACACAAGTCACAATCTCAATGGTGGACTGGATACCTGCATGACAGCCTCAATCTTTGCAGTGGACTGTGTCCCCTTAGTGGACTCACAGCCTCACAGATACGCTGAATCTTGGTCTGAGAGTCACCAGCCCACATGTGGACTGAATCCATGTGTGAAAGTCAATTTTCCAACTTTTGGCTATCTCTAGGTGTGAGATTCAGAACTTCAACAATGAACTGTGTTCATATGAAAAGATGACAATCTTTACTGTTGGCTGAGTGTGTGTATGAGTATCACAATGTCACCTGTGTGCTGGGCCCTGTTACAAAACTCTCTGTTACCATCTGAGGGCTTTATACAATATGCATGATAGTCACAATTTGCTCTGAGAATTCTGTTCTAGTATGAACTGATAATCGTAGCTATGGACCTAAGCCCATGTGTTAGAGTCAACATCTCTCTAATTGGCTAGGACCAGAGAGAAGAGTCCTCATCTGCCTATGAGCTTTGTTTTGAAATGAGTCAACATCTTGACTGTGGTCACATGATCACATATGACAGTCACAATTTTTACTGTGGACTGCATCCACGTGTGAAATTCAGGATCTTTCCAGTGAGCTCTGTCCATGTGTGAGGGTGTTGGTAGGTTTGCCAACATTTGGTAGGTTGTTCATATGAGAAACACAGTCTCACCTGTGTGCTTGACCCTGTGATGACACTCTGTACCATCCAAAGACTTTATACAAACTGTGAAAGAATGGTTATGCTTTATAATGTTCTTACCTAGAGAAGACCCCAATAATTTACCTGTTTCTCTAAGTTTAGCTACAAGTGCCAGTATCTCTCCTACTGACTGATTTGTCAGTATGAGTGTCATTATCACAACTGTGAGCTGGGCTAAAGTATATGTCACAATCCAACCTGTGAGTAGAAAGCAAATGAGAGAATAACATCGCCTGGGTGCTGGGTCAGGAATATATCACAATTTTTCCAGGGAAGAAACCAGGCATATCGCCTGGTTGCCTGGCCAGGGTTCTGTTGCCCTAAAATTCCCTCCTGAAAGCAAGGCACAGTCATCAAAGTCACATCACTTGGGTAGTGGGCCCAGCTATGTCTCTCTGCAGGCAAGGCCTGGGCACAAAAGATATACCACCTGGTTGCTGAACCCAGAGATGTGTCACAATTTTCTGTATGGGCATGGTGCAGATGGAAGAGAGTCACACCTCCAAAGTAATGGATGCACAGATATGTAACAAAGGCCTCCTGTGGGCCCCTAAGTTCTTGGTCCAGTAATATTTCACAATACCCCCTAGGCATAAATGTCATATTACCTAGGTGAGAGGCCTAGATATGTCACAATGCCCCCTGTGGGTAGGGCTTATAAACAGGAAAGTCACATTACGTAGCTGTGGGGATCAGCTTTATGTTCCAATCACCCCAGAGGGAAGGGACCAGGCATGAGAGAAGAGCCACATCACATAGAAGCTACGTCAAGCGATATATCACAATTCTCACTGAGGACAAACCCTGGAAGAGGAGAGTCATATCATCTAGGTGATGGGCCCAAATATATAGCACAGTGACTCCTGTGTGCAGGGAACAGGCAGAATAATTACATCACTGGTGTGCTTGGCCCAGGCAGAAGAGGAGTGTCACATCACATAGGTAAAATAGGGCATTTACCTGGGCTTTGTCCATAGGAGAGATTGCAGTGGGTCAAGAAATATGTCACAATGCTCCCTGTGGTCAGGGTTCAGGCAGAGGACTCACATCATCTTGGTGCTGGGCCCAGCAGTGTGTCTCAATGCCTTCTAAGGACATAGCCAAAGCAGAGAAGTAACATCACCTTAGTGTTAGGCCCAGCAGTATGCCACAATCTCCTTTGTGGGCAGAACCTAGGAAAAAGAAAACAGTCACATCAGCTAGGAGCTGGGACCAGCAATATGTCACAATTACCCCGTTGAGTAGAGAACAGGCAGCAAAAAGAAAGTCACACTCCCTAGGCCAGCGACCATGGCTCACGCCTGTAATCTGAGCACTTTGGGAGGCCAAGGTGGGCAGATCACCTGAGGTCAGGAATTCGAGACTAGCCTGGCCAACATGGCGAAACCCCTTCTCTATTAAAAGGCAAAAATTAGCTGGGCGTGATTATATGTCATAATCTTACCTGTGGATAGAGAGTGAGCAGGAGAGATACGTCATCTGCATCATCTGGTTGCTGGGCCAGGGATATGTCACAATCTTCCCTGAGAACAGGCACCAGGCAGAAGACTTATCACCTGGGTGCTTGGTCAGAGATATGTTACAATTTCCTCCTGAAAGCAGGGGACAGGCAGTAGAGTCCCATCACCTGGGTGCTGGGCTCAGTGATATGTCACAATGCTCCCTGTGAGCAAAGCTCAGGCAGGAGAAACACATCGCCTGATTTCTGGGCCAGAAGATACATCACGGTCTCCCCTATGAGCAAAGCCTTGGTATAAAAGGAGAGTCACATCAAATAGCTGATGCTCCCAAAGATATGTCACAATGCTCTCTGTTGTCAATGTCCACACAGGATCTCTCGTCACCTTGTTGCTGAGCCGAGCAATACGTCACAGTGCCTTTAAGGTCTGGGCCAAGGCAAAACAGTAATGTCACATTGGTGTTGAGCCCCACAATATGTCCCAATCTCCCTTGAAAGCAGGACTTATGATGAATAGAACAGTCACACTTGCTTGGTACTGGGCCAAGTGATATGTCACAATTCCCCCTGTGAGCAGAACAACGCAAAAGAAGAGAGTCACATCACCTGGGTAATGGGTGAAAAAAATACCACAATGTTCCTTGTTGGCAGTAGAGTTACATTACCAGGGTGTTGGACCCAGCAATATGTCACAATGTGGTGAGGGCACAGGCATGAGAGTCATATAACCTGGATGTAGGCCCAGAGATATGTCACAATGCCCCAGTAGGCAGTGCCAAGGCAGGAGAGGAGACTCACATCAACTAAGTGCAAGGTTCAGTGAGATGTCACAATGTCCTCTACGAGCAGCACCAAGACAGAAGAAGAGTCACATCCCCTCAGTTCTGGGTTCAGCAGAACTATCCCACCTGTGGGCTGGTCCCAGACAAGACAGTCAGATCACTCAGGTGCCTGGCATAGAAAAATGTCACAATTGGGCCGGGCACGGTGGCTCACGCCTGTAATCCCAGCACTTTGGGAGGCCGAGGCGGGTGGATCACCTGAGGTCAGGAGTTTGAGACCAGCCTGACCAACATGGAGAAGCCCTGTCTCTACTAAAAATACAAAATTAGCCCTGCGTGGTGGCACATGCCTGTAATCCCAGCTACTCGGAGGCTGAGGCAGGAGAATCACTTGAACCCGGAAGGCGGAGGTTGCAGTGAGCCAAGATTGTGCCATTGCACTCCAGCCTGGGTGATAAGAGTGAAACTCCATCTCAAAAAAAAAAAAAAGAAAAGAAAAATGTCACAGTTAAAACTGCAGGAAGGTCCAGGGATGACATTAACAATCCCACACATGTCCCGGTGTTAACCTCCTATATGTTGTGTCTAAGAACAGGAGTTACAATCTCAACGGTGGATTGAACTTGTGCACAACAGCCTCAACTCCTTCTGCACGCCACGTATAAATAGTAAAGTCACAGCCACATAGGTGTGCTGAATCTTGCTCTGAATGTCACCAACCCACCTGTGGACTGAATCCACATGAGAGTCAAGTTTCCAGCCTTTGACTGCCTATAGGTGTGAGATTCAGAACCCCAGAAGTGGGCTGTGTTCATGTGGGGAAATGATGATGTATACTGTTGGGTGGGTGTACATACAACTGTCAACATCTCCCCTGTGTGCTGGGCCTTGTTAATACACTCTCTATACTACCCAAGGGGCTTTATGTAGTATGAATGTGGGTCACAATTCACTCTGACCCCTTCATGTTTATATGCCCCCATGACCATACCTGTGGCCCTAAGCCCAGGTGTGAGAGTCAACATTTCTCCAATTGGCTGGATCCAAATAGTAGAGACCTCATCTGCCTATGATTTTGAGTTTAGAAATGTGTCACCATCCCAACTGTGGCTGGATGCTCACATATGACAGTCACAATTCCAACTGTGGACTGTTTGCATGTGAGATTCAAGACCTCAGCAGCGGGCTCTTTCCATGTGTGAGGGTGATAATACTAATGGTTGGTGAGGTTTGCTGTGCCCTGTGATGACACACTCTAACACTTGAGGGCATTATACTACGTGTGGGGGTGTGGCAATCTTTTATAACCTTCATACAAAGAGAGACCCAGGATGTCGCTCATTTTTCTGAGCTATGAAAGGTATTTCTTCTTCTTTTTTTTTTTTAGATAGAGTTTCGCTCTTGTTGCCCAGGCTGGAGTGCAATGGAACGATTCTCCTGCCTCAGCCTCCCAAGTAGCTGGGATTACAGGCATGCGCCACCACGCCCGGCTAATTTTTTTTGTATTTTTAGTAGAGAAGGGGTTTCTCCATGTTGGTCAGGCTGGTCTCGAACTCCTGACCTCAGGTGATCCACCCACCGTGCCTGGCCAGTATTTCTTCTAATAGCTGACTTGAGGCATGAGAGTCATCATGACATTTGTAAGCTGACATGAGAGTCATCATCACACTTGTAAGCTGACCACAGCCTATGTCGCAATTCTACTTATAAGAAGGGAGCTAGCAGGGGAGTCACATCACCTGGATTTCAGCCATGGATATCTCATAATCTGCTGAGGGAAGAAGCCAAGCAGGAGTGTCACATCACCTGAGTGCTCAGCCAGGGATATGTTACAATTCTGTCCTGAAAGCACAGCACAGGCAACAGAGTCACATCACCTGGGTGCTGAGCTCAGCGCTATGTTACAATGCTCCCTGTGGGCAAGACAGAGGCAGAAGAGCCACATCACCTGGTGTCTGGTTCCAAGGATATGTCACAATCATTCCTGTGCAGGGCAGGGTGCAGGCAAAAAATAAATGTCACATCTTCTAGGTCATGGGTGCAGATATATGTCACAAGGTCCCTGTGGGCAAAGCCAAGGTAGGAGCATGCAATCCCATAGGTGGTGGGCCTAGTGATATTTTACAATACCCAAAACATGAGAGGCCCAGGCCAAACAAGAGAGTCACATCACCTAGGTGCTGGGTTCAGTGATTTGCCATAATCTCCCACTTTTTGGCAGGGCCAGGCAGAAGAGGAGAATTATATCACCTAGATGATGAATGAAAATATATGTTGTAATACCTCTGTGGGCAAGTCCCATGCAGGAGAGTCACATCACCAAGGTATCAGGACCAGCCACATGTCACAATATGTGCAAGAGGAACCAGGCAGGAGAGGAGAGTCACATCACCTAGGTTCTGGTCCCAGCAATATATTACAATCCCTTCTTGGGAAAAGCCCAGGAAGTAGAGGAAAGTCACGTCACCTGGGCACTAGGCCCAGTGATGTCTCAATGCCCTCCGTGAAAAGCAATAAGGCAAGAGAATAGACTCACATCACCTAAGTGCTGGGTCCAGCAATGCGGCACAATCCCATCTGTACGCTGGGCCCAAGCAGAAGAGTCAAATCACTCAGGTGCTGGGCAGAGGTGTATGTAACAATCACACCTGCATGAAGGTCGAAGCATAAGATTAACAATTCCACACATTTTCTTGTTCTAGGTATGAGATCTAACACTTCCTGTATGTTGAGTCTAAGTAAATGAGTCACAATCTCAATGATGGTCTGGATCCATGTATAAGAACCTCAATCCCTCCTGCAAACTGTGTCCCCTTAGTGGAGTCACAGACTCACAGGTGTGCCGAATCTTGGTCTGAAAGATGCCAACCCCCGCATGGAGCGAATTCACATATGAGATTCCATTTTCCAACATTTGACTGCCTCTGGGTGTGATATTCAGAATCTGAATTGTGAGCTATGTTTATATGGAAGGATGAAATATTTACTGTTGGCAGGTCATACATATGAGTGTCACAACCTCACCTGTGTGCTGAGTTCTGTTAGGACATCCGCTGTACCTTTTGACAACTTTACACAGTATGTGAGAGATTCTCCATGACTTTCACACGAAGAGGAGACCCAAGATATTACCCATTTTCCTAACTCTGGCTATGAGAGACAGTGTATCTGCTATTGGTTGTTTCAAGGTATGAAAGCAATCATTGCACCTGTAAGCTGGGCCAAGATATGCATCATAATCCCACCAGTGAATAGGGACCGACCAGTAGACTCACATCACCTGGGTTTCGGGGCAGTGATATGTCACAATCTTCTCTGAGGGCAGGGACCAGGCAGCAGTGTCACATCACCTTGGTGCTCCATTAGGAATATGCTACAATCCCCTCCTGAAAGCAGAATACAGTCAGAAGAGTCACATCACCTGAGTGCTGAGACCAGAGATATGTTACAATGTTCTCTGTGGGCGAGGACCAGGCAAAAAAAACAAATCCCCTGATTGCTGAGACCAGTGATTCGTCACAATCCCTAGTGGTCAGGGTGCAGACAGAAGAGGGGAATTAAATCTCCCAGATAACCCCATCCAATGGGTGTTGAACTCAATGATATGTCACTATACCCAAAATATGCCAGGGACATGGAAAATAAAATGGTCACATCATCTAGGTGATGAAAAAGAGGTATGTCGGCCAGGCACAGTGGCTCATGCCCATAATCCCAGCACTTTTGGAGGCCACAGTGGGCGAATCACCTGAGGCTGGGAGTTTGAGACCAGCCTGACCAGCATGGAGAAACCCCGTCTCTACTAAAAAAAAATAAAAAATTAGCTGGGCATGGTGGCACATGCCTGTAATCCCAGCTACTCGGGAGGCTGAGGCAGGAGAATCACTTGAACCCGGGAGGTGGAGTTTGCCGTGAGCCAAGATCACACCATTGCACTCCAGCCTGGGCAACAAGAGCGAATTCTGTCTCAAAAAAAAGAAAAAGAAAAAGAGATATGTCATAATACTTCTGTAGGCAGTTCTCATGACATAAAGTTGCATCACCTGGGTGCTGAATCCAGGTATATGTCACAATACACAATGTATGCAGGGCTTAGGCAGAAGAGAAGAATCACAACAGCTAGGTGGTGGGCCCAGAAATACATCACAATCCCTGCTTGGGCAAAGCCCAATCCATAAAGGAGAGTCACATCACCTACGTACTGGGTTCAGCAATATGTCACCCTACCCCTTGTGGGGAGGGCCCATGCAAGAGTCACATCACATAAATGATGGGCCCAAAAATATGTCAAAGTTTTCACTGTGGGTAGGGCTCAGGAAAAAAAAGAATCGCATGACCTAGGGGCTGGGCCCAGCTATATGTAACAAACACCCCAGTTTGCAGGGCCCATGCATGAGAGAAGAGTCATATCACCTAGCTGCTGGGCTCAGTGATATGTAACAATACTTTTTTGGCAGGGCCCAGGCAAAAGAGGAGTGTCACATCACCTAGGTGATTAATAGAAAGATGGCTCATAATACCCCTATGGGCAGGCCCCATGCAGGAGAGTTGCGTTATCTAGGTGTTGGACCCAGTGATATGTCTCAATACACACTGTATGGAGGTCCCAGGCTGGAGAGGAGAGTCACCTCTTCTAGGTTCTTGACAGAGTGATATGTCACAATCCCTTTTTGGGTAGAGACCAAACAGTAGAGAAGAGTCACATCACCTAGATGCTGGGCTCAGCAATGTCACAATATCCTGAGAAGAGGGCCCAAACAAAAGAGTCGCATCACCTCATTGAAGGTCTCAGAGATATGACACAATGCCCCCTGTGGGTAGGGCTCAGGAAGATGTGTGGAGTCACATAACCTTGGGGCTGGGCCCAGCTACATGTCAAAATCACTCCAGTGGGCAGGGCCCAGGCATAAGAAGAGAATCACATCATGTAGGTTCTGAGCCAAGCAACATGTGACACTCCCCACTGTGGACAGGTTCCAGGAAGAAAAGAGTCACATAACCTCAGTGATAGGCCCAGATATATGTCACAATGACTTCTGTGAGCAGGCAGAAGAATCCCATCACTTGTGTGCTGAATTCAGCAATAAGTCATTCACTCTTCAGTGGGCAAGGAAGAGGCAGGAGAGGAGAGTCACATCACCTATGTGTTGGGCCCAAATTTATGTCACAATCTCTTTTTGGGCAACATCCAGGTAAGAGAGGAGAGTCACATAAAATAGTTAAAGGTCCCAGAGATATGTCACAATGCACCTTGTAGGCAGGGTCCAGGCAGGAGACTCACATCACATTGGTTCTGGGCCCAGCAATCAATCACCATGCCTTCTAGGGGCAGTGTCAAGGCATAAGAGTATGTCAGCATAGACTGCTGCCATCTCGGCTCACTGCAACCTCCCTGCCTGATTCTCCTGCCTCAGCCTGCCGAGTGCCTGCGATTCCAGGCGCGTGCCGCCACGCCTGACTAGTTTTCGTGTTTTTTTGGTGGAGACGGGGTTTCGCTGTGTTGGCCGGGCTGGTCTCCAGCTCCTAACCGCCAGTGATCCGCCACCCTCGGCCTCCCGAGGTGCCGGGATTGCAGACAGAGTCTCGTTCACTCAGTGCTCAATGGTGCCCAGGCTGGAGTGCAGTGGCGTGATCTCGGCTCGCTGCAACCTCCACCTCCCAGCCGCCTGCCTTGGCCTCCCAAAGTGCAGAGATTGCAGCCTCTGCCTGGCCGCCACACCGTCTGGGAAGAGAGGCGCATCTCTGCCTGGCCGCCCATCGTCTGGGATGTGAGGAGCCCCTCTGCCTGGCTGCCCAGTCTGGAAAGTGAGGAGCGTCTCTGCCCAGCCGTCATCCCGTCTAGGATGTGAGGAGCGCCTCTGCCCGGCCGCGACCCCGTCTGGGAGGTGAGGAGCGTCTCTGCCCGGCCGCCCTGTCTGAGAAGTGAGGAGACCCTCTGCCTGGCAACCGCCCCGTCTGAGAAGTGAGGAGCCCCTCCGCCCGGCAGCCTCCCCGTCTGAGAAGTGAGGAGCCCCTCCGCCCGGCAGCCACCCCGTCTGGGAGGTGAGGAGCGTCTCCGCCCAGCAGCCACACTGTCCGGGAGGGAGGTGGGGGTCAGCCCCCGCCAGGCCAGCCGCCCCGTCCGGGAGGTGAGGGGCGCCTCTGCCCGGCCGCCCCTACTGGGAAGTGAGGAGCCCCTCTGCCCGGCCACCACCCCGTCTGGGAGGTGTACCCAACAGCTCATTGAGAATGGGCCATGACGACAATGGCGGTTTTGTGGAATAGAAAAGGGGGAAAGGTGGGGAAAAGATTGAGAAATCAGATGGTTGCTGTGTCTGTGTAGAAAGAATTAGACATGGGAGACTTTTCATTTTGCTCTGTACTAAGAAAAATTCTTCTGCCTTGGGATCCTGTTGATCTATGACCTTACCCCCAACTCTGTGCTCTCTGAAACATGTGCTGTGTCCACTCAGGGTTAAATGGATTAAGGGCGGTGCAAGATGTGCTTTGTTAAACAGATGCTTGAAGGCAGCATGCTCGTTAAGAGTCATCACCACTCCCTAATCTCAAGTACCCAGGGACACAAACACTGCGGAAGGCCACAGGGTCCTCTGCCTAGGAAAACCAGAGACCTTTGTTCACTTGTTTATCTGCTGACCTTCCCTCCACTATTGTCCTATGACCCTGCCAAATCCCCCTCTGCGAGAAACACCCAAGAATGATCAATAAAAAAAAAAAAAAAAAAAAAAAAGAGTATGTCAGCATAGTATTAGGCCCAGTGACATGTCACAATATCCTCTTTGGGCAGAACCTAGAAAGAAAGAGGCAGAGAGTCATGTGAGCTAGGTGCTGAGCCCAGTAATACATCACAATCCCTTCTGTAAGCAGGAGCCAGGCAGGAGAAGAGAGCCATATTACCTGTGTGATGGGTGCAGGGATATGTCACAAGATCTTCTGTAGGCAGGACCTAGGCAGTAGAGTTACATCACCTGGGTGTTGGACTCAGCAAAAGTCACAGTGGCCCACATGGGCAGGGCACAGGCAGGAGAGTCATATAACCTATGTGTGGGGCCCAGCCATATGACACAATGTCCCCTGTGGAAGAGCCAAGGCTGGAGAGAAGATTCACACCACCTGGGTACAAGATGTAGTGATGTCAAAATGTCCCCTGTGGGTAGTGCCAAGGCAGTAGAATAGTCACACCACCTCGGTACTGGGTCCAGGGATATGTCACAATCCCTTCCATGGGCTAGGCCAGGGCAGGGGCACCAAATCACTCTGGTGCTGGGTAAAGTCATATGTCATAATGACACCAGCAGGAATGTTCAGACATGAGATTATGCATCTGGACTGGAAAGAATCAACACATCAAAAACATGACCAGACCGTGCACAGTGGCTCACACCTGTAATCCCAGCACTTTTGGAGGCCACGGAGGATACCTGGAACCCAGGAGTCCAAGACTATCCGGGGCCAACATGGTGAGACAGCATCTCTATTAAAAAATAATAATTAAAGTTAAAAAAGAAATATATATCCAGAGCATGGACAACATAGCAAGATCACATCTCTACTAAAAAGATGATACAGGCTGGGTGCCAGTGGCTCACGCCTGTAATCCCAGAACTTTGGGAGGCTGAGGTGGGCGGATCACAAGGTCAAGAGATCGAGATCATCCTGGCCAACATTGTAAAACCCCATCTCTACTAAAAACACAAAAATTAGCTGGGCGTGGTGGCGCACACCTGTAGTCCCAGCTACTCGGGAGGCTGAGGCAGGAGAATCACTTGAACCCAGGAGGTGGAGGTTGCAGTGAGCTGAGATCATGCCACTGCACTCCAGCCTGGGTGACAGTGTGAGATTGTCTCAAAAAAAAAAAAAAAAAAAAAAAAAAGATGATAGATAGATAGATCAGAAAGACAGAGACAGAGCCAGCCAGATAGACAGAGCTGGACAGACAGAGAGAGATGATAGACAGATAGATAGATAGATAGCCAGCCAGCCAGGCAGGATGGTGCATGCCTGTAATCCCAGCACTTTGGGAGGTCAAGGCTGGTGGATTGCTTGATCACAGGAGTTCGAGACCAGTCTGAGAAACATGGCAGAACCTCATTTCTACAAAAATAAAAAGTAAAAAATGCAAAATAAAGAGCCAGTGTGGTGGTACGTGACTGTAGTACCAGCTACTGGGAGAACTAAGACGGAGGATCCCCTGAGCCCAAGGAGGTCCAGGCTGCAGTGAGCTGTGATCACACACCTGCACTTCAGCCTGGGTGACTAAGAAGACCTCATTTAAAAAAACATACACACACACACACACACACACACACGTATGAAAGAAGAAATTTAAAACAGCAACTTCAGTGTGCAGGAAGGTGCTTAAGAGAGAAAACAAAACAAAACAAAACAATAGTAACTCAATGTACCGTGGAAACAAACTCAAAGTGGGGCTAGAAAAAAAGAAAAAAAAACCCAGAAAGATCCCGAGCCTCAGCTACTCTGGAGGCAGAAACAGGAGGATGGGGCCGGGCATGGTGGCTCACACCTGTAATCCCAGTGCTTTGGGAGGCCAAGGTGGACGAATCACCTGAGGTCGGGAGTTCCAGACCAGCCTGACCAACATGGAGACCCCATCTCTACTACAAATACAAAATTAGCTGGGTGTGGTGGCGCACGCCTGTAATCCCAGCTACTCAGGAGGCTGAGGCGGGAGAATCGCTTGAACTCGGGAGGTGGAGGTTGCAGTAAGCCGAGATTGCCCCATTGCACCCCAGCCTGGGCAACAAGAGCGAAAACTCAAAGAAAGAAAAACAGACAGAAAGAGAAAGAGAAGAGAAGAGAAGAGAAGAGAAGAGAAGAGAAGAGAAGAGAAGAGAAGAGAAGAGAAGAGAAGAGAAGAGAGAAAAGAAAAGAAAAAAGAAAAGGGAGGATGACCTGGGTGAGTCCGGGCAGGTGGAGGGCGCGTGAGCCGTAATCGCACCCTCTGCTGGACCTAAGCGGTACTGCCGCGGGCGAGAGCTATCTAGTCCGTCTTAAACATCTCAAGCTGGAGGCCAAACCCTAACCTTGGGGCTGACATCTGGTCGACCCAGCGGCTGGACAGAGAAGCCAGCCGGTGGCGAGGGCAGAGGCCCACCGGGTCCACACTACGCGCCAAGTGTGGCCGAGTGTGGCGCGCGGGGCCTGAGCCCGTCCGTCTGGAGTATAACTCCGCCAACCTTCCTTCCCAGCGCTCTCCCACACTGTCTGCTGGTCCACTAAGACGGGGAAGAGCTCAAGGGGGGGCGACCGGCCCCTACTCCCCGCCGACCCCTCCTCCCCGCTGCTGAGTGGGAGAGGCCCAGGACCTGGACCGCCACTTCCAGACCACACAGCCACCCCTGAAACGGGGGCTGCCGGGCCACACCCTCTGACGCCCGCGCCTCAGCCATCCCACCACGCTCCCACAGCGGCGTCCCAGCCAGGGCGACGAGCCACCCGCAGGGTGGGAAGAGGAGGAAACCAGAGGGGGTGGACACCAAGCAAGGGAGCCCCACGAACCTGCGGCACCCTCAGAGCAGCATGTGGCCCCTTCGGCGCTCGGAAAGCCCACGGGCGGACCCTTCCAGGCTCTCGGAAGATGGCACAGGACGGTCCCTGATTCTCCATGGGGACTTGGGAAAAGAAATCGGCCAGAGCCTCAAACGGCCAGGACACACATGGGCCCGCAACCGGGCCTGGGGGGTGTCCCCGGCCCCCTGCATCATGCCTGGTGGGTTCCGAGGGTCGGGCCTCCGCAGCTGCGGTGAGCTGGGGACCAGCCCGGGCAGCCCCACACTAAGCTCATGCCGGGAGCACGGTAACAGCCTCCCCTCCACAGCCCTACACGCCAGAGCTATGACTCACAAGGGACGCGCCAGAGCTCTGGCACCATCGGGACTGTTCTGCTGAAGTCTGCAGGACTCCCGAGCTCTGCTCAGCTCACAGCGGGGGCTGTCCCTCCCTCGGCAGCTGCCACTGGAGCTCCAGAGGACAAGAGAACTCTAGAAAGGTGGCCGCCCCTGTGGGCCACAAGCCGTGCCGTCAGCCCAAGCGGCCTCTGGAGGAGGCCTGTACTGCTAGCCGGCCGCTAGGAGGCGCCAAACAACCACCCACGCAATAATCAGCCAGGAAAGAATGAAAAAATACATATATATGCATATACTGATCAAAGAACAATCATACCCAGTCAGGGCGACGATTTTCTAGGCAACAAGGAAGAAGCCAACTTTGAGGTAGGGACAGTAGAGAAGACACAGTTGACCCAGTCTGTGCACAGGCTTCCTTTTCTGTGAGACCTTGGTTTAGGGGACATAACTATATTTCTTTGTAACACAATTACTTATTATAAACGTTATGTTTGTTTATTTACTTATTTGCTTTTTGATTGGAGTCTTTTTTTTTTTTTTTTGAGACGGAGTCTTGCTTTGTCACCCAGGCTAGAGTGCAGTGGGGCAATCTTGGCTCACTGCCATCTCCGCCTCCCGGGTTCAAGCGATTCTAGTACCTCAACCTCCTGAGGAACTGGTATTACAGGCACGCACCACCTCGCCCGGCTAATTTTTTATTGTTAGTAGACACGGGGTTTCGCCATGTTGGCCAGGCTGGTCTCAAACTCCTGACCTCAGGTGATCCAGCCGCCTCAGTCTCCCAAAGTGTTGGGATTACAGGCGTGAGCCACCACGCCCAGCCGATTTTTTTTTATTTCTTATGTGTATGGTCCTGTGATAGACCAGGGGACTTGTAACCTCAGAGTCCATGAGGCCAGAAGTTAACGTCCTAAATGTCTATTTAGAATGAACTTAAATGAACCAAACTCTCTGCCACGAAACTCTCAGAAAGACAAGAGATTAAAAAAAAAATTGCAACCTGGCAATGAATCACGCCTGTAATCCCAGTACTTTAGGAGGCCAAGGCAGGTGCATCGCTTCATCCCAGGAGTTCGAGACCATCCTGGGCAACATGGTAAAACATCATCTCAACCCAAAATACAAAAATTAGCCAGTTTCATAACCTGATCTCAAAATACATAAATAAATAGATTAAAATTCAAAAATAAAATTTAAATTTTAAAATGCTGAGTTCTGTTCATTTTGCTTCCTACCCAGAGAAGGGCATAAAATATCTGTTGCTTGCTTGTTTGTTTTTGACAGGGTCTCACTCTGTCACCCAGGCTGGAGTGCAGTGGCACCATCATGGCTTACTGCAGCCTCAACCTCCCCAGACTTAGATGATCCTCCCACCTCAGCCTCCCAAGTAGCTGAAATCACAGGTGTGTGCTGGCACACCTGGCTAATTTTTGTATTTTCGGTACAGACAAGTTTTCCACATGTTTCCCAGTCTGGTCTCAAACTCCTGGGCTCAAGTGATTCTCCCGTGTTGGCCTCCAGAAGTGTAGGGATTGCAGGAATCGGCCACCACGCCTGGCCTTACTTAATACATCTGATCTCACTACATTCTGACACTAAAGCCTCACATCAAAAAGTTAGGAAGATCTCAAGTTAACAACATAACATCACAACTAAAAGATCTAGAGAACAAGGCCAGGCACGGTGGCTCACGCCTGTAAACCTAGCACTTTGGGAGGCCGAGGCGGGCGGATCACAAGGTCAGGAGATCGAGACCATCCTGGCTAACATGGTGAAACCCCATCTCTACTAAAAATACAAAAAATTAGCCAGGTGTGGTGGCACATCCCTGTAGTCCATCCCAGCTACTTGGGAAACTGAGGCAGGAGAATCGCTTTAACCTAGGAGGCGGAGGTTGCAGTGAGCCGAGATTGCACCACTGCACTCCAGCCTGGGCAACAGAGCGAGACTCCATCTCAAAAAATAAATAAATACAATAAAATAAATAAATAAAAGAACTAGAAAACCAAAAGCAAACAAATCCCAAAGCTAGAAGAAAACAAGAAATAATCAAAATCAGAGCTGCACTGAACAAGACAGTGACATGAAAACACATTCAAAAGACCAACAAATCCAGGAAGTATTTTTTTGGAAAAAATAACTAAAAAGACCACTAGCTAGACTAATAAGAAGAGAGAGAAGATTCAAATAAACATAATCAGAAACAATAAGGGGGATATTACCACTGACCTCAGAGAAGAGAACCATCAGAGAATATTATGAACAAGTCGATGCACATGAACTAGAAAATCTAGAAGAAATGGAAAAATTTCTGGAAGCATACACCCTATCAAGACTGAACCAGGAAGAAACTGAATCCCTGAACAGAACAATAGTGAGTTCTGAAATTGAGGCAGTAATAAATAGCCTACCAATCAATAAAAGTCCAGGACCAGGTGGACTCACAGCTGAATTCTCCCAGATGTACAAAGAAGAGCTGGTACTGTTCCTACTGAAACTATTCCAAAAAATGTAGGAGAAGGGACTCTCCCTAAACTCATTCTATGAGGCCAGGACCAACCATCTTGACATGAAAACCTGAAAAAGATACAACAAAAAAGAAAGCTTCATGTCAACATCCTTGATGAACATTGATGTAAAAATCTTCAACAAAATACTAGCAAAGTAAATTCAGCAGCAAATCAAAAAACTTATCCACCATGATCAGGTAGGCTTCATCTCTGGGATGCAAGTTTGGTTCAACATATCCAAATCAATAAATATGATTCATTACAGAAACAGAACTAGGGGCAAAAACCACATGATTATTTCAATAGATGCAGAAAAGACTTTCATTACAGTTCAACATCTATTCATGTTAAAAACTCTCAATAAACTAGGTATAGAAAAAAAAGACACCTCAAAATGATAAGAGCCATCTATGACATACCCACAGCCAACATTATACTGAATGGGCGAAAGCTAGAAGCATTCTCCTTGAAAACCAGAATGAGACAAGAATGTCGTCTCTCATCATTCCTATTCAACATAGTACTGGAAGTTCTGGTCTGGGTAATCAGGCAAGAGAAAGAAAGAAAGGGCATCCAAATACGAAGAAAGGAAATCAAACTATTCTTGTTTGCAGATTACATGATCCTATATATAGAAAACCCCATAGTCTCAGCTCAAAAGCTCCTTAAGCTGATAAACAACTTTGGCAAAGTCTCAGAATGCAAAATCAATGTGCAAAAATTACCAGCATTCCTATACACAAACAACACTCAAGCCGAGAGCCAAATCATGAACAAACTCACATTCACAGTTGCCACAAAAAGAATAAAATATCTAGGAATACACCTAACTAGGGAGGTGAAAGATCTCAAGGAGAACTACAAACTGCTGCTCAAAGAAATCAGAAATGACACAAACAAAACACATTCCATGCTCATGAATAGAAAGAATCAATATCATTAAAATGTCCATACTGCCAAAAGCAATTTATATATTCAATGCTATTCCCAATAAACAACCGCTGACATTCTCATAGAATTTAAAGTAATTATTTCAAAATTTATATGAAACCAAAAAAGCCTGAATAGCCAAGGCAATCTTAAGCAAAAATAACAAAGCTGGAGGCATCACGCTACTCAACTTCCAGCTATACTACAGGGCTACAGCACCAAAACAGCATGGTACTAGTACAAGAACAGAAACATAGATCAATGGAACAGAATAGAGGGCCAGAAATCAAGCTGCACACCTGCAACCATCTGACCTTTGACAAAGCTGACAAAAAGAAGCAATGGGGAAAGAATTTGCAATAAATTGTGCTGGGAGAACTGGCTAGTCATATGCAGGAAATTGAACCTGGATCCCTTCCTTACACCATACACAAAAAATAACTCAAGATGGATTAAAGACTTAAATGTAAAACCCAAACTATAAAAACTCTGAAAGACAACCTAGGCAGTACCATTCAGGACACAGGCGCAGGCAAAGACTTCATGGCAAAGATGCCAAAGCAATTGCAACAAAAGGAAAAATTAACAAATGGGATCTAATTAAGTTAAAGAGCTTCTGGCTGAGCGTGGTGGCTCAAGCCTGTAATCCCAGCACTTTGGGAAGCTGAGGGAGGTGGATCACCTGAGGTCAAGAGTTCAAGACCAGCCTGGCCAACATGGTGAAATCTCGTCTCTAATAACAATAAAAAATTAGCCAGGTGTGGTGGCATAGGCCTGTAATCCCAGCTACTCGGGAGGCTGAGGCAGGAGAATCGCTAGAACCTGGGAGGCAAAGGTTGCAGTGAGCTGAGACTGCACCACTGCACTCCAGCCTGGGAGACAGTGTCTGTCTCCAATAAATAAATAAATGAAGAGCATTTACTGGACAAGTGGAAGATTATGTTTTATAAACAAAATCATCTTTGAAATTACTGGCTGATTCCTCTTTAAAAGGTACAAATAGGTCTTTTTAAAAACTTTTAAGTGTTAGGGTACAAGTGCAGGTTTGTTACATAGGTAAACTTGTGTCATGGGGTTGTATAGATTATTTAATAACCCAGGTATTAAGCTTAGTACCATTATTTCTCCTGATCCTCTCTTCCCACCTTCCACTTTTTGAAAGACCCCAGTGTGTCATTCCCCCCCGTGTCCGTGTTCTCATTATTTACTTGTCACTCATAAGTGAGAACAAGTAGTATTTGGTTTTCTGTTCCTGTGTTAGTTTGCTAAGGATAATGGCCTCCAGCTCCATGCAGATCTCTGCAAGGGGCATGATCTCATTTTTCTTATGACTCCATAGTATTTCATGGTATATATGTACATTTTTCTTTGTCCAGTGTATCATTGATGGAAATTTAGGTTGAGTCCATGTGTTTGCTGTGGTGGATGGTGCTGCAGTGAACATACATGTGCATGTGTATTTATAATAGAATAATTTATATTCCTGTGGGTATATACAGTAATAGGATTCCTCATCACACTAGGCTGGGCATGGCAGTTCACACCTGTAATCCCCACACTTTAGGAGGCCAAGGCGGGCAGATCACCTAAGGTCAGGAATTTGAGACCAGCCTGGCCAATGAGGCGAAACCCTGTCTCTACTAAAACTACAAAAATTAGCTGGGTGTGGTGGCACGTTCCTGTAATCCCAGCTACTCAGGGGGCTGAGGCAGGAGAATCGCTTAAACCCGGGAGGTGGAGGTTGTAGTGAGCTGAGATCGTGTGATTGCACTCCAGATTGGGCAACAAGAGCAAAACTCTGTCTCAGGAGAAAAAAAAAAAAAATCAACACACTGTCTTCAACAATGGCTAAAGTAATTTACACTCCCACCAACAGTATATAACCATTTCTTTTTCTCCACAACCTCGCCAGCATCTGTTATTTCTGTAACTTATTAAAAATAGCCTTTCTAACAGGCATGAGATGGTATCTCATTGTGGTTTTGATTTGCATTTATTTAACAATCAGTGGTGTTGCGCTTATTTTCATATGATTGTTGATACACGTCTGTTCATGTCCTTCCCCCACTTTTTTTTTTTTTTTTTTGGAGAGGCAGTCTTGCTCTGTTACCCAGGCTGGATCCCAGCTCACTGCAACCTCTGCCTCCCAGGTTCAAGGAATTCTCTTGCCTCAGCCTCCCTAGTAGCTGGGATTACAGGTGTCCACCATCATGAGATGGAGTTTCGCTCTTGCTGCCCAGGCTGGAGTGCAATGGTGCACTCTTGGCTCACCACAACCTCTGCCTCCTGGGTTCAAGTGATTCTCCTGCCTCAGTCTCCAGAGTAGCTGGGATTACAAACATGCACCACCATGCCCGGCTAATTGTATTTTTAGTAGAGATGGGGTTTCTCCATGTTGGTCAGGCTGGTCTCGAACTGCCAACCTCAGGTGGTCCGCCCACCTTGACCTCCCAAAGTGCTGAGATTACAGGCATGAGCCACTGTGCCCAGCGATATTTTGTATTTTTAATAGAGATGGGGTTTTACCATGTTGGCTAGGCTGATCTTGAACTCCTGACCTCAAGTGATCTACCCACCTTGGCCTCCCAAAGTGCTGGAATTACAGGCATGAGCCACTGAGCCTGGCCCTATTTCATCCACTTTTTTATGGAGTTGGTGTTTTTCTTTTTTTTTTTTTTTTGAGATAGAGTCTTACTCTTTGACACAGGCTGGAGTGCAGTGGTGCACTCTTGGTTCACTGCAATCTCCGCCTCCTGGGTTCAAGCGATTCTCCTGCCTCAGCCTCCCCAGTAGCTGGGATTATAGGCATATGCCACCACAGCCAGCTAATTTTTGTACTTTTAGTAGAGACAGGGTTTCGCCATGTTGGCCAGGCTGGTCTTGAACTCCTGACCTCAAGTGATCCAAACGTCTCGACCTCCCAAAGTGCTGGAATTACAGGCATGAGCCACCACGCACAGCCGGGGTTGTTGTTTTTCTACTGTAAATTTGTTTAAGTTCTTATAGATGCTAGACATTAGACCTTCGACGGATGCATAGTTTGCAAAAATTTTCTCCCATGCTGTATGTTATCTGTTTACTCTGTTGATAGTTTCTTTTGCTGTGCAGAAGCTCTTTTTTTTTTTTTTTGAGATGGAGTCCCGCCAAGATCGCGCCACTGCACTCCAGCCTGGGCGACAGAGACTCAGTCTCAAAAAAAAAAATTAAAGACTACATAAGAGACATTACGACATTTTTCAAACATTACCTTCAAATAAAGAGTGTTCTTCTCACATAATTATACAGATTCAAAATATAAGTAGATTGTGAATTTAGGATTATTTTCCCGACTACTCACCTAGACAGAATAATCATTGAAAACCATGGAAAGAGTATGTCATAAACGAAGTAGTGGCAACACAGATGAAAAACACATCGATATTTCTATAGATGACATACGGCTAATTCATATATAAATTAAGCATCACATTGTCTAAAATTGTACAGAGTTGAAAATTATCATTCAATTCATAATATCAAGCTTTGAAAGCAAAAATACAATTAACTGATCTAAAAAAACATACCCCCTCGAAAAGAAACACTAATGTAGAAATAAAAATAAGAGAGATTTTATTTATTTATTTTTTTGAGACGGAGTCTCGCTCTTGTAACCCATACTGGAGTGCAGTGGCGTGATCTTGGCTCACTGCAACCTCAGCCTACCGAATTCCAGCGATTCTCCTGCCTCAGCCTCCC
Organism: Homo sapiens; assembly: GCF_000001405.40. Taxonomy (NCBI): domain Eukaryota; kingdom Metazoa; phylum Chordata; class Mammalia; order Primates; family Hominidae; genus Homo; species Homo sapiens. Next base: position 21,476,009 of record NC_000019.10, on the reverse strand, counting down.
GAGTAGCTGGGATTACAGGCACCCACCACCAAGCCTGGCTAATTTTTGTATTTTTCTTTTAGTAGAGAAGGAGTTTCACCATGTTGGCCAGGCTGGTCTCCTGACCTCAGGTGATCCACCCGCCTTGGCCACCCAAAGTGCTGGGATTACAGGGGTGAGCCACCGCGCCCGGCCAAGAGAGATTTTAACGCATAATATGCTGAATACAACATAGATATTAAAAATAATTCTTTAGATATCTACAGTTTTTAGCTGTGTGTACTCTTGCAGAGCAGGCATTCTGAATCATTGGCATTCAATGAATGGCAGCAAAATTTCACAGAAAAATGCATTACAATCAATAATAGGCTCTAATGAGAAAATTTAATAAATACGAAAAGTACGGCGGAAAAATTTATTTGTGGCCGAAAAGGACGGCGGAAAAATTTCTTTGTGGCCGGGCGCGGTGGCTCACGCCTGTAATCCCAGCACTTTCGGAGGCCGAGGGGGGCGGACCATCTGAGGTCAGGAGTTCAAGACCAGCCTGGCCAACATAGTGAAACCCTGTCTTTACTAAAAATACAAAAAATTAGCCGGGCATGGTGGCGGGTGCCTGTAATCCCAGATATTCGGGAGACTGAGGCTCGAGAATCGCTTGAGCCCAGGAGGCGGAGGTTGCAGTGAGCCGAGATCATGCCACTGCACTCCAGCCTGGAGACAAAAGCGAGACTCCGTCTCACAAAAAAATAATAATAATCAGAAAAGACTTAAGACCCCACGGGCAGCAGCCCCTCCAACGCATACACCGAGTGGGGATTCTGCCGATGACCCGCCTGTCTTCCCTGAACAACCCGGGAAATACTCGGGATTGCGGGTGCAGAGCTGCCCAGAGAGCCCCGGACTGGCGCCGCGCAGAAACTGGCGGGACGCTGTGGTCCTGGCTGCGAGTCCAGCCGCCATCTTGCGGCCAGAGTGGCCTGGAGCGGAGCTGTGCCAGCGGGGACTCAGGTCGGCGACCCAGGAGCGGACTGTGGGGAGGCCGGTCCAGCCGGTTTCACAGGCCGCTCTCCCATCTCGGGATGCTCAACCCGCACACCCACCGGCTGTGACAAAGTCACCTGGGGCTCCCGAGGTGGAGGACGCAGAATAGCAGAGACAGGCAACTAAAACTCTGGCAGGAGCGAGACAAAGGGCCCGCCAAATGCCGGAGGCCACGCCCTCCTCTCCAACTCCGCGCCTGATTGGGCGGTTCCCGCGCCAGCGCCACTGATTGGATAAAGCTTCAGGACCCACCTCCCAGCGCGGCTTCCCCAGCATTAGTGCATTTTATGGGCAGGGAAACAGGCTGAAGTAGGCAGGGTCACCTGCTCAGGGAATTACAGCTAATTAAGAAGTGAGCTGAGGCTTGAAATGCGCTTGCTCTTTCCCTTACCTGGGTCTACTTGTATAATGCATCTGAGTAGTTATTTTAGGGTAAAAAGAAAATTTGGACACCTTTTTAACAACTTTTTAATCATTTTGATAATGCAGGAAAAACCTTCATCCCATCCCTGAGCCCCTCTCTCACCATGCTGTACCACACTGCTGACCACATCGTGGGATGGCCATTAGGAATGGGGCGGGGGGGAGGTGGGCAGAGGGGGCTGAGAATGGGTAAGCATGAATTACGTTGGCCAAATGTGCTCATCTTAGAAAGGCTCCTCAGGCATTTTGTGTGAAGCGTCTATCCTTGGGGTAATTGTGCCCTGACTGCGCTGCATCTCAGTCTGACTTCTCCTTTTGAAAATCACTGGATTACTTTCATTAACGGGTGTGTTTCATTTTCTATTTGAAAATGGCCAGGCTGGGCGCTGTGGCTCACGCCTGTAATCCCAGCACTTTGGGAGGCCGAGGCGGGCGGATCACCTGGGGTCAGGAGTTCAAGACCAGCCTCAACATGGAGAAACCCCGTCTCTACTAAAAATACAATTAGCCAGGCGTGGTGGTGCACGCCTGTAATCCCAGCTACTCAGGAGGCTGAGGCAGGAGAATTGCTTGAACCTGGGAGACGGAGGTTGCAGTGAGCCGAGATCGCGCCATTGCACTCCAGCCTGGGCAACAAGAGTGAAACTCCGTCTCAAAAAAAAAAAAAAGAAAGAAAGAAAAGAAAATGGCCAACGGTTTTCTGTAGGTGTCCTGATTTGATTTGCTAGTTTAGACCCTGGAGGTAGAGGTCAGAAAGCACTTGAGCCACATCAGAACACCTTTTCAACTGGAGGATACATAGGAATTCTTTAATAATATCTAACAGTTTTCTCAATACCCATTATATTTAACAGTGATAGCTTGGAGGGTAGGGAGGGGACACAGATGACACAACCTTATTAGTTCAATTTTGTTATAAGTTTTTGTGTTTTGTTTTTGGAGACAAGGTCTCACTCTGGTGCCCAGGCTGGAGTGCAGTGGCACATCATAGCTCATTATTTGGTTGTAACAGTTCTTTAAAAAATATTTTTGAGGGCCAGCTGCAGCGGCTCACGCCTGTAATCCCAGCGCTTTTGGAGGCCGAGGCGGGTGGATCACCTGAGGTCAGGAGTTCAAGACCACCCTGGGCAACATGGTGAAACCCCACCTCTACTAAAAATACAAAAAATAGCCGGGCGTGGTGGCACATGCTTGTAATCCCAGCTACTGAGGAGGCTGAGGCAGGACAATCGCTTGAACCTGGAAGGCACAGGTTGCAGTGAGCCCAGATCATGCCATTGCACTCCAGCCTGGGCAACAAGGGAAAAACTTCGTCTCAAAAAGAAATAAAAATTTTAAAATATATATTTTTGAGGCCGGGCATGGTGGCTCACGTCTGTAATCCCAGCACTTTGGGAGGCTGAGGTGGGCGGATCACAAAGTCAGGAGTTTGAGACCAGCCTGGCCAACATAGTGAAACACCGTCTCTACTAAAAATACAAAAATTAGCTGGGCATGGTGGCAGGCCCCTGTAGTCCCAGCTACTTGGGAGGCTGAGACAGGAGAATTGCTTGAACCCGGGAGGCAGAGGTTGTGGTGAGCCGAGATCGTGCAGCTGCACTCGAGCCTGAGCAATAGAGCGAGACTCTGTATCAAAAAAAAAAAAAAATTTTTTTTTTTGCCTGGGCTTGATGGCTCACACCTGTTATCCAAACACTTTGGGAGGCAGGCCAAGGTGAAATGATCACTTAAGCCCAGGAGTTTAAGACCAGTCTGGGCAACATTTTAAGCCTCAGTCTCTACAAAAAAATTTTAAAATTGGCCAGGTGTGGTATTGCATGCCTATAGTCCCAGCTACTTGAGAGGCTGAGGTGGAAAAATCACTTGAGCCTAAGAGTTTGAGAGTGCAGTAACCCATGATTCAGCCACTGCACTCCAGCCTGGGTGACAGAGTGAGACCTCTGAGTGTGTGTGTGTGTTATATAATTTATTTTTAAAAATAATATGTATGTTAAAAAAATTTCAAGCACAGAAAAAAAGTGAAAGACCTTGGGGGTGGGGGTATGTGAAGAAAGGTGAGTGTGGGCTGGGTGCGGTGGCTCACACCTGTAATTCCAGCATTTTGGGAGGCCAAGGTGGGCGGGAATCGCCTCAGGTCAGGAGTTTGAGACCACCCTTGCCAACATGGTGAAACCTTGTCTTTACTAAAAGTACAAAAATTAGCTGGGCATGGTGGTGGGCACCTGTAATCTCAGCTACTCGGGAGGCTGAGACAGGAGAATCGCTTGAAACCGGGAGTCGGAGGTTGCAGTGAGCCGAGATCACACCACTACACTCCAGCCCGGGCGACAAAAGTAAAACTCTGTCTCAAAAAAATAAAAATAGATTAAAAAAAAAAAAAAAGAAAAGTGGCTCCTGCAACTCGGTGAGACTTGGTTTTCTATTTTGAAAAACTGCCCATCCACACAGGAACCATCACCTAGCTCATGCCAATTCTCTCTCTCTCTCTTTTTTTTTTTTTTTTTTGAGACAGGGTCTGACTGACTGTGTAGCCCAGGCTGCGGTGCAGTGGTGCAGTCTGGGCTCACTGCAACCTCTGCCTCCTGGGTTCAAGCGATTCTCCTACCTCCGCCTCCCAAGTAGCTGGGGCTACAGGTGCCCACCATCATGCCTGGCTAATTATTGTATTTTATGGTAGAGATGGGGTTTCACCATGTTGGCCAGTCTGGTCTCAAACTCCTGACCTCAAATTATCTGCCTGCCTCACCCTCCCATAGTGCTGGGATTACAGGCATGAACCACCACTCCCAGCCACATGCCAATTCTCACACTAAGCCTGCTGACATACCACTATTTACCCATTTTTAAAGAAAAATTGAGGCCGGGCACGGTGGGTCATGCCTATAATCCCAGTACTTTGGTAGGCCTAGGTGGGCATATCACCTGAGGTCAGGAGTTTGAGACCAGCCTGGCCAACATGGTGAAACCCCGTCTCTACTAAAAATACAAAATTAGCCCGGCATGGTGGCACGTGCCCGTAACCCCAGCTACTCGGGAGGTTGAGGCAGGAGAATCACTTAAACCCAGGAGGCAGAGGTTGCAGTGAGCTGAGATCATGCCACCGCACTCCAGCCTAGAAAACAAGAGCGAAACTCTGTCTCAAAAAAAAAAAGAAAGAAAGAAAAGAAAAATTGAAATATTTCACCTAAAAAAAACATGGAGGAGAAAAAGAGGATTTGATATTTAAAGACTTTGTTTCCTTTATAAAACTACAGCCCCTTGTTATTTGATTTGTCCAAAGGTGTCTGACAGCACTAATACACTTAAGGAATCAATCAGGAAAAATGGGCCTCTCAGGTGACAAGGAGTTACAATGTACCTAAACCCAATCCATTCTCAGCTTTACATGGTGTCGCCCTCAAGAAGTGGTGTTCCCCACGTGAACCATATTCACTGGACAAGGCCAGAGGAAAGCATGTTTAGGACAACACAACCATGAGGCTGCAAATCAAACTGGGGGCAGGAAGCACGCAGGAGGCTTCCATGGCCAAGACACTGGTGGCTATCCTTGGGTATCACTTAAAACTTCAAGGTGAAGGACATCTTTTCCCACTTGGCTCAGAGGAACTAACAGACATTAGGATTGGAATATTTTTGTTTGTTTGTTTTTTCAGAATTTCTAAGACATGAAGGACTCTCCAAACACTCCAAAGGGCATTTAGCTATACATGAGGCTAATTGGCCAGGTGTGGTGTTGCATGCCTATAGTCCCAGCTGCTTGAGAGGCTGAGGTGGAAAGATCACTTAAGCCTAAGAGGTTGAGGCTGCAGTAACCCATGATTCAGTCACTGCATTCCAGCCTGGGTGACAGAGTGAAATATACACGTGTGTGTGTGTGTGTGTGTGTGTGTGTGTGTGTGTGTCTGCTCTGGAGAGGGATGGCTGAGCAACAGCCACCAGCTATAATAACTGTGAACTCCCCCTCTTATAGGGTCAGGCCACCTCCACATACCCCCTCTTACTTCACAGGCTCTGTCCCTCAGGTCTGGAATATTGCCTTCCTCCCATCTCATTAGCTCTCCAAGAGAGCCCAGCTTGCTCTAAAACCTACCCTAGAATGGCAAGTTGTAGACCCTCCTCCATTCTCCCAGTACAGTGGGACTTCTGGAGAGTGCTGCCTAATTTCCTTACCTCGACTGACCTGACAAGGGCAAGTGCCTTGGCAGTTAGATGTTCAGTGACCTAACAGGTCCAGCATGCCCAGTGCTCAGCCCCACAGCCTAGCATCTCTCCTCCCCTGGCCTTCCCTCCAGGATTTTTTCTTTTCTTTTTTTCTTTTCCTTTCCTTTCCATTCCTTTCTCTCTCCCTTCCTTCCTTCCTTCCTTCCTTCCTTCCTTCCTTCCTTCCTTCCTTCCTTCCTTCCTTTCTCTCTCTTTCTTTCTTAGATGTAGGCTTGCTCTGTTGCCCAGGTTGGAGTGCAGTGGCATGATCTTGGCTCACTACAACTCCATCTCTGGGGTTCAAGCAGTTTTCCTGCCTCAGCCTCCCAAGTAGCTGGGATTACAGGCTCACACCACCATGCCAAGCTAATTTTTGTATTTTTAGTAGAGACAGGATTTCACTATGTTGGCCAGGCTGGTCTTGAACTACTGATCGAGGTGATCAGCCCACCACGACCTCCCAAAGTGCTGGGATTACAGGCTTGAGGCACTGCGCCTGGCCTTAGCCTTTTTTCTTCTGTCACCAATGACAGGTGATATTCACCTGTGCCACACTTTCATGAGCCTAGTAAGTGGTGTGGGCAAACCCCAGCTGAGTCCCTGTGACTCCACACTCTTACTTCCCACTCAAGTGGCATTATAAGCATAACCTTAAATATGATCTAATTTATACATATTTCTCTCTTAGCAACATTTCTGACAACAGTCCTCACAATCAAATCAGACTGGGTTACAAAACACACGGGTGAGGCTGGAGCAGTAGTTTATAAAAACTTACTTTATTCTAATGTGATATGAAAATATGATGGGTTAAAAACAAGAAAATGTTATTAATCAGTGGTGGGGATGCTCCACTTGCTAGCTTATGGCCACTCCCTTTAAAACAAGATATCGGCCGGGCGCGGTGGCTCACACCTATAATCCCAGCACTTTGGGAGGCTGGGCAGGCGGATCACGAGGTCAGGAGATCGAGACCATCCTGGCTAACACAGTGAAACCCCGTCTCTACTAAAAATACAAAAAAAAAAAAAAAAATTAGCCGGGCGTGGTGGCAGGCACCTGTAGTCCCAGCTACTGGGGAGGCTGAGGCAGGAGAATGGCGTGAACCCAAGGAGGCAGAGCTTGCAGTGAGCTGAGATCACGCCATTGCACTCCAGCCTGGGCACAGAGCAAGACTCCGTCTCCAAAAAAAAAAAAAAACAAAAAACCAAAAACAAGATATCTAGGCAAACCATATTCATAGGTATCTTTTTGCAAAATCCCAGGCAGAAGCCCCAGTCAGACACAGCTCCCTCAGGCTCACAGGGTGGCAACCTCCTTCTCCATGTTAGGGCTCTGACAGTAGGCAAGAGAAGTAGCACCGGCAGGTGGGGACAGAGAGCAGCCTGGGCCTATAGGGTCCCTAACTACCCCCAGAGCTAGTCTCCGTTTAAGGGGCTGTGTGGCCAGGACCAGGTAGGAAGCTGGGCTCAACAGAGCGGTGACAACCACTCCTGTATCTTTAACATTCCCCCGGGATTCATGATTCAGCTCTGGTTCTCCCCAGGCCCCAAACCTACTCTACCCTCAGTGTGTGTTAGGGAGGTCTGGTTAAGACAGGGAGAATAATACATTCAGATTGTAGCCTCCAAGGTATTCCCATCTGGGGTGCAGGGAGTAGGGAGGCAAGTCAGAGCCTGTGGTGTTGCCTTTTTGCTGGTACTGAGGGCAGGCAGGCCAGGCCTAGGCACATGGATGTCTGGGGGACCACCACTGCTGACTCCCTCCCTGTCACCCAGAGTTACAATCAGGCCAGGCCAATCACAATTATAATCACTGCAGTTCTCATCCTGCCACAAAACTAAAGTGTACCCAAAACCCTAGCCCTACCACAGGTCTCTGACTTTCCATCCCAGAACACAAGGAGGCCCTCGATCTTTTTTACTTAAAGCCTGAACTTCAAACCAGGTTGGGTCTGGGGGTAGTGGCAGCAAAAGCAGCAGCCATAATATGAAGCATACAAATGACTCGAGAAATCCCATCTGCATGTCATTCACTCGGAACTGACCTGGAGTTGTGTACAAGTTAAGAAGGACAGATCTATACACTCATTGGCATGGACACATTCTACAGTTGCTGGGAAGAATGAGGGACCTGAGAGGCACCTTTTTCCCAGCTGCAAGCTGATGTCCACATACACCATTCACATGTCTTCATTTATGCCTCTGCATTGTATATTCATTGAGCCAATGCAAACACATCTCCTGGGGGGGGCATCATTCAATGCAGCACCAGCCCCCACTTGTCCTGGGGGGCAGTCAGTAGGGATCTGGTCAGCTCATAATCTCCTAGGACAATGGTGCTGCCCCCTTTCCAGCACTCACATCCAGCAGCACCATCTTGGGATGGTTTTCATCAAACATGAACAGCGTGAGGTAGCAGGCATGGTGTGACAGGCTCAGGGCCATGGACAGCTGGCTGCTGGGGAAGCAGCATAGGGCAGGGGCATCTGTGGGTGGCACCATGACAAGCCCCTACCCCCACACAGCCCCTACCCCCACACAGCCTGAGTCCAAATGCCATTCAAATCTTCCTGGGTGGTATTGGGGTGCTCGATGTCCATTTCTCACCTGCTCATTAGCACTGCCTTGTGTTGGTTACTCAGGACCTGGGGAGAGGGGTGGGGGCTGTTGATCCAGGATGGGCAACACCTCACACCCAGAGTCCACGTGGCTGCAGGCCAGCAAGCAAGCCCAAGTGGCTCAGCTCTAGACACTGAGCCTCGGCACCTCTGGCTTGCACTTTCTATTTATACTTTGCACAAAGGCAACAGAAGGAGGTCAACATCAGCTGTTGTGACATGGAACTCTATGCGCCACGGAGACCTTCTAAAAATGTTGTCTTAAGTCCTTTTCTTTCTAATAAAATCTATACAAATACACACATGCAAGCCTGAAACTACTATAAATGAAATATTAAGTGTTTTAAAACCCATAAACAAACAAACACAAAAACAGCCACTTTGAGGAGAGAGTGGGACCCTAAAGCAGCTGACCCCCCAAAAGCCCCACCAAGCCTTAGGACAGGACAGGCAGCCTGAACACTACAAGGCCACATGGTGGTTACAGAGGATGACAGCTCCCACAGGTACTTGTCAGGCACTGTGGTAGCTTCTCACTCAGAGTCTCAGAACGCCTCCTCACCAATACCCTGTGAGGGGAGGTCCCGCCTCACTAGAGCACAGGAGTTTCCTGAACTCTCCCAAGGAAATGGTTAACAAAGGGTGGAACTAGGGGAAGCCCAGACAAAACAAGTGACTCCCCAGTGTCTCCCTAGACTCCATCCACTCCTCCACATGGGGCCCGGAGGGGAAGTGAACAGCCTCTTAACTCCCTCGATAGGGTTCCAGTCCTGCAGGCCTGGACTCTCCCATTTCCTGCTACCATAGAGGGTGACAATGAAACTCCAGACTCCTCATTTGCCATCCCTCATTTGCCAGGCCAGGTCCAAAGACGTTTGATGACACAGCCCAGAGGGTGCTCGAGGCCCACCTCAGCATAGTCACCGGTAATGTAGTGGGGAGGAGCAAGGAGGTGCTCAGGGCCTCAGTGATGAGCTCACAGCCCTCCTTTAGGAGGCCTGCAGAGCACACTCCCAGGGAGCAGTGCTCAGATGGGCAGACAGGCCAACCAGCACCGAGGACTCAGAACCCCTCCTTGCCCCACCTGCCGCCCGGCCACATGAGGCTCTGTCCCACTTTCAGGGCTTCTGCACAGGCCAGTCCCCACTGCTTCTGTGGCGAGATATCAGAGTTGAAGTGAATGTTGAAGTGAGTGCTGAAGGCCATGCAGCTGATGGAGCTTACTGCCTTGCACACACTGTAAATCACCTCCTGGCTCCAAGGGTCTGCTGTGGAAGAGACACAGCCTGATGGGATGTAGCCCCACTCCACCACCAGTGGGGCTTGGCTGTCCTGAGCTGCAGCCCGCAGCTCCTTGCAGAGATGTCTACCTGCTTCTCTCTGGAGCTGGGGCATGAGCCATCCCTGGCAAGGACCGGCTGCCAGGACAGGCTGGGAACTCTCCCCCAGCATCCTCAGGAGCCCCACCTGTGCTGGCATCTGCGCTGGTGATTTCCATAATAAGATTATGGAAGATTTTTAAAGCAACTTTCCCCCCTCATTTCTCTATCTTAATAACAGCACTGATAACTTCTAAGCCCCAGCAGGCTGAAAGTGTAAGACAAATGAGCTCCTGCCTAAGAAGGGCCATAATTGGGCAGTGTGTGCTCAGGAGGGCACCCCATGGTTGTTAGTGGAGGGTGGGAAGCTGGATGGCCCTGGCCACTCAGTCCAGTGGAAAGGAGGGCCCTCTCCTTCCAGGAAATCAAAGTCTCAAAGAGACCAGAATAAGTGCTTGACCAGCCTGCCAGGAAGCAGAAGGCTAGATGGCCTTGCAGGCAACCCCAGGCAGCCTTTAGGGTGCCTGATAGGGCTGAGCTCATTCCAGCTTTCCTTGCTTTCATTCCGTCTACAAGAAAACCTGCCTGCTGGCTGGGCATGGTGGCTCATGCCTGTAATCCCAGCACTTTGGGAGGCCGTGGCAGGTGGATCACAAGGTCAGGAGTTCAAGACCAGCCTGGCCAAGATGGTGAAACCCTTTCTCTACTAAAAATACAAAAATTGCCAGGCGCAGTGGCAGGTGCCTGTAATCCCAGCTACTCGGGAGGCTGAGGCAGGAGAATCACTTGAACCCGGGAAGCGGAGGTTGCAGTGAGCTGAGATCGCACCATTGCACTCCAGCCTGGGCAACAGAGCGAGAGTCCATCTAAAAAAAATAAATTAATTAAAAATTTAAAAAAGTTTTTATATCTTTGATATTTCGCTCATTATTTCTAAATCTCATTTAGTTGTCTATTTGTGTTTTATTTTTGTTCATTGAGCATTCTAAGATGATGATGATTATTATTTATTTATTTATTTTGAGATGGAAGTCTCGCTCTGTCGCCCAGGCTGGAGTGCGGTGGTGCGATCTGGGCTCACTGCAAGCTCCACCTCCCAGGTTCACGCCATTCTCCTGCCTCACCCTCCAAGTAGCTGGGACTACAGGCGCCTGCCACCACACCCGGCTAATTTTTTGTATTTTTTTTCAGTAGAGACGAGGTTTCACCATATTAGTCAGGATGGTCTCGATCTCCTGACCTCGTGATCTGCCCACCTTGGCCTCCCAAAGTGCTGGAATTACAGGCGTGAGCCACCACGCCCGGCCTATTATTTTGTATTTTTAGTAGAGACCAGGTTTCACCACATTGGCCAGGCTGGTCTCGAACTCCTGACCTTGTGATCCACCTGCCTCAGCCTCCCAAAGTGCTGGGATTACAGGCATGAGCCACCGTGCCCGGCCAAATATTTTGAATTCTTTATCAGATATGCAAAAACTTCATTTCTTAAGATTCAATTTCTGGATATTATTTTGCTCCTTCAAGTGGGACATATTTCCTGTCTTTTCTCTATGCCCTGTGATTTTTTTTTTTAAGTGATATCTGAGGATTTATACAACAGCCATCTAATCCAGCATTTAAAGACCGGCTTAGTAAAGGGGAGATACTGACAGTAATCAGCCAGGCTATGAATGCTGGGTGTTTCACATTCTCAGATACGTTTTCTCTGAAGTTGTGTGTGTGTTTAAGTTAAAGAGTTTTTTTTCTTTTTCTTTTTTTTTTTTTTTTTGAGAGAAGTCTCACTCTTGTCCCCCAGGCTTGAGTGCAATGGCTCGATCTCGGCTCACTGCAACCTCCGCCTCCCGGGTTCAAACGATTCTCCTGCTTCTGCCTCCCAAGTAGCTGGGATTAAGGCGCCTGCCACCACGCCTGGCTAATTTTTGTATTTTTAGTAGAGACGGGGTTTCACCATGTTGGCCAGGCTGGTGTCGAACTCCCGACCTCAGGTGATCTGCCCGCCTCGGTCTCCCAAAGTGCCGGAATTACAGGCGTGAGCCACCATGCCCCGCCTTTTTCTTATTTCTTTTTGAGATTCTATAAACTTTTTTTCTTCTTGGTGCCACCACTCCCGGCCCTGTTTTTCTTTTAAAATCCCAGGTTGCCTACTCAAAAGACTAAAGGCCAGAAAGCTTATGAAATGTTAAATTTTAAAATAATTGTTATTATAGTGTTTCCATTTGTGAACAACATATATGTGTGTATGAATAAAATTTATAAATGGACATAACCTTATACACAAGATTTAAAATAACCCCTGGGCACATGTGGGCCCAACCCAGAGATAGCCCTTCCTGAAATGACTGGAGCCAAGAGCCTGTCACGCTCGCGGTATTCAGTGCAAGGTCTGATCGCGTCTTCTGTCACTCAAGGCCTGAGGGCGCGGAGCCTGGAGCTCTATCCATTAAGGGCGCTGGGGTGGGAACTGTCCAATCAGGTTCACAGTCAGAGAGGAAGGGGTGGCTCCCGGTACCTGGCGGGGCCTTTGTCTCTTGCTCCAGCCAGAGCTCGAGGTTAGCTCTTCACTGCCCTGTGTCTTCTTTCCAAGGGTCTCGGTGATTCGGCCACAGCCTCAGCCTCCATCACGCGGTGAACTGATGGTGCTGGAAGATTCATAGACTCCAGGACATTCCTGAAGCCGAGAAAAGGTGAGTGTGCGGGGCAGGGCGTTTGGAGACGGGGGAGGCCTCTTTGGGACGCGCCAGAAATGGCGGTGGCGGGACGGTCTTGTGAGCCTGAGTGCCCCGCAGCTCAGCCCTCACTCTCCTCCGGTGCAGGGACCCCGGGGCGTCCTTTACCGTTTCAGCACAGCGGCTTTAGCCCCAGCCTGTAGCCCTCTTTGCGCAGCTCTGCGCCCGCAGCCCGTCATCTTCCCCAGGTTGTGAGGTCATCAGGGAAAGACTCCGACTGGTTGTGCGGGTCTCCTGCGTGGAAGGAGCTGCGGTCTGTGGGGTCCCCAGTTCCTACTTTACCCTGTTCAAAAATAAACTGAAGCACCATTAGAGAGTTAATATGGCCGGGCGCGGTGGTTCACGCCTGTAATCCCAACACTTTGGGAGGCCGAGGTGGGCGGATTACCTGAGGTCGGGAGTTCCTGACCGGCCTGACCAACATGGAGAAACCCGGTCTCTACTAAAAGTACAAAAAAAATTAGCCAGGCGTGGCATGCCTGTAATCTCAGCTCCTCGGGAGGCTGAGGCAGGAGAATCGCTTGAATACGGGAGGCGGAGGCTGCAATGAGCCAAGATCGCTCCACTGAGCTCCAGCCTGGGCGACAGAGCGAGACTCCGTCTCAAAAAAAAAAAAAAAAAAAAAAAAAAAAAAGACTTAGTATGCACAAACAGTGATTAATCAATGGGACAGTCCCCAGACATGGTTTGTGGGGGCTTTTGTTTTGTTTTGAGATGGGAGTTTCGCTGTTGTTGCGCAGGCTGGAGCGCAATGGCACGATCTAGGCTCACCGCAACCTCCGCCTCCCGAGTTCAAGCGATTCTCCTGCTTCAGCCTCCTACTTAGCTGGGATTGCAGGCATGCGCCACCACGCTCGGCTACTTTTGATTTTTAGTAGAGACGGGGGTTTCTCCATGTTGGTCAGGGTGGTCTCGAACTCCCAACCTCAGATGATCCGCCTGCCTGGGCCACCCAAAGTGTTGGGATTACAGGCGTGAGCCACTGCGCCCGACGTTTGTGGTTTTGGGGCTACCAGAGGGTCTTGAAGAAAAGGCTTCTATAAGGTGTGTGATGAAGCAAAGCAAATTAATCGATTGGGTACAGTTAGGTAGTCCATTTGCAGTGTCCAGGAGAAAATTCTTTCGTTATGTAATCAGATTAATTGGAGATTTGTGGTTGATTAAACCTGAATTTTGTTTTCTCTTAAGGTAGTAACTTACAAAAAATACATTTGAGCTAGATTTTATTGTTGTTGTTGTTGTTACATAGGAACCTAGACCACTAACGCCACTTCAGTCCAAATATTGCTATTTAATTATTTTGACTTTAATCAGACGCACTGGTGTCACCCTGTATTTTCCACATGTGTGGCAAGCAGGGTCTCAAATCCACTACTCTGTCCTGTTCAGCCTTGCCAGTAAAATCCTTGCCAGGCTTGCAGTAAAATCTTAAATTCCCAGTTTCTTTCCAACATTCCCCAAAGCCAACTTCTCCCCTTCAATTCACAACATTATCAACTATTTTTGTCCTTTATTGTACATTTCAGAAACAGTATTTTAATTAATCACTTTGTCACAGAGCACTGGATGACACTTTTAAAAATACTTGTTTTCTATTTGTAAATATTTTACATGAGAGAAAGGTAAAAAATAATCCCCTTACATTCCACTGTCAAAAATTTTCCCGCTTTTTCTCCTTTTATCTTCCACAGGCACAAATGCCTTGCCCAGACATCTTTGAATTGAGGTTTTCCTTTGGAAACTTTATTGGGCCATGTGTCCTCAACCACACTCTAGTCTTTTTCTAGTTTTAGAATTGTCTTTAGTCTTTCTTTTTTTTTTGAGATGCAGTCTCACTCAGTCACCCAGGCTGGAGTGCAGTGACACAATCTTGGCTCACCGCAACCTCTACTTCCCGGATTCAAACAATTCTCTGCCTCAGCCTCCCAAGTAGCTGGGATTACAGGCGCCTGCCACCAAACCCAGCTAATTTTTGTATTTTTAGTAGAGATGAGGTTTCACCATCTTGGCCAGGCTGGTCTTGAACTCTTGACCTCATGATCCACCTGCCTCAGCCTCCCAAAGTGCTGGATTACAGGCGTGAGCCACCAGGCCCGGGCTAGTCTTTCTTAAGTGCTTTCTTTTATATTAGATACTTTCCATGTAATATTTAGATTTCTATAGTGATTGTTCATGTTTTTAAAGTTACTAACTTGTTTCTCTAGGCCTTATAATATACATCTTAACTTACCAGAATCTGCTTCATATTTATATTAATTCAGCTGGTCGCGGTGGCTCACGCCTGTAATCCCAGCACTTTGGGAGGCCGAGGCGGGCGGATCACGAGGTCAGGAGATCAAGACCATCCTGGCTAGCACAGTGAAACCCTGTCTCTACTAAAAATACAGAAAATAAGCCGGGTGTGTTGGTAGGTGCTTGTAGTCTCAGCTGCTCTGGAGGCTGAGGCAGGAGAATGGCATGAACCCGGGAGGCGGAGTTTGCAGTGAGGTGAGATTGCGCCACTGCACTGCAGCTTGTGGGACACAGTGAGACTACGTTTCAAAAAATAAAAAATAAAAACATATTTATATTAATTCCAATGAGATATAAAATATTACCTCTATATGGTTATTTCCCATGATTTAGACTGACTTTTCTATCAAAATTCATATGGTAAGCCATAACCTCCAATGTGATTCTATTTGAAAACAACAATTTTAGAAAGTGATTAAGGTTAAGTAAGTTTATATGAGTTGGATGGAAAAGCCATAGGCACTCAATGCCAGCTTGTGAAAGCAGCTGCAGGGGCTGTACTCTGCAGATTACAGGGGTGGAGCTGCCTAAGGCCTTGGGAGCTCACCCCTTGCATCATGGTGGCCTAGATATGAGACATGGAGTTGAAGGGAATTATTTTAGAGCTTTAACATTTAATGACTGCCCTTCTGGGTTTTGGAGTTGCATAAGACCTGGAGCTCATTTGCTTTGGCCAATTTCTCCCTTTTGGAACAGGAGAATTTACCCAATGCCTGCATAACCATTGTATCTTGGAAGTGACTAAGTCGTTTTTGATTTTACAGGCTCATAGGTGGAAGAGAATTGCCTTGTCTTAGATAGAATTTGGACTGGACTTTTAAGTTTATGCTGAAATGAGTTAAGAATTTGGGGGAGCAGGCCAGGCACCGTGGCTCACTCGTATAATCCCAGCACTTTGGGAGGCTGAGGCAGGCGGATCACTTGAGGTCGGGAGTTCGCGACCAGCCTGGCCAAAATGATGAAACCCTGTCTCTACTAAAAATACAAAAATTAGCCAGGCATGGTGGTGGGTGCCTGTAATCCCAGCTACTTGGGAGGCTGAGGCAGGAGAATTGCTTGAACCTGGGAAGTGGAGGTTGTGTTGAGCCGAGATCATGCCATTGCACTACAGCTTGGGTGACAAAGTGAGACTCTGTCTTTAAAAAAAAAAAAAAAAAAAAGATTTTGAGGGACTGTTGAAAATGGATGATTGTGTTTTGAAATGTGACTAGGAGGCTGGGCATGGTGGCTCACACCTGTAATCCCAGGATTTTGGGAGGGTGAGGTGGGTGGATCACCTGAGGTCAGGCATTCAAGACCAGCCTGACCAACATGGCCAAACCCCATCTCTACTAAATACAAAAAATTAGCCAAGCATGGTGGCACATGCCTGTAATCCCAGCTACTTGAAAGGCTGAGGTGGGAGAATTGCTGGAACTCGGGAGGTGGAAGTTGCAGTGAGCAGAGATTGTACCACTGCACTCCAGCCTGGGCAACAGAGTCAGACTCCATCTTAAAAAAAAAAAAAGAAATGTGACTAGGACATGAGGTTTGTTGTGAGGGCCAGGAGCAGAATGATGTGGTTTGACTCTGAATCCCCACCCAAATCTCATGTCAAATTGTAATTGTATTAATACAGGTAGGGGTCTAGTTGTATTACCCATATGATTAGCCTTAAACTTTTTTTTTTTTTTTTTTTTTTTTTTGAGACGGAGTCTCGCTCTGTCCCCCAGGCTGGAGTGCAGTGGCACGATCTCGGCTCACTGCAAGCTCCGCCTCCCCGGCTCACGCCATTCTCCTGCCTCAGCCTCCGGAGTAGCTGGGACTACAGTTGCCCGCCACCATACCTGGCTAATTTTTTTGTATTTTTAGTAGAGACGGGGTTTCACTGTGTTAGCCAGGATGGTCTCGAGCTCCTGACCTCATGATCCGCCCGCCTCGGCCTCCCAAAGTGCTGGGATTACAGGCATGAGCCACCGCTCCTAGCCTTAAACTTTATTTTTAAAACAACAAAAAAAGCCAATTTTGAATGATTTAGTTATTTTGCTTTTTTTTTAGTTTTGAGAACCTCTAGCATATTTATAATATTTTAAGATTAAATTTATGATATACTATATGAAATAATGAAAATATTTTGTAATAATATCACTAGTATCATTTTGTCTTATTTTGTTATAAAAATACCTAATAGATTATTTTTTCTGGTCATCACAAAACTATTTGAAAATGTCATATTTGCCATTTATCAAATCTTCATAGAGTTAATAAAACTTTATCTGAATGGGCCGGGCAATGTGGCTCACGCCTGTAATCCCAGCAGTTTGGGAGGCTGAGGCAGGTGGATTACCTGTGGTTGGGAGTTTGAGACCAGCATGGCCAATATGGTGAAACCCCATCTCTAATAAAGATACAAAAATTAGCTGAGCGTGATGGCATGTGCCTGTAGTCCCAGCTACTCGGGAGGCTGAGAGAAGGGAATTACCTGAGCTGGGGAGGTGGAGGTTGCAGTGAGCCAAGATGGCACCACTGCACTCCAGCCTGGGTGACAGAGTGAAACTCCATCTCAAAATAAATAAATAAATAAATAAACTTTATCTGAATGGGGACTTGTAATATTTATTATACTTGTTCATATTGTTTTAAAATAAATTAATTCAGTTTTATTATTTCATTTTGTAAAAGTTCTAAACTGGCCAGGCATGGTGGCTCACACGTGTAATCCCAGCACTTTGGGAGGCCGAGACCAGTGGCTCACTTAAGGTCAGGAGTTCCAGACTAGCCTGGCCAACATCTACTAAAAATACAGATCAGCTGGGTGTGGTGGCAGGTGCCGGTAATCCCAGCTACTTGGGAGGCTGAGGCAGGAGAATCACTTGAACCTGGGAGGTGGAGGTTGCAGTGAGCTGAGATCACGCCACTGTACTCCAGCCTGGGCAACAGAGTGAGGCTCCATCTCAAAACAAAACAAAACACCAATACATGCAGTGTATTAGTAAAGTGATTAGTGATTTCTATATAATTACTAAGTCGTTATTTATAAAATAATATTCTGTGTTCAACTAAAGCAGAAATTGAAAGGAGAAAAACCTAAGTTCCTCCCTGTACTGGGTTGACTCACTCCAAGGGCCTGCGAGGACTAAGATAATGTTATCTGCAAAGCCAGGCAGAGCCCAGAAGGAATGGACTCCAGGAACAGGGATGAGAATAACAAGTTCTTATCAGCTTCCCTCTCTTGAGATTCCTTCCCAGACCAGCATTTCTTTGCTCTGCTCTCATAACTATTTTTTAACTATTTCTGTAAGTTTGTAAAGATTTTGTAAGTTCCTATTTTCCATCAGTGCAACACTGCGAAGGTCACAAGACATACCTGAGCAAACCTAAGATAGTTACCATCTGCTGAGAGTCTGATGATCAGCCCAGCAGAGGTCACTAGATATGTTTGAGTCACATACCTTTCACTGTTTGATTAACTGCCTTCGTTCTGCTTCTGTAGGATGCTAAGCCCGCCCCTGAGTTTCATGCCACTGCATGCTTAAAAGCCAAGCCTCATCTTTGTTTGGGGCTCAGCCTTTTGGATTTGAATCCACTGAGCCAGTGGCCACCTTAATGAAATTCTCCTGTCTCACCCATTGGTCTCTCCAGTCTCCTGAATCCCACAACACAACTATTGCTTTTCTTTTTCTTTTTTTGAGACAGTCTCACTATGTCACCCAGGTTGGAGTGCAGTGGCACGATCTTGGCTCGCTGCAACCTCTGCCTCCCAGGTTCAAACAATTCTCCTGCCTTGGCCTCCTAAGTAGCTGGGACTACAGGCACATACTACCATGCTCGACTAATTTTTTTGTGTTTGTTTTGGTTTTTTTTGAGATGGAGTCTCACTCTGTCACCCAGGCTGGAGTGCAGTGGCATGATCTTGGCTCCCTGCAACCTCTGCCTCCCAGATTCAAACAATTCTCCTGCCTTGGCCTCCCAAGTAGCTGGGACTACAGGCACACACTACCATGCCCAACTAATTTTTTTTTTTTTTTTTTTTTTTGAGATGGAGTCTCGCTCTGTCACCCAGGCTGGAGTGCAGTGGCGCAATCTCAGCTCACTGCAACCTTCCCCTCCTGGGTTCAAGCAATTCTGTGCTTCAGCCTCCCAAGTAGCTGGCATTACAGGCACCTGCCACCATGCCCAGCTAATTTTTTGTATTTTTAATAGAGACAGGGTTTTACCATCTTGGCCAGGCTGGCCTTGAACTCCTGACCTCATGATCTACCTGCATCAGCCTTTCAAAGTGTTGGGATTACAGGCATGAGCCACTGTGCCCGGCCTTTTTTTATTTTTAGTAGAGACAGGGTTTTACCATCTTTGCCAGTCTGGTTTTAAACTCCTGACCTTAGGTGATCTGCCCACCTAAGGGGTTTATGTGTCCTGAGCAAGGCGGTGAGAAAAGTAGCTCAGAGCAGTCTCCGCTCTTTGAGTTCTGCACAATTTATCAAGCCCAGAAAGATGAGAGTATGAGACTTCAATCTTACCCCACATCTGTGCACAGGGGCAATTGTTTAAAGACATTTTGTTTCTGACTAGCTGTCTCAACCATTATTTCGTTTTTCATAAAATATGTAAAACAAATATATATAGCCAATCAATACCCAATCAATTTACCAATAATTTTAATGTCAATTCTTGGTAAACAACTTAGAAACTGCCTTCGCACTGTTTCCAAAAAACCGGCTTGTAATGGCTACTAATTGGAATATATATTCAGGGCTACTTAAATCTGTTATTTGGTGGCTATCCTTAATATTTGAACTTAAATAAATTATTTTCAAATTCTGACCTTTTTAATTATTTTAGGTTAAGTAGGGTCTGGCCTGGAATACTCTCCTAGATGAAGATAGCCCAACCATGAGCCACCTTCGAAGCAGATGAGATGAAATTAAAGCTCTTCAACTCCTAAAGGCCCAGAGACTATCACAAAAGAGGTGGGCATGTGAGATTGTAAGAACTGATTTTGAGAGATAAAATAAGTTCAGTTTTTCTATACATTAATCATTAATGTCAAAGGCACACTAATGCAAGACCAGAATAGGGGCCCCAGTGTTAGATTAACAAGGTTTTCTTGAAGCATTAACTGACTCCTTAATAAAGGCTTATAGAAGTTATATCTCATGGTCAAGATTAGAATTTTATAGATTGTTCATAACATTTTGAAAAACAAATTTAATTGGCTTTATGCTGTTTTATTGAAGATTATTGTTTGGAAAATTAAGTCTTGTCTCCCAAAGAATGAAGGTTTTTTCTTTTTTTGTTTTTGAAATCTTTATTACTTTGGTCAAATTAATGACTTATTTTACAATGACCTGTGACATCAGGTGTTTTAAATCTTTGATATTTGACTGAGATTCTTTCTGTGGAACAAAGTTCCATCAAACTTTCCAAAATCAAATTATAAATTATGTATTTTTCTTACCTAATCCTTTAAAATATTATGTTCCCTAAAGTTTAAAAATGACATAATTTTGCTTATTTCTTATAAAAATTATACAGAGAACGTTGTTGAATATGAAATGGTGTTTGGTTTTTTTGGGCTGTGTTTGTATAAGTATATTATTGGTATTTGTTCTAAAATTATGGGAAACTCCTATAATTCTTATATGACTTAGTGTACATTATTAGCAGTAATTATAATTGCTATATTGCCACAGAGGTAACAAATTTCCTTGTCAATTGTATCTTTGACTTTGGTTGCCTTAAAACTTTTTGTCATTCACAGACAATTGTATTGTTTTGGTCCTCTTTAGAAGGTGGTTTTATAATCAGCTATAAAACTCTTAACAGGTGGTCTTGAATGCAAGTTTCTGATAACTTTGGAGATGGTGACATCAGAGTAGAGGAAAAAAATTCAGAACTCATGGAGAGCTGAAATGTTCATGAATATTAAGCAGAACAAGGATTAAGTGCATGCATTGAACTATTAGAAGACTGAAGTAATCTTTTTTTCTTTTTTTGAGTCGGGGTTTCACTCGGTCTTCCAGGCTGGAGTCCAGTGGTGTGATCTCAGCTGAATTACAGATGCATGCCACCACACCTGGCTAAGTTTTGTATTTTTAGTAGAGACGGGGTTTCACCATGTTGGTCAGGCTGGTCCAAACTCCTGACCTCATGATCTGCCTGCTTGGCCTCCCAAAGTGTTGGGATTATAGGCGTGAGCCACCGAGACCAGCTGATCTTTTTGACTTTTTACTTAAAATGTTGCTGATCCTTTCTTTTGTTTTCTGAGTCAAGGAAACCTACCTTTTGATCTATTTACAGCTTTTAACAAGTTAGTATACTCCTGTGAACAAAATTTAAAGCATATTTAATTCTCTCTACTTGATTTCTCTAGAATTTGGAAACTATTTGTGAGTATTCTTAACTTATGGCAATACATTTATTTGCATAAGTGCATTAAGAATGTTTTTTTTTGTTTGTTTTGTTGTGTTATTTATTTATTTTTTGAGACAGAGTCTCACTCTGTTGCCAGGCTAGAGTGTGGTGGCCCGATCTTGGCTCACTGCAACCTCTGCCTCCTGGGTTCAAGCAATCCTCCTGCCTTGGCCTCCCAGGTAGCTGGGACTACAGGCGAGCGCCACCATGCCCAGCTGATTTTTTATATTTTTAGTAGAGATAGGGTTTCACCATGCTGGCCACTATGGTCTTGATCTCTTGACCTCATGATTCACCCATCTTGACCTCCCAAAGTGCTGTGATTACAGGCATGAGCCACCACGCCCTGCCAAGAATCTGGTTTTTATAAGTAACAGGACACAATTGGAGAAACTGGTTATTTTACCAACACTTTGACTGGAATGGTGTTCCTTTTTTAAGGAATCAAACTTGATTTATGGAGCCAATTAAAAGCCCCTCGGGAAAACTGGATTCAAATCTTGTCTACATATTCCCTGTACTATGACATTTTTACTTACCACAGGTCAGAAATCCTGAAGGTCACTTTCTGACAAACTCAGGAACCCCAGGTTTATCTTGGAGCCTCAAGAGGAGATAAATTCACCCAACTCAGGTATTTGATGGTACAAATCCATGTCTGGGGTTGGCTTTTAAAAAGTATTATCTGAGATTCCTTCTGTGGAACAAAGTTCCATCGGGGAAAAATTGTGCAAATGTAATAAATTTGGAAAAACACTTTTTCAAAAACTACAGCTTAGAAAACAACAGAGAGTTCATACTGGAGTATGCTTTTGCAGATGCAGTACATGTAAAAAAATATTTAATCCATAATTAAGTCTATGCAAATATCAGAATTTATGGTAGAAATATATAAGGCACTGACACACTTCACGTATTCTAAATCAGTGCTGAGTATAGGAAATCTAAAACTAAAGTTGGCAGAAAAATTATTTGTATGTAACTTTCAGAGGATCAGAAGGTTTTTTGCAGAATTATAATTACATTCAAAGTATATTTCTTGAAAAAAATACAGATTTTTTGAAAAGTGAATAATGATGTCATTCAACTCTGAAATTATTTCCTGCTGTTTCTTCATTCCTATTGGAGTCAAATGTGAAAGCATAGGATCAATTGTTGCTGCGTCAAAGATGTGAGAGATTCTTTTTGTTTTGTTTTGTTTTCTGTTTTTTTGAGATGGAATTTCGCTCTTTTGCCCAGGCTGGAGTGCAGTGGAATGATCTTGGCTCACTTCCGTCTCCGCCTTCCAGTTTCAAGTGATTCTCCTGCCTCAGCCTACTGAGTAGTTGGGATTACAGGTGCCTGCCACCACACCCAGCTAATTTTTGTATTTTTAGTAAAGATGGGGTTTCACCATGTTGGCCAGGCTGGTCTCAAACTCCTGACGTCATGATCTGCCCGCTTCAGTCTCCCAAAGTGTGATTACAGGTGTGAGCCACCATGCCTGGCAAGGCATTCTTTTTTATTAGGGGGGTGTTGTTTATTACCTCTTCTATAGAAAAGTAAAGACATTAAAATGTAAGATGCATAATAAAAATCTAAGTGGAGAGGCTCTTATAACCTATAATATTGAGTGATGCATCAGGTAGGTGTTCAGAGTAATCTGCATTATCATGAGAAGAAAACATGTTTAATTTTATTTAAAATTAAATGAGTAGTATATTATTGTACTAATTGTACTAATTTTTTCTGAGACAGAGTTTTGCTCTTGGTGCCCAGGCTGGAGTGCATTGGCACGATCTCTGGCTCACTGTGACCTCTGCCTCCCAGATTCAAGTGATTCTCCTGCCTCAGCCTCCTGAGTAGCTGGGATTACGGGCATGTGCCCCCATGCCTGGCTAATTTTGAATTTTTAGTAGAAACAGGGTTTCTCCATGTTGGTCAGGCTGGTCTTGAACTGCCAACCTCAGGTGATCTGCCCACTTTGGCCTCCCAAAGTGCTGGGATTACAGGCATGAGCCACCGAGCCTGGCCTGATTGTACTTTTATATAATAAAATGCAGTACATTTATAAATTTTAGATTATGTGTGAAGTTAATAGTTTAATTCAACATTTTTAACATGTTAAATACTATTGTGCATTCAATGAAGCGTTATTATGCCACAAACTTTAACCTCTTTCACCTTACTCAAGGGTATAGGTAAAAGATGGTAACAATATACTGTTTAGTAAGATAATAGATTAACATCTCTAGTGATTTTTTTTTTTTGCCAGTGGCTTTCAACTGCAAATAAGTTAAAGAATATTGTTTCTGTAGGTAAATTTTTATTCTGTTTTTAATCATTTAAATTTATTTTAATTTTGGTGGCTGCATGAGTATCTATGCAATATATGGCATGTTTTAATACAGGAATACAATATATAATAATAATATCAGCATTAAGTGAGGCATCCTTCACCTGTAGCATTTATCCTATGTTTTATAATCCAATTCTACACTTTTTTTTAAATTTAAAATGTACAATTAAATTGTTATTTACTACAGGGTTATTTTTATGGTCATAATAAAAATTATATATGAGTATAAATAAAATTCATTGTTAAATTCTTAATATTTTTTCAAATTTCTTATATATTTTTCTTGGAACATGTGGCCTGTCTGCCTGCAAACACATAAGACTTTTAGTTTTGATTTACATAGAGTTAAATATTTATTAATCTAAAGACAAACCTTAGGTGTAAGAAAATTATGGAGTAAGTGTGTTGGGAGTTTGAGACCAGCCAGACCAACGTGGATTAACCCCGTCTCTACTAAAAACACAAAATTAGCCGGGCGTGGTGGCATATGCCTGTAATCCCAGCTACTTGGGAGGCTAAGCCAGGAGAATCGCTTGAGCATGGGAGGCGGAGGCGGAGGTTGCAGTGAGCCGAGATCACGCCATTGCACTCCAGCCTGGGCAGCAAGAGTGAAACTCTGTCTCAAAAAAAAAAAAAAAAGAACTACAAAACATTACTGAAAGTAATCAGAGACAATGCAAATAAATAAATAAAAAAAAAGAACTACAAAACATTACTGAAAGTAATCAGAGACAATGCAAATAAATAAAAAAAATTTTATGCTTATGGATTTGAGGAATGAATATGAAATATCCATGCTTCCTAGATCAGCCTACAAATTAAGTATTATTTTTATGAAACTGTCAATTACTTTTTTTTTAAATGGGACAGAGTCTTGCACTGTCGCCTAAGCAGGAGTGCAGTGGTGCAATCTCAGCTCGCTGCAACCTCCACCTCCCAGGTTCAAGTGATTCTCGTACCTCAGCCTCCCACGTAGCTGGGATTACAGTTGCCCACCAGCACACCTGGCTAATTTTTGTATTTTTAGTAGAGAGGGGGTTTTGCTGTGTTAACCAGGTTGGTCTTGAACCCCTGGCCTCAAGTGATCCACCTGCCTCAGCCTCCCACCACCCTTTGCTGGGGTTACAGGCATGAGCTACCACACCCATCCCAACCCCATATTATTTCTGATAACAAAGCACAGCAACACGATTTGAATTTTGCTTGGATCTTAATTCATAAAAGAAAGTTGAATGCCATTAAAAGGTGTTTAATACACTTGCACCAGAAACAAGAGCAAGGCAAGCCATGGGGGCGTGCCTCACAAAGGCTGTCTCATGTAGGGGTGGGAAAGCAGAGTTACCAGGGAACTGGGACTATTTCTTTATGACTGTGATGGTTGGAAGCAAAAACGTGGGGCTTTTCCCTATTGAATAAAAAGTAAAAAAATGCATGTTGATGTCAGTGGTTGGGAATAATATAACATTTGCAGGCTCATAAGAACTGCCTGACAAAAAGCATGTAAACAACAGTGATTGCTCTATGGCCCTGTGATTCAGCAGGCTTATAGAGCAGTTAAGAATAGCAGATGTCAGCCAGGCGTGGTGGCTCATGCCTGTAATCCCAGGTGCCCACCACCATGCCCAGCTAATTTTTGTATTTTTAGTAGAGATGGGGTTTCACCATGTTAGCCAGGCTGGTCTCAAACCCCTGACCTTGTGATCCACCTGCCTTGGCCTCCCAAAGCGTTGGGATTACAGGCATAAACCAGCATGCCCGGCTCAAGCTGTTCTCTTATAATAGATGTATTTTTTATTTTTGTAAAATTAAAAACATAAATTTTAGATTTCTTATTTACCTTTTTTTTTTGAGATGGAGTCTTGCTCTGTCACCCAGGCTGAAGTGCAGTGGCATGATCTCGGCTCACTGCAAACTCCGCCTCCCGGGTTCAAGCAGTTCTCTGCCTCAGCCTCCTGAGTAGCTAGGGTTACAGTCGCCCACCACCATGCCTAGCTAATTTTTGTATTTTTAGTAGGGACAGCGTTTAACCATGTTGGCCAGGCTGGTCTTGAACTCCTGACCTCGTGATTTTCCCAACTTGGCCTTCCAAAGTCGTGGGATTACATGTGTGAGCCACCACACCTGGGCTCTCTTTTATTTCTTCTTCAGTCACTTTTTGCCACATACCTTTCTGGAAAAATAATAATTGTATCTAATTTTTTAAATATAATGACATAAAATTGTTTAAAACAATATTATGTTTAAATCTTTTTTTTTTTTTTTTTTGAGACGGAGTGTCACTCTGTTGCCAGGCTGGAGTGCAATGGCATGGTCTTGGCTCACTACAACATCCACCTCCTGGGTTCAAGCGATACTCCTGCCTCAGCCCCCCAAGTAGCTGGGATTACAGGTGCCCCCCACCACAACCAGCTAATTTTTGTATTTTTAGTAGAGACGGGGTTTTACCCCGTCAGGCTGGTCTTGAACACCTGACCTCAGGTGATCCTCCCACCTTGGCCTCTCAAAATTCTGGGATTACAGGCATGAGCCACCCTGCCTGGCTTCTATTTTCTAAGGCTACCAAATTGTTGGCATATCATGTGTGCTCAACACACATTTAGGTTAAAAGAATGAATACATATTCTTTGTAAACTGAAACTGCAAATCAAGATTATATTTTTACTTCCTATATTTTAGTTAACAGAATCAAATAGAAAATAAAGTGTAGAATTCAGAAAGCACTATTGAAAGTTTAATGTTAAACCAGGACTTGTGGGCAAAAATATATTAAAATTTTTTAGTTTCTAAATTTGTGACCATTATAATTACTTTTAAATTCCCACATGAGGATGGAACATGACTTCAGGAGAGCACAATTTAAGAGGAAAAGGCAGAAATAAAAAGAAAAAGAATAAAAATTTGATCAGGTTAGATATGCAAGTTCTTCTGCATATTATTTTTTATACTATTTTTTGTTTTTTAGAAAATAATTTTTTTTCAGCCAGGCGGGGTGGCTCATGCCTGTAACCCCAGCAATTTGGGAGGCTGAGTCGGGGTGATCACAAGGTCAGGAGTTCGAGACCAGCCTGGCCAATATGGTGAAACCTCATCTCTACTAAAAGTACAAAAATTAGCCAGGCGTGGTGGTGGACGGCTGTAGTCCCAGTTGCTTGGGAGGCAAGGCAGGAGAATCACTTGAACCCGGGAAGCAGAGGTTGCAGTGAGCCTAGATTGTGCCACTGCACTCCAGCCTGGGTGACAGAGCGGGACTCCATCTCACTTTAAAAAATAATAACAATAATTTTTTCCTCTGCTGGTTTAGAGTGAGGCTGGCTGGGGGAGCCTGGGCTCCTCTGTCCTCCCCGAGGTGGCAGTGGCTGATGTCTGCTCAGGTGTGAGGGGGTGCTGCCATCCTCTGGGCCTGAGGCTGCCTGGCCCAGCCCCTCCTAACTCCCTGGACTCTTCCACGGTGTCTTCAGGCCCCTACACCATCCTTTGTGTAAGGGGAGGTGGCAGCATAGAGATGATGGGGGAACTGCCCCATGTGCCAAGGAAAGCTCACCCATCTGTGCGAAATGCTCTGGTTGACATTGGGTTTTTGCGCACCAAACTGGGCCATGACCAAGGTTTATAACCAAGGTGTCTCCGGGCATGGGCACTTTGGCTCTTGTAGAAACCACCCCACTGGCAGGAGACGGCGGTAGCTGTGGTCATTGAAAACAAGCTCCTGCTGATAAATCTCAGACACCAGACACAGAAGAACCTGGAGACCCTGCCAGAGAGCTTGAGGCAAATGGATGGACTGTTGGAGCAGCTGAGGGTGAAGCAGCACAAACTCCTCAAAGTTGAATAGCAAAGCAGCCACCAGAGATGGACAAGAAAAATGAACAAAGAAAATTAGCAGAAATCAAAGGCAGATGCTAAAGCAGTGCAAAATCATTCATTCAATGATAGAAATGAAATTGATGAAGGAGTCTGGAAAATGAATGACAGAAGAGAATTAAACAGCAGTGACCATAGTAAGGTCC
Source organism: Homo sapiens (assembly GCF_000001405.40). Lineage (NCBI taxonomy): Eukaryota > Metazoa > Chordata > Mammalia > Primates > Hominidae > Homo > Homo sapiens. The sequence continues at coordinate 21,448,671 of NC_000019.10, read as the reverse complement.
TGACGATTCTGGTCCACTGAATCCCATCATCCCTAAGACAGTAAATATCATCACAGTCACCACCAGCAAGTTACCACCACAGCATTTCCTGTTTGTTCCAAAATGAATAAAGATGATTCTCATCACAAGGGCAAATACAAAGTAGTTTAGTATGTTTTTAACTAAACTAAAGGTGTTTGGTTTACTTTTTCTAAGTTCTCATAATTCTGAAAATGCAGTTGACACTTGTGTGGCTCATGATGTTTTTAATAGTCTAATGCTACTTGAATTGTTCAAAAACCACTGTATTTTAAATTAAGATGAATAAACGGTCCTTTGAAAACTGGCACAAGGCAAGGATGCCCTCTGTCACCACTCCTATTCAACACAGTATTGGAAGTTCTGGCCAGGGCAATCAGGCAAGGGAAAGCAATACAGCGTATCAAAATAGGAAGAGAGGAAGTCAAATTGTCTCTGTTTGCAGATGACATGATTGCATATTTAGAAAACCCCATCTTCTCAGCCCAAAACCTCCTTAAGCTGATAAGCAACTTCAGCAGTCTCAGAATACAAAATCAATGTGCAAAAAATCACAAGCATTCCTATACATTAATAACAGACAAACAGAGAGCCAAATCATGAGTGAACTCCCACTCACAATTGCTAGTAAGAGAATAAAATACCTAGGAAAATACAGCTTACAAGGGACATGAAGGACCTCTTCAAGGAGAACTACAAACCACTGCTCAAGGAAATGAGAAGAGACAAACAAATGGGAAAGCATTCCATGCTCATGGATAGGAAGAATCAATATCGTGAAAATGGCCATAGTGCCCAAAGTAATTTTATAGATTCAATGCTATCCTCATTAAGCTACCATTGATTTTCTTCACAGAATTGGAAAAAACTACTTTAAACTTCATATGGAACCAAAAAAGAGCCTGCACAACCAAGACAATACTGGGCAAGAAGAACAAAGCTGGAAACATCAGGCTACCTGGCTTCAAACTATACTACAAGGCTACAGGAACCAAAACAGCATGGTACTGGTACCAAACAGATATGTAGACCAGTGGAACAGAACAGGGCCTCAGAAATTGATATCACTCTGTCACCATCAAAAAATACTTATTTAGTGTCAAATCCTACTGTGAAATAGCAGAACTGTGGGATTTGTAAAGTGGAAATGCAGAATTCAAAACAGAGATATATACCAATGGAACAGAGCAGAGGCCTCAGAAATACCACCACACGGCTACAACAATCTGATCTTTGACAAACCTGACACACACAAGCAATGAGAAAAAGATTCCCTATTTAATAAATGGTGTTGGGAAAACTGGCTAGCCATATGTAGAAAATTGAAACTGGACCCCTTTCTTACCCGTTTTACAAAAATCAACTCAAGATGTATCAAAGACTTAAATGTAAGACCTAAGACCATAAAAATCCTAGAAGAAAACCTGGGCAGTACCATTCAGGACATAGGCATGGGCAAAGCCTTCATGTCCAAAACACCAAAAGCAGTGGCAACAAAAGCCAAAATTGACAAATGGGATCTAATTAAATTAAATAGCTTCTGCACAGCAAAAGAAACTCATCAGAGTGAACAGGCAACTACAGAATGGGAGAAAATTCTTGCAATCTATCCATCTGACAAAAGGCTAATATCTAGAATCTACAAAGAATTTAAACAGTTTACAAGAAACAAACAAACTGCCCCATCAAAAAATGGGCAAAGATATGGACAGACACTTCTCAAAAGAAAACATTTATGCAGCCAACAGACACATGAAAAAATGCTCATCACTGGTCATTAGAGAAATGCAAATCAAAACCACAATGAGATACCATGTCACACCCGTTAGAATGGCAATCATTAAAAAGTCAGGAAACAACAGTGCTGGAGTGGATATGGAGAAATAGGAACACTTTTACACTGTTGGGAGTGTAAATTAGTTCAACCATTGTGGAAAACAGTGTGGCAATTCCTCAAGGATCTAGAACTAGAAATAACATTTGACCAATTCCATTACTGAGTATATACCTAAAGGATTATAAATCATTCTATGATAAAGACACATGCACACGTCTGTTTATTGTGGCACTATTCACAATAGCAAAGACTTGAAACCAACCCAAATGTCCATCAATGATAGACTGGGTAAAGAAAATGTGGCACATATACACTGTGGAATACTGTGCAGGTGTAAAAAAGGATGAGTTCATGTCCTTTGCAGGGACATGGATGAAGCTGGAAACCATCATTCTCAGCAAACTAGCACAAGATCAGAAAACCAAACGCTGCATGTTCTCACTCATAAGTGGGAGTTGAACAGTGAGAACACATGGACACAGGGAGGTGAACATCACACACTGGGGCCTGTCAGGTGCTGGGGGGCTAAGGGAGGGATAACAGGAAAAATACCTAATGTAGGTGACGGGTTGATGGTTGCAGCAAACCACCATGGCACATGTGTACACGTATGTAATAAAACTGATGTTCTTCACATGTAACCCAGAACTTAAAGTATAATAATAAAAAGAAGAATAAATATTTGTTTTATATATTTAAAGCTTAGAATCACAAATAATGCTTCTGTTTATGATTTGAAAACTTCAAAGTTTGGTTTTCCTTCTGTACATACACAAAACATTGTATTGTGCTGAAATATTTGTTTTTTAAAGTGGCAGTCATAGTTCCTGTCTGTCCGGATATATATATGTATATATGTTAAGCATAACATAAGAAAGAAATTTCATTAGCTGGGCATGATGGCTCACTCCTGTAATCCCAGAACCTTGGGAGGCTGAGGTGGGTGGATTGCCTGAGGTCAGGAGTTTGAGACCAGCCTGGCCAACATAGTGAAACCTCGTCTCTACTAAAAATACAAAAAATTAGGTGGGCGTGGTGGCAGGCACCTGTAATCCCAGCTACTAGGGAGGCTGAGGCAAGAGAACGGCTTGAACCTGGGAGTCAGAGGTTGACGTGAGCCGAGATCACACCATTGCACTCCAGCCTGGTGACAGAGTGAGACTCTGTCTGAAAAAAAAAAAAAAAGAAAAATTTTATTTTGTTTTCGGTAATCTAAGATTGTTGTACACAAAAACTTTACAGATTATGGTAGGGTTTAGCAAACTGTGTATATAACGTAACATTAATATCGCTATTTTCTGATGTCTAACTTTTAGGAAAGATTTTTTGTTTACAAATGTCTCCACAAATTCTGGCTTATTTTATAAAAATAGCAGAATACTAAAGAAATGGGTGGTTTGCCACACTACATGAATTCACACACTACTGGCATTCAATTAAAATAGCAAATATTTTCCTCAAAATTTAGACAGATGAAATAATTTCTTGATTTTTGAGTGCAGTGACAGACATTCACAAATATTTCAGAAATCAAAGCTGTATTAGGTTTTACTTAGTAGTAATATGTATATAAGATCAAGGATCTGTTCAGAATAGATATTTTTCATCAATAATTTGGTGCTTTCAAATACCCAGAAGTCTTGTTTTAATCAGATGAAGTCTGAGGATAGTTTAGTAATTTTACTTTTTGTATGATGTGTTCACAATTTTCTAATTTAACCTAGTATTGATTGATGATGGGTAAACCAACTTTTTTTTTTAATCTCGTAGGTTTATTATGTTGTTGAAGATGTTTTTAGTTAGAATTCTGTCTTTCAAAATTGTTTACAGAGATTTAGGTCTAGTTGAATTTGCTCAACCTGTTAATCAGTGTCAGCTGCCAGATTCTAATTCATTTTTAGTGTGCCTGTACTTTTCTTTCTCTAAACTAAATTTATATTCTCTATATTACTTGTTCAAATGTGATATAATACAGCTCACACATTTAAAACAAAACCATGAGGACAAATTAATTCTGGCTTAGTATAAAGAAGCTGTTACCAAATTAGTGTTACATATGCAGATGGATGCAGCTCAACAAAATTTTACACAAAAAAAATTGAATTGAACTACACGTGTTGCCATGACTTAGCCTCTAATGATCTCGTGAATAAAGACAAATTTCAACACATTTATTCATTTGCTTTCATTATGTCTAATGGTAGTGTGTCAAAAATTCTCATGCTACTGTCTGAGAAAACACGTTCTACTTTTACTTAAGAAATCAACTGAATGGCATTTTTATAACCTTGCACCACATAAGGAAAAACTGCAATGTAGTCTGCGTGGAAAAGGATAATCCAGAATGTCACTTTCAATATTTAAGTATTTAACCTTTTGGTTGAAAAATGTAGTAAAATACGGATGCCAAGCCGAGGCTGGACTGTGCTGCCGCCATCTCGGCTCACTGCAACATCCCTGCCTGATTCTCCTGCCTCAGCCTGCCGAGTGCCTGGGATTGCAGGCGCATGCCGCCACGCCTGACTGGTTTTTGTATTTTTTGGTGGAGACGGGGTTTCGCCATGTTGGCCAGGCTGGTCTCCAGCTCCTGACCGCGAGTGATCTGCCTGCCCGGGCGTCCCGAGGTGCCGGGATTGCAGACGGAGTCTCGCTCACTCAGTGCTCAATCTTGCCCAGGCTGGAGTGCAGTGGCGTGATCTCAGCTCGCTACAACCTCCACCTCCCAGCCACCTGCCTTGGCCTCCCAAAATGCCCAGATTGCAGCCTCTGCCCGGCTGCCACCCTGTCTGGGAAGTGAGGAGCGTCTTTGCCTGGCCGTCCATCATCTGGGATGTGAGGAGCCCCTCTGCCCGGCTGCCCAGTCTGGGAAGTGAGGAGCGCCTCTTCCCGGCCGCCATCCCATCTAGGAAGTGAGGAGCGTCTCTGCCCAGCCACCCATCGTCTGAGATGTGGGGAGCGCCTCTGCCCCGCTGCCCCGTCTGGGATGTGAGGAGCGCCTCTGCCCGGCCACAACCCCGTCTGGGATCTGAGGAGTGTCTGTCTCTGCCCGACCGCCACCCCGTCTGGGAGGTGAGGAGCGTCTCTGCCTGGCCGCCCCGTCTGAGAAGTGAGGAGCCCCTCCGCCCGGCAGCCGCCCCGCCTGGGAAGTGAGGAGCGTCTCCGCCCGGCAGCCGCCCCGTCCGGGAGGTGGGGGGCAGCCCCCGCCCAGCCATCCGCCCCGTCCAGGAGGGAGGTGGGGGGGTGCCTCTGCCCGGCCACCCCGTCTGGGAAGTGAGGAGCCCCTCTGCCCGGCCGCCACCCCGTCTAGGAGGTGTACCCAACAGCTCATTGAGAACGGGCCATGATGACAATGGCGGTTTTGTCGAATAGAAAAGGGGGAAATGTGGGGAAGGAAAGAGAGATCAGATTGTTGCTGTGTCTGTGTAGAAAGAAGTAGACATGGGAGACTCCATTTTGTTCGGTACTAAGAAAAATTTTTCTGCCTTGGGATGCTGTTAATCTATAACCTTACCCCCCACCCCCCACCCCGTGCTCTCTGAAACATGTGCTGTGTCCACTCAGGGTTAAATGGATTAAGGGCGGTGCAAGATGTGCTTTGTGAAACAGATGCTTGAAGGCAGCATACTTGTTAAGAGTCATCACCACTCCCTAATCTCAAGTACCCAGGGACACAAACACTGTGGAAGGCCGCAGGGTCCCCTGCCTAGGAAAACCACAGACCCTTGTTCACATGTTTATCTGCTGACCTTCCCTCCACTGCTGTCCTATGACCCTGCCAAATCCCCGTCTCTGAGAAACACCCAAGAATGATCAATAAATACTAAAAAAAAAAAAAAAAAAAAGTAGTAAAATAGAGCTCTTGGTAAGTTTTGTGTAGCTTAACATCAGCATAAAGTAGGAAAAAATATCTTTAAAAATGTAAACGGACAAAAACCTACACCAAAAAAACAAACATACACCAATGCATACATATTGACTGAAGCTCCAGGGATGTAAAATAATTTCTCCTGGGTACACAGCTAGTGACCCAAATCAAGCTCAAATATGTTTGATTTTAAAATTGTCATTTTCTCACTTTTGACAATATTGACATAACAGGTAAATCTTTGTCTCAGAGTTGATAGTTGAAAATAAACTAAGATAAGTATTATTGAAGCTGGCTAGCTAGCCAAGAAGGTCACCATGTCCTCAGGATGCAGCAGCCATGGCGATTTCCTGGTGATAGCATATTATCAACACAATAAACCCCAACATTTGCATTGCGTTTCAGCTCATTCAAGCAAAGCTCTCTAGTAGGGATATTCCCCCATAAAGAGCATGCACATTTTGATTTTACTTGTCCTCTGACCTTTTACTCATCGTAATACTAAAAAACACACACGTGAGTGGAGTTTTTGCTAATGAGATGCTAATTAGATATGTGACATATGCTAATGAGATATGTGACATATAAACAAGCATGTACAGCCACTGTGTATGTGCACCAAGAGGACCACCCAGAACATGCTTACTAATAACACCACTTTCTAACTCTTTGTAAATAATTATGTAAGACTCCGATAAATGGAGTCTCTCTATTTCCAGTCTTTGCTGTCTCATTCTTATAAGCAGCCCATCCTGAATTGCTTTTCTCTCAGGGGTGTTTTGCACCGCACTTTTAAAATAGTGTTTCTACTTTGCGATAAATCTATCTATGCTGCATCCTCATTTTTTTGCGTCTCGTTTAAATTTTTGAAACTAAGAACCGAGGTCTCACAACAGCCTTCAGGACTATTGTGCTTTGTTTTGTTTTCTTAACATTATTTTATGTGATATTTCATATTTACATTTTCAACATAGCCAAAACTGCTAAATTAAAAACTTAAATGATCATGCTTTTAAAGTGATTTGTCTTAAAAGCATGTATGTATATTTTTCAAGTTTCAGCTTTATGTATTCAAATTTTTTAAAAATTCTGACACATATATCTATCAAATTTAATATTTTAAATAATTTGAATTCACTTCCAAAATGATTTATATTCATTGTTATATTTCATTTTGACCAAATTTGGCTTTCCAAGCTAAAGAAATGCTCTGTAGTAAAATAAAGGCTCATGTTTTTATCAATAATATTTTATGTCTGAGGACTTAAGCATCAAGGACAGAAATCTGGATGATGTTGAGTGAATATTTAAATTGATAAAGTAGAAATTATCAGAATCAAATAAGGGGTGGATCCAGAAACATAGTACTTAATAAAACCATTCAGGGTATGTTTGACAAACAAGAAGATTGCATAGGATCTGCACTGCACTACTAATGTAAAGCGTTCTCTGTAACTTTATTCTCCACGTACTCATACACAAAATGAATAAGATTAACTCCTTTTCCTGGAAGGCAGTGATTCCTCTTTTATTCTGTTACATCTGTTCCACATTGCTGTGATAATGCTGTTGAAGTGCACCCCCTTACACCAGAAGATCACCTGTGTGAATGTGAATAGACTGACACTGGAGAGGACCAGCTCAGCACAGTCACTTGAACTGCCCCTTTGCATTTCAGGCAGGTAAAATGCCTTTGAAGAGTGAAAATAAAGTTACTGCTGATTAAGCAGAGAGTTTGACTTGCTGATCAATTTGATCAGAAGCCTCTCAATGAGATAATTACTGCATTTATTTATTTCAAGAAAAGTAAAAGCCAAAGCCCAGAATGTGGCAAGGCAAGAGTTGAAAAGAAAAGAACAAGTTTTTCTTTGCCTAGCAAGCTCACTTCAAGGACAGTTATAAGATAATGCTGTTTGAGAAGTTGAAACCAAAGAAATAGGCTCCAGACACTCCCCTCCGAAGCAAGGGTGAAGGAAACAAAGAAAAACAAACGTCTGTATTTAGCCAGTTCTTGTTTTTTCTTTCAATGCAGCTACAAGGCCACCAGCTATTAAAGGCCACAAGTTATGCCAAGAATTCAGTTATGCTATAAATTACATAAACTGGTCATTATATAATTAACTGCCTTTGTTTTGCTTCTGTAAGTTTACTTATTAAAATCTCACTCAGTCTTTGTTCAAGGCTCAGCTTTTTGGATGTGAATTCACTGAGCCAGAGCATACCTTAAAATAAATATCCTCCTTTATTGACTCATACTGGTCTCTCTAGTCCTCTGTGTCCCACATTTCTTGGCGAGCCAGCCAGGAGCAGAGACTGTCTCCTTTGCCTTGAAATCGGGGCTGGAGCCCCGGATTCAAGGGAAAATCGGGGCTGGAGCCTTGATTCAAGGGAAACCTGGGACCCAGGCACCGCCGGGAGAACTTCAGCCCGGAGGGGAAATCAGCTCTCCCATGACCCGGCATCCCTACCCAGCAGTGCAACGGAGCCTGAGAAGGGCTACAGGATGATTCCAGAAATAGCGCACTTTAGGAACCACGGTAAGTTATTGGGGACCAAGGCAGGACCCGTCCCGTAAGGACGGAAGGGGAGCCTGATCACCTCCCGGGGTGTAACTAGTAGTCCGACCCAGAGAGGCTTGGGGCGGCAAGAGGGGCTTGCCAATTCAGAAGAATCTCACACCTCAACCAACACAGGATGCGAGAGTGGCTTGCTTAGTTGGTTAGGTAAAGGAAACTGGAGGTGGTGAGAGTTGCTTGCCACCCCAATTAGGAACACAGGAACTGGGAACAGGGACGTATATAAAAGTGTGTGAAAGATGGTTCCAGGAGAATACAATGCAAGGAGTGACGTGGGGAGTCACAGATCTCTTAGCATTGACTGTGTGCTCCGAGCAAAGTATGGGGCTGCCCTGGACTAGTGGTGAACTGTATACGTCCAATAGGAGTTGCCCCACAGCTCAGAGTTGTGGTGGGAATAAGGACCTCTCCAAAGCCAAGCAGCATCTGAAAACTCCCGTAATTGGGGATGGTCTGGTCAGTCTGAGGCAAAAGGAAGAGTGGGTGTGCTGCGTAGTAAAGGGAGGAAATGGGAGTAAAGTCATCAAAGTCCACTCCATTGGAGCGCATGTTACAGAACTTTAAAGAAGGTTTTACAGGGAATTATGGAGTTAAGCTAACCCCCCAGAGGTTAAGAACTCTCTGTGAATTAGAACTGCCTTCTTTTAGTGTTGGATGACTGATTGAAGGAACTATAGATAGGAAAATAATTGGCCGTGTATTTAAGGTGGTGACAGGTCAGAGGACAGCCTCGGCATCCAGATCAGTTTCCTTATATTGACTCATGGTTAAATCTAGCACAAACAAGACCAGCCTGAATCCAGCCCTGTTTAGCAGCTTATTGCAAAACACTTGTGGCCTAAGCCAAGCCAAAAAATGAAAGTAAGAGCAGCTTCGCTAGCAGATACAGAGTTAAAGAAGAAGGCCCAGAGGGAGCAAGAAAAGCCAGTTTTGCAGGAGCCACCAGAGGGAATAAAGATTCCTACTCCATATGTCACAGCCTACCCCACTTTACCAAGGCCAGCAGCCCCCTGGGAACCAGATTCAGGTGCTAGCACACCCCAACTCTCACCCTGAAATGAAAGACTGGAGACTTGAGAGGTCAGGGAAAGAAGTCAAGATAGTCAAGCAGGCCATCTCAGATCTGGTTGTGCTTGAGATATGCAAATGCCTCTCAGGGAGACACGAGGACCCATTTATTAAGATAACCAAGGCCAAGTCCAAGGGTGGGAATGGACTTTCATCTGTCAGCCCTTTTCAACCACTGATCTCTTAAACTGGAAACACCATACTCCCTCCTATATGGAGAAGCCCCAAGCTCTTATAGATCTGATGCAGTCCATCTTTCTGACACAGAATCCAACCTGACCAGACTGCAGGCAGCTGCTTCTCATGCTGTATAACACTAAGGAGCACAGGATAGTAACCTAGACAGCTCTCTGCTGGCTAGAAGCCCATGCACGAGCAGATGCAGTAAATAGGCAGGCTGGCTGCGGTGGCTCATGCCTGTAATCCCAGCACTTTGGGAGGCTGAGACAGGTGGATCACGAGGTCAGGAGATCGAGACCATCCTGGCTAACATGGTGAAACCTTGTCTCTACTAAAAATACAAAAAAATTAGCTGGGCGTGGTGGCGGGTGCCTGTAGTCCCAGCTACTTGGGAGGCTGAGGCAGGAGAATGGTGTGAACCTGGGAGGCAGAGCTTGCAGTGAGCCGAGATGGTGCCAGTGCACTCTAGCCTGGGTGACAGAGCGAGACTCCATCTCAAAAAAAAAAAAGAAAATGCTCAGGCATATGCTCAGGGCCAGTTCCCAGACCAAAATCCCAACTGGGACTCAGAAGATGCGACTCAGCTTCAGCATTTGCAGAGGTACCAAAAGGCACTTATGCAAAGGCTAAGGGATGGTGGAAAAAAGGCTATCAATATAAGAAAGATCTCAGAGGTGCTTCAGGGAAGTAAGATCCCTAGCCAGTTTTATGAAGGACTCTGTGAGGCATACCAGCTTTTAACCCCGTTTAACCCTGAGGCTGCTGAAAATCAGCATATGGTAAATACATCATTTGTAGGACAGGCCCACAGTAATATTAAGCAAAATCTTCAGACACTGGGAGGTTTTGCAGCCATGAATGCCACCCAGCTTATAAAAGTAGCCACCAAAGTGTATGTTAACCATGACCAGGGGGCAAAGAAGGAAGTCGAACAGAGGCTTTAAAAAAAGCCAATCAAGGCCGGGCACGGTGGCTCATGCCTGTAATCCCAGCACTTTGGGAGGCCGAGGCGGGTGGATCACCTGAGTTTGGGAGTTTGAGACCAGCCTGACTAACATGGCTTAACCCCGTCTCTACTAAAAAAATACAAAAATTAGCCAGGCATTGTGGTGCATGCCTGTAATCACAGCTACTTGGGAGGCTGAGGCAGGAGAATCACTTGAACCTGAGAGGCGGAGGTTGCAGTGAGCCAAGATCATGTCATTGCACTCCAGCCTGGGCAACAAGAGCGAAAATCCGTCTCAAAAAAAAAAAAAAAAAAAAAAACTCAATCTATAAGCAGCAGCCCTCATAGAGAGAGAAACTATTAATGTGAGAGGATGCAGACATGGACCTGGAAGAGGTCAAGTTAGACAGGGATTCGAGAGCCAACCAAGGTTAGAGAAGGATCAATGTGCATGATGCAAAAAGAAAGGACACTGTAAAGATGAATGTCCAGAAGGCAATGAGGGAAATGGCTAAGGCCGTGTGACAGAGAGGCCATCGGTGAGGGGCTGCCAAACCCTAAAGCAATGCAATACTGATCTAATCGGGCTGGCAGGGGCTAAAAGATATGAGAACTAGGACAAACTGGGCTCCTTCTCATTGGGCCTCCAGGAGCCTATGGTTGCATTAGAAGTTGGGAGGCCAATTAATGGACTTTATGGTAGATACTGGGGCTGAATACTCTGTAGTAACTTGACCCATAGGGCCACTATCCAAGAACTATACAACGATTGTAGAGGCTACTGGTGTCTCAAAGAAGAGGCTGTTCTGTTGGTCAAAGAGGTGTGTTATAGAAGGACGAGAAGTCCAGCATGATTTTCTGTACCTCCAAAATTGTTCAGTTCCCTTGTTAGAAAAAGACCTACTCCAAAAACTGCAAGCACAAATTACTTTTGGCCCACAGGGAGATATGACTTTAAATCTGACTCACCCAAAGGCCATGGTGTTAACCCTTACCATCCCACAGGTTGAGGAGTGGAGACTTTATAAAAATAAATCGCAAGCACCAATGCAACCTCATATGCCCTCATAACCAATGAGGGCATCATTGGTTATCAAACCCAAGAATGACTCAGTACTAAGGGCTTCTATGTAAAAGAAAAATTATTATTTCAGTTAGTTAAAGAAATTCCTGGAGTGTGGGATGAGGACAACCGACCTGTGTTAGCTGTAAATCATGCAGCAGTAGTAGTAAAATTAATACCAGGAGCAACTCCTGTTCGGGTTCATCAGTACCCAGTTCCCCCAAAAGGCTGTACAGGGCGCTTACAAACACTTAGAGTGGCTCCATAAACATAGGATTTTAGTCCAGTCCCAGTTGCCGTACAATATTCCACTTTTGCCTGTACAAAAACTGCTGCCAGGACCAGGGTCTAATAAGTATAGACCAGTGCAGAACTTGTGTGCTGTGAACCAAGCCATGTTACCTATCCATCCAGTGGTACCCAACCTGTATGCTTTAATGGAACTCATTCCAGCAAGTACTGCCTGGTTTACAGTCTTGAAGGATGCTTTCTTTTGTATCTGCTTGGCACCAGTTAGTCAGCCTATCTTTGCATTTCAGTGGGACAAAGAAGCTACACAGCTCACCTGGACTAGGCTCCTGCAAGGGTTTAAAAACTCTCCCACAATCTTTGGGGAAGCGTTGGCCTCAGACCTTAAGGCCTATACCATGCCAAATGATAAGTGCACCTTGTTACAGTACATGGACAACCTTCTTTTGGCAGCCCCAACCCGAGAGGACTGTTATCATAAAACCCGAGACCACCTCCATCTCTTATTGAAAGCAGGTTACTAAGTATTTAAAAAGAAAGCCTAAATTTGCCATGAAGAGGTTAAATGTCTAGTTTTCATAGTAAGCCACAAGGAATGCCAGCTTAGGTATAAGGAATAGCAGTCCATTTGTGCGCTTCCAACCCCTGAAACTAATCAGGAAATAGCATTCAAACAAATCAAAGAGGCTGTAATTCAGGCCCCAGCCTTAGGACTACCAGATATAAGTAAACCTTTCTTTCTATATATTCAAGAACAAAAGGAAATTGCTACGGGGTTCTGACTCTAAGTTATAGGATCACAGCATCACCCAGTGGCATATTTATCCAAACAACTAGACTCCGTGGTGCTAGGAAAGCCTTCTTGCTTTAAAACCTTAGCTGCCACTGTTTTGTTAACACAAGAGGCTAGTAAATTAACTCTGGGACAGCAGCTAACCATCCAGGTGCCACACTCAGTTATAACTTCAATGGATCAAAGAGGGCATCATTGGTTATCAAACCCAAGAATGACTCAGTACTAAGGGCTTCTATGTAAAAACTCTTACATTATTTTAAAAACAGTAAACATCCAGGCTGGGTGTGGTGGCTCATTCCTGGAATTCCAGGACTTCGGGAGGCCGAGGAGGGAAAGTCACAAGGTCAGGAGTTCGAGACCAGCCTGGTCAACATAGTGAAACCCCGTCTCTACTAAAAATGCAAAAATTAGCTTGGTGTGGTGGCACGTGCTTGTAGCCCCAGCTACTTGGGAGGCTGAGGCAGGAGGTGGAGGTTGTAGTGAGCTGAGATCACAGAGTGTGATTCTGTCTCAAAAAAAAGTAAACACCTAAATCTGGCTACTCTGCTTCCCATCACACCGGGAGCTCCTCTCCATAACTGCGTCAAAACCACAGATAAGGTATCCTCCAGTCGGATAAATTTTATAAACCAACCCCTCAGAAACCCGAATGTCAAAACATCAGCTCAAAAAGCAAAATTAATAGCCCTAACAAGAGCACTGTTGTTGGCAAAAGATAAGAAGGTCAATATTTACACTGGCTTTAAATTTGATTTTACCACACTGCATATTCATGGAGCTATAAAAAAAAAAAAGCAAATAAAAAACGCTTTCAACAGCTGGAGAAAAAAAAATAAAGTATAACGAAAAGATTCTACAGCTCCTAAAGGCTGTATGGGCTCCAGAAAAAGTAGCTGTAATACACTGCAGAGGGCACCAAAAGGCAGGAACACGGGAAACCAAAGGAAACAAAAAGGCAGACAGAGAGGCAAAACAGATAGCAATAATTACGCTGCATTTTTTTTTTTTTTTAAATCAGAGGAAGCCTTAGCTATGGCTCTCCTCCCAGAACCTCCTCTCCAAGAAAACCCAAGTTATACACCAAATGAAAGACCCTGGTTTGCCCAGGAGGCTGAAAAATATATTCAAGGAGGGTGGTGGAAATTCTTCGATGGGAGATTAGCCATTTCAAAGATTTAAGCTCATATGTTTGTAAAGCAAATTCATCAAGGAACTCATGGAAAAAATGGCACTAGAAACGTTACTAAAATGCCATTTCTATGTGCCACGGCTCTCTGCCATCACTTGAGCCATTTGTAAACAGTGCTTAACCTGTGCTCAAAACAACCCGCAACAGGGGCCCACTTGGCCCCCAGGAATTCGGGAAGTAGAAGCCATGCCTTGTAAAAGCGTGGTTACAGACTTAACAGAACTGTCCATGCTGTGGACTACCAGTCCGTGCTAGTGCTTGTTTGCACCTTTTCAGGATGTGTTAAGGCTTTCCCCACCGGGACAGAAAAAGCATGAAAAGTAACTAAAGTACTTTTAAAAGACATTATCGCCAGGTTTGGACTGCCTTTAACTTTAGGATCAAACAATGAGTCATCATTTGTGGCTGAAATAGTGCAAGATTTAACAAGACTATTAAAAATAAAATGGAAGTTACACACAGCCTATCGGCCATGAAGTTTAGAAAAAGTGAAATGTATGAACAGGACACTCAAGCAGCTACTTAAAAAATATCAGGAAATTCATCTAAGATGGAATCAAGTCTTGCCTATGGTCGTCCTCTGAGTCAGTTGCACCCCCAGCAAACAAACTGGGTATTTGCCCTGTGAAATTTTGTTCGGTCAGCCTCCCCCAATCATAAGCGAAATAAAAGTTGATCTCCAGGAACTAGGGGAATTAACTTTAAAAAGCAAATGCAGGCTCTACGGATAGCTATGCAAAGTGTCCATTACTTGGTACATTAAAAAAAACCTGTAAGTCTGACAGACCCAGTACACCCCTTTAAACCTGGAGACTGTTTGGTTTAAAAAGTTGAATCCAACTTCTCTAGGACCCATATAGGATGGGTCCTATACTGTAATCTAGTCCACTCCCACTGCTGTTAAAGTTTCAGGTGTTGTGTCTTGGATCCACCACAGTTGGCTAAAACCAGCAGCCCAAGACAAGTGGGCCAGCCAGCAGGACCCAGATCATCCAACCCGGCTGATCCTGAGACGAGAGCAAGCTGCTGCTAAAGACAACTGCCCTGCTCTGGTCATTCTGGAAGCTGACCAGTCTATGAATGGCGGAAGCATAAGAAGACAACAAGCCCTACTCTAGTCACACACAGGAATCTGACTAGTCTATGCACAGCCAAAGCTTAAGAACTTGTCAAGCAAGTAAATGTGGTTAAAAATCCTAAAAGTAGTAGTTTTCCTTGTAATACTGTTTTCCTATTGTTCTGTCACTGTGCTCAGTCTCCTCCCCCAAATAAAGACCTCTTCCGTCCTTGCTGAATATAAATAAGCTGTATATTGTTTTGCTGTTGTTACCCCCTTAACCATGCTAGAAGAAGCACCTATAGAAGGGTGTCCCCACTGTACACATACTACCTGGTCAGGGACTGGTATAACTAAAACTCTATTGTACCATAGTTATAAGTGTACAGGGACTCACTTAGGAACTTGTACTTATAATCAGACTACCTGCTCAATTTGTGGCCCAGAAAATAACAAACCTTATGTATTCTCTGACTCTAAATTTTCGCCTGGTGAATGGTGTAAGATTCGTGCAATGTCAAAGGAAAATTTCCTCTTAAACCAAACCAAGGTCCCTCCCTTTTACCAAGGGCCTGTTTCTCTGTACTTGGATGCCTATCAGGCAGCATACTAGACTCACCCGTCTGTGGTAACTTACCCTTAAATACTATAGAAATAACTACAAATATATATGCATGCCAAGAGTAACTCCTCCTTGTTCCGCTGGGATCCCAAAAAAGGATTGTTGGTACTGCATATCATGGCACCTTAGCATACAACAGAGGCCAATTATGCTTACCAAAATGCCAGTAAAACCAGATTGCAAAATAAAAACCTGTAATCCTGTAAACTTCACCATTCTAAAGTCAGACTTACCCATGTGGACTACAGGTTACTCTTACATGTCTACATAAATACATACCCAGCAACCTAACTATATGTTATCAAAAAAGAAACCTGGACCTGTCTGGCTCAGCAACAATCCGAAGTCTTTAAATCATTCTATAAGCATGTAAACTAGAAGTTACCAGAGTCTCTTCCTTTAGCTGAGAACCTGTTTGCTCAGCTGGCTCAAAACATTGCTGGCAGCCTAGGCATTTCTTCATGTTATGTTTACAGAGGAACATGGGAGACCAGTGGCCTTGAAAAGCAAAAACGTTAATGCCACAAGATAATTTTACTTTAACTGACAATTCCCCTGAACCAATGCCTGTAAGTTCAAGTCTCTGGCTCTGAAAAACTTCTGTCATTGGAAGATACTGTGTTGCTCGCTGGGGAAAGGCTTTTACAAACCCAGTAAGAGAACTAACCTGCTTAGAACAGCAATATTATAATGAAACACTAAGAAAAACTTTGTGGCGGGGCAGAAATGACTCCAAATCACCTCATCCAAATCCGTTCTCCTGTTTCTGTTCTCTAAATCACACCTGGTATCAGCTTGAAGCTCCAAATACCTGACAAGCACCCTCTGGTCTTGATTGGATCTGTGGGCCATGGGCCTACCAACAGTTACAAGGAAAATAGATAGGGGCTTGTATATTCAAGACAATTAAGCCATATTTCTTTTTACTCCCACTGCAACAAGGAAAAACCTTAGGGTATCCTGTCTATGATGAAATTAAAAGAAGAAACAAAAGAAATATAAACATAAAAAAAGACATACAAATAGGAGATTGGGGGCCAGGCATGGTGGGTCATGCCTGTAATCCCAGCACTTTGGGAGGCTGAGGCAGGTGGATCACGAGGTCAGCAGATTGAGACTATGCTGGCTAACATGGTGAAACCCCGTCTCTACTAAAAATACAAAAAGGTTAACCAGGCATGGTGATGGGCACCTGTGG
This sequence comes from Homo sapiens, assembly GCF_000001405.40. Taxonomy (NCBI): domain Eukaryota; kingdom Metazoa; phylum Chordata; class Mammalia; order Primates; family Hominidae; genus Homo; species Homo sapiens. The sequence goes on along the minus strand of NC_000019.10, from coordinate 21,432,007 downwards.
TCCCAGCTACTCGGGAGGCTGAGGCAAGAGAATGGCGTGAACCCAGGAGGTGGAGCTTTCAGTGAGCCAAGTGGCACTGCACTCCAACCTAGGTGACAGAGCGAGACTCTGTCTCAAAAAAAAAAAAAAAGGAGATTTGAAGGATACAGATTGGCCACTGAAAGAAGGATTCAATAATGTGGGCCAGCTACCTAGGCACAAAATGGGTCATGGGGGTACTGCACCTCAATTTACATGCTTAACTGCATCATAAGGTTGCAGGCAGTCCTTGAAATTATCACTAATGAAACAACAAATGCATTAGACTTCTTTGCCCAGCAGCCCACAAAAATGAGAAAGGCCGTTTATCAAAATAGCCTGGCTTTAGACTATCTCCTAGCCCAGGAAGAAGGAATATGTGAAAAGTTTAATCTAACTAATTGCTGCTTAAAAATTGATAACAATGAGAAAGCTTTGTAGAAATAACTGCAAGAATGAAAAAATTAGCCCATATTTCAGTCCAGACCTGGAAAGGGTGGACTCCTGATTCCCTCTTTGGAGGCTGGTTTTCCTCCTTTGATGGATTCAAAACCTTAAAAGGACTAGTTCTAACCATACTAGGAGGTTGTTTGATACTTCCTTGCCTTTAATCCTTCCTTATTAGGAGCATTCAATCAACTATAGAGACAATTGTAGCTAGGCAAACTACCACTCACCTAATGCTCTGCATAAATATCAACCTGTTCCTAAAGAAGAAAACCTGCTGTCTCTTAATGAATCAAGTAATAGTGATGCTTTCTATTAAAATTTTGTTTATAAAAAGCATCAAAGGGGAGAAACTGAGGCAGAAATTTAAAATAATAAGTACTGCATTCATTAACTCCAAGAAAAGTAAAAGCCAAAGCCCAGAATGTGGCAAGGCAGGGGTTAAAAAGAAAAGTTTTCCTCTGCCTAGCAATCTCACTTCAAGGAAAATTAGAAGATAACCTTGTTCAAGAAGGCAAAACCAAAGAAATAGGCTCCAGACAGTCCCCTCCGAAGCAAGGGTGAAGGACACAAACAAACAAACAAATGTCTATATTAGCCAGTTCTTTTTTCTTTCAACGCAGCTCCACGGCTACCAGCTATGCCAAGCCACAAGTTATGCCAAGTCATCAGTTATGCTATAAATTACGTGACCTGTCATTATATAGTTAACTGCCTTTGTTTTGCTTCTGTATGTTTGCTCAGTCTTTGAGCTCAGTCTTTGCTTTTTAAGTTTGGATGTGAATCCACTGAGCTGGTGCCTACCTTAAAATAAATATGCTCCTGTATTCACCGATACTGGTCTCTCTAGTCCTCTGCATCCTGCAACACTTAGAACTGGGAGAGATGACACAAAGATGGTGCTTGCATGTTGGGTGGGAGAGGAAATGATTATCAGGGACTAGATCGTAACTGTTTCACTCATCAATGTTGACTTTCATTGCTATTTTGTCTCAAATTACGTTAATAAAGTAATGGCTTTGGTCCAAGAAGTTTTCTTAAAACATGTTGTCAATCAGCCATAATATTAACCAAAAAATGCACAGAAATGAAGGTAAACAGTCATAATTTACATTTTAAAATTAAAATATTTCTGGAAATTTTTAAGGTTTCCTAGGTAGAGCATTATATCATCGTGAAGATAATTTAACTTCCTTTTTTTCTATTTAGATGCTTTTAATTTCTTTATTTTGTTGGATAGCTCTGACTAGGACTTCTAGAATTATGTTGAATAGGAGTGTTAGACTGGATATTCTTGTCTTATTTTTATTCTAACGTTCTGATTTGCTTATGAACTCAGATTGCTCGTATTTCATGGAGGATTTTTGTTTCAATGTTTACCAAAAATATTGGCCTGCAGTTTCCTTTTTTTGTTGTGCCTTCACTATATTTTGGAATTAAGATAATATTGATATTATGAGTTAGGGTGGAATCCCACCTGGATTTCTTGGAGTATATTCAGTAGTAGTACAAGCCCATCTTTGTATATGTGGTAAAATTTGGCTGTGATTTTACATAATCCAGGGCTTTTACAGTTGGTAGGTTTGTTACTAATTTAATTTCATCATATGTTTTATACATTTTTGCCCATTCTAGACTTCTGTTTCTTCCTGGTTCAATCTTGGAAAGTTTTGTGTATCCAGGAGTTTATTCATTTTCTCCAAATTTTCTAGTTTGCATGCATAAAGATGTTCATAGTAGTCTCTGATGATTTTTTGTATATATGTAAAATTAGTTGTGATTTTACATCTCTAACATGTAAATAGATGCAGAGTACAAAAGAATAGATGCACAATGGAAGTTTGACAAAATTTGACATTCCCTTATGATAATCTCTGAAAAACTAATTATAGATCAAATTATTGGCACCTCAGCCAATAAATGTCACATATTAGCAAAAAATACACAGCTAACAACATATTAAACAGGGATACCTTGCAAGATTTTACTCTAAGAGCTAGTATAAGGCAAGGATGCCCACTCATCCTTACTAAAGTCAGTCTTGCTAAACATAGTACAAATCCAAGACAAAGGAATTAGGGAATAAAATCAAAAGCATCCAGATAGGACAAATGGAAGTTAATTATTCCTGTATAATTATCTTTTATCCCTATGCATAATCTGAAGTATAGAAAAACCTAAGTAAGACTGGCTGGGCGCAGTGGCTCACGCCTGTAATGCCACTACTTTGGGAGGTTGCGGCAGGTGGATCACCTGAGGTCAGGAGATCAAGACCAGCCTGGCCAACATGGTGAAACCCAGTCTCAACTAAAAATAGAAAAAAAAAAAAAAAGTAAAAAATTAGCCAGGCCTGGTGGCACAATACCTGTAATCCCAGCTACTTGTGAGGCTGAGGCAGGAGGATTGCTTGAACCTAAGAAGTAGAGGTTGCAGTGAGCCAAGATCATGCCACTGCACTCCAGCCTGAGTGACAAGAGAGACTCAATCTCAAAAAGAAAAAAAAAAAAAGAAAAAAGAAAAGCCTAAGATTTTACTAAACAAATTTATTAAACTTTCAAAATACAAAAGCAACATCAAAGTCAGTAGCATTCCTATGCCTTAACAACTATCTCAAAATGAAAATTAAGAAACACTTTCATATACAATAACTCTAGTAATAAATTCAATACAAAGCAGAGTATACATTTGCTTTCAGCATTTTTGAGGCTTTTAGTTTTATACTAGTCACCTTGTTAAAATAATTTTTCCCCAATATTTCTTCTGAAAATAAGTACAAACTTCTACTCACACAAACTCACTTACTTTATAATTTCCTTACGCCTAAAGTTTATCTTTTAGAGTAATGTATATTTAACCCAAATTAAGTCGGTATGTGTTTCCATGCAGACAGGACACATGTTCAAATATATATATATGTATAAAATTTTAAGATATCTACTCAGGACTCAGAAGTGTATGTATTTTATTTATACTTGTATATGATTTCTTTTATAACCATAAAAATAACCCATTAGTCAATTACAGTTTAACTGTTCATTTTTTTTTTTTTTTTCGTGAGACGAAGTCTTGTAATGTCGCCTGGGCTGGAGTGCAGTGGCACGATCTCAGATCATTGCAACCTCTACCTCCCAGGTTCCTGGCCATCTCGAACTCCTAAGCTCAGGTGATTCATTCGCCTGGGCCTCCCAAAAGTTCTGGGATTACAGGCGTGAGCCACTGCACCCAACCATAACTGCACATTTTAAAATAATTTTTATTATAACCATAAAAATAAACCAGTAGGCAATAACAATTGTATATATATATTTTTTCCTGAGACAGAGCCTCACACTGTCACCTGGGCTGGAGTACACTGGCATGATCTTGGCTCACTGCAACCTCCACCTTTCAGGTTCCCTTGATTCTCCTGCCTCAGCCTCTTAAGTAGCTTGGATTACAGGTGCCTGCCACCACACCCAGCTAATTGTTTGTATTTTTAGCGGAGACAGGGTTTCACTATGTTGGCCAGGCTGGTCTTGAACTCCTGACCTGGTGATCCACCTGCCTCGGCCTCCCAAAGTGGTGGGATACAGGCATGAGCCACCACACCTGGCCATAATTGTACATGTTAAAATAAGTAAAAGTGTAGAATTGGGTTGTTTTTAATACAAAGAAATAAGTGCTAGAGGTGATGGATACCACACGTATCCCAATGTGATTATTACATATTGTATTTGTGTATCAAAATATGCCATATATGGCATAAGTATATAAACTCATGTACCCACAAAAATTAAGAAAAATAAATTTAAATGATTAAAATAAAAATAAAAATTTAACCTATAAGAACAATATTCTTTAACTTATTTGCAGTTCGAAGCCACTGGCAAAAGAGATGACTACAGATGTTAGTCCATGATGTTACCAAATAGTATATTGTTACCATCTTTTACGTATGCCATTTGGTAAGGTGGAAAATGTTAATCTTTGTGGCATAACAACACTTTATTGAATGCACAATAATATTTACCATGTTAAAAATGTTGAAACAGTTACCTTCACACAGAATTTAAAATTTTTTAAAATGTACTGCATTTTATTATATAAAAGTACAATTGGGGGGAGGGGGGACGGATAGCATTGGGAGATATACCTAATGCTAGATGACGAGTTAGTGGGTGCAGCGCACCAGCATGGCACATGTATACATATGTAACTAACCTGCACATTGTGCACATGTACCCTAAAACTTAAAGTATAATAAAAAAAGTACAATTAGTAAAATATATGAATAATATACTAGTTTTCTCATAATGCAAAAGAATATTACTCTTAACACCTACCTTGTGCATCACTCAATAGTATAAGTTAACCACAAAGAACCTCTCCACTTAGATTTTCACCATGCATCTTACATTTTAATATTCTTACTCATCCATAGAAAAGATCATAAATAATGCCCATCTAATGAAGAAGAATCTCTCATACCTCTGATGCAGCAACAAATGATCACAAGCTTTCACAAGTGAATAAGAATGAAGAAACAGCAGAAAATAATGAGTTGAGTTACATCATTTGCTTTTCAAAAAATCTGTAATTTTTTCAAGAAACAAAGTATAATCCGAATATAGTTATTATTCTACAAAAAATCTTTTACTCCTCTTAACATTATATACAAATAATTTTTCTACCAACTTTAGTTTTATTTTCTATACTCAGAACTCTCATTTAGTAGAATATTCGAAGTGTCGCTTCCTCATATATTTCTACTATAAATTCTGGTATTTACATAGACAAATTTGGATTAAAATTTTTTTTATTTTTACTACACCTTTGAAAATATATTTTCGTATAAACTCTGGTGTTTTCTAAGCTGTAGTTTTTGAAAATTTGTTTTCCCAAATTTATTACATTTGCAAGACAGCTCTCCAATATAAATTCCCTGATGTTGAACAAAGTTTGAGTGACCTCTTCAGAGTTTTTCTGTAGTACAAAATGTGGACAATAAGATCTGATACAAGTAAAGGTACTTCAACCCTCTTTATGGTTGTAATGTTCATCTTTAATATAAATACTCTCCTTCACTTTAAAGGATAATATTTTCTGAAAGATCTTTTGGCAGTAATTGCACTTATCATGCTTTTATTAAGCATGAACTCTCTGGTGTTTAGTAAGATGTGAGCAGATATTGACGTCTTTTTCACAGTCTATATTTCTACAATTTTTCTCAAATATAAATGATTTTCTGTGCAATAAGGTGTATTAGTTAAAAACTTTGCCACATTGTTCTTACTTGTAGGAAATTTTTCCAATATGAATATTACCTATAATCAAGTGTGACAACCATTTAAATACTTTGTTACATTCTCCACATTTCTAGGATTTCTCACCAATATGATTTCTTTTATGATTAGAAAAGTTTGAGATGTTGTCAGAAGCACTGTCACATCTTACTGGTTTGTAGAGTTTCTCTGCAGTAAGAATTATCGTATGTGTGTTAAGAACTGAGGACTAGTTAAAGCCTTTGCCATATTTTTCACAATCATAGGGTTTCTCTCCAGTATGAATTTTCTTATGTTTAGTAAAAATTGAGGACTGGTTAAAGGCTTTGTCACATTCTTCACATTTGTAGGGTTTCTCTCCTGTATGAATTATTTTGTTCAATAAAGTTTGAGGACTGGTTAAAAGCTTTGCCACATTCTTCACAGTTGTATGGTTTCTCTCCATCATTAATTATGTTTACTAGGAGTTGAGGACTGGATAAAGGCTTTGCCACATTCTTCACATTTGTAAGATTTTTCTCCAGTATGAGTTATCTTATGTTTAGTAAGGTTTGAAAATTGGTTAAAAGCTTTGCCACATTTTTCACATTTGTAGGGTTTCTCTCCAGCATGAATTATCTAATGTGTAGTAAGGGTTGAGGATTGGTTAAAAGGTTTGCCACATTTTTCACATTTGTAGGGCTTCTCTCCAGTATAAATTATCTTATGTGCAGTAAATTGGAGGGACAGGCTAAAGGCTTTGCCACATTCCTCACATTTGTAGGTTTTCTCTCCAGTATGAATTATCTTATGTTTACTAATGGATGAGGATTTGTTAAAAGCTTTGCCACATTCTTCACATTTGTATAATTTATCTCCTTTATGAATTATTTTATGTTTAGTAAGGTATAAGAATCAGTAAAAAGCTTTGAGACATTCCTCATATTTGTAGGGTTTCCTTCCAGTATGAATTATCTTACGTGTAGGCAGGGTTGAGAAGTGGTTAAAAGCTTTGTCACATTCTTCATATTTGTAGGATTTCTCTATGGTATGAATTCTCTTATGTTTAGTAAGGGATGAGAACTAATTAAAGCCTTTGCCACATTCTTCACATCTGTAGAATTTCTCTCCAATATGAATTATCTTATATTTAGTAAGGTATGAGAATCAATAGAAATCTTTGCCACATTCTTCACATTTGTAGGGTTTCTCTCCAGCATTAATTATCTTATGTGTATTAAGGGTAAAGTACTGGTGAAAAGCTTTGCCACATTCTTTAGTAAGGGAATAGGAGCAGTAAAGGCCTTTGCCACATTCTTCACTTTTGTACAGTCTCTTCAGTATGAATTCCAATATGAATTATCTTATGTCTACTAAGATGTGAAGACCGCCTAAAAGCTTTGCCACATGCTTCACATTTGTAGGGTTTGTCTCCAGTATGAATTAGCTTATGTTTAATAAGGTTTGAGGAATGGTTAAAAGCTTTGCCACATTCTTCACATTTGCAAGGTTTCTCTCCAGTATGAATTATCTTATGCGTATTAAGGTTTGAGAATCGGTAGAAAGTTTTGCCACATTTTTCACATTTGTAGGGTTTCTCTTCAGTATGAATTATCTTATGTTTAGTAAGGGTTGAGAATATACTAAAGGCTTTGCCACATTCTTCACATTTGTAGGGTTTTTGTACACTATGAATTTGCTTGTGCCCAGCGAGGTGTGAGGACCGCTTAAAAGCTTTGCCACATTCTTCACATTTGTAGGGTTTTTCTCCAGTATGAATTTTCTTATGTATACTAAGGATTGAAGATCGGTTAAAAGCTTTGCCACATTCTTCACATTTGTAGGGTTTCTTATCAGTATGAATTATCTTGTGTTTAGTAAGGGTTGAGAATACACTAAAGGATTTGCCACATTCTTTACATTTGTAGGGTTTGTGTCCAGTATGAATTCTCTTATGTGTAGTAAGGTGTGAGGACCGATTAAAAGCTTTGCCACATTCTTCACATTTGTAGGGTTTTTCTCCAGTGTGAATCATTTTATGTATAGTAAGGGTTGAAGATCGTTTAAAAGCTTTGCCACATTCTTCACATTTGTAGGGTTTTTCTCCAGTATGAATTATTTTATGTATACTAAGGGTTGAAGATTGGTTAAAAGCTTTGCCACATTCTTCACATTTGTAGGGTTTCTCTTCAGTATGAATTATCCTATGTTTAGTAAGGGTTGAAGATCGTTTAAAAGCTTTGCCACATTCTTCACATTTGTAGGGTTTCTCTTCTGTATGAATTATTTTATGTTTAGTAAGAATTGAGAATACACTAAAGGTTTTGCCACATTCTTCACATTTGTAGGGTTTCTCTCCAGTATGAATTCTTTTATGTGTAGTAAGGTGTGAAGACTCCTTATAAGCTTTGCCACATTCTTCACATCTGTGGGATTTCTCTTCAGTGTGAATTATCTTATGTTTAGTAAGGGTTGAGAAAATACTAAAGGCTTTGCCACATTCTTCACATTTGTAGGGTTTCTCTCCAGTATGAATTCTTTTATGTGTAGTAAGGTGTGAGGACTCCTTATAAGCTTTGCAATATTCTTCACATCTGTGGGATTTCTCTTCAGTGTGAATTATCTTATGTTTAGTAGGGGTTGAGAAAATACTAAAGGCTTTGCCACATTCTTCACATTTATAGGGTTTTTCTCCATTATGAATTATCTTATGTCCAGTAAGGGTTGAAGATTGGTTAAAAGTTTTGCCATATTGTTCACATTTATAGGGTTTCTCTCTAGTATGAATTAGCTTATGCCTAGTAAGGTATGAGAATTGGTAGAAAGATGTGCCACATTCTTCACATTTGTAGGGTTTCTGTCCAGTATGAATTCTCTTATGTGTAGTAAGGTTTGAGTCCTGGTTAAAAGATTTGCCACATTCATATTTGTAGGATTTCTCTCCAGTATGAACTCTCCTGTGTCTAGTAAGGGTTGAAAACCAGATAAAGGCTTTGCCACATTCTTCACATCGGTAAGAATTCTCTCTAATATGAATTCTTTTATGCTGACATAGGTGTAAAAGCATGCAAAATGATTTGCCACATTTTTTACATTTGAAAGGTTTCTTTCCAGTATGTTTTGTGTTATGTCTATTTGAATTTAAAAGTTTATGAAAGACTTTCACATATTTATCACATTGAAATATTTTGCTCTGGGTAGTTGTCAAATACTGGTTTAGTTCATTATAACCTTCTTTGTGCACATTACACTCATTCATACTTTTACATCCTTTTCTTAACTGTAAATCCTTATGTCCACATTTTACATATTCTCTCAGTATCACTTTTTGAAAAGAATCTTTAATGCCTGGCCCTGGGCAAAAGTCTTCAGCAAAATGAGAACATATAACTGAAAGAAATAAAAATATCAAATTACTCCACTTACTAGACTCAGATAAATATAGATTACAAATCTAAACTATAATATTATACAAACTGCATAAACCAGATAGCATAGCAAAATACCAAAGGCTCTAATTCTTTATATGTAATGAAAACATACTAACCAAAATATATCTGAGAAAAAATTATAAATGAGTTAAGTGTTTGAAGTACCCCAGGTGAGCACAAAGTCACACAGAAGGGAAAAGCAAATGTTTGTTACATTTACCCAACATGGCTATTCCTGCTTCCCAATATAACATAATGCCTTTAGAAGTAAATTCCCAGCCAAGTGCAGTGGCTCAAGCTGTAACCTCAGCTACTTGGGAGGCTAAGGTACCAGTGAACCAAGATTGCACCATTGCACTACAGCCTGGGGAACAGAGTGAGAATACATCTCAAAAAAAAAAAATTATAAAAATAAATAAATAAATAAATAAATAAATAAATAAATAAAGAAGTAACTTGCCAACTTTTGATTTTGTTAAAAAAAAAAAAAGACTAGTAAAATACTGGCTCAAATTTCTTTATTACTTGCTTGTCCAGGCCTTTCCACACACTGGCTTCTGTCTTCTATGATATATAGTGCAGAAAGAAATGGTGGTATACTTTGGAATGACAGTTTGAGTCTGCTGAGACCAAAGGTAAATGTTACAGCAGTAGAGAGACTGCAGTGCCACAGAAAGAAAACAGGTGTAGCAAGTGATTACTGAGTATTAAGAAAAAAGATGACTAGGGGCCAGGTGCAGTGGCTCATGCACATAATCCCAGCACTTTGCGAGGCCTAGGCGGGTGGATCACGAGTTCAAGAGATTAAGACTATGCTGGCCAAAATGGTGAAACCCCATCTCTACTGAAAATACAAAACTTAGCTGGGCATGGTGGCACTTATCTGTAGTCCTAGCTATTCAGGAGGCTGTGGCAGGAGAATTGCTTGAATCTGGGAGGCGGAGGTTGCAGTGAACTGAGATCGTGCCACTGCACTCCTGCCTCATGACAGACTGAGACTCCATCTCCAAAAAAAAAGATGAATAATTTCCTTTAACTAAAAAATAAACACAAAATTTCAGACAAGACACACTCAAAGAACATGTTTGAGAGACTCTCAGAATCTCTAACTCAGACAATTGTTCAAAGTATGCCAGGAGAAAGCCATATTACAAAGATTGTGACAGGTAACTTTTTAATGTTCAAATTTTTATAAAAGATTACAATGTGGCCAGGTGCAGTAGCTCACACCTGTAATCCCACACTTTGGGAGGCTGAGGTGGGTGGATCACCTGAGGTCACGAGTTTGACACCAGCCTGATCAACATGGAGAAACCCTGTCTCTACTAAAAATACAAAATTAGTCTGGCATGGTGGCAGGCACCTGTAATCCCATCTACTTGGGAGTCTGAGGCAGGAGAATTGCTTGAACCTGGGAGGTGGAAGTTGTGGTGGGTGGAGATCATGCCATTGCACCCCAGCCTGGGCAACAAGTGCAAAACTCTATCTCAAAAATAAAATAAAATAAAAATTTGAGGAAGAAACAATAAAAAATGAAATAAATTCAGTAACACTCAATGAGTGAAATATGAACACAGAGAACTACAGAAAATCAGAAAACTGGAAATAAGAACAAAAATATTTAAAACATTAGTAAACAAATTAGGGAGGTAAAAAAATATAAAAAAACCCTGAAAAATCTTGAAAAATGATGTAAAAATAAAAAAGCTCAACAAACAAACTAGGATACAAGCAAAGATATTTATATCAAACACATATGTAAGCAAAATTGTAAAAGTCACAGAAAAGGGAATCTTGGGAGCTGCAACATAAAAGTGATGTGTTGGCTGGGTGCAGCAGCTCATGCCTGTAATCCCAGCACTTTGGGAGGCCAAGGCATGCCAACAACCTGAGGTCGGGAGTTCAAGACCAGCCTGACCAACATGGGGGAACCCATCTCTACTAAAAATACAAACTTTGCTGTGTGATGGTGCCTGCCTGTAATCCCAGCCACTCGGGGGGCTGAGGCAGGAGAATTGCCTGAACAAAGGAGGCAGGGGTTGCAGTGAGCTGAGATCACACCATTGCACTTAGCCTGGGCAACAATAGCAAAACTTCGTCTCAAAAAAAAAAAAAAAAAGTGTTATTTGCAAGAATACTCTTATGAGATAGCAAGTGGATTCTCAAGAAAAATTTTGCAGGCCAGAAGGATATTGTGTGATATAGTCAAAGTTCTGAAAAAAAAAAAAAAAAAAAAAAAAAAAAAAAATATATATATATATATATATATATATATATATAATCAAGTGAGTATAATACCATCACAAAATCTGTCCTGCTAAATAAAAAGAAAAAAAAACTTCAAAAATAAATGAATTCTAAAGAAGTATATTGGCACTGCCTTATATATAAAAGGCGCTGAAGGCAGTTGCTTCCAATGTAAATAACAAGACTCAACAAAACAACATATAATCATATTAAAATACATTATTTTCTGGGAAAGATATGCACATACACAAAAATAAATTTCTTAGCACAAAGAATACATCTATATAGATACACAAAACAAAATAAGGAAGAAGTAAAAGCATATAAAATAAAAATAAAGAAGACACAAAGAGACAGAAAATGTGGGACAAAGATACAAGAATCAAATAGAACAATAAATTAACATTAGTAAATCTCTTTGTTTCAGAAAACTTTGTGTCTGTACAGGCAGAAGAGATTATAATCAGGAGGTCCAGAAGCCTGTGTTGGTGAAGGAGACAGGTTCCTGCTACAGATTCAGTGTCTGGGGTTGAGATAAGCCAGAAGTCTTCTAGGCACCTGTGTATATTCTTGGCAGAAAACTCTAGGGGCAAAGCTATTGTGGGCATAATTCCTGAGGGTAAAACCTTGTCCTGGGAGAGGAGTGGCCGTGTCAATTTTTAGTGGGTATGGTCAAGAGTGGGTCAGAATCATGTGGGGGTTGGCACCAAAGTGGGGAGAGGGAATAAGTTCTCAGAACATTTTTACTCTCTCTTCCCTCTCACCCTAGGAGACCCAGAATAGCAGGACAATGTACAATGTGACAGCCTGTGTGCAGAATAAACCCTCACTTCCCTCAGACATCTGAAGTCTCCCTCCAGCCCAGGCCTATGATGGTTAATACTGTCAACTTGATTGAAGGATGCAAAGTATTGATCCTGGGTGTATCTTTGAGTGTTGCCAAGGGAGATTAACATTTGAGTCAGTGGGCTGGAAAAGGCAGACCCACCCTTAATCTGGGTGGGCACCATCTAGTCAGCTGCCAGCACAACCAGCATACAAAAGCAGGCAGGAAAATGTGAAAAGGTTACATTGGCCTAGCCTTCATCTTTCTCCCGTGCTGGATTCTTCCTTCCCTCAAACATCAGACTCCAAGTTCTTCAGTTTTGGGACTCAGACTGACTCTCTTTGCTCCTCAGCTTGCAGACGGCCTGTTGTGGGACCTTGTGATCATGTGAGTTAAAACTAAATAAACTCCCCTTTATACATATATATCTATCCTATTAGTTTTGTCCCTCTAGAGAACCCTAATACAAGGCCCCTGTGGTAGATCTCGTCTGACAAAAAAAGTTGTAGTTTGCTGAACACCAATCAATTATCCAACACCAACTGGCTGTCCAACAACTCAATTCTGACACCACCCAGAGTCAACACAGAATCCACAAGTTCAGGGCTCAGTCCCACAACACTGTCGCAACTACAGATGCCAGTCACATGGCTCTGGATAACCATCTATTTCTGAACTACTGCTAACAAGCCAAGGTCTTCCACATCTTCCTCCTCAAGTTCAATAATTTGAATAATTTGAAAGATTACTCAGAGAACTCAGCAAAGCACTGAGCTTACATGTTGGGAACAGGCCCCCCAAAATCTGGCCAAAAAGTGGCCCCAAAACTGGCCATAAAGAAAATCTCTGCAGCACTGTAACATGTTCATGATGGCCATAACGCCCACGCTGGGAGGTTGTGGGTTTACCAGAATGAGGGCAAGGAACACCTGGCCCACCCAGGAAGGAAAACTGCATAAAGGCATTCTTAAACCACAAAAAAAAGCATGCTCCTGCTGCAGATAACTAGCCCAACCCATCCCTTTATTTTGGCTCATCCCTTCGTTTCCCATAAGGGATACTTTCAGTTAATCTAATATCTCTAGAAACAGTGCTAATGACTGGCTTGCTGTTAATAAATACGTGGGTAAATCTCTGTTCAGGGATCTCAGCTCTGAAGGCTGAGGCCCCTGATTTCCCACTTCACACCTCTATATTTCTGTGTGTGTGTCTTTAATTCCTCTAGTGCCGCTGGGTTAGGGTCTCCCTGACCGAGGTGGTCTCAGCAAGTGGCGTCCATCATGGGGGCTCGAATCCAGGTTGAAGGTCAGTGGAGTGATGGTTGGAGAATGTAGAACTAAGCCGGAGGACACCCAAGTACTCTTAAAGCAATCCCCATGATGAGTAAGAAGGGGAGCTTGGAAGCATCAGGGTAACAATGGGACAAGTGTGTGCTGTGGTTCATTCCACCTTGGAACTTTTTCACACTGATAATGAGGAGGAAGGAGAGTGTAATGAAGTAACAGAAGAGGTTACATATCAGGTTTATTTGCCAGTGAAAGCTAAAGAGGCACAGGAGGGAGAGGTTCATCCCTACCCTTCTACACCCCCTCATTATTATTTTGAAGAAAAAGAGTGGCCTGACCCTCCAGATCTTTCTTTTCCAGAGGACACTGGGTGAAAAGTAGTTGCCCCAGTGACTGTTCGAGCAGTGCCTCGAGCAACTGCTCTTAGTTCCATTCAGGCAGGAATTCAGCAAGCTAGACGAGAGAGTGATATAGAGGCTTGGCAGTTCCTTGTTAGAATACACTCCCCAGATCAATGGTGAAATATTATAGCTACATTTGAGCCTTTTCCTTTTAAATTACTCAAAGAATTTAAACAAGCTATTAATCAGTATGGACTAGGTTCTCCTTTTGTAATAAGACTCTTAAAGAATGTTGCCGTTTCCAGTCTGATGATTCCTACTAACTGGGATGCTCTTACTTGAGCTTGTCTAACTCCTGCCCAGTTCTTACAATTTAAAACTTGGTGGGCAGATGAAGCTTCCATTCAGGCTGCTCGCAATACCCAGGCCCATCCTCAAATTAATATAACTCAGACCAACTTTTGGGGGTTGGCGGCTGGGCTGGTTTAGATGCACAACTGGTCATGCAGGATGATGCCACAGAATAGCTTACAGGAGTGTGTATTACAGCTTGGGAAAAGACCACTTCATGTGGAGAATAATACCCTTCCTTTAGTGCTATAAAACAGGGACCAAAAGAACCGTATATGGATTTTACAGCTTGGTTACAGGAGTCTCTTAAAAAGGTGATTACAGATTCGGCTGCTCAGGATATAGTGTTGCAGTTACTAGCTTTCAACAATGCTAATCCCGATTGCCAGGCTGCTGTGTGACCTATCAGAGGGAAAGCACATTTAGTTGATTATATCCAGGCCTTTGATGGTATTGGAGGTAATCTGCGTAAGGCTACTCTGCTAGCACAGGCAACGACAAGACTGAGAGTGGATAAAGGAAATACTCCATTTCCTGGAGCTTGTTTTAACTGTGGGAAGCATGGTCATACTAAAAAAGAATGTAGAAAAAATCAGCAAGTCAGGCCACCAGATAGGGGAAAAAAGAAAACTACTGAGTCTGAAATATGTCCAAAATGTAAAAAAGGAAAACATTGGGCTAATCAGTGCCACTCTGTTTGATAAAGATGGGAACCTGATTTTGGGAAATGCCATGAGGGGCCTGTCTCAGGCCCCGTTCTAAACTGGGGCATTTCCAGCTCAGGCCATTCCCTCACCCCTGTACAATGTCTGTCCCCCGCCACAGCTGGTAGTGCCACAGTAGACTTATGCTGCAAAACCTGTGAGCCTTCTGCCTTGGGAACCCCCGCTAAAGTTCCCAACAGCAGTCTGTGGACCCTTGCCAGCAGGGACAATAGGAGTTAGCTCTAGGAAGTTCTAGTTTAAGTTTAAAAGGGGTACAAATATATACAGGAGTCACTGATTCAAGACTACAATGGGGAAATTCAAATTGTTATATCTACTTCTGTTCCCTGGAAAGCAGAGCCAGGAGAGCGCATAGCACAGCTCCTGATTGTGCCATAAGTGGGAATGGGAAAAAGTGAAATTAAACGAACAGGAGGATTTGGAAGCACAAATAAACAAGGCAAAGTAGCTTATTGGGTAAATCAAATCACTAGTAAACGTCCTACCTGTGACATAACTATTCAGGGAAAGAAATTTAAAGGTTTGGTAGATACAGGAGTCAACATTTCAATCTTTTCTCTACAGCATTGGCCATCCGCGTGACCAATTCAACCCACTCAATTTAATATAGTTGGAGTTGGTAAAGCCCCTGAAGTATATCGAAGTAGTTATATTTTACATTGTGAAGGGCCCGATGGACAACCTGGGACTATTCAACCAATTATAACTTCTGTACCTATAAATTTATGGGGAAGAGATTTATTACAACAATGGGGAGCACAAGTTCTAATTCCAGAACAATTATATAGCCCTCAAAGAACATACAATGCATGAAATGGGGTATGTCCCTGGTATGGTACTAGAAAAAAAATGTGCAAGGTTTGAAAAAACCACTTCCAGCGGAAAAACAGAGTTCCCGCCAAAGATTAGGATATCATTTTTGATGGCAGCCATTGTTAAGCCTCCAGAACCTATACCTTTAAAATGGTTAACAGATAAGCCAATTTGGATAGAACAATGGCTGCTAAATAAAGAGAAACTGGAGGCTTTAGAGAAATTAGTTACTGAACAATTAGAAAATGGGCACATAGCTCCAACATTTTCCTCTTGGAATTCTCCAGTTTTCATAATTAAGAAAAAATCAGGTAAATGGAGAATGTTAACTGACTTAAGAGCCATCAATTCAGTTATACAACCTATGGGAGCATTACAACCAGGATTGCCTTCTCCTGCTATAATTCCAAAAAATTGGCCTTTAATAGTCATAGATTTAAAAGACTGTTTCTTTACTATCCCTTTATCTGAGCAAGACTGTGAATGGTTTGCATTTACAATTCCTGCAGTAAACAACAACGCTTAGCAGCCTGCTAAGCGTTTTCATTGGAAAATGTTGCCACAAGGCATGTTAAACAGTCCAACAATTTGCCATACATATGTAGGGCAAGTAATTGACCTACTCATAAAATATTTTCACAGTGTTACATTATTCATTATATGGTTGATATACTTTGTGCTGCCGCCACTTGAGAAATATTACTCCAATGTTATGATCCCTTGCAAAATTTGATTTCTTGCACTGGTTTACTTATGGCTCCTGACAAAATTCAGACTACTACTCCCTACTCCTACTTGGGGACCCTAGTAAATGACACTACCATTGTGCCACAGAAAGGAACAATATGTAGGGATCAATTGAAAACATTAAATGACTTTCAAAAATTACTAGGGGGCATTAATTGGATACAATCTGCTCTAGGCATTCCTACCTATGCCATGAGTAATCTGTTTTCTATCCTTAGAGGAAATCCTAGTCTCACTAGCCCTCAGCAATTAACAAAGGAGGCTGAGGGAGAGTTACAACTAATTGAGAAGCAAGTCCATAAAGCTCAAATAAATAGAATAGACCCAGAGAAGACTCTAGATTTGCTAATTTTTTCAACTCAGCATTCACCTACTGGTGTTATTGTCCAAGAACAGGACTTAGTAGAGTGGCTTTTTCTTCCACATACTAATTCATGGACTCTAACTCCTTATTTAAATCAAATCGCTACTGTGATAGGGATTGGGAGAACTCGGATTGTTAAATTACACAGATATGATCCTGGAAAAGTTATTGTCTCTCTCACGAAGGTACAAATACAGCAAGCTTTTATAAATAGTCTTACTTGGCAAACCCATTTAGATGACTTTGTGGGCATTCTCGATAATCATTTTCCTAAAACAAAACTGTTTCAGTTTTTGAAATTAACTAATTGGATTCTCCCTAAAATAACTAAATGTAAACCAATTGAAGGTGCTGAGTATGTTTTTACAGATGGGTTTAGTAATGGTAAAGCTTCTTATTCTGGCTGGAAAAGTAAAGTTTTCCAGACGCCCTATACTTCAGCTCAAAAAGCAGAACTTGTAGCTGCAATTGAGGTATTGACTGCTTTTGATATGCCTATTAATGTGATTTCTGATTCTTCACACGTGGTTCATTCCACACAGTTTATTGAAAATGCTCAGTTACGATTTCATACAGATGAACAACTGATCACTTTATTTACCCAATTGCAAATAGCAGTTAGGAGTACAATGCATCCTTTTTACATCACTCACATTAGGGCTCGCTCATACACCTCTTCCAGGACCTTTGACTGAAGGGAATCAAATGGCCGATTGCCTAGTTGCTAACGCAATATCTAATGCTAGACACTTTCACAATTTAACCCATGTTAATGCCTCTAGTCTCAAATGCAGATACAGCATTACCTGGAAAGAAGCTAAAGCTATTATCCAGCAATGCCCAACTTGCCAAATGGTACATTCCTCATCTTTTACAGGAGGGGTTAATCCTCGAGGATTGGAACCTAACTCTATTTGGCAAATGGATGTCACACATGTTCCCTCATTTGGGAGACTAGCTTATATACATGTATGTGTGGACACCTTTTCTTACTTTGTCTGGGCTACATGCCAATCAGGAGAGTCTTCTGCCTGTGTTAGTTAAACATCACCTTTTGCAGTGTTTTGTGGTGGTGGGCATTCCAGCTTCTATTAAAACAGATAATGCCCCAGGCTATACTAGCCAAGCTCTAGCTACATTTTTCTCTGTGTGGAATATTAAACACATTACCGGTATCCCATACAATTCTCAAGGACAAGCCATAGTGGAAAGAATGAATCTCTCCCTAAAACAGCAGTTGCAGAAGGAGACGGGGGGAAATAGACAATATGTAACCCCACAGATGCTCCTGAATCTAGCATTATTAACTTTAAATTTTTTGAGCCTGCCCAAAGGCCAGATGTTATCAGCAGCTGAACAGCATGTACAGAAACCAGCTGCAAAGAGAGAAGCAGAACAACTGATTTGGTGGAGAGATCCAATAACAAAAAGTTGGCAAATGGGTAAAATAACTTGGGGTAGAGATTATGCTTGTGTTCCTCCAGGCCAAAATCAACAGCTGATTTGGATACCATCAAGATACCTGAAACTTTATCATGAGCCAGATGCTGAGGAAGAGATTCTGGGAGGATCCCGAGGACCCCCTCGTTGCAGCCATGTCAAGATTGATGCTGAGGACAACCCCAAGCGTCACAAGCAACACACGTCGAACACAGCCACCCACCTTGGGACAGATCAAGAAGCTGTCACAGATGGCGGAAGAAAACCTGAAGAAAGTGGGACAACCAGTCACAATGAGCAATTTAATGGTAGCTATGATAGCAGTTATCACCATTGCCATGAGTATTCCTTCAACAAGGGCTGACACAGAGAACAATTATACTTATTGGGCATATTTATCTATCTTGGCTGGTAATAATGCCTGGATGTAATCACTCTATGACACAGTTACACATGCTTTCTTATCTCAGTATTTACCATAATAAATCTGCTCCTATAATTGAGGCATACCGCCCTCAAAAACCTATTTGTAAACAAAATAGTACCTGGCCAGAAAAAATGAATGTACTTCTTTAGAAAGATTGCATTGCAGAACAGGCAGAGGTGCTGCACAATGATTCCCATGGAATCATTATTAGCTGGTCTCCTAAGGGGATGTTTAGCTTAAATTGCACCTCTCAGTCTGTGTGCCACAGCCACACTGTGTTCAGCTGATCTGAACAAAATGGTCAGATGATAGAAATGATAAGAAGTATGGCAAGAGTTCTATTATCTGGAACCATGGCAGTATAGTGGCACCTCGACCTCAAATGATAAGGCCTGCTGTAGGAGCTAAACACAAGGATTTGTGGACACTATTAATAGTTCTTAATAAGATCAAAATTTGGGAAAGAATAAAAAAGCATCTAGAAAGACACTCTACAAAGTTGTTTTTGGATATTGCAAAATTAAAATATTTAAAGCATCCCAAGCACACCTGATGTTAATGCCAAGAACTGGAGTGCTTAATGGAGCTGCAGACAGATTAGCAGCTAGTAACCCATTAAAATGGATAAAAACACTTGGAAGTTCTGTGATTTCAAAGATGATTGTGCTTTTAATCTGTGCTGATAGTCTGCAGATGTGGATCCTGACTCCTGCGAGAAGTAGCTCACCGTGACAAAGCTGCCTTTGCCTTTATTGATTTGCAAATCAAAGAAGAGACATGTTGGGAACAGGCCCCCCAAAATCTGGCCATAAACTGGCCCCAAAACTGGCCATAAACTAAATCTCTGCAGCACTGTGACATGTTCATGATGGCCATAACACCCATGCTGGAAGGCTGTCGGTTTACCGGAATGAGGGCAAGGAATACCTGGCCCACCCAGGGTGGAAGACCACTTAAAGGCATTCTTAAACCATAAACAATAGCAGGAGCCATCTGTGCCTTAAGGACATGCTCCTGCTGCAGATAACTAGCCCAACCCATCCCTTTATTTTGGCCCATCCCTCCATTTCCCATAAGGGATACTTTTAGTTAATCTTTTATAGAAACAATGCTAATGACTGGCTTGCTGTTAATAAATATGTGGGTAAATCTCTGTTTGGGGCTCTCAGCTCCAAACCTTTTCTGATTTCCCACTTCACACCTCTATATTTCTGTGTGTGTGTGTCTTTAATTCCTCTAGCACCGTTGGGTTAGGGTCTCCCCGACTGAGCTGGTCTCGGCAGTATAAGATAGAGAAAAAAAATGTACAAATACATAGAAATTAAACAACACACTCTTCAGCATGCTCCTGTTCAAAATTTGAAATATTTTGAAGATGTCCATAATGCTCAATGTAATCTACAGATTTAATGCAATGTGAGATTGAGGGAGGAGAATTGCCTGAAACCAAAAGGCAGAGGATACAGTAAGCTGAGATTCAGCCACTGTACTCTTGCTTGGGTGAAAGAGCAAAACTCCATCTCAAAAAAAAAAAAAATTACAATAGCACAGTTTTATTGCAAAAACATTAACTTTTTTTTTTTTTGAGATGGAGTCTCACTCTGTCACCCAGGCTGGAGTGCAGTGGAGGGATCTCAGCTCACTGCAACCTCTGCCTCCTGGGTTCAAGCAATTCTCCCACCTCAGCCTCCCAAGTAGCTGGGACTACAGGCGCACGCCACCACACCCTGCTAATTTTTTGTATTTTAGTAGAGACGGGGTTTCACTTTGTTGCCCAGGCTGGTTGCAAACTCCTGAGCTCAGGCAATCTGCTCGCCTCAGCCTCCCAAACTGTTGGGATTACAGGTGTGAGACAGCGCACCCAACCTGCTTAACATTTTATAATTTGATTATAAACTATAACTAGCAAAACACTCATAAAAAAGAACAGAGAGACATTATACTTTCTGATTTCAAAACACATTAAAAGCTACAATAACAAAAAGTGTGATACTTACACAAAGATAAAAAGATGAAAGAACAGAACAGAGAGCCCAGAAATGAAGCCTTCTGTATATGATTACATGATCTTTTGCAAAGTTGCCATGAGCACACGATACAGAAAAGATAATTTTCTCAAAAAATAATGTTAAAAACATCAACACTGATGAAATACAGTTACATCATTTTTAAAAACTATATTCACAAAATTTACAAAAAAATTCCGTAGACATGAGGCCAGGGGTGGTGGCTCATGTCTGTAATCCTAGCACTTTGGGAGGCCAAGGCAGGTGGATCACCTGAGGTCAGGAGTTCCAGACCAGCCTGACCAACATGGAGAAACCGTCTCTACAAAAAATACAAAATTAGCTGGGTATGGTGATGCATGCCTGTAATCCCAGCTACTTGGGAGGCTGAGGGAGGAGAACTGCTTGAACTTGGAAGACAGAAGTTGCCGTGACCCAACATCATCCCATTGCACTCCAGCCTAGGCAACAAGAGTGAAACTCCATCTCAAAAAACAAAAACAAAAACAAAAACAAAAAAACTTAGACATGAAAAAGTAATAAATCTCTTAGAAAAAAGAAATAATATGAGTCTTGGCACCATTTTCTTAGATATGATATTAAATGCATGAACAACAAAGAAAAAAACAGAAAAATGTAACTACACTATACTTGAAAATTTCCGCACATTAAGAAAATTCAAAAATCATATGTGATAGTAGTTAATATTCATAACATATGAACTCTTAAAACTGAACAATAAAGCTAAATTAATTTATAGATGAGCAAATAATTGAACAAAATTTTCATCAGAAAAGATACACATATAGAAAAAGAGCATTTGAAATGACACAGAAAATTAATACTTTGTAGAGAAACACACGAAAATAACAATGAAAAAATTGCCTCACACCCATTACAATGGCCACTATAAAATTTTAAGCACACCAAATATGTTGATGATGCAATAAAAATGAAACCTATGTTGATTGTTAGTAGAAAACAAAGATACAATCATTATTTTAAAATGTTATGTTTCTCAAATAATTAAAAATGGAATTATCATCAAATACAGCAATCCCATTTATGAATTTATAGTCAAAATATGCAACAGAAGACCTGGAAGACCTATTAGAACATCCATGTTTATTGTACCCGTATTCACAAAAGCCAAAGGGCTGAAACAACTCAGATGTCTCTTGATTTATAAACACATCAAAAGTGTTGCATATATATATATATATATATATATATATATACACACAATGAAATATTATTCAGTCTTAAAGAAGAAAATATTGTCACATTTTAAGATAAACTTTGCAAATATTATGTCACCTATATGCCAGAAACAAAATGATGAATACTGTATGATTCCGCTTATATATCTTAAGTAGTCACACTTATAAAAACAGAAATTGGAAGGGTGTTTGCCAAGGGCTGGGAAGAGGGTAAATGCGTTGTTGTTACTTAATGGGTACTGGGTTTTAGTTTCACAAGATGTAAAACTTTTAGAAGTCTTTTGCATAACAATGTGAATATACTTAACATGCCTGAAATATACAGCTTCTTTTTGAGACAGGGTCTCACTCTGTCACCCAAGCTGACATGAAGTGGCACAATTAAGGGTCACTTCAGCCTCAAACTTCCAGGCTCAAGTAATCCTCCCCTCTCAATCTCCCAAGTAGCTGGAACCACAGGTGCATACCACCACGCCTGGCTATTTTTAAAAAATTTTTGTAAAGAGAGACTCTTCATATGTTGCCCAGGCTGGTCTGACACTTTTGGGCTCAAGTGATCTTCCTGTTTTGGACTCCCAAATTTCTGAAATTACAGATGTGAGCCACCCACATGTTGGGCCATGAAATGTACACTTAAATAGATTTAAGATGCTAAATTTTATGTGTTTTTACAACAATTAATTTTCTAACAGAAAAACTGAAAAAAATAAAGAATTATA
Organism: Homo sapiens; assembly: GCF_000001405.40. Lineage (NCBI taxonomy): Eukaryota > Metazoa > Chordata > Mammalia > Primates > Hominidae > Homo > Homo sapiens. The sequence continues at coordinate 21,409,359 of NC_000019.10, read as the reverse complement.
AATCTTTTCAAAAATTACCTTCAAATCCCAGAAGTGTTTCTCTTACACAAAGGGAATATATATTCATGATTAAACACATCATGAAAATAAGAAATGGTGAAAATATTTACATGACTACACATTTAGACAAGATAAAACAACCACTGAAAACCAGCTAAGAAAGAATATATACAAGAGGCAGGGTGCAGTGGCTCACATCTCTGATCCCAGCACTTTGGGAGGCTGAGGCAGGCAGATCACGAGGTCAGGAGATCGAGACCATCCTGGCTAATATGGTGAAACCCCGTCTCTGCTAAAAATACAAAAAATTAGCCAGGCGTGGTTGCAGGCGCCTGTAGTCCCAGCTACTTGGGAGGCTGAGGCAGGAGAATGACGTGAACCCGGGAGGAGGAGGTTGCAGTGAGCCGAGATTGTTCCACTGCACACTCCAGCCTGGGCGACAGAGCGAGACTCCACCTTAAAAAAAAAAAAAAAAAAAGAAAGAAAGAAAGAATATATACAAGATAAGCCATAACCAATATTGGGGTCATATTTATAGATAAACACACACACATATATGATTGTGATAGACATATGGCTATCTTTTAATTCAACCTCACATTGACATAAAGTATACAGACAGAATTGCAAATTGACTAAAATTATAATACATAACCAAAAACCACGATAAGCTGATATTAAGATACCTACACTGAAAACACCACTAATATGAAACTGCACAGGAAGAGACGTTTAACTCATACAATTTGGTATGCAACATTAATATACCATTAAAAAAGAATTTGTCTAACTACAGTATTTGACTGTAACTGTACTCATCAAAAGCAGGTATTTTGAAAAATTGGCAGTAAAATTTCAGAGAATATGCAGTATAATTATAAATAAAATATTCTGATGAGAAACTTTTAATAAGCATTTAAAAGAAACAAGTGGCCGGGGGTGGTGGCTCACGTCTGTAATCCCAGCACCCAGGAGGCCAAGGCGGGTGGATCACCTGAGGTCAGGAGTTCGAGACCCAGCTTAGCCAACATGGTGAAACCCCGTCTCCACTAAAAACACACAAAAAATTAGCTGGGCGTGCTGGTGGGCACCTGTAATCCCAGCTACTCAGGAGGCTGAGGTAGGAGAATCGCTTGAACTAGGGAGGCAAAAGTTTTGATGAGCTGAGATCACACCACTGCACTCCAGCCAGGCGACAGAGCGAGACTCCTGTCTCAAAAAAAAAAAAAAAAAAAAAAAAAAAAATTGGGAAGTACAACTACCCAAGCCTCTTGTAACATGACAACTAAATATGGACCCTAATGTAGAACCAGCAGCCTTGCAACCAAGTTACAACCCCACTCCACTACAAACCCAGAGGGCATCCCAAAACCCTGGGGAACACAAGAAAAGAAGATCTTTACCTCCTGAAATCAGCTTATAAAAACTTAAGGAGTTGTTTGCCATTTCAAATTCACAGACACCAATAGTAAACTCTATTGTGCCCTTTGTCAATGTTTCTATTTTAACATAGCACTGGAAGCATGTGGCAGAATAATGAAAAAAGAATTCTTTTTAAAGCCATTGAAACTGAAGACAAATAAGTAAAAAGTTGCTGTTTGAGGAACATATAATCTTACACATAAAAAACCACAGTACATTGAAATTTGTCTAAACTAATAATACAGTCAGTAAATTAACAAAATATAAAATTAACATAAAAGTGTAAGTTATTGTTCTACACACTTAAAACAAGCTATTGGATACAATAGAAATAAAAAAATTTTTATTAGGCTGGGCATGGTGGCTCACGCCTGTAATACCAGCACTTTGGGAGACTGAGGCGGGCGGATCACGAGGTCAGGAGATAGAGACCATCCTGGCTAAAACGGTGAAACCCCGTCTCTACTGAAAATACAAAAAAATTAGCCAGGCATGGTGGCAGGTGCCTGTAGTCCCAGCTACTCGGGAGGCTAATGCAGGTGAATGGCAAGAACCCGGGAGGTGGAGCTTGCAGTGAGCAGAGATGGCACCACTGCACTCCTGCCTGGGCGATAGAGTGAGACTCCATCTCAAAAAAAAAATAATAATAATAATTTTTTAAGATTAATAATAGTGATTCCCCTGGTTCAGCCTCCTGAGTAGCTGGGATTACAAGTGCCCACAGCCACACCCAACTAATTATTTGTATTTTCAGTAGAGACGGGGTTTCACCATAATGGCGAGACTAGTCTCGAACTCCTGAACTCAAGTGATCCACCGGCCTCAGCCTCCCAAAGTGCTGGGATTACAGGCCCCAGCCACCGTGCAGCCAAGAAAGCAATCTTTTTAAAAATATAATTAAAATAATAAATTTCTAAGAACAAATTTAACCCGAGGCAAAAAATGTTAACAATAAAAGATATAAATCAATAAAAGGAATTAGGCAAGACACAAATAAATTTACAAATATTTCATATTTATGGATTGAAAAAATAAATACTGTTAAAGTACCATATTCTCCAAAGTAATCTATAGATTCAGCAAACGACCTATCAAAATTCCAGTGGCATTTTTTTCTTATAGTAATGAAAACTACGATTTTAAAATTTACAAAAAACTACAATAAACTTCGAATAGCCAAATTAATTATGAGAAAAAAAAACAAAGCAGAGGGACATCATACTTTATAATTTCAAACTATATTTCAAGAATATACTAATAAAAACAGGATGGAATGTTCAGAAAATTAACATAAAAACCAATAGAACAGAGACCACTACCCTCATACATTTTAGAAATGATGCAAAAAAAGAACTAATAAAATAGTTTAACATAAAGTTTCTCAAAATCATGCAGATGCAGATATTTGTGTGTCCCCCAAAACAATGGAAAAGCAGTCAGATTGTGCAGTCTCTTATATGCCATGAAGATGATTTGGCTCTCACTGTAAACTTAAAGGAGTATCAATGAAGAGAAAGTAGAATCCTTAGAGAATTTAAAAGCATAAGACAGAAGATGGCCCTATGTGAGAAAAAGAACAACAAAAAAAAAACAAAAAAATGCCAAAGGCTTCCGAGAAACTCTTTGCTTTGGAACATAGCTTCCCAAATCAGCAGGACAGATTTGGTGATGGTATTATATTCACTTGATAACTATTTTCTTTTCCTTTTTTTTTTGAGATGAAGTCTCACTCTTGTCCCCCAGGCTGGAGTGCAGTGGCACCATCTTGGCTCATTGCAACCTCTGCCTCCCGGTTTCAAGCAATTCTCCTGCCTCAGCCTCCGGAGGAGCTGAGATTACAGGCAACTGCCACCACGCCTGGCTAATTTTTGTATTTTTAGTAGAGACAGAGTTTACACCATGTTGGCCAGTCTGGTCTCGAACTCCTGAGCTCAGGTGATCCACCTGCCTTGGCCTCCCAAAGTCCTGGGACTACAGGCATGAGCCATTGCTCCCGGCCAGGACTGGCTTTTTTTTTTTTTTTTTTTTTTAAATCTTTCAACCTTTCATCTATGTCAACTGTTTCATTCACTCTCACCTACCTGGGGGTTTGACTACCGTACTGTGTCCCTTCATATTCCAGGGATCTTTTCCTTGCTCCAGACAGGTGACCAGATCTGGCTTAGAGACAGCAATACCTGCTTTATTAAAAATAAATAACATGAATCTTGCTCATATTCTCTAATTACCTACCTAGTACCATGCTTAGTAAAGAGGATGTAATAGAATATTCTAGAAAATTTATCCCAAAATACTATTTAATGACAGAAAGTTCTTAACATTTAGAAAATATTTTAAATTTGTAGGTGCTTAATTTTGCCACCCAGTATTCATGGATAAAAAATTAGTGGTGGCATATAGATTTTAACATATGGACAACAATATTTTATACTACTAAATTTCTGAAATTACCACTACTGTAGAGTGAAGGATACAGACCGGCTCAGAAATGTAAAAAGATCAGGCCAAGATAAAACATCCTGAAGAAATTTTTTTCCACACGGACAGTTCTTCAAGATTTCTTTAAAACAGGCACCAGAAACTCACTTATGCAAAGCATAAATTACCAAAAATTATTCTATGAAAACAGAGAAATGAAAACTTTAGGGTATATAAGGGATTTTGTATTAAAGTTATTCTCACCCAAGAAGACCAGGTTTCTGTAGTTCTCTAACATCACTTTCCTATACAAATCCTGCTGAGCAGTGTCCAGGCATTGCCACTCCTCCAGAGAGAATTCTATGGCCACATCCCTAAATGTCAACGGCCCCTGAAACAAACACACACAAACACACACACACACACACACATTTACACGTGGGCAAAATTTATCATTTGAATTAAGGTCAAATGAGAAAGTAAAGAAAATTCGTTCTGACTTACAGGAATGACTGAAATTATCCAACAATTTTCAACACAGAAATATTCTCTAATGTATTCTCTAACTCTGAGAGAAGAGAATGGTATAAGATCTACAACACCACTGTATATATACTTTTATTAATAGTAAAGTATAAAGCTAAAGGCATAAACACAAACATGTACATTTTTTAGTGCTATATTTGCCACACAAAGAATGAGTTGTGTATATTTTTCAGACAAAAGATATGTTGAGTTAGAAGGCACCTCTCAAGTTTTAATGTGAACAGTAAACTGGAGATCTTGTGCAGATTCTTTTTTCCCAGAAGATCTGAAATAAACTCTGAGTTTCTGAATTTCTAACAAGTTCACTAGTAATGCCAATGTGTTTGGCCCAGAAAGAATATTTTGTCAATATCCAGTAAGTGGAAGATCCTGTGTTTTACTCAATTTTTCTGCCCTGTAAACAAAGATAAGAGTCTTCATTTTCCAAAGACAGATAAATGCAAGGAAAACCTAACAAAGAAAGGCAGCTGCCAGATTAAATGTGATGGTTTATGCACAGCTCTTCCTTAGCTACATAAAGATACTTAATAATGAAGAGAAAAATAATTAACTCTATAGTGAAATAAATATTTCAGAGAGCTCTTTTAAGTAAATTTTAAAATCAACTGCATTAGGACAAATGTTTATGATGTGCTGATGCACACAGAAGAAGACATCATCACTGCTGAGATATTGCCCCTCAAAAAGTAAATTATAGTCTGAGGTTAACCATACAGAAAAATCAGTTTTATGCAGAGTTCAAAATGCAGATATCTTCTATGTTCTGCAATTTTTAATAACATTTTAAAGTAGTCTTTCTTTAGCACCTGAGAGAGCAGGTATCTCTCAATAACTTTTTTTCAGAACTTTCAGGGTAATAAACACCATCCTGTTTAAATAAGCATTTTATTAATCCTGTTCTGCATAGAATTAATGGAGAAAACAGATGAAACCACAACATTACATGTTATTTATCTTTACTAAGGACCCCAGCTTTCCGCCAATGGGAATCTTGAATATCTACATTTTCCCACGTTCAATGGCAACAAAGGGAACATTTTAAGTAGTGCAGATTATAAATTCATTTTAAGAATTCTGCATGGCGTATAAGAAGCCATGATTTAGAGAGTGTAGAGAAGGTTCTGGGATATAGGAGAGAGATATTTTGCAGAGACCCTTGACTATCACAAGAATTTTCTAAAGTAGTTAAAACAAACTCATTAGGGGAAAGAAACACAAGTAGGGAAGTAAAGGTTTGCAAGGACTAAACGCATGGCAATCCAGGAGGCAGAGTGGACACAGCTCTTCATCTGAGACATATTTAGCTGAAAAAAAAAGCCATTTTTCCTCTTTTGCCTTCTTTGGAAATCCTTTTCAGATGACATTCTCTGGAGAAGTTACACCTGCATCCTGAGAAAATTCTTGTAAAGAAGTCAGCACCACCTATTTACCTGCTAGCCTCACAACCACAGAAAAAAAGAAGAACTGCAGAAAAAGCCCACTCACTTTTGTCCTTTATAACAGGAGAGATTCAGGAACAATGAGCTGCTCAATGAATATAAAAATATGTTTCTCTATTTGTCTTCATGTGCCTGCCCTTGCCACAAACACCAGCAATTTCTGCTATAGTAATGAAAATATGGGTGACACTGACCTCTTCCTATCAAAACCAAACGGAACAGTTCCTGTGACCACCTTTTAGTGCAAAGGTGAAACTTAACTCTCATGAATCTATCTTGAACCCCACACACTTAATTCTGTCCTCACCTTAAGAGTCACATGAGACACAATTAAAACATGAATACTTTCACCTAGAACAATACACAGAACCTGTGGAGAGAGCACAAGTAAAGAGATTTCTGCAAATTGGCCATGTAATCCCGACACAATTCTGTCCCTGACATCCTCAAATGTCTTAAAGACACCTAGGTGATTGTGAGACGGTTCTCAGTGACTCAAGGCTGATGGCCCAGTGATAAGCCAGGCTGAGAGAGATTCATGCTGATTCTAAATAGAAAATGGAACTGCTTTGGTGGAACTCCAGAACCTGGATCACCTATCCTGATGTGCTAGCTTTTGGGTAAGAAGGACAAGAATACTCTACTCCATTATTACAATTTACAGGTAGGTATAGTTGTGGTCATAGCTCTGGATACTTTGTGGCCTTATCCCTCACTCTTAAGATGCTTGTTTACACTTATAGATTCTGTCATCAGATTCTATTTATACCTGGAGCCTCTCATATAACTGTAGCAGGTCACTAAACAAGATCTGAAAAGCTTAAAAAGCCACACTCTCAAAGGGGGGCTTTAAGATGTCTATGTTGACATCTCACAATGCAGAAAATGCATTTTGTTGGTTTTCATTACATTCACAATTGAAAGTCTGGCCCTGTCTTGTAAATCCCAGGCAGAGGCCTGACCCTATGTGCAGATTCTAAGTGGGGTTAGCCTGACTCTGCATTCTTGGGTGTTACAGCAAGCAGAGTACAATCAAAGGAGAGATCCCTTCATAGAGGCTCCTCTAGCCCATTCTATTAATATGTCTACCTAAAAGGAAAAAACTGAGGAAACATGAATATAATTAGAGAGTTCGTCAGGGCCAAGCTTGAGGATTATAACCTTGGAACAATGATACATCCTGCAAAGACTGAACAAATAAGAAATTGAATCCCTGAATAGACCAGTAACAAGCTCCAAAATTGAATTAGTAATAAATAGCTGGCCAGGGCCAGGCATGGTGGCTCATGCCTGTAACCCCAGCACTTTGGGAGGCCAAGGCAGGTGGATCACAAGGTCAGGAGATCGAGACCAGCCTGGCTAACACAGCGAAACCCCATCTCTACTAAAAATACAAAAAATTAGCCGGTCGTGATGGCGGGTGCCTGTAGTCCCAGCTACTCGGGAGGCTGAGGCAGGAGAATGGCATGAACCCATGAGGTGGAGGTTGCAGTGAGCCGAGATCGTGCCACTGCACTCCAGCCTGGGTGACAGAGCGAGACTCCATCTCAAAAATAAATAAATAAATAAAATGAAATAAATAAATAAGTAGATAAATAAATAGCTGACCGGGCATGGTGGCTCACTCCTGTAATCCTAGCACTTTGGGAGGCCGAGGCGAGTGGATCACGAGGTCAGAAGTTCAAGAACAGCGAACAGCCTGGCCAACATGGTGAAACCCCATCTCTACTAAAAATACAAAAATTAGCTGGGTGTGGTGGTGCACACTTGTAATTCCAGCTACTCAGGTGGCTGAAGCAGAGCATTGCTTAAACTCAGGAGGTGGAGGTTGCAGTGAGCTGAGACTGTGCCACTGCACTCCAGCCTGGGCGACAGAGTGAGACTGTCTCAAAAAATAAAATAAAATAAAATAAATAAATAAATAAATAGCCTGCCCACCAAAAATAAAACAAAGAACCACACAAATTTACAGCTGAATTCTACCAGATGTAAAGTAAGAGCTGGTACCACTCCTACTAAGATTATTTCAAAATACTGAGAAAAAGGGACTTCTTTCCAACCCATTATGTAAAAACAGCATTATTCTAATATGAAAATTTGGCAAATATAAAACAAAAAAATAGAAACCTTGAGGCCAATATTTTTAATGAACATTGATGAAAATATCCTCAAGAAAATACTGGAAAACCAAATCCAGGAGAACATCAAAAAGCTAATCCACTACGATCAACTTGGCTGTATCTCTGAAATAAAAGGTTGGTTCAACATGCAATTAATAAATGTTACTCCTCAAGTAAACAGAACTAAAGACAAAAACCACAGGGTTATTTCAGTAGATGTTAAAAAAGCTTGCAATGAAATTTACCATCCTTCATGTTTAAAACTTTCAAAAAACTAGGCATTGGAGGTACATACATCAAAATACTGAGTTATCTAAGTATGACAAACTTACAGCCAACATACAAAATGAACACAAGCTGGAAGCATTCCTTCATGAAAACTGGCACAAGAAAAGAATGCTTTTTCTCAAAACTCTTGTTCAACATAGAATTCAAAGTCTCGGCCAGAACAATCAGGGAAGAGAGAGAAATAAAAGGCATTCAGACAGGAAGAGAGGAAGTCAAACTATTCCTGTGTGCAGATGACAGGATTCTGTATCTTCAAAACCCTACAGTCTCAGTAGAAAAGCTCTTTAAACTAATAAACAACTTCAGCAAAGTTTCAGGATACTAAATCATAGCATCCCTGATGTACAATAACAACTACATGGTCAGTATGACCCTCCCTGTCCCCTTTTATCTTAACCTTAACTGCATCTGCCTGTAGCTTTCCAGGACTCTGTAGCTTCTGTCAGCAGAAAGGCTTCTTCCATGGCTGGAGTGAGCAGGCTGGAACATCTGCAGGGGAGGCTCTCCAGAAAAAAAACTAACTAGGCCTTTAATAAACTCCTTTTGCAGGCTCAGTATTAGCCTTAGCTCTGAGTCACTGGGCTCAACCTTTAATTTTCACGTTAGAGTTACTCACTTGGTTTTTGAAATTAAGTATTTAAAAAATTCAGCAAAATTACTGAAACACAGTGTTCACATACGGGAAAAAAAATTTTAAGGTGCTTACATTTTTTTTTTTGAGATGGAGTCTCTCTCTGTCACCAGGCCAGAGTACAGTGGTACAATCTTGGCTCACTACAACCTCAACCTCTTAGGTTTAAGCCATTCTCCTGCCTCAGCCTCCCAAGTAGCTGGGACTACAGGTGCGTGCCACCATGCCCAGCTAATTTTTCTATTTTTAGTAGAGGCAGGGTTTCACCATGTTGGTCAGGATGGTCTTGATCTCTTGACCTTGTGATCTACTCGCCTCAGACTCCCAAAGTGCTGGGATTACAGGCATGAGCCACCGCGCCCGGCCAAGTTGCTTATATTGTATACCTTAATAAGAAAAGCAAAAGTATCTATTTCTTTTAGAAAATAAATGTCTTATTCTATTAATTCCACTAAAAATCATGCAGTTAACAATGAGTCATATGAAAACACTTCCAGGCAGTATCAAGTTTCATCTCATAATATTTAGCATGAAACTCACAAATCAAGATAACAGGATTTGAACAGAGATATTCACTGTCAAAAATTTACCTTGCAAAAAAAGGAACTTACGTTTTTATGAATCTACGTAACTCACCAATTACCTACCGCATTTTCTCATGGAAATGTATTCATTTTCTACAGCAAAAATGAAATGGAGATTTTTTCTCTCCTTTTTCTTGGCAGCACTCTAAAAGCTAAGCCTTGAAATTCTGTTTGAAATCACCCAGCTATAAAAAAAACACACCTGAGAAAATTCAAAAACTCACTCTGGGAAAGAAAAAGGTACATGAGAATTTTTAACAAATGACATATATGATTAGATATAATTTTTTGAAACCCAAATCTTTTATGCCCTTTGTAAATATTTTTCTACCTTTTCAAGTCCTACTAATATAATGCAATTTACAGCTAAAAAACTGAGGTCAAAATAAGTGAACAAATCTCTTCAAGGTGACAAATCCAGGAGTGGCAGTGCTGGTTAAATAACAGATGTGGGCCGGGCATGGTGGCTCACACCTGTAATCCCAGCACTTTGGGAGGCCGAGGCGGATGGATTATGAGGTCAGGAGATTGAGACCAGCCTGCCTAACACAGTGGAACCCTGTCTCTACTAAAAACACAAAAAATTAGCCGGGCATGGTGTCAGGCACCTGTAGTCCCAGCTACTTGGGAGGCTGAGGCAGGAGAATGGCGGGAACCCGGGAGGGAGAGCTTTCAGCGAGCCGAGATCGGGCCACAGCACTCCAGCCTGGGCGACAGAGTGAGACAAAAAAATAAAAATAAAAAAATAAAAAATAAAAAATAAATAAATAACAGATGTGTCTGACTCACCTTTCAAGTCAGGCCATTCAATAACTTGAGAGATTCTTCCACCCACTCCTGCTCACTTGTGTGCTCAAGAACCACCCATTCAGGAGACACTGCAGTATTTCTTGGTGACTGTCCCAGTTGCGTTTTACTTTGCAAGCTCTTACACCATCTCACTGGAGTCAGTTTTGTTTTTGTTCTTGTTGTTTGTCTTTTGGGATACTATTTTTTGGGCCACAAATTTTTCACTTTTTTTTTTTTACTCTTTTTCTTTTACTATATTAATTTCACTATTTTTCTGCCCCCTTAGAGAATCCAGGGGGCAGAAATTATTTCTGTGTTTTCCCCTCATTACCAGCATCTGATTGGCTGACCAGCAATTTGTCTCCAAGAAATGGAAGCCTGGTTGAGGGAAGGCAATTTTAACATTTCAAAGGGTTACCCGTTTCAAAATAAGAGTACACCGGAAGATTCCCCTCAGCCCCAGAATATCCACTTGCTCCCTTGAGAGGATACACTCCATACCTCAGGTCATCTTATGGGAGAAAATAAACCAGAAGCTGAGATCCAATGGACACTCTAGCTAACATAACCATGGCAGTTATCTTGGTTTATCCCCAGATAGTACTGAAACCCATGACCAGGAAAAAACCAAAGGGTGGCTGAGGACACATCACCCCATAGATTTTCCAAAGGAGAACTTCGACCCAAAAACATTCTGGTAACATCTCTGTGCCTAGACAAGATGAAAGCAAAAGAGACAGAGATTTACTACAATGCAGTGTCAGGGTATTATTATTTGCCTTCTTTTCATGGGAAATATTTACAAACAGATAACAAATCTCTTTAAATGCACCATTTAACCATTTAATGCTTTGCCAAAAAAATAATTAAAATATGGTATAAAAAAGTACAGTAAAAGACAAATAGGCGATAATGTGAATTAGGGAGGAAAAGGTGGCATTTAGGAACGTCAGAGGAAACTGGAAATTATCTTACTGCAAGCCAGAGTGAGGCCGGAGAAATGGGGGATTGGTTCCAAGACTCTGCTTGGGACACAGGTGAAAAATACAGCAGAAAATCAGTTCCCTGTGGAGTGTGAAAATAATTAAGTGGCAGGCAATTAGACTGAGGTATTTCTAGTCCCTGAATTCTTACTTTAAAAAAAAAATCTAACTCAGGTGCATTATTTTTAATTACTACATTCAGAGAAACAAAATTCAGGCTTCAGCAACTGTAAACTGCCAATTAAGCTCTGATTACATAACCAGGAAATTTTCACCTTTAACGCACATATTAAGAAACCATGTAACTGTACCTAACCAATTAGTAAATTTGGTTTCTTCATCATGCATTTTATAAAAGACTTTCCTTCAAGCCTCTCCCACAGACCACAAACTACAAACCATAGCTGGGTGCTCTACAATTCTAGAACCACTCTTTGATTACATTCTTTAATATTTTTGCAGTGACGCCCATAAATTTTTAATAGGAGAAAATAGCAACTGGGAACCCCACGGACCAAAGCTCTTCCCATTCATGAACCCGCACCCCAAGTCAGGATTCTCCCCTGATGACCCTCCCGTGGTCCCCGCACAATCTGAGAAAGACGCGGCGCTGCGGGTGCAGAACTGCCAGAGAGGACTCCAGGCAGGGCACAGTCACAGTGCAGGGAAGAGACAGGACGCCCGGGGCCCCGGCTGTTGGCGCAGCCGCCAACTTACGGCTGAAGGAGACTGAGGCCGAGCTGGGCAAGGAGAACTCAGGGAGCAGATTGTGGAGCTGACTGCGGGGAGGCCTGAGTCCCGCCACAGCCACTTCCCACCGGTTCCGAGCAACTCCTTCCCCTCTCTCGTGATGTCGGACCCAGCACTCTCACCATGTCTAGGCTTTCAGGGGGTCCTGGCATCTTAGCTATGGATTTCCCAGTATCTTCAGGTCACGAAGCCACACACGCTGAGGACACAGAGCAGTGAAGGGTAGACCTGGAGCTCCGGCAGCAGAGAGAAACAATGGCCCAGCCACATCCCGGAAGCCGTCCTCGCCGCTCCAAATGTGTGCCTAATTGGACGGTTCCCAGTTCTGCGTGTCTGATTGGATACGGTTTAAGGGCCCGCCCCTTCAGGCCCTGAGTGACAGAAGATATGACCAAATGCTGGGCGGAGTGAAGAAAGAGTGATAGCCTAGGCTGCAGCCTTTTCAGGCAGGGCTTCCTCCCTGAGCTGAGCCAGGCACACCTTAGAGGGTATTTTCCCTTAACCTTGTGTATAAGGTCATAAGCACTTATAAATAATATATGGCTATTCACAAATTTAAAAAAATAATTATTTTAAAATTTCAGCTTTTATGACCTTCCTGGCTCCTAGTCCTTTGAACTAGCAGCCTGAGATTTTTAAAAGGAGCCAATCTTATGAAATAAGATGTGAGCCACATGTGAATTTTAAATTTTCTAGTAGCCAGACTTTAAAAATAAAGAAGGGCCGGGCGCAGTGGCTCACGCCTGTAATCCCAGCACTTTGGGAGGCCGAGGCGGGTGGATCGCCTGAGGTCAGGAGTTTGAGACCAGCCTGGCCAACATGATGAAACCCCGTCCCTACTAAAAATAAGAAAAAATAACCAGGCGTGGTGGTGGGCGCCTGTTATCCCAGCTACTCGGGAGGCTGAGGCAAAATAATCGCTTGAACCCGGGAGGTGGAGGGAGGCAGAGGTTGCAGTGAGCCGAGATCGCCCCACTGCACACTCCAGCCTGGTCAACAAGAGTGAAACTCCATCTCAAGAAAAAAAAAGAAGAGAGAAAGAGAGAGAGAGAAAGAAAGAGTGAAAGAGAGAGAGAGAGAAGGAAAGAGGGAAGGAAGGAAAAGGAAGGAAGGAAAAAGAAGAAAGAAAAGTGAAGAGAAGAGAAGAAAGAAAATAAAAGTGAAAGAAAAGAAAGCCGGGTGTAGTGTCCCATGCCTGTTATCTCAGCACTTGGGGAGGCCGAGGCAGGCGGATCACCCGAGGTCAGGAGTGCAAGACCAGCCTAGCCAACATGGTGAAACCCCGTCTCTACAAAAATACAAAAATTATCTGGGTATGATGGCAGGTGCCTGTAATCCCAGCTAATAGAGAGGCTGAGGCAGGAGAATCACTTAAACCCAGGAGGCAGAGGTTGAGGTGAGCCAAGATCACGCCATTGCACTCCAGTCTGGGAAACAGAGCAAGACTCCATCTCAAAAATAAAAAAATTTTAAAAAGAAGGAGAAGAAACAGGTGAAATTCATTGTAACAATTTAATTAACCCAATATATCCAAAATATTATCATTGTAATATGTGAGCAATATGTAAAGATTAATGAAGTATATATATATTTGGAACTGTATCTTTGAAACTAACTCTGTATTTTACCTTTCTAGCAAATTGCAGCGACATTCCAGGCACCCAGTAGCCGGCCATACATGGCCAATAGCTGTTGTATTGAATGTGTCAGCTCTGACGTCAGGAAGGTGAAGGGTCTGAACGTCCATATTCTGCCAGTGGTGAGGGGACAGCCTCTCTCTACCAAAGTCTCTGTGCTGTTCCGAGGGTGGAACAGATAGTGGCCATAGAAAGGTCAGAAGATATCAAGAATAAAATCACCACAGGTAGACCACTGCTGGCCACCTGTTGCCCACCTTTCTTCTAAAGATCATACAGTGAACAAAGAATGATAGGGCCACCAGGCGCGGTGGCTCACGCCTATAATCCCAGCACTCTGGGAGACCGAGGTGGGCGGATCACTTGAGGTCAAGAGTTCGAGACCAGCATGGACAACATGGTGAAACCCGGTCTCTACTAAAAATATATACACTGGCTGGGCGTGGTGGCGTATGCCTGTAATCCCAGCTACTCAGGAGGCCGAGGCAGGAGAATCACTTAAACCTGGGAGGCAGAATTTGCAGTGAGCCCAGATCTTGCCACTGTATTCCAGCCTGGGCAACAGAGCGGGACTCCGTCTCAAAAAAAAAAAAAAAAAAAAAGCCTGGGCACGGTAGCTGTCGCCTGTAATCCCAGCACTTTGGGAGGCTGAGGTGGGCAGATCACAAGATCAGGAGTTCGAGACCAGCCTGGCCAATATGGTGAAACCCCATCTTTATTAAAAATACAAAAATTAGCCGTGCATGGTGGTGGGTGACTTTAATCCCAAGCTACTCAGGAGGCTGAGGCAGGAGAATCGCTAGAATCTGGGAGACAGAATTTGCAGTGAGCCCAGATCTTGCCACTGCACTCCAGCCTGGGTGACAGAGCGGGACTCCGTCTCAAAAAAAAAAAAAAAAAAAAAAAAAAAAAAGCCTGGGCATGGTAGCTCACGCCTGTAATCCCAGCACTTTGGGAGGCTGTAATCCCAGCACTTTGGGAGGCTGAGATGGGCAGACCACAAGGTCAGGAGTTCGAGACCAGCCTGGCCAATATGGTGAAACCCCATCTCTACTAAAAATACAAAAATTAGCCGTGCACGGTGGTGGGTGACTTTAATCCCAAGCTACTCAGGAGGCTGAGGCAGGAGAATCACTAGAATCTGGGAGGCGGAGCCGAGATCGCGCCACTACACTCCAGCCTGGGCAACAGAGCAAGACTCTGTCTTAAAACAAAACAAAACAAAAAAATGATAGGGCTACATGAGAAGAAAACTCCATGTCTTCAAATTTGTCCACAGCCTTGAGCTTTCATGTTTAGACATGAAGAAAATAGATTAAAGGCAAACTTTTTTTTTTTTTTTTTTTTTGAGACGGAGTCTCGCTGTGTGCCCAGGCTGGAGTGCAGTGGTGTGATCTTGGCTCACTGCAAGCTCTGCCTCCCGGGTTCACGCCATTCTCCTGCCTCAGCCTCCCTACAATATCATTTTAAAATCTTGACTTTATCTATAAATATCCTCTTTTGTGTTTAATATTTTTATTGCTCTTAAAATAACTTTTTCTACTTTATTAATATGTTCAAAGAACAACACTGATTTTACTGGCCATGTTATTATTCCCAAGTGATAGATGAGACAGAGAGGTTAAGAAGTTTGCCCGGCCAGGAGAGGTGGCTCAGGCCTGTAATCCCAGGACTTTGGGAGGCCAAGGAGGGCAGATCATCTGAGGTCGGGAGTTCGAGACCAGCCTGGCCAACATGGTGAAACCCCGTCTCTACTAAAAATACAAAAATTAGCCTGGTGTGGTGGAAGGCACCTGTAATCCCAGCTACTTGGGAAGCTGAGGCAGGAGAATTGCTTGAACCCAGGAGGCAGAGGTTGCAGTGAATCGAGATTGCACCATTGCACTCCAGCCTGGGCAACACAGCAAGACTCCATTTCAAAAACAAAAACAAACAAACAAACAACAAACAAACAAACAAACAAAAACAACTTGCCCAAGGTTTTACAGGTACTTTGAGCCTGCTCTTATAACCATCAAACACACTATCTCACCCAAGGAAACACACATGCAATACTACTTCGAAAGGTACATAAAATCACACATACACATGCAAATCTTTGTAAAGATAAAACAAACTTATATAGAGTTTGTCTGCAAAAGGGCACTGAGGTTGAGTGTAGTGATTTTCACATGATACCAGCATTCTCTTTGTTGTTGTTGTTTCATTTTGTAGGGATGAGGTATTGCTACATTGCCCAGGCAGATCTTACACTCTTTTGTTCAAGCAATCTTCCTGTCTTAGCCTCCCAAAGTGCTGTCTGTAATATTTAAAAATACTTATATGGGTAAAGTGTGCTTGTTTATGTTTGTAATCCTGTTTTGGAAAGATGAGGGGGAAAGATTGTTTGAGTTCAGGAGTTCAAGACAAGTGTTGGCAACATATTGAGATCTTATCAAAACTAAAAATCAAATAAATTAGCTGTACATGGTGGTACCCACCTGTAGTCCCAGCTACTTGAGAGGCTGAGGTGAAAGACCCACTTGAGCACTGTATATCGAGGCTGCAGTGAGCTGTAAACTCACCACTGCACTCCATCCGGGGCAACAGAGTCAGACACTATATCCAAAATAATGTTTACAGAAAAAATGCATTCATACAATTTTGTTATTTATGGAATTCATGGAAATATAAAAAATATAAAGTACTCAATGGCAAAATTATTATTTTCTAATTTTTCTCTTGCCTTTCATGTTAGCTCTTCACTCCAAAAGCAACTCAGTATGTAGGGCTAGATGTGCTCATGCTGCCAACTTTTTACTTTCTTACTCTGAAATCATTTTAGCTTTCCTGAACATATTCCTCACATTAGAGAAGAACATTGCTTTATATTTGTGTATGTAAACAGACTATGGGGTTGGCTTTCTTAATACTTTTTCTTCAGTATTTTAAAGCAAATCTTGGCTGCTGGCAGCCAGGCACAGCCAGATTAGGTGGGAGCAGGAGGCAGAAACTTGCAATCCATGAGCTGCATTGGCTTTTTCAACACCCACTCTTTCTCCTCAACTACATAGAAAATTGTCTTAGTGTTTGATCTTATGCATCCTTGAATCCAAACATCTCATTCTTTGCCTTATACAAACTACAAACATATTTGCAATTTATAACACGTAATCAATCTATTGGAAAATATTCTAAACAAAAACCTTCTTTTCATAGAACACAATAGTGCAGCTGAACACTTAAAATATTGTGTTCAGGATTACTAGTATAATGATGTTACCTAATATTTATTATGTACTTTTGGATGTTTAGCACTTGGAAATTATTTAAAAACCTTCTCAAAATTAACCTGGGAGTTCAAAGGCTAGGTATGACCCAAACAGTCCCTTTCTTCCCAACACTGAGGAATGGCATACAAGATTGTCTTGAGGTTGAGGGCAGGTGATAAAGAAAAATTTTCAAAAGAGAAAGAAATTTCTACAATCTTGTCACCACACATTGATCTTACATAAATTTCTCCATCAGTTATATAAATTTTGAATGAACCACATTACTTAAAGTTGTCCAAATGATTGTTCCACATTGTAAAATTTTCAGAAAACTGAAAGAAGCAAAAGCAAACTTTCTTAAAGAAGGTAACATCTCATCCAGTCCTTGATGAAACTTGAAAGTAATTTTCTATGAACAGTGACTAGCAAGCAACCAAAGATGGCAAAACTCACAATAAAGAAGACAGTGTGAAAGACACCAGAAGAAGGAATAACAGAAACAAACCTGCAAAGACATCCAATATTAGATTTATCGACAAAAATATTAAAAACTACTAGGCTTAACATATTTAAATAAGACAAATGAAAGTATCTACAGGGCATTAGAAACTATAAAACAATTTAAAAAGTAACTAAGTTGTGGAATGAATAATACAATAACTAAAAGAACTCACTAACCACATTTGAACTTAGGTGCACTAGACAGAACTAGTAAACTAGATGAGAGCAGATGAAATTAACACATATGCAAAAAATGTCAATGTCAGAAAACTCTACAGGTAAGTCTTTCAGACATTTAAAGTTTAAAAATGAAAAGCATACTGTTGATATTATTTAACCTTTCAAAAAACAGAAGAAGTAAAAACACTGCACAACTCAATTTCTGAGAGTTAATACCAAAGATTGACAGAGACAAAACATGAATAACTATAAAAGTATCATTCATAAAGACAGATTTTAAAGTTTTAAAGCATTTGCTAACAAACTGAATCTTGCTCTGTATAAAATAAGTAAACCCGGCTGGGAGCGGTGGCTCACGCCTATAATCCCAGTACTTTGGGAGGCCGAGTTGGGTGGATCATGAGGTCAGGAGTTCAAGACCAGTCTGGCCAATATGGTGAAATTCCGTCTCTACTAAAAATATAAAAATTAACCAGGCATGGTGGCACACACCTGTAGTCCCAGCTACTCGGGAGGCTGAGGCAGGAGAATCACTTGAACCCAGGAGGAGGCAGAGGTTGCAGTAAGACAAGATTGCACCACTGCACTCCAGCCTGGATGACAGAGCGAGACTCCATCTCAAAAAAAAAAAAAAAAAAAAGTAAAACCATGAATAAGTTTATCTCGAGAGTACAAGGTAAGTTAAACTTTGTAAAATCTATATGTGTATATACAATAGGCACAGAAAAAGGGCTTGGTAAAAACCTTTTAGCAAACTAAAAATAAAAGGAAATTTTATTTTCTAAATATAGAAGGTATCTAAAATGTACTACAGCAAATGTACATGATAAACCATGAAAACTTGTCTTTTGATGTCATAAACATTATAAGGATGCTGCTATCAACATTTTTATTAAATATTGCATCTATGGTCCCAGCCAATAGATTAAAATGAGAGCTCAGTATTACAGTAATACTGGCAAAGTAGAACAAGTCAATAAGCTAGTACCTAAACAATTGGTTCTAGCTGGGTAGATTGGATTCCTGCACAGCAACTGACACAACAATTTTTCACATAGATTGAGAATTTAAAACTTTTAGGAGAAAATACAGGATATTATTGTTGTTATAACAGTGGGGTAAAACAATGTCTTAAACATGGCACATTATAAATTAGACCAAATTCTAAGAATTTTTGATTAAGAACTTATAAAAACATGTTTAAATATAGATGGTGGAAAGGCAAATCATAACTAGGACAAAAATCTACAAAAACGCATATTACAAAAAATTAGTATTTAGACAATATACCTTATAGAGTATGAATACAAAAAGAAATGAAATACATTAAAAATAGACAGATGGCACATCTTAAAGCACAATTGACCAATTAACTTCTAAAAATGCTAACTTCATTAGTAACTATAGAAATGCTAATTAAAACTATAAATGATATACCATTCTGATTCTCCACTTTGTCAAAAAATATTGTGCCCAGAATTTATTCCATCTGGTGGATTCTTGGTCTCGCTGACTTCAAGAATGAAGCCGCAGACCTTTGCAGTGAGTGTTACAGCTCTTAAAGATGGTGTGTCTGGAGTTTGTTCCTTCCAATGTGTCCAGAGTTTCTTCCTTCTGGTGGGTTTGTGGTCTAGGTGACTTCAAGAATGAAGCTGTGGACATTCGTGGTGAGTGTTACAGCTCTTAAAGGTGGTGCAGACCCAAAGAGTGAGCAGCAGCAAGATTTATAGTGAGGAGTGAAAGAACAAAGCTTCCACAGCATGGAAGGGGACCCAAGCAGGTTGCTGCTGCTGGCTCCTGGTGGCCAGCTTTTATTCCCTTATTTGGCCCTGCCCACGTACTGCTGATTGGGCCATTTTACAGAGCACCAATTGGTCCATTTTACAGAGTGCTGATTGGTGTGTTTACAATCCTTTAGCTAGACGCAGAGTGCTGATTGGTGGGTTTTTACAGAGTGCTGATTGGTGCATTTACAATCCTTTAGCTAGACACAGAGTGCTGATGGGTGCATTTTTACAGAGTGCTGATTGGTGTGTTTGCAATCCTTTAGCTAGACATAGAGTGCTAATTGGTGCATTTTTACAGAGTGCTGACTGGTGCATTTACAATCCTTTAGCTATACAGAAAAGTTCTCCAAGTCCCCATTTGACCCAGGAAGTCCAGCTGGCTTCACCCCTCAATATGTCTAGTAATTCCAAGAGTTGGTAAAATATAGAGTAATTGGAATTCACAAATAACCACTGGCTATAGAATTGGTTTAAAAATTGATGTATATTCACCCTATGCAGCAGTGAAATGGACAACTGTAGCTATGCAAAGCAACATGGAAAAATAGAAGGAAACAATTGTAAATAAAAAAGCAAGTCACAGATGAAAAATTGTAGAATTTATCTAGAGCCAAAAATCTGGCAACACTGAAACGTATATTGTTTATAGATAAAATTGCATAAAGTAAATGATAATACAAAATTCAGATACTGGTTACTTTGGGTTAGTAGGGCTTTAGGAAACTTCAGAGGTATCCACTTCTCAGGAATGCATGAGGATTTTATGAAATTATACTGAAAGTTTCATAAGAGTAGAGACCAATTCTTTCTTTCTTCCCTTCCTTCCTCTCTCTCTTTCTTTCTTTCTCTTTTTGATGGAGTCTTGCTCTCTGACCCAGGCTGGAGTGCAGCGGCACGATCTCGGCTCACTGCAATCTCCACCTCCCGAATTCAAGTGATTCTCCTGCCTCAGCCTCCAGAGTAGCTGGGATTACAGGTGCCTGCCACCATGCCCAGCTAATTTTTCTATTTTTAGTAGAGGCAGGGTTTTACCATGTTGGCCAGGCTGGTCTTGAACTCCTGACCTGGTGATCTGCCCGCCTCAGCTTCCCAAAGTGCTGTGATAACAGGTGTGAGGCCACTGTGCCTGGCCATAATTGTACATTTTAAAATAAGTAAAAGTGTAGAATTCGATTGTCAGTAATACAAAGGATAAATGCTAGAGGTGACGGATACCACATTTAGCACATGATTATTATGTATTATATTTGTGTATCAAAATATGCCATATATGGCATAAGTATATATACTCATATACCCACAAAAATTAAGAAAAATAAATTTAATTGATTAAAATAAGAATAAATATTTACCCAACAGGAATATTATTATTTAATTTATCTATACTTTAAAGCCACTGGCAAGAGATTAACATGTTAAAAATGTTGAAACCATTAACTTCACACATAATGTAAAATTTTAAAAATGTGCTGCATTTTATTATATAAAAGTACAATTAGTACAATAATATACTAATAATATACTACTAGTTTTCTCATAATGCAAAAGAACAATACTCTTAACACCTACCTCATATATCACTCAAGAGTATAAGTTAACCACAAAGAACCTCTCCACTTTTTCATCATGCATCTTACATTCTAATGTCCTTACTTGTCCATAGAAAAGATCATAAATGCCCACCTAATGGAAAAGAATCTCTCATACCTTTGATGCAACAATTATCACATGCTTTCACAAGTGAATAAGAATGAAGAAACACCAGAAAATGAGTGTTGAATTACATCATTTGCTTTCAAAGTCTGTAATTTTTTCAAGAAATAAAGTATACTTAGAATGTAGTTATTACTCTGCAAAAAATCTTTTACTCCTCTTAAATTTATATACAAATACTTTTTCTATCAACTTTAGTTTTAGATTATTTTCTATACTCAGAACTCTTGACTTAGTATATCTGCAGTGTCAGTTCCTTATATATTTCTATTATAAATTCTGATATTTACATAGCCCTAATTTGGATTAAATATTTTTTCATTTTTAGTGCATCTTCAAAAATATTCTTCAGTATAAACTCTGGTGTTTTCTGATGTAGTTTTTGAAAAAGTGTTTTTCCACATTTATTATATCTGCAAGACACTTTTCCAATATAAGTGCCCTAATGTTGAACAAAGCTTGAGCAACTGCTTCAGAGTTTTCCTCTAGTACAAAATGTGTACAATAAAATTTGATTCAAGTAAAGGTACTACAACCCTCTTTATGTTTGTAATGTCCATCTTCAATATAAATTCTCTTCTTCACTTTAAAGGGTTATATTTTTCTGAAAGACCTTTTGACAGTAATTGCCCTTATCTTGCTTTTATTAAGTATGAACTCTCTGGTGTTAAGATGTAAGCAGATATTAATGTCTTTTTCACAGTCTGTATTTGTATAATTTTTCTCAAACATAAATGCTTTTCTGTGCAATAAGGTGGTTAAGTTTTGCCACATTGCTCTCACTTGTAGGATTTCTTTCCAGTATGAATTATATTGAATGTAATCAAGTAAGGCAGGGAGTGGTGGCTCATGCCTGTAATCCCAGCACTTTGGGAGGCCCGAGGTGGGCGGATCACCTGAGGTCAGGAGTTTGAGACCAGCCTGGCCAAGATGGTCATACCCCATCTCTACTAAAAGTACAAAAATTAGCCAGGCGTGGTGGCAGGTGCCTGTAATCCCAGCTACTTGGGAGGCTGAGGTAGGAGAATCACTTGAACCTGGGAGGCGGAGTTTGCAGTGAGCCGACATCATGCCATTGCACACCAGCCTGGGGGACAAGAGTGAGACTTCATCTCAAAAAAAGAAAAAAGTCAAGTATGACAACCATTTAAAGACTTTGTCACATTCTTCACATTTCTAGGATTTCTCACCAATATGATTCTTTTTATGGTTAGAAAAGCTTGAGGTGTTGTCAAAAGCATTATTGCATCTTTCTGGTTTGTGGAGTTTCTTTCCAGTATGAATTATCTTATGTGTGTTAAGATCTGAGGACTAGTGGCTGAGCGTGGTGGCTCATGCCTGTAATCCCAGCACTTTGGGAGGCTGAGGTGGGCAGATTACAAGGTCAGGAGTTCAAGACCAGCCTGATCTACATGGAGAAACCCCATCTCTGCTAAACATACAAAATTAGATGGGTATAGTGGTGCATGCCTGTAATCCCAGCTACTCGGGAGGCTGAGGCAGAATTGCTTAAACCTGGGAGACGGAGGTTGCAGTGAGCTGAAATCATGCCACAGTATTGCAGCCTTGGCAACAAGAGTGAAACTCCATCTCTAAAAATAATAATAATAACTGAGAACTAGTTAAAGCTTTTGCCATATTTTTCACACTCATAAGGTTAATCTCCAATATGAATTTTCTTATGTTTGGTAAGAATTGAGGACTGGTTAAAGGCTTTGTCACATTCCTCACATTTGTAGTGTTTCTCTCCTGTATGAATTATTTTGTTCAAAAAGGTTTGTAGGACTGGTTAAAAGCTTTGCCACATTCTTCACAGTTGTGAGGTTTCTCTCCAGTATGAATTATGTTATGTTTAGTGGGAGTTGAGGACTGGATAACGGCTTTACCACATCCTTCACATTTCTAAGATTTTTCTCCAGTATGAGTTATCTTATGTTTAGTAAGGTTTGAGGATTGATTAAAAGCTTTGCCACATGGGTGGGATTTCCCTCCAGCATTAATTATCTTATGTGTAGTAAGGGTTGAGGATTAGTTAAAAGGTTTGCTACATTTTTCACATTTGTAAGGCTTCTCCACAGTATAAATTATCTTATGTGCAGAAAGTTGAGGGGACCATTAAAGGCTTTGCCACATTCCTCACGTTTGTAGGTTTTCTCTCCAGTACAAATTATCTTGTTTAGTAATGGATGAGGATTTCTTAAAAGCTTTGCCACATTCTTCACATTTGTATAATTTCTCTCCTGTAAGATTTTATGTTTAATAAGGTATGAGAATCTATAAAAAGTTTTGAGATATTCTTCATATTTGTAGGGTTTCTCTCCAGCACGAATTACCTTATGTGTCATCAGGGTTGAGAAGTGGTTAAAAGCTTTGTGACATTCTTCATATTTGTAGGATTTCTCTCTGCTATGAATTCTGTTTAGTAAGTGTTGAGGACAAATTAAAGCCTTTGCCACATTCTTCACATTTGTAGAATTTCTCTCCAGAATGAATCACCTTATTTTTAGTAAAGTATGAGAATCAATAAAAACCTTTGCCACATTCTTCACATTTGTAGGGTATCTCTCCAGCATGAATTACCTTATGTGTAGTAAGGGTTGAGTACCGGTTAAAAGCTTTGCCACATTCTTGACATTTGTAGAGTTTCTCTCCAGTATGAATTATCTTATGTGCAGTAAGGCATGAGTACCAGTTAAAAGCTTTCTCACATTCTTTACATTTGTAGGGTTTCCTTCCAGTATGATTTCTCTTATGTGCAGTAAGGTGTGAGGACTGGTTAAGAGCTTTCTCACATTCTTCACATTTGCAGGGTTTCTCTCTAGTATGAACTCTCTTATTTTTTTTATTTATTTATTTATTTTTTTGGAGATAGAGTCTCTCTCTGTCATCCAGGCTGGAGTGCAGTGGAGCCATCTCAGCTCACTGCAACCTCCACCTCCTGGGTTCAAGCGATTCTCCCACCTAGGCCTCCAGAGTAGCTGGGACTACAGGTGTGCACCACTACACCTGGCTAATTTTTTATATTTTTAGTAGAGATGGGGTTTCACCATATGGGCCAGGCTGGTCTTGAACTCTTGACCAGGTGATCTGCCTGCCTCAGCCTCCCAAAGTGCTGGGATTACAGGCATGAGCCACCGCACCCAGTCAAACTCTTTTATCTTTAGTAAGGGTAGAGGACCATTGACCAGGTGATCTGCCTGCCTCAGCCTCCCAAAGTGCTGGGATTACAGGCATGAGCCACCGCACCCAGTCAAACTCTTTTATCTTTAGTAAGGGTAGAGGACCAGTCAAAGCCTTTGCCACATTCTTCACATTTGTAGAAATTCTCTTCCGCATGAATTCTCCTATGTGTAGTAAAGTATGAGTACTGGTTATAAGGTTTGCCACATTTTTTACATTTGTAGTGTTATTCTCCAATATGAATTATCTTATGTATAGTAAGGGTTGAAGATTGGTTAAAAGCTTTGCCACATTCTTCACATTTGTAGGGTGTCTCTCCAGTATGAATTTTCTTATGTTTAGTAAGGTTTGAGGACCAGTTATAAGCTTTGCCACATTCTTCACATTTGTAGGGTTTCTCTCCAGTATGAACTCTCTTATGTCTAGTAAGAGTTGAGGACTGGTTAAAAGCTTTTCCACATTCTTCACATTTGTAGGGTTTCTCTCCAGTATGAGTTATCTTATGATTAGTAAGGTTTGAGGATTTTTAAAAAGCTTTGCCACATTCTTCACATTTGTAGGGTTTCTCTCCAGTATGAATTATCTTATGTCTAGTAATTTGTGAGGAACAGTTAAAAGCTTTGCCACTTTCTTCATGTTTGTAGGGTCTCTCTCCAGTATGAATCATCTTATGTGTAGTAAGGTATGAGAATTGGTAGAAATCTTTGCCACATTCTAAACATTTGTAGGGTTTCTCTCCATTATGAATTCTCTTATGTTTAGTAAGGGTTGAGAATACATTAAAGGCTTTGCCACATTCTTCACACTTGTAGGGTCTCTCTCCAGTATGAATTATCTTATGTTTAGTAAGGGTTGAGAATACACTAAAGGCTTTGCCACATTCTTCACATTTGTAGGGTTTCTCACCAGTATGAATTCTCTTATGTGTAGTAAGGCGTGAGTACCAGTTAAAAGCTTTGCCACATTCCTCACATTTGTAGCGTTTCTCTACAGTATGAATCATCTTATGTGTAGTAAGATAAGATAATCGGTAGAAAGCTTTGCCACATTCTTCACATTTGTAGGGTTTCTCTCCAGTGTGAATTCTCTTATGTGTAGTAAGGTAAATGAATCGGTAGAAAGCTTTGCCACATTCTTCACATTTGTAGGGTTTCTCTCCAGTATGAATCAACTTATGTGCAGTAAGGTAGGAGTAACAGTTAAAAGCTTTGCCACATTCTTCACATTTGTAGGGTTTCTCTCCAGTATGAATTATCTTATGTGTAGTAAGGTATGAGAATCTGAAGAAAGCTTTGCCACATTCTCCACATTTGTAGGGTTTCTCTCCAGAATGAATTTTCATGAGTAGTAAGGTTTGAGGACTGTTTAAAAGCTTTGCCACATTCCTCACATTTGTAGGGTTTCTCTTCAGTATGAATTATCTTATGTCTAGTAAGGGTTGCGAATACATTAAAGGCTTTGCCACATTATTCACATTTGTAGGGTTTCTCTCCAGTATGAATTATCTTATGTCTGGTAAGGTGTGAGTACCAATTAAAAGCTTTGCCACATTCCTCACATTTGTAGGGTTTCTCTCCAGTATGAATTATCTTATGTTTAGTAAGGTATGAGAATTGGCAGAAAGCTTTGCCACATCCTTCACATTTGTAGGGTTTCTCTCCAGCATGAATTGTCTTATGTTTAGTAAGGTGTGAGGACTGTTTAAAATCTTTGCCACATTTTTCACATTTGTAGTGTTTCTCTCCAGCATGAATTACCTTATGTCTAGTAAGAGTTGTGGAGTGGTTAAAACCTTTTCCACATTCTTCATGTTTGTAGGATTTGTCTCCAGTATGAATTCTCTTGTGTCTAGTAAGGGTTGAGAACCATTTAAAGGCTTTGCCACATTCTTCACATTGGTAAGAATTCTCTCTAATATGAATTATTTTATGTTGACCTAGGTGTAAAAGCATGCAAAATGATTTGCCACATTTTTTACATTTGAAAGGTTTCTTTCCAGTATGTCTTGTCTTATGTGTATTTGAATTTAAAAATTTATGAAAGACTTTCACATATTTATCACATTGAAATATTTTGCTCTGGGTAGTTGTCAAATACTCTTTTAGTTCATTATAACCTTCTTTTTGCACATTACACTCATTCACACTTTTACAGCCTTTTCTTAACTGTAAATCTTTATGTCCATAATTTCCATATTCTCTCAGTATCACTTTTTGGAAAGAATCTTTTATGCCCGGCTGTGGCCAAAGGTCCTGGGCAAAATGAGAATATGTAACTGAAAGAAATAAAAATATCAAGTTACTCCACTTACTAGACTCAGATAAATATAGATTACAAATCTAAACTATGACATTATACAAACTACATATACAAGATGATATAGCAAAATACCAAAGGCCCTAATTTTTTATAGACATATATATGTAACAAAAACATACTAACGAAAATACATCTGAGAAAAAATTATAAATGAACTAAATGTTTAAAGTACCCCAAGTGAGCACAATGCAAAAAGTCACACAGAAGAAAAAAAAGTTTGTTACACTTACCCAACACAGCTGTTCCTGCTCCCCGATATAACATAATGCCTTTAGAAGTAAATTGCCCCAGATGTGGTGGCTCACACCTGTAATCCCAGCACTTTGGGAGGCTGAAGCATGTGGATCATGAGGTCAGGAGATTGAGACCATCCTGGCCAACACTGTGAAACTCCGTCTCTACTACAAATATAAAAATTAGCTGGGCATGGTGGTGTGTGCCTGTAGTCCCAGATACTCAGAAGGCTGAGGCAGAATTGTTTGAACCCAGGAAACAGAGGTTGCAGTGAGCAGAAATCATGCCATTGCACTCCAGCCTGGGTGACAGTGCAAGAGTCCATCTCAAAAAAAAAAACAAAAAGAAGTAAATTGCCAGCCGGGCGTGGTGGCTCAACCTGTAATCCCAGCTACTCAAGAGGCTGAGGCAGGAGAATTGCTTGAACCCAGGAGGCAGAGGTAGCAGTGAGTCAAAATCACACCATTGCACTCTAGCCTGGGCAACAGAGCAAGACTACATCTCAAAAAAAAAAAAAAAAAGAAAGAAAGAAAAAAAGAAGTAAATTGCCAACATTTTATATATGTATTTTAAAAAACACAAGTAGAATGCACCTGCCATGTCCATGGAGACAGGCTGAGGCAGCCGAGCTCTGGCCTGAGGCACTGGGGCATTGGGATGGTGAAGATGTCAGCTTCCTTAGTCCAGGCAACTGTCCAGGCTGTGAGCAAGAGGAAGCTGCAGCCCACCCAGGCCGCCCTCACCCTGACACCTTCAGCAGTAACCAAAGTAAAACAACTTCTTAAAGATAAGCCTGGCCAGGCGCGGTGGCTCACGCTTGTAATCCCAGCACTTTGGGAGGCCGAGGTGGGTGGATCACGAGGTCAGGAGATCGAGACCATCCTGGCTAACGCAGTGAAACCCCATCTCTACTAAAAATACAAAAAATCAGCCAGGCATGGTGGCAGGTGCCTGTAGTCCCAGCTACTCGGGATGCTGAGGCAGGAGTATGGCGTGAACCCGGGAGACGGAGCTTGCAGTGAGCTGAGATCACGCCACTGCACTGCAGCCTGGGTGACAGAATGAGACTCCATCTCGAAAAAAAAAGAAAAAGAAAAAGGTAAGCCTGAGCTTGTAGGTGTAAAAGTTGGTGTCCAAACCAGGGTCTGTAATGGCCTTTCTTATACTCTAGAATATACAAAGACAAAAGGAGATTCTGATGAAGAAGTTATTCAAGATGGAGTCAGAGTATTCATCAAAAAGAAAGCAAAGCTAACAGTTTTAGGAGCGGAAATGGACTATGTTGAAGACAAATTATCCAGTGAGTTTGTGTTCAATAACCCAAACATCAAAGGGACGTGTGGCTGTAGAGAAAGCTTTAATATTTGAAATCTCAGGACTCTTCTGGCTGTAGGTTCCAAGAAAACTCCTGGAAGCCTTGGTGCTCACTGCAGAAATCATGTGACTCTCACGTGCTTAATGTGCTGCTGCCTTGTAAGGAAAATAAAGTGATGCATCTTGAAAATGAAGCTAGTGTGTTAGATCCCAGAAGAAATATTTGTATTCTCATTAGGGGACAGAAAATGAGAAGCCATCACTCTCCTTGGATCATTTAGGTCTCTTATATCCTTTGTTTTAGAAACAGTTTCATTAAAGTTGCCTTCCTGGGCACCTGTTTATCCATTTCCTGAACAGTGTGCCCTCCTTAGCTCTCTACTGAATGGCTTGAACATGCATCCCCCTCAGCATTTCTCCCAAACAGATCGGTGACTCCTAAAATCTGAGACAGGACGTCCTGACTGCTGGTAGTAACATGGTGGTGCATTGTTTTCCCACCCAAACTTAATATAGCCTTTTTATACATTTGTATGAAAAATTTCATTGTCAGATGCCTCATTGAGTACCCTATAATAGTACCGGGCAAAGATTTTCTTCAACTATAGTACAGATTAGTTCTCAGTGATGGTATTAAAAGGTGAGAAAGACATCATCCATCTGTTTTTTAATCCATTTCTTTTGCCACCTTATGTGCCTGCTCAGAGATAGGATCTCAAGCTGACTTTGATTCTTTTAGTTGAGGGGTCTCTTAAAGCCATCTAGCCCACCTCCCTCAATTCCCTATGTGAGGAAGCAAAACCCCAGGGAAGCCAAAGGGCTCCTGTCCACCCCCACTCCACAGGCCAGGGGAGAGTGGGGACTCTACCCCCATCTCCCCTTCCTTGTAGGTGACACATGCTCTGCCCTCTGAGGCAGTCAGTGAAGGCAAATGGTCTGACTTCTTTATTTGGTCACCATTTTGATAGAATTTCTTTATAATTTGATGGAGATCATATTATTTTTATTTTATTTTGAGTGGGAAGAATTTTAAAACCCTTTTATGTGAACTTGTTTCTTTCATCTTTGAAACTATGGTTTGTAGCAGAGAAGACATTGTAACAACCCAGAATTATGTTTTTGGAATGTGGTCCTCATTGTGCAGGAGAATATGGGGATCTTTTCTTAAAATTCCCAGTGTGCATATACTTTCTGGTTCCTCAGTCCAGTTGCTAAAGTTCTTAATATTTTAGCCTAACATTTTTATCATCAAATTTTCTTAATAAGTGTTCCTTTTGTTACTTAGTTACTGATTTTCCTGGGTTTGACATATTAAGTATTCTATGAGATGACACATATGCTTTTATTGAAAGCTGATTCTCATGAATTCAAGTAGTTGAGTTCCTTTATGTTTCTTTTATTCACTAAAGTAGCTGGCACAAAACACACCAAAACCTAGAGCGGTAGTTTTATGTAAATGCTCATGAGTTTGTATCAATAATATAATTGTTGATCCACTTATAATTCGTGCAATACTGTATGTATGTAGAGATTGAGGTGTCAATTAAAAAAATGTGGCCTTAAAAAAAAAAATTTAAAAAACACAAGTAAAATACTGGCTCATGTATCTTTATTGCTTGCTTGTAGGGGCCTTTGAAGACACTGGTTTCTGTCACCCATGACATATAGTGCTGAAAGAAATGGTGGTATAATTTGGAATGACAGTTTGTGTCTGCTGAGATCAAAGGTAAATGTTAAAGCAGTGAAGAGACTGCAGGACCACAGAAAGAAAACAGGTGCAGTGAGTGATTACTGAGTATTAACAAAGAAGATGAATAATTTCCTTTAACTAAAAAATAAACACAAAATTTCAGGCAAGACACATTGTAAGAATATGTCTGAGAGACTCTCAGAATCTCTAACCCAGACAATTGTTCAAAGTATGCCAGGAGAAAGCCACATTACAAAGACTGGGACAGGTAACATTTTTTTAATGTGCAAATTTTAATAAAAGATTAGAATATATACAAAACAGGGCAATGTAGTACCAACAAAATTATTATAAATTTTTCAGAAAGAAATAAAAAATGTATACATTAATTTTAAAAACAAAATAAATTGAATACTCAATGAGTAAAATATGAACACAGAGAACTACAGAAAATCAGAAAACTGGAAATAAGAACAGAAATATTTAAAATATTGGAAAAACAGAAATTATGGAGGTAAAAAAATATAAAAAATAACAGAAATCTTTTAAAAAGTGATGTAAAAATGAAGAAGCTGAACAAACAAACTAGAATACAAAGATATTTATATCAAACACATATGTAAGCACAATTTTAAAAGTCACAGAAAAGAGAATCTCGGGAGCTGCAAGATAAAAGTGATGTGTTGGCTGGGCGCGGTAGCTCAAGCTTGTAATCCCGGCACTTTGGGAAGCTGAGGTGGGTGAATCACCTGAGGTCAGGAGATCGAGACTAGCCTGACCAACATGGAGAAACCCTGTCTCTACTAAAAATACAAACTTAGCTGGGTGTGGTGGCATATGCCCGTAATCCCAGCTACTCGGGAGGCTGAGGTAGGAGAACTGCTTGAACCTGGGACACAGCGAGGTGAAATCGCGCCATTTCACTCCGGCCTGGGGAACAACAGTGAAACTCCATCTCAAAAAAAAAAAAAAAAAAAGTGATATTATTTGCAAGAATACTCTTATGAGATAGCCAGTGGATTCTCAACAAAAATTTTTCAGGACAGAAGAAAACTGTGTGATATAGTGAAATCTGAAGAAAATAGTTATCAAGTGAGTATAATACCATCACCAAATCTGTCCTGCTAAATAAAAAGAAAACAAACTTCAAAAATAACCAAATTTTAAAAAGTATATTGGTACTTCCTTACATATAAAAGGTGCTGAAAACAGTTGCTTCCAATGAAAATAAGATGATTTAACAAAGCAACACAAAATCATATTAAAACACATTATTTTCTGGGAAAGATACGCACATACACAAAAATACATTTCTTAGCATTATCATAATGGCACAGAAGAAATTTTTAATTATTCCCCAAAATTTGAAAGATAAAGGCATAGAAATCATTATAAACATGTTAATAAATATACATATAAAAATATAATTAGCAACATCAAGAACAAATCTGAGAACATATGTAATGAGAAAAAATTTTTGCATGCAACAAAAGTTCATTTTTAACTAGACTGAAATACATTGTATCTCTTAAAGGTTTTATGTAATCCCCCACGTACCACAAAGAATATGCCTGTATAGACACAGAAAACAACATAAGAAAGAAGTAAAAGCATATCAAAGTAAAAATAAAACAGCCACAGAGAGAAACAAAGAGAGAAAATGTGGGACAAAGATGCAAGAATCAAATAGAACAACAAAAAAAATTAGTAAGTCTCTTTGTTTCAGAAAACTTTCCAATCAAGAGACATACTTTCAATAAAGAAATTTATTTAAAATTATTAAAAACCAAGATCCAATTTGCCTTTCTACAAGGGTCAGCTGACATCTAATGATTAAAAACATACTGAAGGTGGCAAGATAGATTTAGACATTGCATGCAAATATTAACCAAATGAGAGCAGAAGAGGTCAAAATAGTATTACAAAAGCCACATCTTAAGTCAAAAACTGTCATATCTTACATAAAGTACTTTAAGTCAAAACTGCAAAGAGACAAAGAAAGACATTAAACAATAATAGATTTATTAACTGGGAACCTATGACAAATTTTGTGTGTGTGTGTGTGTGTGTGCACGTCTGTGTGTCTGTGTGTATGTCACACTAAGGTTCCAAATATATAAAGCAAATATTGACAGACTGGAAGAAACACCTAGACAGCAATATAATTATAGTAGGAAATTTCAATACCCCACTTTCTGTAATAAAAATAAAACAAGACAGAATATTAGTAAGTGAAGAGAGGAACTGAAGGCAGTATAATACAATTTTTTTTTTTTTTAGATGGAGTTTGCTCTTGTTACCCAGGCTGGAGTGCAATGGCACGATCTCAGCTCACCACAACCTCCGCCTCCTGGGTTCAAGCGATTCTTCTGCCTCCGCCTCCTGAGTAGCTAGGACTACAGGCACGTGCTGCCATACCTGGCTAATTTTGTATTTTTAGTAGAGATGGGGTTTCTCCATGTTGGTCAGGCTGGTCTCAAACTCCCAAACTCAGATGATCCGCTCGCCTCGGCCTCCCAAAGTGTTGGGATTACAGGCATGAGCCACTGCGCCCAGCCTGTACAATTATTTTTAACAGAGAAATAGAGAAGAGTCCTCAAGAATATGAGGAAACACATCCTTCAAAATAGCTTATGCAACATTCTCTTTGATAGACCACCTGTTAGGCCAAAAACGGAGTCATAAAAATTTGTTAAATTTGACATTTTATGAATTACATCCTATGACCAAAATGGAATGAAAGTATAAAATAGAAAAAAAGGCTGGGTGTAGTGGCTCACGCCTGTAATCCCAACACTTTGGGAGGCCAAGGCAAGTATACTAAAAATCCAATTTTTTAATAAAACTTTTTATAAAAACATGAGTTTTTACTAAAAACTCTCATGGTGGTGCATGCCTGTAGTCTCAGCTACTCGGGAGGCTGACATAGGAGAATCGCTGGAGGCAGAGGTTACGATGAGCCAAGATGGCGCCTTTGCACTCCAACCTGGGCAACAAGAGTGAAACTCCATCTCAAAACAAAAAACAAAACAAAACAAAAAAACTACAATAAACTTTGAATAGCCAAAGCAATCTTGAGGAAAAAGAACAAAGCAGAGAGACATTATATTTTATAATTTCAGACTATATTTCAAGAATATACTAATAAAAAAAGATGGAATGTGCAGAAAATTAACATAAAAACCAATAGAACAGTGACCACTACTCTCACACATTTTAGACATGATGCAAAAGAGAACTAAAAAAATAGTTTAACATAAAGTTTCTCAAAATCATGCAGATATTTGTGTGTCCCCCAAAACAATGGAAATGCAGTCAGATTGTGCAGTCTTTTATATGCCATGAAGAGGACTCTGGCTCTCACTGTGAACTTGAAGGAAAATCAATGAAGGGAAAGTAGAATCCTTAGAGAATTTAAAAGCCTAAGACAGAAGATGGCCCTATGTGACAGTAACAACAACAAAAAGAAAACAAACAAAAAAACCACACACCTCAGGCTTCCCAGAATCTATTTGCTTTGGAACACAGCTTCCCAAATCACATTATAGGGACTGCTTTTTTTTTTTTGTAATCTTCCAACCTTTCATCTATGTCAACTGTTTTATTCACTCTCACCTACCTGGGGGTGTGGCTACCATACTGTGTCTCTTCATATTCCAGGGATCTTTTCCTTGCTCCAGACAGGTGATCAGATCTGGCTTAGAGACATCAATACCTGATTTATTAAAAATAAATAACATGAATCTTGCTCATATTCTCTAATTACCTACCTATTACTGTGCTTAGTAAAGAGGAGGTAATAGAATATTCTAGAAAATTCATCCCAAAATACTATTTAATGACAGAAAGTTCTTACATTTAGAAAATATTTTAAATTTGTAGGTCCTTAATTTTGCTACTCAGTGCTCATGAATCAAAAATTAGTGGTGGCAAATAGATTTTAACCTATGGGCAACAATATTTTATACTACTAAATTTCTGAGATTACCACTACTCTAGAGTGAAGGGTACAGACCAGCTCAGGAATGCAAAAAGTTCAGGCTAAGATAAAACATCTTGAGGAAATTTTTTTCTGCATGGATAATTCCTCGCAATTTTTTGAAAACAGGGATCAGAAACGCATTTATGCAAAGCATAAACTACCAAAAATTATTCTACAAAAATGGAGAAATGAAACCTTTAGTGTATATAAGGAATTGTGTATTAAAGTTATTCTCACCCAAGAACACCAGGTTTCTGAAGTTCTCTAACATCACTTTCCTATACAAATCTTGCTGAGCAGTGTCCAGGCATTGCCACTCCTCCTGAGAGAATTCTATGACCACATCCCTAAATGTCAACGGCCCCTGAAAAACACACACACACACACATATTTACAAGTGTCCACGGGCAGAATTTATCATTTGAATTAAGGTTAAATGAGAGAGTAAAGAAAATTGGTTCTGACTTACAGGAATAACTGAAATCATCCAACAATTTTCAACACAGAAATATTCTCTAATGTATTCTCTAACTCTGAGAGAAGAGAATGGTATAAGATCCACAATACCGCTGTATATATGATAATTTTATGAACAATAAAGTATAAAAACGAAAGGCATGAACACAAACATGTATATTTTTTAGTGTTATATTTGCATCACAAAGAATGAGTAGTGCATATTTTTTAGGCAAAAATGACATGTTGAGTTAGACAGCACCTCTCAAGTTTTAATGTGTACAATACACTGGAGATCTTATGCAGATTTTTTTTTTTCAGAAGATGTGAAATAAAGTCTGAGATTCTGAATTTCTAACAAGCTCACTAGTAATGCCAATGTATTTCGCCCAAAAAGAACATTTTGTCAAACATCCAGTAAGTGGAAGAGCCTGTGTTTTACCCCATTTTTCTGGCCTGTAAACAAAGATAAGAGTCTTCATTTTCTAAAGATAGACATATGCAAAGAAAACCTAAGAAAGAAAGGCAGCTGCCAGATTAAATGTGATGATTTATGCACAGCTCTTCTTTGGCTACATAAAGATACTTAATAATGAGGAGAAAAATAATTAACTCTACAGTGAAATGAATATTTCCAAGAGCTCTTGAAGTAAATTTTAAAATCAACTGCACAAGGACAAATTTTTGTGATGTGCTGACGCACACCGAAGAACACAGCATCATTACTGAGATATTGCCCCCCAAAAAGTATAGTCTGAATTTAACCACACAGAAAAATCAGTTTTATGCAGAGTTCAAGATGCAGATATCTTCTATGTTCTGTAATTTTTAATAACAATTTAAAGTAGTCTTTCTTTAGCACCCTAGAAAGCGGGTATCTCGCAATAATTTTTTTTTCAGAACTTTCAGAGTAATAAATGCCATCCAGTTTAAATAAGCATTTTCTTAATCCTGTTCTGAACAGAGCTAATGAAGAACACATATGAAACCTCAACATTACATGTTCTCCATCCTTACTAAGGACGTTCCCCCAATAGGAATCTTGAGTATCCACATCTTTCCACGTTCAACAGCAACAAGGGAAACACTTTTAATAGTGCAGATCAAAAATTCCTGGTAAGAATTCTGCATGGCGTATAAGAAGCCATGATTTAGAGAGTGTAGAGAAGGCTCTGGGATATAGGAGAGAGATACTTTGCAGAGACCCTTGACTACCACAAGAATTTTTTATAGTAGTTAAACTCATTAGGGGAAAGAAACACAAGTAGAGAAGTAAATGTTTGCAAGGACTAAATGCATCGCACTCCAGGAGGCAGAGTGGACACAGCTCTTCATCTGACACATGTTTAGCTGAAAAAAAAAAAAAAAGCCATTTTTCCTCTTTTGTCTTCTTTGGAAATGCTTTTCAGATGACATTCTCTGGAGAAGTTACACCTGTGTCTTGAAAAAATTCCTTAAAAGGCGTCAGCACCACCTGTTTACCTGCTAGTCTCACACCCACAGAAAAAAGAACTAAGAACTGCAGAAAAAGCACACCCATTTCTGTCCTTTATAACAGCAGAGATTCAGGAACAATGAACTGCTCAATGAATATAAAAATATGTTTCTCTATTTCTGTCTTCAGGTGCCTGCTTTTGCCACAAACACCAGCAATTTCTGCTACAGTAATGGAAATATGGGTGACACTGACCTCTCCCTATCAAAACCAAACAGAACGGTCCCTGTGACTACCTTTTAGTGCAAAGGTGGAACTTAACTCTCATGAATGTATCTTGAACCCCACACACTTGATTCTGGCCTCACCTTAGAGTCACATGAGACACAATTAAAACAACATGAATACTTTCACCTAGAACAATAAACAGAACCTGTGGAAAGGGTACAAGTAAAGAGATTTCTGCAAATTGGCCATGTAATGCTAATGAGAAGTCTAGGCTGATAACCACTTAGCTAAGCATTGCCTCTCAACCTTTAATGAGCTCAAAAATCACTTGGTAACGTTGGTCCCACTTTATGTAATGTGATTCTGTAGGTTTGGAAAGGGTCCATGGATGGGTGTTTCAAACAAGTCCCGTGTCAATGCTGATGTTGCTCCCCTTGGGCTCATTATTAGCATTAGTTAGAGAAAGCAGGCACAGCACAGAGTCCTTTACATGCCGCACTCTTGTCACAATACAATACTTCTGATACCCAAATAAAGACAAAAAATGTAAAGTTTCATATTCTTTGCTGGCTCTCTAAAGTTTACAGAGGACACAGAAGGCAGCAATGTCTAAATAAGTCTGCATTTAAAAAACAACATGTACACATGAACTAATGCAATGTTTATTAAGCAGGTACTATGTGCTCAATAGTATGTTGCAGAGCACTGTGCTGGGAATAACACATTATGTGTTATTATTTGTTATTATGTCCTACTAACACCTTGAAAGTTCATACTAAGTGTTCAATAATTCTCAGGATTTAGAATGTAGTTTAGAGAAATTTTTTTGTGTTTATGTTTACTTGTTTATGACTTGTAGAGCAGCTACTGGATCTGCAGGAACAGAAAATCTGCTAAATGGAACGTTTCTGTAAGCACTGGTTTTACTACAAAATTTAAAAATTAAGATCTTAAAATGTATAGTTTATTTTTCTTATGTATCTGCTTTTGGGTTTCAGGATACTGTGAGCAGCAGCTCTAGAAAGTCAGCAGGATTTACCCCCAAAAACTTGAATCTTTATAAATCAGTTTTGTAAGGGAACACTCCAGAGTGAGGCCAGACCTAAATAAGGCCTCCAAAAATGGTGAATCTGATCAGAACTGGGGCAGGGAAAAGAACCTAGGTAGAATTTGTTTTCTATGTCACTGGAGTATTTCCAGTTCTGTTTTTCCTAAGTTTACCTAAGAAAAACTTAAATCCCAGCCTGGCACGGTGGCTCATGCCTGTAATCCCAGCATTTTGGGAGGTCGAGGTAGGTAGGTCACCTGAGGTCGGGAGTTCAAGACCAGCCTGACCAACATGGAGAAACCCCATCTCTACTAAAAATACAAAATTAGCCAGGGTGGTGGTGCATGCCTGTAATCCCAGCTACTCGGAAGGCTGAGGCAGGAGAATCGCTTGAACCCGGGAGGCGGAGGTTGAGGTGAGCTGAGATCGCGCCATTGCACTCCAGCCTGGGCAACAAGAGCGAAACTCCGTCTAAAAAAGAAAAAAGAAAAAAAAAGTTAAATCCCAGAGTTTATGTAACACTAATCTATTTTTGCCACTGCTGTCAATTTTATAACATATACTAATAAGCAATTTAAATGGATCTTTTAAAGTTTTCTAGGATAATTTTATTAGAAGATAAATATGTATTCTTAGAAAAGTAAAAGAAACACAAATAATAATAACTCTTCAGTCCATAAATATACGTTCAGGTGATAACTTCAGAAGTCACAACAATATTAAAAAGAAGTGGACCAAGGTTTTTTTGCACACTTCTATTCACTGTACCAACCATATAATGCTTAATTCAACCATGTATCCAGTTGCTAGTCTAGACTAAAATTTCCTGGATGGTAGGGACCTTGACTGCTTCATCTATTTTTTGAATGACCATATGAAGTGGAAGCAATTAGTTTGTTTGAGTCACCAGACCTCCTCTTTGTCTTTCACCCTAGTACCAGAAAACTTGAGAAACTCTCATCTGGGTAACAACCAAAGTTATCTCTTGTATGAGGGAGAAAAAAACACAGGATGTCTCCTTTCTCTTACAACGAGACAGAAACATAATTAATCATTCTTGTTAGCCTGACATAATTCTACCCTTGACATCCTCAAATGTCTTAAGGACACCCAGGTGATTAGGAGAGGATTCCCAGTGACCCAGGGCTGATGGCCCAGTGATAAGCCAGGCTGGAGAAACTCAGGCTGATTCTAAATAGAAAATGGAACTGCCTTGGTGGAGCCCCAGAACCTGGGTCACCTATCCTGATTTTTGCTAGCTTTTGGGTAAGAAGAAGGACGAGAATACTTTACTCCAATATCACAATTACCGGTAGGTATAGTTGTGGTTATGGCTCTGGATACTTTGTGGCCTTGATCTCTCATTCTTGTTTACACTTACAGATTCTATCATCAGATTCTATTTACACCAGGAGCCTCTCACATACTGTAGCAGGTCACTGAACAAGATTGAAAAGCTTAAAGAGCCACATTCTCAAATGGGGGCTTTAAGATTTCTACACTGACATCTCACAATACAGAAAATGCCTTTTGTTGGTTTTCAGTACATTCTCAACCCAAAGTCTGGCCCTGTCTTGTAAATCCCAGGCAGAGGCCAGAACTTATGTGCAGGTTCTAGGTGAGGTTAGCCTGACTCTGCATCCTTGGGCATTACAGCAAGCCGAGTACAGTCAAAGAAGAGATCCCTTCATAGAGGCTGCTCTAGCACATTCTAAGTAATATGTCTACCTAAAAGAAAAAAACTGAGGCAACATGAATATAAGTAGAGACTTCATCTGGGCCAAGCTTGAGGATTGTAAACTTGGAGCAAAGATACATCCTCCAAAGACTGAACAAATAAGAAATTGAATCCCTGAATATACCAATAACGAGCTCCAAAATTGAATTAGAAATAAATAGCCTACCCACCAAAAACAACAAAGAATCAGAAAAATTTACAGCTGAATTCCACCAGATGTAAAAATTAGAGTTGGTACCACTTCTACTAATATTATTTCAAAAGATTGAGAAAAGGGGACTTCTTTCCAACTTATTCTATAAAAATAGCATTATTCTGATACCAAAATCTGGCAAATATAAAACAAAAAATAGAAAACTTGAGGCCAATATTTTTAATGAACATTGATGAAAATATCAACAAAATACTGGCAAACCAAATCCAGGAGAACATCAAAAAGCTAATGCACTATGATCAACTTGGCTGTATCTCTGAAATAAAAGGTTGGTTCAACATACAATTAATAAATGTTACTCATCATGTAAACACAATTAAAGATAAAAACCACAAAGTCATTTCAATAGATGTTTAAAAAGCTTTCAACCATTATGGGCATGGTGGCTCACACCTGTAATCCCAGCACTTTGGGAGGCCGAGGTTGGCGGATCATGAGGTCAGGAGTTCAAGACCAGTGTGACCAACATGGTAAAACCCAATCTCTACTAAAAATACGAAAATTAGCCAGGCATGGTGGTGTGTGCTTGTAATCCCAGCTACTCAGGAGGGCGAGGCAGGAGAATCACTTGAATCCAGGAGGTGGAGGTTGCAGTAAGCTGAGATCATGCCATAGCACTCCAGCCTGTGAGAGAGTGCGAGACTATGTCTCAAAAAAAAAAAAAAAGAATGAAGCTGGAAGCATTACATTGCCCCTCTTCAAACTACATTACAGTAACCAAAGCAGCATTATACTGGCATAAAAACAGACTCATAGAACAATGCAACAGAATAGAGAGCCCAGAAATAATGCCACACACCTCCAACCATCTGATCTTTGACAAACCTGACAGGAATATGAAAAGAATTCTGTATTTAATAAATGGTGCTGGAATAACTAGCTAGCACTATGTAGAAGATTGAAACTGGTCCCCTTCCTTACACTATATATAAAAATCAACTCAACCTGAATTGAAGACTTAAATGCAAAACTTAAAACATGCATGTTCATTTCACCACTGTCCACAATAACAAAGACACGGAATAAACCTAATTGCCTATTGATGGTAGACTAGATTGAAAAAATATAATATGGTAGCATGAGGTGGCTCACGCTTGTAATGCCAGCACTTTAGGAGATTAAGGCAGGTGGAATGCCTTAGCTCAAGAGTTAAAGACCAGCCTGGGCAACATGGCAAAGCCGTATCTCTACAAAAAATAAAAAAAGAAAAATTAGGCGTGATGGTGTGAGCCTATAGTTCCAGTTACTTAAGGGGCTGAGGTAGGAGGATTCCTTAAACCTTGAGCCTTGGAGGTTGAGGCTGAAGTGAGCCAAGATCACACCACTGCATTCCATCCTATGTGACAGAGTGAGACACTGTCTCCAAAAATAAAATAAAGATTTAATCAAAATAAAATATGGTACATAAAAATCAAGGAAGACCATGTGGCCATATAAAAACACAAAGCCAGGCACTGTGGCTCATGCCTATAATCCCAACACTTTGGGAGGCTGACGCAGATGGATTACTTGAGATCAGGAGTTCAAGACCAGCCTGGCCAATATACTAAAACCCCGTGTCTACTAAAAATACAAAAAATCAGCTGGGCGTCGTGGCAAGTATCTGTAATCCCAGCTACTCGGGAGGCTGAGGCAGGAGAATCACTTGAACTTGGGAGGTGGAGGTTGCAGTAAGCAGAGATCACACCATTGTACTCCAGCCTGAGCAACAGAGTAAGAATTTGTCTGGCTGGGCGCTTTGGCTTCTGTCTGTAATCCCAGCACTTTGGGAGGCTGATGTGGGCAGATCACAAGGTCAGGAAATCAAGACCATCCTGAGCAACATGGTGAAACCCCATCTCTACTAAAAATACAAAAATTAGCAGGGCTTGGTGGCATGCACCTGTAGTCCCAGCTACTCGGGTGGCTGAGGCAGAATTGTTTGAACCTGGGAGGCTGAGGTTGCAGTGAGCCGAGATAGCACCATTGCACTCCAGCCTGGACAACAAGAGCAGAACTACGTCTCAAAAAAAAGAAAAAAAAAGAGTTTGTCTCAAAAAACAAGCAAACAAACAAAAAACACCAAGATTAAGTCCTTTGCAGCAATATGGATGGAGCTGGAGACCATTATTCTTAGAAAATTAACGCAAAACAGAAAACCAAATGCATGTCACCATTTATAAGGAAGAGCTAAATAATAAGAACACATGGACATAAAGAAGGAACAGTCATGGAGGCCTAGTTGAGGATGAAGGATAAAAGGACAAAGAGGATCAGAAAAAAATACCTCTTTGGTGCTATGTTTAGGAACTCACTGACAAAATAATCTACAACAAACCCCCATGACACAATTTTACCTATATAACAAACCTGCACGTGTATGCCTGAACCAAAAAGAAAAGTTAAGAAAAACCCATGCGTGCAGAAGAGTGCAATATAACTGGAAAGAACTGTTTGTTCTGCAGATAGTGGTCCCAGTGGGGCTGTACTCTGATTTATTTCTGTGTCCATGCAGGCAGATGAGATTATGAACAGGTGCTCCATAATGCTAGGTAGATGGAGAAAACAGGTTACTGCTGCAGATACAGTGGGGATATGCCAGGAGAGTTGTAGACACTTTTGCGTCTTTTTGGCAAGAAACCCTAGGATCAAATATGCTGTGGTGAAGTTCCTGATGGTGGTGCCTAGTCCTGGGAGGAGTGTGGACACATCAATGTCTAGTGGGTGTGTTTGTGAGTGGGTGGGAATCCTGTGGTGGCAGCTGTGAGACAGAGGGTCTGTCATTAGATCTCCTTTCCTCTGAGTTTTCATTCTCTCACCCTAAGAGGAGACCTGGAATCACAGGACAATGGGCAGTATGACAGTCTGTGTACAGGAGAGCAGAGCCTTCCATTTTCAGACACCTGGAGTTCCACTGCAGGCCAGGCGTCTGTGATATCTTTCTTCTGGCACCAAATCTGTAGCATTTGCTGAACATCAAGCAATTCTCTAACACCAACTCAATGTCTAACATTTGAATTCTGACACCACCCAGAGTCAGCACAGACCCTGATTCAGGGCTCAGTCTCACAACATTGTCCTCACTGCAGATGCCAGTCACAAACCCCATAGGCCCATCTATGTGTCTGAGCTA
Organism: Homo sapiens; assembly: GCF_000001405.40. Lineage (NCBI taxonomy): Eukaryota > Metazoa > Chordata > Mammalia > Primates > Hominidae > Homo > Homo sapiens. The sequence goes on along the minus strand of NC_000019.10, from coordinate 21,367,370 downwards.
CTGTTTAAAAACTGGGGACTCCTGAGCCCTTTCTCAAGTTCAATTATCTGATCGAGCTACTCACAGAACTCAGAAAAACACTGTAGTTATGTTTACCAGTTTATTATAAAATATACAACTGAGGAAAGTCAAATAGAAGAAATGTATAGGACAAAAAAAGATGTAGAAAGATGAAACACATACATAACCCTAGTAAATAGCTGTGATTAATAAAATTCTTCATCCTTTGTGTTCTTCAGGAACAGTTTATAGAAAGAAATACCCTTCCCATTATGACTTAGATGGTGCTCTCTTTCCTTATTTATTACACATCCAGACACAGAATCTGTCAGAGGTACACAGCATCCATTTTGAATAGGGGCTGAGTAAAATAAGGATGAGACCTACCAGGCTGCATTTCCAGATGGTTAGGTATTCTAAGTCACAAGATGAGATAGGAGGTCAGCACAAGATACAGGTCACAAAGATCTGGCTGATAAAATAGCTTGCAGTAAAGAAGTGGGATAAAAGCCACCAAAACCAAGATGGTGATGAGAGTGACCTCTGGTCATTCTCCGTTACCCTCCCACCAGTGCCATGAGAGGTTACAAATGCCATGGCAACATCAGGATGTTACATCGTAAAGGTCTAAAAAGGAGATATATAAATAATCCACCTTTTATTTAGCATATAATTAAAAAGTAAACATAAAAATGTGCAACCAGCCTATGGAGAAAGCCATTTCTTTTATTTCTTTACTTTCTCAATAAATTTGCTTTCACTTTATGACTTGCCCTGAATTCTTTCTTGAGCAAGATACAAGAACCCTCTCTTGGGGTATGGATCAAGACTTCTTTCTAGTAACATTTTCCTGGCAACCACAAAAGGACTATACTGAAGAGACTTCTGTCCCTCCCCCAGAAAAATTATCTGTGGATACCAATTGGCTGACTTTGAGTCCATATACCTGGGTAAAGGATGAGATTAGGTTGGAGGCACAACTTAGGAAAGTCAGAGTCTCTCCTAAGACAGCGTGGGTTAAAGGAGCCTCTAAAACAAGGCAAGGATGCTTGACTGTACTTGGATTCAAGACCCAACTTAGGAAGGTTATAGTCCTTCCTAAGATGTAGGTTAGAGACCGCTCTCAGTAAAGTCTCAACTAAGAACTGGTTTCACACCACTGGATGTTAATTGCTATTCTTTTTGGATTAATCTGTCTTGCACTGTTTGCTGGTGTCTATGAGTGACAGAATTAGGACATGGGGAGCTCTTTCCCCTCCAAAAGGGGAAACTTGAGAGCTGACAGGACTTCTGGAAACGACCCTTTTGCTACCAAGAAGCGGCTGCCTGAACTTGTAAAATATATTGCAGTTGTACTCTGTGTGTAGAAATGCAGGATAAACTTTCTGGATGTTTCCTATTCTTTTTTTTTTTTGAGATGGAGTCTCCCTCTGTCACCCAGACTAGAGTGCAGTGGCGCGATCTTGGCTCACTGCAACTTCTGCCTCCCAGGTTCAAGCGATTCTCCTGCCTCAGCCTCCTGAGTACCTGGGATTATAGGCGCGCCCTACCATGCCTGGCTAATTTTTTGTATTTTTGGTAGAGACAGGGTTTCGTCATTTGGTCAGGCTGGTCTTGAACTCCTGACCTCAAGCGATCCACCCGCCTAGGCTTCTCAGAGTGCTTGGATTACAGGCATGAGCTACCACGCCCAGCCTAGATGTTTTCTTAAATTAAACACTTACTAATCTTTGAGATAACCCCTTTTTTGAAACTCAACAGTTATGAATGGCCCTCACATACTGATGAGTTCCGATTGAGCTCCTCTCTACCTCAAATACAAAAGACTCTAATAGTTAAGCAAGAATATCATCGCCCCTATACAGCATGAAGTAGTTACAGAAGATGAATTTTCATTCCTCTGTAACCCTTATGATTAAGGGGTTTTTTTGTACAAAAGAGGGAGGAAATGTCAGGCATATTGAACCAGGGCAAATCCATTTTGAATAGGGGGTGGGTAAAATAGGGCTGAAACCTACTGGGCTGAATTCCCAGATGGTTAGGCATTCTAAGTCACAGGATAAGATAGGAAGTCAGCACAGGATACAGGTCATAAAGACCTGGCTGGCAAAACAGCTTGCAGTAAGGAGCAGGATAAAACCCAACAAAACCAAGATGGCAATGAGTGTGACCTCTGCTCATCCTCACTGCTACACTCCCACCAGTGCCATGACAGTTTACAAATGCCATGGAAACATCAGGAAGTTACCCTATATGGTCTACAATGGGAATAAATAATCCACCCCTTGTTTAGCATATAATCAAGAAATAACTGGCTGGGTGCAGTGGCTCATGCCTGTAATCCCAGCACTTTGGGAGGCCAAGGTGGGTGGATCATGAGGTCAAGAGATGGAGACCATCCTGGCCATCACGGTGAAACCCTGTCTCTACTAAAAAAAAAAAAAAAAAAAAAAAAAAATTAGCTGGGTATGGTGGTGGATGCCTGTAGTCCCAGTCACTCAGGAGGCTGAGGCAGGAGAATCACTTGAACCCAGAAGGCAGAAGTTGCCATGAGTCGAGATCATGCCACTGCACTCCAGCCTCACAACAGAGCAAGACTCCCTCTCAAAAAAAAAAAAAAAAAAAAAAGAAAGAACCATAAAATGGGCAACCAGTAGGCCTCCGGACTGCTCTGCCTATGGAGTAAGCAATTCTCTTATTTCTTTACTTTCTTAATAAACTTCCTTTCATTTTATTCAATGAACTTACCCAGAATTCTTTTCTAGAATGAAATCCAAGGACCCTCTCTTGGGGTTTGGATTGGGACCCTTTTTTGGTAAAAACTTGGCACCTTTTCTTCTTTTTCTTATTAAAAGAGTCAGCTGTATTTGTCTTCAGTGGTCTAAATAAAATTTTTCACAGGCTACTGAACTTTGAGCTACCCTCAATCTGAGCCATTATACAATTTCATTCTATATCCCTCCTAAGAACATGCTGACTTCAGGATAAAACATTCTCTGATCTGAAATCTGATTTTTTAACCCCCCGTTTGCCATTCTCCTCCATTCTTTCTAATCTTGTAGGCTCCACTCTATGAAAAAAAGCCCTTGTCTACCTAAAATTGCATTCCTTAAAATTTTTATAATTGGTATTCCTCCTGTTGCAATGCTCTTTTTGAATTCTTTTTTTTTTTTTGAGACGGATTCTCGCTCTATTGCCCAGACTAGAGTGCAGTGGCATGATCTCGGCTCACTGCAACCTCCATCTCCCGGGTTCAAACATTTCTCCTGTCTCAGGCTCCTAAGTCACTGGGGCTACAGGTGCACATCTCTACGCCTGGATTATTTTTGTATTTTTAGTAGAGACGGGGTTTCACCATATTGGTCAGGCTGGTCTCGAACTCCTGACATCAGGTGGTATGCCCGCCTCAGCCTCACAAAGTGCTGGGATTACAGACATGAGCCACCATGCCGGGCTCTAGAATTCAATTTTTTTTTTTTTTTTTTAAATGGAGTCTCACTGTCACCCAGTCTGGAGTGCAGTGGGACCGTTATCGGCTCACTGCAACCTCCGACTCCTGGGTTCAACCATTTCTCCTGTCTCAGCCTCCAGAATAGCTGGATTATAGGCACCCATCACCACGCCCAGTTAATTTTTGTATTTTTAGTAGAGATGGGGTTTCACTATATTGGTCAGGCTGGTCTCAAACTCCTGACCTCAGGTGATCCGCCCACCTTGGCCTCCCAAAGTGCAGGGATTACAGGCATGAACCACCGTGCCTGGGTCTAGAATTCAAATTTTTTAACAGAAATTAACTTTATAACATATTACAAAGTCTAGAAACTGCCTTAAAACAACTACACGGTCAGTAAGACCCTCCCAGTCCCCTTTTGTCTTAACCTTAACTCATCTGCCTGTAGCTTTCCAGGACTCTAGCTTCTCTCATCAGAAAGGCTTCTTCCATGACTGGAGTGAGCAGGCTAGAACATCTGCAGGAGAGGCACTCCAGAAAAAACTAACTGGACCTTTAATAACCTACTTTTACAGTCTCAATATAAGCCCTAGCTCTGAGTCACTGGGCTCAAGCTTTAATTTCCATGTTAGAGTTGCTCACTTGGTTTTTGAAACTAAGTTGTTTGAAAAATCCAAAAAAATTACTCAAACACAGTATTCCTATAAGGGAAGAAAATTTTAAGGTGCTTACATTTTATACCTTAATAAGAAAAGCAAAAGTATTTCTATCAGAAAATAAATGTATTATTCTATTAATTCCATTAAAAATCATGCAGCAAACATTTAGTCATATGGAAACACTTCCAGGCAATACCAAGTTTCATCTCATAAAATTTAGCATAAAACTCAGAAATCAAGATAACAGAATTTGAACAGAGATATTCGCTGTCAAAAATTTACCCTGCCAAAAAAAGGAACTGATGTTTTCATGAATCTATGTAACTCACCAATTATCTACCACATTTTCTTGTGGAAACGTATTCATTTTCTACGGCAAAAATGGAATAGACATTTTTCCTCTTCTTTTTCTTGGTAGCATTCTGAAAGCTAAGCTTGAAATTCTGTTTGAAATCACCCAGCCATTAAAAGCTACACCTGAGAAAACTTGTAAACTCACTCTGGGAAAGAAAAAGGTAAGTGAAAATTTTTAACAAATGAAATATATGATTAATTTTTTTGAATCCCACGTCTTTTATGCCCTTTGTAAATATTTTTCTACCTTTCAAGCCCTACTAATATAATGTAACCTTACAGCTAAAAAACAGGTGAAAATAAGTGAACAAATCTCTTCAAGGTGACAAATCCAGGAATGGCAGTGCTGGTTAAATAACAGATGTGTCTGACTCACGTTTCAAGTCAGGCCATTCAATCACTTGAGAGATCCTTCCACCCACTCCTGCTCACTTATGTGCTCAAGAACCACCCATTCAGGAGACACTGCACTATTTTTCGGTGACTGCCCTAGGTGCATTTTACTTTGCAAGTTCTTACACCATCTCACTGGAGTCAGTTTGTTGTTGTTTTTGTTGTTTGTCTTTCGGGATACTATTTTTTTGGTCACATATTTTTCACTGTTTTTTACTCTTTTTCTTTTACTATATTTATTTCACTATTCTTCTGCTCCCTTACAGAATCCAGGGGGCAGAAGTTATTACTGTGTTTGTTCCTCATTACCAGCATCTGATTGGCTGACAAGCAATTTGTCTCCATGAAATGGAAGCAGGGTTGGTAGAAGACAATTTATTCATTATTATTATTATTATTATTATTATTATTATTATCATTATTATTATTATTAGATGGAGTTTCACTCTTGTTGCCCAGGCTAGAGTGCAATGGCAGGATCTCGGCTCACCACAACCTCTGCCTCCCGGGATCAAGTGATTGTCCTGCCTCAGCAACCCCGAGTAGCTGGAAATTCAGGCATGCACCACCATGCTTGGCTAAGTTTTTTGTATTTTTAGTAGAGCATGTTTTTCAAGCTGGTCCCAAAGACAATTTTAACATATCAAGGGGTTACCTTTTCAAAATAAGAGTACTCCAGAAGATTCCTCTCAGCCCCAGGGTATCCACTTGCCCCCTTGACAGGATACACTCCATACCTCAGGTCGTCCTATGGGAGAAAATAAACCAGAAGCTGATATCCACTAGACACTCTAGCTGACATAACCATGGCAGATATCTCGGTTTATCCCCAGATAATACTGAAACCCAGGACCGGGAAAAAACTAAACGGTGGCTGAGGACACATCACCCCATAAATTTTCCAAAGCAGAACTCTGACCCAAAAAAATTCCGATAACATCTCTGTGCCTAGAAAGATAAAAGGAAAAGACACACAGAGATTTTTTGCAACACAGTGTCAGGGGATTATTATTTGCTTTCTTTTCATGGAAAATATTTACAAACAGATAACAAACCTTCTTAAAAGTACCATTGGTCTGGGTGTGGTGGCTCACGCCTGTAATCCCCACACTTTGGGAGGCCGAGGCGGGCGGATCACCTGAGGTCGGGAGTTCGAGACCAGCCTGACCAACATAGAGAAACCCTGTCTCTACTAAAAATAAAAAATTAGCCGGGCGTGGTGGCTGGCACATGCCTGTAATCCCAGCTACTCGGAGGCTGAGGCAGGAGAATCGCCTGAACCCGGGAGGCAGAAGTTGCGGTGAGCCGAGACCATGCCACTGTACTCCAGCCTGGGCAACAAGAGCAAAACTCCGTCTCAAAACAAAAAACAAACAAAAAAACCCCCAAAACACCATTTATGCAGGGCGCAGTGGCTCACGCCTGTAATCCCAGCACTTCGGGAGGCCAAGGCGGGCGGATCACCTGAGGTCGGGAGTTCATGACCAGCCTGACCAACATGGAGAAACCCTATCTCTTCTAAAAATACAAAATCAGCTGGGCGTGGTGGTGCATGCCTGTAAACCCAGCTACTTGGGAGGCTGAGGCATGAGAACCTCGTGAACCCGGAGGCGGAGGTTGTGGTGAGCCGAGAATGTGCCTTTGCAACAAGAGTGAAACTCCGTCTCAAAAAAAAAAGAAAAGAAAAAAGCACCATTTAATGCCTTGCCAAAAAATAATTAATTAAAATACGGTATAAAAAAGTACACTACAAAATAAGTGGCCAGGCCCGGTGGCTCACGCCTGTAATTCCAGCACTTTGGCAAGCTGATGCGGGCGGATCACCTGAGGTCAGGAGTTCGAGACCAGCCTGGCCAGCATGGTGAAACCCCCGTCTTTACAAAAACACAAAAATTAGCCAGGTATGATGGCGCGCACCTGTAATCCCAGCTACTAAGGAGGCTGAAGTGGGAGAATTGTTTAAAACCGGGAGGCGGAGGTTGAGGTGAGCCGAGATCGCGCCATTGCACTCCAGCCTGGGAGACAGAGCGAGACTCCATCTCAAAAACAAAACAAAACAAACAAAAAAACACAAATACGTGATAATGTGAATTAGGGAGGAAAAGCTGGCATTTGGGAACCCCAGAAGAAATTGGAAATTTAGTATCTTACTGCAAGCAAGAATGAGGTTGGAGTAATGAGGGATGGGGGTTAGACTTAAGACCCTGATTGGGACCCAGGTGAAAAATGCAGCAGAAAATCAGTTCCCTGTGGAGTGTGAAAATAATTAAGTGGCAGGCAATTAGACTGAGGTTTCTCTAGTCCCTGGGTTCCTACTTCAATTTAAAAAATCTAACTCAGGCGCATTATTTTTAATTACTAAATTCAGAGAAACAAAATTGAGGCTTCACCTACTATAAACTGCCAATTGAGCTCCGATTACATAACCAGGAAATTTTCACCTTTAATGTACAAATTAAAAAACCACGTAACTGTACCTAACCAATTACTAAATTTGGTTTTCTTCATCATGCATTTTACAAAAGACTTTCTTTCAAGCCTCTCCCATAGACCACAAACTAAAAACCACAGCTTGGTGCTCTACAATTCTAGAACCACTTTTTGATTAAATTATTTAATAAGTTAATTTTTTTTTTGAGACAAGAGTCTCGCTCTGTCGCCCAGGCTGGAGTGCAGTGGCACGATCTCGGCTCACTGCAAGCTCTGCCTCCTGGGTTCACGCCATTCTCCTGCCTCAGCCTCCTGAGTAGCTGGGACTACAGGCGCCCGCCACCACGCCCGGCTCATTTTTTGTATTTTTAGTAGAGACGGGGTTTCACCGTGTTAGCCAGGATGGTCTTGATCTCCTGACCTCTGATCCGCCCACCTCGGCCTTCCAAAGTGCTGGGATTACAGGCGTGAGCCACCGCGCCCAGCCTAGAACCACTCTTTGATTAAATTCTTTTAATATTTTTGCAGTGACTCCCATTAACTTTTAATAGGAGATAATAGGAACTGGGAACCCCACGGAACAAACCTCTTCCCATTCATGAACCCGCACCCCAAGTCAGGATTCTCCCCTGACGACCCTCCCACGGTCCCTGCACAATCCGGTAGAGAAGCGGCGCTGCGGGTGCAGAGATTCCCCAGAGAGGGCTCCAGGCAAGGGCACAGTCACTATGCAGGGAAGAGACAGGACGCCCGGGGGCCGGGCTGTCGGCGCAACCGCCATCTTATGGCTGAAGGCGACTGAGGCCGAGCTGGGCAAGGAGAACTCGGGGCGCAGATTGTAGAGCTGACTGCGGGGAGGCCTGAGTCTCGCCACAGCCACTTCCCACCGGTTCCAACCAGCCCTTCCCCTCTCTCGGGATGTTGGACCCCGCACTCTCACCATTTCTAGGCTTCCAGGGTGTCCCGGCGTCTTAGCTGTGGATTCCCAATACCTGCAGGTCACAGGACCAGAGGCTGGGCCTCTAGGAGCAGAGGACACAGAGCAGTGAAGACGAGACCCGGAGTTCCAGCGGCAGCCAAAGACAAAGAAGCGGACAAATCCCGCCACATCCCGGAAGCCGTCCTCTCCGCTCAAGCTGCGTGCCTGATTGGACAGTTCCCAGCCCAGCGTCGCTGATTGGATAACGTTTAAAACCCCACCCTCTCAGGCCCTGACTGACAGAAGATGTAATTAGATGCTGGGCTGAATGAAGAAAGAGTGACCGCCTAGGCTGCAGCCTTTTCAGGCAGGGCTTCCTCCTTGAGCTGAGATAGGCCCACCCCAAAGGGTATTTGCATTCAACCTTGCGTATAAGGTCATATGCATTTGTAAATACTATATCATATGGCTATACATAAATGAAAAGGATATAATAACAAATGTTTTAAAATTTCAGGGTTTTTTTACTTTCCTGGCTTACGGTCCTTTGAGCAGGCAGCCTGAGATTTTAAAAAGGAGGTAATCCTCTGAAATAAAATGTGAGCCACGTGAATTTTGAATTTTCTGGTAGCCAAACTAGAAAATTAAAAAGAAACAAGGGGCCAGGCATGGTGGCTCACGCCTGTAATCCTAGGACTTTAGGAGTACAAGGCGGGCAGATCAAGAGGTCAGGAGTTTGAGACCAGCCTGGCTAACATGGTGAAACCACGTCTCTACTAAAAATACAAAAATTAGCCGGGCGTGGTGGTGGACATCTGTAATCCCAGCTACGCAGGAGGCTGAGGCAGGAGAATTGCTTGAACCCGGGAGGCGGAGGAGGTTGCAGTGAGCAGAGATCGCGCCACTGCACTCCAGCCTGGGCGGACAGAGCGAGACTCCGTTTTGGGGGGTGAAAAATATAAAGAAACAAGAGGCCACGCGCAGTGGCTCACGCCTGTAATCCCAGCACTTTGGGAGGCCGAGGCTGGTGGATCACGAGATCAAGTGATTGAGACCCTCCTGGCAATATGGCTAAACCCTGTCTCTACTGAAAAAAATATAAAAATTAGCCAGGCGTGGTGGCGCATGCCTGTAATCCCAGCTACTGGGGAGGCTGAGGCAGGAGAATCGCTTGAACCCGGGAGGCAGAGGTTGCAGTGAGCCGAGATTGCGCCACTGCACTCCAGCCTAGTGACAGACTGCAACAACAGCAACAACAACAACAACAATAACAAGGAACAGGTTGAATTGATTGTAACAATGTAATTAACCTAATATATACAAAATATCATTTTAATGTGTGAGGAATATGTAATTATTAATGAAGTATATAAATATTTGCAACTAAATTTTTGAAAATAACTCTGTGTTTTACCTTTCTAGCATATCGCGGTTCAGACCAAGCACATTCCAGGCACCCAGGAGCCACACATGGCAGCTCTGATGTCAATGGTGTGAAGGGCCAGAGGGGAAGGAAGGGCCTCTCCCTACTAACATCTATCTTCAGTTCTGAGGTTGGAACAGATAGTGGCCATAGAAAGAGCTGAGGGCAGCAGAAATAAAATAACCACAGGTAAACCACTGCTTACCACCTGTTGCCCACCTTTCTTTTAGAGATTAGGCTGTGAACATAGGATGATGGAGCTTAGGAGAAAAAAACTCTGTGTCTTCAGTTCTGCCCACATTCTTGGACTCCAGTGTTTAGATACAGAGAAAATAGATTAAAGGCAAACTTATTTTGCTATTTGGCCTTGACCCTAATTGCGAGGCTGTGGTTATCTGTTTTCTCCTGTGGTGTGGGGACTGTGCGAATATAAACACCAATCACATGCATACATGTCTCCCAGTATTTCTGCATTACCCAACATTCTCTTTCAAGACATCCAACTTTAAATTAGGGGAAGAAATCAGTACCTAGAGGGTGCCCACTGTTAGAAGGCAACAAGTAATCAACCTGTCACTGAATCCTGGCATCCTATCTGCACTGGTGCATGTATTAGTTAGCTATTGCAGCATAACAAATCATCCAAAACTTACTAGTTTATAATTAAGATGATCAGCCATTTAGGCTGGGTGAGTGGGGCCGTTCTTCTGGTATCAGCTGAGCTCTTTCAGACTGGTATCATCAGCTGCTTGTTGACTAGCCAGCTGTACTTCTGGGGGTGATCTTCTGCTTCTGGGGCTCAACAGGGGCACCTTGCTTCTCCTCCTCATGGTATCTTATTTTTAAGCTTGCTAACATGGGCTTTATTCATGGAGATTGCAGCATTCTGAACAAAAAACAGAAGTATTCAAGACCATTTGAGCCTGGGCCCCAAACTAGCCCACTGTCATGTTCACAAGTTTCTACTGCCCTGAGCAAATAAGGCCAGCCAGATCTAGGGTTTAGAAGACAGATTCTGGATCTTGATGGAAACAGCTGTAAAAGCACCTGACAATGGGCATAGATACAAGAGGGCAGAAAAATTGCTGCCATTTTGCAATCAGTATCAGTCTACCTTTTTTGCATATGTGGTATATAGAGCTTCTCCACATCAACAAACATGTCCAAAGACCCACGAGTACTAAGTGACTGGAATAAGACTCAGGATCAACTTTATCTGACGCCAAAGCCCATGCACCTCCATAGATCATACTACTAAAGTAGCTGCCCTGCCCTAGACCCTTGAAATCCTGGAGAGTGACACTTCTACAGAATAAGTCAGATTCCTTTTAGGTTTGTGTTCATATACTACTGTTTATCACTGGAAATAATCCTCTTAAGAAATTGCAGAAGAGGCCACGTGCAGTGGCTCATGCCTGTAATCCTTGCACTTTGGGAGGCCAAGGTGGGTGGATCATGGGGTCAGGAGTTCCAGAGCAGCCTGACCAACATGGTGAAACCCTGTCTCTACTAAAAATACAAACATTAGCCAGACGTGGTGGTGTGCACCTGCAATCCCAGCTACTCAGGAGGCTGAGACAGGAGAATTACTTGAACTGGGGAGGCAGAGGTTGCAGTGAGCTGAGATCGTGCCACTGCACTCCAGCCTGGGCAACAGAGCCAGCCTCTGTATTAAAAAAAAAAAAAAATTTGCAGAAGAACACAGTGGCTCACACCTATATTTTTAGCACTTTGGGAGGCTGAGATGGGAGAATTATGTGAGCGCAGGAGTTCCAGTGCAACCTGAGTAACATAATAAGAGTTTGTTTTCATGACAAAAATGAAGAAATTAGCCAGCCATGGTGGTGCATGCCTGTAGCTGCAGCTAGTTAGGTGGCAGAGGCAGGAGGATTGCTTGAGCCTGGAAGGTCCAGGCTGCAGTGAGCCATGATTGGTTACACCATTGCAAGCAAAACTGGGTGATAGAGTGAGACCCTGTTTCAAGAAAAAAAAAAACAAAACTGGAGAAGCATTTTGAAAAGACATGGAATAATTTTTGGAAAAGATGAAGGATGAGTTTAGAAGATCAAAGCTGAGGCCGGGCGTGGTGGCTCATGCCTGTAATCGCAGCACTTTGGGAGGCCGAGGTGGGCGGATCACGAGGTCAAGAGATTGAGATCATCCTGGCCAACCTGGTGAAACCCATCTCTACTAAAAATACAAAAATTAGCTGGGCGTGGTGGCGGGCGCCTGTAGTCCCAGCTACTTAGGAGGCTGAGGCAGGAGAATCGCTTGAACCCAGGAGGCAGAGGTTGCAGTGAGCCGAGATCGTGCCACTGAACTCCAGCCTGGCAACAGAGCGAGACTCTCTCTCAAAAAAAAAAAAAAAAAAAAATCAAAGCTGAACAGCACATTATTTATTTTTCATCATAGCAAATGTTTGAAAACTTTTAAAGAAAAAAAACTTTAAGCCGGGAGAGGTGGCTCACGACTGTAATCCCAGCACTTTGGGATGCCGAGGCGGGTGGATGATCTGATGTCAGGAGTTGGAGACCAGCCTGGCCAACATGGTGAAACCCCGTCTCTAGTAAAAATACTAAAATTAGTTGGCTGGGTGTGGTGGCTCACGCCTATAATCCCAACACTTTGGGAGGCCGAGGCAGGTGGATCACTTGAGGTCAGGAGTTCAAGACCAGCCTGGCCAACATGGTGAAACCCCGTCTCTACTAAAATACAAAAAATTAGCCAGGCGTGGTGGTGGGTGCCTGTAATCCCAGCTACTCAGGAGACTGAGGCAGGAGAATCACTTGAACCCAGGAGGCGGAGGTTACAGTGGGCCAAGATCGTGCCATGGCACTCCAGCCTGGGCAACAAGAGCAAGACTCCATCTCAAGTACAAAAAAAAAAAAAAAAAAAAAATTAGCTGGGGGTTGTGGCGGGTGCCTGAAATCCGAGCTGCTCAGGAGGCCGAGGCAGGAGAATTGCTTGAACCTGGGAGGCAGAGGTTGTAGTGAGCTGAGATCGTGTCATTGCACTCCAGCCTGGGCAACAAGAGTGAGACTCCATCTCAAAAAAAAAAAAAAAAAAAAGAAAGAAAAAAATGCAATGAGATAGACAGCAACACATTTATAGTAGGGGACTTCAATACTCCACTGACAGCAGTAGACAGATAATCAAGACAGAAAGTCAACAAAGAAACAATAAACTTAAAATATACCCTAGAACAAATGGACTTAACACATATTTACAGAACATTCTACCCAACAACTGCAGAATGTGTATTTTTTATCAGCACATGAAACATTATCCAAGATAGACCATGTGATAGGCCACAAAAGAAGTCTCAATAAATTTAGGAAAATTGAAATTATATCAAGTACTCGCTCAGATCACAGTGGAATAAAACTGGAAATCAACTATGAAAGGAACCCTCAAAACTATACAAATACATGGAAATTAAATAATCTTTTCCTGAATAATCATTTGCTCAACAATAAAATCAAGACGGAAATATAAAAGCTCTTTGAGCTGAAAGATAACAGTGACAAAACTTATCAAAACTTCTGGAATACAGCAAAAGCAGTGCTAAAGGGAATGTTCATAACAATGCCTATATCAAAAAGTCTGAAAGAGCCCAAATTTAAAAATCTAAGCTCATACCTCTAGAATCTAGAGAAACAAAAACAAACTAAACCCAAACCCAGCAGAAAAATAAATCACAAAGATCAGTGCAGAACTAAATGAAATTGAAACAAAAATTTCAAAAGATAAATGAAAAAAGTTCATTCTTTGATAATATAAATGAAATTGATAGGCCATTAGCGAGATTAACCAAGGAAAGGAGAGAAGATTCAAATAAACTCAATTTGAAACAAAACAGGATATATTACAAGCAATCCCACGGAAACACAGAACATTATTTAAGGCTACTATGAATATTATGAAATGCACAAACTAGAAAACCTAGAAGAGGTGAATACATTTCTGGAAATATACAATTCTCCTGGAGTAAACCAGGAAGAAATAGAAACTCTGAGCAGATCAATAACAAGTAGCAAGATTGAAATAATTGCCAACAAAAAATACTCTGGGACCAAATGGAGTCACAGCTGAATTTTACCTGCCATTTAAACAAGAATTGGTACCAATTCTACTTAAACTATTCAAAAAAATAGAGTAGGAAAGAATTATTTCTAAATCATTCCATGAAGCCAATATCACCCTAATACCAAAACCAGGAAAAAACATAACAAGAAAAGAAAACTACACACCAATATTCCTGATGATCATAGATGTAAAAATTCTTAACAAAATACTAGCCAACAAAATACAATAGCATATTAAAAAGATAATACACAATGATACAATGCATCTCCTACCAGAGATGGATGAATGGTTTAATGTACATAAGTCAATAAATGTGATACACCACATAAACTGAATTAAAAACAAAAATTGTATGACCATCTCAATAGATACAGAAAAAGCTTTTGACAAAATTCAGCATCCCTTAATGATTAAAACCCTCAGCAAAATCAGCATAGAGGAGACATACCTTAAGGGAATAAAAGTCATCTATGACAAACCCACAGCCAGCAATATACTGAACAAGGAAAAGCTGAAAGCATTCCCCCTGAGAACTGAAACAAGAAAAGGATGGCCACTCTCACCACTTCTATCCAACATAGTACAGGATGTCTTAGCCAGAACATTCAGATGAGACAAAGAAATAAAGGACATCCAAATTGGTAAAGAGGAAGTGAAGATGTTATTGTTCACTGATGATAAGATCATATACCTAGAAAACCCTAAAGACTCACCCGAAAAGCTTTTAGATGTGACAAATAAATACAGTAACGTTTCAGGATACAAAGTCAATGTACACAAATTGGTAGCACTGCTATACACCAACAGCCACCAAGCTGAGAATCAAATTAAGAACACAAAGTCTTTAACAACAGCTGCAAAAAATAAAATAAAATAATCAGAAATATACCTAACCGTGGCAGGGCATGGTGGCTCATGCCTGTAATCCCAGCACTTTGGGAGGCCTAGGCAGGCAGATAAACTGAGGTCGGGAGTTCAAGACCAGCCTGACCAAGATGGAGAAACCTCGTCTCTTTTAAAAATACAAAATTAGCTGGGCATGGTGGCACATGCCTGTAATCTCAGCTACTTGGGAGGCTGAGGCAGGAGAGTCGCTTGAACCTGGGAGGTGGAGATCGGGGTGATCCGAGATCATGCCATTGCACTCCAGCCTAGGCAACGAGAGCGAAACTCCATCTCAAAAAAAAAATAATAATAATAATAAATAAATAAATATACCTAACCGAGGAAGTGAAAAGTCTCTAAAAGAAAATCTACAAAACACTACTGAAAGAAATCACAGATGACACAAACAAATGGAAAAACATCTGACTTTCATGGATGGGTAGAGTAAATACTTTAAAAATGACCAACCTACCAAAAGCAATCTACACATTCAAGGCAATTCCCATCAGAATAACATCATTCTTCACAGAACTTGAAAAAACAATTATAAAATTCTTATGGAACCAAAGAAAAGCACGCATAGCCAAAGTAAAACTAAGCAAAACAAACAAACAAACAAAAATCTAGAAGCATCACAATACCCAACTTAAAACTGTACTACAAGGCTGTAGCTACCAAAACATCATGGTACTGTTATAAAAATAGGCACATAGAGCAATGGAACAGAATAACAAACCCAGAAATAAAGCCAAATACTAACAGCCAGCTGATCTTTGACAAAGTAAACAAAAGCACAAAGTGGGAAATGAATGCCCTATTCAACAAATAATGCTGGGATAATTGGCAAGGTACATGTAGAAGAATAAAACTGGATCTTCATCTCTCATAGAAAAATCAACTCAAGATGAATTAAAGACTTAAATCTAAGACCTGTAACTAACAATTCTAGAAGATAACATCAGAAAAACTTTTGTAGACATTGGCTTAGGCAAAGACTTCATGACCAAGAACCCAAAAGCAAATACAATTAAGTGAAGATAAATAAATGGGACTTTGATTTGTAATGTAAATCAAAAGCACGATGCAATACCACCTTACTCCTGTAAGAGTAGCCAGATTATGCCATTGCACTCCAGGGCAACAAGAGTGAAACCTCATGTCAAAAAAAAGAATGGCCATAATTTTTTATTTTTTGAGATGGAGTCTCGCTCTGTCACCCAGGCTGGAGTGCAGTGGCGCGATCTCGGTTCATTGCAAGCTCTGTCTCCCGGGTTCATGCTATTCTCCTGCCTCAGCCTCCCGAGTAGCTGGGACTACAGGTGCCCACCACAACGCCTGGCTAATTTTTTTTGTTTTTTTATTTTTAGTAGAGACAGGGTTTCACCGTGTTAGCCAGGATGGTCTTGATCTCCTGACCTCGTGATCCACCTGCCTCGGCCTTCCAAAGTGCTGAGATTACAGGTGTGAGCCACCGTGCCCAGCCTTTTCTTTCTTTCTTTCTTTCTTTTTTTTTTTGGGACTTGAGTCTTGCTCTATTGCTCAGGCTGGAGTGCAGTACGATCTCGGCTCACTGCAATCTCCGCCTCCCAGGTTCAAGCAATTCTCATGCCTCAGCCTCCCGAATAGCTGGGATTACAGGCACCTACCACCACACCTGGCTAATTTTCATATATTTTTAGAGATGGAGTTTCACCATGTTGGCCAGGCTGGTCTTGAACTCCTGACCTCAATTGATCCACCTACCTCAGCCTCCCAAAGTGCTGGGATTACAAGCATGAGCCATTGTGCCCTGCCAAGAATGGCCATAATTAAAACAAAACAAAAAAATAGACATTGGCATGGATGTGGTTAAAAAAAAAACCACTTTTACACTTTTGATGTGAATGTAAACCAGTGCAACCACTATAAAAAAACAGTATGGAGATTCTTAAAAGAACTAAACATAGAACTAATATTTTATTCAGCAGTCCCACTACTGAGTATCTATACACAGAAAAAGAAGTCACATAAAAATGAAACTTGTGGGCCTGGCACGGTGGCTCACGCCTGTAACCACAGCACTTTGGGAGGCCAAGGTGGGTGGGTCTCCTGAGGTTGGGAGTTAGAGACCAGCCTGACCAACATGGAGAAACCCTATCTCTATTAAAAATAAAAAATTAGCCAGGCATGGTGGCACATGCCTGTAATCCTAGGTACTCGGGAGGCTGAGGCAGGAGAATTGCTTGAGCTGGTGAGGCGGAGGTTGCAGTAAACCAAGATCGCGCCATTGCACTCCAGCCTGAGCAACAAGAGCAAAACTGTATCTCAAAAAAAAACAACAACAACAAAATGAAACTTATAACACACATATTTATAGCAGCACAATTGGCAATTGCAAAGATATGGAACCAGCCTAAATGCCCATCAACCAATGAGTAAACAATGAAAATGTGGTATACATAATACTACTCAGCCATAGAAAGAAACAACATAATGGCATTTGCAGCAACATGGATGGAGTTGGAAACCATTATTCCAAGTGAAGTAACTCAGGAATAGAAAACCAAACATTGTATGTTCTCACTTATAAGTGAGAGCTAAGCTATGAGGCTGTAAAGACATATGAATTATATAATGGACTCTAGAGACTTGAGGAGAAGGATGGGAGAGGGTGAGGAATAAAAGACTACACATTGAATACAATGTACACTGCTCAGGTGATGAGTGCACCAAAATTTCAGAAATCACCAGCAAACACCACCTGTACCCCAATAACTATTAAAATAATAAGAGCAAAGAAACCCATAAGTTTAAGTTTATATACATTAGCATTTTTTTGTTTAAGAAAGTGTCTCACTCTGTGACTTTGGAGGGAGTGTAGTGGCTCCATCATGGTTCACTGTAGCCTCAAACTCCTAGGCTCAGGCAATCCTCCTACCTTAGCCTCCTGAATAGCTTGTACTCCAGGTGGAGGGCTCTATGCCCAACTAATTTTTGTATCTTTTGTAGACGTGGGTTTCACTATGTTGCCCAGGTTGGTCTCAAACTTCTGGGCTTAAACAGTCTTCATGTCTTGACCTCCCACAGTGCTGGGATTACAAGTGTGAGACACCATGATTTACTGGAATCTTATTTTTATATGATGTTTAAAAAACTAAATAGATTTAGATCTGTTAGTTAACAGAAAATTTGAGAAAATCGTCTTTTTTAAAAAATATAAAATTGTTTTTGTCACAAATACTGATATGAAACTGTTCAAAATTACTTCCTTGAGATTTCACTAAAAATTTGGTTGTTCAGAGTTAATGTAATTAACGTATGTAATTAAAACTACTAGATGTAAGAAAAACAACTCTGCATAGAATGTATAGACAAGTAAAAACTACTTTTTGATAAAAAAATTGGGAAAGTTTCCTCTAGTTTGTGTTGTGGGAAGTCAGAGACCCTGAACAGAGGGACCAGCTGGAACTGAGGCAGAAGAACATAAATTGTTAAGATTTCATGGACATTTGTCAGTTCCCAAAATTAATATTTTTATAATTTCTTATGCCTGTCTTTACTGCAATCTCTGAACATAAATTCTGAAGATTTCATGGACATTTATCACTTCCCTAATAATGCTCTTATAATTTCTTATGCCTGTCTTTACTTTAATCTCTTAATCCTGTTATCTTCATAAGCTGAGAATGTACGTCACCTCAGGACCACTATTGTACAAATTGATTGTAAAATATGTGTGTTTGAACAATATGAAATCAGTGCACCCTGAAAAAGAACAGAATAACAGCAATTTTCAGGGAACAAGGGAAGATAAACATAAGGTCTGACTGCCTGTGGGGTTGGGCAGAATACAGTCATATTTTTCTTCTTGCAGAGAGCCTATAGACAGATGTGTGAATAGGAGAAGTATCACTGAATTATTTTCCCAGCAAGGAATATTAATAATTGATAACCCTGGGGAAGGAATGCCTTCCTGGGGGTAGGTCTATAGAAGGCCAGTCTGGGAGTGTCTGTCTTATGTGGTTGAGATAAGGACGGAAATATGCCCCGTTCTCCTGCAGTACCCTCAGGCTTACTAGGATTGGGAAATTCCAGCCTGCTAAATTCTAGTTAGACCGGTTCTCTGCTCTTGAACCCTGTTTCCTGTTAAGATGTTTATCAAGACAATGTGTGCACGGTGGGGCATAGACCTTCATCAGGAATTCTAATTTGCCTTGCCTTGTGATCTTTATTGCCCTTTGAAGTATGTGATCCTTATGACCTACTCCCTGTTTGTACACCCTCTCCCCTTTTAAAATCCCTAATAAAAACTTGCTGGTTTTGCAGCTCGAGGTCGCCATCACAGTCCTACCAATATGTCATGACACCCCCAGAGGCTCAGCTGTAAAATTTCTCTCCTTGTACTCTTTCTGTTTATTTCTCAGACTGGCTGACACTTAAGGAAAATAGAAAAGAACATACATGGAAATATTGGGGGCTGGTTCCCCCGATAAGTTTGAAATTAGAGATTGTTGAAAAATGAAAAAATAAAAAGAATAGAGACAGAATATAAAAAGTTAAAGAATTAACTATAAAAGATTGTAAAACATGTATGGAAATCTAGAGTGGTCAAAAGTGACAAATTTGGTGGATTTATTTATAAAGTTTTATTAAAATGAGCTTTAGTATAGATAATACACTAATACAAAACTAGAAATTGATTTTCTCTGGAACAAAAGTCTTATGTATTAATAATATGACAAAGTAAAATATTTTTGTTCACTTTTTGAACAAATTTGAAAACAAAGAAAGTAGAGATAGAATTTTTTCATGCTGTCTTTCTCAGGTGTTTTAATTGGAAAACTCAATCTCTTATATCAAGTGGTAATGGTTTTGTTTTTTAAAATCCTTTTATTATCACATTTTTAAGTGAATGACTATTATTTTATGGTGCCATGTGATCCTATTTTGGTAAAGCATTTTAACCCTTTGACTTTTTTTTTTTTTTTTTTTTGAGACTGAGTCTCGCTCTGTCACCCAGGCTGGAGTGCAGTGGCATGATCTCAGGTCGCTGCAACCTATGCCTCCTGGATTCAAGCAATTCCCCTGCCTCAGCCTCCTGAGTAGCTGGGATTACAGGTGCCTGTCACCACGCCTGGCTAAGTTTTGTATTTTTAGTAGAGATGGGGTTTCACCATCTTGGCCAGGCTGGTCTTGAACTCCTGACATCATGATCCACCCACCTCAGCCTCCCAAACTGCTGGGATTACAGGCATGAGTCACCATGCCTGGCAACCCTTTGACATATTTGACAAGCTTCACAAAATCACATTTCAGCTAAAAAATTGTCTTTTTTTTAATCCCAAAGTTTTGGATGTTACAGAGGGCCAACGCAGCATCCCAAAGAGTGAAGAACAGAATTATCTGATATGGTAAATTAAATGGAAAACATTGTTAAATTAAAAATGTTTGATCAAACTTTTATTTTAATAAATGTTATTAATATTTAGTCCAAAGGCTGGGTGTGGTGGCTCAAGCCTGTAATCCCAGTACTTTGGGAGGCTGAGGCAGGTGGATCATGAGGTCAGGAGATAGAGACCATTCTGGCCAATATGGTGAAACCCTGTCTCTACTAAAATACAAAAAATTAGCTGAGTATGTTGATGCATGCCTGCAGTCCCTGCTACTCGGGAGGCTGAGGCAGAAGAATCATTGGAACCCAGGAGGTGGAGGTTGCAGTGAGCCACTGCACTCCAGCCTGGTGACAGAGCAAAACTCCGTCTCAAAAATAAAAACCAAAAGGCCAGGCGCGGTGGCTCACATCTGTAATCCCAGCACTTTGGGAGGCCAAGGCAGGTGGATCACGAGGTCAGGAGATTGAGAACATCCTGGCTAACATGGTGAAACCCCATCTCTACTAAAAATACAAAATATTAGCTGGGTGCGGTGGCAGGCACCTGTAGTCCCAGCTACTTGGGAGGCTGAGGCAGGAGAATGGCGTGAACCTGGGAGGTGGAGCTTTCAGTGAGCCGAGATTACGCCACTGCACTCTAGACTGGGTGACAGAACCAAACTCTGTCTCTAAAAACAAAACAAAACAAACAAACAAACAAAAAAATGTATTCCAAAATTGTATACATCCTCCCTCCCTCCCTCCCTACCCCCTTTCTCTCTTTCTTTCTTTCTTTTTTTGTCTTGCTCTGTCACCCAGGCTGGAGTGAAATGGTGCAATCTTGGCTCACTGTAACCTCTGTATCCTGGGTTCAGGCGATTCCCCTGCCTCAGCCTCCCAAGTAGCTAGGACTACAGGTGCATGCTACCATGCCTACCTATTTTTTTTTTGTATTTTTGGTAGAGATGTGGTTTCACCATGTTGGCCAGGATGGTCTTGATCTCCTGACCTCATGATCCACCAACCTTGACCTCCCAAAGTGCTGGGATTAGAGGCATGAGCCACCACACCTGGCCTACAATTTCTAAAAATCTAATATACCTGAGTATATGCTATTAGTCATAATTATGGCTATTATGATAAATTATTGTAGGCCACAGATATAATGAACTTCTTTTCATTTGTTCCTTTATAACCATTTCAAGTCATTTCTACAGTTAACAGGTTAATTCTGATATAGTTTCTAAAAACTTCAAAAGCATGCAAAATTCTAGAGTATTGTGTCTTTAAGAAGGTTTATGAAAAGATAAAAATGGCCCAGAAAAATTGAGTACAGGTTTCTGATAATTTGAGGATCATATTGTTTGGACTGGGTAAGGATTATGTGAGTTCTAATGAAGAGACTGACTCATAAAATTTATAACCCAGGCAAAATAAATATTAATTAAATATTTTGAAAATACTCTGTCTCATATTTATGGTAAATCAGCTAGTACTGAATTTTTCAGATATGTCATTTGAATAAACCCTGTGGTTTAAGTCAATTACCTATGACAGTTATCAGTGCAATGCAACTAAATTGGAGAAACAAAGCCTAGTATTTAAGAGGAAATAAATTTTATGTTAAGTGTGGACTCATGGAAAACCTAGAAAGCCAACAGCCCCTTGTTTATTCCTGAGTTCTTATAGCTTCCGTTATTGAAAGTGCTGTATTCCATTACATATCACAGATGAGATAAAATAATCTAAATTAAATATAAATTAGGCTGGGCATGGTGGCTCACGCCTGTAATCCCAGCACTTTGCAAGGCCAAGGTGGGCAGATCACCTGAGGTTAGGAGTTTGAGACCAGCCTGGCAAACATGGTGAAACCACATGTCTACTAAAAATACAAAAGTTAGTCAGGCATGGTGGTGGGCACCTATAATCCCAGCTACTCAGGATGCTGAAGGAGGAGAATCACTTGAACCTGGGAGGCGGAAGTTGCAGTGAGCCGAGATCACACCATTGCACTCCAGCCTGGGTGACAAGAGTGAAACTCCATCTCAAAAAGAAAACATAAATAAATAAATATAGGGCCGGGTGCAGTGGCTCATGCCTGTAATCCCAGCACTTTGGGAGGCCAAGGCATGTTGGGAGCAGGCCCCCCAAAATCTGGCCATATGCTGGCCCCAAAACTGGCCATAACCAAAATCTCTGCAGCAAAATAACATGTTCATAATGGCCCTAACGCCCACACTGGAAGGTTGTGGGTTTGCCGGAATGAGGGCAAGGAACACCTGGCCCACCCAGGGTGGAAAACTGCTTAAAGGCATTCTTAAGCCACAAACAATAGCATGAGTGATCTATGCCTTAAGGATATGCTCCTGCTGCAGTTAACTAGCCCAACCTGTTCCTTTAATTTGGCCCATCCCTTCATTTTCCATAAGGGATATTTTTAGTTAATTTAATATCTATAGAAACAATGCTAATGACTGGTTTGCTGTTAATAAATATGTGGTAAATCTCTGTTTGGGGCTCTCAGCAGGCTGTGAGACCCCTGATTTCCCACTTCATACCTCTGTATTTCTGTGCATGTGTCTTTAATTCCTCTAGCACCACTGGCTTAGGGTCTCCCCCACCCAGCTGGTCTCGGCAAGTGGCATCCATCATTGGGGCTCGAATCCAGGTCAAAGGGTCACTGGAGCAATCTTTGGAATGGAGAACTAACTGGAGGACACCTGAGTACTCTTAAAGCAATCCCCGTGGTGAGTAAGAGGGGGAGCTCAGAAGCATCAGGGTAAAAATAGGACAGGTGTGGGGTCTGGTTCGTTTCACTTTGGAACTTTTTCACACTAATGAGGAGGAACGAGAGTACAGCAAAGTAACAGAAGAGGTTACAGAGCATGTTTATTTACCAGCTAAAGAGAAAGCGGCAAAGGAAGGAGAGGTTCATCCCTACCCTTCTGCACACCCTCCTTATTATTTTGAAGAAAAAGACCCTCCAGATCTTTCTTTTCCAGAGGACACTGGATGAAAAGTAGTTGCCCCAGTGACTGTTCAAACAGCGCCTCGAGTGACCACTCTTAGTTCTATTCAGGCAGGAATTCAGCAAGCTAGACGAGAGGTTGATTTAGAGGCTTGGCAGTTCCCTGTTAGAATACACCCCCCAGATCAACAGGGAAATATTACGGCTACATTTGAGCCTTTTCCTTTTAAATTACTCAAATAATTTAAAGAAGCTATTAATCAGTATGGACCAGGTTCTCCTTTTGTAATGGGACTGTTTTGTAATGTAACAACTGTAAAGAATGTTGCTGTTTCCAGTCAGATGATTCCTACTGACTGGGACACTCTTACTTGAGTTTGTCTAACTCCTGCTCAGTTCTTACAATTGAAAACTTGGTGGGCAGATGAAGCTTCCATTCAGGCTGCTAACAATGGCCAGGCCCATCCTCAAATTGATATAACTCAGACCAACTTTTGGGGGTTGGCGGCTGGGCTGGTTTAGATGCACAACTGGTCATGCAGGATGATGCCATAGAACAGCTTAGAGGAGTGTGCATTAAAGCTTGGGAAAAAAATCACTTCAAGTGGGGAAAAATACCCTTCCTTTAGTGCTATAAAACAGGGACCAAGAAAACCATACATTGATTTTATAGCTCGGTTACAGGAGTCTCTTAAAAAGATGATTGCAGATTTGGCTACTCAGGATATAGTGTTGCACTTATTAGCTTTTGACAATGCTAATCCCGATTACCAGGCTGCTCTGTGACCTATCAGAGGGAAAGCACATTTAGTTGATTATATCAAGGCCAGTGATGGTATTAGAGGTAATCTGCATAAAGCTACTCTGGTAGAACAGGCAATGGCAGGACTGAGAGTGGATAAAGGAAATAAATCCATTTTCTGGAGCTTGTTTTAACTGTGGGAAGCATGGTCATACTAAAAAGGAATGTAGAAGTCAGGCCGCCAGATAGGGGAAAAAAGAAAATTGCTGATCCTGAAATATGTCAAAAATGTAAAAAAGGAAAACATTGGGCTAATCAATGTCACTCTAAGTTTGATAAAGAAGGGAACCCAATTTCAGGAAACGCCATGAGGGGCCCTTCCCAGGCCCCGTTCTAAAAGGGGGTATTTCCAGCTCAGGCCATTCCGTCACCCCCGTACAATGTCTGTCCCCTGCCATAGCCAGTACTGCCACAGTAGATTTATGCTGCATGAAACCTGTGAGCCTTCTGCCTGGGCAACCCCCGCAAAAGGTCCCAACAGCAGTCTGTGGAACCTTGCCAGTGGGGACAATAGGATTACTTTTAGGAAGGTCTAGTTTAAGTTTAAAAGGCATACAAATACATACAGGAGTCATTGATTCAGATTACAATGGGGAAATTCAAATTGTTGTATCTACTTCTGTTCCCTGGAAAGCAGAGCCAGGAGAGTGTATAGCACAGCTCCTGATTGTGCCATATGTGGGAATGGGAAAAAGTGAAACTAAATGAAAAAGAGGATTTGGAAGCACAAATAAACAAGGCAAAGCAGCGTATTGGGTAAATCAAATTACTGATAAATGTCCTACCTGTGAAATAACTATTCAGGGAAAGAAATTTAAAGGTTTGATAGATACAGAAGCAGATGTTTCAATCATTTCTCTACAGCACTGGCCATCCTTGTGGCCAATTCAACCCACTCAATTTAACATAGTTGGAGTTGGTAAAGCCCCTGAAGTATATCAAAGTAGTTATATTTTGCATTGTGAAGGGCCCGATGGACAACCTGGGACTATTCAACCAATTATTACTTCTATACCTATAATTTTATGGGGAAGAGATTTATTACAACAACGGGGAGCACACATTCTAATTCCAGAAAAATTATATAGCCCTCAAAGTCAACATACAATGCATGAAATGGGGTATGTCCCTGGCATGGGACTGGAAAAAATTTTGCAAGGTTTGAAAGAACGGCTTCAAGTGGAAGACAAAATTTCTGCCAAAGATTAGGATATCATTTTTGATGGTGGCCATTGTTAAGCCTCCAGAACCTATACCTTTAAAATGGTTAACAGATAAGCCAATTTGGATAGAACAATGGCTGCTAAATAAAGAGAAACTGGAGGCTTTAGAGAAATTAGTTACTGAACAATTAGAAAATGGGCCCATAGCTCCAACATTTTCTCCTTGGAATTCTCCAGTTTTTGTAATTAGGAAAAAAATCAGGTAAATGAAGAACGTTAACTGACTTAAGAACCATCAATTCAGTTATACAACCTATGGGAGCATTACAGCCAGGATTGCCTTCTCCTGCTATAATTCCAAAAACTTGGCCTTTAGTAGTCCTAGATTTAAAAGACTGTTTCTTTACTATGCCTTTAGCTGAGCAAGACTGTGAATGGTTTGCTTTTACAATTCCTGCAATAAACAACCTGCAGCCTGCTAAGTGTTATCATTGGAAAGCGTTGCCACAGGGCATGTTAAACAGTCCTACAATTTGCCAGACGTATGTGGGGTAAGCAATTGAACCTACTCATAAAATATTTTTCACAGTGTTACATTATTCACTATATGGATAATGTAGTTTGTGCTGCCCCCACTTGAGAAATATTATTCCAATATTATGGTCACTTGCAAAATTTGACTCCTCATGCTGGTTTAATTATAGCCCCTGACAAAATTCAGACTACTACTCCTTACTCCTACTTGGGGACCTTAGTAAATGACACTACCATTGTGCCATAGAAGGTAACCATACATAGGGATCAACTAAAAACATTAAATGACTTTCAAAAATTTCTAGGGGACATTAATTGGATACGACTTGCTCTAGGCATTCCTACCTATGCCACAAGTAATCTGTTTTCTATCCTTAGAGGAAATCCTAGTCTTACTAGCCCTTGGCAATTAACAAAGCAGGCTAAGGAAGGGTTACAACTAATTAAAATGCAAGTCCATAAAGCTCAAGTAAATAGAATAGATCCAGAGAAGACTCTAGATTTGCTAATTTTTTCAACTCAGCATTCACCTACTGGTGTTATTATCCAAAAACAGGACTTAGTAGAGTGGCTTTTTCTTCCACATACTAATTCATGGACTCTAACTCCTTATTTAGATCAAATTGCAACTATGATAGGAATTGGGAGAACTCGGATTGTTAAATTACATGGATATGATCCTGGAAAAGTTATTGTCTCTCTCATGAATGCACAAATACAGCAAGCTTTTATAAATAGTCTTACTTGGCAAACTCATTTAGCTGACTTCGTGGGTATTCTCAATAATCATTTTCCTAAAATGGAGCTGTTTCAGTTTTTGAAATTAACTAATTGGATTCTCCCTGAAATAACTAAATTTAAACAAATTGAAGGTGCTGAGAATGTTTTTACAGATAGGTCTAGTAATTGTAAAGCTCCTTATTCTGGCTCGAAAAGTAAAGTTTTCCAGATGCCCTATACTTCAGCTCAAAAGCAGAGCTTGTAGCTGTAATTGAGGTATTGACTGCTTTTGATATGCCTATTAATGTGATTTCTGATTCTTCATACGTGGTTCATTCCACACAGTTAATTGAAAATGCTCAGTTATGATTTCATACAGATTAACACCTGATGATTTTATTTACCCAATTGCAAACAGCAGTTAGGAATAGACTGCATCCTTTTTACATCACTCACATTAGGGCTCGCTCATACACCTCTTCCAGGACCTTTGACTAAAGGGAATCAGATAGCTGATTGCCTAGTTGCTAATGCAATATCTAATGCTAGACATTTTCACAATTTAACCCATGCTAATGCCTCTGGTCTCAAACGCAGATACAGCATTACCTGGAAAGAAGCTAAAACTATTATCCAGTGATGCCCAACTTGCCAAATGGTACATTCCTCTTCTTTTACAGGAGGAGTTAATCCTTGAGGATTGGAACCTATAGCTCTTTGGCAAATGGATGTCACACATGTTCCCTTGTTTGGGAGACTAGCTTATGTACATGTATGTGTGGACATCTTTTCTCACTTTGTCTGGGCTACATGCCAAACAGGAGAGTCTTCTGCCTGTGTTAAACATCATCTTTTGCAGTGTTTTGCGGTGATGGGCATTCCAGCTTCTATTAAAACAGATAATGCCCCAGACTATACTAGCCAAGCTCTACCTACATTTTTCTCTATGTGGAATATTAAACACATTACTGGTATCCCATACAATTCTCAGGGACAAGCCATAGTGGAAAGAATGAATCTCTCCCTAAAACAGCAGTTGCAAAAGCAGAAAGAGGGAGACAGAGAATATGAAACCCCACAGATGCAATTGAATCTAGCATTATTAACTTTAAATTTTTTGAGCCTACCCAAAGGCCAGATGTTATCAGCAGCTGAACAGCATCTACAGAAACCAGTTGCAAAGACAGAAGCAGAACAACTGATTTGGTGGAGAGATCCAATAACAAAAAGTTGGGAAATAGGTAAAATAATAACTTGGAGTAGAGGTTATGCTTGTGTTTCTCCAGGACTGAATCAACAGCCAATTTGGATACCATCAAGACATCTGAAACCTTATCATGAGCCAGATGCCAAGGAAAAGACTCTGGGAGGATCCTGAGGACCCCCCGGTTGCAGCCATGTTGAGAGTGATGCTGAGGAGGACCCCAACTGTCATGAGCAACACCCATTGAACACAGCCACCCACCTGGGGACAAATCAAGAAGCTGTCATAAATGGCAGAAAAAAACCTGAGAAAAGCGAGACAACCAGTCACAACGAATAATTTAATGGTAGCTATGATAGTGGTTATCACCACTGCTGTGAGTATTCCTTCAATAAGGGCTGACACAGAGAACAATTATACTTATTGGTTATATTTATCAGTCTTGGCTGGCAATAATGCCTGGATGCAATCACTTTATGACACAGTTACACATGCTTTCTGATCTCAGTATTTACCATAATAAATCTGCTCCTATAATTGAGGCATACCACCCTCAAAAACCTATTTGTAAACAGGATTGGACCCAGTTAGAAAAAATGAACCTACTAGTTTAGGAAGATTGCATTGCAGAGCAGGCAGAGGTGCTGCACAATGATTCCTATGGAATCATTATTAATTGGTCCCCTAAGGGGATGTTTAGCTTGAATTCCACCTCTCAGTCTGCATGCCAGGCCCACACTATGTTCAGCTGGTCTGAACAAAATGGTCAGATGGTAGATATAATAAGAAGTACAGCAAGAGTTCCTATTATCTGGAACCATGGCAGTATAGTGGCACCTCAAATTCAAATGATATGGCCCACTCAAGGAGCTTAACATAAGGATTTAAAATTAAAAGAACAAATATTTAAAGCATCCCAGGCACACCTGGCCTTAATGCCAGGAACTGGAGTACTTAAAGGAGCTGAAAATGGATAAAAACACTTGAAAACTCTGTGACTTCAATGATGATTGTGCTTTTCATCTGTGTTGTTTGTCTTTGTATAGTCTGCAGATGTGGATCCTGACTCCTGCGGGAAGTAGCTCACTGTGACAAAGCTGCCTTTGCTTTTATCGATTTGCAAATCAGAGAAGGGGGACATGTTGGGAGCAGGCCTCCCAAAATCTGGCCATATACTGGCCCCAAAACTGGCCATAAACAAAATCTCTGCAGCACTATAACATGTTCATAATGGCCCTAAAGCCCATGCTGGAAGGTTGTGGGTTTATGAGAATGAGGGCAAGGAACACCTGGCCTGCCCAGGGTGGAAAACTGCTTAAAGGCATTCTTAAGCCACAAACGATAGCATGAGCAATCTGTGCCTTAAGGACATGTTCCTGCTGCAGTTAACTAGCCCAACCTGTTCCTTTAATTTGGCCCATTCCTTCATTTCCCATAAGGGATACTTTTAGTTAATTTAATATCTATAGAAACAATGCTAATGACTGGTTTGCTGTTATTAAATATGTGGGTAAATCTCTCTTTGGGTCTCTCAGCCCTGAAGGCTGTGAGACCCCTGATTTCCCACTTCACACCTCTATATTTCTGTGTGTGTGTCTTTAATTCCTCTAGCGCCACTGGGTTAGGGTCTCCCCAGCCGAGCTGGTCTTGGCAAAGGTAGGTGGACCACCTGAGGTCAGGAGTTCGAGACCAGCATGGCCAACATGATGAAACCCCATCTCTACTGAAATTACAAAAAATTAGCTGGATGTGGTTGCGGGAGCCTGTAACCCAGCTACTCAGGAGACTGAGGCAGGAGAATCGCTTGAACCTGGGTGGTGGAGGTTGCAGTGAGCTGAGATCATGCCACTGCACTTCAGCCTGGGCAATGAGCAACACTCCGTCTCAAAATAAATAAATAAACAGACAAACATAAATAAAAAATAAGTGTGTGTGTTTGTGTGTGTTGGGGGGTGACTATTCTAAATTATTAAAATAGGTTATGACATTTTTCTTTTGTCAAACATATAAACATGAGAAAACAATCAAAACTGCATGTTTTCTGCTATCCCATGGGCCATTTAAACATTTACACAGAAATTTTATTGAATTGTCCCTTATAACACATGTTTTCTTAAAGTAGAAAAGCTTTCTGATGTTAGAAATCTGCTGTTATACCAGTAGCTAAAAGGATATAAGGAAATGTTTCTCTCATGGGACATTTCTGAAAAAGTCTCTAATGATAAAGATACTTATTTCACTAGGCAAGTTTTCAAAATGTTAAATAAGGTATAATGGATACAATAGTATGAGAAAAGCTAACTACATTGACTGGATTGCTTTCATAATTGCAGATTGATGACAATCATATACACTTAGAGTGAAAAAAAAGTGTTGACCCTCATAGTCACTGGACTATAGGTGAAGGCCTATGCACCTAAAAATAGATCCTCTTGTATCTTCTGTTACTGAAGTCTAGTATGACTAAATGCAGCAAGATTTTAATGTATTATGATGAAGCATATTTTCACCAGGTAAAGAAAGCCTTTTAACAGTCTACTGACTGAGGACAGTAAGTCTTTATAATCTACAACCCAGAGATTAAATCTGCTTGCCATCTACACTGCAGTAAGACTTCAGGACCTTGAACCTTGGGTTCATAATCTCACAACTCTGAAGCAGACCTCCAAACTCTTACAATTTTATACCCATTGGAGATCTTAAGGTAAAGCTAACTAGGAATGTTTCTCCTCAAAAGGAGATGTCATCCTTGATGTAGATTGCTATTTTCACGAAATCAAAAATCAAGACATTTCTGCTATCATGACACTCTTAGTTCACTGTTTGTTGTTTGTCTGTTTTTTTTTTTTTTGTTTTTGGTTTTTTTTTTTGTTTTGTTTTTGGTTTTTTTGCCTCTGCAAACAAAAGAAATAAAAGGCTGGCACAGTGGCTCATGCCTGTAATCCCAGCATTTTGGGAGGCTGAGGCATGTGGATCACCTTAGGTCAGAAGTTGAAGACCAGCCTGACCAACATGGAGAAACCCCATCTCTATTAAAAATACAAAATCAGCTGGGTGTGGGGGCATGTGCCTGTAATCCCAGCTACTCAGGAGGCTGAGGCAGGAGAATTACTTGAACCCAGGAGGCAGAGGTTGCAGTGAGCTGAGATCGTGCCATTGCACTTCAGCCTGGGCAACAAGAGTGAAACTATGTCTCAAAAAGAAAAAAAAAAAAAGAAAAAGAAAAAGAAAAAAGGGATCTCTTGTGTGCACTCATGGGTTTTATTTTTATATGTAGAGGATTTTGCAGTCAACCTTATCTATGAACAAACTTATGCCTTGATAGATTAAAGATAAAGGGCCAATGTGGGTGAGACATTTTAATGGGACATTTGTTGCTTCATAACATCAGAAACAGAATATTGGTTCATTGCTCTTAACTTACTTTACAAGTTAAAGAGAACTTATTCAGAATAGGATAAAGAGCATTGCCAGGAGGCCATTGTTCTTCTGAATGAGCACACTTGGTAGGTTATTCTTTTCCGTGGTTTAGAGTAAATGAGACAATGGTTAGAAATTTATCCCCCATAATAGGGCTCTATAGCAGATTCTAGTCTAAGAATTACGGATACTCTATTGTAGAAAGTAAAAAGTTTCCTCTTCAAAGTTTCCCTTCTTGTTAAAGAATAATTTGTAAGTATTAAAAGTAATAGTTTCTTTTAAAGACTAACTTCCTTCAAGCCTCCTTGCTTTGTGCTAATAACTCTTTGTTAAGCCCTATCCTATGTAGCTGCTAGACATGCTCACAGGCACATAGTACATTCTATGTCCTTGTACCTTAACCAAGATATTTGTGCTGGACATGTTCACAGGCACGTTCCAGCTCACAGCCTATGCCCCTTCCCTATCTGGCATAAACAACTTCCTCCTTTCCTTTGTTCTCCCTTGCCTTTACCTATTTAGGAAAGTTTTAAATTATTAGCCAGTTGGGTTAGCTTAGATTGTGTGGTCCAGCTCCATCTAATGGAGACAGGATGCAGTAGCAGGGACAAGCTGCATAAGGGATAAAAGTTGTTTCCCTCCTTTGTTCAGGTGTGCTCTTGCCATTGTTCCATCTGGGGAGCACCCTTTCTGCAGAAAGTAAAATTGCCTTGCTGAGACAATTTTTTGTCTGAATGTTAATTTTTCCTTGCGGTACCAAGGAACAAGCATTCTGTTTCTAAATAAACATTTTACTTATAACATTTATAGACTTTAAATTTTCCGCCTAAGTTTGTTCTAAATAATAGAATTTCTCTAGATTACTTACTGGATAAAAAGAGAAGTATCTGTGCAGTTGCTAATACTTGTAGTTGCATGTGGAGAAATACATTGAGTATTACAGAGATTCGGTTGTTGGGGATTAATGAACAGTCTGCCTGGTTGAAATGAGTAGGCCATTTGTCTAGTTAACTATTTGATCTATTTAATTTCAGTTGGTTATTCATGGGAACCCTGGCCAAAAAGCATACTTAAAAGTTGTGGTATTATTTTTCTGATAAAAATTGCTTCCCTCCTTTGTTCAGGTGTGCTCTCGCCAGTCAAACCACCATGGAGAAACCCCATCTTTACTAAAAATACAAAATTAGCTGGGTGTGGTGTTGTGATAGTCAAAATAGTGTCTCCCTTTTGCAGTGTATTCTCTCAAAAGTTATAAATGTTTGCATGTAGTCATCTCTAGAATGTCAAATGGTCTCTCTCTCTCTTTTTTTTTTTTTTTTTTTTTTTGAGATGGAGTCTTGTTCTGCCACCCAGACTGGAGTGCAGTGGCTTGATCTTGAACTCCTGACCTTGTGATTCACCCACCTCAGCCTCCCAAAGTGCTGGGATTACAGGCACGAGCCACCACACCCAGCCCGAATGGTTTCTCTTTAACTGGCATTAAAAAAAACTCAAAGACATATGTGACCATGGGGACACCATAACCTATGAATGACATTATAAGGACAAAAACCCAAAATAATAAAAACTGAGAGTGGCAATAAGACCCCTGAGTTTTGGTCGCACTTTGACCTATGTGAGAACTTAACCTAAAGGAGAAAATGTTTTAAACAAAATTATTGAAGGCCATCATTCTGGACCAAGCTTGTGCACTAGGCCCAAACAGACCAAACCAAACCAAATGGAGTCACTCATGGTAAATGTGACACAATCAAACTGAAAATTTAAGGAAATAGGAAGATCTTTAGAATCTACAGGCCAGGTTTTGCTTTTCTTTTGTAAACAGCAGATTTGAACACAAGGAGGTCCCCTCTACTGTAATCCTTTAAAAAACTAATAACCTGAAGTCTTTGTTTCCACTTTTCAAAATCCACAGTTCTGCTATTTTAAAGTGGAATTTGAGACTAATTAAGTACTTTTTGTTGTTGTTGTTTTTGACATGAAGTTTCACTCTTATCACCCACGCTGGAGTGCAATGACACGATCTCAGCTCACTGCAACCTCTGCCTCCTGGGTTCAAGGGATTCTCCTGCCTCAGCCTCCTGAGTAGCTGGGATTAGAGGTGCTCACCACCATGCCCAGCTAAGTTTTGTATTTTCAGTAGAGATGGGGTTTCACCATGTTGGCCAGGCTGGTCTCAAACTCCTGACCTCAGGTGATCTGCCTGCCTCAGCCTCCCAAAGTGCTGGGATTACAGGCATGAGCTACCACGCCCAGCCTAAATAAGTACATTTTTTTTATGGTAACAGAGTGATATCATTATCTAAAGTTCTGGTCTATTTCTCAACATTGAGAAGATGTCCAAAAGGGAAAAATTATTAAATTATAGCCTAAAGCTGTTTCCTATTGTGTTTAATTTTGGTTAATAGGTTTTTTAATATATAGTAAATGGAAATCTAATTGGATATGTAAATAGACTGGAATCCATTTTTGTACCAACTGCTGTGTTGTTGCCAATAAGAGGACATCAACTGTTCAAACCATGTTCAAATAAGGCAAATTCCTGGCTTTAATCAATCTTGCTGTTTCTGTACCTCACTTTCATTATCTGAATGTCACTTTGCTTTGTCTGTCCATAAATATTTTTCTACCATGTGGCTGTGCTGGAGTCTCACTGAGCCTACTGTGGATCCACAGTCTGCCTGATTTGCAAATTATTCATTGCTCACTTAAACTCTGTTAAATTTAATTTTATTTCTCTAAAGTTTTTTTTCTTTTAAAAGTTTTCCAATTTTTTCTATGATGAAAAATATATAATGTGTTGTTCGGCTTTTTTTTTTTTTTTTTTTTTTGAGACGGAGTTTCACTCTTGTTGCCCAAGCTGGAGTGCAATAGTAGGATCTTGGTTCACTGCAACCTCAGCCTCCCGGGTTCAAGTAATTCTCCTGCCTCAGCCTCCCGAGTAGCTGAGTTACAGGCACTTGCCACTAAGCCTGGCTGATTTTTTGTATTTTTAGTAGAAACGAGCTTTCACCATGTTAGCCAGGCTGGTCTCAAACTCCTAACCTCAGGTGATCCACCCACCTCAGCCACCCAAAGTGCCGGGATTATAGGTGTGAGCCACTGTGCCCAGCCCAAATTTTTTCTATGATGAAAAATATATAATGTGTTGCTGGGCTTTGATTTTTTTTTTTTTTTGGAGGTGGAGCTTTGCTCTTGCCACCCATGTTAGACTTCAATGGCAGGATCTCCACTCATGGCAACCTCCGCCTCCTGGGTTCAAATGATTCTCCTTCCTCAGCCTCCCAAGTAGCTGGGTGTACAGGTGAGCACCACCATGTCCAGATAGTTTTGTATTTCTAGTAGAGATGGGGTTTCTCCATGATTGGCCAGGATGGTCTCGAACTCCTCACCTCAGGTGATCCACCCACCTTGGCATCTCCAAGTGCTGGGATTACAGGCATAAGCCACGATGCCCTGCCAGCTTTGATTTCATAAACTCAATCCTTAGCTATTTTTCCAAATTATTTTATGTCCTTTCAAATTGCTTCTGTAATTTATTGTATTTATTTATTTATTTTGAGACAGGGTCTCACTCTATTACCCAGGCTGAAGTGTAATGGTGTAACCCATCATGGCTCACTGCAGCCCCGACCTTCCAGGCTCCAGCAATCTTCCTGCCCCAGCCAACTGAGTAGCTGGGACTACAGACATGCACCATTATGCCTGGCTAATTTAAACTTTTTTTTTTCATGGAGACAAGATTTTACCATGTTGCCAAAGCTGCACTTGAACTCCTGAGCTCACGTGATTCTTCCATTTCAGCCTCTTAAAGTACTATGATTACAGGTTTAAGCCACCGTCTGCTTCTGGAATTTCTTGAGAGAATTATTCTCAATAATAAACAGTACCATATGGGCATGAATCTAAAGGACCTCTGTCCTCTATTGTAGAAGTTCCACTCTCCAGGATTTCAAAGGACTAGGGCAGATTCTGTAATATTGTTATCTATGGTGGTGCATGGGCTTTGAAGTCAGAATTTATTCTGAATCTCAGCTCAGCCACTTAGTAGCCGTTAGTCTTTGGACAAATTTCTTTCTGTGGAAGAGTTCTATAAACCACATACATTAAAAAGGGCAGAATAATAATGATTACCAAAATGGTAGCAATTTTTCATCCTCCTGTATTCTTGCCCATTGCCAGGTGCTTTTACAGTTGTTCCATTGAGATCCAGAATCTGTTTTCTGAACACTAGATCTGGCGGGTCGTACTTGCTCAGGGCAGTAGAAACCTGTGGACATGACAGTGGGCTAGTTTGGGGCCCAGGCTCAAATGGTCTTGAATGCTTCTGTTTTTATTTCAGAATGCTGCCATCTCCATGGGAAAAACCCACGTTGGCCAGTCAGAGAATAAGATACCATGGAAAGGAGAAAAAAAGTTGCCCCTGTTGACAGCTCCAGAAGCAGAAGCTCACTCCCAGAAACACAGCTGCTTAGTCAACAAGCAGCTGATGATACATGTCTAAAAATGCTCAGCTGAGACTAGAGAAATGGCCCCACTGAGCCCAGCCCAAATGGCTGACCATTTCAATTATGAGCTAATAAGTTTTGGATGGTTTGTTATGCTGCAATAGCTAACTAATACATGCACCCAGTGCAGACAGGATGCCAGGATTTAATGACAGATTCAGTACTACTTACCTTCACACAGTGGACACTCTAAAGGTACTATTTTTTCCTCTGATTTAGAGTTGGATGTCTTGTAAGGTAATATTGAGTAATGCAGAAATACACGTAGACATTGTATGCATGTGATTGGTGCCTATACCCACACAGTCCCTCATACCACAGGAGAAAATAGACAACCACGGCCTGACCATTAGGGCCAAGGCCAAATAGCAAGATAAGCTTGCCTTTAATCTATTTTTTTTTCATATCTAAAAATTGGAGGTCAAGAGTGTGGACGGGCCTGAAGAGACATAGGGTTCTCTTCTCCTTTGGCCCCATCATCCTTTGTTCACTGTCTGATCTCTAGAAGGAAGGAGGGCAATAGGTGGTCAGCAGTGGTTTACCTATGGTTATTTTATTCCTGTTGCCCTCTGCTCTTTTTTTTTTTTTTTTTTTTTTTTTTGTTGAGGCGGAGTCTCGCTCTGCCACCCAGGCTGGAGTGCAGTGACCCGATCTTGGCTCACTGCAACCTCTGCCTTCCAGGTTCAAGCGATTCTTCTGCCTCCCGAGTAGCTGGGATTACAGGCATGCGCCACCAGCCCAGCTAATTTTTTTTTTTTTTTTTTTTTTTTTTTTTTTTTTTTTGAGACGGAGTCTCGCTCTGTCGCCCAGGCTGGAGTGCAGTGGCGGGATCTCGGCTCACTGCAAGCTCCGCCTCCCGGGTTCACGCCATTCTCCTGCCTCAGCCTCCCAAGTAGCTGGGACTACAGGCGCCCGCCACTACGCCCGGCTAATTTTTTGTATTTTTAGTAGAGACGGGGTTTCACCGTTTTAGCCGGGATGGTCTCGATCTCCTGACCTCGTGATCCGCCCGCCTCGGCCTCCCAAAGTGCTGGGATTACAGGCGTGAGCCACTCCGCCCGGCCTGCCCTCTGCTCTGTCTATGACCACTGTCTGTTCTACCCTCAGAACCGAAGAGAGATGTTGGTAGGGAGAGGCTCTCTCCTCACCTCCGGCAGAAAAGGGATGTTCAGGTCGTTCACCCTCCTGATGTCAGAGCTGCACTTCAATGTAGCAGCTATTGGCCCTGTGTTGCTACTGGCTGCCTGGAATGCGCCTGGTCTGAACTGCGATGTGCTAGAAAGGTAAAATACGAGTTAGTTTCAAAGGTTTAGTTCCATATATATAGACACACTTCATTAATAATTACATATTTCTCACATATTAAAATGACAATATTTTCGATATATTGGGTTAAATTGTTACAATCAATTTCACCTGTTCTTTGTTTCTTTTTAAAAATAGAGCTAAACTCTTTTTAAAGTTTGGCTACAAATTAGCCGGGCATGGTGGCCAGCGCCTTTTATCTCAGCTACTTGGGAGGCTGAGGCAGGAGAATCGCTTGAACCCGGGAGGCAGAGGTTGCAGTGAGCAGAAATCGCGCCATTGCACTCCAGCCCAGGCAACAATGTGAGACTCCGTCTAAAAAAATAAAAATATAAAATAAAGTTTGGCTACTAGAAAATTTAAAATTTACATGTGGCTCACATTTTATGATTTTATTTTATTTATTTATTTTTTTTGAGACAGAGTTTCACTCTTGTTGTCCATACTGGAGTGCAGTGGCGTGATCTCGTCTCACTGCAACCTCCACCGCCCAGGATCAAGCGATTCTCCTGCCCCAGCCTCCCAAGTAGCTGGGATTACAGGCGCCTGCCACCATGCCCAGCTAATTTTTTTGTATTGTTTTAGAGACGGGGTTTCACCATGTTGGCCAGACTGATCTCGAACTCTGAACCTCAGATGATCCACCCTCTTCGGCCTCCCGAAGTACTGGGATTACAGGCGTGAGGTACAGCGCCCAACTTGTGGCTCACATTTTATTTCAGAGAATTGCCTCCTTTTTAAAATCTCAGGCTGCCTGCTCAAAGGACCAGAAGTCAGGAAGGTCACAAAATATAAAATTTTAGAACAGTTGGGCCGGGCGCAGTGGCTCATGCCTGTAATCCCAGCATTTTGGGAGGCCGAGGCGGGAGGATCACCTGAGGTCTGGAGTTTGAGACCAGCCTGACCAACATGGAGAAACCCCGTCTCTACTAAAAATACAAAAAAATTAGCCGGGCATGGTGGCGCATGCCTGTAATCTCAGCTACGCGGGAGGCTGAGGCAGGAGAATCGCTTGAACCCGCGAGGTGGAGGTTGCGATGAGCCAAGATCGCGCCATTGCACTCCAGCCTGGGCAACAAGAGTGAAACTCAATCTCAAAAAAAAAATTTTTTTTAGAACAATTGGGTTATTATATTCTTTTCATTTGTGAATAGCCATATAGCATATTATTTATAAGGGCATATGACCTTATACACAAGATTAAAGGCAAACACCCTCTCGGGTGGGCCTGGCTCAGCTCAGGGAGGAAGCCTTGCCTGAAAAGGCTGCAGCATAGGCTGTCACACTTCATTCAGCCCAGCATCTGATCACATCTTCCGTCCCTCAGGGCCTGAAGGGGCGGGTTTTAACATTATCCAATCAGGGACTCTGAGCTGGGGACAGTTCACTCAGACACGCAGCTGGACCGGACAGGGCGGCTTCCGGGTTTGGCGCGGCCTTTGTCTCTTGCTGCAGCCGGAGCTCCGGTCTCGTCTTCACTGCTGTTTGTCCTCTGCTCCTAGAGGCCCAGACTCTGTGGCTCTGTGACCTGCAGGTATTGGGAGATCCACAGCTAAGACTCCAGGACCCTCTGGAAGCCTAGAAATGGTGAGAGTGCCGTCCGACATCCCGAGAGAGGGGAAGGGCTGGTTGAAACCTGTGGGAAGTGGCTGTGGCGGGACTCAGGACTCCCCGCAGTCATCTCCACAATCTGCGCTCCGAGTTCTCCTTGCCTAGCTCGGCCTCAGTCCCCTTCAGCCATAAGATGGCGGCTGCGCCGACAGCCGGGCCCCCGGGCGTCCTGTCTCTTCCCTGCGCAGTGACTGTGCCCTGGCCTGCAGCCCTCTCTGGGCGGCTCTGCACCGGCAGCGCCGCGCCTCTCCCAGATTGTGCAGGGACCATGGGAGGGTGGTCAGGGGAGAATCCTGACTTGGGGTCGGGTTCATGAATGGGAAGAGCTTTGGTCTGTGGGGTTCCCGGTTCCTATTTTCTCCTATTAAAAATCTGTGGCAGTCATCGCAAAAAATATTAAAGAATTTAATCAAAGAGTGATTCAATAATTGTAGAGCACAAAAGTATGTTTTGTAGTTTGTGGTTCATGGGAGGAGCTTGAAGGAAAGACTTTTTATAAGGTGCATGATGAAGAAAACTATATTTAATAATCGGTTAGGTACATTTACGTAGCTGTTGCTGTTAAGTAGAAAGCCGGGGACTAGAGCCTCCTCAGTGTAATTGCCTGCCACTTAATTATTCTCACACTCCACAGGGGACTGATTTTCCCCTGCATTTTTCACATGCGTTCCAAGCGGGGTCTCAAGTGTACCTCCCAGCCCCATTCCTCCAGCCTAACTCTGGCCTGCAGTTAGATTTAAACTGCAAATAAACTAAAATACTAAATTTCTAGTTCCTTCTGACATTTCCAAATGCCAGCTTGCCTTTCCTAATTCACATTCTCAACTGTTTTTCCTTTAGTGTACATTTTTGATACTGTATTTTAGTTAATCATTTTTTGACAAAGCATTGGATGGCACTTAAAATTGTTTTCTGGTTGAAAATATTTCTCATGAGAAGAAAGCAAAAAATAATTCCCTGACACTGTATTTTATGAAATTTCTATGGCTTTTTTTTTTTTATCTTCCTCAGGCACAGAAATCTTATCAGAATGTTTGTTTTCAGGTGAAGGTTTTTCTTTGGAAACTTTACGGAGTGATGTGTCTTCAGCCACCCTTCAGTTTTTTCCTGGTCCTGGGTTTCAGTACTGTCTGGAGTAAACCAAGATACACATCATGACTTTTTCTGCTAGAGTGTCTAGTGAATATCAGCTCCTGGGTCATTTTTCTCCCTGAGGACAACCTGAGGTATGGAGTGTAGCTTCTCAAGGGAGCAGGTGGATGCCCTGGGGCTGAGAGGCATCTCCTGGCATACTCTTCCTTTGAAAAGCTAACCCCTTGAGACATTAAGATTGTCTTCACCCAACCCAGCTTCCATTTCTTGGAGACACAGTGCTGGTCAGCCAATCAGATGCTGGTATTGAGGGGAAAACACAGAAATAATTTCTGCCCCCTGAATTCTCTAAATTTTGTGGAAAAAAAAAAGTATCCCAAAAGACAAAGAAAAACCTGACCCAAGTGAGATGGTGCAAGAACTTACAAAGTAAAATGCACCTGGGGCATAGTGTAATGTCTCCTGAGAGGGTGGTTATTGAGCACTTAAGGTGAGCAGAATGGGGTGGGTGAATATCAGTCAGACACATCTGTTTTCTTTCTTTTCTTTTTTTTTTTTTTTGAGGTGGAGTTTCACTCTTGTTGCCCAGGCTGGAGTGCAATGGCACGATCTCGGGTCACCGCAACCTCCGCCTCCCAGGTTCAAGCGATTCTCCTGCCTCAGCCACCCGAGTAGCTGGGATTACAGGCATGTGCCACCACACCCAGCTAATGTTTTTGTATTTTTAGTAGAGATGGGGTTTCTCCATGTTGGTCAGGCTGGTCTCAAACTCCAGACCTCAGGTGATCCGCCCGCCTCGGCCTCCCAAAGTGCTGGGAATACAGGCGTGAGCCACCGCGCCCGGTCTAGACACATCTGTTTTCTAATTAGCACTACCACTCCCTGGGTTTGTCACCTTGAAAAGATTTGTTCACTTATGTTGACTTCCATTATTTAACTGTAAATTGCATTTTATTAATAGGACTTGGAAGGTAAGAAAATATTAACAGAGGGCATAAAAGAGGTGGATTTCAGAAAAAATTAATATTAATCATGTATTTTATTTGTGAGAAATTCTCATTTAAGTTTTCCTTTCTTAGAGTAAGTT
The DNA here is from genome assembly GCF_000001405.40 of Homo sapiens. Classification (NCBI taxonomy): domain Eukaryota; kingdom Metazoa; phylum Chordata; class Mammalia; order Primates; family Hominidae; genus Homo; species Homo sapiens. The sequence goes on along the minus strand of NC_000019.10, from coordinate 21,327,006 downwards.
TAGGAATTTTCTCAGATGTATTTTTTGTGAATATATATATAATCAAATATATATGTATTTATATTTATATTTAATATGGACTCTTGCTCTTGTTGCCCAGGCTGGAGTGCAATGGCACAATCTTGGCTCACTGCAACCTCTGCCTCCCGGGTTCAAGCAATTCTTCTGCCTCAGCCTCCCGGGTAGCTAGAATTACAGGTGGGCGTGCCACCATGCCCAGCTAATTTTTGTATTTTTTGTAGAGAACGGGGTTTCTCCATGTTGGCCAGGCTGGTCTCAAATTCCTGATCTCAAGTGATCCACCCGCCATGGCCTCCCAAAGTGTTGGGATTATAGGCATGAGCCACCGCGCCCAGCCTATTTTATGAGATTTTGGTGCACCCATCACCAGAGCATTATACACTGCACCAAATTTGTAGTCTTTTATCCCTCGTCCCCCTTCCACTCTTCCCCTCAAATCCCCAAAGTCCATTGTATCATTCTTATGCCTTTGCATCCTTATAGCTTAGCTCCCACATAACAGAACATACCATGTTTGGTTTTCAACTCCTGAGATACTTTGCTTAGAATAATAGTCTCTAGTCTCATCCAGGTTACTGCAAATGCTGTTAATTCATTTTTTATGGCTGTGTAGTATTCCATTGTATATATATACCACAGTTTCTTTATCCATTCATTGATTGATGAGGATTTGGGTTGGTTCCATGATTTTGCTATTGTGAAATGTGCCACTATGAACATGCGTGTGCAAGTATATTTTTCGAATAATGACTTCTTTTCCTCTGGGTAGATACCCAATTGTGGGATTGCTGGATCAAATGGTAATCCTACTTTTAGTTCTTTAAGGAATCTCCACAGTGTTTTCCATAGTGGCTTTTCTAGTTTACATTCCCACCAGCAATGTAGAAGTGTTCCCTGTTCACCACGTCCATGCCAACATCTACTGTTTCTTGATTTTTTGATCATGGCCATTCTTGCAGGAGTAAGGTGGTATCGCATTGTGGTTTTGATTTGCATTTCCCTGATCATTAGTGATGTTGAGGATTTTTTCATATGTTTGTTGGCCATTTGTATACCTTCTTTTGAGAATTGTTTATTCATATCCTTAGTCCACTTTTTGATGGGATTGTTTGTTTTGTACTGATTTGTTTGGGTTTGTTGTAGACTCTAGATATTAGTCCTTTGTCAGACGTATAGATTGTGAAGATTTTTTCTCACTCTATGTGTTGTCTGTTTACTCTGCTGACTGTTCTTTTTGCCGTGTAAAAACTATTTAATTTAATTAGGTCCCTGATATTTATCTTTGTTTTTATTGCATTTGCTTTTGAGTTCTTGGTCATGAAATCCTTGCCTAATCTAATGTCTAGAAGGGTTTTTCCAATGTTATGTTTTATAATTTTTATAGTTTCCGATCTTAGGTTTAAGTCCTTAATCCATCTTGAGTTGATTTTTGTATAAGATGAGAGATGAGGATCCAGTTTCATTCTCCTACATATGGCTAGCCAATTATCCCAGTACCATTTGTAGAAAAGGGTGTCCTTTCCCCACTTTATGTTTTTGTTTGCTTTGCTGAAGATCAGTTGGCTGTAAGTATTTGGGTTTATTTCTGGGTTCTCTATTCTGTTCCATTGGTCTATGTGCCTATTTTTAAACCAGTAACATGCTGTTTTGGTGACTATGGCCTTATAGTGTAGTTTGAAATCAGGTAATGTTATGCCTCCAGATTTGTTCTTTTTGCTTAGCCTTGTTTTGGCTACGCAGGCTCTTTTTTGTTCCACATGAATTTTAGAATTTTTTTTAATTCTGTGAAGAATTATGGTGGTATTTTGATAAGGATTGCACTGAATTTGTAGATTGCTTTTGGCAGTATGGTCATTTTCACAATATTGATTCTACTTATCCATGAGCGTGGGATTTGTTTCCATTTGTTTGTGCCATCTATGATTTCTTTCATCAGTGTCAGGTGTATTTTTTATGGCTTGGTAATTTCCAATAAAATTTCAAGGCTGTTTAAGAATGCTACCAAGAAAAAGAATAGGGGAAATGTCTTTCCCATTTTGGCTGTAGAAAATGAGTACATTTTCACAAGAAAATGTGGTAGATAATTGCTGAGTTACATAGATTCATGAAAGCATCAGCTCCTCTTTTTGCAGGGTAAATTTGTGACAGTGAATATCTCTGTTCAAATCCTGTTATCTTGATTTCCTAGTTTTAAGCTAAATTTTATTTGAAACTTGGTACCTCCTAGACATGTTTCCATATGACTAATTGTTTACTATATGACTTTTAATGGAAATAATAAAATAATGCATTTATTGTTTGAAAGGAATGGACACTTTTGCTTTTCTTATTGAGATATGAAATATAAGCACCCTAAAATTTTCTTCTCTTATGTCAACACTGTGTTTGAGAAACTGCTGGATTTTTTTTTTATTTTTTGAAATGGAATTTCTCTCTTATTGCCCAGGCTGGAGTGCAATGTCATGATCTCGGCTTACTGCAGCTTCCGCCTCCTGGGTTCAAACTATTCTCCTGCCTCAGTCTCTTGAGTAGCTGGGATTACAGGCATGCACCACCACACCTGGTTAATTTTGTATTTTTAGTAGAGACGGGGTTTCTGCATGTTGGTCAGGCTGGTCTCAAACTCCTGACCTCAGGTGATCTGCCCGCCTCGGCCTCCCAAAGTGCTGGGATTACAGGCGTAAGCCACTGCGCCCAGCCAAGAAACGCTGGATTTTTTAAACACTTAAGTTTATTTTTTTTTGAGACGGAGTCTTGCTCTGTAGCCAGGCTGGAGTGCAGTGGCGCGATCTCAGCTCACTGCAAGGTCCACCTCCCGGGTTCACACCATTCTCCTGCCTCAGCCTACCCAGTAGCAGGGACTACAAGTGCCCGCCACCACGCCCGACTAATTTTTTTTTTTGTATTTTTAGTAGAGACAACGTTTCACCATGTTAGCCAGGATGGTCTTGATCTCCTGACCTTGTGATCCACCCGCCTCAGCCTCCCAAAGTGTTGGGATTACAGGCGTGAGCCACTGCGCCCGGCTAAACACTTAAGTTTCAAAGACCAAGTGAATAACTCTTGACATGGAAATTAAAGCTTTAGCCCACTGGCTCAGAGCTAAGGCTAATATTGAGCCTGCAAAAAAATTTTATTAAAGGCCCAGTTAGTTTTTTCTGGGGAGTCTCCTCTGTAGATATCCCAGCCTGCTCACCCCAGCCATAGAAGTCTTTATCCTGGGAGAAGCTACAGAGCCCTGGAAAGCTGGGGACCCACAGGTGGATGCAGTTGATGTTAAAATGAAAGGGGATTGGGAGGGTCTTACTGAAGATGAAGTTGTTCTTGTTTTGAGGCAGTTTATAGACTTTGAAAATAAAACAAGGTTGAATTTACATAAAAATTTTGACTTCCAAAGAAATATTGCAACAGAAGTACCAACTACAAGGTCTTTAAGAATTGCAAAGTTCAGGCAGACAAAGGCTTCCTTTCCTAAGGAGGAACAAACAAGATTAGAAAGGAGGTGGAAGGGGAATGGCAAATGCAGGGTGAAAAAATCAGATTTTAGATCAGAGAATGTTTCACACTGAAGTCAGCCTGTTCTTTGGAGTTACATAAAATGGGTTTGTAAAGTTCAGAAGCCTTGGGGAAAAAGACAAACTTAAGTAAAGTTTCCTTAAGAAGTATTTTATTTTCACCACTGAAGTCAAATTCAACTGATTTTTCAATAAGAAAAAAAATGTGCAGAGTCGGTGTCTGCTATGTGATAGATAAGAAAAGAGAGCACCATCTAAGTCATAATGGGAAGGGTGTTTCTTTCGATAAACTGTTCCTGGAGAACACAAACAATGAAGAATTTTATTAATCACAGTTATTTATCTGGATTGTCTATGTGTGTCATCTTTCCCCACCTTTCTTTGTTCTATACATGTCTGCCATTTGACTTTTCCTGGGTTGTATCTTTTATAATAAACTGGTAAATATAACTACAGTATTTGCTGAGTTCTATGAGTAGCTTTATCAAATTATTGAACTTGAAAAAGGTTATGGGAGTCCTCAATTTTTAAACAGTAGCTCAGAAATGTAAATGGGCCCATGGAGTTTGTGCCTGGCATCTGCCGTAAGGACAGTGTGGGACTGAGTCAGGGCCTGTGCTGACACTGGGTGGTGTCAGAAATAAAATGTTAGACAATGAGTTAGTGTTAGAGAATTGCTTGGTTTTCAGTAAACTGCAGATTTGGTGCCAGAAAAAAGATACGGGGGCCTGACCTGGAATAAAACTCTGGATGTCTGGGAATGGGACGCTCTGCTCTCCTGTACACAGGCTGTCACACTGCCCATTGTCCTGTGATTTCAGTTCTCCCAGGGTGAGAGAGGACTGAAAAATTAGAGAATAGGAGCTCTGGCCGGGTGCCGTGGCTCACGCCTGTAATCCTAGCACTTTGGGAGGCCGAGGCGGGTGGATTGCCTGAGCTCAGGAGTTCAAGACCAGCCTGGGCAACGTGGCAAAACCCCGTCCCTACTACAGATAGAAAAAATAAGCTGGGCATGGTGGTGCGTTCTTGTAATCTCAGCTATTCAGGAGGCTGAGGAAGGAGAATCACTTGAACCCGGGAGGCAGAGGTTGCAATGAGCCAAGATTGCGCCACTGCACTCCAGCCTGGGTGACAGAACTAGACTCTGTCTCAAAAGAAAAAAAAAAGGAAAGAAAGAAAAAAAAAGAATATGAGCTCTGATGACAGACCCCCTTTTCCCACAGCTGCCACCACAGGATTCCCAGCCACTCACAAACATACCCATTAGACATTGACGTGTCCACACTTATTCCCAGGACTAGGCACCACCCTCAGGAATTTTACCACAGCATTTTTGATCCTGGTGTTTCTTGCTACAAACTCACAAACATGTCTACAAGTCTCCTGGCATATCCGCACCCCCAGACACTGAATCTGCACCAGCAACCTGTTTTCTCCACCAACCTAGGGTTCTGGACCACCTGTTCATAATCTCACCTGCCTGTATGAACAGAGAAATAAATTAGAGTACAGCCCCACCCAGGCACAAACCAGTCCTTCCATCTATATTGCACTCTCCCTTATCCATGGAGTTTTTTCCTTTTAACTTCTATTTTTGATTCATTGGTACATGTGCAGGTTTGTAATATAGGTAAAATCGTGTCATGAATGTTTGGTGTGTAAATTATTTTTTCACTGAAGTACTAAGCATAGCACCAAATAGGTATTTTTTTCTAATTTTCTCTCTCTTTTCCTTTTCCCTTTCTTTCTTCCTTCCTTCCTTCCTTTCTTTCTTTCTTTGTTTCCTTCTTTTTTCTTTTCTCTCTCTCTCTCACCTCCCTCCCTCCTTCCCCCTCCCCTCCCCTCCCCATCCTCTCCCTTCCCTTCCCTTCCCTTCTCTTCCCTTTTTTTCTTTCAAGCCTTGCTCTGTCACCCTGGCTGGAATGCAGTGGCATGATCTTGGCTCACTGCAACTTCCGCCTCCCAGGTTCAAGCGATTCTCCTGCCTCCTGAGTGGCTGGGATTAGAGCTGTGTATCACCATGCCAGGCTAATTTCTGTATTTTTAGTTGAGATGGGGTTTCACCATGTTGGCCAGACTGGTCTCGAACTCCTGACCTCAAGTGATTCATCTGCCTTGGTCTCCCAATGTGGTGGCATACAGGCGTGAGCCACAATGCCCACACCCTCTTTGTTTTTCCACCTTCCACCCTCAAGTAGGCCTCAGTTACTGTTGTTCCCCACTTTGTGTCCATGTGTTCTTATTATTTAACTCTTACTTATAAATGAGAACATGCATTTGGTTTTCTGTTTCTGCATTACTTTTCTTTTCTTTTCTTTTCTTTTCTTTTTTTTAAGATGAGTCTCACTGTCTCCCAGGCTGGAGTGCAGTGGCACGATCTCTGCTCACTGCAAGCTCCGCCTCCCGGATTCACACCATTCTCCTGCCTCAGCCTCCACAGTAGCTGGTACTACAGGCGCCCGCCACCACGCCCAGCTAATTTTTTGTATTTTTAGTAGAGACGGGGTTTCACCACATTAGCTGGGATGGTCTCGATCTCCTGACCTCGTGATCCACCCGCCTCGGCCTCCCAAAGTGCTGGGATTACAGGCGTGAGCCACCGCGCCCAGCCTTCTGCATTACTTTTCTAACAATAATGGTCTCCAGCTCTATCCATGTTGCTGCACAGGATATAATGCTGTTCTTTTTTTTTTTTTTTTTTTAATGGCCAGAGAGTATTTCATGATGTTTATGTGCCATATTTTGTTTTTATTAGATCTTTTATTTTATTTTTCTTTGGAGACAGGGTCTCATTCTGTCACTCAGGCTGGAGTGCAGTGGTGCGATGACTGCTCATTGCAGCCTCAATCTCCTGGGCTTGAGCAGTCCTCCTACCTCAGCTTCCCAATTAGCTGGGACTGCAGGCATGCACCACCATGCCTGTCTAATGTTTCTTTTTGTATTTTTTTGTAGAGACGGGGTTTTGCCATGTTGCCCAGGCTGGTCTCAAACTTCTGAGCTCAGGCAATCAACTTGCCTCAGCCTCCCAAAGTGCTGGGATTACAGGTGTTAGCCACCTTGTCCGACCATACCATATGTTCTTTATTCAGTCTATTATTGATAGGCATTTAGATTGATTCCATGTCTTTGCTATTGTGAATAGTACTGCAATAAATATGCATGTGCATGTGTGTGTCTTTTTAAGAGACTAATTTATATTTCTTTGGGTATATACCAAGTTATGAGGTTGCTGGGTCAAATGGTAATTCTGCTTTTAGTTCTGTAGTTCTGTGAGGAATTGTTACACTGCTTTTTTTTGACTGAGTCTTGCTCTGTCACCCAGGCTGGAGTGCAGTGGCATGATCTTGGCCTACTTCAACCTCTGCCTTCCAGGTTCAAGCGATTCTCCTGCCTCAGCCTCCTGAATAGCTAGGATTACAGGTGCCCGCTACCACACCTGGCTAATTTTTGTATTTTTAGTAGAGATGGGGTTTCACCATGTTGGCCAGGTTGGTCTTGAACTCCTGACCTCAGGTCATCTGCCTGCCTAGGCCTCCCAAAGTGCTTGGATTACAGGCTTGAGCCACTAAGTCTGGCCGCCACACTGCTTTTTACAGTGGTTGAACTAATTTACACTCCCACCAGCAGTGTATAAGCATTTCCTTTCCTCTGCAACTTTGCCAGCATCTATTGCTGACTTTTTAACAGTAGCCATTCTGACTGGTGTGAGATGGTATCTCATTGGGTGTTTTTTTACATTTTTCTAATAATTAGTGATGAGCATTTTTAAAATATGCTTGTTAGCCACATGTATGTCTTGTTTGGAAAAGCATCTGTTCAGCCACGCGTGGCTTTCTCTACTAAAAATACAAAATTAGCTGGGCGTGGTGGCTCATACCTGTAATCCCAGCTACTCCGGAGGTTGATACAGAATCCCTCAAACCCAGAAGGCAGAGGTTGCAGTGAGACAAGATCACACCATTCCTCTCCAGCCTGGGCAACAAGAGCAAAACTCCATCTCAAAAAATTAAAAAAAAAAAACTCATATTAGGAGCACACACAAATTGAACACAATGATAGGAGTAAATTTAGCAATACAGAATAATAAGGACTAAAACATACTAGGTTCCTTTTACAGAACACTAATTATCCAAAGTAATTATCTAATATTTGCAGGCTGAAGTACTTACACTGCAAAAACAAGAACAGTTCAGTGTATAAACTGAAAAGTGGAGCCTGTAGTTGTACTTTGGTTTCTATTTATTAAGAACAATTAGCATAGTTATCTGAAGTGTTTTTAGACAACATACATTCATATAAATTAAAAAGTATTTTCTACAATAGTATGAATATAAGATCAAAATATTTACTTTGAATCTCCTAAGCAGTCATTTTAATATTGTTATTTATACTTCTGAAATATAAAATGTTTAAACTGAATTATGGTTATAGACAATGTTTAAAAATCCTACATACATTATGACTAGTACATTAAAATTATTTATATTTATTTATATAGCTAATATCAAAAAATACTACCAAATTGTTACAGTAGATATGTGTCTGACATACATATTGTTTTATCCAATAGGGATAGTTATAGGTAAGCATAATTTTAGTGTCTTTCATTTTACTAAATTGGAATGCTGCCATTCCAGGACAAATAGACAGGTGATGTGGTCACCCAAAAACCATAATAGCCCTTCAGTTAGTTATGCGGCAAGCTCACATATATTCTACTATATGAACAAAGTCAGATTCCAGTTCGTAATTTAAAAAGTGCTGGTGAATTGTCAGTTGTATTTCAATATGGAACCCCCATTCAATGGCTAGGAGATGAGAGCAGCAGAGATGGAAGAGAAACCTTATAAAATTCTGCTGAGAATATGCTTTTTTTCTTCATAATGCTCATGTTTCTCATGCCAAGAGTAGCTGTGCATTAGGGGTATTTTAAGAGAAATTCCTTTTAGGGGAATATTTTCTGACTGACTTGATCAATCATATCTAATCTGAGTTTTTTCTCAAGATACATTTAACTTCTTTTTTCTCTCAATATAATTTTTGCAGTAGAATCAGACCAAGAGCTGTTTTTCTCTTCAATGCTTCAGATGTCTGTTTTAGAAGCCCTAATGCTATCCCTTGGTGTTGACAAAGAGGTGGGTTTTCACAGGGAGAACCATCCTATCTCTATCTGGACTCATGCTGGAAATCCAGCAGTATTTTTTTCAAGTCACCATAATAAATTGAAACTGAGGCTGAAACACCACTCCCATTCCCATTATTATGAAGGTGCAATTCTACCCCCAAATCCTGTAGGCTCTCCTGTACCATAGTCTTCAGTCTCTGATGAGGTACTGGAGTGCTGCTGTGGCAATTGGGGCTCACTTAAGATGTAAGCTGCCAGCTGTGAGCTCTGTGCTTTGGGCTGTGCCTCATTGGCAGATGGTAGGGGTCAAGAGAGGACACTAGCCATAAGTAGACGGCAAGCAGGAGTGCTGTAGCTGAGTGCTCAGAACATAGAGAGCCATTGCTTTAAAGTGTAAATAACCAAAAAGATAGCACCCTATTCAACCATTGTAGTAGGAGACTGAGAGTCTACCTTCAGCAGGCACCTGGTGTCAAGTTGCAAAACTACCTCCTGTCATGAAGATGTGAAAAGTTTATTTTGTCATTGATTATAACCAATTAGCATAGATAGGTGGCATCCCCAATGACCAGGTGAATTTAGGATGAGCTCTGTATGACATGGTGCTGTAAATTCTTCGACTTGTGGACTAATTATGGTGACTATCTTTCTGTCTTTGCAGTCTCTTAAGCAGATTGATTGTGATGCATGTCACATTCTGGTTTAATTGTGTAATAAAAGTTTTCTTTCTTTTCCATCATTGTGAAGTTTTTCTGGGGCTGGAGATAATTTCTCTTGTTATATTTTCCAAACACAGTCTAGAATTACCAGACGTGATATAAATATATAAGGTGTCAACCAAGCTTTACTCTAGAAGGGCCTTTCCCTCTCAGGATTCCAGTCAACTCACAATTGTGCTGCAAAGTGCACGCTCTTCCCTAAATATGCAGGAAGAATTGCATCTCTGCCTATTTGGTATCTATTGTCCTCTACAGTCACTTCCAGAGAGGCTAGATCAGATTTCTACAAACCTTACAGGGCAGCAATCAACCATTTTACCTCTTTCAGTGACTTTTTTGTTGTTGTTGAGATGGAGTCTCACTGCATTGCCCAGGCTGGAGTGCAGTGGCATGATCTTAGCTCACTGCAACCTCAGTCTCCTGTGTTCAAGTGATTTTCCTGCTTCAGCCTCCCAAGTAGCTGGGATTACAGATGCTCACCACCATGCCTGGCTAATTTTTTTTTTTTTGTATTTGTAGTAGAGATGGGGTTTCACCAAAGGCTGAGCACGGTGGCTCACACCTGTAATCCCAGCACTTCGGGAGGCCCAGGCAGGCAGATCACCTGAGGTTAGGAGTTCGAGACCAGCCTGACCAACATGGAGAAACCCCGTCTCTACTAAAAATACAAAAATTAGCTGAGGGTGGTGGCACACGCCTGTAATGCCAGCTACTGGGGAGGCTGAGGCAGGAGAATCACTTGAACCTGGGAGGCAGAGGTTGCAGTGAGCCAAGATTGTGCTATTGCACTCCAGCCTGGGCAACAAGAGCGAAACTTCGTTTCAAAAAAAAAAAAAAAGAGAGATGGGATTTCACCATATTGGCCAGGCTGGTCTCAAACTCCTGACCTCATGATCCACCCATCTCAGCCTCCCAAAGTGTTGGGATTACAGGCGTGAGCCACCGTGCCCAGCCTCAGGGACTCCTGTCATCAGACCTGAAGCTGACTCAGAGACCATGGGGCCCAAAAACCCTAGCAGAATAACATGTGTGCATTGAATAGATATGTAGACATGAGAATTTTTAATTCCTTTTTTCTCCTCTTGCTAAAATGTCCACAAATGTGCAAGTAATACCTGCTGCTACTCCACCCATCCAGAATCTGAATCTGCAGCTCCAATTTCTGAATCTAGATCTTGAGGCTTGGAAAAAATGAAAACTTTGCCGGGCCCACTGGCTTACTCCTGTAATCCCAGCACTTTGGGAGGCCAAGACGGGTGGATCACCTGAGGTCGGGAGTTCGAGACCAGCCTTACTAGCATGGAGAAACCCTGTCTCTACTAAAAATACAAAAAATTAGCCAGGCGTGGTGGCGCATGCCTGTAATCCCAGCTACTCGGGAGGCTGAGGCAGGAGAATCCGGGAGGAGGAAGTTGCGGTGAGCTGAGATTGCGCCACTGCACTCCAGCAGGGGCAACAAGAGCGAAACCCTGTCTCAAAAAAAAAAAAAAAAAGAAAAAAGAAAAGAAAAGAAAAGAAAAGGATTTGCATTTCCTATATAAAAGGTTTTTTTTTTTTTGAGACAGGTTTCACTCTTGTTGTCCAGGCTGGAGTGCAATGGCACGAACTCGGCTCACTGCAATCTCCGCCTCCCAGGTTCAGGTGATTCTCCTGTCTTGGCCTCTCAGTAGCTGGGATTACAGGCCTGCACCACCATGCCTGGCTAATAATCCTTTTCTTTATAAGTCTCAGAGAGACATTAAAATGAGACCACAATTATGTCTTTCTTTTTTCTTTGAGCTATGTAGTTACCACTTGAAACTGCTTGCTATTGCCACAAGTAGCTATAAATTGAACTAAAAATGCCACACTGGACACTATAACCCACACCCTATAGCCTAACAATGTATATCCAATCAATAATCAATTTATTTTTGTAAATAAAAAAATGTTGACAGACAACTTTGTATCAACCCACTCTATGCGCCTCTCTTTTTGTCTTTCCAATCCAATTGTAACTGCTGCTAATCAAAGTATATATTCCAGGCAACTTGAATATTTGCTCCCAGGTTACAATCCTCAAGTTTGGCCCAAATAAATTGTATACTTACATTCATGTTTCCTCAGCTATTTCCTTTTAGGTAAACATCATTTGGAACGTGCCAGAGCGGCCTCTGAGGGGATCTCTCCTTTGATTGTACTTTGCTTTCTGTAACACCTAAGGATGCAGAGTCAGGTTGATCCCACTTAGAATCTGCACATAAGATCTGGCTTCTGCCTGGGATTACAAGACAGGGCCAGACTTTGAATTGGGAATGTACTGAAAACCAATAGAAGGCATTTTCTGCACTGTGAGATGTCAACATAGACATCCTACAGCTCCCTTTGAGACTGTGGCTCTTTGAGCTTTTCAGATTTTGTCCAGTAAGATCTTGTAGCAGGTCTGCCACAGTTACGTGAGAGGCTCCAGATGTAAACAGAATCTGATGGCAAATTCTGTAAATATAAATAAACATCTTAGGAGTGAGAGATCAAGACCACAAAGTATCCGGAGCCATGACCACAACTATACCTGCCTGTAAAATGTTATGTACAATATTCTTGTCCTTCCTTCTATCCAAAAGCTAGTTAATCAGAACAAGTAATTCTGGAGCTCAACCAGGGCAGTTCCATTTTCTATTTAGAATCAGCATGACTCTCTCTAGCCTGGCTTATTATTGGACCATCAGCCCAGGGTCACTGGGAACCCTCTCACAATTACGTAGGCATTTTTGAGACATTTGAGGATGTCCAGAGCAGAATTGTGTCAGGCTGACAAGAGTGGTTAATTCTGCTTTTCCCTCAGTGTAAGAGAAATGAGTCATCCTGTGTTTGTTCCTTCCCTTATACAAGGGATGTTTTTGATTGGTACCCAGATGAATTTCTCCAGTTTTCTGGTACTTGGGTAAAAACAAGGAGGAGATCTGGAGACTCAAGCAGATAAACTGATTGCTATAATTTTATATGGCCATTAGAAAAATAGATGAAGCAGTCATGGTTTCTACAATCCAGAAACTCTTAGTCTAGACTAGCAACTGAATAAATGGTTGAATTAAGTATCATATGGTTGGTATAGCAAATAGATGTGTGAAAAAATTGTGAGCTTTATTTGGGCCACTTTATTTATATTGTTGTGGCTTCTGATGTCATCACTTGAAGGGATATTTATGGACAGAAGCATTATTATTTTTTGATTTCTTTTATCTTGCTAATAATACATATTTATCTTCTAATAATATTACCCTAGAAAACCTTAAGAGATTTGTTTAAATTGCTTATTAGTATATGTTATAAAATTGACAGGGCAGTGGCTAGAAAAGATTAAAATTACGCAAACGCTGGGATTTAAGTTTCTCTTAGGTAAGCTTACAAAAAACAGAACTTGAAATACCCCAGTGGCATAGAGAACAGAATTCTACAGAGGGTCTCCCCTTCCCCAGTTCTGTTCAGATTCACCCTTCTTGAGGGCCTTGTTTAGATCTCACCCAGCCCTGGAGTCTTGCCTCACAGAACTGATCAGAAGAGATCAGAGTTTTGGTTGTTGAATTCTGCTGCCTCTCTAGAGCTGGTGCTCCCAATTTCCTGAAACCCAAAAGCAGATAAATGGGAAAAGTAAAATATGTATTTTAGGGTCTTAATTTCTTAATTTTTTATTAAAACCAAGGTTGCAGAAACATTCCATTTAGGAACTTGTTTTCTATTCCTGCAGATTCAGTAGTTGTTCCACAAGTCACAAAAAAGTAAATATAAACCCAGTAAAAATTCCTCAAAACTACATTAAACTCTTTCTGTAATCCTCTCATCTGTCTGTATTAGGCTTTTATTCTACACACTTTTTTTTTTTTTTTTTTGAGACATAGTCTCGCACTGTTGCCCAGGCTGGAGTGCAATGGCATGATCTTGGCTCACTGCAACCTCCACCTCCCGGGTTCAAACAATTCTCCTGCCTCAACCTCCTGAGTATCTGGGATTACAGGCACCCACCACCATGACTAGCTAATTTTTGTATTTTTAGTAGAGACGGGGCTTCACCATGTTGGCTAGGCTGGTCTCAAACTCCTGACCTCATGATCTGCCCGCCTGGGCCTCCCAAAGTGCTGGGATTACAAGCATGAACCACCGCGCCTGGCTTTTCTACACATTTTTTAAAAAACCAATGACAGAGAAACAGTAGAAGAGTTAAAAATGCTGGGCTCTTTATCTAAATCCTGGTAATTATTAAACACTTAGTACCAACTTGCATGATGTTATGAGAGTTAAATCATATAATATGTTATTCCCAGCACAGTGCTCTGTAACATACTTTTTTTTTTTTTTTTTTGAGACAGGGTCTTGCTCTGTCACCCAGGCCAGAGTGCAGTGACACAATCTCAGCTCACTACAACTTCTTCTTCCTGGGTTCAAGCGATTCTCCCACTTCAGCCTCCTGAGTAGCTGGGATTACAGGCACATGCCACCACACCTGGCTAATTTTTTTTTTTTTTTTGTATTTTTAGTAGAGATGAGGTTTCACCATGTTGTCCAGGTTGACCTTGAACTCCTGATCTCAAGTGATCCACCTGCCTCCTAGGATTACAGGCATGAGCCACTGCACTCAGCCTGTAGCATACCCTTGAGAGCACATAGCGCCTGCTTAATACACCTTGCATTAGTACATGTTGTTTTCCAAATGCAGACTTATTCAGACATTGCTGCCTTCTGTTTCCTTTGTAAACTTTGAAGAGCCAGCAAATAATATGAAACTTTAGGATGAAGATGGGTTGTCTTTATTTGTACCAGAAATACTTGTGTTGTGACAAGAGTGCTGAGTGTAAGGGACTCTGTGCTGTGCCTGCTTTCTCTAACTACTGCTAATAATGAGCCCGGGGGAGCAACATTAACATTGACAGGGGTCTTGTTTAAAACATTTATCCATGGATCCTTTCCAAACCTGCAGAATCCCATTACGTAGAGTGGGTCCAAAATTACCAAGTGAATTTTAAGCTCACTAAAGCTTGAGAGGCAATGCTTGGCTAAGTGGTTATCAGCCCAGGCTTCTCATTAGGATTACACAGCCAGTTTGCAGAAATCTCTGTACTTCACCCCTCCTCACAGGCTCTGTTTATTGCTCCAGGTGGACACATCCATGTTGTATTTGTTTGTTTTGAGATGGAGTCTCACTCTGTCTCCCAGGCTGGAGTGTAGTGGCTTGATCTTGGTTCACTGCAACCTCTGCCTGCCAGGTTCAAGTGATTCTCCTTGAGTCAGCCTCCCAAGTAGCTGGGATTACACGTGCATGCTACCGTGCCTGACTAATTTTTGTATTTTTTTTTTTTGAGATGGAGTGTCGCTCTGTCACCAGGCTGGAGTGCAGTGGCGCGATCTCAGCTCACTGCAACCTCTGCCTCCCACATTCAAGCGATTGTCCTGCCTCACCCTCTCGAGTAGCTGGGACTACAGGCGCGTTCCACCACGCCCAGCTAATTTTTGTGTTTTTAGTAGAGACAGGGTTTCACCATGTTGGCCAGGCTGGTTTCGAACTTCTGACCTCAGAAGATCCACCCCCCTTGGCCCCCCAAAGTGCTGGGATTACAGGCTTGAGCCACCGCACCTGGCCCCATGTTGTTTTAATTAAGTGCCTCATGTGATTTTAACATGAGGCTAGAATTGAGTATGAGGGGTTCAGATACATTCATAAGAGTTAAGTCTCACCTTTGCACTAAAAGGGTGGCCATAGGGCTGTTTCTGTTTGGGTTTGGTAGGGAGAGGACAGTGTGGTCCATATTTTTATTACTGTAGCAGAAATTGTTGGTGTCCATGTAAGGGAAGGGCACCTGAGGACAGGAAAAATGAAACTTATATCTTTATTTCCATGGTGCAGCGTGTTTTTCCCGCATCTCTTCTGTTATTAAGGACAGAAATGGGTGGACTTTTTCTGCAAGTCTTCATCTTTTTGCTTGTGGATGTGGTGGTATCAGGTAAACAGGTGGTGCTGACACCTTTAAAGGCATATTCTCAAGATGTCTACCTAAAATCATTATTAAAAATTAAAACGGGAAAGATATGTTTATCTTGAACTTTGCACAGAACTGATGTTTTCTTTATGGTTAAATTCAGACTATAATTCACTTTTGGGGGGAATATTCCAGCAGTGGTGCTGTGTCCTTCTGTGTTATGCATTAGCACATCATAAAAATTTGTCCTAGTGCAGTTGATGTTAATAATTCTTTCGGTTAAAAAAAAAAAGACAAAATAAGTCTTTTGGTTAAAGAGCTCTCTGAAAGATTTTTTCACCATAGAGTTAATTATTTTTCTGTTCATTATTAAGTATCTTTATGCAGCTAATGTGCATAAATCATCATATTTTATCTGGGAGCTGACTTTTTCTTAGGTTTTCCTTGTATACATATGTCTTTGGAAAATGAAAGCTCTTATCTTTCTGTACAGGTAAGTAAAACTGAAAAAAACACAGGCCCTTTTACTTACGGGATGTTTGACAAAATATTCTTTTTGGGCCAAAAACATTGGAATTATTGGTGAGCTTGTTAGAAATTTAAAAACTGAGACTTTATTCCAGATCTTCTGAAAAAATAATCTCCACTAACAAGATCTCCAGTTTATTTTACAGACTAAAATTTGAGAAGCACTTTCTAACTCAACATGTCTTTTCCATCTGAAAAATATACACAAGTCATTCTGTATGATGTATATATAGCAATAAAAAATGTACATGTTTCTGTTCATGCCCTTAAGTTTATACTTTATCATTCAGAAAAGTAACATATATACACTGATTTTGTGGATCTTATACTACTCTCTTTTTTCAGAGTTAGAGAATACATTCGAGAATATTTCTGTGTTGAAAATTATTTTATTGGATAATTTCAGTCACTCCTATAAGTCAGAACCAGTTCTCTTTACTCTCTCATTTCACCTTGAGTCAAATTAAAAATTCTGTCCATAACCACTTGGTAAATATGTGTGTGTGTATGTGTTTTTCAGGGACCATTGACATTTATGGATGTGGCCATAGAATTCTCTCTGGAGGAGTGGCAGTGCCTGGACACAGCACAGCAGAATTTATATAGGAATGTCATGTTAGAGAATTATAGAAACCTGGTATTCCTGGGTGAGGATAAGTTTTTTTTTTTTTAATTTTTATTATTTATTATTATTTTTTTTTTTGAGACAGAGTTTCACTCTGTCACCCAGGCTGGAGTGCAGTGGCGCAATCTTGGCTCATTGCAACCTTTGCCTCCAGGGTTCAAGAGATTCTCCTGCCTCAGCCTCCTGCGTAGCTGAGATTACAGGCATGTGCCACCATGCCCGGCTAATTTTTGTATTTTTAGTAGAGATGGGGTCTTACCATGTTGGTCAGGCTGATCTCGAACTCCTGACCTCAGGGTCTGCCCGCCTCAGCCTCCCAAAGTGCTGGGATTACAGGCGTGAGCCACCTTGCCCGGCAAGGTGAGGATAACTTTAATATACAATTCCTAATATACTCTAAAGGTTTTATTTCTCTTTTTTGTTGCGTGTTTTTTTGGCAATTTATGCTTACATAAATGAGTTTCAACTACCTGTTTTTAAGAAAATGTAGGATTTATCTGTGTAGATGTTTCACCCTGACCTGAACTTTCCACGTTTCTGAGCTGATCTGTATCCTTCACTCTAGATTAGTGGTAATTCCAGAAATTTAGTGGCATAAAATACTGTTGCCCACACCTTAAAATCTAATTGCCACCACCAATTTTTGATTCAGTAGCACTGAGTAGTAAAATTAAGAACATACAAATTGAAAATATTTTCTTAATATTTAGAAATTTTGTTATAAGTTAGTATTTTGTGATTAATTTACTAGAATATATTTTGTGATTAATATACTAGAATATTCTATTACATTCTCTTTTTAAAATATTTTTTTCTGAGACGGAGTCTTGCTCTGTCACTCAGGCTGGATGCAGTGGTGCAATCTTAGCTCACTGCAACCTTTGCCTCCTGGGTTCTAGTGATTCTCCTGCCTCAGCCTCCCGAGTAGCTAGGACTACAGGTGTGCACCACCATATCCAGCTAATTTCTGTATTTTCAGTAGAGACAAGGTTTTGCCATGTTGACCCATCTGGTCTTGAACTCCTGACCTCAGGTGATCTACCCACCTCGGCCTCTCAGAGTGCTGGGATTACCAGGATGAGCCACTGTGCCTGGCCTACATTCTCTTTACTGAGAAAATTACTAGGTTGGTAATTGGAGAATATGAGCAAGATTCACGTTATTTATTTTTAATAAAACAGGTATTGCTGTGTCTAATTTAGACCTGATCACCTGTCTGGAGCAAGGAAAAGAGCCCTGGAATATGAAGAGACACGAGATGGCAGCCAAACCCCCAGGTAGGTGAGAGTGAACACAACAGATGACACAGATGTGAGGTCCAAAGGTAAAAGAGAAAACCAGTCCTTAAAATTTGACTTGGAAATCTGTGTTCCAAAGTTTCTAGGCAGCTGTTTTGTTTTTTTAACTTTAATATAGGGGCGTCTTCTGTCTTATGCTTTTAAATTCTTTAAAAATTCTACTTTCCCTTCAGCGATCTTCCTTCAAGTTTACAGTGAGCTAAAGTCCTCTTCATGGCATATAAGAGATTGCACAATCTGACTTTTTTTTTCCATTGTTTTTGGAGACTCAGAAATATCTGCATAATTTTGAGAAACTCTGTGTTAAACTATTTTGTAAGTTCTCTTTTTGCATCATGTCTGAAATGTGTAAGAGTTGTGGTTTCTGTTCCATTGTTTTTTTTATTTTTCTGCACATTTCATCTTATTTGTATTACTACAGGCTTGAAATATAGTTTGAAATTTAAAAGTATGATGTTCACTTTGTTCTTATTCCTCATGATTGCTTTGACTATTCAGTTTCTTGTAGTTTTGGCTGGGGGGGCAGTGGCTCACAGCTGTAATCCTATCACTTTGGGAGGCCAAGGCAGAAGGATCCCTTAAGCCTAGGAGTTGGATACCAACCTGGGCAACATAAGGAGACCCTGTCTCTTAAAAAGATTTACTGGGCTGGGCACGGTGGCTCACTCCTGTAAACCCAGCACTGTGGGAGGCCGAGATGGGTGGATCACCTGAGGTCAGGAGTTCAAGACCAGCCTGAACAACATGGTGAAATACCGTGTCCACTAAAAATACAAAATTAGCCAGGTGTGGTGGTGCATGCCTGTAATCCCAGCTACTCTGGAGGCTGAGGCAGGAGAATTGCTTGAACCCGGGAGGCAGAGGTTGCTGTGAGCTGCGATTGTGCCACTGCACTCCAGCCTTGGCAATAAGAGTGAAACTCAATCTCAAAAAAAAAAAAAAAAGATTTATTATAGTTTCATGTAAATTTAGGGATTGTATTTTCTATTACTATGAAAAAAATGCCACTAGAATTTTGGTAGGGAGTTTCTTGAATCTATAGCTCACTTTGGATAATATGGTATTTTAACAATATTTATTCTTTAAATCCATAGATATTAAATATTTTAAAACTTGTGTCTTCTCTGATTTCATCATTGAAATCTTATATCTTTTATTGTAAAGATTTTTTTCACTTTCTTGGGTGAATTTGTTCTCAGAAATATATTATTTTAATGCTATTATAAATAATATTGCTTTCTTCCTTTATTTTATTAGACAATTTAGGTTTATAGAATGATAACTTATAAGTTGAGTTTATATTTGGTAATTTACTGAGTGTATTTATTAGATAGGTTTTAATGTACTGTTTATGTATTTTTATATGTAAGATTTTATGATCTACAAACAAACATTTTACTTGTCTTCAATTTCAATGGGTTTTTTATTTTTTGACTAATTCTTCTGCCACATATTTTCAGTGTTATGTTAAAAGAGAAGCATTGACAAGTGGGCACAATATAGTTTGGCATTGGTGTCTGTAAATTTGAAAATGCAAATGCCTCTTCAACTTTTTATAAACTGATAAACTGATTTCAGAAGGTAAAGATTTTTTTTTTTTTCCGAAACTGAGTCTCACTCTGTCACCCAGGCTGTAGTGCAGTCATGTGATCTCGGCTCACTGCAACCTCCGCCTCCCGGGTTCAAGTGATTCTGGTGCTTCAGCCTCCCGAGTAGCTGGGATTACAGGCTTGTGCCACCATGCCCAGCTAATTTTTGTATTTTTAGTAGACGGGGTTTCACCATGTTGGTAAGGCTGGTCTTGAACTCCTGACCTTGTGATCCACCCGCCTCAGCTTCCCAAAGTGCTGGGATTACAGGCATGAGCCACTTCGCCCAGACAAGATCTTCTTTTTTGGGCTGCCAGGGTTCTGGGATGCCCTCTGGGTTTGTGGAGAGGGGTAGTAGCTTGGTCTCAAGCCTGCAGTTTCTGTGCTGGGGTCCACCTTTAGTTGGCTGGTTACAAGGGGCTTGGATAGTTGTAATTCCTATTGTATTTTATTGTATTTTATTTTATTTTATTTTATATTATATTTTATTTTATTTTATTTTATTTTTTATTTTATATTTTATTTTATTTTATTTTATTTTGTATTTTATATTTTATTTTATTTTATATTTTATTTTATATTTTATTTTATTTTATTTTATGTATGTTATGTTATGTTATGTTTTATGTTATGTTATGTTATGTTATGTTATGTTATGTTATGTTATGTTATGTTATGTTATTTTTCTTTTGAGATGGAGTTTTGCTGTTATTGCCCAGACTGGAGTGCAGTGGCCTGATCTCAGCTAACTGAAACCTCCGCCTCCCGGGTTCAAGCGATTTCTCCTGCCTCAGCCTTCCGAGTAACTGGGATTACAGGTGTGCACCACCACACCCGGCTAATTTTTGTATTTTTAGTAGAGATGGGGTTTCACCATGTTGGTCAAGCTGGTCTCGAATTCTCGACCTTGTGATCTGCCTGCCTCGGTCTCGCAAAGTGCTAGGATTACAGGCCTGAGCCTCCATGCCCGGCCAATATTTGTAACATTTTAAAACAATAGCTGCTCTTTTGTTTTCTACCAACAATCAACAGGGGTTTTATTTTCATTGCATTATCAACAGATTTGGTGTTTTTCATAAATTTACAGTAGCCATTGTAATGGGTGTGAGGTGATTTCATTTTTCTTTTTTATGTGTTTCTCTATAAATTATTAATTTTGCTTTTCTTTTCAAATACTTTTTCCCATTTGGGTATCTTTTTAAATGAAAATTCAGTTCAATTATTTTTTCATTAATAAATCAAGTTATTCAGCTTTATTGTTCAGTTTTAAGAGTTGTTTATATATTCTGAATATTAACTCATCACTCATCTCTTGTGATTTGCAAATATTTTCACCCATTTTCTAGGAGGCATTGTCTATTGAATTTTTGTTTTGATGTGCAGAAATTTTGAAGTATAATGCAGTTAAATCTTAATGGTTATTGTTGTTGTTGTTGTTGCTCATGCATTTAGTGTCATATCTAAAAAAATAGTGCCAAGACCAATGACATGACTTTTTCCTATGTTTTTTCTAAGAGATGTTATTTATCTTTTCATGTTTAAGTATTTAGTTAAACCATATTTTTTGTATTTTGTTCAAGGAAATGATCCAACTTTATTTCATCAGTGTCGCTTTCCAGTTTTCAACAATATTTTTTGAAGAGAATATCTTTTCTTTATTGTATGCTCATGGCAACTTTGTGGAAGGTTATTTTATCTTATACAGAAGAGTTCATTTCTGGGCTCTCTGTTCTTTCATCTGTTTATCTTTGTGTCAGTACCACATTGTTTTGTTGTTGTAGCTTTTAATATGTTTTGAAATCAGAAAGTATAATGCCTCTTTGTTCTTTTTCAAGGGTGTTTATCTATAGTTTGTAATCAAATTTAAAAATTTTAGGCCAGGCCCGGTGGCTCACGCTTGTAATCCCAGCACTTTGGGAGGCCCAGGCGGGCAGATCATGAGGTCAGGAGTTAGAGACCATCCTGGAGAACATGGTGAAATCCCGTCTCTACTAAAAAAAAATACGAAAATTAGCTGGGCGTGGTGGCGGGTGCCTGTATTCCCAGCTACTCAGGAGGCTGAGGCAGGAGAATCACTTGAATCCAGGAAGCAGAGGTTGCAGTGAGCCGAGATCAGGCCACTACAGCCACTGCACTCCAGCCTGGCAATAGAGTGAGACTCCATCTAAAAAAAATAAAAATAAAAAAATAAACTATATTTCTGTAAAAAACTGTGTGATTAGGGTTTTTATAGAGATTATATTAAATTCATTCACCACTGTTAGGTCATAGTAATGTCTTTGAAAAATTAAATTTTTTGACCCTGGAGCAAGAATATGTTGAAAAGTGGCTGGGTGCAGTGTCTCACGCCTGTAATCCCAGCACTTTGGGAGGCTGAGGTGAGCGAATCACAAGGTCAAGAGATCGAGACCATCCCGGCCAACCTGGTGGAACCCTGTCTCTACTAAAAATACAAAAATTAGCTGGGCGTGGTGGCACGCACCTGTAGTCCTAGCTACTCAGGAGGCTGAGACAGGAGAATTGCTTGAACCCTGGAGGCAGAGTTTGTAGTGAGCCGAGATCACACTATTGCACTCCAGCCTGGCAACAGAGCGAGACTCCATCTCAAAAAAAAAAAAGAATCTGTTGAAGAGTGTGTTTTAATTTCCTATATTTTTGGATTTCCCAGTTTTACTTTGGCTTTTAATGCCTAGTTTCTTTCAGTTTTGGTCAGAAAACATAGTGTATACTTTTGGTCTTCTTAAATGTATTTGTTGTTATTTTGAGACAGGATATTACTCTGTTGCCCAGGCTGTAGTGCAGTGACATGATTTTGGCTCGCTGCAACCTCAGCCTGCTGGGCTCAAGTGATCCTTTTACCTCAAATTTTTGAGCTGGGACTACAGAAATGCACTACTACCCCTGGTTAATTTTTTGATTTATTAGTAGCGACAGGGTCTCACTATGTTGTGTAAGCTGGTCCCAAACTTTTTGCCCCATGTGATTTTCCCAAAGTGTTGAGATTATAGATATGAGCCTCTGCACTCAGCCAGTATTCATAAATTTAATAAGACTTGGTATGTGTCGTAACAGAACACACTAGGAGCAAGTAAGAATATTGTGTGTATTCTCTTGCTTTTGCCTGGTAAGTTTTGTACATATCTGTTAAGCCTAGTTGGTGATATGATATGGTTGGCCTAAGGTTAGAGGATGTCCATTTTCTCTAAACCTCATGCTGCAATATAATCCTCCTGTTTGATGTGGGACCTGGTGGGTGGTGTTTGGGTCATGGGGGAGCAAATTCCTCATAAATGGTTTGGCACCATCCTTTTGATAATCAAAAAGGTTACGCTCTATTGATTCAAATGAGAGCTGGTTGGTTAAAAAAAAAAAAAAAACCTGGCTTCTTCACCTCACACTTACTCTGTCTCTTACTGTGTGATGTGTCCACTTATACTTTGCCTTCCACAATGATTATAAGCTTACTAGGACCCTTACTCACCAGAAACAGATGCTGGCACACACTTCCTGTACAGTCTGCTGAACTGTGAGCCAAATAAACCTTTTTTCTTTATAAATTATCTACTCTCAGGTATTCCTCTGTAGGTAAAATAATTAATACAGTCTATAATGTCTGAGTTTTTTATTTTCTTATTTATTATGGCAAATGGGGTGTTGATGTTTACAGTTATTATGTTGCTAAGTATTTCTTCACTTTTGTCAGTATTTGCTTTATATATTTTGCAGCTCTTATGTTTTATACATACATACATATATAGAGAGAGATATAATAGTTATAGATTCCTGGTAAATTGACCTATTTTATTATTATATAATATCAATTTTGTTCTCATGCTAGTACTTGACTAAAAGCATATTATGTCTAATATAATTATAACTACCTTACCCAATTGTGGTTACTATATGCATGAAAAATAAATTTTTTCTATTACGTTACTTTCAGTCTATTCAATGCAATGCTAAAACCAGTCTCTTGTAGGCAGCATATTGTATGCTTTTTTCCAGTTACTCAGATGTTTTATTTCTTTTTCTTTTTTATAATTTTATTTATTTATTCATTTATTTTAATTTTTTTTCTTTTTGAGAAAGGATCTCACTCCATTGCCCAGGCTGGAGTGCTGTAGCGTGATCTTGCCTCACTGCAACCTCCACCTCCTGGATTCAAGTGATTCTCATGCCTCAGCCTCCCAAGTAGCTGGGATTACAGGCATGTGCCACCACACCCATCTAATTTTTTCTATTTTCAGTAGAATTGGGGTTTCACTGTGTTGGCCAGGGTAGTGTCAAATTCCTGGCCTCAAGTGATCCACCCACCTTGGCCTCCCAAAATGCTGGGATTACAGGCATGAGCCACCATGCCTGGCCTATTTATTCATTCAGTTTTGAAATAGGGTTTCACTCTGTCAATCAGCCTGGTTTTCAGTGGCATGATCATGGCTCACTGCAGCCTCAACTTTCCAAACTCTGATGATCCTCTCATTTCGGCCTCTCAAATAGCTGTGTTACAAATATTTGCCATCACACCCAGCAAGTTTTGTTGTATTTTTTTTTGTAGAGACAGGGTTTTGAGATGTTGCTCAGGCTGATCTCAAACTCCTGGGATCAAGTGATCAGCCCACTTTGACCTCACAACATCCTAGGATTATGTTTCTTTCTATTAAGTAGTTTAATTAATTAGTATTTAAAATGATTGCTTTAAAATAGAGTTGCTATTACCAGTTTTACTGTTATTGTTATGTGTTTCTTGTAGATTTTTTTTTCTCATTTCTTGTTGTGCTGCTTTTATTTTTGTTTATTCTATGTAGTGATATGCTTTGGTTATTTTTCCATTTCCTTATTTATACTTTCGATAAATATTATCTTTGTAATTGTCTTGAGAAATGGAGATTACATAAAACATTTTAATATGAAAATAATATATTTTATTTTATTTTTTTGAGACACAGTCTTGCTCTGTCACCCAGGCTGGAGTGCAATGGCATGATCTCGGCTCACTGCAACCTCCACCTCCCAGGTTCAAGCAATTCTCCTGCCTCAGCCTCCCAAGTACCTGGGCTTACAGGTACCTGCCACCACACCCAGCTAATTTTTTGTATTTTTAGTAGAGATGGGTTTTTGCCATGTTGGGCAGTCTGGTCTCAAACTTCTGACCTCAGGTGATACACCCGCCTCAGCCTCTCAAAGTACTGGGATTACAGATGTGAGCCACAGCACCCAGCCAAAACTAAAATGATATATTTTAATCTCGTAACAACTTCAATTTAATACAAAAGCTATACCTTTATATTTTTCAGTAGTTATTGATATTGAAGATTATTTTATACTATGCATCTACTAACAGATTTATATTTTATATTTCATATTCTATAGAAGTAGTTTAAGGATTTTGTGTACCATCATTATGATAGTAAATAATTCTATATGTGTCTGTATATTTACATTTAATAGAGAGCTTTATTTTATATATGGTTTTATGATGCTGGCCAGCATCATTTTAATTTTCAAAAAAATGGACTCATTTTAATATTTCTCTTTGTTTATATGCAGAGTCTCACTATGTTGCTCAGGCTGATCTTGAACTCCTATTCTCAAGTGATCTGGCTGCCTTGGCCTGCTAAAACTGTAGGATTCATAGGCCCGAACCACAGTGCCTGGACACCATGTAGTACTTTTCATAGGACTGTGCTTGTAGTGATGAACACCCACACCTTTTATTATGGAGTCTTTATTTTTATCTTGTTTTTAAAGTAAAATAATTTTGGATCAAGTATTATTGGTTAGAAATATTTTTTTATCACATCAACATTTGGAAAGTTCTTAGGTTTTTCTTTTCTTTTTTGAGACAAAGTCTCACTCTGTTGCCCAGGTTGGAGTGCAGTGATGTGATCTCGGCTAACTGCAATCTCCACCTCCCGAGTTCAAGTGATTCTCCTGCCTCAGCTTCCTGAGTAGCTGGGATTACAGGCACGTGCCACCATGCCCAGCTAATTTTTTTTTGTTTGTTTGTTTGTTTTATTTTTGAGATGGAGTCTAGCTGTGTCGCCCAGGCTAGAATGCAGTGGCTTGATCTTGGCTCACTGCAACCTCCACCTCCCGAGTTCAAGCAACTCTCCTGTCTCAGCCTCCGGAGTAGCTGGGATTACAGGGGACTGCCACCATGCCTGGCTAATTTTTTTTGTATTTTTAGTAGAGATGGGGTTTCACCATCTTGGCCAGGCTGGTCTCAAACTCCTGACCTTGTGAAACACCTGCCTTGGCCTCCCTAAGTGCTGGGATTACAGGCATGAGCCACCGCACCCTGTCTAACTTTTGTATTTTTTTAGTAGAGATCGGGATTCACTATGTTGGCCAGGCTGGTCTTGAACTCATGACCTCAAGTGATATGTCCACCTTGGCCTCCCAAAGTGCTGGGATTACAGGGGTGAGCCACCGTGCCTGGCTCTCAGGTTGTTTTTATCTTGAAATGTCCTCATATTACTTTTTCTCTGTATTCTTTTTCTAGGATTTCTTTCATGAATATATTAATCTACTTGATAGTGTCCAATAAGTTTTACATTTCATATTTTAATTTTGTTTTGCAATTTTATATTTTTGAGTTATATTTTTTAGGTTATGCCACCTCACACCAATAAATTGTGTTTTGATATTTGAGTTTGTATTATAATTGTGTATGACAGGCCGGGCATGGTGGCTCATGCCTGTAATCCAAGCATTCTGGGAGGCCGAGGCAGGTGGATCGTGAGGTCAGGAGTTAGAGACCATCCTGGCTAACACAGTGAAACCTTGTTTCTACTAAAAATACAAAAAATTACCTGGGCCTGGTGGTGGGTGCCTGTAGTCTCAGCTATTTGGGAGGCTGAGGCAGGAGAATAGCATGAACCTGGGAGGTGGAGCATGCAGTGAGCCGAGATGGTGCCACTGCACTCCAGCCTGGGAGACAGAGCGAGACTCTGTCTCAAAAAATAATAATAAATAATAATAATAAATTGTATATGACAATGATTAACTCAATGCAATTTAAGACAATGTCAAGCAAAATTAAATATGAATCAGCCATATGTCTACTGCCAATATAATTATCTCTGTTTGCTTGTGTAAATATTATCCCTGTTTTGTTTTTTTTTTTTTTTAGACAGAGTTTCGTTCTTGTTGTCCAGGCTGGAGTGCAATGGTGCGATCTCAGCTCACCGCAACCTCCGCCTCCCAGGTTCAAGCAATTCTCTTGCCTCAGCCTCCCGAGTAGCTGGGATTACAGGCATGTACCACCATGCCTGACTAATTTTGTATTTTTAGTAGAGATGGGGTTTCTCCATGTTGAGGCTGGTCTCCAACTCCTGACCTCATGTGATCTGCCCGCCTCAGCCTCCCAAAGTGCTGGGATTACAGGCGTGAGCCACCGTGCCCAGCATTTTTTTTTTTTTTTTGAGACGGAGTCTTGCTCTGTTGCCCAGGCTGGAGTGCAGTGGCACGACGCCTGGCTAATTTTGTATTTTTAGTAGAGATGGGGTTTCTCCATGTTGGTCAGGCTGGTCTCGAACTCCTGATCTCGTGATCCGCCTTCCTCCCAAAGTGCTTGGATTACAGACATGAGCCACTGCACCCAGCCTATCCATGTATTTTTGTTATAACTTGTGTATTTGTTGTGTAGGTGTGTTGTGAATAGTTGTTTAATCCTGTCTAAGTGAATAGTGTTAGAAATTCTTCTAATATTAACATTCAATTTATTTGTGAATCTCTATTATTTTTGGATTTAAAGATATTTTTAAAACTATGATAACTTTATCTAAGTATTATTGTTTACTTTTACTTGTCAAAAACACAGCAAAATTTAGAATTAAAAAAACAATTTTTTTTTTTTTTTTTGAGATGGAGTCTCACTGTGTCTCCTGTGCTGGAGTGCAGTGGTGTGATCTTGGCTCACTGCAACCTCCGCCTCCTGGGTTCAAGGAATTATTTTGACTCAGCCTTCTGAGTAGCTGGGATTACAGGTGTGCATCACCACCCCTAGCTAATTTTTTGTTGTTGTTATTGTTGTTGTTGTTGTTTTAGTAGAGATGGGGTTTCACCATGTTGGCCAGGCTGGTCTTGAACTCCTGATTTCAAGTGACCCATCTGTCTCAGCCTCTCCAAGTGCTGGGATTACAGGCATGAGCCACTGTGCCTCACCTAAAAGATTTTTAAATATTTAGTTTATTCATATTAATTATATTTATATTGGTATGCAACATATGCTAAAATGTTTTTATCTTGCAAAGCTAAATCTGTTTTTTTGTGTGTGTGTATGAGACAGAGTCTCACTCTGTCACCCAGGCTGGAGTGCAGTGGTGCAATCTCGCCTCATTGCAACCTCTGCCTCCCAGGTTCAAGCAATTCTCTGCCTTAGCCTCCCAAGTAGCTGGGATTACAGGCACCCGCCACCATGCCTGGCTAATTTTTGTATTTTTAGTAGAGACGGGGTTTCACCATCTTGGCCAGGCTGGCCTTGAACTCCTGACCTCGTGATCCACCCGCCTCGGCCCCCTAAAGTGCTGGGAGTACAGCACTGCCTGGCCGTAAAGCTAAATCTTAATATACATTAAACAACTACCAATTATTCCCATTTCATCTCACTTTTCAAACACCATTCTTGTTCTGTTTCAGAGTGTAACTGTTAGACATATCATACAATCTCTGTCTTTTTGTGACTGGCTCGTTTCATTTTGCATAATGTTAAGATTTATCTTTATAGTTGTTATAATATTTTCTGCTGTTTGCAAACTGAGTGATATTCCGTTTTTATATTTCAAATTATATTTACTAAATGATTTTGTAACAGAAATTTGCATTGCTTTTACCTATTGGCTTTCAGTAACAGTGCTGCAATAATTATGGGTAAGCAAATGACTCTTTATATGACCATATATGTGAAAGTTCATGTGCTGGATTCTATTTTATTAGTCTACTTTCTTATCTTTATATTCACACAAAATTGTTTTTATTATGTAGCTTTGTCATGTATTTTGAAGTAAAGAACTGTGATACCTCTAACATTGTTCCTTTTTTTGAAGATTGTTGAGTATAGTCTCTTGAGATTCCATATACTTTTGGGGTTGCTGTTTCTATTTCTTCAGAAGTGCAATAAGAAATTTGAAAGACATTACATTAAATCTCTAGATTACATTCAGCAGCATGGACATCTACACAATATTAATTATTTCAACCTTTGAACAACAGCACACTCAAAAGTGTGTTGTTCAATTTCTATATATTTGTGAATTTTTCCGTTTTTTAAATTATTGTTTTATAATCTTATTCCATTTTGGTCACAGAAAGTAATTCATAAAATTTCAGTTTTAAAAAATTTGTTAAGAATTTTTTTTGGCCTAACAGATGGTCCTTTCAAGGAGAATGTTGTATGAACTATTGGGAAGGGTGTGTATCCTGATGTTCAGCTCTCTATACCTCTGTTAGAAATAATTGTTCCATACTGATTTCAAGTTTTCTATTCCCTTGCTAATATTCCATCTTGTTTTATTTTTATTAAGAAAATGGGGTCTTAATATATTCTACTATAATTATATTGCTCTCTGTGTGTTTCTTCAATTCCGTCAATATTTGTTTTATATATTTGAAACCCTCATGTGAGATGTGCGTCTGTACACATACACACACACACACACACACACACACACACACTAGTCATTTGTTCCCAGTAAATGAAACTACTATTGTTCAGTGTCCTTTTTTCTCTTTTCAGAGTTTTCACTTAAAGTACATGTTGTTAAATATGACACTTTTTGACTTAAGATGTAGCTTGTGTAATATTATTTTGACCTCTTCTTCTCTCATTTGGTTAATATTTACATAAAATTTCTACTTTCATCTTGCTACTTTCAGTCTTTTTTTATCATTAGGTTTCAACTGACTTGCAAAAAGGCAAATGAATCTTGGTATTTGAAAGATTTTAATAAATCATTTCGTTGAAAATTATGTCTCTAGATTGAAAAGTTAATTTTATATATATTTAAATAATTTTCTGAAAGAGTAACTAATGTAATTTTATTAATTCTATTGTTTAATTCTTGTATCTTTGTCCCTCATTTTCCCTCTGTCTTCTTTTGTGTCCTTTGGTTTTTGTATTAATATGCTTTCACTTCTTTCTTATTTTCTTTTATGTATCTATACAGATATTTTCTTTGTGGTACCTTGGGAATTACATAAAAACTTTAGAAAATAAAACAATTTTAATGTAGTAAAAATTAACCTTATTTGCACCACAGTTGCTTGAATCCGGGAAATGTAGGTTGCAGTGAGCTGAGATCATGCCAGCCTGGGCGACAGAGTGAGACTCCATCTGAAAAAAAAAAAAAAAAAAAAAAAAAAAAATATATATATATATATATATATATATACCTTATTTGCATACAAAAATTCTTTCTCATTATATCTGCTCTCTACTTTGTTACTGATGTTGCTAATTATATACATATATATTTTTTAAATTTTTATTTATTCATTTTTTTTGAGAGACAGTCTTGCTCTGTCACCCAGGCTGGATTACAATGGTGCAATCATGGCTCACTGCAACCTCCACCTTTCAGGTTAAAGCGATTCTCCTGCCTCAGCCTCCCAAGTAGCTGGGATTACAGTTGCCCACCACCACGCCCAGCTAATTTTTATATATTTAGTTGAGATGGGGTTTCACCATGTTGGCCAGGCTGGTCCTGAACTCCTGACGTCAGGTGATCCGCCCTCCTCAGCCTCCCAAAGTGCTGGGATTACAGGCATGAGCCACTGTGCCTGGCCACTAATTATTTATTTTTATGTTACATTAACAGATGTTTATAATCATTTCTATGCTTTTATCTTTTAAATTTTAGAGAAAAATTAATAATGTTTTCTGCATGATTATTAAAATGCTAAGGAATTCTGTTTTTGTGTATGTAAATATCTTTCCCAGAAAGTTATGTATTTTTGTATGATTATGTGTTTTCCTGCATCATGTTATTTTCAGTGGGATGAACTCCTTTCAGCATCTTTGGTATGTAGGGCATATGAAGTGCCAATATACTTTTTCAGGATTAGGTTATTTTGGAAGGTCTTTCTTTTTATTCAGTTGGACAGTTCTTTTTTATTTATTTATTTATTTATTTTGAGAAGGAGTTTCGCTCTTGTTGCCCAAGCTTGAGTGCAATGGCATGATCTTGGCTCACTGCAATCTCCGCCTCTCAGGTCCAACCGATTCTCCTGCCTCAGCCTCTTGAGTAGCTGGGATTACAGGGGCACGTGACCACGCCCGGCTAATTTTTTATATTTTTAGTAGAAACGGGGTTTCACCATGTTAGCTAGACTGGTCTCGAACTTCTGACCTCAGGTGATCCGCCCGCCTCGGCCTTCCAAAGTGCTGGGATTACAGGCACGAGCCACTGTGCCCGGCCACTTCTTTTTACTTGCATTATTTTCACTTGACAGATTTTTTTTTTTTCCCCAGGACTTTGACTATATCACCCAGTTCTCTTCAGGCCTTCCAGTTTTTTTTGAAAAGTTACTGGTTATCTCATAAGACATTTTTATAAATGATACATTACTTTATCTTGCAGCTCCCAAGATTCTCTTCTTGTCTGACATTTTTATCTTCCTAATTTATGTTTTTTGAGATTTTTAATATTTTTATTGTTATCCTCATTTTTCTGAACTTCAGTAGTTGTCTGTGTTCCTGTTTCATTCACTGTGTAGTATTTAATTTATTTTAAATTGAAAAATTTATACATCTTTATATTCCTATGGTTGCTTTCTGAAAGTTTAGTAATGTTTTTGATGGGGTCATCCTGCCCTAATATTTTGTGTACATTAATCTTTGATTGAGATTTAAACATTAAAAACAAGCTACCTGTCACAATCTTTTTTTTTTGAGATGGAGTTTTGCTCTTGTTGCCCAGGCTGGAGTGCAATGGCATGATATCAGCTCACCACAACCTCTGCCTCCCGAGTTCAAGCGATTCTCCTGCCTCAGCCTCCCGAGTAGCTGGGATTACAGGCATGTGCCACCATGCCCAGCTAATTTTGTATTTTTAGTAGAGATGGGGTTTCTCCATGTTGGTCAGGCTGGTCTTGAACTCCCAACCTCAGGTGATTCACCCGCCTTGGCCTCCCAAAATGCTGGGATTACAGCTGTGAGCTACTGTGCCCGGCCCTGTCACAATCTTTATAATGTACCTTAGGCCTGGGATAGTTTGAAACCAGTTGTCTTGGCTAGAGATTTTGGGAGTCTCGCAAACATTTTCTTAGATTGTGTCTTGTCTGAAATTTTGTGGGCTTTTTAAGTTAAAGAAGTATGTTAGTGTTTTTTCTAAATAGTCAGTAATCACTTGCTAAACCTGTTTCCTGTATGTGGTACTGCAGTCTCTGCTGCTGTAACACTTAACTTTGGTCTCAGCAGACTCAAACTGTCATTCCAAAGTATACCACCATTTCTTTTAGCACTTTATGTCATGGGAGACAGAAACCAGTGTCTGAAAAGGCCCCTAAGAGCCAGAAATAAAGATGTATGTGACACTATTTTTTTTAGTCTTTTAAAAAAGAAACCAGGAGTTGGCAATTTACTTCTGAAGGCGCTATGTTATATTGGGCAGCAGAAAGAGGTGTGTTGGGTAAATGTAACAGACTTTTCTTTTTTCTCCTATGTGGCTCTTTGCATTGTCATCACCTGGGGCACTGCACAGACTTTACTTATTTATAAATTTTTTACAAATGTATTTTGGTCAGAATGCTTTTGTTACATTTATATGTCTATAAAGGATTTAGGATCTGTAGTATTTTGCTATGTCATCTTGTTTATATAGTTGGTATAAGTTAGATTTGTAAATATTAATCTGAGTTGAGTAAATGGAATAATTTGTTATTTTTATTTCTTTCAGCTATGTGTTCTCATTTTGC
Source organism: Homo sapiens (assembly GCF_000001405.40). Classification (NCBI taxonomy): domain Eukaryota; kingdom Metazoa; phylum Chordata; class Mammalia; order Primates; family Hominidae; genus Homo; species Homo sapiens. The sequence continues at coordinate 21,294,720 of NC_000019.10, read as the reverse complement.
CAAAGACCTTAGGCCAGAGCAATATATAAAAAATTCTTTCCAACAAGTGATACTGAGAAGATATGGAAAATGTGGATATCAGAAAGGCTGTAAAAGTGTGGATGAGCATAAGTTGCACAAAGGAGGTCACAAGGGACTTAACCGGTGTGTGACAACTACCCAGAGCAAAATAGTTCAGTGTGACAAATACGTGAAAGTCTTTCATAAATATTCAAATGCAAAGAGACATAAGATAAGACATACTGGAAAAAATCCTTTCAAATGTAAAGAATGTGGCAAATCATTTTGCATGCTTTCACAACTAACTCAACATGAGATAATTCATACTGGAGAAAAACCCTACAAATGTGAAGAATGTGGCAAAGCTTTTAAAAAGTCCTCAAACCTTACGAATCATAAGATAATTCATACTGGAGAGAAACCCTACAAATGTGAAGAATGTGGAAAAGCTTTTAACCAGTCCTCAACTCTTACTAGACATAAGATAATTCATACTGGAGAGAAACTCTACAAATGTGAAGAATGTGGCAAAGCTTTTAACCGGTCCTCAAACCTTACTAAACATAAGATAGTTCATACTGGAGAGAAACCCTACAAATGTGAAGAATGTGGCAAAGCTTTTAAACAGTCCTCAAACCTTACTAATCACAAGAAAATTCATACTGGAGAGAAACCCTACAAATGTGGAGAATGTGGCAAAGCCTTTACCCTATCTTCACACCTTACTACACATAAGAGGATTCATACTGGTGAGAAACCCTACAAATGTGAAGAATGTGGCAAAGCTTTTAGTGTATTTTCAACCCTTACTAAACATAAGATAATTCATACTGAAGAGAAACCCTACAAATGTGAAGAATGTGGCAAAGCTTTTAACCGGTCCTCACACCTTACTAATCATAAGGTAATTCATACTGGAGAGAAACCCTACAAATGTGAAGAATGTGGTAAAGCCTTTACCAAGTCCTCAACTCTTACTTATCATAAGGTAATTCATACTGGAAAGAAACCCTACAAATGTGAAGAATGTGGTAAAGCCTTTAGTATATTCTCAATCCTTACTAAACATAAAGTAATTCATACTGAAGACAAACCCTACAAATGTGAAGAATGTGGCAAAACTTTTAACTACTCCTCAAATTTTACTAATCATAAAAAAATTCATACTGGAGAGAAACCCTATAAGTGTGAAGAATGTGGCAAAAGCTTTATTCTGTCCTCTCATCTTACTACACATAAGATAATTCATACTGGAGAGAAACCCTACAAATGTAAAGAATGTGGCAAAGCTTTTAACCAGTCCTCAACCCTTATGAAACATAAGATAATTCATACTGGAGAGAAACCCTACAAATGTGAAGAATGTGGCAAAGCCTTTAACCAGTCCCCAAACCTTACTAAACATAAGAGAATTCATACCAAAGAGAAACCCTACAAATGTAAATAATGTGTCAAATCCTTTAGTGTATTTTCAACTTTTATTAAAACACAAGATAATTCATACTGGAGAGAAATCCTACAAATGTGATAAATGTGGCAAAGCCTTTAACTGGCTCTTAATCCTTATGAAACAAAAGATAATTCATACTAGAGAGAAACCCTACAAATGTAAAGAATGTGGCAAAGCATTTAACTGGTCCCTAAATCTTACTAAACATAAAAAAACTTAAACTGGAGAGAAACTACAAAGCTGGAAGACATCACAGTAATTCTGACAACACCTCAAACTTTTCTAAACATAAAATAAATCATACTGGTGAGGAACTTTAAAAATGCGAAAAATGTGACAAAATCTTTAAATGATTGTCACACTTGATTGTAGGTAAGATAATTCTTACTAGAAAAACTCTTACAAGTGTGAAGAATGTGGCAAAATTTTTAATGAATACTCACACCTTATTGCCAGGAAAGCATTTATACTTGAGAAAAATTGTACCAATATAAAGACTGTGAAAAAGCCATTAATGTCTGCTCACATCTTACTCAACATCAGAGAGTACTTAAAAAAAGTATTATAAATTTAATTACTGTCAAAAAGTATTTCAGAAAATATAAGCTTTTAAAGTATTTATTTTGAAGACAAACATTACAAATAAAAGAGGATTGTAATACCTTTATTTGTATCACAGATCTTATTGTACACATTTTGTACTAGAGAAAACCCTGAAGCAGTTACTTAAACTTTGTTCAACATCAGGGAATTCAGATTGGAGAAAAACCCTGCAAATGTAATAAATTTGAAAAAAAAGTTTTCCAAAACTACAACTTAGACAACACCAGAGGGTTCATACTGAGATATATTTTTGCAGATGCAGTATATATTTAAAACATTTAATCCAAAATAAGTCTATGTAAATATCAGAGAATTCACAGTGGAAATATCTAAGGTAGGGCCGGGCATGGTGGCTCACGCCTGTAATGCCAGCACTTTGGGAGGCTGAGGTGGGCAGATCATGAGGTCAACAGATTGAGACCATCCTGGTCAACATGGTAAAACCCTGTCTCTACTAAAAATACAAAAATTAGCTGGGCGTGGCGGCACGTGCCTGTAGTCTCAGCTACTTGGGACGCTGAGGCAGGAAAATCCGTTGAACCCAGGAGGCAGAGGTTGTAGTGAGCCGAGATTGCACCACTGCACTCCAGCCGGGTGACAGAGTGAGACTCCATCTCAAAAACAAACAAACTAAGGTATGGATGCTTCAGACATTACACTATATCAAAGTGCTGACTGTTAAAAATGATCCCAAACTAACGGTAGATAAATTTATTTGTACATAACTTTAAAAGGAGTAGAAGATTTTTTGGAAGTTTGTAATTACATTCAAAGTATACTTTTTTTGTTTGTTTGTTTTCCTTGAGACAGAGTCTCTCTCTGTCGTCCAGGCTGGAGTGCAGTGGCACAATCTCAGCTCGCTGCAACCTCTGCCTCCTGGGTTCAAGCAATTCTCCTGCCTCAGCCTACTGAGTAGCTGAGATTACAGGTGCACACCACCACGTCCGGCTGACTTTTGTATTTTTAGTAGGGACGGGGTTTCACCATATTGGTCAGGGTAGTCTTGAACTCCTGACCTCATGCTCTGCCCAGCTTGGCTTCCCAAAGTGCTGTGATTACAGGCTTAAGCCACAGCGCCCGGCCCAAAGTGTTCTTTTTTCCTTGAAAAGAAGTACAGATTTTTTAAAAAGCTAATATTGCTGTGATTCAACTCTCTAGTTACTTGATGCTATTTCTTCATTTCTATTGTATTCACATGTGAAAGCATGTGATCAGTTGTCACGGCATCAAAGATAGGAGAGTTTCTTTTTTTTTAGGTGGGCATTATTTATGACCTTTTCTTTGGAAGAGTAAGGACATTAAAATGTAACATGCATGATGAAAATCTAAGTGGAGATGGTATTTGTGGTTAATTATGATATTGAGTGGTGCATGAGGTAGGTGTTTAGAGTAATATTCTTTTGCATTATAGTAAGAACATTTAAGTTTTGTTAAAATTAAAAAATTAGTACGTTATTTTACTATTTGTACTTTTATGTAATAAAATGCAGTACATTTTTAAATTTTCAGATGATGTGTGAACTTGTTTCATTATACATTTTTAACATGTTAATACTATTGTGCATTCAATGAAGCATTATTATGCCACTAACTGAAACCTATCCCATTTACTCAAAGGTGTAGGTAAATGATAGTAAGAATATACTATTTGGTAATGTAATCAACTAACATCTCTGGTAATCTCCTTTGCCAGTGGCTTTCAACTGCAAATAAGTTTAAAAAATACTGTTTCCGTAGGTTAAATTTTTATTATTTTTTCTTGTTGAAATCTGTTTAATTTTTTTTTTTTTTTTTGAGACAGTGTCTCGCTGTGTCCCCCAGGCTGGAGTGCAGTGGCACGATCTCGGCTCACTGCAAGCTCCGCCTCCCACATTCACGCCATTCTCCTTCCTCAGTGTCCTGAGTAGCTGGGACTACAGGCGCCCGCCAACACGCCCAGCTAATTTTTTGTATTTTTAGTAGAGACGGGGTTTCACCGTGTTAGCCAGGAGGGGCTCGATCTCCTGACCTCATGATCCGCCCATCTCGGCCTTCCAAAGTGCTGGGATTACAGGCGTGAGCCACTGCGCCTGGCCTAGATTTTTATACAACGTGTAGCAAATACAAAATTTGCTAGAGAATATATTTTAGAAATCAAAATTTTAGGAGTTCTAATGGTAAGTAAAGAATTTTAAATTTACTTTTCTGTAATGTAGTGTAACTTAATTTCTATGCAGAATCTTCTACTTTAAGAGTGAATGTTAAACATGGCAAAATAATAAAGTGACCTCTGTGAATTTGAAATTTGAGATAATATTTCTTTTCCATACTGATATTACAATTTGAAGAAATTTCCAGTTCATATAACTTTTTTTCAGTGGGTGAAGTTCAGTCTACAGTTTTTTTTTGTTTTTGAGAAAGAGTTTTGCTCTGTTGCCCAGGCTGGAGTGCAGTGGCCCAACCTCGGCTCACTGCAACCTCCGCCTCCCAGGTTCAAGTGATTCTCCTGCCTCAGCCTTCCAGGTAGCTAGGATTACAGGCATGCGCCACCACACCCAGCTAATTTTTGTATTTTTAGTAGAGACCAGGGTTTCCCCATATTGGGCAGGCTGGTCTCGAACTGCTGACCTCATGATCCACCTGCCTCAGCTTCCCAAAATGCTGATAACAGGCGTGAGCCCCCGCACCTGGCCCAATCTACAGTTTTTATTCTGAGTCATCTAAGTATAGCCAACTCCTTGGTCATTTTCTCTGAAGAATTTTGGAAATTTTGGCAACTTGTGGATTAAAACATTTCCTATTATTTTGCATGCAAGCTTGTTTACTGTGTTCACAGTCATGGGACAATAAACATCACCTGCCCATTTACTGTCTATCATACCATTACCATCAGCACCAGAAACTCCAGGTGCCCCAAGCTTAGAAGCCCTAAACTACATTGGCTCCTCTCATACACTGTGCTGTGTCCAGAACATGCTGTTAAATATCAGAGTACCTATGGTTGTGTTGTGGCTGAAAAATAATGCGAAAAAAACAGCACAAAAACCATATATTTTGGATACTATTCAGCAAAATTAATGATGAAGACACAATATTTGAAACATTGTTATCCTTCTATAATGTTTTAAAAATACATTTCTTAACTGGACAGATGAAATGTGTGTTCTGTAAAGCATGATGATTTGAAGTATATCTACATTGTCAAATGATAAATTCTAGGTAATTAATGCTTTACCTCACATAGTTTACATTTTTGTGGTGAGAGCCTGTAATATCCTCTTACCATTTTTCAAAAATACAATATTATGAACTGTAGTCAGTGTTGCACAAACAATATCTTGAACTTATTCCTCCAACTTAACTATAATTATGTATTCATTGATAGACATCTTTCCAAACCATTCTTTTTTCTAAGTATCTTGGCATCTTGTGGTCACCATTTTACTCTCTACTTCAATGAGATTTGTTATTTATACTTTAAGTGTAGGTGAAATCGTGAAATACTAATCTTTCTGTGCCTGGCTTATTTCAACTAATATCCTCTAGGTTAATCCATGTGGTTGAAAATAATAGAATTTTTTTTTAGAGGTGAAGAGTATTCCACTAGATATATCTACCACATTGTCTTTATTTACTTATTAGGTGTTGAGTGTTGCAAACAACATAGAAGTGCAAACTTTCCTTCATTGTGATTTTATTCATTTTGGATGTATATTTAATAGTGCAATTGCTGTATTATATGGTAGTTTGATTTTAAATTTTTTTTGAAAAATCTCTCTTTTGTTTTCCAAAATGGCTGTCCTCATTTACACTCATACCAATAGTATACAAGCATTCCCTTTTCTTCACATCTTTATCAACACATTTCTTTTTACTAAGAGTCATTCTATCAAAAGTGAGTATATATCTCACAGTTATTTTGTCTTGGCTTTCAATAATAATAATTGACATTGAGAATTTTTTATGTATCTGTTGGCTCTATGTATGTCTTTTGAAAAATAAGCATTTTACTCATTTTTAATTTGTTTTTTGTGATATAGTCATTTGAATTTTAATATATTTTTGATATTAACCCTTTGTCACATGTATGATTTGCACATATTTTCTCTTATTTCTTAGTTGTCACATCCTGTTGATTTCATCAGATTCTGTGCAGCAGCTTTTTAATTTGAAGTAATCTGAGTCATCTATTTTTCCTTTGCTTTCCTGGGGTTTGAGTTTAAATCATAAAGTCACTGCCAGCCGGGTGTGGTGATTCATGCCTGCAATCCCAGCATTTTGGGAGGCCGAGGCAGGTGGATCACTTGAGGCCAGTTTGAGAACAGCCTGGCCAGCATGGTGAAACCCCGTCTCTACTAAAAATACAAAAATTAGCCAGACTTGATGGCACACACCTGTAGTCCCAGCTACTTGGGAGGCTGAGGCAGGAGAATTGCTTGAACCCGGGAGATGGAGGTTGCAGTGAGCTGAGGTTGCACCAATGCACTCCAGCCTGTGCAAAAGAACGAGACTCTATCTCAAAAAAAAAAAAAAAAAGTTACTGCCTAGACCAATGTTATGGGGCTTTTACTCTACTTTTGTGTATTAGTTTCATTGCAGTTTCAAGCATTACATGTAAGTTTCTAATTTATTTTGAATTGATTTTTACATGTGGTGTCAAATGAGGGTCTCATTGCTTTGCATGTGGCTGTAAAGTTTCTCAACACCATTTATTGAAGATACTGTCCTTTCTCTGAGAAATTGTCACCTATATTTAAAATTAGACAGTTGTAAATACATGGATATATTTCTGGTTTCTTTGGGTTCATTTTTATTCCAATATACTGCTTTGGTCACTATAGCTTTGTAGTATATTTCAAAGTAAGGTTGTGTGATACCTTCAACCTTTCTTTTTTGCTTGATTGCTCTGGGTATTTGGGGTCTTTTGTGGTGCCATATTAATTTTAAATACATTTTAAAAATTTTATGAAGTCACTGGTATTTTGATACAGGTTACATTTTATCTGTAGATTATTTTGTTTAACACACATATTTAGCAATATTAATAGTACCAATTCAGGAATGAGTAATATTTTCCATTTGTGTATTACTTAATTTTTTACTTTTATGTTCTTTAGATTATAATATAAGGTGTTTCACCTTTTTACTTAAATTTATTTCAAAGTATAGTTACTCAAGTTATTGTAGCTGGGATTCTTTTTAAATTTCATTTTGAGATAGTTAATTGTTAGTGTATAGAAATGCTACTGACTTTCATATGTTGATTTGTATTCTGCAAATTTAATAAATTTGTTTATTAGTTCTAGTAGTTCTAGTAAAGTCTTAGGCTTTTCTGTACTTAAGATTATATCGTCTGCAAACAAATAATTTAATTTCTTTTCTTCCAATCTGCCTATCTTTGCTTTTATCTTACAATTTCTCTCTTTGGACATTTAGTATTATGTTTAGTTAAGAATGAAGAAAGTGGTCATCTGCTCAGGAGTGGTGGCTCATGCCTGTAATCCCAGCACTTTGGGAAGCCAAGGCAGGTGGATCACCTGAGGTCAGGAGTTCGAGACCAGCTTGGCCAACATGGTGAAACCCAGTCTAACTAAAAATACAAAAATTAACTGGATATGGTGGCAGGTGCATGTAATCCCAGTTACTTGGGAGGCAGAGGGAGGTGAATCGCTTGAACCTGGGAGACAGAGGTTGCAGTGAGCTGTGATTGTGCCATTGCACTCCAGTCTGGGTGACAAGAGTGAGACTCCGTCAAAAAAAAAAAAGAAGAAAGAACAAGAAAGAAAGAAAAGGAAGGAAGGAGAGAGAGAAAGAAAGAAGAAAGAAAAGGAGAGAAGGAAAGGAAGAAAGGAGAGAGAAAGAAAGAGAAGCAAGAAAAGGAGAGAAGGAAAGGAAGAAAGGAAAAGGAAGAAAGAGGGCATCCCTGTCTTGTTCTAGGTCTTAGAGTAAGAGCTTACATTTCACTGTTTAATATGTTGTTAGCTGGACATTTTTTTCTATACATGGCATTTATTGGCTTGAGATGCATTTGTCCTATACTAATTATTTTTTAGAGATTATCATGAGGGAATGTTGAATTTTGTCAAACTTTTGTTTTTTTTTTTGGCTGGAGTTTCACTCTTGTCATCCAGGCTGGAGTGCACTGGCACGATCTCGGCTCACTGCAACCTCTGCCTCCCAGGTTCAAGCAATTCTCCTGCCTCAGCCTCCTGAGTAGCTGGGATTACAAGCGTGAGCCACCACGCCCAGTTAATTTTTGTATTTTTAGTAGAGACAGGGTTTCCCCACGTTGGCCAGGCTGGTCTCGAACTCCTGACCTCAGGTGACCCACCCGCCTCGACCTCCCAAAGTGCTGGGATTACAGGTGTGAGCCACTGCACCCAGCCAAATTTTGTCAAGCTTTTATTCTGCATCTATTTAAATGTTAGAGTTGTGATATCACAACTAATTTCACATAAATAGTAAACATCCTCAGAGACTACTATGCACATCTCTATGCATGCAAACTAAAAAATTTAGAGAAAATAGATAAACTCCTGGATACATCCAGCTTCTCAGCATTGAACCAGAAAGAAACAGAAGTCTTGAACAGAGCAACAATGTATAAAGTATATAATAAGATTGAATTACTAATAAAACAAGCTACCAACCATAGAAAGCCCTGGATAAGATGAGTTCACAGCCACATTTTATCACATATACAAAGATAACCTGGTATTAATTCTACTGAGTGTATTCCAAAAATCAAGGTGGAAGTCCTTCCTAAATTATTTGAAAACATTATTATCTTGGTAGTAAAACCTAGTGAAGACACAACAAAAAAGGAAAATTACCGGTCACTATTCTTGGTGAAAATTGAAACAAAAATTCATGAAGTACTAGCAAGTTGAGTTCATAAGCAAAGCAAAAAGTTATTTTGCCACAATCATGTAAACTTCATTGTATGAATGCAAAGATGTTTCATCATATACAAGTAAATAAATGTGATTCACCATGTAAAGATAATTTTTAAAAAACAATTATCACATGCAGAAAAGGCATTCAAGAAAATCTAATACTCATTTATAAAAACATTCTCAACAAACTAAGCACTGGAGAAATATGCCTGAAAATAATAAGAGCCATCCATGACAAATCCTCAGCCAACATCATACTGAGCGGGCAAAACCTGGATGAGGTCTCCATCAGAATAAAAATAAGGCTGGGTGCAGTTGCTCACGCCTGTAATCCCGGCTCTTTGGGAGGCTGAGGTGGGTGGATCACCTGAGGTCAGGAGTTCAAGACCAGCCTGGCCAACAGGGTGAAACTCTGTCTGTACTAAAAATACAAAAAATTAGCCTGTCGTGCTGGCAGGCATGTGTAATCCCAGCTACTCAGGAGGCTGAGGCAGGAGAATCACTTGAATGTGGGAGGCAGAGGTTGCAGTGAACTGAGATCATGCCATTGCAATCCAGCCTGGGCAACAAGAGTGAGACTCCATCTCAAAAAAAAAAAAAAAAAAAGACAAAGAGTATCCACTCTAAACACTTCTATTCAACATAGTCCTGAAAGTCGTAGCCACAGCAATTTAACAAGATAAAGCAATAAAATGTATTCAAATAGAAAAAGAGGAAGTCAAATTATCTTCACTGGTGATATAATTCTCTACCTGGGAAACTTCACCGAAAAAGATTTCACCAAAAGATTTCTAAGCCTAAAGAATGACTTCAGCAAAGTCTCACCATACTAAATCAACATACACAAATGAGTAGCATTTCTGTGCACCAATAATATTCAAGCTGAGAAAAAAAGAACATGGTTCTATTTACAATAGCTACAAACAAAAAAATATGTACCTAGTAATACATTAAATCAAGGAGGTAAAATATCTCTACAACAAGAACTACAAAACTGCTGAAAAAAAATAGAGACAACGCAAATAAGTAAAAAGGCACTCCATGCTCATGAATTTAAAGAATCAATATAATTAAAATGTCCGTGCTGCCTAAAGCAACTTACAGATTAAGTGCTACTTCTCTCAAACTATAAATGCAACTTTTTATGGAATTAGAAAAAGAAAACCATTCTAAAAGTCATATGGAAGAATAAAACAGCCCATTTAGCCAAAGCAACATTAACAACAAAGCAATCCTGGAGGCCTCACATTACCTGGCTTGTACTACAAAGCTACAGTAATCCATATTACATGGCTTGCTACAAAAATACACATGTAGACCAATAGAAAGAAGAGAAAGCCCTGAAATAAGTTTACATTTCTACACCCAACTTTTTTCTGACAAAGTCAACAGAAGTAAACAAGGAAAAATTGTCTATCCAACAAATGGTACTGGGAAAACTGGTTAATCATATGTAGAAGGAGAAAATTGAAACTGTACCTCTCACCATATAAAAAATGTAATTCAAAATAGATTAAAAACTTAACTGTGAAACTTAAAGCTATAAAAATCGTAGAACATCAAAAAAGTACTCTTCTAGTCACTGGCCTCTGGAAAGGATTTATGACTAACACCATAAAAGTGAATGCAACAAAAATAAAAGTGAAAAATTAACACCTAATTAAACTAAAAAACTTCTGCACACCAAAAGAAACCATTGACAAATATGCAGACAACCTAGAGTATGGAATAAACTATTTTCAAACTTCATACAAGAAAAAGTTAATATTTATTCATATATATTATGTATTTATATAATATATAAATTAAGTTAATGGTTAGAATACTATAAAAATTTAATAAGGAAATACACAAATGATCTGAGTAGACACTTCTCAAAAAAAGACATGAGAGTTGCCAATAAACATGCAAAAAATTGCTCACCATCCCTAATCATCAGAGACATGTAAATCAAAATGACAATGTGATGCCATTTCATAGCAGTTAGAATGGCTGTTATTAAAAAGTAAAAATATTGCAGATGTTGAAGTTGTGGAGAAAAGGGAATGTATATATACTGTTGGTTGAAATGCAGTTTAATGCAGCCCTTGTGAAATGCAGTTTGGAGATTTCTTAACTGAAAATAGAATTGCCGTTTGACCCATCAGTCTCATTACTGGGTGTATACCAAAAGGAGAATAAATTATTTATTTATTTATTTGTTTATTTTTGAGATGGAGTCTTGCTCTGTCTCCCCAGCTAGAGTGCAGTGGCGCGATCTGGACTCACTTCAGTCTCTGCCTGCTGGGTTCCAGCAATTCTCCTCCCTCAGCCTCTTGAGTAGCTGGGACTACAGGCATGTGTCACCATGCCCGGCTAATTTTTTGTATTTTTAGTAGAGACGGGGTTTCATCCTGGTGGCCAGGCTGGTCTCCAACTCTTGACCTCATGATCCACCCACTTGGGCTTCCCAAAGTGCTGGGATTACAGGCGTGAGCCACTGTGCCCCGCCTGAGAATAAATTATTTTACCCAAAAGACTCCTTGCACTCACGTGTTTATTGCAGCACTATTCACAGTAGCAAAGACAGAATTAAACTAGGTAGCCATGAATCTTAAATTGGATAAAAAAAACTTAGATACTTGTACATCATGCAATACTATGCAGCCACAGAAGACAGTGAAGTAATGTCCTTTGTAGCAACATGTCTGCAGAAGATGGCCATTATTCTAAGCAAATTAACAGAAAACTATTACATGTTCTTACTTACATGTGGGAGCTAAACATTGGGTGCATATGGAAACAAAGATGAAAACAATAAACACTGGGGATTCCAAAAAGAAGAAAGAAGGGAGAGAAACAGTGAAAAACTACTTAACAGGTATGATGTATGCCACTTAGGTAATGGGATTATTAAGTGCCCAAACCTCAACACCATGCAGTATACCTGTGTTACAAATCTGCACACATACCCTCAATCTGTAATAATAAAATGGTTTGTGGATAATGACATGTTACACTTCTCCCGTTCTGGCTTAATAGTTGGAATTGGGGTGAAAGACTCAGTATTATGTTCCCTTTTGAAAGAGGGGTGAAAGTCTCTGTACCAGGTCGCTCGACATTCTATAAGCTAACATCTCTGAAAGCTCTTGGTCTATAGCTCAAGAAGTGTTTTATTCCCAATTATGCAGCTAGAATAAGTGACTAATCTTTATTTTTTATTAGCTGTACTTTAGACTACAGATTTAATTTGTTACTCTTTGGGGAAAAAATGGAAGTTGGTTTAATCATCTTTCTTTTTTATAATGAACCATTTTTGAAAATGTGAGATTGTGAAAATCATGCTAAATTTCTGAATTAGGAAAAAAAGATTTCTCTCAAATAAGCATAAATGTCTTATGACCATAACTCAAGAATAACAAAATAGAGTGAGGGTTATTTAAGACCACCCTGCTGCAACCATTCTGTCACAACCATTCTGGTGAAGAAAGAATACTTTCCTCATTCTATTTTAGCGTTAATTTTTATTTGCCTTTATTATTTGCCATATAGAAATCTGTTCCTCAGGCTGGGCATCGTGGCTCATGCCTGTAATTTCAGCACTTTGGAAGGTCAAGGCAGGCGGATCACCTGAGGTCAGGAATTCGAGACCAGCCTGGCCAACATGATGAAACCCTGTCTCTACTAAAAATACAAAGAAAATTAGCCAGACATGGTGGCAGGTGCTTGTAATCCCAGCCACTCAGAAGGCTGAGGCAGGAGAATCGCTTGTACCTAGGAGGCAGAGGTTGCGGTCAGCCGACACAGCGACATTACCCTCCAGCCTGGGCAACAAGAGAAAAACTCCACCTCAAAAAAAAAAAAAAAAAAAAAGTCTGTTCTTCAAGAAAAGATGCCAGGAATTTCAAGTTAATATGTTCAAACATATATTCTCCCTAGAAGGGTACTGGTGTGTTTGCAATCAAGGTGTAGGATTTCTGGCCTTCCTTGTTTTGCTGTGTTTGTGAGAAATAGGCAGAAGGTAAAGCTGAGTCAACCATGACATTTCTAGTTACTACAGCCACAGCACCTCAAATCTAGTGTTATGTCAACTAGAAATTATGATTGTGTTTCATAAGTAAGAAAAATGAATTAATACTTTCTAGATGATAGTATTAATATTTTAGTAGCTTATGATTGTGAGTCACAATTGCCCCATTGGGTTTACTGAAAAGCAGTTATTTATCTTCTAAGTGTAAAAAGAGAATAGGTGTTCTATAATCCTATGCATACAGATCTTTTAAGATTGGCACTGTGTTTAGATTTGAATACATTCATACATTTGTAGCAATTTAAATTTTAATATTTTTCTAATAGAAGTGAAAAAAACAATAGAAATAGTTAACATGAGTTGAACAGAAACTTCACGTTTTCATTAAATAACATTTAAAACCACATTGTGACCAGTAATTCCAATCTGTTTCATTTAGTAACTAAAATAACTTGATATCCTTTATTCAATCAGAAATAGTATTTTTATATTGGTGTTTCTGAAACTTTCAGAAACTGTAGACCACTTAATGGGTAATAATGCACATGCAAATCACAAATTTTCTACATAATAGTAAGCTTAGCCTAGCTTTTAATATAAATATTCACTATATTTCCAAAGTAAAATTAGCGGCTCTTTCTGGGTGCAGTGGCTCACACCTGTAATCCCAACACTTTGGGAGGCCAAGGCGGGCGAATCACGAGGTCAGGAGTTCAGGACCAGCCTGGCCAACATGGTGAAACCCCATCTCTACTAAAAATACAAAAATTAGCCAGGCATGGTGGTGCGTGCCTGTAATCCCAGCTACTCAAGAGGCTGAGATGGGAGAATGGCTTGAACCCAGGAGGCGGAGGTTGCAGTGAGCTGAGATCATGCCATTGCACTCCAGCCTGGGCAACAGAGCAAGACTCCATCTCAAAAAAAAAAAATTAGTGGCTCTTTTAAGTGATGAGACAGATATAATTGTTAGGCCGGGCACGGTGGCTCATGCCTATAATCCCAGCAGTTTGGGAAGCCGAGGCGGGTGGATTATGAGCCCAGGAGTTCGAGACCAGCCTGGCTAAGATAGTGAAACCCTGTCTCTACTAAAAACACAAAAATTAGCCGGCTGTGGTGGCACACACTTGTAGTCCCAGTTACTTAGGAGGCTGAGGCAGGAGAATCGCTTGACCCCGGAGGCAGATGTTGCAGTGAGCCAAGATCGTGCCACTGCACTCCATCCTGGTGACAGAGGGAGACTCCGTCTCAAAAAAAAAAAAAAAAAGTTTTAAATTGGTAAGGTGGAAATCAAGCTGTTGCTGTTTGATGGTAATATAATAGTATACCTAGAAAACATTAAAGACTCCTCTGAAAAGCTTCTATAACTGATAAATGAATTCAGCAAAGTTTCAGGATACAAAATCAACGTACACAAATCAGTAGCAATCTAAAAATTCAATGCAATTTCCATCAAAATACCACCAATGTTCTTCACAGAAGTAGAAAAATCACTGATAAAATCCATATGGAACCAAAAAAGAGCTCACATAGCCAAAGCAAAACTAAGCAAAAAGAACAAATCTGGAGGCATCGTGTTACCTGACTTCAAGGCATAATATATTTTATAAGGCCCTAGTCCCCAAAACAGCAGGATACTGGTATAAAAACAGGCACATAGGCCAGGCGCGGTGGCTCACGCCTGTAATCCCAGCACTTTGGGAGGCCGAGGCAGATGGATCACGAGGTCATGAGATTGAGACCATCCTGGCTAAAACGGTGAAACCCCGTCTCTACTAAAAATACAAAAAATTAGCCGGGCGCGGTGGCAGGCGCCTGTAGTCCCAGCTACTCAGGAGGCTGAGGCAGGACAATGGCGCGAACCCGGGAGGTGGAGCTTGCAGTGAGCCGAGATCGCGCCACTGCACTCCAGCCTGGGAGACAGAGCGAGACTCCATCTCAAAAAAACAAACAAACAAACAAACAAACAAAAAAACCAGGCACATAGATCAGTAGAACAGAATACAGAACCCAGAAATAAACCCAAATAGCCTACTCCTGAATGATTTTTTTTTTTTTTTTTTGAAACAGAGTCTCACTCTATTGCCCAGGCTGGAGTGCAGTGGCATGATCTTGGCTCACTGCAACATCCACCTCTTAGGTTCAAGCAATTCAGCCTCCGAGTAGGTAGGATTACAGGAACAAGCCACCATGCCTGGCTAATTTTTGTATTTTTAGTAGAGATGGGGTTTCACTATTTTGGCAAGGATAGTCTCAAACTCCTGACCTCAAGTGATCTGCCCACCAAAGTGCTGGAATTATAGGAGTGAGTCACCATGCCCAGCCTCCTGAATGAGCTTTGAATCAACAACAAAATTAAGGTGGAAATTTAAAAACACTTTGATTTGAATGACAATAATGTCACAACTTATGAATACCTCTGGGATACAGCAAAAGTCGTGCTAAGAGAAAGTTGATAGCAATAAATGCCTACATCAAAAAGTCTAAAATGGCAAAAACAGACTACATAAGGTTACACCTCAAAAATCTAGAGAAGCAAAAACAAATCAAATCCAAATGCAGCAGCACAGAAAAAATAACAAAGAGAAAAACTAACTGAAATTGAAACAAAAAAATACAAGAAAATAAATGAAACAAAAAGCTGGTTGTTTACAAAGTTGAACAAAATTGATAGACCATTACTAGCAAGATTAACCAAAAAAAGCAGAGAGAAGATCTAAATAAGCTCAATTACAAACAAAATGGAAGATTTACAGACAATACCACAGAAATACAAAAGATTTTGCTACCATGAATATATTTACATGTACAAATTAGAAAACCTAGAGAAGATGCATAAATTCCTGGAAATACACAATCCTTTTAGATTAAACCTGGAAGAAACAGAAACTCTGAACAGACCAATAAGAGGTAGTGAGATTGAAATAGTAATAAAAAATTGCTAACCAAATAAGTCCAGGAGTACATGAATTCACAGATATATTTTATCATCAGACATTCAAAGAAGAATTGTTACCAATCTTACTGAAACTATTCCAAAAGATAAAAAGGTAATCTTCTCTAAATCATTCCATCAAGCCAATATCACCCTAATCCCCAAACCAGAAAAAGGCATGACAAAAAAACAAAAAAAGTAAATATTTCTGATGAACATAGATGATAAAATTATCAGCAAATTCCTAGCTAACCAAATACAACAGCATATCAAAAAGATAATACACCATGATCAAGTGCATTTTATACCAGAAATGAAGGGATGGTTTAACATATGCAAGTAAATAAATGTGATATACCACATAAACAGAATTAAAAACAAAAATCACATGATTATCTCAATAGGCTCAGAAAAAAATCTGACAAAATCCAGCATCACTTCAGCATTAAAACCCTTAGCAAAACTGGCAGAGAGAGGACATAGCTTAAGGTAACAAAAGCCATTTATGACAAACCCACAGCCCACCTTATACTGAATGGGAAAAATTTGAAAGCATTACCCCTGAGAGCTAGAACAAGACAAGGATGTTCACTTTCACCACTTCTATTCGACATAGTACTGGAATTCTTAGCCAGAGCATTCAAACAAGAGAAAGAAATAAAGGGCATCCAAATTGGAAAAGAGGAAGTCAAACTGTGACTGTTCACTGATGATGTGATTGTATACCTAAAAGACACTAAAGACTCATCCAAAAAGCCCCTAGATCTGATAAATGAATTCAGTGAAGTTTCAGGATACAAAATCAATGTACAAAATTCAGTAGCACTGCTATGCACAAATAGCAACCCAAACTAGGAATCAAATCAAGAACTCAACCCCTCTTACAACAGCTGAAAAATAATAATAATAATAATAATAATAATAATAATAATAATAATAATTAGGAATATACTTAGCCAAGGAGGCAAACGATCTCTACAAGGTAAATAACAAAACACTTGAAATAAATTATAGATGACACAAACAAATGGAAACACATTTCATGCTCATGGATAAGTAGAGTGACTATTGTGAACATGACCATGATGCCAAAAACAATCTACAAATTCCATGCAATTCCCATAAAGATAGCATCATCATTCTTCACAGAACTAAAACAAAAAAAGACAATTATAAAATTCATATTGAACCAAAAAAAGCCCACATAGCCAAAACAAGACTAAGTAATAAGAACAAATCTGAAGGCATTACATTACCAACTTCAAACTATATCAAAAGGTGATAGTTATCAAAACAGTATGGTACTGGTATAAAAATAGGCATGTAGAACAACAACAGAATTTCATACCCAGAAATGAACCCAAATACTTAAAGCCAACTAATTTTTGACACTGTTAACGAAAACAAAGTATAAAAAGGACACCCTAAGGCTGGGCGTGGTGGCTCATGCCTGTAATCCCAGCACTTCGGGAGGCCAAGGCAGGTGGATCACCTGAGGTCAGGAGTTTGAGACCAGCCTGGCCAACATGGTGAAACCTCATCTTTAATAAAACTACAAAAATTAGCCAGGCACAGTGGCTTATGCCTGTAATCCCAGCCCTTTGGGAGACCAAGACAGGTGGATCACTTGAGGTTAGGAGTTCAAGACCAGCCTGACCAACATGGCAAAACCCAGTTTCTACTAATAATACAAAAAATTAGCCAGGCATGGTGGCACGCGCCTGTATTCCCAGCTACTCAGGAGGCTGAAGCAGGAGCATCACTTGAACCCAGGAGGCAGAGGTTACAGTGAGCCAAGATTGTGCCATTGTACTCCAGCCTGGGCAACAAGAGCAAAACTCCGTTTTAAAAAAAAAAAAAGGACAGCCTGTTAAAGAAATGGTGCTGAGATAGCTGGTAAGCCACATGTAGAATAAGAAAATTGGGTCTTCATCTCTCATCCTATACAAAAATCAACTCAACATGGATCAAAGACTGAAATCTAAGACCTGAAACTATAAAAATTCTAGAAGATAACATCAGAAGAACGCTTCTAGACATTTGCTTAGGCAAAGAGTTTGTAACCAGGAACCCTAAAGCAAATGCAAAAAAAAAAAAATCATAAATAAATGGGACTTACTAAACTGAAAAGCTTCTGCACAGCAAAAGAAGTAATCAGCAGAGTAAAGAGAAAACCCACAGAGTAGAAAATATTTACAACCAATGCATTCAACAAAGGACTGTTACCCGGAATCTACAAGGAACTTGAACAAATCAGCAAGAAAAAACAAACAAACAAACAAACAAATAATCCCATGAAAATGTGGACGAATGACACGAATAGACAATTCTCAAAAGAAGATATACAAATGGCCAACAAACATATTTAAAAAATGCTTGGAAACCTATCAGTAAGGACCGAACACCAAACAACCAAGGAAAGTTGGTGAGTCTCATCTTGATGAGAGCTTGGACCACTGAGATTTGAGAATCTGCGTTGGGCCTGCTTGCAGTTCTAAACGGGTGGAAGAGTTCAGTCGTTTGCACCCGCAGTGATGCGTGCTTTGCGCAAGAATAAGACTCTCCACTACGAAGTCCCCATGTTGTTGCTAATTGTTGGAGTTTCTTTTGGTGTTCGTGAGTTTTTACAAATCTGACATGATGCAGTGAAGATTAAAATTGATCCTGAGTTGGAAAAAAACTGAAAGCAAATAGTATCATTAGAGTCAGAATATGAGAAAAGACTCCACTTTTGATGACTGGAAGAATATCCAAGGACCCAAGCCTTGGAAAGATCCTGACCTCCTCCAAGAAAGGAATCCAGAAATCCTTAAGACTAAGACAACCTGACTGTGCTGATTCTTTTTGATTTTTTAAATAAAAATGTCATCAACTGGATTTCCTAATACATACCCCTATCAAGTGGAAAGAAGATTCCAGGCTCATTGAAACCCGAATATGGGTAACTTGTTGGCAGATAATCTTGATAAAATATCAAGTACAAGGCTGGGCACAGTGGCTCATGCCTGTAATCCCAGCATTTTGGGAGGCTGAGGCAGGTGGATCATGAGGTCAGGAGTTCAAGACCAGCGTGGCCAGTATGTTGACACCCCATCTCTACTAAAAATACAAAAATTAGCCAGGCATGGTGGCACATGCCTGTATTCCCAGCTACTCAAGAGGCTGAGGCAGAAGAATCACTTGAACCCGGGAGGCGGGGTTTACAGTGAACCGAGATCGTGCCACTGCACTCCATCCTGGATGACAGAGCGAGACTCTGTCTCAAAAACAAAAACAAAAAAAAGTCAAGTACAGGTTTTTATACTTCCCAATTATTCCATCTGCAGATGAAAGTAACAATACTGGACACATATATTTTACACCTTGAAATAAAAAATGTGAATACTGAAAAAAAATGCTCAACATCACTAATTGTCAGGAAAATGCAGATTAAAATTACAATGTGATACCACCTTACTCCTGCAAGAATGGCCACAATTAAAACATCAAAAAACTAGATATTGCCATGGATTTGATGAAAATGGAGCATTTTAACACTACTGGTGGAAATGTAAACTAGTACAATCACTATGGAAAACAGCTGGGAATTTTTATTATTATTATTATTTTTTGAGATGGAGTCTCACTCTGTCACCCAGGCTGAGTGCAGTGGCGTGATGTCAGCTCACTGCAGCCTCTGCCTTCCAAGTTCAAGTGATTCTCCTGCCTCAGCCTCCTCAGTAGCTTGGACTACAGGCACATGCCACCATGACTGGCTAATTTGTTTGTACTTTTAGTAGAGATAGGTTTTCACCATGTTGGCCAGGCTGGTCTCAAATTCCTGATTTCAGGTGATTTACCCACCTTGGCCTCCCAAAGTGTTGGGAATATAGGCTTGAGCCAGCACACCCAGCCAGGAGATTTTTTTAAAGAACTAAAAGTAGAACTACCATCTGATCCAGCAATCCCACTACTGGGCATTTACATGAAGAAAAAAGTCATTATATAAAAAAGACACTTGCACAGTCATGTTTATAGCAAAACAATTTCCAATTGCAGAAATATGGAAGCACCCTAAATGCCCATCAACCATCAAGTGGATGAAGAAAATGTGATATGTATATACCATGTAATACTCAGCCATTAAAAAATGGAGTAATGGCATTCACAGCAACTTGAATGGATTAGAAGATCATTGTTCTAAGTGAAGTAACTCAGGAATAAAAAATCAATATCGTATGTTCTCATTTACAAGTGGGAGCTAAGCTATGGGGATTCCAAAGCATGAGAATTATATAATGAACTCTGAGGACTTGAGGGGAAGAGCAGGAGGAGGGTGAGAGCTAAAAGACTACACATTGGGTACAGTATACACTTCTTAGTTGCTGGGTGCACCTAAATCTCAGGCATTACTGCTGAAGAACTTACCTATGTAGCCAAACAACACCTTTACCTCAAAAGCTCTTAGAATAATAATAACAACAATTTAAAAAAACCCACAGAAGTTTACGTTGCTATGCTTTGGCATTTTTTTAGAAAGGATTTCACTCTTTCACCCAGGATGGAGAGCAGTAGATTGATCATGGCTTACTGCAGCCTCAAGCTCCTGGGCTCAGGCCATCCTCCTACCTCAGCTTCCTGAATAGCAGGTAATGCAGGCACTGGCCACCATGCCCAGCTAATTTTTGTTTTCTTTTCTTTCTTTTTTTTTTTTTTTTGAGACGGAGTCCCTGTCGCCCAGGCTGGAGTGCAGTGGCATGATCTCGACTCACTGCAAGCTCTGCCTCCTGGGTTCAAGCGATTCTTCTGCCTCAGCCTCCTGAGTAGCTGTGACTACAGGTGCCCACCACCACGCCCAGCAAACTTTTTGTATTTTTAGTAGAAACGGGGTTTCACCATGTTAGCTAAGATGGTCTCAATCTCCTGACTTTGTGATCTGCCTGTCTTAGCCTCTCAAAGTGCTGGGATTACACACTTGAGCCACCGTGCCCAAATGTTAATTTTTGTATATTGGGTAGACATGGGATTTTGCCATGTTGGTATCAAATTTCTGGGTTTAAACAGTCTTTGTTTCTTGGCCTCCCAAAATGCTGGGATTACAAGTGTGAGCCACCATGCCTGACTAGAATCTTATTTTTATATGATATAGAAAAGCTAAATATATTTAGATCTGTAAGTTAGCAGAAAGTTTGAAAAAAATATTTTATTAAAAATATAAAATGGTTTTACCTCCAGCTTAACTTTGTAACAATTCCAACCAAACGTGAAGTTTTCTTGCCAGAACTCAGAGGAGGGCGTGAATCCAATGTGCAGACTTGACAGGTGGAAAGGTGTAAAAGTCCTGCTTGCTCTCTTTGCCAGGAGGCTGGTAGCCTGGGGCAAGTTCTCAGCCCTGCTCACCCACTCCCTGAAAACTAACCTGGTGCTGTCGGGGGGAGAGGCATCATGGGAGCTAGACTGGCCTTTTGGGTTGTGTGGGAGTTGGGTGAGGCCTGTGACTGTCTGCTTTTTCCCACTTTCCTGACAACGTGCATCACCAGCAGAGGCAGCCATAATCCTCCTGGGAACATAACTCCATTGACCTGGGAACCACACCTCATCCCACCACAGCAGCCACTGCAAGCACCTCCAAAGGAGAGTCTCAGCTCAGACTTGCCTAACCCTGCCCCCACCTGATGGTCCTTCCCTACCCACTCTGGTAGACAAAGACAAAATTCATATTCTCTTGAAAGTTCTAGGGTCCTGTCCAGTAGCTGATCCTCCCTATACTACCACAGCTGATGCTCTCTTGAAGGTGCCACCTCTTGGCAGGAGGCCAACCAGCAAAAAACTAGTTCATTAAACAATTACAATTAAGGATGCAACAGAGTCAATTTCACTCCTCTGCAACTTCCACCACAGCAGGTGCTGGTGTCCATGGCTGAGAGACCTGAAGATGATTCACATCACAGGACTCTGTGCAGACACCCTCAAGTACCAGCCCAGAGACTAATAGACCTGCGTCCAGAAGAGAAATAACAATCACTATAGTTCAGCTCTTAGGAAGCTACATCCCTAGAAAAAGGGTTAGGGTATTACATCGAGGGAGCACCCTGTGGGACAAAAGAATCTATACAGCAGCCTTAAGCCCCCAGATCTCCCCTCTCACACAGTCTACCCAAATGAGAAAGAACCAGAAAAACAATTCTGGTAATATGAAAAAACAATGTTCTTTAGCACCACCCAAAAATCATGCAAGTTTACCAGCAATGAATCCAAACCAAGAAGAAATCCATGTAGTGTCTAAAAAAAAATTTAGAAAGTCAATTATTAAACTAATCAAGTAGGTACCATAGAAATGTAAAGTCCAATTTATGGAAATCAATGAATAATACAAGATATGAGGGGAGAAATCTTCAGTGAAAAAAATAGAATAAATAAAAAACAATAACAACTTCAGGAAATAAAAACACACTTAGAGAAATGCAAAATGTACTGAAGAGTCTCAGTAATAGAGTTGAACAACTAGAAGAAAGAAATTCCGAGCTCCAAAACAAGATTTTTGAATTAACCCAATCGAACAAAGGCAAACAGAAAGAATAAAAAAATCAGCAAAGCCTCCAAGAAGTTTGGAATTATGTTAAATTACCAAACCTAAAAATAATTTGCATTCCTCAGGAAGAAGAGAAATCTAAAAGTTCAGAAAGCATATTTGGGAAAGTAATTGAGGTAAACTTTTCTTTCTTGGCTAGAGACCTAGACATTCAAATACAAGAAGCTCAAAAACACCTGGGACATTCATTACAAAATGACCACTGCCTAGACAAATTGTTATCAGGTTATCTAAAGTCAAGGCAAAGGAAAGAATGTTAAGAGCTGTGAGGCAAAAGCACCAGGTAACCTAAAAATATACAAAATAAAAACCTATCAGATTAACAGCAAAAACCCTACAAGCAAGAAGGGATTGGGACCCTATTTTCAGCCTCCTTAAGCAAACCAACTATCAGTGAAGAACTTTGTATCCAGGAAAACTAAGCTTCATAATTGAAGGAAAAAATGTCTTTCCATACAAACAAATGCTGAGAGAATTCACCGCTACCAAGCCAGCACTACAAAAACTGCTAAAAGGAACTCTAAGAAGTCCTGGAAAAATATCAAAACAGGACCTCTTTAAAGCATAAATCTCACAGGGCCTATAAAATATGAATACAACAAAATGTTTTATAAAAACAAAGTATTCAAGCAACAAATAGCATGATAAATAAAACAGTACCTCACATCTCAATAGTAACATTGAATGTAAATGGCCTAAATGTTCCACTTGAAAGATATAGAATTGCAGAATAGATAAGAATTCACCAACCAAGTATCTTCTGCCTTCAAGAAACTCATCTAACACACTAGGGTTAAGGTAAAAATGTGAAAAAAAAAATCCATGCAAATGGATACCAAAAATGAGCAGAAGTAGATATTCATATATCAGACAAACACACTTTAAAACAACAGCAGTTAAGAAAAGACAAAGTGGGATATTATATAATGATAAAAACCCTGTCAAACAGAAAAATATTACAGTTCTAAATATATAAGCACCTAACACTGAAGTTCCCAAATCAGCATGTGAAACTTTCTCTAAGATAGACCATATGATAGGACACAAAACAACTCTTAATAAATTTAAGAAAATCAAAATTATATCAAGTAGTCTCTCAAACTACAGGGGGATAAAATCGAAAATCAACTCCAAAAGGAACCTTCAAAACAATGTAAATACATGAAAATTGAATAACATGCTCCTGAGTGATCATTGGGTCAACAATAAAATCAAGATGGAAATTTAAAAATTATTTGAACTGAACAATAATAGTGACACAACCTATCAAAACATCTGGGATATGGCAAAGGTGAAGCTAAGTGGAAAGTACATAGCCTTAAATGCCTACATCAAAAAATCTGAAAGAGCACAAATAGACAATCTAAGGTCACATCTCAAGGAACTTGAGAAACAAAAACAAACCAAACCCAAACCCAGCAGAAGTAAAGAAATAACCAAGATCAGAAAGGAAAAAAAAAAAAACTTCTTTTATCAAAAACACTGCATTTAATTACTCATCACAGAAGAGAGAAAAAATAATCTAAGTTAATAAATGAAGTGTGTGTGTGGGTGTTTGTGTCTGTGTGTTTGGTTACTATTATAGATTACTAAAATGGGTTAGGACCTTTTTTTTTTGGTCAAATATATAATCCTGAGAAGACAATCAAAACTTTATGTACATTTCTGATACCTGATGGGCTATGTAAATATTTATACAAAAATTTTATTCAATTGTCTTTTTTGTTTTTTTTTTTTGAGATGAGGTTTTGCTCTTGTTGCCTAGGCTGGCATGCAGTGGTGCGAGCTTGGCTCACTGCAACCTCTGCCACCCAAGTTCAAGTGATTCTCCTGCCTCAGCCTCCCAAGTATCTGGGACTACAGGGGTGCACCACCACACCCAGCTAATTTTTGTATTCTTTTTAGTAGAGACGGGGTTTCACCATGTTGGCCAGGATGGTCTCAATCTCTTGACCTCATGATTTGCCTGCTTCACCCTAACGTTGGGATTACAGGCAGGAGCCACCATGCCCAGCCCCTTGTTTCTTTTTAAAGTTTGGCTACTAGAAAATTCAAAATTTTATTTCAGAGGATTTATGACACATTATTTACAAAAGCATATGACCTTATACACAAGGTTGAATGCAAATACCCTGTAAGGTGGGCCTAGCTCATCTCTGACAGTAAGCCCTGCCTGAAAAGGCTGCAGCCTAGGCTGTCACTCTTTCTTCATTCAACCCAGCATCTAATCACATCTTCTGTCAGTCAAGGCCTGAGAGGGTGGGGTTTTAAACATTATCCAATCAGCAACGCTGGGCTGGGAACTGTCCAATCAGGCGCAGCTGGAGTGGAGAGGATGGCTTCTGGGATGTGGGGAGTCCTTTGTCTCTTGCTGCAGCTGGAGCTCCAGGTCTCATTTTCACTGCTCTGTGTCTTCTGCTCCTAGAGGCCTAGCCTCTGTAGCCCTGTGACCTGCAGGTATTGGGAGATCCACAGCTAAAACGGGACGCCCTGGAAGCCTAGAAATGGTGAGAGTGCTGGGTCCGACATCCTGAGAGAGCGGAAGGGGCTGGTTGGAACCAGTGGGAAGTGGTCGTGGTAGGACTTAGGCCTCCCAGCAGTCAGCTCCACAATCTGCACCCAAGTTCTCCTGGCCCATCTCAGCCTCAGTCCCCTTCAGCCATAATATGGTGGCTGTGCCGACAGCCAGCGCCCTGGGTGTCCTGTCTTTTCCCTGTGCAGTGACTGTGCCCTGGCCTGGTGCCCTCTCTGGGCAGCTCTGCACCCGCGGCCCTGCATCTCTCTCAGATTGTGCAGGGACCACGGGAGGGTCATCAGGGGAGAATCCTGACTTGGGATGCGGTTCATAAATAGGAAGAACTTTCGTGCGTGGGGGTCCCAGTTCCTATTTTCTCCTATTAAAAATTTATGGGAGTTACTGCAAAAATATTAAATAACTTAATCAAAGAGTGGTTCTAGAATTGTAGAGCACCCAGCTATGGTTTGTAGTTTGTGGTCTATGGGAGAGACTTGAAGGAAAGTCTTTTATAAAATGCATGATGAAGAAAACCAAGTTTAATAATTGGTTAGGTACAGTTACATGGTACAGTTACACTGTGCCCAGCCTTTTTTGTTTTGTGTTCTTTTTTTTTTTTTTTTTTTTTTTTTTTTTGATGGAGTCTTGCTCCGTCGCCCAGGCTAGCATGCAGTGGTGCGATTTCAGCTCACTGCAACCGCCGCCTCCCAGGATCAAGAGATTCTCCGGCCTCAGCCCCCCAAGTAGCTGGGACTACAGGTGCAAGCCACCACGCCCAGCTAATTTTTGCACTTTTTAGTAGAAATGGGGTTTCACCATGTTGGCCAGGATCGTCATGATCTCTTGACCTCATGATCCACCCGCCTCAGCCTCCCAAAGTGCTGGGATTACAGGCGTGAGCCACCGCACCCAGCCACGTGATGTGTTTTTTTTTTACATAGTGTCTTAATTTGTACATTAAAGGTGAAAAAGTCCTGATTAAGTAATCAGAACTTAATTGGCAGTTGATAGTTGCTGAAGCCTGAATTTTGTTTCTTTGAATGTGGTAATTAAAAATAATGCACCTGAGTTAGATTTTTGTGTTTGTTTTTTTGAAGTAGGAACCCAGGGACTAGAAACACCTCACTCTAATTTCCTGCCACTTAATTATTTTCACACTCCACGGGGAACTGATTTTCTGCTGCCTTTTTCACCTGTGTCCCAGGCAGGGTCTTGGGACCCATCCCCCATTTCTCCAGCCTCAATCTAGCTTGCAATAAGATACTAAATTTCCAGTTTCTTCTTGGATCTTGCTCAAGAGAGAATTCAGGGCGAGTCGTAGAGTAAGGTGAAAGCAAATTTATTAAGGAAGTAAAGAAATAAAAGAAATGGCTTTCTCCTTAGGCTGGTTGCACATTTTTATGGTTAATTTTTAATTATATGTTAAATAAAAGGTGGATTATGCCTCTCCTTTTTAGATCTTTATGGTGTAACTTCCTGATGTTTTCATGGCATTTGTAAACTATCATGGGACTGGTGGGAGTGTAGCAGTGAGGATGACCAGAGGTCACTCTCATCACCATCTTGGTTTTGGTGGCTTTTATCCCGCTTCTTTACTGCAAGCCAGCTTTTTGACCTGTATCTTGTGCTGACCTCCTATCTCATCTTGTGGCTTAGAATGCCTAACCATCTGGAAATGCAGCCCGGTAGGTCTCAGCCTTATTTTACTCAGCCCCTATTCAAAATGGAGGCTGTGTACCTCTGGCAGAGTCTGTGTCTGGCTCTGTAATAAATAAGAAAAAAGAGCACCATCTTAAGTCATAATAGGAAGAGTGTTTCTTTCTATAAACTATTCCTGGAGAACACAAAGGATGAAGAATTTTATTAATCACAGCTATTTACCCTATTTACCAGGGTTATGTATGTGTTTCAGCTTTCCACCTCTTTTTTTGTCCTATACATGTCTTCCATTGGACTTTTCTTCAGTTGTATGTTTTATAATAAACTGGTAAACATAACTACAGTGTTTTTCTGAGTTCTGTGAGTAGGTTGATCAGATAATTGAACTTGAGAAAGGGCTCGGGAGTCCCCAATTTTTAAACAGTATCTCAGACACATAGATGGGCCTATGGGGTTTGTGACTGGCATCTGCAATGAGGACAATGTTGTGGAACTGAGCCCTGAATCAGAGTCTGTGCTGACTCTGGGTGGTGTCAGAATTCAAATGTTAGACATTGAGTTGGTGTTAGAGAATTGCTTGTTCAGCAAACTCTACAGATTTGGTGCCAGAAGAAAGATATCACAGAGGCCTGACCTCAAATGGAACTCTGGGTGTCTGGAAATGGGAGGCTCTGCTCTCCTGTACACAGGCTGTCACACTACCTGTTGTTCTGTGATTCCAGGTCTCCTCCCAGGGTGAGAGAAAATGAAAACTCAGAGGAAAGGACCTCTAATGACAGACCCCCTTGTCTCACAGCTGTCACCCCAGCATTCCCACCCACTCACAAACAAACCTACTGGACATTAATGTGTTCACAGTCCTCCTGGGACTAGGCACCACCATCAGGAACTTCACCACAGCATTTTTGATCCTAGTGTTTCTTGCCAAAAAGCCACAAAAGTGTCTACAAGTCTCCTGGCATATCCCCACCCCAGACACTGAATCTGCCACAGCATCCTGTTTTCTCCATCTACCTAGCATTATGGAGCACCTGTTCATAATCTCATCTGCCTGCATGGACACAGAAATAAATCAGAGTACAGCCCCACCAGGACCACTATCTGTAGAACAAACAATTCTTTCCAGTTACACTGCGCTCTTCTGCACTCGTGGGTTTTTCTTTTCTTAACTTTTCTTTTTGGTTCAGGCATACACGTGCAGGTTTGTTATATGGGTAAAATTGTGTCATGGGGGTTTGGTGTAGATTATTTTGTCACTGAGGTACTAAACATAGCACCAAAGAGGTATTTTTTTCTGATCCTCTTTGTCCTTTTATCCTTCATCCCCAACCAGGCCTCAGTGACTGTTCCTTCCTTGTGTCCCTGTGTTATTATTTAGCTCTTACTTATAAATAATCACATGCATTTGGTTTTCTGTTTTTGCATCAGTTTTCTAACAATAATGGTCTCTAGCTCCATCTATGTTGCTGCGAAGGACTTAATCTTGGTGTGTTTTGTTTGTTTGCTTGTTTTTTTAAGATGAATTCTTACTCTGTCACTCAGGCTGGAGTGC
Source organism: Homo sapiens (assembly GCF_000001405.40). Taxonomy (NCBI): domain Eukaryota; kingdom Metazoa; phylum Chordata; class Mammalia; order Primates; family Hominidae; genus Homo; species Homo sapiens. Next base: position 21,266,554 of record NC_000019.10, on the reverse strand, counting down.
ATTGGCATGATCTTGGCTCACTGCAACCTCCACCTCCCAAGTTCAAGCGATTCTCCTGCCTCAGTCTCCTGAGTAGGTGGGATTACAGGTGCCTGCCGTGATGCCCAGCTAACTTTTTGTATTTTTAGTAGAGACAGGGTTTTAGCGTGTTGACCAGCCTGGCCTTGAACTTCTGATCTCAAGTTATCCACCCACCTCAGCCTCCCAAAGTGCTGGGATTAGAGGCATGAGCCATGGTGCCTGGCTTTGTGTTGTTTTTATATGGTCACGTAGTCTTCCACGATTTTTGTGTACCATATTTTGTTTTTACTAAATCTTTATTTTATTTTTGGAAGAGCGTCTCACTCTGTCACACAGGCTGGAGTGCAGTGGTGCAATCTTGGCTCACTTCAGCCTTAACATCCAAGTCTCAAGGCTCAAGGAATCCTACCTCAGCCCGTTAAGTAACTGGGACTATAGGCACACAACATCATGCCTAATTTTTCTTTTTTGTATTATTTGTAGAGATACAGTTTTGCCATGTTGCCCAGGCTGGTATTTTATTTTATTTTATTTTATTTTATTTTTTGAGACAGAGTCTTGCTCTGTCACCAGGCTGCAGTGCAGTGGCACGATCTTGGCTCACTGCAACCTCTGACTCTCTGCTTCAATCAATTCTCCTGCCTCAGCCTCCCGAGTAGGTGGGGTAACAGGTATGTGCACCATGCTCAGCTAATTTTTGTATTATTAGTAGAGATGAGGTTTTACCATGTTGGCCAGGATGGTCTCGATCCCCTGACCTCGTGATCCACCCGTCTTGGCCTCCCAAAGTGCTGGGATTACAGGCGTGAGCCACCACACTCGGCCCAGGCTGGTCTTGAACTCTTGAGCTAAGGCAGTCCACCTGCCTTGATCTCCTAAAGTGCTGGAATTACAAATGTGAGCCACCTCGTGCTACCACATCATATTTTTTCAATCTAGTCTACTATTAACAGGCAATTAGGTTTATTCCATGTCTTTGTTATTGTGGACAGGGGTGAAATGAACATGCATGTGCACGTCTTTTTTTTAATGTTTCCCAATTTAAAACTTTTAATTAAAAAGTAAACTTTAATGTCAAAAATGCAAACTTGGGGAAGACAGAAAAGATCACACAGAAGGTTGTCACTTCACACTCGGAAGGTTGCACAGTCGCCAGGCAGAGGTGCTCCTCACATCCCAGATGGGGAGGCAGCTGGGCAGAGGCAGTCCTCATTTCCCAGACAGTCCTCCCTTCCCAGACAGGGCGGGGGTGGGTAGAGGCGCTCCTCACTTCCCAGATGAGGTGGCAGCTGTGCAGAGGCCGTCCTCACTTCCCAGACAGGGCGGCGGCCAGGCAGAGGTGCTCCTCACTTGCCAGACGTTGGGGCTGCAGCTGGGCAGAGGCACTTCTCAGTTCCCAGATGGTGGGCAGCTGGGCAGAGGCACTCCTCACTTCCCAGATCGGGGGGATGGTGGGCAGCCGGGCAGAGGCGCTCCTCACTTCCCAGACAGGGCAGCAGCCAGGCAGAGGAGCTCTTCACTTCCCAGATGGGGCGGCAGCTGGGCAGAGGCGCTCCTCACCTCCCAGATGGTGGGCTGCTGGGCAGAGGTGCTCCTCACTTCCCAGGCTGTAGGCAGCTGGGCAGAGGCGCTCCTCACCTCCCAGATGGTGGGCTGCTGGGCAGAGGTGCTCCTCACTTCCCAGGCTGTGGGCAGCTGGGCAGAGGCGTTCCTCACTTCCCAGTCACAGTGGCGGCCAGGCAGAGATGCTCCTGCCATCCCAGTCAGGGAGGCGTCCAGGCCGAGGTGCTCCTCACTTCCTAAACAAGGCAGCAGCCAGGCAGAGGTTCTCCTCACTTCCCAGATGGGGCAGCAGCCGGGCAGAGGCACTCCTCACTTCCCAGACAGTGGGCAGCTGGGCAGAGGTGCTCCTCACTTCCCAGTCAGGGTGGTGGCCAGGCCAAGGTGCTCCTCACTTCCCAGACAGGGCAGAAGCCAGGCAGAGGTGCTCCTCACATACCAGTCAGTTGGCGGCTGGGCTGAGGCTCTCCTCACTTCCCAGATGGGGCAGCCAGGCAGACGGGCTCCTCACATCCCAGACAGTGGGCAGCCAGGCAGAGGTGCTCCTCACTTCCCAGATGGGGCAGCGGCCAGGCAGAGGCGCTCCTCACTTCCCAGATGGGGCGGCGGCCAGGCAGAGGCACTCCTCACTTCCCAGAGTGCATATATCTTTATGGTGGAATAATTTATATTTCTTTGGGTATATACCCATGTTGTGGGATTTTTAAGGAATCAGAGAGACCGATGGGATTCAGGAGGATATTTATAATTATTTAGGTGCACTGGCCCAGTCGGATTAACATCCAAAGGACTGAGCCCCGAACAAAGAGTTAAGTTACCTTTTAAGCATTTCATGGGGGTGGAGTGGGGGGAGATCTGTGCAGGGGGAAGCGTACTACAGAAGTGAGAAACAAAGACAATCATTCAATTGAGACATGCATTACATCATTTCTTACTTTTCAAGGAAAAACATGTTTTGCAACTTGAGTGTATCTGTCTAGTGACCTAGCAGCTGCACAGCTAGGAAAACAAAGTCTTCACAATGCCTTGGAAGGCAGGAGAGATAAAGCTCACTAGCCACAGAAAAACAGGCAGTTAGTTTTTAAAGGACTCCAGCTCTTTCTCTTTCTCAGGAGGAGTTAGGTTTTCTTACATACAACTGAGTTTCTGCTTACACACTTTAATTTCTTTCAATTCCTGTTCCATTCCCCTTTTTGGTGCTTTTTATAACAGAGGTGTTAATAGGAAGCACTACTATTTGCCACCTTTTCGTGGAGATGAGCTTCTTCTTCGATTGGCAGCAGCTGATATCTGGTAAATACCACCAACTGCATGATAGTGTGTCAGGCCACTATTGCCTCCGTAGTTGACTGAATGCTCCTAATAAACAGGGGTAAAAGGCAAGGGAGGATGAGGCAGATGCCAAGAGTAAGTAAGAACCCACTAATGAGGGTTTTGAATCCTCGAAAGGCTGAGAACCTTCCTCCAAACAAGGAATCCAGGGACCAACTGAACCAAGTCTGAACTGGAACATGGGCCAACTTGCACATTGTAGCTGTGATTTCCATGAGAGCTCAGCCACTATCATTGATTTCTAGGCAACAGTTGGTTAAATTAAATTTTCCACATACTCCTCCTTCCAAGGCTAAGAGGTAATCTAAAGCCAATCTATTTTGATACATAGCATTCCTCATTTGTGTTGCTTGTATTGCCAATAAATCTAGTGCCCTTGATGTTTTATTGGTTATGATTTCAAGGACTTCCTGCAACCTTATGATGTGCTTGAGCATACAGATGGGGGTATGGTACCCCCATGACCCGTCTTGCACCCAGGTAGCCATCCCATAGAATTTAATGATTCTTTCAGTAGGCCATTCATTATCTTTCCAGTCTCCTATGACCACATCCTTTTTGATATTTGTGTCTATTTTTGTGATTATGCTTCTTCTAATTCTTTTATTTTAATCATAAACTGGATATCCTAAGAGTTCCTCTTTTAGTATATGCAGAAATGGTAACAACATTAGTGTATGTAATAGAAACATGCTTACACTACACATGGGCATGGCAAACCTTCCTCTGGGTATAGACATTTGAAGCATTTGCAGTAATAACATAACAACAGAACAATCAGTATTGACAGGATTATAACTAGGCTTATAAATTGTATCCACATTTACTTATCCAGAGATGGTCCTCTTAGCTTTGGCTATGTGTAGACTAGTCAGCTTCCTGGATGTGACTAGAGCAGAGCTTGCAGGATCCTCAAGCTTCAGCCGTGTGTAGACTGACCAGCCTCCAGAGTGGTCAGAGCAGGGCAGTTGTCCTTCTTACTGGTAGTTGGGTTTCACCATAGGACCATTCGGGTGGGGCAATCTGGGTCTTGTTGGCTAATCCACTGATTGTCATTGAGAGTTACTGCTGCCACTGGCTGTAGCCGGCTATGGTGAATCCAAGGTGTGACACCTGGAACTTTAACAGCAGTGGGACCAGACATGATCACAATATAGGGCCCATCCTATAAGGGCCCCAGGGTTGTTGGATTCCACCTTTAACCCAGACTGAGTCTCCCAGCTTATGTGGATGCACTGGGTCTGTTAGACTTATAGGTATCCTTTCCTTTACCCAGCCTTGCACCTCCTGCATTGCCACTCCCAAAGCCTAAATCTGTCTTCTAAGGGTTAGCTCTCCTAACTCCTTTAAATCCCCTCTAATTGGATTAATGATTGGGGGTGGCCTTCTGAACAATATTTCATAGGGCGAATATCCAGTTTGTTTTCTAGGCATACACCTGACCTGGAGGAGGACCACGGGCAAGACCTGATCCCATCATAAGTGAGTTTCCTGGCAAAACTATTTTAGTAGCTGTTTGAGTGTCCAGTTTATCCATTCCACCTTCTCTGAACTCTGTGGTCAGTAAGCTGTGTGCAGTTTCCATTTGATCTTTAAAAGTTGAGTCACCTGCCTGCCTGCCTGCCTGCCTGCCTTCCTTCCTTCCTTCCTTCCTTCCTTTCTTTCTTTCTTTCTTTCTTTCTTTCTCTCTCTCTCTTTCTTTCTCTTTCTTTCTTTCTTTCTTTCTTTCTTTCTTTCTTTCTTTCTTTCTTTCTTTCTTTCTTTTTTTCTCTCTCTCTCTTCTTCCTTCCCTCCTTCCTTCCTTCCTTCCTTCCTTCCTTCCTTCCTTCCTTCCTTCCTTCCTTCCTTCCTTCCTTTCTTTCTTTCTTTCTATGGTCTCCCTCTGTTGCTGAGGCTGGACTGTACTGCCGTGATCTCGGCTCGCTGCAACCTCCCTGCCTCGGGCTCCCGTGATTCTCCTGCCTCGGCCTGCCCAGTGCCTGGGATTGCAGGCATGCGCCACCACACCTGACTGGTTTTTGTATTTTTGGTGGAGATAGGGTTTCGCCGTGTTGGCTGGGCTGGTCTCCAGCTCCTGAGCTCGAGTGATCTGCCCGCCTCGGCCTCCCGAGGTGCTGGGATTGCAGACGGAGTCTCGCTCAATCAATGCTCAATATTGCCCAGGCTGGAGTGCAGTGGCGTGATCTCGGCTCGCTACAACCTCCACCTCCCAGCCACCTGCCTTGGCCTCCCAAAGTGCTAAGATTACAGCCTCTGCCCGGCGGCCACCCTGTCTAGGAAGTGAGGAGCGTCTCTGCCTGGCCGCCCATCGTCTGGGATGTGAGGAGCCCCTCTGCCCGGCCAACCCGTCTGGGAGGTGAGGAGTGCCTCTGCCCGGCCGCCACCCTGTCTGGGAGGTGAGGAGCATCTCTGCCCAGCGGCCATCCTGTCTACAAAGTGAGGAGCACCTCTGCCTGGCTGCCACCCCGTCTGGGAAGTGAGGAGTGCATCTGCCTGGCCACGCCGTCTGGGAAGTGAGGAGTGCCTCTGCCTGGCCGCCCTGTCTGGGAGGTGAGGAGCACCTCTGCCCAGCCGTCCATCATCTGGGAAGTGAGGAGCACCTCTGCCCAGCCGCCCCATCTGGGATGTGAGAAGTGCCTCTGCCCGGCCGCCACCCCATCTGGGAAGTGGGGAGTGCCTCTGCCCGGCCGCCCCATCTGGGATGTGAGGAGCGCCTCTGCCCGGCCGCCACCCCATCTGGGAGGTGAGGAGTGCCTCTGCCTGGCCGCCCTGTCTGGGTACTGAGGAGCGCCTCTGCCCGGCCGCCCTGTCTGAGAGGTGAGGAGCGCCTCTGCCCAGCAGCTGCCCTGTCTGGGAAGTGAGTAGCACCTCTGCCCAGCCGCCCATCGTCTGGGATGTGAGGAGAGCCTCTCCCCGGCTGCCCTTCATCTGGGAGGTGAGGAGTGCCTCTGCTTGGCTGCCCCATCTAGGAAGTGAGGAGCGCCTCTGCCCGGCCACCCTGTCTGGGAGGTGAGGAGCATCTCTGCCCGGCCGTCCCGTCTGGGAAGTGAGGAGCACCTCTGCCCGGCCGCCTATCATCTGGGAAGTGAGGAGCGCCTCTGCCCAACTGCCCCGTCTGGGATGTGAGGAGCGCCTCTGGCTGGCCACCCTGTCTGGAAAGTGAGGAGCGCCTCTGCCCGGCCACCCCGTCTGGGGGGTGAGGAGCGCCTCTGCCCGGCCGCCCATCGTCTGGGATGTGAGGAGAGCCTCTCCCCGGCCGCCCTTCATCTGGGAGGTGAGGAGCACCTCTGCTTGGCCGCCCCGTCTAGGAAGTGAGGAGCACCTCTGCCCAGCCGCCCATCATCTGGGAAGTGAGGAGCGCCACTGCCCGGCTGCCCATCATCTGCGAAGTGAGGAGCGCCTCTGCCCGGCAGCCCCGTCTGGGATGTGAGGAGTGCCTCTGCCCGGTTGCTGCCCCGTCTGGGATGAGAGGAATGCCTCTGCCCGGCTGCCACCCTGTCTGGGAAGTGAGGAGTGCCTCTGCCTGGCCGCCCCATCTGGGATGTGAGGAGCGCCTCTGCCTGGCCACCACCCCATCTGGGAGGTGAGGAGTACCTCTGCCTGGCTGCCCTGTCTGGGAACTGAGGAGTGCCTCTGCCTGGCCGCCCCGTCTGAGAGGCGAGGAGCGCCTCTGCCCAGCAGCCACCCCATCTGGGAAGTGAGGAGCGCCTCTGCCCGGCCACCCTGTCTGGGAAGTGGGGAGTGCCTCTGCCTGGCCGCCCCGTCTGGGAAGTGAGGAGCACCTCTGCCCGGCCGCCCATTGTCTGGGATGTGAGGAGCACCTCTGCCCGGCTGCCACCCTGTCTAGGAAGTGAGGAGCGCCTCTGCCTGGCCACCTCATCTGCAAAGTGAGGAGCACCTCTGCCCGGCTGCCCTGTCTGGGAAGTGAGGAGCACCTCTGCCTGGCCACCCCGTCTGGGAAGTGTGGAGCGCCTCTGCCCAGCTGCCCCGTCTGGGAAGTGAGGAGCACCTCTGCCTGGCCACCCCGTCTGGGAAGTGAGGAGCGCCTCTGCCCGGCCACCCCGTCTGGGAGGTGAGGAGCGCCTCTGCCCAGCCGCCCATCATCTGGGATGTGAGGAGTGCCTCTGCCCGGCCGCCACCCCATCTGGGAAGTGAGGAGCACCTCTGCCTGGCCGCTGTTCAATCTTCCAAGTGTGAAGCAACAGCCTTTCTGCAGGTGTACCCAACAGCTCCGAAGAGACAGCAACCATCGAGAATGGGCCATGATGACAATGGCGGTTTTGTTGAAAAGAAAAGGGGGAAGTGTGGGGAAAAGAAAGAGAGATCAGATTATTACTGTGTCTGTGTAGAAAGAAGTAGACATAGGAGACTCCATTTTGTTCTGTACTAAGAAAAATTCTTCTGCCTTGGGATGCTGTTAATCTATGACCTTACCCCCAACCCTGTGCTTTCTGAAACATGTGTTGTGTCAACTCAGGGTTAAATGGATTAAGGGTGGTGCAAGATGTACTTTGTTAAACAGATGCTTGAAGGCAGCATGCTCGTTAAGAGTCATCACCACTCCCTAATCTCAAGTACCCAGGGACACAAACACTGCGGAAGGCCGCAGGGACCTCTGCCTAGGAAAACCAGAGACCTTTGTTCATGTGTTTATCCGCTGACCTTCTCTCCACTATTATCCTATGACCCTGCCACATCCCCCTCTCCGAGAAACACCCAAGAATGATCAATAAATACAAAAAAAAAATGTTGAGTCAACTGTTGTACTACTTCTGCCACAAATGCAGGACCATTGTCTGATCCTATGGTTAAAGGCTATCCAAACCTTGCTATATGTCTTTTAGTAGCAGCTTTGTCACCTCTCATGCCTTTTCAGTTCTGTTAGGGAAGGCCTCAACCCACCTGGAGAAGGTGCAAACAGACACTAGCATATACCAGTAACATTCTGCTTGAGGCAACTCGGTAAAGTCTACAAGCAGGTTCTCAAAAGGCACAGCTCCCATTTCCTGAATTCCTGGGGGTTGAGTGGGTTCTTATTTTGGATTATTCAGGGCACAGGATAGACATACATTGTTCATAAACAGCACAGGTGGTTGCAGAGAGCTGTGGCACATAGAAGTGTCAACCTATCAGTCTCTAGGGCCATCCTTCCAATGTGTGTTCCTTGATGGATCTGCTTCACAAACCTTGGGGCTATTGTCTCTGGGATGGCTAGCCTCCCATCAGAGAACAGCCACCATCCACTTTTAATATACTTCCCTGTTTCCTGCCTAAACCAAGCTTTTTCACTTAAAGAGTAATTGGGTACCTCTGGCAAAGGGGGCTCTATAAGGAGAGGCATTGCTAGAGTTCTTTTTACAGGTAAAGCCTTGTTCATTGCTGCCTGCCTAGCCTCTGGGTCCACCTTTCTGTTGCCCTGAACCTTATAGCTTTTCCCAGTTTGGTGTCCTCTGCAATGAATGGCAGCCACCTTCTCTGGAGCCCATAAGGCTTCTAATAATTGTAGAATTTCCTTTTTATTTTTTATTTCTTTTTTTCTCATAGTCTAAAGTCCTCTCTCTTTGTATGTCACCCCATGGGTGTGCAGAGTTGCAAAAGCATATTTTGAGAAGTATATATATTTACTTTCTTCCCCTTGGCCAATAAAAGTGCTCTAGTTAATGTTATTAATTCAGCCTTCCTAGTAGAAGTCCCAGAAGGTAAGGCTTGAGCCTCGACCACCAAGTGTTGTGTCACTACTGCATATCCTCCATATCACACCCCATGTGTTATGAAACTGCTACCATCAGTGAAGTATTCAACATCTGGGCTCTCCAAGGGGGTATCTCTGAGATCTTCCTGGCTTGAGAACACTTTGCCCACTGTATTTATGCAACAGTGGGGAAGGTCCTACTAGCAGTGAGGTAACTCACCATCCTTCCAATCAGGTTCTTCCATAGGCTGCAGGGTAGCTGCGTTCAAGGTATTTACAGTCTTAATGTTGTCTAGGGATTTGCACACAGAAGCCCTTGATACTTCAGCATTCTAGAGTTGGACAGCCAACGATGTTCTCTTTGCTCCATTAAGGTGACTACAGTGTGTGGCACCTGAATTATTAACTTCTGACCTAGGGCTAGCTTGTTGGCATCTTCTATAAGGGTCGTGGTAGCTGCCAATGCCCTGAGGCAGTAGGGCCAATCTAAGGCCACCAAGTCCAGTCTTTTGGATAAGTATGGTACCGGCCAGTGCCAAGAGCCCAACAACTGAGTTAAGACTCCAACTGCCATTCCCTTTCATTCATCCACATACAAAAAGAAGGGCTTTTTTATATCTGGCAATCCTAGTGCTGGGGCCTGGATGAGAGCTTCCTTTATACCCTTGAAGGCCTTTTCCTTTTCCTTTTCCCATAGGAGGGGCTCTCTTTACCCACCTTTGGTAGCCTCATATAAGGGCCTTGCTATAAGGGAGAAGTTTGGAATCCAGATTCAGCAGAATCCCGCCATGCCTAGAAATTCCCTGCTGCCTTGTAACTGGGGTTGATAATGCACATACAGCCTTCTTGCATGCACTTCCAAGCCTGCATTGGCCTTGGGATACCATGAATCCTAGATATCCAACCTCTCAAAAACAGACTTGTGCCTTGTCTTTGGACACTTTACAGCCAGCTTCACGTAGCAGGTGAAGAAGCCTCTCTGTTCCTTGGAAGCATTCCTCCCTCATGGGGGCAGTGAATAACAAGTCATCAATGTATTATAATAGCACACAATTGTCACTAGGTGGCAAAAAAGCCTCAAGATCTGTAGCCAAGGCCTCCTCAAAAATGGTAGAATTCTCAAACCCTTGTGGCAGCCTTGTCCAGGTATATTGTGATTTCCCCCACTGGATAGCAAATACAGGCTGACTTTGAGGAGCAAGCCTCAAACAAAAGAAGGCATCTTTTAAGTCCAGACACATGAACCAAGTGGCATCAGCATGAATCTGTCCCAGCATTGTATATGGGTTGGGCACTATGGCATGAATAGTGACAGCAGCTTTGTTTACTGCCCAGAGATCCTGCACTGGCCTGTATTCCCCATTTGGTTTGCGCACAGGTAACAGAGGAGTATTCCATGAGGACTTGCATTTTGCTATAATCTCATGCATATAAAGCCAATTTAGATGCTTTGTTATTCTATCAATTGCCTCTCAGGGTAGTGGGTATTGATGGACTTGTACTGGGGCAGCATGAGGGTTAAGCTCTACTACCATTGGGGTCTGTTTAGAGCAAGTCCAGGGCGGTTGTCCTCAGCCCCCACATATTACCCACATATTACCCCGTATTACCTGCATATTGTGTAGGTCTGGCTCTGGCAGCCTCCTGTACACAGTTCTTAGAGCCACCATTCCTCAGCCCTTGGGGCAATTAGAGTCAATACCATTGCCTTTGGCTTCCCTATCTCTGGGTCATATTCCTATTAGGTGTAAAGGAAATTTGTGCCTGCAGCTTCTGGAGTAAGTCCCTTCCTAACAAGGGCACTGGGCAATTTGGCATATATAGAAAGTCGTGCTGCACCTCCTGTTCTCCAATAACACATCTCCTGGATTTGCAAAAAGGTCTCTTTTCTTTGGCCCTGGAAGCCCCTACGATAGTAGCACAGTTATTTTTAGGGGGGGCTAATTGGGTGAGTTACCACAGAGAAATCAGCACCAGTATTGACCAAAAAATCCATTAACCACCCCCTACTTCCATAGAGACCATAGGCTCCCCTAAAAAGATGGAGCCCAGTCTGTCTCAGTCCTCAAAATTCTTGGCCCCTGCTAAGCCGATCAGATCGGGATCTGCCTTTGAGGTGCCATGACTAGCAACCAAATACTGCACTCAGATGTTAGACCATTGACCATCATTTCCATCCTTTTCCTATTCAGGGCACTCATCTTTCCAGTGGCCCATTTGCCTGCACCTTGTACATTGGTTCCTGTCCAACCAGGTCCAGCTTTCTTCTCCCAGTCTTGTTTGCTTCCTTCCTCAGCCTCTGCCTTGGCCATGCCTTCTAGCAAATCCAGGGTTACTTTCTGCTAGTGCAGCAGCTATAAATTAAGCTGTCTCCTTGTTCCTACTTCTGTTTGTTCTTTCTTCCTTTCTCTCTGCCTCTTCCTCCCAGTTTATGTATACTTTGTTTGCTATTTCCATGAGTTCACTAATATTTTCCCCAGCAAAGCCTTCCAGCCTCTGAAGCTTTTGTCTTATGTCTCCCTGTGCTTGACTGACAAAGGTCATATTTGTCATATTTTGGTTTTCAGGAGCCTCTGGAATAATTGGAGTGTACAGCCTATATACCTCACAAAGCCTTTCATTGAATGCACTTGGGCTTTCAGTGCACTTCTGATATTTTACTCATATTCATTGCTTTCCTTCCTCCTGCTTTTATCCCATTCAGGAGTGCCCTTTTATATAGCTGCAGCTGTTCAATGTCCCTTGCCTCATTTGGGTCCCAGTTAGGGTCATCATTTGGGTATTGCTCCTCAGCGAACTGGCATGGGTTAGGGGTGGCCTCTGGGACTTCCTTTTCTAACCAGCTGAGAGCTGCCTGATTAACTCTCCTATGCTCCTCTGTATGAAATAAAGTTAGCAAAAATTGTTGACAATCTGGCCAGGTTGGATTATGTGTCATAATAATAGAATTCACCAAATCAATGAGAGCCTGAGGCTTTTCTGTATAGGAGGGTGTGTGCTGTTTCCAATTTAAGAGATCAGTAGTGGAGAAAGGCTGATGAACATAATGCCTAGGACCACCTTCTATCTGCCCCTGGTCATCAAAAACTTGTGTCCTGGTCTCTCAAAGTGGCATCTGCAAAGCCCATGGTTGGCCAGAGCAGAGGTGCCTAGCTGCATCACCCTTTCCATCTTCTTTGTTTTTTTCTAATGGGGGCTTCTGTTCCACTTGGTGGGGAGACTGAGCCTCACTTTCCTCCGAGCCCGACTCTTCAGATGCTCCCAACTCTGCCTCCTGTGTATTCTTGCCAAAAACAGGTAGACTGGCACATATGGGGGGCAGACATCCCATTTCCTCAGGTGGGGCCTGAAGAACTGGTTTCAGCTGAGGCTTTGGGGATTCCTTTTCCTGGGAGATGCTAGGGACTTTAGGTTCCTCTGCTTCCTTTGGTTGGGCTGCCCCAAGCCACTAATGCCTTGCAATATCATAGGCAGGGCTGTAGCCACTTGGGGTGAGTTTGTGGCACATTAAGCCAAGAGTCTACATAGGGAAACTGGCCTGGGTATCCTGGTTGTCCTCCAACTCCAGTGACCACCTTAAACACATAGCCAATTAATTTCCTGTCTATTGTACCTTCAGGGGGCCACCCCACTTTGAAAGTAGGCCTATCTATCTCACAGTATGTCCTTAATTTTTGAGCATCAAGTTCAATCCTATAATCACCTCTAAATCCTTTTTTAAAATTATTTATCATGCATTCCAAAGGAGTCAATTTTGATGCTTTTCCTCCCATTTCCTCCCTTGGGGCACACTTTTGCTCTCACTTTCACTCTCAGATCCACCAGATCAGGTCCTATTACAGGAGTTTTGGACAATGCTTAGCCAGGAACATGCCTTCCCCTGTCACAGCCTGCTGCAGCTGTGGAACTGGTCCTATCAGCCATATGCAGTATCCTGGGTCTGATTTCCCCTGCTCTTACCTTGGAGCACACAGCCCGTGCTAAGGGTTCTGTGCCTCCCCACATCACTCCCCGTGTTGGCCTCTCCAAAGACAGTCTCTTTCACACACCTCCCCTGCCCCAGGACTCCTCATCAGATGAAACGAACCCCTCTCATGTCCTGGGTGGGTTCACATGCACCCACACACTCCCAGTTGTGGTGGCAAGCCATTCTTGCCACCTTGCCAGCAAGCTCTACTTTGCTGCACTTGCTGTTCTATTGGCCCCTTTCCTCCCTTTTTCCAGTTCCTGTCTCCAGATCCAGTGAACCACTTTCACTTTGTTAGTGGGGACACAAGTTTCATCCAAATTGGCAAGCCACTCCTGCTGCCCCCAACCACTCTGGGTTGGATTAGTGGTCATTCCCCAGGAGGTGATGAAGCTCCCCTTCATCCTTATGGGACGGGCTTCCCTGCCTTGGGCCCTTGCTCCTTACCACAGCTCCTGAAGTGCTGGTATCATCCTGCAGCCCCATCCTCAGTTCTGTTGTGCTGCTGGGCAGGATGCTGGGATGTGGGAAGAGCTGGTTTACATCTGGGTGGAGCTCCCACACAGTGCACCTTGGATGCCAGGTCTCCCCTGGCCCTGGGGCTCTAGTCCCACAGGCAAAGGAGACAGTAAATCTGTCATCTGCAATCCCAGGCAAGTTCCTAGAAAATGTTGTGGGATTTTTAAAGAATCACAGAGACCAATGGGTGTCTGATTCCTTAAAAGCATTTCGTGAGTAGGGGGAGATCTGTGCAGGGGGAAGCATACTACAGAAGTGAGAAAAAGAGAGTTATTCAATTTAGACATGAATTACATCACCCAATTAAGAGGTTGCCGGAAGATGGTAATTCTGTTTTTAGTTCTGTTAGGAATTGCCACTCTGCTTTTCACAATAGTTGAACTAATTTATACTCCCACCAGCAGTGTATAAGCATTCTCTCTTCTCTGAAACCTTGCCAGGATCTGCTATTAACTTTTGTGTTTGAGGCAGTCTCACTCTGTCACCCAGACTGGAGTGCAGTGACAAAATCTTTGCTCACTGTAACCTCCGCCTCACGGGTTCAAGTGATTCTCATGCCTTAGCCTCCCAAGTAGCTGAAACTACAGATTTACACCACCATGCCCCACTGATTCTTGTATTTTTAGTAGAGATAAACTTTCACCATGTTGGCCAGGCTGGTCTTGAACTCCTGACCTCAAGTAATTCACCTGCCTCAGCCTCCCAAAGTGCTGGGATTACAGGCATGATCCACCCCACCCAACCTGTTATTGACTTTTTAACAGTGCCATTCTGACTGGTGTGAGATGGTATCTCATTGTAGGCTTTTTTTTTCTTTCTTTCTTTTTGCATTTCTCTAATGTGATGAGCATTTTTTTTTTTTTTTGAGATGGAGTCTCACTCCATCGCCCAGGGTGGAGTGCAGTGGCATGATCTCAGTTTACTGCAAACTCTGCCCCCTGGGTTCAAGTGATTCTCCTGCCTCAGCCTCCTGAGAAGCTGGGATTACAGGCACCTGGTACTGCACCCAGCTAATTTTTGTATTTGTGTATTTTTAGTAAGGATGGGGTTTCACCCATCTTGGCCAGGCTGGTCTTGGACTCCTGACCTCGTGATCCACCCCCCTTGGCTTCCCAAAGTGCTGGGATTACAGGTGTGAGCCACCATGCCCAGCTGTGATGAGCATTTTAAAAATATTTTTGTTAGTCACATATTTGTTTTGAAAAGCATCTCTTCTTTTTTTTTTGCCTACTTTTTAATGAGGTAGTATATTGTTTTCTTGTAAAGTTGTTTAAGTCTCTTTTTTTTTTTTTTGAGAGGAATTCTCACCCTGTCACCCAGGCTGAAATGAAATGGTGTGGTCTCAGTTCACTGCAACCTCCGACTCCTGGGTTCAAGTGATTCTCCTGCCTCAACTTCCTGAGTAGCTGTGACTACAGGTGTGTGCCCCCACACCTGGCTAATTTTTGTATTTTTAGTAGAGACATGGTTTCACTACGTTGACCACGCTGGTCTTGAACTTCTGACCTCATGATCCACCCACCTCAGCCTTCGAAAGTGTTGGGATTATAGGCGTGACTCACCAAGCCTGGCATAAGTTTCTTAATTCTGTATATTAAATCTCTGTAAGAAGAATAGTTTGCATTTTTTTTAATTTTGTAGATTGGTTAGTCTCTTGATATTTTCCTTTGCTGTGAAAAAGCTTTTTAATTTAATTAGGTTCAATTTGTCAATTTTTGCTGTTGTTGCAATTGCTTTTGGTATCTTTATCATGTAATCTTTGCTAGTTTCTATGCCTAGAATGGTATTTTCTAGGTTATTTATCTTGCAGGTTTTTTTTTTAAGTTTTGCATTTAAGTCTTTTATTCATCTTGAGTTGATTTTTATATATGATGTAAGCAAGGGGACCAGTTTCAATCTTCTATACAGTGCTAGCTAGTTATTTCTGCACCATTTATTAAATAGGAAATTCTTTTTACATTCCTCTTGTCAGCTTTGTCAAATATCAGATGGCTGGAGGTGTGTGGCATTATTTCTGGGCTCTCTATTCTGTTGCATTGTTCTATGAGTCTGTTTTTTGTTGTTGTTGTTGTTGTTTTTTACCAGTATAATGTCGCTTTGGTTACTGTAGTGTAGTTTGAAGAGGAGCAATGCAATGCTTCCAGCATCATTCTTTTTTTTTTTTTTTTTTTTTTTTTTTTTTAGACAGAGTCTCATTCTGTTGCCCAAACTGGAGCACAGTGGTGTGATTTTGGCTCACTGTAACCTCCACCTCCCAGGTTCAAGCAATTCTCCTGCCTCAGCCTCCCAAGTAGTTGGGACTACAGGCATGCGTCACCATGCCCAGCTGATTTTTGTATTTTTAGTAGAGATGGGGTTTCACTATGTTGGCCAGGCTGGTCTTGAACCCCTGACCTCCTGATCCATCCACCTCAGACTCCCAAAGTGCTGGGATTACAGGCATGAGCCACCGCAACCAGCCAGCTTTGTTCTTTTTGCTTAAAATTGACTTGGCTATCAGGCTTATTTTGGTTCCATACAAATTTTAAAATATTTTATCATTTTGTTAACAATGTTTTTGGTAGTTTGATAGGAATAGCATTAAATCAGTAAATTTCTTGGGCTGTTTGACCATTTTAATGATATTAATATTTTCTATTCATAAGCATACAATGGTTTTCCATTTGTTTGTGTCATCTCTGACTTCTCTAAGCAGTATATTTTCATTCTTGTCACAGAGATCTTTCACTTCCCTGGTTTGCTGCATTCCTAGATATTCTATTCTTTTTGTGGCAGTTGTGAATGGGATTATGTTTTTGATTTGGCTTTTGGCTTGATATTGTTGATGTACAGGGATGCTACTGACTTAGTACCCTGAAACTTTGCTGAAGTTGTTTATCAATTTAAAGAGCTTTTCTGCTGAGACTGTAGGGTTTTGAAGATATAGCATCTTATCACCTGCACATAGGGATAATATAGTTTGACTTTCTTTTTTCCCGTTTGAATGTCTTTTATCTCTTCCCTGATTGTTTTGGCCAAGACTTTCAATTCCATGTTGAATAGGAGTTTTGAGAGAAAGCATCCTTGTCTTGTGCCAGTTTTCATGAAGGAATGCTTCCAGCTTGTGTCCATTTAGTATGTTTGCTGTAAGTTTGCCATACATAGATGACTGATTATTTTGATGTATGTACCTTGAATGCCTAGTTTTTTGAGGGTTTTAAACGTAAAGGATGGTAAATTTTATTGAAAGCTTTTTAAACATCTACTGAAATAACCTTGTGGTTTTTGTCTTTAGTTCTGTTTATGTGATGAGTAACATTTGTTAATTGTATGTTGAACCAATTTTTTATTTCAGAGATACAGCCAAGTTGATCATAGTGGATTAGCTTTTTGATGTTCTCCTGGATTTGGTTTTCCAGTATTTTGTTGAGAATATTTTCATCAATGTTCATTAAAAATATTGGCCTCAAGTTTTCTATTTCTTGTTTTATATTTGCCAGATTTTGGTATCAGAATAATGCTGTTTTTATATAATGAGTGGGGAAAAAGTCCCTTTTTCTCAATATTTTGAAATAATATTAGTAGAAGTGATACCAGCTCTTCTTTTGACATCTGGTAGAATTCGTCTGTAAATTTGTCTCATTCTTCGTTTTTTTTTTTTGTTTTTTTTTTTTGGTGGGTAGGGTATTTCATACTAATTCAGTTTTGGAGCTTGTTATTGCTATATTCGGGGATTCAATTTCTTATTTGTTCAGTCTTTGGAGGATGTATCTTTGCTCCAAGGTTACAATCCTCAAGCTTGGCCTAGATTAACTCTCTACTTATATTTATGTTGCCTCAGTTTTTTCCTTTTAGGTAGACGTGTTACTTAGAATGTGCTAGAGCAGCCTGTATGAAGGAATCTCCCCTTTGATTGTACTGTGCTTGCTGTAACACCCAAGGATGCAGAGTCCCGTTGATCCCACCTAGAATCTGCACATAAGGTCTGGCCTCTGCCTGGGATTTACAAGACAGGGCTGTACTTTGGATTGAGAATGTACTGAAAACCAACAGAAGGCATTTTCTGCATTGTTAGATGTCAGCATAGACATCTTAAAGCTCCCCTTTGAGAGTGTGGCTCTTTAAGCTTTTCAATCTTGTTCAGTGACCTGCTACAGTTTGTGAGAGGCTCCAGGTGTAAATAGAATCTGATGACAGAATCCATGAGTATAAACAAGCATCTTAAGAGTGAGAAATCAAGGCCACAAAGTATCCAGAGCCATGACCACAATGATACTTACCTGTAAATTC
This sequence comes from Homo sapiens, assembly GCF_000001405.40. Taxonomy (NCBI): domain Eukaryota; kingdom Metazoa; phylum Chordata; class Mammalia; order Primates; family Hominidae; genus Homo; species Homo sapiens. The sequence continues at coordinate 21,249,194 of NC_000019.10, read as the reverse complement.
TGATATTGGAGTACAGTATTCTTGTCCTTCTTCATACCCAAGGGCTCACAAATCAGGATAGGTGATCCAGGTTCTGGAGCTCCACCATGGCAGTTCCATTTTCTATTTAGAATCAGCCTGAGTTTCTCCAGCCTGGCTTATCACTGGGCCATCAGCCCTGGGTCACTGCGAACCCTCTCACAATCACCTAGGTGTTTTAAAGACATTTGAGGATGTCCAGGGCAGAATTGTGTCAGGCTGACAAGAGTGTAATCACTCTTCTTCTGCTTCTGTCTTGGTGTAAGAGAAAGGAATCATCCTGTGTTTTTTTCTCCCTCATACGAGAGATAACTTTGGTTGTTACCCAGACGAGAGTTTCTCAAGTTTTCTGGTACTTGGGTGAAAGACAAAGAGGAGGTCTTGTGACTCAAACAAATAAACTAATTGCTTTTATTTCATATGGTCATTCAAAAAATGGATGAAGCAGTCATGGTCCCTACCATCTAGGAGCTTTTAGTCTAGACTAGCAACTGAATACATGGTTGAATTAAGCATTATATTATTAGTACGGTGAATAGATGTTTGCAAAAAAAAAAAAACACAAAAATTTGAGCCACTTTTTTTTAATATTGGCGTGACTTCTGATGTTATTATCTGAAGGGATATTTATGGACTGAAGAGTTGTTGTTGTTATTTGGGTTTGTTTTACTTTTCTAAGAATACATATTTAACTCCTAATAAAATTATCCTAGAAAACTTTAAAAGATTCATTTAAATTCCTTATTAGTTTATGTTATAAAATTGACAGGGCAGTGGCAAAAATAGATGAAAGTTACGTAAACTATGGGATTTAAGTTTCTCTTAGGTAAGCTTAGGAAAAACAGAACTGGAAATACTCCAGTGGCATAAAGAACAAATTTTACATAGGTTCCTCTCCCTGCCCCAGTTCTGATCAGATTCACCCTTTTTGGAGACCTTGTAGGTCTGTCCCAACTCTGGAGTATTTCCTTACAAAACTGATTTATAAAGATTCAAGTTTTGGCTGTTAAATCCTGCTGACTTTCTAGAGCGGTTGCTCACAATATCCTGAAATCCAAAAGCAGATACATAAGAAAAGTAAAGTATACATTTTAAGATCTTAATTTCTAAATTTTGTAGTAAAACCAGTGCTTACAGAAACATTCCATTTAGCAACTTGTTTTCTATTCCTGCGGATCCAGTAGTTGCTCTGCAAGTCATAAACAAGTAAATATAAACAAAAAAATTCTCTAAACTACATTAAACTCTTTTTATGTCTTTATTTCTTTATATATCTTCATCTGTCTATATTTAGCTTTTAGTTTATTGGTTAAAATTGGTGATTGAGAAACAGGAAGAAATAATAATTCTGGGCCCTTTATCTAAATCCTGAGAATTATTGAAAACTTAGTATGAACTCTCAAGGTGTTATTAGGATTTAATCACATAGTGTGTTATTCCCAGCACAGTGCTCTGTTACATACTCTTGAGAACATAGTGCCACTTAATAAGCATTGCATTAGTTCATGTGTACCTGTTGTTTTTTAAATGCAGACTTATTCAGACATTGTTGCCTTCTGTGTCCTCTGTAAACTTTAAGGAGCCAGCAAAGAATATGATACTTTAAGATGAAGTTATTTTGTCTTTATTTGTACCAGAAATATTTGTGTTGTGACAAGAGTGCTGAGTGTAAGGGACACTGTGCTGTGCCTGTTTTCTCTAACTAATGCTAATAATGAGCCCAGGGGGAGCAATATCAGCATTGACAGGGGATTTTTTTGAAACACCCATCCATGGACCCTTTCCAAACCTGCAGAATCACGTTACATAGAGTGGGGCCAACATTACCAAGTGATTTTTGAGCTCATTAAGGCTTGAGAGGCAAGGCTTAGTTAAGTGATTATCAGCCCAGGATTCTCATGAGGATTATGTGGCCAATTTGGAGACATCTCTTTACTCTCCACAGGCTCTCTCCACAGGTTCTGTTTATTGTTCTAGGTGAAAGTATTCACATTGTTTTAATTGTGTCTCATGTGACTCTAAGGTGAGGACAGAATCAAGTGTGTGGGGTTCAAGATACATTCATAAGAGTTAAGTTTCTCCTTTACACTAAAAGGTGGTCACAGAGTCTGTTCTGTTTGGGTTTGATAGGGAGAGGTCAGTGTCACCCATATTTCCATTACTGTAGCAGAAATTGCTGGTGTTTGTGGCAAGGGCGAGCACCTGAAGACAAAAATAAAGAAACATATTTTTATATTCATGGAGCAGCTCATTGTTCCTGAATCTCTGCTGTTATAAAGGACAGAAATGGGTGGGCTTTTTCTACAGGTCTTAGTTCTTTTTTCTGTGGGTGTGAGACTAGCAGGTAAACAGGTGGTGCTGACAACTTTAAAGGAATTTTCTCAAGATGCAGGTGTAACTTCTCCAGAGAATGTCATCTGGAAAGGATTTCCAAAGAAGACAAAAGAGGAAAAATGGCTTTTTTTCAGCTAAACATGTGTCAGATGAAGAGCTGTGTCCACTCTGCCTCCTGGAGTGCCATGCATTTAAGTCCTTGCAAACCTTCACTTCTCTACTTGTGTTTCTTTTCCCCCAATGAATTTGTTTTAACTACTTAAAAAAATTCTTGTGATAGTCAAGGGTCTCTGCAAAATATTTCTCTCCTATATCCCAGAGTCTTCTCTACACTCTCTAAATCATGGCTTCTTATATGCCATGTGGAATTCTTACCAGGAATTCATAATCGGCACTATTAAAAATGTTCCCTTTGTTGCTGTTGAAATGGGAAAATATGGATATTCAAGATTCCTATTGGGGGAAAGCTGGGGTCCTTAGTAAAAATAGAGAACATGTAATGTTGAGGTTTCATCTGTTTTCTCCATTAACTCTATGCAGTACAGGACTAAGAAAATGCTTATTTAAACAGGATAGCATTTATTACCCAGAAAGTTCTGAAAAAAAATTATTGAGAGATACCCACTCTCTAGGGTGCTAAAGAAAGACTACTTTAAATTGTTATTAAAAATTACAGTACATAGAAGATATCTGCATCTTGAACTCTGCATAAAACTGATTTTTCTGTATGGTTAAGTTCAGACTGTACTTTTTGAGGGGCAATATCTCAGCAGTGGTGATGTGTTCTTCTGTGTGCATCAGCACATCATAAAAATTGATCCTAGTGCAGTTGATTTTACAATTTACTTAAAGAGCTCTCTGAAATATTTATTTCACTATAGAGTTAATTATTTTTCTCTTTATTATTAAGTATCTTTGTGTAGCTAAAGAAGAGCTGTGCATAAACCATCACATTTAATATGGCAGCTGCCTTTCTTTCTTAGTTTTCTTTACAAATACCTGTCTTTGAAGAATGAAGACTCTTGTCTTTGTTTCCAGGCCAGAAAAATTGGGTAAAACACAGGGTCTTTCACTTACTAGATGTTTGATAAAATATTCTTTTTCAGCCAAACGCATTGGCATTACTAGTGAGCTTGTTAGAAATTCAGAAACTCAGATTTTATTCCAGATCTTCTGGAAAAAAAATCTGCACAAGATCTTCAGTTTATTATACATATTAAAACTTGAGAGGTGCCTTCTAACTCAGCATGTCTTTTTTGTCTGAAAAATATACACAACTCATTCTTTATGATGCAAATATAGTGCTAAAAATGTACATGTTTGTGTTTATGCCTTTAGTTTTATACTTTATTATTCATAAAAGTATCATCTATGCCCTGGTGTTGTGGATCTTATACCATTCTCTTCTCACAGAGTTAGAGAATACATTAGAGAATATTTCTGTGTGGAAAATTGTTGGATAATTTTAGTCATTCCTATAAGTCAGAACAAATTTTCTTTACTCTCTCATTTAACCATAATTCAAATGATAAATTTTGCCCATTGACACTTGTAAATATGTGTGTGTGTGTGTGTGTGTGTGCACGCACGCATGTGTTTTTCAGGGGCCGTTGACATTTAGGGATGTGGCCATCAAATTCTCTCTGGAGGAGTGGCAATGCCTGGACACTGCTCAACAGGATTTGTATAGGAAAGTGATTTTAGAGAACTACAGAAACCTGGTCTTCTTGGGTGAGAATAACTCTAATACACAATTCCTTATATACCCTAAAAGTTTCATTTCTCTATTTTCTTGAATAATTTTTGGTAATTTATGCTTTGCATACAGGAATTTCTGATCTTTGTTTTTAAAAAATCTTGAGAAATTATCTCTGTAGAAAAAAATTTCTTCAAGATGTTTTATCTTGGCCTGAACGTTTTACTTTCCCAAGCTGGTCTGTATCCTTCACTCCAGAGTAGTGGTAATTTCAAAAATTTAGTAGTATAAAATATTGTTGCCCATATGTTAAAATCTATTTGCCAGCACTTATTTTTGATTCATGAGTACTGGGTAGTGAAATTAAGGAGCTACAAATTTAAAATATTTTCTAAATGTTAAGAACTTTCTGTTATTAAGTAGTAGTTTGGGATTAATTTTCTGGAATATTCTATTACATCCTCTTTACTAAGCACGGTACTAGGTTGGTAATTAAAGAATAAGAGCAAGATTCATGTTATTTATTTTTAATAAAGCAGGTATTGGTTTCTCTAGGCCAGATCTGATCAACTGTCAGGAGCAAGGAAAAGATCCCTGGAATATGAAGAGACACGGTATGGTAGCCACACCCCAGGTAGGTGAGACTAAATGAAACAGTTGACATAGATGAAAGGTTGGAAGATTAAAAAAAAACAAAAGCCAGTCTCTACAGTGTGATTTGGGAAGCTCTGTTCCAAAGCAAATAGTTTCTGGGAAGCCGGAGGTGTGTGTGTTTCGTTTTGTTTTTCTCACATAGGGTCATCTTCTGTCTTATGCCTTTAAATTCTCTAAGGATTCTACTTTCCCTTCGTTGATCTTCCTTCAAGTTCACAGTGAGAGCCAAAGTCCTCTTCATGGCACATAAGAGACTGCACAATCTGACTGCTTTTCCATTGTTTTGGGGGACACACAAATATCTGCATGATTTTGAGAACTTTGTGTTAAACTATTATTTTAGTTATCTTTTTGCATCATGTCTAAAATGTGTGAGAGTAGTGGTCTCTGTTCTGCTGGTTTTTATGTTAATTTTCTGCACATTCCCTCCTGTTTTTATTACTATATTCTTGAAATATAGTTTGAAATTATAAAGTATGATGTCCCTCTGCTTTGTTCTTTTTCCTCAAGATTGCTTTGGCTATTCAAAGTTTATTGTAGTTTCTTGTAAATTTCAAAATTATAGTTTCATTACTGTAAAAAAAAATTTCACTGGAATTTTGATGGGAATTGTGCTGAATCTATAGATTAGAGAATATGATACTTTAACAATATTTATTCTTTCCATAAATATGAAATATTTTAAAATTTATTTGTGTCTTCTCTAATTTCATTGATTTATAGCTTTCATTGTTAAGATTTTTTACCTCTTGGGTTATATTTGTTCTCAGAAATTTAGTATTTTAATTATATTTTTAAAAAGATTGTTTTCTTGGCCAGTACCATGTCTGAGGCCTGTAATTCCAGCACTTTGGGAGGCTGAGGCGGATGGATCACTTGAGTTCAAGAGTTTGAGACCTGTCTGTCCAACATGATGAAACCCCATCTCGACTGAAAGTATAAAAAATTAGTCAGGTGTGGCAGTGGGCACCTGTAATCCCAGCTACTCAGGAGGCTGAACAAGCAGAATCACTTGAACCCAAGAAGTGGAGGTTGCAGTGAGCAGAGATCACATTATTACACTCCAGCCTGGGCCACAGAGCAAGACTCTGTCTCAAAAAAAAAAAAAAAATTAGTAAAATATTTTTTATTTCTACTGTATCCAATAGCTTGTTTTAAGTGTATAGAACAATAACTTATACTTTTATGTTAATTTTATATTTTGTTAATTTACTGAGTGTATTTATTAGACAAATTTCAATGTACTGTCTATGGTTTTTTATGTATAAGATTATATATTCCTCAAACAGCAACTATTTACTTGTCTTTGATTTCAATGGCTTTTAAAAATGTTTTTTATTCATTATTCTGCCACATACTTCCAGTGCTGTGTTAAAATAGAAGCATTGATAATGGGCACAATTGTTTTTTATATTGGTGTCCATGAATTTGAAAAAGCAAACAACTTATATTTTCATATACTGATTTCAGGAGGTAAAGATCTGCTTTTGTTGGGTCCCCAGGGTTCTGGGATGCCCTCTGGGTTTGTAGTGGAGTTGGGTTGTAACTTGGTCACCAGGCTGCTGGGTCTGCTCTAGGGTCCACATTTAGATGGCTTGTTACAAGGGGCTTGGGTAGTTGTAATTCCCATTTGTTTTCTTTTTTCTTTTTTTTTTTTTTTTTGAGATGGGAGTCTTGCTCTGTCTCCAGGCTGGAGTGCAGGCTGGAGTTGCTCGGCTCACTGCAACCTCTGCCTCCCGGGTTCAAGCAATTCTCCTCCCTCAGCCTCCCAAGTAGCTGCGACTACAGGTGCGTGCCACCATGCCCAACTAATTTTTGTATTTTTAGTAGAGATGGGGTTTCACCATATTGGCCAGGATGATCTTGATCTCTTGACCTTGTGATCCACCTGCCTCGGCCTCCCAAAGTGCTGTTTTTTTTTTTTTGTTGTTGTTGTTGTTTGTTTTTTAACAGATTAAATATCCTTCAGGACTTTTATCTGTGGAGCAGACTCTAGGGCAGCTTTCTGCAGTCGGGTCCATATATAGTGGCCCTTATATCAGGATGCAAATGAGTATGGCTTTCACTGAGTACCAGAGAGGATTTCCTCAGGTCACTGTGCAGGTTTCTATGTAGGCAGAACTGGCCATGAACTGCTACCCATGGAGCTGGAACAGAGTCATTGAACTGCTTCAGGGACCACAGTAAAAACCAAGGTCTGTAGGCCTGCCTACATGGCTACAAATGGCTGTCTTTCTCCAGGTCTCTGGAAGGGCAGGGTCTCTACCAGACTGTAACTGGGAGAAGTTTGGGACGGTTACAGAGTAACTTCAGAATTCTCAGTGTGACCAAGTTGGTTGGGCCATTTCTTGGTCTGTAGCCAAGACCAGAGGTCCTATAATTTCCCACCAGAATGAGGACCTGCTCTCTGAAAAGGAATGCTCCTCAATCTTGGGCTTTAGCAGAATTTCACAACTGCCTCCCTAAATATCAAAGCTGTCTCAAAGGCACTTATTTTTGAGGTGAGGTCTCACTTTATAACCCAGGCTGGTCTTGAAATCCTGGCCTGAAGCAATTCTCCAACCTCAGTGTACCATATATCTTCATTACAGGTTTGAGCCATGATGCCTGGTTCTCTCATAAAGGAATTTATGTAAAGAATGGCTGAGAAATGTTCTTGCTGTGGGAGGGATAAGCAAATAGAGCACTTTTCATTTTTTCATCTTACTGATGTTTCTTTTCCTATACATTTTTACTTGCTATTTTCTATTTCAAATTTATCTGTAATTTTAGATTCAGACATTTAGGACAATATGTGAGAATTTACATGTTTTGTCTAAAGTAATTTAGATAATTGGTAGACACTCCATATTTACTAAAATCGTTACTTATAAATTTAAATTTGCTGTAGGCAAAAAAATAAGATTTTCACCTATTTTCGTCCATATATCTAAATGATAACATAATTTATTGCTAAATATTTGTTTAATATATCAGAGGCTCTAATTATATTTTGCAAAATATATTTTTTAAAATTTAGCAATGTAAGGCTATTCTTTGCTTCTAAAGTTGGATTACATCAGTTTTATTTCGTGTATGAATAGCTTATATTTAAAACATAAAAGTTATCGTGGCTGGGCATGGTGTCTCACGCCTGTAATCCCAGCACATTGGGAGGCTGAGGCGGGCAGATCACCTGAGGTCAGGAGTTCGAGACCATCCTGACCAAAATGGAGAAATCCCATCTCTACTAAAAATACAAAATTAGCTGGGTATGGTGGCACATGCCCGTAATTCCAGCTACTCGGGAGGCTGAGGCAGGAGAATCACTTGAGCCCAGGAGGCGGTGGTTGTGGTGAGCCAAGATCATTTCCATTGCACTTCAGCTTGAGCAACAAGAGCAAAACTCCATGTCAAAAAAAAAAAAAAAGAAAAGAAAAGTTAACACTTGCTTCTTTCTTTCTTTCTTTTTTTTTTTTTTTTGAGACAGAGTTTCACTCTTGTTGCCCTGGCTGGAGTGCAATGGTGTGATCTCAACTCACTGAAATCTTCGCTTCCCAAGTTCAAGCAATTCATCTGCCTCAACCTCTCGAGTATCTGGGATTACAGGTGCCCGCCACCACATCCAGCTAATTTTTTTGTATTTTTAGTAGAAATGGGGTTTCACCATGTTGGCCTGGCTGGCCTCAAACTGCTAACCTCAGGTGATCCACCTGCCTTGGCCTTGCAAAGTGCTGGGATTACAGGCATGAGCCACCGTGCCCGGTCACTAGTTTCTTTTAAATGCTTATTTATTAAAAGTTTCTTGAGGCCCGGCGTGGTGGCTCACACCTGTAATCCCAGCACTTTGGGAGGCCGAGGCAGGCGGATCACGAGGTCAGGGGATCGAGACCATCTTGACTAACACAGTGAAACCCCATCTCTAGTAAAAATACAAAAAGTTAGCCGGATGTGGTGGCGGGTGCCTGTAGTCCCAGCTACTCAGGAGGCTGAGGCAGGAGAATGGCGTGAACCCGGGAGGCGGAGCTTACAGTGAGCTGAGATCGCAACACTACACTCCAGCCTGGGTGACAATGCGAGACTGCATCTCAAAAAAAAAAAAAGTTTCTCATCAGGATATTTTATTTATAATTATACTGCATATTCCCTGAAATTTTACTGCCAATGATTCAAAATACCTACCTTTGATGAGTCACAGTTACAGTCAAATACTGTAGTTAGACAAATTCTTTTTTAATGGTTTACTAATGTTGCATACCAAATTTTATCAGTAAACCTGTCTCTTATTGTGCAGTTTTATATTAGTGGTTTTTTTCGTGTACGTTTCTTAACATCAGCTTATTGTGTTTTGGGGTTGTTTTTATGTATTACAATTGTAGTCAATTTGCAATTCTGCTTGTGCACTTTAAGTCAATGTGAGGTTTAATTAAGAGATAAATCAGCCATATGTCTATCACAATCAGATTATATATGTGTGTTTGTTTATCTATAAATATGACCCCAATATTGGTTATGGTTTATCTTGTGTATATTGTTTCTTAGCTGATTTTCAATGGTCGTTTTATCTTGTCTAAGTGAGTAGTCATGGAAATATTTTCACCATTTCCTATTTTCACAGTGCGTTTAATGTTGAATATATATTTCCTTTGTGTAAGAGAAACACTTCTGGGATTTGAAGGTAATTTTTGGAAAGAGTTATAATTCAGTATTATTTTCAGTTTTTCCTTTAGAAAATTAATTGTTGTAAAAACACACAACATAAAATTTAGCATCTTAAATCTGTTCAAGTGTACATTTCAGGACCAGACATGTGGGTGGCTCGCATCTGTAATTTCAGAAATTTGGGAGGCAAAGACAGGAAGATCACTTGAACCCAAAATTTTCAGACCAGCCTGGGCAACATGTGAAGATTCCTTCTTACAAAATTTTTTTAAAAAATAACCAAGTATGATCGTGTGCACCTGTGGTTCCAGCTACTTGGGAGACTGAGAGGGGAGGATTACTTGAGCCTTGAAATTTGAGGCTGAAGTGAGCCTTAATTGTGCCACTTCACTTCAGCTTGGGTGACAGAGTGAGAACCTGTCTCAAAACCAATCTGTACATTTCAAGCATGTTAAGTATATTCACATTGTTGTGCAAAAGACTTCTGAAAGTTTTACATCTTGTGAAACTAAAACCCAGTACCCATTAAGTAACAACAACGCATGTACCCTTTTCCCAGCCCTTGACAAACACCCTTCCAATTTCTGTTTTTATAAGTGTGACTACTTAGGATATCTCATGTAAGTGGAATCATACGGCATCCATCATTTTGTTTCTGGCTTATATAGGTGACATAATACTTGGAAAGCTTATCTTAAAATGTGACAAGATTTTCTTTCTTAAGAATAATATTTCACTGTATGTATATGTCACATTTTCGATGTGTTCATAAATCAAGAGACATCTTAGTTGCTTCAGCCTTTTGGCTTTTGTGAATAAATCGATGTTCAAATAGGTCTTCTTGTCTTGTGTGGCATATTTTGACTATAGATTCATAAATGGGATTGCTATATTTGATAATTCCATTTTTAATTATTTGAGAAACATGACATTTAAAAATAATGACGGTATCTTTGTTTTCTACTAACAATCAACATAGGTTTCATTTTTATTGCATCATCAACAGATTTGGTGTGCTTAAAATTTTATAGTGGCCATTGTAATGGGTGTGAGGCAATTTTTTCATTATTTTTGTGTGTTTCTCTACAAAGTATTAATTTTCTGTGTCATTTCAAATGTTTTTTTCTATATGTGTATCTTTTCTGATGAAAATTTTGTTCAATTATTTGCTCATTTCTAAATCAATTTAGCTTTATTGTTCAATTTTAAGAGTTGTTTATATATTCTGAATATTAACTCCTATCACATGTGTTTTGCAAATATTTTCACTTGTTTACTAGAGGGCATTTTTCACTCTACTGAATATTTTTTTGAGTGTGCAGAAATTTTGAATATAGTGTGCTTACATTTTTCTATTTTTTTCTTTGTTGTTCATGCATTTAATGTCATTTCTAAGAAAATGGTGCCAAGACCTATATCATCTCTTTTTTCTATTTTTTTCTAAGGGATTTGTTATTTTTTTATGTTTAAGTTTTTTATTTGTTTTTGAGATGGAGTTTCACTCTTGTTGCCCAGGCTGGAGTGCGATGGCATGATTTCAGGTCACCACAACTTCTGCCTCCTGGGTTCAAGCGATTCTTTTGCCTCAGTCTCCTGAGTAGCTGTGATTACAGGCATATGCCACCACACCTGGCTAATTTTGTATTTTTAGTAGAGACGGGGTTTCTCCATGTTGGTCAGGCTAGTCTCAAACTCTCTATCTCAGGTGATCCACCCGCCTCAACCTCCCAAAGTGCTGGGATTACAGGCGTGAGCCACAGCACCCGGCCGCATGTCTGTCACGGATTGCCACGGTTATTGCGGGACTGAACGAAGGACGAACAAAGAAATGAGAACCAAAGAAAAAACAATATCTTTTAAGGAAAGGGTCTGGAGAAGAAGAGGGCTCCCAGCTTCTAGTGAGCAAGGGCAGCCACCCTGAGTTTCCACAGCCTCCCAAATTCACTGGGTAGAAAGAGCAGGGAGGAGGAGGTAATGATTGGTCAGCTGCTTGATTGATCACAGGTTCATATTGTTGCTATTAGACTTCAGGTATGCCTAATCACATGAAACACTTGTGCCTGGGATGTGACCGCCCTCAGCATAACCTCTGGGTGGCAAATGTAGTTTGTCAGTTTGCCAACATTCTGCATTCATGAGAACAGCTTGCTGTTTACTCATATAGCGTCCAGTGGTACTCTGAGTTGATCACAACCCTCCCTCACTTTTTTGGCCTGTAACATCTCGTCCTGTTTTTAGTTGAAAAAAGGCAATTCAGACTGTACAGCCCTCAACTGCCAGCTGGTGGTCCAGCTGATCTTACAGATGTACAGAAAATTACAGCCAGCTTGGCCACAAATATGGAGTCAGGAGTTTTTGCCTGACCCTGGCACTCCAGCAGTTTATCAGCTTCTTGTGTGGTTTTCTTGAACTGTTCCTATGTTATGAGGGTTAATGTCAGCATGACTCCAGTTGGAACCTTGTTCCTGAGGGCACCCACACGGTTTGTTCATTTCCTGTAAAGATATGTTTGAAATGCTTGTTCCCTGGTGCCATAAAGAAATAGCATTTGAACATAAATTTAATTTATTCAGCAAGGCCATTTTTACTTCCTGCAGAAAGGGGACACTCACCGGCAGTTTTGCCATGAGAGTATACCAAACAAAGGAGACAGGGTCATTTATAACCTGATGCATCCACCCTACTGCTGTGTTTGGTTTCCATTGGCCGGAATGGGACCTCACATTCTGTATGTGTCCCAATTGTTTAGCAACTTAGAATTTTTTAAAAGAGTCAAAGGCAGAGGAGAACAAAGGAAGGAGGAAGTAACTTGTGGAATGCTGAGAAAGGTAAAAACACCTTCAAATAAGGAAGAGGAACAGGCTATGACCTAATGCTTGCTTGGACTAGTGTAAGCATGTCAGGGCAAATATTTAGGCTACATTGTGAGAGCTAAGAACATAAAGTACATTGATTACTTTATCACGGCTAGCAGATATTTAAGAATGTTAGCACAGGTCTTTGAATAAATTTTGCTTCTAAGAGAAATTATTATTTATTCCTAAATGGGGAGGAAAGTCTCTGAAGAGGAACCTCTACTTTACTTTTTACAGACGCACGAATACTCTCGTCCCCACATTAATAAATCTACCAAAACAAAAGCAAAGGCTTTTGTGGTTCTAACTCAGCTTCTGCCTCTTTGGCTAATTGCCATGGGGTAAACTTTCCATTGATAATGAGAGACAGGCTCTTTCTGATTAACAGAAGGCACAGAGAAAACAAATTGAGGCCCATCCTTCTCGTGCAACAGTACAGCAAAAACAATAGATCCTCAAGATCTATTACCACTTAAGGCCAGTCTCTTGGAATGGCTGCTGTGGATGGCAGACCTTGCTGTAATGCACCCATTGGTTTAATCTGTGCATCAATAGCTCTCAAATCATGCAGCAATCACCATTTTCTTGACTTCCTAGGAATCACAAATACTGGTGAATTCCATGGGCCAACCGACTCTTCTATATGTCCTGCTTCCAATTGCCCTTTTACTAATTGATGGAGTTGAATCAGTTTCCCCTGTGATAGGGGCCACTGATCCACCCATACAGGTTTGTCAGTCAGCCACTCTAGCGGCAAAGCAGTAGGTGGAGGAGAAATATCAATGACCTCCCCATCAGAAGTCCTGATGTCCTAACCCTTTTCTATCTGTGTGTCCAGTTATTGATATTAGATCAGGGTTTCCCTGTAGGGATTTTCCTAAGGCTTTTCCATTCTGATATCCCATTTTCTTTAACATTTAAATCCTGGATTATCAATAGTTTCATTTGTAAGTCTCATATCCCATGCTGTAAGTAAATCTCGACCCCATAGATTAACAGCTATATTCGTAACATAAGGTTGAAAAGTATATAACTGTCCATCTGGTCCGAGACAGGATAGAACTCTGTTGAACACTTTGAGCTGCTCCTATTCTCACTAGGGATGTAGAAGTTAGTTTTAAGGGCCAAGATAGGGCCCAATTATTTTTAGATATTACTGACACATCAGCTCCCATATCCATAAGCCCATAAAAACTCTTTCCTTTAATTTGCACTGTACAGGTGGGTCTATTACATGCTATGGGTTGTGATAGATAAATTTCCCATGTAGTTGTACTTCCAAATCCTTAATTCCCTCCTTTCTCCTTTTGTGAAGATGGGTGCGATTTACATGGAACAAGCAACAGTTGATCTCCTAGTTCAAAAACCCAAAGATCAATTTACAGGGAATAAGCAACAGTTGAGCATTATATTCTAGTTAAAAATCCCAAAGATCTTGTGACAATACCACTACTTGAATTTATCCTTCACAATCAGAATCAACAACTCCAGGGACTACAACAATGCTATGTAAGTTAAGATGACTTCTACCTAAAATTAATCCCATATATCCTATTGGCAAAGGTACCCAAATACCAGTGGGCATCTTATTGGGTTTTTCTCCTTCAATTAATGTAACCCATTCTCTGGCTGGGAGATGTAATCCTGCGCTTCCAGGTGTTCCTGGGGAGAGGGAATCAATGCTCCTCCGGAAACCCACCCCTGAAATGGAGTTGTGGCCTGGACGGGGAATGCCCTCATTGTTTGAGGTGCCCAGGTCCAGGTCCCTTTCTCATTCCCCGACAGGGGGGTGTTGTTTTGATGAAATTTTGAGTGGCATTGATTAGCCCAATGATTTCCTTAATTGCAACAAGGGCAAAGGCCTGGCATTTTTTTCTGTTAGAGGGAAACTGCATTATCAAATCCCTTCTGCCCAGAGATCTGATGGCATTCTTTTTTGAAATGTCCAATCTTTCTACACTTATAGTATTTCCCCCGTTTAGAGTTTGACCCTTGGCTCTTTTTAGATTTATCAACTACTAAATTAGCCATTGCTTGAACCAACATTGTAGAGCGATGAAGCTCAGTTCTCACATCTTGACAGGCTCTGAGAAAATTTCCCAAGCTCTCTGCACATCTCACAGGTGCCAGTGCACATCCACAATAAACGTTTGCACTTTCAAAAGCCAAAGTTAAAGTTAACATTTCTGCAACCACAAAAGAAACAATACAAGCCAATTTTCATCCTCCCTCTTCTGTTCACCACCCTCGATAGGTGCTGTGGGTAGGGCAAAAAATTCTTTTAAATTTTGGAACAATGACAAAAGAACAGTACAAACCAAACTCCAAACAGAAAAGAGAAAAGAAATAGCCAAATTCTTCCCCCATGTTACCCTGATTCAAAAACTTTCCATTCTATGTACCTTTTAGGGCACTGACCAATACCTCTTTAGGGTATATCGCTGCCGGCATACTCGTAAGGGGTTTCTCCTTCACCTGGTCAGTTTCATTTTTAATTTTTTTTCTTTTCTTTTTTTTCTTCTTTTTCTGCTCCTGCAGACCTTCCTTGTTCAAGCTCCTATAGGACCCTATCTGTCTCTGTCCCTATTCTGTCCCTGTTCTGTCCCAGCAAGTCTCTGCTAGTCTTTATCTTTTCCTATCTGTCCCTCGACTGTCCCTATGGGTCCCTATAGGTCCTGTAAGTTCCTTCAGTTCCCTGCAAGTCCCTGTATGACCCTGCAGTTCCCTTCATCAAGTCCCACGTTGGGCACCACTTGCCACGGTTTGCCACGGTTACTGCAGGACTGAACGAAGGAGGATGAATGAAGAAATGAAAACCAAGGAAAAAGCAATATGCTTTAAGGAAAGGGTCTGGGGAAGAAGAAGAGGGCTCCCAGCTTCTAGTGAGCAAGGGCAGCTGCCCTGAGCTTCCACAGATCCCCAAATTCACAGGGTAGAAAGAGCAGGGAGGAGGAGGTAATGATTGGTCAGCTCTTGATTGATCACAGGTTCTCGTTATTGCTATTAGACTTCAGGTATGCCTAATCACATGAAACATTTGTGCCTGGGGTGTGACTGCCCTCAGCATAACCTCTGGGTGGCACATGCAGTTTGTCGGTTTGCCAACATTCTGCATTCATGAGAACAGCTTGCTGTTTACTCATATAGCCTCCAGTGGTACACTGAGTTGATCATGGATCATGACCCTCACTTTTTTGGCCTGCAACACATTTAAGTATTTTTTTTGTAAATTTTTTGTATATGGTTCAAGGAAATGATGTAACTTTATTTTATCAGTGTTGATATTCAGTTTTTTTTTAACATAAATTCAAGATTTTATTGTCTTCATAATAAAGGATGACACTTTAGAACTGGATCACTTGGCCCTTTCTCTTATCTACTCCCAGTTCAAAATGCTTGCATCTTTTAATAGCCAGCATTCTCTAAGATCTGCATTTGGGCTCAATGCACTCAAGACTTAGCACAATCTTCTTTGTAGTTTTAGCCTTTTTC
Source organism: Homo sapiens (assembly GCF_000001405.40). Lineage (NCBI taxonomy): Eukaryota > Metazoa > Chordata > Mammalia > Primates > Hominidae > Homo > Homo sapiens. The sequence goes on along the minus strand of NC_000019.10, from coordinate 21,233,504 downwards.
TGGAAAATCGGCTTAGTTTGCCCATCATAGCCATTCTGCTTCCTGTCATAATGCTGCTTTCCCTGGGCATACAGAGAATCCTTGCCCTTCTTGTACTGTGTCACTTTGTGGGGTTGGTGCTTGCCACACTTCTTACAGAAAGTCCAGTGGGTTTTAGGGACATTCGCCATGTTTGTGTGAGTGCTGTCAGCATGGAAAGCGATAGTAAGTTTTTAACATTATTTTTTGAGAAGACTGATCATCTTTTCTCTATTGTGTGCTTATGGCAACTTTGCAAGAGATCATGTAATCATATACAGAAGGCTTCATTTCTGGGCTCTCTATTCTGTTCTTTCATCTTTTTATCTTCCTTTGTGTATGTATCATACTTTTTTATTGCAACTTTTAATGTGTTAAAATCAGAAAGTATAATGTCTCTTTGTTCTTTTTCATGGGTGTTTTGCTAGTTATAGTTTATAATCAAATTTTAAAATATTAAGCAATATTTCTGTAATAAAACTGTGCCATTGTGATTTTTTTTTTAAGATGGAGTTTTGCTCTTTTGCCCAGGCTGGAGTGCAGTGGCATGATCTCATCTTACTGCAACCTGCAACCTCTGCCTTCCCATTTCAAGTGATTCTCTTGCCTCAGTCTCCCAAGTAGCTGGGATTACAGGTGCCTGCCACCCCGCCTGGCTAATTTTTGTATTTTTAGTAGAGACGGGGTTTCACCATGTTGGTTAGGCTGGTCTCGAACTCCTGACCTCATGATCCACCCACCTCGGCCTCCCAAAATGCTGAGATTACAGACGTGAGCCACCATGCCCAGCGCTATTGTGATTTTTATAGAGAATATACTTAATATGTTCACCACTGTAGGTTGTATTGACATTTTAACACAATTAAATTTTTTGACCCCTGAGCAAGAATATGATGAAGAGATGAAGAGTGTGTTTTTTTAGTTTTCTTTCTTTTTCTTTCTTTCTTTCTTTTTTTTTTTTTTTTTGATAAGGATTTCCTATGTGGCCCAGGCTAATTTCAAACTCCTGGGCTCAAGAAATCCTCCTGCCTCAGCCTCCCAAAATGCCAGTATTAGAGGTTGGGAGCCACTGTACTCAGCCTGTGTGTTTCAATTTTATATATTCTTGGATTTGCCATTATTACTTTTGCTTTTAATTTCTAGTTTCATTCAGTTTTGTTAAGAAAACACACATGTATGATTTTGGTTTTAAATTTATTTGTTGTTGTCATTTTGAGAAAGGATCAAACTTGTCACTCAGGCTGGAGTATAGTGGCATAATTTTGGCTCACTGCAACCTCAGCCTCCTTGACTCAAATGACGTTTTTACCTAAACGTCCCAAGTAGCTGAGACTACAGACATTCACAACCATGCCTGGCTAATTTTTTTATTATTTGTAGGGACAGGGTCTCACTATGTTATCCAGGCTGGTCTCAAACTTCTGGTCCCAACTGACTCCCTCACTTTCATCTTCCAAATTGTTGGAATTATAGATGTTAGCCACTACCCCCAGCTGTTATTATTTAATAAGACTTGTTATATTTCCTAACTGAATACGTCATGTGCAAATAAGAATATTTTGTATTCTTTGACTTTTAAGTAGAAAGTTTTGTACATGTCTGTTAAGGGGAAAAATACCTCATAAATGCCTTGACACTATCTTTTTGATAATCAGAAAGTTTTCACTCCATTAATTCAAATGAGAGCTGGTTTATTCAAAGAACCTGACTTCTTCACCTCACACTTACTGTAATCCCAGCACTTTGAGAGGCCAAGATGGGTGGATCACAAGATCAGGAGTTCAAGACCAGTCTGGCCAACATGGTGAAACCCCATCTCTACTAAAGATAAAAGAAATTAGCTGGGTGTGGTCACATGCACCTGTAATCCCAGATGCTCAGGAGACTGAGGCAGGAGAATCATTTGAACCCTGGAGGTGGAGGTTGCAGTGAGCTCAGATCACACCATTGCATTCCAGCCATTTTCACCTGGGCAACAAGGCAAGACTCCATCTAAAAGATGGCACTTATAAGAATGTGTATTGTGTTGTTTTTGACTGGAGAGTTCTGTAGATATCTATCAGGTTCACTTGACCCAGAGCTGAGTTCAAGTTCTGAATATCCATGTTACTTTTCTTTCTCAATTATCTGTCTAATATTGGCAGTGAGGTGTTAAAGTCTCCCACTATTGTTGTGTGGCAATCTAAGTCTTTTTGTAGGTCTCTAAGAATGTGCTTGTTTAATCTGGGTGCTCCTTGAATTGATTATTTTAGCATTATGTAATGCTCTTCTTTATCTTTTTTGGTCTTTGTTGGTTTAAAGTCTGTTTTGTCAGAAACTATGATTGCAACCTCTGCTTTTTTTTCTGCTTTTATTTGCTTAGTGAATTTTCCTCCTTTTTTTATTTTGAGCCTATTTGTGTCTTTGCATGTGACACATGGGTCTCTTGAATACAGCACACCAATGAGTCCTGACTTTTTATTTAGCTTGCCATTCTGTCTCTTTTCTTGGTGCATTTAACTCATTTACATTTAAGGTTAATATAGTTTTGTGTGAATTTGATCCTTTTCATCATTCTAGCTGGTTATTTTGCAGACTTGTTGATGTTTCACAGTGTCATTAGTCTTTGTACTTCAGTGTATTTTTGCAGTGGCTGGTAATTCTTTTTCTTTTCTATATTTAGTCCTTCTTTCAGGAGTTCTTTCAAGGCAGGTCTGGTGGTGACAAATTTCTTCAGCATTTGTTTGTCTGACAAGGATTTTATTTCTCCTTAACTTATAACGTGTAATTTTGCAGAATATGAAATACTTGGTTGGAAATTATTTTCTTTAAGAATGTTGAATATTGGCCTCCAATCTTTATAGCTTGTAAGGTTTCTGTATCAGGGGAACCACCCCTAATATTTCACATAAGTTCTTTTCTATTTCCCTAAGTGTCAGCCAGTCTGAGAAATAAAGGGAAAGTGTACAAAAGACAGAAATTTTGAAGCTGGGTGTCTGTGGGAGACATCACATGTCGGCAAGTTCCATGATGCCCCCTAAGCTGCAAAACCAGCAAGTTTTTATTAGTGATTTTCAAAGGGGAGGGAGTGTATGAATAGGGTGTGGGTCACAGGGATCACATGCTTCACAAGGCAATAAAATGTCACAAGGCAAATAGGGGCAGAGCAATGGGGCAAAATTAAAATTGCTAATGAAGTTTCAGGCACACATTGTCATTGATAACATCTTATCAGGAGACAGGGTTTGAGGGCAGACAAACTGTCTGACTAAAATTTACTAGGTGGGAATTTCCTCATCCTAATAGGCCTGGGAGTGCTATGGGAGACCGGGGCTTATTTCATCCCTTATCTACAACTGTGTAAGACAGACATTCCCAGAGCGGCCATTTCAGAGACCTCCCCCTAAGAGTGCATTCTCTTTCTCACGGCTGTTCCTTGCTGAGAAAAAGAATTCAGTGATATTTCTCCTATTCACTTTCATAAGAAGAGAAATATGGTTTGTTCCACCTGGCTCTCAGGCAGTCAGACCTGAGGGTTATCTCCCTTGTTCCCTGAACATTGCTGTTATCTTGTTCTTTTTTCAAGGTGCCCAGATTTCATATTGTTTAAACACACATGCTTTATGAACAATTTGTGCAGTTAACACAATCATCACAGGGTCCTGAGGCCACATACATCCTCAGCTTATGAAGATGATGAGATTAAGAGATTAAAGTAAAGACAGGCATAGGAAATCACAAGAGTATTGATTGGGGAAGTGATAAATGTCCATGAAATCTTCACAATTTATGTTTTTCTGCCATGGCTTCAGCCAGTCCCTCTGTTCGGGGTCCCTGACTTCCCGCAACATTTCTGCTTAGAATTCCACTGTTAGTCTGATGAGCTTCCCTTTGTAGGTGACCTGGCCTTTCTTTCTGGCTGTTCATATCATTTTTTCCTGCATTTCAACCTTGAAGAACCTGATGATTACGTGTGTTGGGGTTGATTTTCTCATGAAACATCTTACTGAGGTTCTTTGGATTTTCTGAATTTGAATGTTGGCCTGTCGTGTTAGGTTGGAAAAGTTCTTCTGGATGATACACTGAAGTATGTTTTCCAACTTGGTTCCATTCTCTTGATCTCTTTAAGGTACCCCAAACAGTCATAGTTTTGATCATTTTACATAATCCTATAATTATCAGAGATTTTGTTCATTCCTTTTTATTCTTTTTTAATCTTGTCTGCCTGTCTTATTTCAGCAAGCTAGTCTTCAAGCTCTGAAATTCTTTCCTCTGCTTGGTCTACTCAGTTATTGATACTATTGGTTGCATTATGAAGTTCTCATGTTGTGTTTTTCAGTTCCCTCAGGTCATTTCTGTTTCTCTCTAAGGTAGTTTTTTATGATTCTTAGCTTCTTTGCATTGGCTTAGAACATGCTTTGTTAGCTCAGCAAAGTTTATTATTACCCATTTTCTGAAGACTACTTCTGCCAATTTATCCATTTCAGCCTTCACCCAGTTCAGTGCCCTTGTTGGAGATATGTTGTGATCATTTGGAGAAGAGGGGCTCTGGCTTTTTGAGTTTTCAGCATTTGTTTGTTGATTCTTCTCATCTTCATGAGTTTATCTAGCTTTGATCTTTGAGGCTGCTGACCTTTGGATAGGGTTTTTGGGGACTTTTTTGTTGGTGCTGTTGTTGTTGTTGCTTTCTGTCTTTTTGTTTTACTTTTAACAGTCAGGCTCTTCTTCTGTGGGGCTGCTGTCATTTGCTTGGAATCCGCTTCAGACTCTATTTGTCTGGGTTTCTCTCACACCTGGAGGTGTCACCAGTGGAGGCTGCAGAACAGCAGAGATGACTGTCTCCTCCTTTCTCTGAGATCTTAATCCCAGAGGGACACTACTGAGACCAGCTCAGTCATGGATACCCTAAACCAGTGGTGCTAGAGGAATTAAGACAAAGACACAGAAATAGAGTGCAGAGTGGGAGTCAGAGGGGCAACATCCTTTAGAGCTGAGAGCCACAAACTGAGTTTGACCTACATATTTACTGACAGCAAGCCAGTAATAAGCATTGTTTCTATAGGCTATAGATTAGCTAAAAGCATTCCTTATGGGAAACAAAGCATTCTTAGCAAAGAGTAGAGAAACAGGCTCTGGCTGATTATCTGTAGCAAAAACATGTTGTTAAGGCACAGGCTGCTCCTGCTATTGTGTGTGGTTTGAGCAGTTTTCTGCTCCGGGCAGGCCAGATGTTCCTTGCCTGCTCCAGTAAACCAACAACTTCTAGCAGTGTGCATTATAGCCATCATGAGCATGTCACATTGCTGCAGAAATCCAGTTTATGGCCAGTTTCTTTAAGGCCTGTTCCCAGAAGGGCACCAACCTGATGACAATGGGAACACTCCTTTATAAGTTGCCTGACACCACCTTTTGAGGGGGGGGTTCTCACCAAGTCAGGATGCACAAGATCCAGGAACCACTTAACAAAGCACTCTGGTTGCTCCTTGGTGTAGGGGGTGTGCTGCACAGGGGGAGATTCCATACATCTGTACTGCCCAGATTCCTCAGAGCCAGCAGAGGGAAAGACTAAGTCTACTGATCTACAGGAACCACCTCACTGTTACTGTTTTATGTGTTTCTTGCAGACATGTTTTTTCTCATTACCTGTTTTACTATCATAATTTTTGTTTAACTTTGTTGTGACATGGTGTGATTTTTAAAATTTTGTTTTGCATACTTCCTATAATATAATGTAATCATCTTGAAGTATATTGTAACCATCTTGAAAACTGGAGATTATATAAAACACCTTAAAGTTAAAACAGTATCTTTTAATCTCATAATAACATTAATTAAATACAAAAGCTATACTGCTATATTTTCCAGTTTGTTATAGGTATTACAAATTATGTTATCTTATTTTGTATCTATTAACAGATTTGTGCAGATTTATGTTTTTTTTATATCTATAGAAGAACTTCAAAGGTTTTATGTACCATCATTATGACAGTAAAACATTCTATGTGTGTCTTTATATTTATATTTAATAGAGTGCTTTATTTTATATATGGCTTTAAGATTCCTTTCATGAATATATTGATCTACTTGATGGTGTCCAATAATTTTTACATTCTAAATTTTAATTTTCTTTGGCAATATTATATTTTTTGTTATGTATTTCAGGGTATGCCACCTCAAACCAGTTAATTGTGTTTTGTTGTTTTGATTTATATTATAATTCTGTATGACAATGTTTAACTCTGTACAATTTAAGACAGTGTTGAGCAAAATCAACTACGAATCAGCCATATGTCTGCTTCCAATATCATTACCTCTATGTTTGTTTCCCTCTATAAATATTATTGCTGTTTTTAAAATAACTTGTATATTTGTTATGTAGGTTTGTTGTAAATGGTTGTTCAATCTTGTCTAGGTGAGCAGTCGTAAAAATTCTCCTAATTTCAATGTCTATTGTGAATCTATATTATTTTTGTGTGTAAGGAACACTTTGGGATTTGAAGATAATATTAAAACTCTCATAACTCTATATTTTTAGGTATTAGTTTTACTTGTCAAAAACATAACAAAATTTATTATCAAATATTTTTTAATATTCTGTTTAGTCATATTATATTGACAATGTTATGCAACATATCTCTAAAATGTTTTTATCTTTCAAAACGAAATCTCAATACACATTAAACAACAACCAATTTTTCTGGTTTTCTGAATTTTCCAAACACCATTCTGTTTTCTTTTTCTAAGAGTGTAACTGCTTCATATATTTCTTACAATTTCTATCTTTTTGTGGCTGACTCATTTCATTTTGCATAATGTCAAAATTTATCTATAAAGAGTATTAGAGTATTTCCTGCTTATAAAATTCTGGATGATAATATGGTATTTTTCTATTTCAAATTACATCTACTGAATAATTTTGTTACAGAAATTTGAATTGCTTCTACCTGTTGGCTTTCAGTAACAATGCTGCAATAATTATGGGTATGCAAATAACTCTTCATATGATCATGTATATGAAAGTTTATATAAGTGCTGCCTATTTTATTAGTTCACTTTTTAATGACTATACTCATACAGATTTTTTTAAAGTCTATTTTCTTGCTTTTTCTTTATTCTTTTTTTTTTTTTTGAGACAGAGTTTCACTCTTGTCACCCAGGCTGGGTTGCAATGGCATGACGGCATGATCATGGCTCACTGCAACCTCACCTCCTGGGTTCAAGTGATTCTTCTGCCTCAGCCTCCTGAGTAGCTGGGATTACAGGTGCCTGCCACCACACTCAGCTAATTTTTGCATATTTAGTAGAGACTGGGTTTCACCATGTTGGCCAGGCTGGTTTAAAACTCCTGACCTCATTGTGATCCTGCTGCCTTGACCTCCCAAAGTTCTGGGATTACAGGCATGAGCCACTGTGCTCAGCCCCCAAATTGTTTTAACTCTGTAGCTTTGTAATGTGTTTTCAAATCAGAAATTGTAATGCCTTTAACATTGTTTCTTCTTTTGAAGACTGTTGGGTACTTCATTTTCTCTTGATAGTCTATATACTTTTGAGATTGCTATTTCTATTTCCTCAAAAATGGAATGAGAAATTTTTAAAAACATTTTATTGCATGGTGTGGGGGCTCACGCCTGTAATCCCAGCACTTTGGGAGGCTTAGGCAGGTGGATCATGAGGACAGGATTTCGAACCCAGCCTGGCCTGTATGATGAAACCTCATCTCTACTAAAAATACAAAAATTAGCCAGGTATGGTGGTATATACCTGTAGTCCCAGTACTCAGGAGGATGAGGCAGGAGAATCGCTTGAACCTGGGAGGCAGAGGTTGCGGTGAGCTGAGATCGCACCACTGCACTCCAGCCTGGGTGACAGAGCAAGACTCCATCTCCAAACAAAACAAAACAAAACAAAACAAAACAGAACAAAACAAAAGAAACCATTGCATTAAATCTGTAGATTACATTGAGCATTATGGACATCTTCAAAATATTTCAACTTTTGAACAGGAGCATGCTGAAGAGTGTGTTGTTAAATATCTATATATTTGTACATTTTTAATTTTTTTTTCTGTTCTATACTTACATTCCATTTTGGTTATAGAATGTAATCCACAAAATGTCAATTTTAACAAATTTTCAAGACTCCTTTTTTTGGCCTAACAGGTGGTCTATCAAAAAGAATGTTGTATAAGCTATTCATAAGAATGTGTTTCCTGATATTGTTGAGGGCTCTTGTCTATTCCACTGTTAAAAATAATTGTATTATACTGCCTTCAATTCCTCTCTTCACTTACTAATATTCTGTCTTGTTTTATTTTTATTACAGAAAGTAGGGTATTGAAATTTCCTACTATAATTATATTGCTGTTTAGGTGTTTCTTCCTGTCTGTCAATATTTGCTTTATATATTTGAAAACTTGGTGTGAAATACAGACACACACACGCACACAAATTTGCAATAGGTTCCCAGTAAATATATCTATTATTGTTTAATGTCCTTTGCCTCTTTGCTGTTTTGACTTAAAGTACTTTATATAAAATATAACAGTTTTTGACTTAAGATGTAGCTTTTGTAATACTATTTTGACCTCTTCTGCTCTCATTTGGTTAATATTTGCATCCAATGTCTAAATCCATCTTGCCACCTTCAGTATCTTTTTTATCATTAGATGTCAGCTGACCCTTGTAGAAAGGCAAATTGGATCTTGGTTTTTAATAATTGTAAATAAATTTCTTTATTGAAAGTATAACTCTTGATTGGAAAGTTTTCTTAAACAAAGAGACTAATATTTGTTTATTTTTCTATTTGATTCTTGTACCTGTGTCCCACATTTTCTCTCTTTCTGTCTCTTTGTGTCTTTTTTATTTTGATTTTGATATGCTTTTTCTTCTTTCTTATTTTGTGTATCTATATAGATGTATTCTTTGTGCTAAGAAATTTATTTTTGTGTATGTACACATCTTTCCCAGAAAATAATGTATTTTAATATGATTATGTGTTGTTTTGTTGAATCATGTTATTTTCATTGGAAGCGACTGCTTTCAGCACCTTTTATATGTAAGGCAGTGCCAATATACTGTTTTAGAATTTAGTTATTTTTGAGGTTTTTTTCTTTTTATTTGGAAGGACAGATTTGGTGATGGTATTATACTCACTTGATTTTTTTTGAACCTTAAATATATCATGCAGTTTCCTTCTGGCCTGCAAAATTTTTGTTGAGAATCCATTGGATATCCCATAAGAGTATTCTTGCAAATAACACATCACCATTTTTTTTTTTTTTTGAGACTGAGTTTTGCTCTTGTTTGCCCAGGCTGATTGCAATTTTGTGATCTCAGCTCACTGCAACTTCTGCCGCCTTGGTTCAAGCGATTCTCCTGCCTCAGCCTCCCGAGTAGCTGCTATTACAGGCATGTGCCACTACGCCCGGCTAAGTTTGTATTTTTAGTAGAGACAGGTTTCTCCATGTTGAACAGGCTGGTCTTGAACTCCTGACCTCAGGTGATCTGCCTGCTTCGGTCTCTCAAAGTGCTGGGATTACAGGTGAGAGCTGCCATGCCCAGCCAACACATCACTTTTATCTTGCAGCTCCCAAGATTCCCTTTTCTGTGACTTTTAAAATTGTGCTTATGTATGTGTTTGATATAAATATCTTTGTGTGTATCCTAGTTTGTTTGTTGAGCTTCTTCATTTTTATGTCTTTTTTTAAAGATTTTTCAGTTATTCTTTATATATTTTTTACCTCCATAATTTCTTTTTTCTAATATTTTAAGTATTTTTATTCTTATTTCCAGTTTTCTGATATCCTATAGTTCTCTGTGTTCTTTTTTCACTCATTGGGTATTATTCAATTTATTTTCAATTTTTAAAACTAATGTAAACATTTGTTATTGTTTCTTTCTGAAAATTTTATATTATTTTTAATGGAACCACATTGCCCTATTTTATATACATTGTAATTTTTTTTTTTTTTTGAGATGGAATTTTCCTCTTCTTGCCCAAGCTGGGGTGCAATGGCATGATCTCAGCTCACCGCAACCTCGCCTCCCAGTCAAGCGATTCTCCTGCCTCAGCCTCCCTAGTAGCTGGGATTACAGATGCCCGTCACCATGCCTGGCTAATTTTGTATTTTTAGTAGAGATGGGGTTTCTTCATGTTGGTCAAGCTGGTCTTGAACTCCTGACCTCAGGTGATATGCCCGCCTCGGCCTCTCAAAGTGCTGGAACTACAGGTGTGAGCCACTGCGCCTGGCCACATCATAATCTTTTATTCAAATTTGAATATTAAAAAAACTTACCTGTCCCAATCTTTATAATGTGGCTTTCCCCTGGCATACCTTGAACAATTGTCTGAGTTAGAGATTCTGAGAGTCTCTTAAACATGTTCTTCAAATGTGTCTTTTCTGAAATTTTGTGTTTATTTTTTAGTTAAAGGAAATAATTCATCTTTTTTTCTTTCTTTCCTTTTTTTTTTTTTTTTTTTTTGACACAGAGTCTTGCTGTGTCCCCCAGGTTGGAGTGCAGTGGCATGATCTAGGCTCACTGTAACCTCCACTCCCGGGTTCACGCCATTCTCCTGCCTCAGCCTCCTGAGTAGCTGGGACTACAGGCCGCCACCACCACGCCCAGCTAATTTTTTGTATTTTTAGTAAAGACAGGGTTTCACCATGTTAGCCAGGATGGTCTCAATCTTCTGAACTCGTGATCTGCCCGCCTTGGCCTCCCAAGGTCCTGAGATTACAGGCTTGAGCCACTGCACCCAGCCAAATGTGGCAAAGCTTTTAAGTGGTCCTCATACCTTAGTAGACATAAGGTCATTCATATTGGAATTCATACTGAGGAGAAATTCTACAAATGTGAAGAATGTGGCAAAGGGCTTTACTGGTCCTCTTCCCTTACTAAAGAATGTGGAAAAGCTTTTAAACGGTACTTAAACCTTACTACACATAAGATAATTCCTGCTGGAGAGAAACCCTACAAATGTGAAGAATGTGGCAAAGGTTTCTATTGATTCTCATACTTACTAAACTTAAGAAAATTCACACTGGAGAGAAATTCTACAAATGTGAAGAATGTGGCAAAGGCTTTAATTGGTCCTCGACCCTTACTAAACATAAAAGAATTCATACCATACAGAAATCCTACAAATGTGTAAAATGTGACAAAGCTTTTAACCACTTTTCAATCTTGCCTACATATAAGATAATTCATGCTGGAAATCCTACAAATATGAAGAATGTCTCAAAGCTTTTTACTGATTCTCATACCTTACTAAACATAAAATAATTCATAAGGGAGAGAAATTATACAAATATGAAAAATCTTGCAAAGCTTTTAACAAATCTTCATCCATTACTAAACATAAGATAATTCATACTGGAGAGAAAACCTACAAATGTGAGGAATGTGGCAAAGCCTTTAACCTGTCCCCCCAACTTACTGCACATAAGATAACTTATACTGGAGAGAAGCCCTACAAATGTGAAAAATGTGGCAAACATTTTAACCAATCATCAACCCTTACTACACATATGTTAATTCATGCTGGAGAGAAACCCTACAAATATGAAGAATGTGGCAAAGCTTTTAACCAATCCTCAAAACTTACTAAGCATAACTCATACTGGAGAAAAATCTTACAAATGTGAAGAATGTGGTAAAGCCTTTATCCAGTCCTCAACTCCTACTAAACATAACATAAGCTGCTTACAACTGTGAAGAATGTGGCAAAGCTTTTAACCAGTCCTAAAACTTTATTGAACAAAATAATTCATTCAGGAGAGAAACCCTACAAATGTGAAGAATGTGACAAAGCCTTTAACCAGTCCTCAATTCTTAATAAACATAAGAAAATTCATATTGGAGAGAAACCCCATGAGTGTGAAAAATATGGCAAAGGCTTTAGCTAGTCCTCAGTTCTTAACACACATAAGATAATTCATACTGGAGAGAAACTCTACAAATCAGAAAGATGTGATAATGCTTTTGACAATACCTCAAACTTTTCTAACCATAAGAGAAATCATATTGCTGAGAAATCCTAGAAATGTGAAGAATGTGACAAAGTCTTTAAATGGTTGTCATACTTGATTATAGGTGATATAATTCATAGTGGAAAAAATTCCTACAAGTGAGAACAAGGTGGCAAAATTTTTAACTAATACTCACACCTTATTGCAGAGAAAAGCATTCATATTTGAGAAAAATTGTACAAATATAGACTGTGAAAAAGACATTAATATCTGCTCACATCTTACTAACACCAGAGAGTTAATACTTACTAAAAGCATGATAAGTGCAATTACCGTCAAAAGACCTTTCAGAAAATCTTATTCTTTAAAGTGAAGAAGAGGATTTATATTGAAGATGAGCATTACACGTGTAAAGAGGGTTGTAGTAGCTTTACTTGTATCAGATCTTATTGTCCACATTTTGTACTAGAGGAAAACTCTAAAGGAGTTGCTTAAACTTTGTTCAACATCAGGGAATTTATATTGAAGAGTTGTCTTGCAAATGTAATAAATTTGGGAAAACAAATTTTCAAAAACTACAGCTTAGAAAACACCAGAGTTTATACTACAATATGTTTTTGAAAATGCAGTAAAAATGAAAAAAAAAATTTAATTCAAATTTAAGTCTACATAAATATCAGAGAATTTATAGTAGAAATATATAAGGAACTGACACTTCAGATGTTATACTAAATCAGAGTTCTGAGTATAGAAAATAATCTAAAACTAAAGTTGGTATAAAAATTATTTGTATATAACTTTAAGAGGAGTAAAAGTTTTTTGCAGAGTAATAACTACATTCAAAGTATACTTTATTTCTTGAAAAAATTACAGATTTTTTGAAAGCAAATGATGTAATTCAACTGTCATTATTTTCTGCTGTTTCTTCATTCTTATTCACTTGTGAAAGTTTGTGATCATTTCTTGCTGCATCAAAGGTATGAGAGATTCTTTTTCATTAGGTGGGCATTATTTATGATCTTTTCTATGTACAAGTAAGGATATTAGAATGTAAGATGCATGATGAAAATCTAAGTGGAGAGATTCTTTGTGGTTAACTTACACTATTGAGTGATGCACGAGGTAGGTGTTAAGAGTGATATTCTTTGCATTACGAGAAAACTAGTAGTATATTATTCATATATTGTACTAATTGTACTTTTATATGATAAAATGCAGTACATTTTAAAAATTTTAGATTATGTGTGAAGTTAATCGTTTCAACATTTTTAACATGTTAAATACTATTGTGCATTCAATGAAGTGTTATTTTACCACAAAGATTAACCTTTTCCACTTTGCCCAAAAATATAGGTAAAAAATGTTAACAATATACTATTTGGTAACATAATGGACTAACATCTTTAGTCATCTCTTTTGCCAGTGGCTTTAAACTGCAAATAAGTTAAAGAATATTGTTCCTGTAGGTTAAATTTTTATTCTTAATCATTTAATTTGTTTTTCTTAATTTCTGTGGGTACATGAGTGTATATACTTATGGCATATATGGCATATTTTGATACACAAATACAATACATAATACTCACATCGAGATACATGTGGTATCCATCACCTCTAGCATTTATCCTTTGTATTACAAACAATCCAATTGTACACTTTTACTTATTTTAAAATGTACAATTATGGCCGGGTGCAGTGGCTCACGCCTGTAATCCCAGCACTTTTGGGAGGCCCTGGCGGATGGATCACCTGAGATTAGGAGTTTGAGATGGCCAGGAACCTGGGAAGTGGAGGTTACAGTGAGCTGAGATTGCACCACTCCACTCCAACCCAGGTGACACTGCAAGACTCCATCTCAAGCAAAAAAAGAAATAAAAAATAAAGTACGATTAAATTATTATTGACTACTGGGATATTTTTATGGTTATTATAGAAATCATATGCAAGTATAAATTAAATACATACATTTCTGAGTTCTGAGTACATATCTTAAAATTTTAAACATATATATATTTGAACTTGTGTCCTGTCTGCCTGCAAACACATACAGACTTTTAGGTTTGATATACAGAGGGTTAAATATACATTACTGTAGAGATAAACTTTAGGTGTAAGGAAATGATGGAGTAAGTAAGTCTGTGTTAGTATAAGTTTGTACTTATTTTCATAAGAAATATTGGAAAAATTATTTTAACAAGGTAACTAGTATAAAACTAAAAGCCTCAAAAATGCTGAAAGCAAATGTATACTCTCTGCTTTGTATTGAATTTACTACTATAGTTATTGTATATGAAATTGTTTTTTAATTTTCATTTTGAGATAGTTAATGTGTAGAAATGCTACTGACTTTGATGTTACTTTTGTATTTTGAAAGCTTAATAAATTTGTTTATTTTTAATAGTTTTTAGTAAAATCTTAGGCTTTTCTTTTCTTTTCTTTTTGAGATGGAGTCTCACGTTTGTCACCCAGGCTGGAGTGCAGTGGCATGATCTCGGCTCACTGCAACCTCTACCTCCCAGGTTCAAGCAATTCTCCTGCATTAGCCTCCAGAGTAGCTGGGATTACAGGTATTGTGCCACCAGGCCTGGCTAACTTTTTTTTTTTTCTTTTTGTATTTTTAGTTGAGATTGGGTTTCACCATGTTAGCCAGGCTGGTCTCGATCCTCCTGACCTCAGGTGGTCTGCCTGCCTCGGCCTCCAAAGTATTGGGATTACAGGCATGAGCCACTGCACCCAGCCAGTCTTAGGGTTTTCTATACTTCAGATTATGTATAAGGATAAAAGATAATTACACAGGAATAATTAACTTCCTTTTGTCCAATCTGGATGCCTTTGATTTTATTCTCTAATTTCTTTGCCTTAGATTCATTCTATGTTTAGTAAGACTGACTTTAGCAAGGATGAGTGGGCATCCTTGTCTTGTTCTAGCTCTTGAGTAAAATCTTGCAACATATCCCCATTTAGTATGTTGTTACCTGTGCATTTTTTGGTTGTATGTGGCACTTATTGGCTGAGGTGCCAATAATTTGATCTATAACAAATTTTTTCAGAGATTTATCATAAAGGAATGTCAAATTTTGCCAAACTTCCATTGTGTGCATCTATTCTTTTGTACTCTGCATCTATTTAAATGTTAGAGATGTGAAATCACAATTAATTCTATATATATACAAAAAATCATCAGAGACTACTATGAACATCTCTATGCCTGCAAACTAGAAAATTTTAAGAAAATAAATAAACTCCTGGATACACACAAATTTCCAAGATTGAACCAGGAAGAAACAGAAGTCTTGAACAGGGCAAAAATGTATAAAATATATATGATGAAATTGAATTAGTAATAAAAAACCTACCAACCATAAAAGCCCTGGATTATGTAAAATCACAACAAAATTTTACCTCATATACAAAGATGAGCTCGTACTACTACTGAATGTACTCCAAAAAATCAGGATGGAATTCCACCCTAACTCATTTTATAAAATCAATATTATCTTGATACCAAAATCTAGTGAAGGCACAACAAAAAAAGGAAACTACAGGCCAATATTTTTGGTAAACATTGAAACAAATATCCTCCATGAAATACGAGCAATCTGAGTTCATAAGCAAATCAAAACGTTTTGCCACAATCACGTGAGCTTAATTCCACCTATGCAAAGATATTTAATCATATGCAAGTCAGTAAGTGCAATTCACCATGTACAGATAATTAAAAAATTATACAATTAACACAATAGACACAGAAAATGCACTCAAGGAAATCCAATATTCATTCATGAAAATATTCTCAACAAAGAAACCATTAACAAAACATACCTCAAAATAGCAAGAGCCATGTATTAAAAATCCTCAGCCAACATTATACTGAAAAGGCAATAGCTGCATGCATTCTCCATTAGAATAAAAATAAGACAAAAATATCCATTCTAACACTCCTATTCAACATAATTTTAGACATCCTAGTTAGAACAATCCAAGAAAATAAAGAAATTAAAAGCATCTAAATAGAAAAAAAGGAAATTAAATTATCTTCACTGATAATGCTCTACCTAGAAAACCTTAAAGATTTCCAGAAGTATTTTAATTTGAAAATATAAATTATAACTTAAATACCTTCATTTTAATGCATTTTTGGTTAATATTATGGCTGATTGACAACTTAAGTTTTAAGAAAATTTTTTGGATCGAGGCCATTAATTATTACCATAATTTAGACAAAATAGCAATGAAAATCAATGTTCATTAGTGAAACAACTATGATGTAGCCCCTGGTAACCATTTCTCTCCCACCCAACATGAAAGCACCATCTTTGTGTCATCTCTTCCAGTTCCAAGAAAGAGGCTTCTGATCAAATTGATCGGCATACAATTTTGTAAAGTTTAACTCTTTTAGTCTGAAAGTTATCCATTACCAGAAAAATTAATATTTTGATATGTATTTATTCTATTCTATTCAAATTATTCAGAAAAGCTAAACTGCCAAAGCATGTATTTAACTTTTTCAAAAATTCAAAATGCTTAAGGAACATTTTTTATAGAAACTAATACTAAAAACAATTTTAGATTTTTAGAGTACATTTCTCAAATACTTCAAGTTACCTTCCTCTGGCAGTAGATATGTATTTTTCTATATTGCTATAATACAGCTTTGGCTGTCCTTTGTGGCCAACCCTATCATTTCTATTCTTTTTTTTTTTTGCAGTATTATGTGATGCATTTTACATTTTAAAAGTTGTAGTCCATGCATTGTAATTTTTAAACAATTGAAAAACGTTTTTCCATGTTAAACTCTCTGCTTAATCAGCAGTAACTTTATTTTCACTCTTCAAAGGCATTTTTAACTGCCTGAAATGCAAAGAGGCAGTTCAAATGTGTTTGCTGAGCTGGTCCTCTCCAGTGTCAGTCTATTCACATTCACACAGGTGATCTTCTGGTGTAACAGGGTGCACTTCAACAGCATTATCACAGCAATATGGAACAGACGTAATAGAATAAAAGAGGAATCACTGCCTTCCAGGAAAAGGAGCTAATCTTATTTATTCTGTGTATGTGAGTATGTGGTGGTTGTAAGCTTGAGAATAAAGACTAAAGTTACAGAGAACGCTTTACATTAGTAGTGCAGTGCAGTGCAGGTCCTATACAATCTTCTTGTTTGTCAAACATACCCTGAATGGTTTTGTCAAGTGCTCTGTTTCTGTATCCATCACTTATTCTATTCTGATAATTATTTTCTACTTCATTAATTTAGATATTCACTCAACATCATCCAAAATCCTGTCCTTGATGCTTAAGTGCTCAGATATAAAATATTATTGATAAAAAGATGGTTTTATTTTTTCATTTTACTACAGAGAATTTGATGCCAGTAAACTTTAGTTCCTTGAAACTTTGAAAACATGCTTCAGTTTTTATTTAGTTTGGAAAGCTAAATTTGGTCAAAAGTAAATATAACAATAAATGAATATAAATCATTTTGGAAGTGAATTCAAATTATTACGTAAGATATTAAATTTGACAGATATATTTGTGTCACAATATTTTTTATTTTTTTAAATTTTTTTTTTGGTGAGATGGAGATTTACTCTTGTTGCCCAGGCTGGAGTGCAATGGCACGATCTCGGCTCACTGCAACCTCCACTTCCCAGGTTCAAGCGATTCTCCTGCCTCAGCCACCTGAGTAGCTGGGATTACAGGCATATGCCACCATGGTCAGCTAATTTTGTATTTTTAGTAGAGATGGGGTTTCACTGTGTTGCCCAGGCTGATCTTGAACTCCTCACCTCAGATGATCTGCCTGCCTCTGCCTCCCAAAGTGCTGGGATTACAGGCGTGAGCCACTGTGCCTGGCAGAATTTTTTAAAAATTTCAATACATAAAGTGTAATGAAGCTGAAACTTGAAAAATATACATGCTTTTACAATCATTTAAATTTTTAATTTAGCAGTTTGGGCTGTGTTTAAAATGTAGATATTGACATATTCCCAAAAATACTGTTAATGAAGAATACAAAACAAAGCACGATAGTGTTGATGGCTGTTGTGAGACCTTGGTTCTTAGTTTCAAAAATTTAAACAAGAGACACAAAACAATGAAGATGCAACATAGAGGGATTTATTGCAAAGTTGAAATACTATTTTAAAAATTAGGTGCAAAATAGCCCCAAGAGAGAAGGGATTCAGGGTGGGCTGCTTATAAGAATGAGACAGCAAAGACTGGAACTAGAGAGACTCCATCTATGGGAGTCTTAGATCATTATTTATGAAGAGGTGGAAAGTGGTGTTATTAGTTAGCATGTTCTGAGTGGTCTTGTTGGTGTACATACACAGTGGCTGTACATGCTTATGTGTCACATATCTTATTAGCATCTTTAATCTCCACTCACTTGTGTGTTTTTTACTATTATAATGAGTAAAAGGTCAGAGGACAAGTAAAATCAAAATGTGCATGTTCTTTACAGGGGAGTAAAGAACTCTCTTCCCTACTGAAGAGAGCTGTGCTTCAGTGAGCTGAAATACAATGCAAATGTTGGGGCTTATTGTGTTGCCAATATGCTGTCACTATGCAATCGCCATGCCTGCTGCATGTCCCAAGGACATGGTGACCTTCTTGGCTACCTAGCCTCCCTCAACAGTACTTGTCTTAGTTTATTTTCAACTATCAACTCTGAGAGTAAGATTTCGCTGTTATGTCAATATTGTCAAAAGTGGGAAAATGAAATTTTTAAAATCACACATTTGAGCTTGATTTGGGTCACTAGCTGTGTACCCAGGAAAAATTATTTTATGTCCCTGGAGCGTCAGTCAATATGTATGCATTGGTGAATGTTTTTGTTTTTGGTGTAGGTTTTTGTTTGTTTACATTTTAAAAGATATTTTTTCCTAATTTATGCTGATGTTAAGCTACACAAAACTTACCAAGAGCTCTATTTTACTACATTTTTCAACCAAAAGGTTGAATACTTAAGTATTGAAAGTGGCATTCTGGATTATCCTTTTCCATGTGATGGAGTCTGCATTTATCAGACTACATTGCAGTTTTTCCTTATGTGGTGCAAGGTTATAAAAATGCCATCCAGTTGATTTCTTAGGTAACAGTAGAATGTGTTTTTTCAGACAGTAGCATGAGATTTCCTGACATGCTACCTTTAGACACAATGAAAGAAAATGAATAAATGTGTATTAATTTGTCTTTATTTATAAGGTCATTAGAGGCTAAGTCATGGCAACACGTGTAGTTCAATCCAAATATTTTTGTGTAAAATTTTGTTGAGCCACATCCATCTGTATATGTGACACTAATTTGGTAACAGCTTCTTTATACTAAGCCAGAATTCATTTTACCTGGTGGTTTTGTTTTAAATATGTGAGTTGTATTATATCACATTTAATTAAGCAATATAAATTTAGTTCAGAGGTTATAGAAAGAAAAGTACAGGCACACTAAAAATGAATTGGAATCTGGCACCTGACACTGATTAACAGTTTAAGCAAATTTGACTAGATGTAAATTCCTGTAAAAAATACTGAAAGAAGGAATGTTAACTAAAAATATCTTCAACAACATAATAAATAGACTTATGAGATTTGAAAAAAAAGTTGATTTGTATACCATTATCAATATTAGGTTAAATTAGAAAATTGTGAACACATCATACAAAAAATAAAACTAGTAAACTATCCTCAGACTTCATCTGATTAAAACAAAACTTCTGGGTATTTGAAAGCATCAAATTATTGATGAGAAATATCTATTTTGAACAGATTCTTGATCTTTTATACATATTACTACTAAGTAAAACCTAATACAGCTCTGATTTCTGAAATATTTATGAATGTCTATCACTGTAGTGAAAAATCAAGAAATTTAAATCTACTGTCTAAATTTTGATGAAAATATTGTTATTTTAATTGAATACCAGTATTCATATAGTATGGCAAACCACCCATTTCTTTAGTATTCTGCTATTTTATAAAATATCCTAGAATTTGTGGAGACATTTGTAAAAATAAAAAAGTTCTAAAAAAATATAGACATCAGAAAATAGTGATATTAGTCCCTCTCCCTCGTCTCCCTCTCCCTCGTCTCCCTCTCCCCGGTCTCCCTCTGATGCCACCAAAGTTGTGAAAGCCGAGGCTGGACTGTACTGCCGCCATCTCGGCTCACTGCAACCTCCCTGCCTGATTCTCCTGCCTCAGCCTGCCGAGTGCCTGGGATTGCAGGCGCGCGCCGCCACGCCTGACTGGTTTTTGCATTTTTTGGTGGAGATGGGGTTTCGCTGTGTTGGCCGGGCTGGTCTCCAGCTCCTGACCGCGAGTGATCTGCCTGCCTCGGCCTCCCGAGGTGCCAGGATTGCAGACGGAGTCTCACTCCCTCAGTGCTCAATGTTGCCCAGGCTGGAGTGCAGTGGCGTGATCTCGGCTCGCTACAACCTCCACCTCCCAGCCGCCTGCCTTGGCCTCCCAATGTGCTGAGATTGCAGCCTCTGCCCGGCCACCACCCCGTCTGGGAAGTGAGGAGCATCTCTGCCTGGCCACCCATCGTCTGGGATGTGAGGAGCCCCTCTGACCGGCTGCCCAGTCTGGGAAGTGAGGAGCGCCTCTTCCCGGCCGCCATCCCGTCTAGGAAGTGAGGAGTGTCTCTGCCCGGCCGCCCATCGTCTGAGATGTGGGGAGCACCTCTGCCCTGCCGCCCCATCTGGGATGTGAGGAGCGCCTCTGCCTGACCGCGACCCCATCTGGGAACTGAGGAGTGTCTCTGCCTGACCGCCACCCCATCTGGGAGGTGAGGATCGTCTCTGCCCGGCTGCCCCATCTGAGAAGTGAGGAGCCCCTCCGCCTGGCAGCCGCCCCATCTGAGAAGTGAGGAGCCCCTCCGCCCGGCAGCCACCCCGTCTGAGAAGTGAGGAGCCCCTCCGCCCGGCAGCCGCCCTGTCCAGGAGGTGGGGGGCAGCCCCCGCCCGGCCAGCTGCCCCATCCGGGAGGGAGGTGGGGGGCGCCTCTGCCCAGCCACCCCATCTGGGAAGTGAGGAGCCCCTCTGCCTGGCCACCACCCCGTCTGGGAGGTGTTCCCAACAGCTCATTGAGAACGGGCCATGAAGACTATGGCGGTTTTGTCGAATAGAAAAGGGGGAAATGTGGGGAAAAGAGATCAGATTGTTACTGTGTTGGTGTAGAAAGAAGTAGACATGGGAGACTCCATTTTGTTCTGTACTAAGAAAAATTCTTCTGCCTTGGGATGCTGTTAATCTATAACCTTACCCCCAACCCTGTGCTCTCTGAAACATGTGCTGTGTCCACTCAGGGTTAAATGGATTAAGGGCGGTGCAAGATGTGCTTTGTTAAACAGATGCTTGAAGGCAGCATGCTCATTAAGAGTCATCACCACTCCCTAATCTCAAGTACCCGGGGACACAAACACTGCGGAAGGCCACAGGGTCCTCTGTCTAGGAAAACCAGAGACCCTTGGTCACATGTTTATCAGCTGACCTTCCCTCCACTATTGTCCTATGACCCTGCCAAATCCCCCTCTGTGAGAAACACCCAAGAATGATCAATAAATACTAAAAAAAAATAAAAAAATAAAAAAAATTAAAAAAGTGATATTAATGTTAGGTTATATACATAGTTTCCTGAACCCTACCATAATATATAAAGTTTTTTGTGTACAACAATCTTAGATTACCTAAAACAAAATGAAATTCTTTTTTCTTTTTCTTTTTTGAGATGGAGTTTTGTTCTTGTTGCCCAGGCTCGAGCGCAATGGCACGATCTCGGCTCACTGCAACTTACGCCTCCCGGGTTCAAGCGATTCTCCTGACTCACCCTCCTGAGTAGCTGGGATTACAGGTGCTGCCACCATGTCCAGCTAATTTTTTGTATTTTTAGTAGAGACGGGATTTCATTATGATGGCCAGGCTGGTCTCAAACTCCTGACCTGAGACAATGCACCTGCTGCAGCCTCCCAAAGTGCTGAGATTACAGGCGTAAGCCTACATGCGCGGCTAATGAAATTTCTTTCTTATGTTATGCTTAACATAGAAAAGTCCAAAATATATCCAGACAGACAGGAATTATGACTGCCACTTTAAAAAACACATGTTTTGGTGTGATGCAATGTTTTCTGTACATGCAGATGGAAAACCAAACTTTAAAGTTTTCAAATCATAAACAGGAGCATTATTTGTGACTCTAAGCTTTAAATATATAAAACAAATACATTGTTTATTCTTCTTAATTTAAAATATAGTGGTTTTTGAACAATTCAAGTAACGTTAGCCTATCAAAAACTTCTTAAGCCATATATATGACAACCGCATTTTCAAAATTATGAGAACTTAGAAAAAGTAAATGAAACCCCTACAGTTTAGTTAAAAACATAATAGACCACTATTTGTATTTGCCCTTGTGATGAGAATCACCTTTATTTATTTAGGAACAAACAGAAAATGCTGTGGTGGCAACTTGCTGGGTGGTGACTGTGATGAGATTTACTGCCTTGGAGATGGTGGGATCCAATGGACCAGAATCGTCATCACCTTACCATGTTCACGGCTGTATTTTATCTTCTATCATTTATTTCCCAGACTCCTTCATCATTTCCATTTCTATCCTTGGTGATGTTCATGCAGCTTCACCCTCAGCTGCTCCAACAGTCTGTCCATTTGGCTCAAGCTCTCCAGCAGTTTCTCTGGTTTCTTCTGATCCTGGTGTCTGAGATTTATCAGCAGAGCCTTGTTTTCAATGACCATGGCTATTGCTGCCTCCTGCCAGCAGGGAAGCTCCTGCAGCAGCCAAAGCACCCTCACCCTGGTACGCCTCCACTCTAACCCTTGGTCATGGCCCAGCTTGGTGCGCAGAAACCCATCAACCAGAGCATTTCGTGCAGCTGGGCAAGCTTTCCTCGGCATGTGGGGCAGTTTCCCCATCATCTTTGTGCTGCCACCTCACCTTTCATCAGAGAGACAGATAGGATGATGCAGGGGCTTGGAGATACCATGGAAGAGTCCAGGGGAATGAGGAGCAGCTGGGCTGGGCAGCCTCAGGCCCAGTGCGTGGCAGTGCCAGGTCTGACCCACAGACCCTGACACAGTGATGGATGAAAGACGTACACTGACACAGATATTTTGCCTGTCACTGCAGCTAAGAGGCTGTGCTAACAGAATGAGCAGCACCCACCTCCATAAGCCGGTGAAGTTTACATGTATTTATTACAGATTAAATGACAAAAGTCTCGAGTAAACACTATTAGTGGGTAATTAACATTGTCAATCCCCCAGTAGAGAGCAGTTCTGCCCACAAATGATCAAAGGTCGGTCTTAGGACAACATGAGCAAACAAGGTCTTTAGATAAGCTCCCCTACATTCCTTTGTATCTACATCTGTCTAATTACCGCTGGGAAAGAACAGCCACCTTTGGCTCATTCCTTCCTGAAGATTTGCAAAAACCTCCTGGCCTTCCAAGAAGGTTTGCATCTTTCTCTATAAGTTTTTCCACACCCTGACTGAACTCATACATGGAGGCACCCCTCATGCCTGACCAGAGATCAGCCACTGCCACCTGGGGGGGACAGAGGGGCCTAGGTTCCACCAGCCAGCCTCACTCTGCACAAGCAGAGGTAAAAATTATTTTCTAAAAAAAAAAAAATTATGGAGAATAACTTAGAGATTTGACCCAATCAAATTTTTATATTTTTCTTTTCTTTTTCTTTTTATTTCAGCTTTTTCCTCTTAAATTGTGCTCTACTGAAGTCAGATTTCATGTTCTTTCCTCATGGGGCAATTTTGATGTAATTATAATGGTCACAAATGTGGAAACTAAAAATTTTGCTATATTTTTACCTGCAAGTGCTAGGTTAACATTAAACTTTCAATAGTGCTTTCTGAATTTTATACTTTATTATTTTCTATTTGATTCTGTTAACTATAGGAAATAAAAATAATAAAATCTTGATTTGCATAGTTTCACATTTTACAAAGAATATGTATGTATTCATTCTTTTAACTGATAAATGTGTGTTGACCACACACAATATGCTATCCTTTTGGCAGCCTTAGAAAATAAAATAGAAAAGAAAGTATTGGTCTCTACTCTCATGAAACTTTCAGTGTAACTTCATAAAATCATCACGCATTCCTGAGAAGTGGATACCTCTGAATTTTCCTATAAACCTCCTAACCTGGCTGGGCACAGTAGCTCATGCCTGTAATCCCAGCACTTTGGGAGGCTGAGGGAGGCAGATAACCTAAGGTCAGGAGTTCAAGACCAGCCTGATGATCATGGAGATACCCCATCTCTACTAAAAATACAAAATTAGCCAGGTGTGGTGGCATATGCCTGTAATACCAGCTACTCGGGAGGCTGAGGCAGGAGAATCACTTGAACCCAGGAGGCATAGGTTACAGTGAGCTGAGATTGTGCCATTGCACTTGAGCCTGGGCAACAAGAGTGAAATTCCATCTCAAACAAACAAACAAACAAAAAACAACCTCCTAACCCAAAAGTGACCAGTATCTGAATTTCATATTGTCGTTTATTTTAAGCAATTTTTTTTTGACAGAGTCTTGCTCAGTTGCCAGGCTGGAGTGCAGTGGCATGATCTCAGCTCACTGCAACCTCCATCTTCTGGGTTCAAGCAATTCTCCTGCTTCAGCCTCCCGAGTAGCTGGGACTACAGGCATGCAACACCATGTCCAGCTAATTTTTGTAATTTTAGTAGAGACGGGGTTTCACCATGCTGGCCAGACGGTCTCGATCTCTTGACCTTGTGATTCACCCACCTTGGCCTCCCAAAGTGCTGGGATTACAGGCGTGAGCCATGGTGCCTGGCCTACTTTATGCAATTTTATCTATAAACAATATACGTTTCAGTGTTGCTTGTTTTTTGACTTTAGATCAATTCTACAAGTTTTCATCTGTGACTTGCTTTTTTATTTACAATTGTTTCTATTTTTCCATGTTGCTTTGCATAGCTATAGTTGTCCATTTTTACTGCCGCAGTGTGAATATACATCAATTTATAAACGAATTCTACTGCCAGTGGTTATTTGTGAATTCCAATTACTTTATTTTTATCAACTCTTGGAATTACTAGACATATTTTTTGACAAAATGGAGAATCAGAAAAGTATATAATTTAGAGTTTTAATTAGCATTTCCATAGTCACTAAATAAATTGGTATTTTTCAGAGGTTAATTGGTCATATGTGTTTTAAGATGTGCCATCTGTCCATTTTTAATGTATTTCATTTCTTTGTATATTAATACATATTCTGTAGTGCATATTTTCTAAATACTAATTTTTGTAATATGTGTTTTTTACATATTTTTTCTTGGTTATGATTTGCCTTTCCACCATCTTTATTCAAACATGTTTTTCTAAGTTCTTGATAATCAAAAGTTTTTAAAATTTCATCTAATTTATAAATATGTTTATGCAAGTTTTTATATTGTGCCATGTTTAAGAAATTGCTTTACACCCACAGTTATCACAACAATATTATCTTGTATTTTCTCCTAAAAGTTTTAAATTCTGAATCTATGTGAAAAATTGTCGTGTCAGTTGCTGTGTGGGAATCCAATCTATCCAGGTAGAACCAATTGTTTAGGTACTAGATTATTGACTTGTTATACTTTAAAGTATAGTTGTAAAACTGATCTCATTTTAATGCATTGGCTGGGACCATAAATCCAATGTTTAATAAAAATCTTGACAGTAGCATCCTTATAATATTTATGATCTCAATAGTTTATCATGCACATTTGCTGTAGTTTATTTTAGATACCTTCTATATTAAGGCACGTTGGCTCATGCCTGCAATCCCAGCACTTTGGGAGGATGAGGCAGGTGGATCACGAGGTCAAGAGATTGAGAACATCCTAGCCAACATGGCAAAACCCCATCTTTACTAAAAATACAAAAATTAGTTGGGCGTGGTGGCATGCACCTGTAATCCCAGCTACTTTGGAGGCTGAGGCAGGAGAATTGCTTGAACCTGGGAGGCAGAGGTAGCAGTGAGCCGAGATTGTGCCACTGCACTCCAGCCTGGGTTACAGAGCAAGACTCCATCTCAAAAAAAAAATAATAAAAATATTTAAACATGATATTGTTTTAAACAATTTTATGTTATTAAATTTAAAAATTTAGATAAAATTATTTTTCCAGAAAAGTATGTGTCAAAAAGTGACTGAAGAAGAAATAAAAAAGGATAAATAAAAAATCAAAAAGGTATGTTTTTAATTTCACACAAAATATCCATACATTATAAAAGAACAGCTTGATGAATGTTTACACAATGCATATACCAGGAACCCAGCATGCAGTGATGGAAGAGTGTGAACAACCTGGGCACTCCCCCTGTTTTTGGAACAGGAATTAAAAGAAATTAAAGAGTGTGTAAGCAGAAACTCAGTTGTATGTAAGAAAACCCAATTCCTCCTGAGAAACAGAAAGAGCTGGAGTCCTTTAAAAATTAACTGCCTGTTTTTCAGTGGTTAGTGAGCCTTATCTCTCCTCCTTTCCCAAGCATTGTGAAGACCCTGATTCCCTTGCTGTGCAGCTGCAAGGTCACTAGACAGACAAACTCAAGTCACAAAACATGTTTCTCCTTGAAAAGTAAGAAATGATGTAATGCATACCTCAATTGAATAACTGGCTTTGTTTCTCACTTCTGTAGTATGCTTCCCTCTGCAGAGATCTCCCCCCACCCCACTAAATGCTTAAAAGGTAACTTAACTCTTTGTTCAGGGCTCAGTCCTTTGGATGTTAATCCGACGGCTGGTGCACCTAAATAATTAATGAATATCCTCCTGAACCCCAATGGTCTCTCTGATTCCTTAAAAATCCCACTACATTTCTTGGGGGTGGGGGGCTTGCCTGGGGTTGGAGATGACAGATTTACTGTCTCCTTTGCCTGTGAGACTAGAGCTCTGGGGCTAGGAGAGACCCAGCATCCAAGGCACACCACAGGGGAGCTTCAACTGGATAGAAACCAGCTCTCCCCATATTCTGACACCCTGCCTGGCAGTGCAATGGAACTGGGAATGGGGCTGCAGGATGATACCAGCACTTCAGGAACTGCAGTAAAGAGAAAGTGCCCAAGGCAGCAAAGCCCATCCCATGAGGATGAAGGGGAGCTTGATCACCTCCCGGAGAATGAACACTAATCCAACCCAGAGTGGCTGGGGGCATCAGGAGTGGCTTGCCAATTTGGATGCACCTCAAGTCCCCACTAACACTGGAACTGGAAAAAAATGAGGAAATGGGCCAATAGAGCAGCAAGTGCAGCAAGGTAGAGCTTGCTGGCAGGGTGGCAAGAGTGGCTTGCCACCCCAACTGGGAGTGTTGAGGGTGCACGTGAACATACCCAGGACATGAGAGAGGCTCACCCAGGACATGAGACAGGCTAGTTTCATCCAGTGAGGAATCTTGGGGCAGGGGAGGTGTGTGAAAGTGTGTGAAAGAGATGGTCTCAGGAGAGGCCAGTGCGGGGAGTGACATGGGGAGGCAGAGATCCCTTAGCATGGGCTGTGTGCTCTGACATGAGTGCAGGGGACATCAGACCTAGGATGCTGCATACGGCTGAAAGGACCAGCTTCACAGCTGCAGCAGGCTGTGACAGGGGAAGGCATGTTCCTGACTAAGCAGCATCCAAAACTCTCATAATAGGACCTGGTCTGGTGGACCTGTGAGTGAAAGTGAGAGTGAAAGTGCACTGCAAGGGAGGAAATGAGAGGGAAAGCATTGAAACCAACTCCTTTGGAGTGCATGATAAAGAATTTTAAAAAAGGATTTAGAGGTGATTATGGGATGAAACTTGTTGCTCAAAGGTTAAGGACATACTGTGAGATAGATGGGCCTGCTTTCAATATGGGGTGGCCCTCTAAAGGTACAATAGACAGGGAATTAATTGGCCGTGTGTTTAAGGTGGTCACTGGAGTTGCAGGACAACCAGGATACCCAGACCAGTTTCCCTATATAGACTCTTGGCTCAATGTGGTGCAAACTCGCCCCAAGTGGTGACAGCCCTGCCTAGAGGGATATTGCAAGGCATTAGTGGCTCAGGCAGCACAACCAAAGTAAAACAGAGAAACCTAAAGCTTCTAGTGTCTCCTAGGAAAAGGAATCCCCAAAGCCTCAGCTGAAACCAGTTCTTCAGGTCCCACCTGAGGAAAGGGAATGTCCACCCCCATATGTGCCAGTCTACCCATCTTTGGCCAGAGTAAGGCAGGAGGCAGAGTCAGGAGCATCTGGAGAGTCGGATTCAGAGGAAAGTGAGGCTCAGTCTCCCCCACCCAGAGAAAAAGAAGCCCCTATTAGATAAAAACAGGGAAGATGGACAGGGTGAGGCAGCTAGGTGCCTCCACTAAGGCCTACCATGGGCTTTGCAGATGCCAATTCAAGAGACAAGGACACAAGTTTATGATGACCAGGGGCAGATACAAGGTAACCCTAGGCTTTATGT
This sequence comes from Homo sapiens, assembly GCF_000001405.40. Classification (NCBI taxonomy): domain Eukaryota; kingdom Metazoa; phylum Chordata; class Mammalia; order Primates; family Hominidae; genus Homo; species Homo sapiens. The sequence goes on along the minus strand of NC_000019.10, from coordinate 21,205,073 downwards.
TTATCAGCCTTTCTCCACTACTGATCTCTTAAATTGGAAACAGCATACCCCTCCTGTACAGAAAAGCCTCAGGCTCTCATTGATTTGGTGAATGCTTTTATTATAACACATAACCTGACCTGGCCGGATTGTCAACAGCTTTTGCTAACTTTATTTAATACAGAGAAGTGTAGGAGAGTTAATCAGGCAGCTCTCAGCTGGTTAGAAGGGGAAGCCCCAGAGGCCATCCCTAACCCATGCCAGTTTGCCTTGGAGCGTTACCCAAATGAGGACCCTAACTGGGACCCAAATGAGGCAAGGGACATGGAATGGCTGCGGCTATATAGAAAGGCACTCCTGAATGGGATAAAAGCAGGAGGAAGGCAGGCAATGAATATGAGTAAAATGTCAGAAATGCGCCAAAAGCCTGATGAAAGCCCAAGTGCATTCTTTGAAAGGCTTTGTGAGGCATATAGGCTGTACACTCCAATTATTCCAAAGGCTCCTGAAAACCAACACATGATAAATATGACCTTTGTCAGGCAAGCACAGGGAGACATAAGACAAAAGCTTCAGCAGCTGGAAGGCTTTGCAGGGAAAAATACTAGTGAACTCCTGGAAATAGCAAACAAAGTATACATAAACTGGGAAGAAGAGGCAGAGAGAAAGGAAGAAAGAAAAACCAGAAACAGAAATAAAGACACGGTTCAATTTACAGCTGCTTCACTAGCAGAAAGTAAACCTGGATTTGCTAGAGGGCGTGGTCAAAGCAGAGGCTGAGGAAGAGGGCAGACATGACTGGGAGAGGAAAGCCTGTCCCCTTTGGACAGGAACCAATGTGCAAAGTGCAGGCAAATAGGCCACTGGAAAGATGAGTGTCCCAAAAAGGCAAAGGATGGAGATGATGGTCAATAGTCTAACACCCGAGTGCGGCGTTCTGTTGCTAGTAATGGTGCCTCAAAGGCAGATCCTGATCTGATTGGCTTAGCAGGGGCCAAGAATTTTGAGGACTGAGAGACCGCGTTCCATCTTTTTAGGCCCTGGGGTCGGGGGGTGGCTATGGTTTCTATGGAAATAGGGGGCTGATCAATGGATTTTTTGGTCAACACTAGAGCTGATTTCTCTGTGGTAACTCACCCAATTAGCCCCCCCACAAAGAACTGTGCTACTATTGTAAGGGCTACTGGGGCCAAAGAAAAGGGACCTTTTTGCAAATCCAGGAGATGTGTTATTGGAGGACAAGAAGTGCAGCATGAGTTTCTATATATGCCAAATTGTCCAGTGCCCTTGTTGGGGAGAGACTTACTCCAGAAACTATACAGGCACAAATTTCCTTTACACCTAATGGGAATATGACCCTGGAGGTAGGGAAGCCAAAGGCAATGGTATTGACTCTAGCTCTCCTAATAGCTGAGGAATGGCGGCTCTATGAACTGTGTACCAGGAGGCTGCTGGAGCTGGACCTACACAATACGTGGGGAATGCTTTTCAAGGTACCAGGTGTATGGGCTGAGGACAACCCCCCCGGACTTGTTCTAAACAGACCCCCGGTGGTAGTAGAGCTTAACCCTCATGCTACCCTGGTATGAGTCCGTTAATACCCATTACCCAGAGAGGCAACTGAAGGCATAACAAAACATGTAAATCAGCTCTATGAACATGAGATTATAGTGAAATACAAGTCCTCTTGGAATACTCCTCTGCTGCCCGTGCTCAAGCCAAATGGTGAATACAGGCCAGTGTAGGACCTCCAGGTGGTAAACAAGACCACTGCCACTATCCATGCCACAGTACCCAACCCATACACAATGTTGTGACATATTCCTGCTGAGGCCGCGGGGTTCACATGTCTGGACTTAAAGGATGCTTTCTTTTGCTTGAGGCTTGTTCCCCAAAGTCAGCCTATATTTGCCTTCCAGTGGGGGCAATCGCAGTATACCCGGAGAAGGCTGCCACAAGGGTTTAAGAATTCTCCCACTATCTTCAAGGAGGCTTTGGCTACCGACCTTGAGGCTATTGCGCCGTCTAGTGACAATTCTGTGCTATTACAATACATTGATGACTTGCTATTAACTGCCCCTAAGAGGGAGGAATGCCTCCAAGGAACAGAGAGGCTTCGACCTGCTGTGTGAAGCTGGTTATAAAGTGTTCAAGGACAAGGCAGAAGTCTGTTTTTGGGAGGTTGCATATCTAGGATTCATAGTATCCCAAGGCCAATGCAGGCTTGGAAGTGCACGCAAGGAGGCTGTATGTGCATTGTCCACCCAGTTACAAGGCGGCAGCAGGTCAGGGAATTTCTAGGGGTGGTGAGATTTTGCCGAATCTGGATTTCAAACTTCTCCCTTATAGCAAGGCCCTTACATGAGGCTACCAGAGGTAGGGAAAGAGAGCCCCTCCTATGGGAAAAGGAACAAGAAAAGACCTTCAAGGATATAAAGGAAGCTCTCATCCAGGCCTCAGTATGTGGGTTGCCAGATGTAAGAAAAACCCTTCTTTTGTATGTGGATGAACGAAAGGGAATGGCAGTCGGAGTCTTAACTCAGTTGTTGGGCTCTTTACATTGGCTGGTAGCATACTTATCCAAAAGACTGGACTAGGTGGCCTTAGGTTGGCACCACTGCCTCAGGGCATTGGCAGCTACTGCAATCCTCATAGAAGATGCCAACAAGCTAGCCCTAGGACAGAAGTTAAAAATTGGGGTGCCACATGCTGTAGTCTCCTTAATGGACCAAAGAGGACATCGTTGCCTGTCCAACTTTAGAATGCTAAAGTGTCAAAGTTTTCTGTGTAAAATTTCCAGATAACACTACAGACTGTAAATTTCTTGAACCCAGCTACCCTGCTGCCTGTGGAGGAGCCCACTTTGAAGAATGGTGGGTTGCCTCACTGCTGGCAGGACCTTCCCCACTGTTGCACTGTATTCAGTGGACAAAATGTTCTCGAGCTAGGAAGAACTAAGGGATACCCCCTTGGAGAGCCCAGATGTTGAATACTTCACTGATGGTAGCAGTTTCATAACAAATGGGGTGCGATATGCAGGGTATACAGTAGTGACCCAACGCTCGGTGGTCGAGGCTCAAGCCTTAACTTCTGGGACTTCTGCTCAGAAGGCTGAATTAATAATAGCATTATCCAGAGCACTGTTATTGGCCAAGGGGAAAAAGTAAACATATATACTGACTCAAACTGTGCTTTTGCAACCCTGCACACCCATGGGGCAATATACAATAGAGAGGACTTCTGACTACTGAAGGAAAAGAAATACAAAATAAAGAGGAAATTTTGCAATTATTAGAAGCCATATGGGCTCCAGAGAAGGTGGCTCTCATTCATTGCAAAGGACACCAAATTAGGAAAAGCTATGAGGCACAGGGCAACAGGAGGGCAGACCAAGAAGTTAGGTGGGCAGCAATGAGCAAGGTTTTACCTGAAGAAATAACTCTAGCAATGCCTCTCTTTGTAGAGCCCCCTTTGCCAGAGGTACCCAATTACTCTTCAATTGAAAAAGCTTGGTTTGGCCAGGAAACAGGAAAATATATTAAAGGTGGATGGTGGCTGTTCTCTGATGGGAGGCTAGCTGTCCCAGAGACAATAGCCCCAAGGTTTGTGAAGCAGATCCATCAAGGAACACATGCTGGAAGCACGGCCCTAGAGACTTTGATAGGTCAACACTTCTATGTGCCACGGCTCTCTGCCATCACCCGTGCTGTTTGCGAACAATGTCTATCCTGCGAACAATATCTAATCCAAAACAAGGACCTACTCGACCCCCAGAAATTCAGGAAATGGGAGCTGTGCCTTGTGAGAACCTGCTTGTAGACCTTACCGAGTTGCCTTGAGCAGGAGGTTACTGGTATATGCTAGTGTTTGTTTCACCTTCTCGGGGTGAGTTGAGGCCTTCCCCATCAGAACTGAAAAGGCACAAGAGGTGACAAAGGTGCTACTAAAAGACATCAATATCAAGGTTTGGGTTGCCTTTAACCCTAGGATCAGACAATGGTCCTGCATTTGCGGCAGAAGTAGTACAACAGTTGACTCAACTTTTAAAGATCAAATGGAAATTGCACACAGCCTACTGACCAAAGAGTTCAGAGAAGGTGGAACGGATGAATCAGACACTCAAACAGCTACTAAAAAATTTTGCCAGTAAACTCACTTATGATGGGATCAGGTCTTGCCCATGGTCCTCCTCCAGGTGAGGTGTACACCTACAAAACAAACTGGGTACTTGCCCTATGAAATATTGTTCAGAAGGCCACCCGCAATCATTAATCAAATTAGAGGGCATTTAAAGGAGTTAGGAGAGCTAACCCTTAGAACACAGATGCAGGCTTGAGGAGTGGCAATGCAGGAGGTAAAAGGCTGGGTAAGGGAAAGGATACTTATAAGTCTAAGAGATGTAGTGCATCCACATAAGCCAGGAGACTCTGTCTGGGTTAAAAGGTGGAATCCAACAACCCTGGGGCCCTTATGGGATGGGCCCCATATTGTAATTATGTCTACTCCCACTGCTGTTAAAGTCGCAGGTGTCACACCTTCGATTCACCATAGCCAGCCGAAACCAGTGGCAGCAGTGACTCCTGACAATGACCAATGAATTAGCCAACAAGACACAGATCACCCCGCCTGAATAGTCCTACGGCGAAACGCAACCACCAGTAAGAAGGACAACTGCCCTGCTCTGATCACAGTGGAAGCTGGTCAGTCTACGCGTGGCTGAAGCTTGAGGATCCTGCAAGCTCTACTCTAGTCACATCCCAGAAGCTGACTAGTCTATGCACAGCTGAAGCTAAGAGGACCATCTCCAGATAAGTAAATGTGGATACAATTTATAAGCCTAGTTATAATTCTGTCAATACTGATTGTTCTGTTGTTATGTTATTACAGCAAATATCTATGCCCAGAGGAAGGTTTGCCATGCACATGTGTAGTATAAGCATGTTTCTATTACATACACTGATGTTGTTACCATTTCTGCCTATACTAAAAGGGGAGAAATCTCTAGAAGGATGCTCACACTGTGTACATACTACCTGGGTAACGAATACCATAGTTAAAACTCTACTGTACCATACCTACTATGAATGTACAGGAACCAAGTTAGGAACCTGCACATACAACCAGACCACCTATTCAGTCTGTGACCCAGGAAATAATCAGCTATATTTATGTTATGACCCTAAGCTCTTACCCTATGAATTCTGGTTTGAGGTACATATTAAATCAGAGGGAGAAAAAGAAGGAGAGCTTATAGCTTGAACCAAAGAAGCCCCTCCCTCCTATAAAGAGCCTATTTCCTTGTACTTTGATGCCTGCCATGCTGCATATGTTCAAATCCTAAAAAAAACAGAAGGAGTCTGCAGTGGTTTGACACAAGAGAGGCTTAGCAGCAGTCCTAAACATCTGTATGGAGAACCACAAATCAGATGCTCAGACTGTAACATTCCATGGTCTACACAAATACAGCTCCAACACCTTTATTCAGGAAGGACTGCTCTGCTAAGTGGTATGTCAAACAAACCAGATTGTAAGACAAGAACATGCAATCCTTTAAATTTTACTGTCTTAAAGCCAGAGCTACCTTTTTGTTCTACAGGACAGACAGCACTATTATGAGTTCATAGAAAAAGAGCAGGCCTTGGAATTCCACTACTAATTGTCAAAAAGACTAGATGGACTCAAATGCATCCAACCTCACAATTCCAGGCCCATAAGTCATTCTATAAGCATTTTGATCAGACAGTGCCTGAGTTTCCCCCATCAACAAAACACTTATTTGCTCAACTAGCTGAAAACATAGCTGGCAGCTTAGGAATTTCCTCATGCTGTGTATGTGGAGGAAATAATATGGGGGACTAGTGGCCATGGGAGGCAAAATAATTAATACCATAAGATAACTTCACTTCGCTTAACCCTGCCAGTGAACCAACAGCCTTTGCCAGTGTCTGGTTGTTAAAAACCTCCATAATTGGAAGGTATTGTATCGCTCAATGGGGAAAGGCTTTCACAGAGGCAGTAGGAGAAACAACCTGCCTAGGGCAACAGTATTATGATGAGACTAAAAACAAAACTATGAAGAAACACCCAGACTGACTCCTACTTACCAGATCCAAACCCTTTCTCTTGATTGTCTACTATAAGCCACTCTTGGCATCAGCTAGAGGCTGCAAATGCTTGAAAGGCACCCTCTGGCCTGTATTGGATCTGTGGAGCACAGGCATATCAGCTACTGCTAGCTAAATGGACAGGGGCATGTGTGTTAGGAACAGTCAAGCCATCCTTCTAATTCCTCTAAAGCAACAGGAACTCTTAGGATATCCAGTTTATGATAAAAATAAAGGAAGAACTAGAAGAAGCATAATCACAAAAATAGACACAAATATCAAAAACGATGTGGACATAGGAAACTGGAAAGAAAATGAATGGCCTGAATCACGAAATATTATGGGCCAGCTACCTGGGCGCAAGATGGGTCACAGGGGTACCACAACCCAATCTATATGCTCAACCTCATCATAAGGTTGCAGGCAGTCCTAGAAATTATAACCAATGAAACATCAAGGGCACTAGATTTATTGGCAATACAAGCAAAACAAATGAGAAATGCTATATATCATAATAGATTGGCTTTAGATTACCTCTTAGCCTCAGAAGGAGGAGTATGTGGAAAATTTAATTGAACCAACTGTTGCCTAGAAATTGATGATAATGACCAAGCGGTCATGGAAATCATAGCTACAATGCGCAGGCTGGCCCATGTTCCAGTTCAGACTTGGTCTGGATGGTCCCCAGATTCCTTGTTTGGAGGATGGTTCTCAACCTTTGGAGGATTCAAAATCCTCATTGGTGGGTTCTTGCTTATTCTTGGCGTCTGCCTCATCCTCCCTTGCCTTTTACCCCTGTTTATTATGAGTATTCAGTCAACTATAGAGGCAATAGTAACCCGACACACTACCGTGCAGTTGATGGTATTAACAAAATATCAGCCGCTACCAGAAGGAGCAGCTCAGCTCTGTGAGAAGGTGGCAAATAGTGGTGCTTTCTATTAACACCTCTGTTATAAAAATGCACCAAAGTGGGGAACGGAACAGGAATTAAAAGAAATTAGAGTGTATAAGCAGAAACTCAGTTGTATGTAACAAAACCCATTTCCCTCAGAGAAAGAGAAAGAGCTGGAGTCCTTTAAGAATTAACTGCCTGTTTTTCTGTGGCTAGTGAGCCTTATCTCTTCTCCTTTCCCAAGCATTGTGAAGACTCTCTTTCCCTAGCTGTGCAGCTGCAAGGTCACTAGACAGATAAACTCAAGTTGCAAAACATGTTTCTCCTTGAAAAGTAAGAAATGATGTAATGCATGTCTCAATTGAATAACTGTCTTTGTTTCTTGCTTCTGTAGTACGCTTCTCCATGCACAGATCTCCCCTTGCCCCACAAAATGCTTAAAAGGTAACTTAACTCTTTGTTTAGGGCTCAGTCCATCAGATGTTAATCTGACTGGGCCGGTGCACCTAAATAATTAATAAATATCCTCCTGTACCCCATCGGTCTCTCTGATTCCTTAAAAATCCCGCTACATTTTATTCTCCTTTTCAATCACTGTTCCTCTAAGAGCAACTTATATTCTAGCTATTTATACAATAAATGAGTTTTGCCTGTTTTTGAACTTTAAATAAATGGATTAATACAGTAAATTCTCATTTTTGGCTAGCTTATTCTGCTCAACATTGTTTGTGAGATAGATCTCTGTTGCTGCCTGTAGTTGTGCTTTGCTTTGAAAGTTGTGAATATTGCAAGTTGTGCTTTCTATATTCATTGATCTACAATGTTCCATTATATAAATACACTACAATTTCTTTATTCCACTTTTTATGAACATTTTGGTGATTTTCCAGATTGGTCAGTGCTTCTGTAAACAGTCTTGTGCATTTTTAAAAGAAAAATTTTTGTAACTATGTAGATATTTAACCACAAATATAACTAAAGTGTATTTGTATCTTCAGCTTGTATAGGCATTGGGGAGCCCTCTTCCAGGATGTAGTACCAACTTACCTATGCTACCAGCATTATATGAAGAATTATTTATTCTCAAATTGTCTTTATTTTTCAAACCTTACAATGTAAACTCTGTGAAGACCGAGACCTTTAATTTCATTCACCACTATATTTGCAATTTTTAAATAAATTTAATTTGACTTTGAAGCATTTATTTTCTTAAAAATAACTGTGGTAAAATTGGTCAGTTTGTTTTTCTCTGAACATAATTTTCTTTTACACAACTCTGTTTTTTTACACAGAGAATTTTTCTGCCAAAAATTTATTCTTTTTTTGATCATTCTCGGTCAGGGTTATTTCTCCCCAGTAGAGACTGTAACCAAGCAGGTGCAATTTCAGCACAATCTTTTTATTATTGTTTTTGAGACATAGTCTTGCTCTGTCACCCAGGCTAAAGTGCAGTGGTGCAATCTTGGCTCACTGCAGCCTCTGTCCTCTGGGTTCCAGTGATTCTCCTGCCTCAGCCTTCTGGGTAGCTGGGATTACAGGCACACACCACCATGCCTGGCTAATTTATTTATTTATTTATTTATTTTAGTAGAGACTGGGTTTCGCCATGTTGGCCAGGCTGATCTGGAACTCCTGACCTCAGGTGATCCACCTGCCTTGGTCTCCCAAAGTGCTGGGATTACAGGCATTAGCCACCGTGCCAGGCCTCAGCACAGTCTTGAAGAAGATAGGCCTTGGCTGGACAGGTAAGCTCTAAGCAATTGTAAATAACTATCTTGTAAAGATGTATAATTTTTATCTTGTATTTATTTGCCATAAATATTTATTAAGTTGTAATTTTCACAACATTCCATTTTTATTCTGATATCTACAACTATATCTACATAACACCAATTCCAGTATTTTAATAAACAGAAGAAATGTATATATAGCCTTGCAAAAAATATAAGCCTGATACATTCATATCTGTATAAGATTTGTAGAATTTCCTAAAGTTCAAGGAAGTACACACACACACACACACACACACACACACCATTAAATTCAAATCAAATAGATTTATATTTTGTCAAATTGAATGCTATATAAAATTTATAACCAGATAACACAAAATATAAATCGAATCATGAATACACTGATGATAATATCTACCACAACTTACGAATATGATTTCCAGTTAAAAAGAGAAAAATAATTGCTTTGCTGGATTTTCAGTGTGTGCTAATCACTATCACCATTACAAAAGATCAATTTAATTACAGATTATCCAAAGATGTATCACACATCTAAATATTAAACTTTACACTGCAATAAAATATTTAAATCTGCAAGAAGACACTAGAACATATGGTCAATAATACCATGAGCTGCCACAGGTTTTTAATAGATAATGCAAATGACAATCAACTATATGCCACCACAAGAGAAAAACTGGTACTGGTGAATCTCATACGTATCAAGGAAGAAAAAAATGCAGAATTCAATATGCAAAAAAGATTGTTTATACCAGGTATATACATCATAATCATGGTTGTCTGATACATTAAGTGTTCTGTATTAGAGTTTGCAAAATATACATAATTCTATTGCTAATGAGGAATTAGCCAAAGCCCAACTATTCAATCGCCCATAAAGAAAAATTTTTTAGAAAATTGTGTATCTTTTAAAAAAGTTGGAAGTGAAACTGTTGACCACTTCGGAGCTTTAGAAGTTCCTTTTAATGGTAGTTAGATGGCAAGAGCTGGCATTTTGGTTACATCAGCCAATTCAAAACTCACAGAGAGAAGTTACCAGGTATCAAATTTTAAGGCAGATTTTATTCATTAAAAGCATCTTAAGAAGCAGCAGAAATTGCAGAAATGAAGCAATTCAGCATTTCTACTAATAATAATTTGTATTAAGCATGTCGTTAGATTCTGTGTTGGCCATTTGACATCTGCGATTCTTAACTGCTCCATAAACCTGCTGAATCACAGGGCCACAGGAGCAATCACTGTTGTTTACACGCTTTTTGTCAGGCAGCTCTCATGAGCCTGCAAATGTTGTTATTCCCAACCACTGACACCAGCATTCATTATTTTACTTTGTATTCAATAGGAAAAAGCCCCACGTTTTTGCTTCCAATCATCACGTTCATAAAGCAATAGTCCCACCTCCCTGATAACTCTGCTTTCTCACCCTTGCATAAGACCGCCTTTGTGAGGCCCCCAGGGCCTGCCTTGCCTCTTGTTTCTGGTGGGAGTGTATTAAACACCTTTTAATGGCATTCACCTTTCTTTTGTAAATTAAAATCCTAGCAAAATTCGAGAAATCATGTTTCTGTGCTTTGTTACCAGAAATAATATGGGGTTGGGCCAGGCATGGTGGGTCGCACCTGTAATCCCAGCACTTTGGGACGCCGGGAGTTTGAGACCAGCCTGGCCAACACAGCAAAACTCGATCTCTACTAAAAACATAAAAATTAGCCAGGTGTGCTGGTGGGCACCTGTAATCCCAGCTACTTGGGAGGCTGAGGTAGGAGACTCACTTGAACCCAGGAGGTGGAGGTTACAGTGAGCCAAGATCGCACCACTGCACTCCAGCCTAGGCCACAGAGCAACACTGTCTCAAAAAAAAAAAAAAAGTAATCGACATTTTGATAAAAAAACAAAAACTTATTTTGTAGGCTGCTCTAGGCAGCATAGACATTTTCTATTCATTCTTCAAATCCATGAGCATAGAAAGCTTTTTTATTTGAATTGTCTCTGATTACTTTCAGTAATGTTTTCTAGTTCTTGTAGAGATATTTTACCTCCCTGGTTTGATGTATTTCTAAGTATATTATTTTTTGTTTATGGCTATTGTAAAGAAAACTGTTCTTGATTTTGTTCTCAGCTTGAATGTTATTGGTGTAAGGCAATGCTATTCATTTTTGTATATCAATTTTGTATCCTGAGACTTTGCTGAAGTCATTTTTAACCTTAGGAGTCTTTTGGTAAAATCCTTAAAGTTTTCTAGGTAGAGAATTATATCATGAGTGAAGGTAATTTCACTTCTTCTTTTCCTATTTGGATGCCATTTATTTTTTCATTTTGTTAGATTTATCCAGCACTTCCAGAACTATGTTAAATAGAATTGTTTAGATAGTCTTATTTTTTTTCTAATGAGAAATGCATGCCCCTTTTGTCTGTTCAGTATGTTAGCTGAGGATTTGTCATAGATGGCTCTTATTATTGTGAGGTATGTTTCATCATTGCTTAGAGAATATTTTCATAAATGAATACTGGATTTTCTTGAATGCTTTTTCTGCATCTATTGTGTTAATCATATAAATTTTTGCTTTTAATTGTATGGTGAAACACACTTATTGACTTGTATATGATGAAACATCCTTGCACATGTGATATAAAGTTCACAAGTGTGGCAAAATAACTTTTTGATTTGCCTGTGAACTCAGCTTGCTATTATTTCATGGAGGATTTTTGTTTCAATGTTCACCCAAAATATTGGCCTATAGTTTTGTTGTTGTTGTCTTCACTAGACTTCGGTATCAAGATGACACAGGTTTTTATTTTATTAATTAATTTATTTTGAGATGGAGTTTCACTCATTGCCTAGGCTGGAGTGCAATGGCGCGATCTCGGCTCACTGCAACCTCCACCTCCCGGGTTCAAGCGATTTTCCTGCCTCAGCCTCCCGAGTAGCTGGGATTACAGACATATGCCACCACGCCTGGCTAATTTTGTATTTTAGCAGAGATGGGGTTTCACCACGTTGGGCAGGCTGGTCTCAAACTCCCGACCTCAGGTGACCCGCCCACCTCGGCCTTCCAAAGTGCTGGGATTACAGGCGTGAGCCACCTCGTGCAGCGATACAGATTTTATATAATGAGTTAGGGTGGAACTCCACCTGGATTTTTTGGAATACATTCAGTAATACATTCAGTAGAAGTAATACCAGCTCATCTCTGTATATGTGTTAAAATTCGGCTGTGATTTTATATAATCCAGGGCTCCTTATAGTTGGTAGGTTTTTTAAATTATTAATTCAATTTCATTATATATTTTATACATTTTTGCCCTGTTCAAGAGTTCTGTTCCTTCCTGGTTTAATCCTGGAAAGTTGTATGTTTCCAGGAGTTTATTTATTTTCTCCAAATTTTCTATTTTGCAGGCATAGAGATGTTCATAGTAGTCTCTGACTTTTTTTGTATGTATGCAGAATTAGTTGTGATTTCACATCTCTAAAACTTAAATATATGCAGAGTGCAAAGAGAAAAAAATGGATGCACAATAGAAGTTTGACAGAATTTGACATTCCCTTATGATAAATCGCTGAAAAAATTAGGTATAGAACAAATGCACTTCAGCCAATAAATGCCATATATAACCAAAAAAACTGCTAACAACATACTAAACAGGGATATGTTGTAAGCTTTTACTCTAAGAGCTAGAACAAGGCAAGGATGCCCACTCTAGTCAGACTTACTAAACATGGTACTAAATATCCAAGACAAAGAAATTAGAGAAAAAAATCAAAGGCATCCAAATTGAGGAAAAGGAATTATTCCTGTATAATTTTCTTTTATCCCTATACATAATCTGAAGTATAAAAAAGCCTAAGACCTTAGTAAATCTTAAAAATTATAAACAGGCAAGGTGCAGTGACTCCTGCCTGTAATTCCAGCACTTTGGGAGGCCGAGGTGGGCGGATCACAAGGTCAGGAGTTCAAGACCAGTCTGGCCAACGTAGGGAAACCCCATCTCTATAGAAATAAAAAAATTAGCTGGGTGTAGTAGGAGGCGCCTGTAGTTTCAGCTACTTAGGAAGCTGAGGCAGGAGAACCGCTTCAGCCAGGGAGGCAGAGGTTGCAGTGAGCCAAGATCGTGCCACTGCACTCGAGCCTGCGTGACAGACCGAGACTCCATCTCAAAATAAATAAATAAATAAACAAAATTTATTAAACTTTCAAAATACAAAAGCACCATCAAAAAGTCACAGCATTTCTCTACATTAATAACTATCCCAAAATGAAATTCAAAAACAATTACATCTACAATAACTATAGTTTGAAATAAATTTAACCAAAAAGTTGAAACGCCTTACATTCTAAATAGAAATTAATACATAAATGGACTATTCATGAACTGACATTAATATTTGTATTACACAAAATGACCTACAGGTATAATGCAACCTCTATCGAAATACGTGATATACTTCATAGAAAAGTTTTAAAAGTATATCTAAAATTCATATGGTATCACAAAAGACCCTGAATAGCCAAAGCAATCAAGACAAAAGAAGTGACTAACTTTGAAATACACTACATAGCTATGGTAACCAACAGTATGGTACTTGAATAAAAACAGAGACATAGGTCAATGGAGCAGAAGAAAAAAACAGCAGAAATATATCCATGTATTTACAGTTGATTTTAAATACAGGTGACTTTAAAGGGAAAGAACAGAATCTTCAATTAAGAAAACTTTATATCCACATGCAGAGATAAAAATTGAGACCCTCATCTCACACCATATGTAAAAATAAACTCGAAATAAATTAGTACTTAAATGTAAGGCCTGACACTCTGAAACTACTACTGCCAAAATATAGAGCAAAAGCCCTATAACATTGTTCTGGGCAGCAAATTTTTTTTTTTTTTTGAGACAGAGTTTCATTCTGTTGCCAAGGCTGGAGTGCAGTGGCATGACCTTGGCTCACTACAACCTCCGCCTCTGGGTTTAAGCCGTTCCCCTGCCTCAGCCTCCTGAGTAGCTGAGATTATAGACACGTGCAACCACGCCCGGCTAATATTTGTATTTTTAGTAGAGACAGGATTTCACCATGTTGGTCAGGCTGGTCTCGAACTTCTGACCTCGTGATCCACCTGCCTCGGCCTCCCAAAGTGCTGGGATTACAGGTGTGAGCCACTGCGCCTGGCCGCAAGTTTTTTGATTTAACCTAAACATCCCAGGACACAAAAGGAAAAATAAGTCAGATCACTTCAAATTAAAAAGCTGCTGGACAAAATCTGATACAATCAACAGAATGTGACAACTAGAACATGGGAGAAAAAATTTGCAAATTATACATGTGACAAGAGGTTAATATCAAAAGTGTATTTAAAATGACAACAATAAAAAATTATTAAAAATAATAGGCCGGACGCGGTGGCTCATGCCTGTAATCTCAGCACTTTGGGAGGCTGAGGTGGGCACCAGAGGTCAGAAGTTCGAGACCAGCCTGACCAATATAGAAAAACCCCGTCTCTACTAAAAATACAAAATTAGCTGGGCGCAGTGGCATTTGCCTGTAATCCCAGCTACTTGAGAGGCTGAGGCAGGACAATCACTTGATCCGGGAGGCAAGGGTTGCAGTGAGCCGAGATTGTGCCATTGCACTCCAGCCTGGGCAACAAGAACAAAACTCCATCTCAAAAAGAAAAAAAAAAAAAAGGAAATAGCTGAAATAAATATTTTTCAAGAAAAGTCATACATATGTCCAACGGATATATTTTTAAATGCTCAATGTTGACTATTATCACAAAAAGACAAGCCAAAAAAAAAATCCCTATATCAACTCATTCCTGTTAGAATAACTCTTATTAAAAGAAAAAGAAAAAAGTGTTGGTAAAGATGTGAAGAAAACGGAATCCTTGCACACTGTTGGTGTGAACGTAAATGAGGATAGCCATTACGAAAAACAAAATACAGATTTATCAAAAAAACTACCAGGTAATACAGCAATCGCACTACTGGGTATATATCCAAAACAAAATAAGAATAAAGAAACATTTGCACTTCTGTTTGCAGCACTTGTTTCACAATAGCCAAAATACAGAATAAACAGTTCAACATCTAATGAGTAAATAAAGACAATGTGGTTGATATACATAATGGAATACTATTTATTATTTAAATGAGAAAAATGCCTTATTTTCCCTCTTGAGACCGAGTCTCACTCTGTTGCCCAGGATGGAGTGCAGTGGCATGATCTCAGTTCACTGCAACCTCTGCATCTGTGGTTCAAGGGATTCTCATGCCTCAGCCTCTGGAGTAGCTGAGATTACAGGCCTGCACCACCACACCCAGCTGAGGTGTTTTTTGTTTTTGTTTTGTTGTTTTTGTATTTTTAGTAGAGATGGGGTTTTTCCACGTTGTCCAGGCTGGTCTCAAACTCCTGGGCTCAAGCAATCCACTGGCCTTGGCCTCCCAGAGCTGGGATTACAGGTGTGAGCCACCACTCCTGGCCTTAAAAAAAAAACAAAAACTATTATTCTCAATCACATGGATGAAGTTGGAGGACATTGTATTAGTTGGGATAAGCAAGGCACAGAAAGATTAGTGTCTCATAATTTCACTTACACATGGATTCCAAAAAACTTAATCCCATTGATGTAGAGAGTAAAATGGTGACCATCAGATGCAAGTTATTTATAAGAAATGGAAGGCTGGAAACATGTTTGTGAAATAATACATAATTATAGTCAAATGGAAGAAATAAGTTCAAGAGATTTATTGCACAACATGGTGACTATAGTTCATAATAATGTATTTGGATTTTTGAAAAATGATGACAGTGTCATGTGGTCTCAAAACAAAAATGTTCACCATATGAGGTAAAGTTTTTTTTTTTTTTGATAGTCACTCTGTCCCCCAGTCTGGAGTGCAGTGGTGCAATCTCGGCTCCCTGCAACAACCACCTCCCAGATTTGAGCCATTTTCCTGCCTTAGCCTCCAGGGTAGCTGGATTACAGGCATGTGTCACCACACGCTGCTTATTTTGTATTTTTAGTAGAGACAGGGTTTCCCCATGGTCGCCAGGCTGGTCCCGAACTCCTGACCTCATGTGATCTGCCTGCCTCGGCCTCCCAAATTGCTGGGATTACAAGCATGAGCCATCATGTCTGACCAATGTGAGATAAATTATTAATTACCTAGAAATAATAATTTAACTATATATATACTTCAAAATATTACGTTCTACAGAAAAAGTACAGATTCTACCTGTCACATTAAAATATTTATAAAACATAGAAGAATAACAATGTGTCAAATACTGTGTCTTTGTGATAATCTTGGTTAAATAGTATCAAAAATATATAGTTTTGGGGCTATTATTGTCATTTAATTTTTTAATCATAACCATAGAAACTTCTGATATTTAACAGCATGGTTTGGACCCAGCACATTGCATGGGAGGAGCCAACGTACTTTAGGATTTTTACTTTAAGCTTGGGGCACCTGGAGTTTCTGGTGCTGATGGTAACGGTATGAAAGACACTCAAAGAGCAGGTGTTGCTTATGGTCCCATGACTGGCCACTCTGTGAACACAGTAAACTAGTTTGCATGCAAAGTAACAGAAATGTTTTAATCCAAACGCTGTCATGATCTCCAAATGTTTTTCAGAGAAAATGACCCAAGAGTTGGCTACAGTTTGGTGACTAAAAATAAAAACTGTAGACTAAACCTCTCCCACTAAAAAATATATAAAAAATGAGTGAAAAATTTCTCCAAATTGTAAAATCAATATAGAAAAGACATTATTTTTCAAAATTTTAAATCCACTGAAGTCATTTCATTATTTTGTAACCTTTAACACTCACACTTAAAAATAAAAGATTCTGCATGGAAATATAAGTTGTGCTGTAAGTATATCATAGAAAATTAACTTTAAAATTGTTTACTTACCATTAACTCTCTTAAAAATTTAATTTCTGTATTTTCAAGCAAGTTTTATATTTGCCACACTTTGTATAAGAATCTAGTAAGATTTTTCTTTTAAAAACAAAGCTGACTAATTTAATTATCTTACCTGTGGACAGTATTGCACCTTTTATCTTTTTTTTTTTTTTTTAGACAGAATTTCGCTCTTGTTGCCCAGGCTGAAGTGCAGTGGCCCAGTCTCGGCTCACCGCAACCTCTACCTCCCAGGTTCAAGCGATTCTGCTCCCTCGGCCTTCCGAGTAGCTGGGATTACAGGCGTGCGTCACCACGCGTGGCTAAATTTGTATTTTTAGTAGACACAGGGTTTCACCATGTTGGTCAGGCTGGTCTCAAACTCCTGACCTCAAGTGATCCACCCTCCTTGGCCTATCTCAGTGCTGGGATTACAGGCGTGAGCCACACCTGGCTGCCTTTTAACTGTTCTGATAAGCAAACTCTACAGTTAAAACCAATTTTTGTGTGCACTAAAAATACCAACTTCCTCATCAAAATCTACAAAGTACCATGTGAAATGAAATGGCATGAAGACAACAGTAAGAAAACTGTAGCTATAACTCAGAAAAAGAATAGCTGTGATGCATACATAGTTGGAAAATGCATAAGACAAATCTGAAGAGAAGTAGAAAATAAAAGAATTTCTCTTTTTTTTCAGATGGAGTTTCCCTCTTGTCGCCCAGACTGGAGTGCAATGGTGCAATCTCGCCACACTGCAACCTCCACCTGTCGTGTTCAAGCGATTCTCCTGCCTCAGTCTCCCGAGTAGCTGGGATTACAGGCATGCGCCACCACACCGGGCTAATTTTGTATTTTTTAGTAGAGATGGAGTTTCTCCATGTTGGTCACCTGGTCTCAAACTCCCGACCTCAAGTGATTCGCCCACCTTGGCCTCCCAAAGTGCTGGGATTACAGGCGTGAGCCACCACGCCCAGCTCTTTTTTTTTTTTTTTTTTTTTTATATGGAGTCTCGCTCTGTCGCCCAGGCTGTAGTGCAACGGCACAATCTTGGCTTACTCCAATCTTCACCTCCGGGTTCAAGCAATTCTCCTGACTCAGCCTCCCGAGTGGGATTACAGGCACCCACCACCATGCCTGGCTATTTTTGTAGTTTTAGTAGAGACTGGGTTTCACCATATTCATCAGGCTGGTCTCAAACTCCTGACCTCAGGTGATTCATCTGCCTCTGCCAGAATTTCTCTTTAAATTCAACAAGATTCAGTTTTACAGTCTGGAAAAAAAATGTCCTCTCTATATGAACAATCAATCTTCACCATTGATATTTTTCATCTTTGACTTGAAGTTACAAACTAACTTCAGCAGGAATATTTATGAATTATTATGGATAATCTATTACACAGTGAAAACTGTAATATATGTTTGCTACATTTATATATAAAAACATCCTCATGACTAATGAAGCCTCCCTAGTACTTAGCTGAACAAATTGACTCAATAAATATGCTTATGTCAATTATAAAAAGTGAAAGGAACAAATCACTAAAGAAAACCTATATATTGTTCTCCTCTTAAAAGAACAAAATGGAGTGCTCTAACTAAATAAAATGTAACTTAATACACTACTTTTGGAATTACATCTAAAGATTATTTTGTGTGCACTAAATTTCATAAAAATTCTTATAATCGCAGACCAGCTCACATAATGAATACTTCATAAAATATAAAACAAAAAAAATGTAAGAAACAAAAAAAGTATGGGTCTAGCATGAGTACCAGGCAAGTATATACAGAGAATTTGCTTGGGAAGATTCAGAACTCTAAGTCATAGACTGTACAGTAATAAATTCAATACAAACCAAAAAGTATACATTTGCTTTCAGCATTTTTTAGGTTTTTAGTTTTATAGTAGTCACCATATTAAAATGATTTTTGTTCCCGTATCATTCTTTCCTTCTGAAAATATGTACAAACTCATACTCACACACACATACTTAACTCCATAATTTTCTTACACCTAAGATTTGTCTTTAGACTAACATGTATTTAACTCTATATGAATCAAAACTAAAAGTCTGTATATGTTTGCAGGCAGACAGGCCACATGTTCAAAGAAAAATATATAGAAAATTTGAAAATATATTTTACTTTTTGAGATGGAGTCTCGCTCTGTTGCCCAGGCTGGAGTGCAGTGGGGTGATCTTGGCTCATTGCAACCTCCACCTCCCAGGTTCAAGCGATTCTCCTGCCTCAGCCTCCTGAGTAGCTGGGATTACAGGCACATGCCACCACGCCTGGCTAATTTTTGTATTTTTAGTAGAGACGGGATTTCTCCATATTGGCCATGCTGGTCTCGAACTGCTGACCTCAAGATCCACTCCCTCGCTCAGCCTGTCAAAGTGCTGGGATTACAGACGTGAGCCACCACACCTGGCATGAGAAAATATTTATTAAGAATTTAGAAATGAATTTCATTTATACTCGTATATAATTTTTATTATGACGATAAAAATAACACTGTGGTAAATAAAAATTTAATTGTACATTTAAAAATTTTTTTTTAAAGTGTAGAATTGGATTGTTTGTAAAACAAAGGAGAAATGCTACAGATGATGGATGCCTTACTTAACCCTGCTACTATTATATATTGTATTCTCCTATTAAAATATGCTACAGGCTGGGCGTGGTGGCTCAAGCCTGTAATCCCAGCACTTTGGGAGGCTGAGGCGGGCGGATCACATGAGGTCAGGAGTTCAAGACCAGCTTGGCCAATATGGTGAAACCCCATCTCTACTAGAAATACACAAATTAGCTGGGCATGGTGGCTGGCACCTGTTATCCCAGCTACTTGGGATGCTGAGGCAGAAGAGTTGCTTGAAACCAGAAGGCAGAGGTTGTAGTGAGCTGAGATCATGCCAATGCACTCCAGCCTGGGCGAAAGAGTGAAACTCAGTCTCAAAAAACAAACGAACAAACAAACAAAAGAATCTCTCTCTTTGATGTAGCAACAATTAACCCCATGCTTTCACATGTGAATCCAATAGGAATGAAGAAACAACAGGAAATAATTTCAGAGTTGAATGATGACATTATTCAATTTTCAAAAAATCTGTAATATTTTTCAAGAAATAAAGTATACTTTGAATGTAATTATAACTCTGCAAAAAACCTTCTGATCCTCTTAAAGTTCTATACAAATAACTTTTCTACCAACTTTAGTTTCAGATTTTCTATACTTAGCACTCTGATTTAGTATATCTGAAGTGTCAGTACCTTATATATTTCTACCATAAATTCTCTGATATTTGCATAGACTTAATTATGGATTAAATATTTTACTTTTACTGCATCTGGAAAAAATATATTCTAGTATAACTGTTGATTTCTAAGCTGTAGTTTTTGAAAAATTGTTTTTCCAAATTTATTATATTTGCACAATTTTTCAATATAAATTCCCTGATGTTGAACAAAGTTTGATCAACTGCTTCAGAGTTTTCCTCTAGAAGAAAATGTCTACAAAAAGATCTGTGATACAAGTAAAGGCACTACAACCCTTTTTATATTTGTGATGTTCAACTTCAAAATAAATACTCTTCACTAAAAAAGCTTATATTTTCTGAAAGATCTTTTGACAGTAATTGCACTTATAATGCTTTTATTAAGCAGGAACTCTCTGTGTTGAGTAAAATGTGAGCAGATAATGATGGCTTTTTCACAGTCTTTATATTTGTATAATTTATCTCAAGTATAAATGCTTTCCTAGCAATAAAGTGTGAGCATTAAGTTTTGCCATATTGTTCACACATGTAGGCGTTTTCTCCAGTATGAATTATCTTACCTACAATGAAGTGTGACAACCATTTAAAGGCTTTATCTCACTCTTCAGATTTCTAGGATTTCTCACCAGTATAATTACTTTTATGGTTAGAAAAGTTTGAGGCGTTGTCAAAAGTAGTCACATCTTTCTGATTTGTAGAGTTTCTCTCCAGTATAAATTATCTTATGTCTGTTAAGAATTGAGGGCTTCTTAAAGGCTTTGCCATGTTTTTCACACTTGTGGGGTTTTTGTACAGTATAAATTTTTTTTGAGACGGAGTCTCACTCTGTTGCCAAACTGGAGTGCAGTGGTACAATCTTGGCTCACTGCAACTTCCACCTCCCAGGTTCAAGTGATTATCCTGCCTAAGCCTCCCGAGTAGATGGGAATACAGGCACGTGCCACCACACCCAGATAATTTTTGTATTTTTAGTAGAGACAGGGTTTCACCATGTTGGCCAGGATGGTCTCGATCTCTTGACCTTGTGATCCACCCACCTCAGCCTCCCAAAATGCTGGGAGCCATTTTGCATAAGCCACCGCACCCGGCCAATATTTAATGCTTAGTAAGAGTTGAGGACTGCTTAAAGGCTTTCCCACATTCTTGACATTTGTAGAGTTTCTCTCCAGTATGAATTATTTTGTTTAATAAGGTTTGAGGACTGGTTAAATGTATTGTCACATTCTTCACAGTTGTAGGGTTTCTGTCTAGTATGAATTTTCCTATGTTTAGTAAGAGTTGAGGATTGGTTAAAGGCTTTACCACATTCTTCACATTTGTAAGATTTCTCTCCTGTATGAATTATCTTATGTTTAGTAAGATTTGAGGATCGGTTAAAAGCTTTGCCACATTCTTCACATTTGTAGGGTTTCTCTCCAGTGTGAATTCTCTTATGTGTAGTAAGGATTGATGACTGGCTAAAAGCTTTGCCACATTCTTCACATTTGTAAGGTTTCTCTCCAGTATGAATTATCTTATGTGCAGTAAGTTGTGGGGACCGGTTAAAAGCTTTGCCACATTCTTCACATTTGTAGGGTTTCTCTCCAGTATGAATCATCTTATGTGTAGTAAGGTTTGAGGACTCATTAAAGGCTTTGCCACACACTTCACATTTGTAGGGTTTCTCTCCAGTATGAATTCTTTTATGTTTAGTAAGGGTTGAGGACCAATTAAAGCCTTTGCCACATTCTTCACATTTGTAAGATTTTTCTCCAGTATGAATTATCTTATGTTTAGTAAGGTATGAGAATCGATTAAAAGCTTTGTCACATTCCTCACATTTGTAGGGTTTCTCTCCAGCATGAATGAACTTATGTGTACTAAGGGTTGAAGACTGGTTAAAAGCTTTGCCACATTCTTCACATTTGTAGGGCTTCTCTCCAGTATGAATTATCTTATGTGTAGTAAGGTGTGAGGACCGGTTGAAGGCTTTGCCACATTCTTCACATCTATATGGTTTCTCCCCAGTATGAATTATCTTATGTGTAGTAAGGGTTGAGGACTGCTTAAAAGCTTTGCCACATTCTTCACATTTGAAGGGTTTCTCTCCAGTATGAATTCTCTTGTGTCTAGTAAGGGTTGAGAACCATTTAAAAGCTTTGCCACATTCTTCACATTGGTAAGAATTCTCTCTAATATGAATTCTTTTATGTTGACTTAGGTGTAAAAGCATGCAAAATGATTTGCCACATTTTTTACATTTGAAAGGTTTCTTTCCAGTATGTCTTGTCTTATGTCTATTTGCATTTAAAAATTTATGAAAGACTTTCACATATTTATCACATGGAAATATTTTGCTCTGGGTAGTTGTCAAACACTGGTTTAGCTCATTATAACCTTCTTTGTGCACCTTATACTCATCTACACTTGCGGAGCCTTTTCTTAACTGTAAATTCTCATGTTCACATTTGCCATATCTTCTCAGTATTACTTGTTGAAAAGAATCTTTTATGTCTTGCTCTGGCCAAAGGTCTTTGGTAAAATAAGAACACATAGCTGAAAGAAATACAAACAACAAATTATTCAACTTACTAGACTCTGATAAACATACTTTACAAATCTAACCTACATTATACAAACTACATAAACAAGATGCCATAATAAAATACCATAGGCCCTAAATCCTTCATAGACATATAAATCTAATAAAAATATACTGACCAAAATATATTTGAGGACAACTTATAAACAAGTGTGTAAAGTTCCCCAGGTGAGCACACAGGTGAGTACACAGGAATGCAAAGACACAGAAGAAAAAGAAAAGTCTGTTACATTTACCCAACACAGTTCTTCCTACTCAACAATACAACATAGTGCCTTTCAAAGTAAATTGCTAACTTTTCGTTTCTTTTTTAATAAACAAGTAAAACACTGGCACATACATCTATATTACTTGCTTCTAGGGGCCCTTCCAGAAACTGGTCTCCCATAACATAAAGTGCTGAAAGAAATGGTGGTATATTTTGGAATTACAGTTTACTTCTGCTGAGACCAAAGGTAAATGTTACAGCAACAGAGAGACTGCAGTACCACAGACAGGGAACAGATACAGCAAATGACTGCTGATTAAGATGAAACAGAAACTCCTTTAACTAAAAAATAAACACAAAATTTTAGACAAGACACATTCAAAGAACATGTTTGAGAGTCTCACAGGATCTCAAACCAAGATAATTGTTTTCAGACTATGCCAGGACAAAGCTACATTATAAACAATGTGACAGGTAGCTATATTTAATGTCCAAATATTAATCAAAGATTACAATGAATACAAAATAGGGCAAAATCGCTCCACCAAAATTATAAGATTTTCAGAAAGAAACCATAAAAAAGATGTATACATTAATTTTAAAAATTTAAAATAAATTGAATACTCAATGAGTAAAATAAGGACACAGACAACTATAGAAAATCAGAAAAAATGAGAATAACAAAAATATTTAAAATATCCAAAAACAGAAATTGTAAAGGAAAATATAACTAAAAAATTCTGAAAGAAAAAATAATGTCAAAATGAAGAAGCTCAACAAATACACTAGGATACACATAAAGATATTTATAACAAACACATATATAAGCACAATTTCGAAAGTCACAGACAAGAAGAGAATGGAGCTGCAAGATAAAAACGACATGTCATTTACAAGCATAGTCTTATGAGATAGCCGGTGAACTGTCAACAAAAACTTTGCAGGCCAGAAGGAAACTGTGTGATATAGTCAAAGTCCTGAAAAAAATAGCTATAAAGTGAGAATAATACCATCAGCATATCTGTCCTTCCAAGTAAAAAGAAAAAAAACCTTTAAAAATAACCAAATACTGAAAAAGTACATTGGCTTTTCATATGCCTTACATATAAAAGATGCTGAAAACCGTTGCTGCTACTGAAAATAACATGATTCAACAAAACAACACATCATATAAAAGACATTATTCTCTGGGAAAAAAAATGCACATACACAAAAATGGAATTTCTTAGCATTATAATAATAGTGCAAAAAATATTAATTATTCTCTAAAATTTGAAAGGTACAAGAATAGAAATCATTATAAACATTTGTTAGCAAATATACAACATAAAATATACAATTAGCAACATCAATGACAAATTTGAAGGCAGATATAATGAGAAAAAATTTTTGGATGCAACTGAAGTTCTTTTTTTTTTTTTTTTCTTTTGATATGGAGTCTCACTCTGTCGCCAGGCTGGATGGTGCAATCTTAGCTCACGGCAACATCCGCCTCCTGGGTTCAAGTGATTCTCTTGCCTCAGCCTCCCGAGTAGCTGGGACTACAGGTGTGCACCACCATGCCCAGCTAATTTTTGTATTTTTAGTAGAGATAGGGTTTCACCATATTGGCCAGGGTGGTCTCGATCTCTTGATCTTGTGATCTGCCTGCCTCGGCCTCCCAAAGTGCTGGGAATATAGGTGTGAGCCACGACACCTGGCCTGAAGTTCATTTTTTACCAGATTAAAATACATTGTTGTATCTTTTAGAGGTTTTATATAATCCCCAAGGTAACCCCAAGAATACGTTTGCGTAAGTACACAAAACAAATGAGAAAGAAGTAAAAGCATACCAAGATAAGTACAACAAAGACACAAAGACAGAAAAAGAGAAAATGAGGAACAAAGATACAAGAAGCAAATACAACAATTAACAAAATAACAATAGTAAGTCTGCATAAGTGGAGAAAAATAAAATTCTTTTCAGACAAGCAAATGCTGAGGGAGCACATCACCACCAGGCCTGCCTTGCTAGAGCTCCTGAAAGAAGCACTAAGGTTAAGAAGAAAAAACCATTACCAGCCATTGCAAAAACACACTGAAGTACAAAGATCAATTATGCTATAAAACAACTACATCAACAACTCTGCAAAATAAGCAGCTAGCACTACTTGGACAGAATCAAAATCACACATAAAAATACTAACCTTAAATGTAATAGGCTGAATACCTCAACTGAAAGACACAGAAGGGCAAGCTGGATAAAGAGTCATGACACAGTTTGGGACCAGCCTGACCAACATAGTGAAACCCCATCTCTACTAAAAATACAAAAAATTAGCTGGGTGTGGTGGTGGGCGCCTGTAATCCCAGCTACTCAAAATCCCGCAACTACAACGAAACTGAACAACCTACTCCTGAATGAATTTCCTGAATGAACAACTTGCTCCTCTTTATTTCTGGGTAAATAATACAACTAAATCAGAAATCAAAAAATTATTTGAAACCAATGAGAATGAAGAGACAATGTAGCCGGGCGTGGTGGCTCACACATGTAATCCCAGCACTTTGGGAGGCTGAGGCGGACAGATCACCTGAGGTCGGGAGTTCGAGACCAGCCTGACCAATATGGTGAAACCCCGTCTCTACTAAAAATATAAAAATTAGCCTTGCTTGGTGGCCGGCACCTGTAGTCCCAGCTACATGGGAAGCTGAGGCAGGAGAATTGCTTGAACCTGGGAGGCGGAGGTTGCAGTGAGCCGAGATCACACCACTACACTCCAGCCTGGGGTCAGAGCGAGACTCCGTCTCAAAAAAAAAAAAAAAAAGACAATGTAACAGAATCTCTGGAACACAGCTAAAGCAGTGTTAACAGGGAAATTTATAGCACTAAGTACTCACATCAAAAAGCTAGAAAGATCTTAAATGGACACCCTAACATCATAACTAAAAGAACGAGAAAACCAAGAGCAAACAAAACTTCAAGCTAGCAGAAGACAAGAAATAACCAGATTCAGAGTGGAAGTGAACGACATAAAGACCCAAAAAACCCTTCAAAAAAACTCAATGAATCCAGGAGCTGGTTTTTTTTGACAAAACTAATAAAATAGACTGCTAGCTAGACTAATAAAACAAGAGAGAAAAATGCAATAAACAATAAAAAATGATAAAGGGGCTATCATCACTGACCCCACAGAAATAAAAACAATGTTCGGAAAATACTATAAACACCTCTGTGCACATAAACTGGAACATCTAGAAGAAATGGATAAATTCCTGGACACATCCATCCTTTCAAGACTGAACCAGGAAGAAGTTGAATCGCTGCATAGACCAATGACAAGTTCTGAAATTGAGGCGGGAACAGCCTACCAACAAAAAAAGTCCAGGATCAGATAAATTTATAGCTGAATTCTACCAGAGGCACAAAGAGGATCTGGTACCATTTCTTCTGAAACGATTCCAAATGATGGAAAAGGAGGGGCCTCTCCTTAACTCATTCTATGAGGCCAGCATCACCCTGATATCAAGACCTGGCAGAGATATAACAAAATAAAACAACAACAACAACACACACACACACACACACACACACAAACCTTCAAGTCAATATTCCTGATAAACATCAATGCAAAAATTCTCAATAAAATGCTGGCAAACTGAATCCAGCAGCACGTCAAAAAGCTTTATTCCCAGGATGCAAGGCTGGTTCAACATACAAAAATTGATGTAATTCAAGTCAGCTTTATTCCCGGGATGGAAGGCTGGTTCAGCATACAAAAATCGATGTAATTCATCACATAAACAGATCTAAAGACAAAAACTACATGATTATCTCAAAAATGCGGAAAAGGCCTTCGAACAAATTCAACATCCCTTCATGTTAAAAACTCTCAATAAACAAGGTATTCATGAAACATACATCAAAATAATAAGATCTATGACAAACCCATAGCCGATATAAAAGGGCAAAAGCTGGAAGCATTCCCCTTGAAAACTGGCACTAGATGAGGATGCCCTCTCCCCACCACTCCTATTTAACATAGTATTGGAAGTTCTGGCCAGGGAAATCAGGCGAGAGAAATAAATAAGTGATATTCAAATAGGAAGTCAAACTGTCTCTGTTTGTAGATGACATGATCCTAGATCTAGAAAGCCCCATTGTCTCAGCCCAAAAGCTTCTTCATCTAATAAGCAGCTTCAGCAAAGTCTCAGGATACAAAATCAATGTGCCAAAATCACAAACATTTCAATACACCAACAATAAACAAACAGAGAGCGAAATCATGAATAAACTCCCATTCACAATTGCTACAAAGAGAACAAAGTACCAAGGAGTAAATCTAACAAGGGAAGTGAAGGACCTCTTCAAGGAGAACTACAAACCACTGCCCAAGAAAATCAGAGAGGACACAAACAAATAAAAAAGATAGAAAGAATATTGTAAAAATGGCCATACTGCTCAAAGTAATTTATAGATTCCATGCTATTCTGACTAAACTACCACTAACATTCTTCACAGAATTAGAAAAAAAAAAAATTTAAAACTCATATGAAAACCCAAAAGACCCCATCTAGCCAAGATAATTCTTTTTGTTTTTTGAGACAGAGTCTCACTCTGTCACCCAGGCAGGAGTGCAATGGCATGATCTCAGCTCATTGCAACCTCCGCCTCCCAGGTTCAAGCGATTCTCCTGCCTCAGCCTCCCAAGTAGCTAGGATTACAGGAATGTGCCACCATGCCAGGCTAATTTTTTGTATTTTTAGTAGAGACAGGGTTTCACTATGTTAGCCAGGCTTTTCTCAAACTCCTGACCTCAAGTGATCCACCCGCCTCAGCCTCCCAAAATGCTGAGATTACAGGCGTGAGCCACTGTGCCTGGCCTAGTCAAGAGAATTCTAGGCAAAAAACACAAAGCTGGAGGCATCATGATATCCAACTTCAAACTATACTACAAAGCTGTAGTAACCAAAGCTGCCTGGTACTGTTATAAAAACATACATATAGACCAATGGAATAGAATAGAGAACTGAGAAATAAGATTGCATATCTACAACCATTTGATCTTTGAAAACCCTGACAAAAACAAGCAATGGAAAAGGATTCCCTTTTAATAAATGGTGCTGGGAGAACTGGCTAGCCATATGCAGAAAATTGAAATTGGACCTCTTTCTTATGCCTATAAAAAATTAACTCAAGATGAATTAAAGACTTAAATGTGAAACCCAAAACTACAAGAACCCCTGAAGAAAATCTAGGCAATACTACTCAGGACATAGGCATGGGCAAAGATTTCATGATGAAAATGTCAAAAGCAATTGCAAGAAAAGCAAACATTGACAAATGGGATCTAATTAAACTAAAGAGCTACTGCACAGCAAAAGTAATTATCACCAGGTGTGGTGGCTCACGCCTGTAACCACAGTGCTTTGGGAGGCCAAAGGGGGTAGATGAGGATGGGGTCAGGAGTTCAAGACCAGCCTGGCTAAGATGGTGAAACCCCATCTCTACTAAAAATACAAAAATTAGCCGGGCATGGTGGCAGGCGCCTGTAATCCCAGCTACTCTGGAAGCTGAGGCAGAGAATTGCTTGAACCCGGGAAGTGGAGGTTGCAGTGAGCCAAGACCGTGCCACTGCACTCCAGCCTGGGTGACAGAGCAGGACTCTGTCTGAAAAAAAATAAATAAATAAAATAAAATAAATTATCATCAGAGTGAACAGACGATCTACAGAATGGGAGAACATTTTTGCAATCTATCCATCTGACTAAGGTTAATATCCAGAGTCTACAAAGAATTTAAACAAATTTACAAGAATTACACAACCCCATTAAAAAGTGAACAAAGGCCGGGCACAGTGGCTCACGGCTATAATCCCAGCACTTTGGGAGGCCGAGGTGGGAGGATCACCTGAGACTGGGAGTTTGAGACCAGCCCTGACCAAAATGGAGAAACCCCACCTCTACTAAAAATACAAAAAATTAGCCAGGCATGGTGGCACATGCCTGTAATGCCAGCTACTCAGGAGGCTGAGGCAGAAGAATCGCTTGATCTTGGGAGGCGGAGGTGGCAGTGAGCTGAGTTTGCACCATTGCATTCCAGCCTGGGCAACAAGAGCAAAACTCAGTCTCAAAAAAAAAAAAAAAAAAAGTGAGCAAAGAACAAGAAGAAACACTTCTCAAAAGAAGACATTTATGTGGAGCTCAACATCAGTGATCATTAAAGAAATGGAAATCAAAACCACAATGAGGTACCATCTCACCCCAGTCAGAAAGGTGATTATTAAAAAATCAAGAAATAACAGATGGTGGGGAGGCTATGGAGAAATAGAAATACTGTTACGCTTTTGGTGGGAATGTAAATTAGTTCAACCATTGTGAAAGCCAGTATGGCGATTCCTCAAAGACCTAGAACCAGATATACTATTGGACCCAACAATCCCATTACTGGGTATATACCCAAAGGAATATAAATCATTCTATTATGAAGATACATGGATGTGTATCTTCATTGCAGCAACATTCACAATAGCAAAGACATGGCATCAACCCAAATGCCCATCTATGACAGACTGGATAAAGAAAATGTGGTACATATGCACCATAGACTAATATGCAGCCATAAAAAGGAACAAGATTATGTACTTTGCAAAGACAGAGATGGAGCTGGAAGCCATTATTTTCAGCAAACTAATACAAGAACAGAAAACCAAACACCATATGTTCTCACTTATTAAGTGGGAGTTGAACAATAAGAACACATGGACATATGGAGGGAAACAACACACACTGGGGTCTGTCACGGGGAGGGAGAGAATCAGGATAAATAGCTAATGCATGCAGGGCTTATCACCGAGGTGAGAGGTTAATAGGTGCAGCAAACCACCACAGCACACATTTACTTATGTAACAAACCTGCACATCCTGCACATGTATCCTGGAACATAAAATTAAATTAAATTAAACTTAAAAAAAGAACAACAATAAAACTGGTAATAGTAACTTTATATCTTTAAGCAGTCATTTTAAAAATTAGTTAAATTACTTAATAAAAATAATGTAATCTCAGAACTTTGGGAGGCCAAGGGAGCTGATCACTTTAACTCAGGAGTTTGAGACCAACCTAGACAACAGGGCAAAAAACTGTCTCTACAGAAAAAAGTACAAAAAACTATCTCGGTTTGGGATGGCAAACATTTGCAACCCAGTTACTCAAGAAACTGAAATGAGATCATCTGAGTTTGGGAGGTTGAGGCTGCAGTGAGTCGTGATCATGCCACTGCAAACCAGCCTGGATGACAGAGTGAGACTTTATCTCAAAAATAAATACATTGGCCAGGTGCAGCGGCTCATGCCTGTAATCCCAGCACTTTGGGAGGCCAAGGCGGGCAGATCACGAGGTCAGATTGGGACCAGCCTGACCAACATGGTGAAACCCCGTCTCTACTAAAAATACAAAAATTAGCCACTACACCTGTACTCCCAGCTACTTGGGAGGCTGAGGAAGGAATATCGCTTGAATCTAGGAGGTGGAGGTTGCAGTGAGCAGAGATCGATGCCATTGCTCTCCAGCCTGGGTGACAGAGCGAGATGCCATCTCAAAAAAATAAAAATAAAAATACATACATAAATACATACATACATACATTTATAAAAAGAAAAAGAAATAAGATGCCTTAGTAGCTTAAGTTAAAAAGTATACAATTTGCTGTCTATAAGAGAGGCATTTTAGCATTGAGTCAAATAGGTTGAAAGTAACAGAACTGAAAAAATCTATATTCCATGCAAATAGTAACCACAATTGGGTGAGGTGGTAATAATTATATTGTATATAATATGCTTGTATATAACAGCATAGGACATATGCTTGTATGTAACAGCATAGGACAAACACGATATTATATAACGGTCAAATGAGTCAATTTACCAGGAATCTGTAACTATCATATCTATTTATATGTATACATACATATGACATAAGGGCTCCAAAATATATAAAGCAAACGTTGACAAAGGTGAAGGAAGAAATACATAGCAACATAATTGTGGCGATCAAGACATCATTTGCAATAATAGAAAATTCAGATAAAATATCAGTAAGAAAACAGAAAACAGGCATTATAGACTGTATTAACTATTTTGCATATAGAGGAATACCTGAGTGTGTAACTTACAAAGAAAGAAGGTTTATTTGGCTCACAGTTCAGCAGACTGTACAAGAAGGATGTAACAGCATCTGCTTCCGGTGAGGGTCTCAGGAAACTTACAATCATGGTGGAAGACAAAGAGTAATTTTGGCGCCTGTAATCCCAGCTACTCAGGAGGCTGAGGCAGCAGAATCGCTTGAACCCAGGAGGCAGAGGTTGCAGTGCGTCGAGATTGCACCATTGCACTCCAGCCTGGGTGAGAGAGTGAGACTCCCAAAAAAAAAAGAAAAAAAACCAAAGAAAGAAAAAATAATTGAACTAAATTTTCATCAAAAAAGATATTCAAATGGGAAAAACCATTTGAAAAGAAAAGCAAAATTAATGATTTGTAGAGAAACTCATAAAAATAAAAATGAGGCCAGGCGTGGTGGCTCACGCATGTAATCCCAGCACCTTGGCAGGTCGAGGTGGACGGATCATCTGAGGTCAGGAGTTCAAGACCAGCCTGGCCAACACTGTGAAAGCCCCATCTCTACTAAAAATATAAAAATTAGCCTGGCATGGTGGCGGGCACCTGTAACCTCAGCTACTCAGGAGGCTGAGGCAGGAGAATTTATGGAACCCAGGAGGCAGAGGTTGCAGTGAGCCATCGTGCCAATTGCCTGGGTGACAACAGCAGGCCTGGATGACAACAGCAAGACTCCATCTCAAAAAATAAAAAATAATAAAGAAATAAAATCTCATTACAATGGCCACTATACTATATGTTTAAAAATATACTACATGTTTTTTAAAACACAAAATCTGTTGATGATACAATGAAAATAAAGCCTATGCTGATTGTTGGTAGAAAAGAAGGAAGCAGCCATTATTTAAAAATGTTATACATGCTTCTTAAATAATTAACAATGGAATTATCAAATACAGCAATCCCACTCTTACGAAGCTATATCCAAACTATCCAACACAGGACCTAGAAGACATATTTGAACATCCATGTTTATTGTACCCTTACTCACAAAAGCCAAAAGGCAGAAGCAACCCAGGTGTCTCTTAATTTATAAACACATCAAAAATGAAACATATATATTCAATGAAATATCACAGAAATCAAAGATCAAATGTTTTCATAATTAAATCAAATATTATCAAAGAAATCTTGTCACATTTTAAGATAAACTTTGAAAATATTATGTCACTTGAAATAAGCCAGAAACAAAATGATGAATACTATATAATTCTACTTATATGAGATAGCTTAAGTAGTCACACTCATAAAAACAGAAAGTGGAAGGGTGTTTGTCAAGCACTGGGGAGAGGGTAAAATGGCATCTTGTCACTTAAATGGATATTGGGTTTTAGTTTCACAACATGTGAAATTTCTAGAAGTCTTTTGCAGAACAATGTGAATATATTTAACATCCCTGAAATGTACAGCTTCTTTTTAAGACAGGGTCCACTTTGTCACCCAAGCTAAAGTGCAGCGGCACAATTATGTCTCACTTCAGCCTCAAACTCCTAGGCTCAAGTAATCCTCCCTAAATCTCCCATATAGCGGGGTCCACAGGTGCATAACACTATGCCTAGATATTTTTAAAAATTTTTATAGAGAGGAAATCTCCATATGTTGCCCAGGCTAGTCTCAAACTTTGGGGCTCAAATGATACTGCTGTGTTGGCTTCCCAAAATCCAGGGATTACAAACGTGAGCCACCACCATGTCTGGCCCTGAAATGTGCACTTAAATAGATTTAAGATGCTAAATTTTATGTTATGTGTTTTTATTGTTTCTTTTTCTTTCTTTTTTTTTTTTTTTGAGATGGAATCTCGCTCTCTCACCCAGGCTGGAGTGTGGTGGCATGATCTCGGCTCACTGCAACCTCTGTCTCCTGGGTTTAAGTGACTCTCCTGCCTCAGTCTCCTGTATAGCTCAAATTACACACATACACCACCATGTCTGGCTAATTTTGTATTTTTAGTAGAGACAGGGTTTCACCATATTGGCCAGGCTGGTCTGGAGCTCCTGACCCTAAGTGATCTGCCTGCCTCTGCCTCCCAAAGTGCTGGGATTATAGGCATGAGCCACCGTGACTGGCCTGTTATGTTTTTACAACAATTAATTTTTCTAAAGGAAAAACAGAAAAAAATACAGAATTATAAATCTTCTCAAAATATCCTTCAAATCACAAAAATGTTTTTCTCACACAAAGAAAATATATATTCAGGCCAGGTGCGGTGGCTCATGCCTGTAATCCCAGAACTTTGGGAGGCCAAGGCAGGTGGATCACGAGGTCAGGAGATTGAGACCATCCTGGCTAACACGGTGAAATCCCATCTCTACTAAAAATACAAAAAATTAGCCGGGCATGGTGGCAGATGCCTGTAGTCCCAGCAACTCAGGAGGCTGAGGCAGGAGAATCACTTGAACCCGGGAGGTGGAGGTTGCCGTGAGCCGAGATTGTGCCACTGCACACCAGCCTGGGCGAAAAGGCGAGACTCTGTCTAAAAAAAAAAAAAAAAAAAAAAAAAAATATATATATATATATTCATCATTAGAAACATGGTGAAAATAAGACATAATGAAAATATTTTCATGACTACTCACTTAGACAAGATAAAACAGCCACTGAAAATCAGTTAAGAAAGAATATATATGAGATAAGTCATAACCAATATTGGGGTCATATTTATAGATAAACACACACACATATAATCTGATCGTGATAGACGTATGGCTGACTTATCTCTTAATTACACCTCACATTGACTTAAAGTATACAAACAGAATTGCAAATTGGCTAAAATTATATAAGAAAAACTAAAAAACACAACAAGCTGATGTTAAGAAACCTATACTGAAAAAACGCTAATAAGAAACTGCGTAATAAGAGACATGTTTACTCATAAAATCTGGTATGCAACATTAAAGTACCATTAAAAAAGAATTGTCTAGATAACTACAATAGTTGACTGTGTACTCAGGGAAGGCAGGTATTTTGAATCATTGGCATGCACTGTATGGCAGTAAAATTTCACAGAATATGCAGTATAATTAGAATAGTCTAATAAGAAACTTTTTAAATAAGCATGTAAAAAATATGATAAATTTTACGTTTTAAATATATGCTATTCTTACACAAAATTGAAACCACTGTAATTCAACTTTAGAAGCAAAGAATAGCATTACATTGCTAAATTTAAACGTATATTTTGCAAAGTAGGGTTACAGCCTCTGATATGTAAAACAAATATTTAGAAATAAATTATGTTGGGCCGGGCACAATGGCTCACGCCTGTAATCCCAGCAATCTGGGAGGCCGAGGCAGGTGGATCACAAGGTCAGGAGTTCGAGACCAGCCTGGCCAATATGGTGAAACCCCGACTCTACTAAAAATACAAAAAAGTAACTATATGTGGTGGCACACGCCTGTAGTCCCAGCTATTCAGGAGGCTGAGGCAGCAGAATAGCTATAACCTGGGAGGTGCAGGTTGCAGTGAGCTGAGATCATGCCACTGCACTCCAGCCTGGGTGACAGATTGACACTCCATCTCATAAAGAAAGAAAAGAAAAGAAAAGAAAAAAAAAAGAAAAGAAAAGAAAAGAAAGAAATTATGTTATCATTTAGATATATGCTGAAGAAAGTGGGTGAAAATCCTATAATTCCTTTTTACCTGCAGCGAACTTAAATTTATAAGTAACCATCTTAGTAATATGGAGTGCCTACCAATTATCTAATTTACTTCAGGCATAACATGTAAATTCTAGCATATTGTCCTAAATGTCTGAATCTAAAATGACAGAGAAGTTTGAAATGGAAAATCGAAAGTAAAAATGTATAGAAAGAGTAACATCAGTGACATAAAAAAATAGAAGGTGCTCTATTTGATTATCCTCGCCACAAAAAAAAATTTATTCAGTCATCCCTGACAAAAAATGCCTTCATGAGACAGCCAGCCATCATGGCTCACATCTTTAATGGCAGCTACATGGTACATTGAGGTTGGAGAATTGCTGCAGGCCTGGATTTCCAGACCAGATGATAAACAAGATCCCATCTCCAAAGTAAGTGCCTTTAAGAGAGCTTTGAGATGCAGGGAGGGAGTTGTGAAACTCTGCTAAAGCCCAAGATTGAGGAGTGTTTTTTCAGAGGACAGGCACTTATTCGTGTGGGAAATTACAGGACCCTTGGTTTTGGCTACAGATCAAGAAATGGTCCACCCAACTTGGTCCAACAGAGAATTCTGAAATTAACTCTGTAACCATCCCAAACTCCTCCCAGTTACAGTCTAAGAGAGGTCCTGCCCTTCCAGAGACCTGGAGGAAGACACCTATTTGCAGCCATGCAGACAGGTTTACAGACCTTGGTTTTTACTGTGGTCCCTGAAGCAGTTTATTGACTCAGTTCCAGCTCTCTGAGCCGCAGATCATGATCAGTTTTTCCTAAACAGAAACCCACACAGTGACCTGAAGAAATCCTCTCTGGTATTCAGTGAAAGGCAAACCCATTCACATCCTGATAGGGCCATTATATAAGGAGCCAACTGCAGAAATCTGCCCTGGTATCTGCCCTACAGATCAAAGTCTTAAAGAATATATACAATCTGTCCAAAAATAAAATGGGAATTACAATTACCCAAGCCCTTGTGACAAGCCATCTAAAGGTGGACTCTAGTGCAGACCCAGCAGCCTTGTGACAAAGCTACAACCCCTCTTCACTACAAACCCAGAGGGCATTCCATCACCCTAGGGACACAACAGAAAAAGATCTTTACCTCCTGAAACCTGTTTATAAAAGCTAAGGAGTTGTTTGCTCCTTCAAATTCACAGATACCAATATAAAACTATATTGCGCCCATTGTCAATGCTTCTATTTTAAGGTAGCACTGAAAGTATGTGGCACAAGAATTAGTCAAGAACATTTTTTAAAAGCCATTGGAATTAAAGAGAAATAAGTAAAAAGTTGCTGTTTGTGGATCATATGATCTTATATATAAAAAAACCATAAACAGTACATTAAAATTTGTCTAAACAGCCAGGCGCAGTGGTTCACACCTGTAATCCCAGCATTTTGGGAGGCTGAGGGGGGCAAATCACAAGGTCAGGAGTTCAAGACCAGCCTGGCCAACAGAGTGAAATTCCGTCTTACTAAAAATGCAAAAAAAAATTTAGCTGGGCTGGTGCCGAGTGCCTGTAATCCCAACTACTTAGGAGGCTGAGGCAGGAGAATCGCTTGAACCTAGGATGCAGAGGTTGCAGTGAGCTGAGATTATGCCATTGCACTCCAGCCTAGGCAACACAGTGAGACTGTGTCTCAAAAAAGAAAAAAAAGAAAAATTTGTCTAAACTAATAAATACAGTCAGTAACTTAACAAAATATAAAATTAACATAAAGTTATGGTTCCATACACTTAAAACTATCTGATACAATAGAGGAAGAAAACAGTCTTATTAATAATAGCATTAAAATAAATTTCTGAGAACAAATATAACGAAGAAGGTAAAAAATCTTTACAATGAAATATATATCAATGAAAAAAATTAGAGAAGACAAAAATAAATTTTAAAATATTTCATGTTGGCCAGGCACAGTGGCTTACACCCATAATCCCAGCACTTTGGGAGGCCGAGGTGGGCAGATCACAAGGTCAGGAGTTTGAGACCAGTCTGAACAGCACGGTGAAACCCCAACTCTATTAAAAATACAAAAAATTAGCTATGTGTGGTGGCACATGCCTGTAGTCCCAGCTACTCAGAAGGCTGAAGCAGGAGAATCGCTTGAACACAGGAGGTGGAGGTTGCAGTGAGCCAAGATTGTGCCACTGCACTCCAGCCTGATGACAGAGTGAGATTCTGTCTCAAAAAAAAAAAAAATTCATGTCTTGGATTGAAAGAATATTGTTAAAATGCCATATTATCTAGAGTAATCTATACATTTAATAAACTCCCCATGATAATTCCAGTGGTATTTTTTTCACAATAGAAAATACAATTCTAAAATTTACAAGAAATTGTAATAAATTTCAAATAGCCAAAGCATTCTTGAGAAAAAAGAACAAAGCAGAGGGACATCATAATTTATAATTTCAAACTATATTTTAAGACTATAGTAATACAAACAGGATGAAATATGCAAAAAAATTAACAAGAAACCCCTAATGGAACAGAAATCACTACTCTCACATATTTCAGACAGGATTCAAAAAGAGAACTAAAAAATAATTTAACAAAGAATTTTTCAAAATTATACAGATATTTGTGCGTCCCCCAAAACAATAAAAAAGCAGTCAGATTATATGCCATGACAGTCTTTTATATGCTATGACAATATGCTTTGGCTCTCTTGTAGACTTGAAGGAAGATCCCCCAAGGAAAAGTAGAATTCTTAGAGAATTTAAAAGCATAAGACAGAAGATGTCCCTATGTAAGAAAAAATTTTAAGAAAATATTCAGGCCTCCCAGAAACTACATGCTTTATAACACAGCTTCCCAAAACACATTGTAAGGACTGGCACATTTTTTTTTTTTAAGCTTTGGACCTCTCATCTGTGTCATCTGTTTTTTTTCACTCTCACCTACCTGGGGGTTCATCCACCATCTCATGTCTCTTCATATTCCAGGGCTCTTTTTCTTGCTCCAGACAGGTGACTGGGTCTTGCTTAGAGACAGCAACACCTGCTTTATTAAAAATAAATAACATGAATCTTGCCTATATTCTCTAATTACTAACCTAGTACTGTGCTCAGTAAAAAGGATGTGATAGAATATTTTAGAAAATTAATCCAAAGGCTGGGCGCAGTTGCTCACACCTGTTATCTCAGCACTTTGGGAGGCCGAGACGGACAGATCACCTGAGGTCAGGAGTTTGAGACCAACCTGTCCAACATGGTGAAACTCCATCTCTACTAAAAATACAAAATTAGCTGGGCATGGTGGCAGGTGCCTGTAGTCCCAGCAACTCCAGAGGCTAAGGAGGAGAATTGCTTGGACCCGGGAGGCGGAGGTGGCAGTGAGCCAAGATAGTGCATTGCACTCCAGCCTAGGCAACAAGAGCAAACTTCCATCTCAAAAAAAAAAAAAAGTGTTTTAGCCAGGCGCAGTGGCTCACGCCTGTAATCCCAGCACTTTGGAAGGGTGAGGTGGGCAGATCTCCTGAGGTCAGGAGTTTGAGACCAGCCTGGCCAACGTGGTGAAACACTGTATCTACTAATACAAAAATTTGCTGGGTGTGGAGGTGTGCACCTGTAATCCCAGCTACTTGGGAGGCTGAGGCAGGAGAATCGCTTGAACCCAGGGTGGAGGTTGCAGTGAGCCAAGATCGCACCATTGCACTCCGGCCTGGGTGACAGGGTGAGATTCCATCTCAAAAAAATAAATAAATAAAATAAAATTAATCTGAAAATACTGATTAAAGAGAGACATCTCTAACTATTTAGAAAATATTTTAAATTTGTAGGTTTTTAATTTTACTACCTGAATCAAAAATTGGTGATGGCAAATAGATTTTAAGATATGGGCAGTGATATTTTATGCCACTAAATTTCTGGAATTATCACTAATCTAGAGTGAAGGATACACATCAGCTCAGGAATGTGGAAAGTTCAGATCAAGATGAAACACGTTGAAGAAATTCTTTTCCACACGGACAAATCATCAAGATTTTCTTGAAAACTGGGATTAGAAACTCATTTATACAAAGCATAAATTATCAAAAAAATTCTACAAAAAAAGAGACATGAAACATTTAGGGCATATTAAGAATTGTGTATGAAAGTTATTCTCACCCAAGAAGACCAGGTTTTTGTAGTTTTCTAACATCACATTCATATATAAATTCTGCTGAGCAGGGTTCAGGCATTCCCACTCCTCCAGAGAGAATTCTATGGCCACATCCCTAAATGTCAATGTCTCCTGAAAAACACAAGCACAGAGACACACATATATTTACCAAGTGGCCATGGGCAGAATTTATTATTTGAATTAAGGTGAATTGAGAGAGTAAAGAGAACTGATTCTGACTTATAAGAATAACTGAAATTATCCAATAATTTTTAACACAGAAATATTTTCTAATGTATTCTCCTACTCTGAGGGCAGAGAATGGCCTAAGATCCACAACACCAGTGCATATATGATACTTCTCTGGATGATAAAGTATATAATTAAGGACACAAACACAAACATATACATTATTGAGTGCTATACTTACATCATAATGAGTTGTGTATATTTTTCAGACAAAGAAAAACATGTTGAGTCAGAAGGTACCTCTCAAATTTAAATGTGCACGATAAACTGGAGATCCTGCCATGAAGATTTTTTTATATTTTTCAGAAGATCTGGAATAAAGTCTGAGTTTTTAAAATTCTAAAAAGGTCACTAGTAATGCCAATGTTTTTATCCCAGGAAGACTATTTTGTCAAACATTAGGCAAGTGAAAGAGACTGTGTTTTTCCCAATGTTTCTGGCTTGTAAACAAAGTCAAGTGTCTTCATTTTCCAAAGACAGACACATGCAAAAAAAAACAAAAACAAAAAAACCTAAGAAAAAAGGGCAGGCACCAGATTAATTGTGATGGTTTATGCACATTAGCTGTATAAAGATACTTAATAATAAAGATAAAAATAATTAACTCTATAGTGAAAAAAAGTCACAGAGCTCTTTAACCAAGTAAATTATTAACATCAACTACACTAGAACAAATTTCTATGATGTGCTGATGCACACAGAAGAACACAGCATCACTGCTGAGATATTGCCCCTCAAAAAGTCAATTATAGACTGAATTTAACCATTAAAAAATCAGTTTTATGCAAAGGTCAAGATATCTCCCGCATTCCATAATTTTAATAATGATTTTAAGTAGTCTTTCTTTAGCACTCTAGAGAGCAGGTATCTCTTAATAATTTTTTCACAACTTCCTGGGTTTAGATGAAACCACAACATTATATGTTCTCCATCTTTACTAAGGACCCCAGCTTTTCCCCAGTAGGAATCTTGAGTATCCACATCTTCCCATGTTCAACAGCCACAAAAGGAACACTTTTAATATGGCAGATCATAAATTCATGGTAGGAATTCTGCATTGCATATAAGAAGCCATGATGTAGAGAAGGGTCTGGTGCATAGGAAAACATTTTTTTTTTTTTTTTTGAGTTGCCCAGGGTGAAGTGCAATGGTGTGATCTCGGCTCACCACAACCTCCGTCTCCCAGGTTCAAGTGATTCTCCTGCCTCAGCCTCCTAGTAGCTAGGATGACAGGCATGTGCTACCATGCCTGTCTAATTTTGTATTTTTAGTAGAGACGGGGTTTATCCATCTTGGTCAGGCTGGTCTTGAACGCCCAACCTCAAGTGATCCACCTGCCTCGGCCTCCCAAAATCCTGGGATTAAAGGCATGAGCCACCGCGCCCAGCCAGAAACAAATATTTTTTAGAGACCCTTGACTATTACAAGAATTTTTTAAAGTACCTGAAACAAACTCACTGGGGAGGAAAAACACAAGCAGAGAAGGTTTCCAAGTACTAAACACATGGCACTCCAGGAGGCAGAGTGGACACAGCTCTTGATCTGAGACATGTTTAGCTGAAAAGAAGCCATTATTCCTCTTTCTCCTCCTTCTCTGGAAATCCTTTTCAGATAAAATTCTCTGGACAAGTAACACCTGCATCTTGAGAAAATTCCCTTAAAAGCATCAGCACCACCTGCTTACCTACTAGTGTCACGCCCACACACAGAAGGACCAAGACCAAAAAGTCCATGCATTTCTCTCCTTTATAACAGAAGAGATTCAGGAAAAAATGAGCTGCTCCATGGAAATAAAAATATGATCTGCCATATTAAAAGTGTTCCTCTTTTCCTGTCCACAGGTGCCCTCCCCTGCCACAGACACCAGCAAATTCTGCTACAGTAATGGAAATATGCACCACACTGCCCTGTCCCTACCAAACCCAAACTGAACGGGCCCTGTGACCACCCTTTAGTACAAAGGTGGCACTTCACTCTCATGAATGTATTTTGAAGCCCTCATATTTGATTCTGGCCTCAGCTTAGAGTCACATGAGGCCCTTCATTAAAACAACATGGATGCTTCCACCCAGAACAATAAATAGAAACTGTGGAAAGGGCACAAGTAAAGAGATTTCTGCAATTTTTTTTTTTTTTTTGAGATGGAGTTTCACGCTCTTACCAGGCTCGAGTGTAATGGTGCAATCTCAGCTCACTGCAACATCCGCCTCCCAGGTTCAAGCGATTCTCCTGCCTCAGCCTCCTGAGTAGCTGGGATTACAGACACACACCACCACACCCAGCTAATTTTTGTATTTTTAGTAGAGTCAGGATTTCACCGTGTAATCCTAATGAGAGAAGTGGGCTGATAAGCACTGCCTCTCAAGCTTTAATGAGCTTAAAAATTACTTGGTAATAGGATCAGGAGCAGTGACTCACGCCTGTAATCCCAGCACTTTGGGACACAGAGTGGGGCGGATCACCTGAGGTCTGGAGTTCAAGACCAGCCTGACAAACAGGGAGAAACCTCATCTCTAC
This sequence comes from Homo sapiens, assembly GCF_000001405.40. NCBI lineage: Eukaryota > Metazoa > Chordata > Mammalia > Primates > Hominidae > Homo > Homo sapiens. The sequence goes on along the minus strand of NC_000019.10, from coordinate 21,163,700 downwards.
TAAAAATAAAAAATTAGCTGGCGTGGTGGTGCATGCCTGTAATCCCAGCTACTCAGGAGGCTGAGGCAGGAGAATCGCTTAAACCCAGAGGGCAGAGGTTGCAGTGAGACGAGATCGTGCCATTACACTTCAGCCTGGGTGACAGAGCGAGACTCCGTCTCAAAAAAAACCAACATTACTTGGGAATTTTGGTCCCAATCTATGTAATGTGAATCTGCAGGTTTGGAAAAAGTCCATGAATGGGTATTTCAAACAAGTCCCCTGCCAATGCTGATGTTGCTACCCCTGGGTTCATTATTAGCAGTAGTTAGAGAAAGCGGGCACAGCACAGAGTCCCTTACACTCAGCTCTGTTGTCACAACACAAATATTTCTGGTACAAATGGAGACAACCAATCTCCATCCAAACGTTTCGTATTCTTTGCTGGCTCTTTAAAGTTTACAGAGGAAACAGAAAGCAGCAATTTCAGAATAATTCTGCATTTGAAAAACAACATGTAAACATGTAATAATGCAATGTTTATTAAGCAGGTACTATCTGCTCAAGAGTATGTTACAGAGCACTATGTGGGGAATAACACATTATGTGACTTAATCCTCATAACACCCTGGAAGTTGACTCTAAGTGTTCAATAATTCCCAGGATTTAGATAAAGGGTTCAGCATTTTTATTTCTTCATCTGTTTCTCTGTCATTTTTAAAAATAAAATGTATAGAATAAAAGCTAAATATAGACAGATAGGAGGGATACAGAATGAGAGAATTTAATGTAGTTTAGAGAAATTTTTATTGTGTTTATATTTACTTTTTTGTTACTTGTGGAGCAACTACTGGATCTGCAGGAATAGAAAACAAGTTGCTAAATGGAATATTTCTGTAAGCACTGGTTTTAACACAAAACTTAAAAATTAGGATCCCAAAATATACAGTTTATTTTTCTCATTTACCTGCTTTTGGGTTTCTGAAATTTTGAGCACCAGCTCTAGAAAGGCAGCAGGATTCACCAGCAAAAACTCTCATCTTTTTAAATCAGCTTTGTGATGCAAGACTCCAGGGTGGGGCCAGACCTAAATAAGGGCTCCAAAAAGGGTGAATCTGGTCGGGTGTGGTGGTCATGCCTATAATCCCAGCACTTTGGGAGGCTGAGGTGGGTAAGTCGCCTGAGGTCAGGAGTTCAAGACCAGCCTGGCCAAAATGGTGAAACCCTGTCTCCACTGAAGATACAAAAATTGCCGGGTACAGTGGCTCATGCCTGTAATCGCAGCACTTCAGGAGGGTGAGGCAGGTGGCACCTGAGGTCAGGAGTTCAAAACCAGCCTGTCCAACATGGTGAAACCCTGTCTCTACTAAATATACAAAAATTAGATGGGCATGGTGGCAGGTGCCTGTAATCCCAGCTACTCAGGAGGCTGCAGCAGGACAATCGCTTGACTCCCATAGATGGAGGTTGCAGTGTGCCAAGATCATGCCACTGCATTCCAGCCTGAGCTACAGAGCTAGACTCCATTTCAAGAAAACACACACACACACACACACACACACACACACACACACACAATTAGCTGGATGTGGTGACAGGCACCTGTAATCCCAGTTACTTGGGAGGCTGAGGCACAAGAATTACTTGAACCTGGGAGACAGAGGTTGCAGTGAGCCGAGGTTGCACCACTACACTCCAGCCTGGGAAACAAGAGCAAGACTCCAACTGAAAAAAGCAAAAAACAAAAAAACAAAAAACAAGGGGTGAACGCTTGGTGCGGTGGCTCACGCCTGTAATCCCAACACTTTGGGAGGCCTAGGTGGGAAAATCACCTGAGGTCGGGAGTTCGAGATCAGTCTTACCAACATGGAGAAACCTTCTCTCTACTAAAAATACAAAAATTAGCCAGGCATGGTGGTGCAAGCCTGTAATCCCAGCTACTCGGGAGGATGAGGCAGGAGAATCACTTGAACCAGGGAGGTGGAGGTTGTAGTGAGCCTAGATTGCGCCACTGCACTCCAGCCTGCGCAACAAGAGCAAAACTCCATCTTAGACAAACAAACAAACAAACAAACAAAACAGACCTGGGTTAGGCACTGGACCCTCTGTAGAATTCTGTTCTCTATGCCACTGGGGTATTTCCAGTTCAGTTTTTCCTAAGTTTACCTAAGAGAAACTAAAATCCCAGAGTTTATGTAACTTTAATCTGCCCTTTCAATGTTATAACATATAATAATAAGCAACTTAAACAAATCTCTCAAGGTTTTCTAGGATAATTTTATCAGATGATATATATGTATTCTTAGCAAGGTAAAAGAAACACGAATAATAATAAAATTCTCCTGTCCATAAATATCCCTTCAGATGATATCAGAAGTCACAACAATACAAAAAAAGTGGCCCAAATAAAGCTCAAGTTTTTTTGTACACATCTATTCATTGTACTAACCATACAATACTTAATTCAACCATGTACCCAGTTGCTAGTCTAGACTAAAAGTTCCTGGATGGTAGGGATCATGACTGCTTTATTTATTTATTTATTTATTTATTTAGAGATGGAACTTTGCTCTGTCACCAGGCTGGAGTTCAGTGGCATGATCTCAGCTCACTGCAACCTCCACCTCCCAGGTTCAAGAGATTCTCCTGCCTCAGCCTCCTGAGTAGCTGGGATTACAGGCACGTGCCACCAAGCCCAGCTAATTTTTGTATTTTTAGCAGAGATGGGGTTTCACCATGTTGGCCAGGATAGTCTTGATGTTTTGACCTCGTGATCCACCCACCTTGGCCTCCCAAAGTGCTGGGATTACAGGCATGATCCACCGCACCTGGTTCATCTATGTTTTGAATGACCATATGAAATGGAAGCAATTAGTTTATTTGAGTCACAAGACCTCCTCTTTGTCTTTCACCTAAGTACTAGGAAACTGGAGAAACTCTCATCTTGGTACCAACTAAAGTGACCTCTTATATGAAGGGAGTAAAAAACACAGGATTACTTCTTTCTCTTATACTGAGAGAAGCAGAATTAATCACTCTTGTCAGCCTGACACAGTTCTGCCCTGGACATCCTCAAATGTCTCAAAGATGCCTAGGTGATTGTGAGACGGTTCTTAGTGATCCACGGCTGAGGGCCCACTGATAAGCCAGGATGGAGAGACTCAGGCTGATTCTAAATAGAAAATGGAACTGCTCTGGTGGAGCTCCAGAACCTGGATCACCTATCCTGATTCATTCACTTTTGGGTAAGAGGAAGGACAAGAATACTCTGCTCCAGCATGACATTTTACACGTAGGTATAGTTGTGGTTGTCATGGCTCTGGATATTTTGTGGCCTTGATCTCTCACTCTTAAGATGCTTGTTTAAACTTAAAGATTCTGTCATCAGACTCTATTTACACCTGGAGCCTCTTACATAACTGTAACAGGTCATTGAACAAGATCTAAAAAGCTTAAAAAGCCACATTCTCAAAGCGGGGTTTCAGATGTCTATGTTGACATCTCACAATGCAGAAAATGCCTCCTATTGGTTTTCTGTATATTCTCAATCCAAAGTCTGGCCCTGTCTTGTGAATCCCAGGCAGAAGCAAGATGTTATGTGCAGATTCTAGGTGGGATCAACCTGGCTTGCATCCTTGGGTGTTACATCAAGTAAAGTACAATCAAAGGAAAAATCTCCTCATAGAGGCTGTTCTAGCATACTCTAAGTAATATGTCTACCTAAAAAAAAAAAAAAAAAGGCTGAGGCAACATGAATATAAGTAGAGAGTTCATTTGGGCCAAGTTTAGGACTGCAACCTTGGAGCAAAGATACATCCTCCAAAGACTGAACAATAACAACAGCAACAAAACAGAATCCCTGAATAGGCCAACAAGTTCCAAAATTGAATTAGTAATAAATAGCCTAATAACCAAAAAAAGAACAGGACCAGACAAATTTGCAGGTGAATTCTACCTGATGTACAAAGAGCTGGTATCAATTCTACCAAAATTATTTTAAAATACTGAGTAAAAGGGACTCCTTTTCAACTCATTATATAAGAATAGCATCAGCCAGGTGCAGTGGCTCATGCCTGTAATCCCAGCACTTTGAAAGGCTGAGGTGGGCAGATCATGAGGTCAAGAGATCAAGACGATCCTGGCCAACATGGTGAAAACCCGTCTTTACGAGAAATACAAAAATTACCTGGGTGTGGTGGCCCAGGCCTGTAGTCCCAGCTACTCGTGAGGCTGAGGCAGGCGAATCACTTGAGCTCGGGAGGTGGAGGTTGTGGTAAGCCAAGATCGCGCCACTGCACTCCAGCCTGGCAACAGAGTGAGACTCCGCCTCCAACAACAACAACAACAACAAAAAGAATAGTATACTCTTTTTGTATACTATATATATATATCATAATTCTATATAGAATTCTGATACCAAAACCTGGCAGAGATAAAACAAAAAATAGAAAACTTCAGTCCAATATCCTTGATGAACACTGAAGAAAACTTTCTCAACAAAATACTGGCAAACCAAATCCAGGAGAACATCAAGTTAATCCAGTGTGATCAAGTAGGCTGTATCTCTGGTATGCAAGGTTTTTTCAACATACAACAATTAATGAATATTATTCATCACATAAACAGAACTAAAGACAAAACCCACAAGATTATCTCAATAGATGCTAAAAACACTTTCAATATAATTTAACATCCTTCATGCTTAAAACCCTCAACAAACTAGGCATTGAAGGTACATACTTCAAAATAATGAGTCATCTATGACAAACTTACAGCCAACATACTGAATGGACACAAGCTGGATGCATTCCTCCTTGAAAACTGGCACAAGACAAGAATGCCTTCCCTCAAAACTCCTATTCAACACAGAATTGGAAGTCCTGGCCAAAGCAATCAGGAAAAAGATTAAAATAAAAGACATCCAAAAAAGAAGAGAGGAAGTCAAACTATCCTTATGTCCAGATGACAAGATTCTATATCTTCAAAACCCTACAGTCTCAGCAAAAAGCTGTTTAAACTGATAAACAACTCCAGCAAAGTTTCAGGGTACTAAATCAATGGCATCCGTTTACATCAACAACATCCAAGCCAAAAGCCAAATCAAAAACATAATCCCATTCACAACTGCCACAAAAAGAATGGAATATCTAGGAATACAGCTAACCAGGGAGGTGAAAGATCTCTATAACAAGAATGACAAAATACTGCTTAAAGAAGTCAGAGATGGCCAGGCCCAGTAGCTCACACCTGTATCCCAGCACTTTGGGAGGCCGAGGTGGGCGGATCATGAGGTCAGGAGTTCGAGACCAGCCTGACCAACATGGTGAAACCCTGTCTCCATTAAAATACAAAAAAAATTAGCCAGGCATGGTGGCATGTGACTGTAATCCCAGCTACTTGGGAAGCTGAGGCAGGAGAATAGCTTGAACCAGGGAGGCAGAGGTTGCAGTAAGCTGAGATCGCACCATTGCACTCCAGCCTGGGTGACAGAGCAAGACTCTGTCTCAAGAACAACAAAAGTCAGAGATGACACAAACAAATTAAAAAAACATGTTATGCTCACAGATAGAAAAGATCAATATTATTAAAATGGCCAAACTGCCCAAAGACATTTACCAATTTAATGCTATTTGTATCAAACTACCAAAACGCTGTTAACTAAAAAATAACTATTTTAAAATTTATATGGAACCAAAATGAGCCTGAATTGCCAAGGCAATTTTAAGCAAAAAGAACAAAGCTGGAGGCATTACATTACCCCACTTCAAACCACACTCACTAGAGGGCTACGGTAACAAAAGCAGAACGGTATTGGTACAAAAACAGACTCGCAGAACAAGGCAGCAGAATACAGAGCAAAAAAAAAAAAAAAATTCATTAAAAAGTAGACAAATGGCCGGGTGCGGTGGCTCACGCCTGTAATCCCAGCACTTTGGGAGGCCGAGGCGGGCGGATCATGGGGTCGGGTTTGAAACCTGGCCAACATGGTGAAACCCCGTCTCTACTAAAAAAATCCAAAAAAATTAGCCAGGCGTGGTGGCGCACACCTGTAATCCCAGCTACTCGGGAGGCTGAGGCAGGAGAATAGCTTGAACCTAGGAGGCAGAGGTTGCAGTGAGCCAAGGTCCCACCACTACACTCCAGCCTGGGACAGAGCAAGACTCTGTCTAAAAAAAAAGAAAAAAAAGTAGGCAAAAAACATGAACAGATGCTTTTCAAAAGAAGACAAACGTGGCTAACAAGCATGTGCAACAAATGCTCACCACTAATCACTAGAGAAATGCAAAAAACAAGCAAAAAAAGACCACAATGAGATACCACCTCACACCAATCAGAATGGCTGTAATTAGAAAGTCAATAATAGGCTGCATACAATAATCCCATGGCAAAACTCTGTCTCTACTAAAAATACAAAAATTAGCCGGGCGTGATGGCACATGCCTGCAGTCCCAGCTACATGGGAGGCTGAAGCAGGAGAATTGCTTGAACCCAGGAGGCAGAGGTTGCAGTGAGGTGAGACGGTACCACTGCACTCTAGTCTGGGTGACAGAGTAAGACTCCATCTCAAACAAACAAACAAAGACATAAAACAAAACAAACCTAACTGCCTATTAATGGTAGACTAGATTAAAATAATATGGTATGGTTGGGTGAGGTGGTTCACACTTGTAATCTCAGCACTTTGGGAGGCCGAGGCAGGTGGATTGCCTTAGCTCAAGCATTCAAGACCACCCTGGGCAACATGGCAAAACTCATCTCTACAAAAGATAGAAAAAGAAGTTAGCTGGGCATGGTGGTGCATGGATGTAGTCCCAGCTACTTTGGGGGCTGAAGTAAGAGGGTGCCTTGAGCCTGGAAGGTTGAGGCTGAAGTGAGTCAAGATTGCACCACTGCACTTCAGCCTTTGTGACAGAGTGAAACACAGTCTCCAAATAAATTAATTAAATAAAATAGAAGATTTAATAAAAAACAAAGTACGGTACATAAACATCATGGAAGATTATGTGGCCATTAAAAAAAAAAAACAAGATTAAGTTATTTGCAGCAACATAGATGATGCTGGAGACCATTATCCTTAGAAAGCTAAAGTGAAACAAAACCAAATGCATGCTATCATTTATAAGAGCTAAATAATAATAACACATGGACACAAAGAAGGGAACGACAGACACTGAGGCCTAGTTGAGAATGCAGAACGAAAGGACAAAAAGGATCAGAAAAAAATACCTGTTCGGTTTTACGCTTAGTACCTCAGTGACAAAACAATCTACACCAAACTCCCATGACACAATTTTACCTATATAACAAAGCTGCACATGGACCCCTTAACCAAAAAGAAAAGTTAAAAGAAAAAAAAAATCCATGCGTGGGGAAGAGTGCAATGTAGGTGCAAGGAGTTGTTTGTTCTACAGATGGTGGCCCAGGTGGGGCTGGACTCTGATTTATTTCTGTGTGCCTGTAGGCAGATGAGATTATGAACAGGTGGCCCAGAACCCTAGCTTGGTGGGGAAAACAGGTTGCTGTGGCAGATTCAGCGTCTGCATGTGGGGATATGCCAGGAGACTTGTAGACACTTTTGTGGGTTTTTGTCAAGAAACACTAAAATCAACAATGCTATAGTGAAATTCCTGAGGGTGGTGCCTAGTGCTGGGAGAGGTGTGGATACATCAATGTCTAGTGGGCATATTTGGGTGTGGGTGGGAATCCTGTGGTGGCAGCTTTGTGAAAAGGGGGTCTGTCATCAGAGCTCCTTTCCTTGAAGTTTTCATCCTCTTCAATCCTGGCAGGAGCCCTGGGATCCCAAGACAATAGGTAGTGTGAAAGCCTGTGTGCAGGAGAGAAGAGCCTCCCATTTGCAGACACTCATTTTATACCAGGACAGGGCTCTGGGATATCTTCCTTCTGCCACCAAATCTGTAGAGTTTGCTGAACACCAAGCAATTCTCAAACAGCAACTCAGTGTCTAACATTTCAATTCTGACACCACCCAGAGTCAGCATAGACCCTGATTCAGATCTCAGTCCCACAACATTGTCCTCATTCCAGATGCCAGTGACAAACCCCATAGGCTCATCTATGCTTCTGAGCTACTGTTTAAAAATTGGGGACTCCGCAAGGTAATTTATAGATTCAATGCCATCCCCATCAAGCTACCAATGACTTTCTTCACAGAATTGGAAAAAACTACTTTAAAGTTCATATGGAACCAAAAAGGAGCCCACATTGCCAAGTCAATCCTAAGCCAAAAGAACAAAGCTGGAGGCATCATGCTACCTGACTTCAAACTATACAACAAGGCTACAGTAACCAAAACAGCATGGTACTGGTACCAAAACAGAGACCTAGACCAATGGAACAGAACAGAGCCCTCAGAAATAATGCTGCATATCTACAACCATCTGATCTTTGACAAACCTGACAAAAACAAGAAATGGGGAAACGATTCCCTATTTAATAAATGGTGCTGGGAAAACTGGCTAACCATATGTAGAAAGCTGAAACTGGATCCTTTCCTTACACCTTATACAAAAATTAATTCAAGATGGATTAAAGACTTAAATGTTAGACCTAAAACCATAAAAACCCTAGAAGAAAATCTAGGCAATATCATTCAGGACATAGGCATGGGCAAGGACTTCATGTCTAAAACACCAAAAGCAACGGCAACAAAAGCCAAAATTGACAAATGGGATCTAATTAAACTCAAGAGCTTCTGCACAGCAAAAGAAACCACCATCAGAGTGAACAGGCAACTTACAGAATGGGAGAAAATTTTTGCAATCTACTCATCTGACAAAGGGCTAATATCCAGAATCAGCAATGAACTCAGACAAATTTATAAGAAAAAAACAAACAACCCCATCAACAAGTGGGCAAAGGATATGAACAGACACTTCTCAAAAGAAGGCATTTATGCAGCCAACAGATACATGAAAAAATGCTCATCATCACTGGCCATCAGAGAAATGCAAATCAAAACCACAATGAGATACCATCTCACACCAGTTAGAATGGCGATCATTAAAAAGTCAGGAAACAACAGGTGCTGGAGAGGATGTGGAGAAATAGGAACACTTTTACACTGTTGGTGGGACTGTAAACTAGTTCAACCATTGTGGAAGTCAGTGTGGCGATTCCTCAGGGATCTAGAACTAGAAATACCATTTGACCCAGCAATCCCATTACTGGGTATATACCCAAAAGTTTATAAATCATGCTGCTATAAAGACACATGCACACATATGTTTATTGCAGCACTATTCACAATAGCAAAGACTTGGAACCAAGCCAAATGTCCAACAATGATAGACTGGATTAAGAAAATGTGGCACATATACACCATGGAATACTATGCAGCCATAAAAAATGATGAGTCCATGTCCTTTGTAGGGACATGGATGAAGTTGGAAACCATCATTCTCAGCAAACTATCGCAAGGACAAAAAACCAAACACCGCATGTTCTCACTCACAGGTGGGAATTGAACAATGAGAACACATGGACACAGGAAGGGGAACATCACACACTGGGGCCTGTTGTGGGGTGGAGGGGGGAGGGATAGCATTAGGAGATATACCTAATGTTAAATGACGAGTTAATGGGTGCAGCACACCAACATGGCACATGTATACTATATAACTAACCTGCACGTTGTGCACATGTACCATAAAACTTAAAGTATAATAAAAAAAAAATTGGGGACTCCCAATGGGTGCGGCGGCTCATGCCTGTAATCCCAGTACTTTGGGAGGCCAAGGCAGGTGGCTCAACTGAGGTCGGGCGTTTGAGACCAGCCTGACCAACATGAAGAAACCCCGTCTCTACTAAAAATACAAAATTAGACGGGCATGGTGGTGGGCGCCTGTAATCCCAGCTACTAGGGAGGCTGAGGCAGGAGAATCGCTTGAACTCGGAAGGCAGAGGTTGCGGTGAGCCAAGATCACGGCACTGCACTCCAAACTGGACAACAAGAGCGAAACTTTGTCTCAAAAAAGAAAAAAAATGGGGACTCCCACAGCCTTCCTCAAGTTCAATAATTAGATCAAGCTACTCACAGAACTCAGCAAAACACTGTAGTTATGTTTACTAGTTTATTATAAAAAGTACAACCCAGGAAAAGTCAAATGGAAGAAATGTATATGACAAAGAAAAGAGGTGGGGAACAATGAAGCACATACATAATCTGGGTAAATAGCTGTGATTAATAAAATTCTTCATCCTTTGTGTTCTCTAGAAATAGTTTATGGAAAGAAACACCCTTCCCATTATGACTTAGATGGTGCTCTCTTTTCTTATTTATCACATAGCCAGACACAGACTCTGTCAGAGGTGTACTGAACCAGAGCAGCCTCTATTTTGAATAGAGGCTGAGTAAAAATAACGCTGAGACCCACTGGGCTGAATTCCCAGATGGTTAGACATTCTAACTCACAAGATGAGATAGGAGGTCAGCATAAGATACAGGTCATAAAGACCTGGCTGATAACACAGTTTGCAGTATAGAAGCTGGATAAAACCCACCAAAATTAACATGGCGATGAGAGTGACATGTGGTTGTCCTCTCTGCTACACTCCCACCAGTGCTATGATAGTTTATAAATGCCATGGCAATGTCTGGAAGTTATCTTAAAATAGTTGAAAAAGGAGAGGCATAAATATTCCACCCCTTGTTTAGCATATAATCAAGAAATAACCATAAAAATGTGCAACTAGCAGCCACTGCTCTGCCTATAGAGAAAGCCATTCTTCTATTTACTTACTTTCTTCATTAACTTGCTATCACTTTACGGACTCGCCCTCAATTCTTTCTTGAGCGAGATCTAAGAACCCTCTCTTGGGGTCTGGATCAGAACTTCTTTCCGGTAACATCTTTCTGGTAACCACAAAGGGACTATACTTAAGAGACCTCTGACCCAAAGGAAAATCATCTGTGTGCACCAATCGGCTGACTTTGGGTGAGTGGTGTGCATATGCCTGAGTAAAGGATGGGATTGGGTTAGAGGCACAACTTAGGAGAATTAGAGTCTCTCCTAAGACACAGTGGGTTAAAGGCTCCTCTTAATAAAAGACAAGGATGCTTGACTGAACTTGGATTTGAGGCCGAGCTTAGAAAGGTTATATTCCTTCCTAAGATTCAGAAAGTTACAGACCCCTCTCAGTAAAATCCGTCTCAGCTAAGAACTGGTTTGACACTATGGGACATTCATTGCTATTCTTTTTGGATTAATCTGTCTTGCACTCTTTGCTGATGGCTATGGGTGACAGAATTAGGCATCTACAGGACCATGGGACATGGGGATCTTTTTCTTGTCCAAAAGGGAAAACTTAAGTGTTAATGGGACTGTTGGGAAAAAAATCTCTTTCCTACCAAGAAGCGGCCACCTGAACTTTTTATTATCGCTGCAATGAGTAGGTCTTTCTCTGGACCCCTCAGCTCTTTGCCTTCCTACCCTGCCACAGACAATGCTTTTTCTCTCTTTTCTCTTTCTTATTTTATATTACTCAGAGTAACCATCTTGCCTAGAGACCAAAAGATAAAACTCCTGATTATTAAGTTGAATTAACAATGACAGGGCCCAACTGGGGCCAAGTTTAAGTCTTGCCAGTTTCATATTGGTTGTTAAGAAGAGTGGCTAAGGTCTATGTTGTCACATATATTTTGATCTGGCCAGAAAAAGATAATTTTTCTTTTTGTTGTGGCTTGGCCCACGGGGCTGTGGTGCAGCCAGCCACATCACTAGGGCCACTCGGGGAAATGGAACCCAGAAGCCTGGCATGCTGGCAAAAGTGTACAAATTTCTGACGAGACTTCTAGCCTCTCTATGCAAACTGATTGAATGAATGGTGAAAAAAAATACTGTTTATCTTCTATGTAAAGTTCTAATTAATATGGGAATGCATTTGTGAGGTTAGTCTTAAGCTGTAACAAATCTGTTGTACTTTGAGCTAATAAATTTGTCTTTCTGTATTCTTCTGTCATTAAGAGGGGTACCTTAGGATAGAATGCAGGCCTAGGACCCCTTAAGGCTGCTGTTCAAGATGGCTCAGAAAAGTGCTCAGTCATGGCCTTGGAAGCTCCACCTTGTGACCACATGACAGTATTTTCTCTTGGTCTCCACCATCATAATGGTGGCCCAGGTTCAGGATTCAATTCCCGGCTTAGGGAATGAGTACTTTCTTATTTGATATTTGGGTGAGCTTTACCATTTGTTGATTCTCTTCCCCTCCAGGAACCACCTTGAATTTTCTTTTCAGAACACCTGTGAAGTTACTTTTGGTAAAATTCAAAAGCCAGAGATATTGGCTGTTTGACCTGAATAAAGTCTGGTAATAAGAAATTTAAAAGGACTTTTTAAAAGAGCACTGATCACTGTGGTCATTGGCTCACACCTGTAATCCCAGCACTTTAGGAGTCCAAGGTGGGCTGATCACAAGGTCAGGAGATAGAACCATTCTGGTTAACATGGTGAAACCCCATCTGTACTAAAAATACAAAAAATTAGCCTGGTGTGGTGGTACTCGCCTGTAGTCCCAGCAACTCAGGAGGCTGAGGCACGAGAATCACTTGAACCTGGGAGGCAGATATTACAGTGAGCCAAGATAGCGAGCGCCACTGCATTCCAGCCTGGGCGACAGAGCGAGACTCCATTCCAAAAAAAAAAAGAAAAAAAAAGCACTGTGGTTAAAAGTCAGCTTAAGTACAGCAGATATTCAAGCTCTAACAGCCTGGGACACCTTGGGAAAAACAGAAGAGGTGCCGCAGGCCCTCTTTTGAGAAACACTTTTTCCTCATGAAACTCCAAAAATTGAAGGTGGATAGAGCCTTCTCAAAATCTAAGGTTCTGTTCGTTTTGCAATGCGTTATCTGATGTTTTTGACTTTGGGGGGTATCAGAAATTACTTCACATTATAAAAGAAACTTGGCATGTAATAACTAGGTGAGAACTATACTTTTGGAATGGCTAATGGCAATTATGGGGAAATACTCAGTTCTTCATATTTGGATCAGAGAAACATAATCTTGACCACCTAGGAAATATGGAGGTATCCCCAACCCCTACTGAGAAATAAGACTTCCCTTGGGATTAACTAATTCTCTCCTTTTTAGATCCAAGATCTGATTTAAAAATGGTACCCTTAATTTAGGAGGATCTGTTTTGTTTTCCAGCTCTGTTTACTTTTTAGGCCATAAAAACGACATGCTTTCCTGGCCCTGGGCTCCACGCTGAAACTAGTAATCCAGTTAAGAAACTGACAAAGAAGCTCTCCTCCCCCGACCCAAGATGCCAAAAGGAAAGAAGGCCTAGGGGAAGAAGGTGGCTCCAACCCCTGCTGTTGTGAAGAAGCAGGAGGCCAAGAAAGTGGTGAATTTCCTGTTTGAGAAAAGGCCTAAGAATTGTGGCACTGGGCAGGACATCCAGCCCAAAAGGGACCTCACCCGAAATGGCCCCACTATATCAGGTTGCAGCAGCAAAGAGCCATCCTCTATAGGCGGCTGAAAGTGTTTTTCTGTGATTAACCAGTTCACCCAGGGCCTGGACCACCAAACAGCTACTCAGCTGCTTAAGCTAGCCTACAAGTACAGACCAGAGACAAAGCAAGAGGAGAAGCAGAGGCTGTTGGCCCGGGCCGAGAAGAAAGCTGCTGACAAAGGGGACATCCTTATTAAGAGACCACGTGTCCTTCGAGCAGGAATTAACACTGTCACCACCTTGGTGGAGAAAAAGAAAGTTCAGCTGGTGGTGATTGCGCATGATGTGGATCCCATCAAGCTGGTTGTCTTCTTGCCTGCCCTGTGTCATAAAAGGGGAGTCCCTTACTGCATTATCAAGGGGAAGGTAAGACTAGGACGTCTAGTCCACAGGAAGACCTGCACCACTGTCGTCTTCACACAGGTTAACTCAGAAGACAAAGGTGCTTTGGCTAAGCTGGGGGAAGCTATCAGGACCAACTACAATGACAGGATGAGATCCGCCATCACTGGGGAGGGAAGGCCCTGGGTCTCAAGTCTGTGGCTCAGATCGCCAAGCTCAAAAAGGCAAAGACTAAAGAACTTGCCACTAAACTGGGTTAAATGTACACTGTTGAGTTTTCTATACATAAAAATAATTAAAATAATACAAACTTTCCTTCAAAAAAAAGAAAGAAATTGACAAAGAAAAACCTTACAACTACTGAATCTTCTGTCTTTGTATTTACATGTGTTGTGTGTGTGATATGAAAGAACTCTGATTAATTGGTTTAAAAATAGTAAGAGCGTAAATCAAATATTTTGTCAGAAAAGTTAAAAGTGTAACACCTTTTAGTTCATGTGACAAGTAATCTTTTGGAAATAAAAACAGTTTTAAAGATCATTGGGAAAATAAAAAGTCTTCAAAATATAAACATTTGATCTAAGTTATATAGGTCACATATTAGATTTACCAAATATTTCAAGGTCATAAATTGGCTCTTTGACTTTTAAAAATTGTTCAATTTACCTATCTTGAAGCCAGTAGATTCTAAATAAGGCCTTGAGACATATGGAATTAGCCATGTCCCCTACATATACAAAGGTTATAAAGAAAAGAGACTTTATATAAGAAAAGATGTTGTATAGTAAATTCTTATCCTAAAGTAAAATGACTGGTTATTTAAAAAGAGGGATGTTTAGGACAAATCAGAAAGCCCAAACATATTGTAGATGGTCTGTATAAGTCATGAAATAATTCACTGAAGGAAATTTATGCAAGAAATGTTGTACAATTTAAAGGTCATTAGGCCTCTTAAATTAAGACTTCTCAAAATGCCACTATGACTGTTCACTGTACAACTTGCCTGTTTTACAGCTAAGTAAGGCCTGGGACACATCAAGTTAGCCACACCCCCTAACTATTAATACACTGGAGTCAGACCTTATATACACTTGTGTCTGTGTCCTAGACTTCACTCCTAGTATGTAATTAAAATTCCTTACTTACCAAGGTTTTCATCAAAAGTAAAAGTTGCTAAGAGTTAACATTGTAACATCTAATTTTGACTACTAAAAAACAGTTTTACATGCAAGGAATTCAGAGAAAGTGAAATATGTTTTTGATAAAAGGTTATATAAGAAGACATGGAAATGTGGATTTTTTTGCCTAGATTAAAAGGTTAAAGGAATGTTTTAGATTAGATAGAATAAAACTGAAGGTTTAAACAAATTGTGGAAGATTTGCTAAAATTTAATTGCAAAAGAGATTCTGTGTGTCAACATACTGACTAAAGTTAAATAGGTATTATTTTTTCTAGAAATTGAACATTGAGATAAAAATGACAGACTTCTCTTAAAGCACTGATCTACTCTAACAACAAGGACTTTGTGAAGAGTTATAAAAGGTTTATGAGAATACTACCTTATGGTCAAACATTAAAATTGGATAGATTTGTCTATAAAGATTCATTAAGAGGCCGGGCATGGTGGCTCATGTCTGTAATCTCAGCACTTTGGGAGGCCAAGGCGGGCCGATCACAAGGTCAGGAGTTCGAGACCAGCCTGGCCAACATGATGAAAACCAGTCTCTACTAAAGATACAAAAAAATTAGCCAGGTATGGTGGTGTGCACCTGTAATCCAGCTACTCAAGAGGCTGAGGCAGGAGAATCACTTGAACCCAGGAGGCAGAGGTTCCAGTGAGCTGAGATCCTGCCATAGCACTCCAGCCTAGGCAACGGGGCGAGACTCTGTCTCAAAAAAAAAAAAATTAAAAAAAATTCACTAAGAATTGGGTTTGACATAAATCATACACAAATATAAAATAGTAAAAATTTGGCTCATTTAGTATTAAAATCACACAGAAAAGGCTGTCAACTGTGAAATCATGTTTGACTATTTTTGGACTATATTTGTGTAAATATGTTATTGGTATGTGTTCCAAAATTAAGGGAAACTCCTGTAATTCTAATATGACTAATGTAACTAATATGATAATATAACTATCCTCAGTCTGAGTCAACATGCAACCTTATTTTATGTCTCTTCTAAGAACATGCTGACTTCATGGTAAAACATCATTAATAATCACAATCGTTACATAAAATTATTATATGACACAGAGCTAACCAAATTTCCTTGTCAATCATGGTTTTTTTTTTTTTTCACTGTGACTGCCCTAAGACTTTGCCATCCAGACAATCATCTTGTGTTGGTACTCTTCAAAAGATGATTTATAGTTAACTTTGACAGATGTTCTATTTTTTTTTTCTTTTGAGATGGAGTCTTACTCTGTTGCCCAGGCTGGAGCTGGAGTGTAATGATGCAATCTCAGCTCACTGCAACCTCTGCCTCCCAGGTTCGAGTAATTCTCTTGCCTCAGCCTCCCAACTAGGCTGGGATTACAGGCGTCCACCAGCACATCCAGCTATTTTTTTTGTATTTTTAGTAGAGACAGGGTTTCACCATGTTGATCAGGCTGGTCTTGAACTCCTGACGTCAGATAATCCACCTGCCTTGGCCTCCCAAAGGGCTGAGATTACAGGCAGGAGCCACTGTGCCCAGCAACAGATGTTCTTAAATGCAAGTTTGTGATAACTTTAGAAATTGTGACATTAGAATAGAGAAAAAACATTCAGTATACATGGAGAACTGGAATGTTCATGACAATCAAACAGAACAGGAATTAACTGAAGGGACTGAACTAATGGAAGATGAAAGTAATACTTTTTGACTTCACATAAAATGTCACTGATCCTTTGTTTCAGGGTCAAGAAAACTGAATAGTTAGGCAAAAATATCATCACCCCTATTCAGCATGAAGTAGTTACAGAAAATGGATCTTCATCCCTCTACAACCCTCAGGATTAAGTGTGCCCTTGTGAAAAAGATGGGGGAGATGTCAGAGGAACCAGAGCACATCTATTTTGAATAGGGGCTGGGTAAAATAGGACTGAGACTGACTGGGCTGCATTCCTGGATGGTTAGGCATTCTAAGTAACAGGGTAGGAAAGAAGGTCAGCACAAGATACAAGTCATAAAGACCTTGTGGACAAAACAGGTTGCAATAAAGAAGTCAAATAAAACCTACCAAAACCAAGATGTGACGAGAGTGACCTCTGATTGCCCTCACTGCTACACTCCCACAAGTGTCATGACAGCTTACAAATATGGAAACATTAGGAAGCTATCCTATATTGTCTAAAATTGGGAGGCATAAATAATCCATCCCTTGTTTAGCATATAATCAAGAAATAACCATAAAAATGTGCAAACAGCAACCCTTGGGCTGCTCTGCCTATGGAGTAAGCCATTCTTTTATTCCTTTACTTTCTTTCTTCTTCTTTTTTTTTTTTTTTTTTCAGACAGAGTGTCACTCTGTCACCCAGGCTGGAGTGCAGTGGCACGGTCTCGGCTCACTACAACCTCTGCCTCCTGGGTTCAAGTGATTCTTTTGCCTCAGTCTCCTGAGTAGCTGGGATTACAGGTGTGCACCACCAAGCCTGGCTAATTTTTATGTTTTTAGTAGAGACGGGGTTTCACCATGTTGATCAGGCTGGTCTCAAACTCCTGACCTTGTGATATTTTCTTAATACTTCCTTTTACTTTACTGTATGGACTCACCCTGAATTTTTTCTTGAGCAAAATCCAAGAACCCTCTTTTGGGGCTTGGATTGGGACCTCTTTCTGGTAGAACTCTGCACATTTTCTTATTTTTCCAATTAAAAGAATCAGCTGCATTTGTCTTCAGTGGTCTAAATAAAATTTTTCACAGGCTCCAGAACTTTGAACTATCCTCAGTCTGATTCAACATACAACCTTATTTTATGTCTCGTCTAAGAACATGCTGACTTCATGGTAAAACATTCTCTGATCTAAAATCTGATTTTTCACGGTTCATTTGCCATTCCCCTCCCACCTTCTTTCTAATCCTGTTTGCTCCTCCCTAGGAAAGAAAGCCCTTGTCAGCCTAAACTTTCCAATACTTACAGTTTTTATAATTGGTACTTCTTCCTGTTGCAATACTCTTTCGGAATTTTTTTTTACATAAATCTAACTTTGATATTCCAAAGCCTAGAAACTGCCTCAAAACAATAACAACATCATCAGTAAGATCCTCTCAGTCCCCTTTCATCTTAATCCTAACTGCATTTGCCTGTGGGTCCCCAGCTTTCCAGGGCTGTGTCAGCAGAAAGGCTTCTTCCATGGCTGGGTTGAGCAGACTGGGACATCTGCAGGGGAGGATCCCCAGAAAAAAACTAGCTGGGCTTTTATTTGTTTCTTTGTTTCTTTTTGAGATGGAGTCTCGCTCTGTCGCCCAGGCTGGAGTGCAGTGGCGCGATCTTGGCTCACTGTAAGCTCCGCCTCTCGGGTTCATGCCATTCTCCTGCCTCAGCCTCCCGAGTAAGCTGGGACTACAGGCGCCCACCACTACGCCTGGCTAATTTTTTTGTATTTTTAGTAGAGACGGGCTTTCACCGTGTTAGCCAGGATGGTCTCGATCTCCTGACCTCGTGATCCACCCACCTTGGCCTCCCAAAGTGCTGGGATTACAGGCATGAGCCACCGCATAGGTGGGCCTTTCATAACCTCCTTTTGTAGGCTCAATATTAGCCTTAGCTCTTAGTCACTGGGCTCAAGCTTTAATTTCCATGTTAGAGTTACTCACTTGGTTTTCGAAACTATGTGTTTGAAAAATCCAGCAAAATTACTCAAAGGTACTTACATTTTGTACCTAAATAAGAGAAGCAAAAGTATCCATTCCTTTCAGACAACATATCTATTATTTTATTGTTTTCATTAAAAACCATGTAGTAAACAGTTATATGGGAATACTTCTAGGTGATACCAAGTTTCATCTCATAAAATGTAGCATGAAACTCAGAAATCAAGATAACAGGATTTGAACAGAGATATTTAGTCACAAATTCACCCTGCAAAAAGAGCAACTGATGTTTTCATGAATCTATGTAACTCACCAATTATCTACCACATTATCTCATGGAAATGTATTCATTCTGTACAGCCAGAATGAATAGAGATTTTTCCCTATTCTTTTCCTTGGTAGCTAGCATTCTAAAAGCTAAGCCTTGGAATTCTGTTTGAATGCACCCAGCCATAAAAAAAACACACCTGAGGAAACTTGTAAACTCACTCTGGGAAAGAAAAAGGTAAATGAGAATTTTTAACAAATGGGATACATAATTAGATATTAATTTTTTTTCTAAAACCCACCTCTTTTATGCCCTTTGTAAATATTTTCCTACCTGCCAGGCACAGTGGCTCATGCCTGCAATCCCAGCACTTTAGGAGGCTGAGGCAGGCAGATCATCTGAGGTCAGGAGTTCGAGACCAGCCTGGCCAACATGATGAAACCCTGTCTCTACTAAAAAAAAATACAAAAAATTAGCTGGGTGTGGTGGTGTGTGCCTGTAATCTCAGCTACTTAGGAGGCTGAGGTAGGAGAATTGCTTGAACCTGGGAGACAGAGGTTGTAGTGAGCCAAGATCAATCCTTCTGCAGCCTGGGCAGCAAGAGTGAAACTTGTTTCAAAAAAAAAAAAAAATTCCTACCTTTCAAGCCCTACTAATATAATGCAATTTACAGCTAAAAAAGTGAGGTCAAAATAAGTAAACAAATATTTTCAAGGTGACAAACCCAGGGAGTGGCAGTGCTGATTAAAAAACAAATGTGTGTCTGACTCATGTTTCAAGTCAGGCCATTCAATCACTTGGGAGATTCTTCCACCCACTCCTGCTCACTTATGTGCTCATGAACCACCCATACAGGAGACACTGCAGTATTTCTCGGTGACTGCTCCAGGTGCATTTTACTTTGCAAGTTCTTACACCATCTCACTAGAGTCAGGTTTTTTTGTTTTTGTTTTTGTTTTTTTCTGGTCTTTTGGGATACTATTTTATCTGTCACAAATTTTTCACTTTTTAACACTATTTTTCTTCCACTATATTTATTTCATTATCTTTCTGCCCCCTAAGACAATCCAGGGGGCATACATTATTTCTGTGTTTTCCCATCAGTGCCAGCATCGGACTGGCTGACCAGCAATGTGTCCCCAAGAAATGAAAGCTGGGTTGGGCGTAGACAATTTTAATGTCTCAAGAGGTTACCTTTTCAAAATAAGAGTAAACTAGAAGATTCCTCTCAGCCCCAGGGCATCCACTTGCTTCCTTGAGAGGATACACTCCATATTTCAAGTCGTCCTATGGAAGAAAATAAACCAGAAGCTGATATTCACTAGGCACTTTAGCTGACATAACCACGGTGGATATCTTAGTTCATCCCCAGACAGCACTGAAACCCACGACCAGAAAAAAACTAAAAGGTGGCTGAGGACACATCACCCCATAAAGTTTCCAAAGGAAAACCTTGACCGAAAAACATTCTGACAAGATCTCTGTGCCTAGAGAAGATACAAGGAGAAAAGGCACAGAGAGTTTTAACAATACAGTATCAGGGGATTATTCTTTGCTTTCTTCTCATGGGAAATATTTACAGATATTTTTTTTAAAAAATCTTTTAAAAAACTTTTTGAAAAGCGTCATTTAATGCTTTGTCAAAAAATAATTAAAATACGGTATAGAAAAGTACACTAAAAGACAAATAGGCGATAACGTGAATTAGGGAGGAAAAGCTGGCATTTGGAAACACCAGAAGGAACTGGAAATTTAGTATCTTACTGCAAGCCAGAGGGAGGCTGGAGAAATGAGGAATGGGGGTTAGACTTAAGACCCTGCTTGGGACACAGGTGAAAAATGCAGCGGAAAATCAGCTCCCCATGGACTGTGAAAATAATTAAAAGGCAGGCAATTAGACGGAGGTGTCTTTAGTCCCTGGGTTCCTACTTTAAAAAAATCTAACTGACGTACATTTTTCAGTAAATTACTACATTGAGAGAAACAAAACTCAGCCCTAACCAACTATAAACTGCCAATTAACCTCTGATTACATAATCAGGAAATTTTCACCTTTATTGTACAAATTAAGAAACTATGTAACTCTACCTAACCAATTACTGAATTTGGTTTTCTTCATCATGCTTTTTATAAAAGTCTTTTCTTCAAGTCCCGCCCATGAAGCACAAATTACAAACCACAGCTGGGTGCTCCACAATTTTTGAATCACTCTTTGATTAAATTATTTAATGTTTTTATAGTGACTCCCATATATTTTTAACAGAAGACAAGAGGAACTGGGAACTCCACGGAACAAAGCTCTTCCCATTCATGAACCCGCACCCCGAGTCAGAACTGTCCCCTGAAGACCCTCCCGTGGTCCCTGCACAATCTGGGAAAGACGCGGTGCTGCGGGTGCAGAGCTGCCCAGAGAGGGCTCCAGGCCAGGGCACAGTCACTGTGCAGTGAAGAGACAGGACGCCTGGGGTCCCGACTGTCAGCACAGCCGCCATCTTATGGCTGGAGGGGACTGAGGCCGAGCTGGGCAAGGAGAACTCGGGGCGCAGACTGTGGAGCTGACTGCGGGGAGGCCTGAGTCCCGCCACAGCCACTTCCCACCGGTTACAACCAGCCCTTCCCCTCTCTCGGGATGTCCGACCCGGCACTCTCACCATTTCTAGGCTTTCAGGGGGTCCCGGTGTCTTAGCTGTGGGTCTCCCAATACCTGCAGGTCACAGGGCCACAGATGTTGGGCCTCTAGGAGCAGAGGACACAGAGCAGCGAAGGGGAGACCTGGAGCTCAGGCTGCGGCGAGAGACAAAGGCCCCGCCACATCCCGGAAGCCGTCCTGTCCGCTCCAGCTGCGTGCCTGATTGGACGGTTCCCAGCCTAGCGTCGCTGATTGGATAACGTTTAAAACCCCACCTTCTCAGGCCCTGAGTGACAGAAGATGCGAACAGATGCTGGGCTGAGTGAAGAAAGAGTGACAGCTTAGGCTGCCGTCTTTTCAGGCAGGGCTTCCTCCCAGAGCTTAGCCAGGCCCACCCCAGAGGGAATTTGTATTTAACCTTGTGTGTAAAGTCACATGCATTTATAAATAACATACTGTATGCCTATTCACAAATGAAAAGAATATAATAACAATTATTTTAAAATTTCGGATTTTATGACCTTCCCGGCTTCTGGTCTTTCAGCAGGCCGTCTGAAATTTTAGAACGGAGGTAATTTTCTGAAATAAAATGTGAGCCATATGTAAATTTTAAATTTTCTAGTAACCAAACTTAAAAAAAAAAAGTAACAGGTTGAATTGATTGTAACAATTTAATTAACCCAATATATCAAAAAATTTTCATTTTAATGTGTGAGAAATATGTGATTATTAATAAAGTATATAAATATTTGAAACTAAATCTTTGAAACTAACTCTGTATTTTACCTTTCTAGCACATCGCAGTTCAGACCAGGAACATTCCAGGCACTCAGGAGCCACACATGACCAAAGCTTCCACATTGAAGTGCAGCTCTGATGTCGGGAGGTGAAGGGCCCCAGCAAACCTTTTCTGCCAGAGGTGAAGGAAAAGCCTCTCCCTACCAACATCTCCCTTCAGTTCTGAGGGTGGAACAGATAGTGGCCATAGAAAGAGCAGAGGGCAGCAAGAACAAAATAACCACAAGGAGACCACTGATAGCCACCTGTTGCCCATTTTCTTCCAGAGATCAGACAGTGAAGAAAGAATGTTGGGGCCACAGGATAATAAAACTCTGTGTCTTCAGATCTGTCCACACTCTTGACCTCAAATGTTTAGATATGGAGAAAACAGATTAAAGGCAAAACTTATTTTGCTATTGGCCTTGGCCCTAATGGTCAGGCCGTAGTTATCTGTTTTCTCCTGTGGTGTGTGGGACTGTGTGGGTATAAGCACCAATCACATGCATACATGTCTACGTGTATTTCTGCATTACTCAACATTCTCTTACAAGTCACCCAACTTTAAATCAGGGGAAAAAATCAGTACCTATAGGGTGCCCACTGTTAGAAGGTAACTAGTAATCAACCTGTCATAGAATCCTGGTGTCCTATCTGCACGGGGTGCATGTATTAGTTAGCTATTGTAGCATAACAAATCGTCCAAAACTTATTAGTTCATAATTGAGATGGTCAGCCATTTAGGCTAGACTGAGTGGGGCCGTTCTTCTAGTCTCAGCTGAGCTCTTTGAGACACGTATCATCAGCTGCTTGTTGACTAGCCAGCTGTGCTTCTGGGGGTGAGCTTCTAGTTCTGGGGCTGTCAACAGGGCACCTTGCTTCTCCTTCCCATGGTATCTTATTTTCCAGCTGGCTAACATGGCTTTATTCAGGGAGATGGCAGCATTCTGAAAGAAAAACAGAAGCATTCAAGACCATTTGAGCCTGGGCCCCAAACTAGCCCACTGTCATGTTCACAAGTTTCTACCACTCTGAGCCAATAAGGCCAGCCAGATCTAGGGTTTGGAAAACAGATTCTGGATCTTGATGGAAACAGTTGTAAAAGCACCTGGCAATGGGCATGGATACAGAAGAGATTAAAAATTGCCACCATTTTGCAATTAGTACCAATCTACCTCTTTTCCATATGTGGTTCATAGAACTCTTTCACATCAAGAAAATTGTCCAAAGACCCACAGATACTAAGTGGCTGGGCTGAGACTCAGGATTAACTCTGTCTGACTCCAAAGCCCATGTACCTCCATAGATCACACTACAAAGTAGCTGCCCTGCCCTAGACCCTTGAAATCCTGGAGAGTGACACTTGTACAGAAGAAACCAGATTCCTTCAGATTTGTGCTCAGTACTGTTTATCATTGGGAATAATCATCTCAAGAAATTGCAGAAGCACTAGCTGGCTCACACCTGTATTGTTAGCACTTTGGTAGCCTGAGATGGGAGAATTACGTGAGCTCAGGAGTTCCAGTGCAGCCTGGGCAACATAATAAGATGCTGTTTCCATGAAAAATAAAATAAAATAAAATTTAGCCAGCCATGGTGGTGCATGCCTGTAGTCCCAGCTACTTAGATGGCAGAGGCAGGAGGATTGCTTGAGCCTGGAAGGTGAAGGCTGAAGTGAGCCATGATTGGTTACACCACTGCAATCAAGACTGGTTGATAGAGTGAGACCCTGTCTCAAAAAAAGAAAAGAAATTGAAGAAGCATTTTGAAAAGACATAGAATAATTTAAGGAAATAGCTGAGGGATGAGTTTAGGAAATCGAGGCCCAACAACACATTATTTATTTTTCATCATATAAAAAAATTTGAAAACTTTTAAGAGAAAGAAACTTTTTTTTTTTTTTTGAGACCAAGTCTTGCTCTTTTGCCCATCCTGGAGTGCAGTGGCCTAATCTCTGCTCACTGCAGCCTCTGCCTCCTGGGTTCAGCAATTCTCCTGCTTCAGGCTCCCGAGTAGCTGGGATTACAGGTGCGCGCCACTATGCCCAGCTAATTTTTTTTGTATTTTTCGTAGAGATGGAGTTTCACCATGTTGGCCAGGCTGGCCTTGAACTCCTGATCTCGTGATCTACCCGCCTTGGCCTCCCAAAGTGCTGGGATTACAGGTGTGAGCCACCGTGCCCAGCCTAAAAGAAAAAAACTTTAGAGAAATTATATTTAACAGAGTTTATTTGAGCATAGAATAATTTGCAAATTGGGCAGCCTGTGAATCCAGAACAGGGTCAGAGGGACTCCAGCACAGCCACATGATGAAAACAGATTTATGGCAGAAAAAGCAAAGGGACATACAGAAAATAAACATGAGGTGTAGAAACAGCCAGATTGACCACAGCTTGGGATTTGCCTTATTTGAACATGGCTTGAACACTTGATGTTATTTTATTGGTAAAAACACGGTGGTTGGTACAATAATAAGTTACAGTCTATTTATGTATAAATAAATCAAATGGTGCCATCTCGACTCACTGCAACCTCCGCCTCTCGGATTCAGCCATTATCCTGCCTCAGCCTCCCAAGTGGCTGGGATTACAGGCGCTTGCCACCATGCCTGGCTAATTTTTGTATTTTTAGTAGAGACGAGGTTTCACCATATTTACCAGGCTGGTCTTGAATTCCTGACCTCAGGTTATCCACTTGCCTCAGCCTCCCAAAGTGCTGAGATTACAGGAGCGAGCCACTGCACCCAGCCCTGATAAAATAGTGTTAAGCAAAGCTAACTAAATGGACTGGATTGTTTTTGTAATTGAGACTGATGACAATCAGATTCACTGAGAGTGAAAAAAATGTGTTGACTATTATAAAATAGTCATTGGATGTCTTATGCACCAGATAATAGAACCTCATGTATCTTCTGCTACTGAAGTCTAATATGATTAAATGCAGCAAAACTTCAGTGCATTATGGCAAAGCATATTTTCACCAGGTAAAGAATGCTTTTAATGGTCTACTGACTGAGGACAGTAAAACTCTTTATAATCTATAACCCAGAGATTGAGTCTGCTTGCCATCCACACTGCAGCAAGACTTCAGGACCTTGAACCTTGGGTTAATAATCTCATGACTCAGAAGGGCCCCTCCAAACATTTGCAATTGTATATCCATTGGAGATCTTAAGGTAAAGCTAACCAGTAAAGTTTCTTCTCAAAAGTGGATGGCAACATTGATATAGATAGCTTTTTTTTTTTTTTTTTGAGACAGAGCCTTGCTCTCTCATCCAGGCTGGAGTGCAGTGGTGTGGTGGTGGCTCACTGCAACCTCCACCTCCCGGGTTCAAGCGATTCTTCTGCCTCAGCCTCCCGAGTAGCTGGGACTACAGGTGTGTGCCACCATGTCCAGCTAGTTTTTGTATTTTTAGTAGAGTCGGGGTTTCACCATATTGGCCAGGCTGGTCTCGAACTCCTGACCTTGTGATCCACCCACCTCGGCCTCCCAAAGTGCTGGGATTACAAGCATGAGCCACCGCACCTGGCCCAGATAGACTTTTTTTTTTATAAGATCAAAAATCAAGACATCTTTGCTATCATACACTCTTTGTTCGCTGTTTTTTTCTTATGGCTCTACAAATGACAGAAATTAAAAAAGGCCTCTTGTGTGCACTCATGGCATACACTTATATGTAGAAGATTTTGGCTGGGCGTGGTGGCTCACACCTGTAATCCCAGCACTTCAGGAGGCTGAGGCAGGCAGATCGCCTGAAGTTCTGTGCAGTCACTCCAGGAGTGCACAGGAGTGCAGTCACCGCTCAAGAAAACCGATAACCACAGCCAGACAATTAGGGCCAAGGCCAAATAGCAAAATAAATGCCTTTAATCTATTTTCTCCATATCTAAACATTGGAGTTCAAGAGTGTGGACAGAACTGAAGACGTAGAGTTTTTTTCTCCTGTGGCCCCATCATCCTTTGTTAACTGCCTGATCTCTAAAAGGAAGGTGGGCAACAGGTGGCCAGCAGTGGTTTACCTGTGGTTATTTTATTCCTGCTGGCCTCAGCTCTTTCTATGGCCACTATCTGTTCCAACCTCGGAACTGAAGATAGATGTTAGTAGGGAGAGGCCCTTCCTTCCCCTCTGGCCCTTCACACCACTGACATCAGAGCTGCCATGTGTGGCTCCTGGGTGCCTGGAATGTGCTTGGTCTGAACTGCAATGTGCTAGAAAGGTAAAATATGCAGTTATTTTCAAAAATTTAGTTGCAAATATTTATATACTTCATTAATAATTACATATTCCTCACACATTAAAATGATATTTTGGATATATTGGCTTAACTACATTCTTACAATCAATTCAACCCGTTCTTTGTTTCTTTTTAAAGTTTGGCTACTAGAAAATTCAAAATTCACATGTGTCTCACATTCTATTTCAGAGGATTACCTCCTTTTTAAAATCTCAGGCTGCCTACTCAAAGGACTGTAAACCAGGAAGGTAAAAAAGCTGAATTTTTTTTTTTTTTATTTTTTCATGGAGATGGAGTCCCACTTCGTCACCCAGGCTGGAGTACAGTGGCATGATCTCAGCTCACTGTAACCTCTGCCTCCCAGGTATAAGTGATTCTTCTGGCTCAGCCTCCTGAGTGGCTAGGATTACAGGTGCACGTCACCACACCTGGCTAATTTATTTTGAGATGGAGTTTTGCTCTTGTTGCCCAGGCTATAGTGCAATGGCACAATCTCAACTCACTGCAACCTCCACCTCCCGGGGGTTCAAGCAATTCTCCTGCCTCAGCCTCCCGAGTAGCTGGGATTACAGGCATGTGCCACCACACCCAGCTAATTTTGTATTTTTAATAGAGATGGGGTTTCTCCATGTTGGTCAGACTGGTCTCAAACTCCCGACCTCAGGTGATTCACCTGCCTTGGCCTCCCAAAGTTAATTTTTTAGTAGAGGCGGGGTTTCACCATGTTGATCAGGCTGGGCTGGAACTCCTGACCTCATGATCCTCCTGCCTCAGCCTCCCAAAGTGTTTGGATTACAAGCATGAGCCACCACGCTTGGCCAAAAAAAGCTGAAATTTTAAAACATGTGTTATTATGTTATTTTCGTTTGTGTATAGCCATGTATATTTTTTTGAAATGGAGTCTCACTCTGTCGCCCAGGCTGGAGTGCAGTGGCATGATTTCTGCTCACTGCAACCTCCACCTCCCGGGTTCAGGCAATTCTCTACCTCAGCCTCCAGAGTAGCAGATTGGCTCCTGCAGCCCACATGTGCCACCTGCGCCACAGGTGCTGCCCACCATGCCAGGCTAATTTTTGTATTTTTAGTAGAGGTGGGATTTCACCATGTTGGCCAGGCTGGTCTTGAACTCCTGACCTCGTGATCCACCCACCTTGACCTCCCAAAGTGCTGGGATTACAGGCATGAGCCACCGTGCCTGGCCGCCATATGATATATTATTTACAAATGCGTATGACCTTATACGCAAGGTTGAATGCAAATATCCTCTGGGGTGGGTCAAGCTCACCTCAGGGAGGAAGCCCTGCCTGAGAGGGCTGCAGCCCATCATTTAATCATATCTTCTGTCACTCAGGGCCTGAGAGGGTGGGGTTTTAAACGTTATACAGGCTGGACGCCATGGCTCATGCCTGCAGTCCCAGCTACTCAGGAGGCTGAGGGAGAAGAATTGCTTGAACCTGAGAAGCGGAGGTTGCAGTGAGCCATCATGCCACTGCACTCTAGCCTGAATGACAGAGCGAGATTCCGTCTCAAAACAAAACAAAACAAAACAAAAGTTATCCAATCAGTGACTCTGGGCTGGGAACTGTCCAATCAGGCATGCAGCTGGAGCCAGCAGGGCGACTTCCAGGTTTGGTGGGGCCTTTGTCTCTCACTGCAGCTTGAGTTCCAGGTCTCATCTTCATTGCTCTGTGTCTTCTTCCCCTATAGATCCACAGCTAAGACGCTGGGACCCCCGGAAGCCTTGAAATGATGAGAGTGCCAGGAATGGGAAGAACTTTGTTCTGTGGGGTTCCCAGCTCCTACTTTTGCCTATTAAAACTTTATGGGAGTCACTCCAAAATATTTAAGAATTTAATTAAAGAGTGGTTTTAGAATTGTAGAGCACACAGCTATGGTTTGTAGTTTGTAGTCTATGGGAGAGGCTTGAAGGAAAGTGTTTTGTGTTAGGCATCTGAGCCGAAGCTCAGCCATTATAACCCCTGTGACCTGCATATATGTGTCCACATGGCCTGCAGGAGCCAAGAAGTCTGTAGCAGCCAAAAAACCACAAAGAAAGTGAAACAGCCAGTTCCTGCCTTAACTGATTAACCAACATTACAACATTCAACCATTGTGACTTTTCCTTGCCCCACCTTAACTGATCAATCGACCCTGTGATTGTCCTGTGATTCTTCTGGACAATGAGTCCCATGATCTCTCCACCATGCACCTTGTGACCCCCTCCCCTGCTAACAATAGATAACTACTTTTAACTGTAACTTTCCACTGTCTACCCAAGCCCTATAGAGCTGCCCCTCTCCTATCTCCCTTTGCTGACTCTCTTTTCGGACTCAGCCCACTTGCACCCAAGTGAATAAACAGCCTTGTTGCTCACACAAAGCCTGTTTGGTGGTCTCTTCACCTGGATGTGCTTGACATTTGGTGCCATGACTCGGATCAGGGGACCTCCCTTGGGAAATGAATCTCCTGTCCTCCTGCCTTTTGCTCCATGAGAAAATCCACCTACAAACTCGGGTCCTCAGACTGGCCCAAAAAACATCTCACCAATTTTAAATCGGGTAAGCAGCATCTTTTTATTCTCTTCTCCAACCTCTCTTGCTATCCCTCAACCTCTTTCTCCTTTCAATTTTGGCACCACCCTTCAATCTCTCCTTTCCCTTCATTTCCTTTCCCTTTCTGGTAGAGACAGAGGAGACGCGTTTTATCCATGGACCCAAAACTCCAGTGCTGGTCACAGACTCGGGAAGACAGTCTTCCCTTGGTGTCTAATCACTGTGGGGATGCCTGCCTGATTATTCACCCACATTCTAGATGTGTTTGATCACCGCGGGGATGCCTGCCTTGATCCTTCACCTTGGTGGCAAGTACCACCCCTCTCTCTCTGTGTCTCTACCCTCTCTTTTCTCTAAACTTACCTTTTTACTATGGGCAACCTTCTGCCCTCCATTCCTCCTTCTTCCCTCTTAACCTGCATTCTAAAAAACTCAAAACCTCTTCAACTCTTACCTGACCTAAAACCTAGCATCTTATTTTCTTCTGCAACACTGCTTGGCCCCAGTACAAACTTGAAAATGGCTCTAAATGGCCAGAAAATGACACTTTTGATTTCTCCATTCTACAAGACCTAGATAAGTTTTGTCAAAAAATGGGCAAATGGTCTGAAGTGCCTGACGTCCAGGCATTCTTTACACATTGGTCCCTCCCTAGTCTCTGCTCCCAGCATGACTCATCTCAAATCTTTCTTCTTTCTCTCCTGTCTGTACCTTCAGTCTCCACCCCAAGCTCTGGGTCCTTTAAGTCCTCCTTTCCTATGGACCCATCTGAACTTTTCCCTCCTCCCCAGGCTGCTCCTCCACTGCCAAGCAATTCTTCCTCAGCCTCCACTCCCCCACCCTATAATCCTTCTATCACCTCCCCCCTCACACCTGGTCCAGCTTACAGTTTCATTCTGTGACTAGCCCTCCCCAACCTGCCCAACAATTTCCTCATAGAGAGATGACTGGAGCTGAAGGCATAGTCAAGGTTAATTCTCCTTTTTTCTTTATCCAACCTCTCTCAAATCAGTTAGCATTTAGGCTCTTTTTCATCAAATATAAAAACCCAGCCCAGTTCATGGGCCATTTGGCGGCCACCCTTAGACACTTTACAGCCCCTAAACCGTGAAGGGCCAGAAGGCCATCTTATTCTCAATATGCATTTTATCACCCAGTCACCTCCTGACATTAAAGAAAGCTTCAAAAATTGGAATCTGGCCCTCAAACCCCACAACAAGAATTAATCAATCTTGCCTGCAAGGTGTTCAACAATAGACAAGAGGCAGCCAAGTGGCAACATCTTTCAGAGCTGCAACTGCTTGCCTCCGCTGTAAGACAAACTCCAGCCATGCCTTTGGCACACAAAAACTGCAGAACAACCAAACCGCAGCCTCTGGGCACTCCTTTAAAACCTCCTCATGGACCTTGCTTCAAGTGCCGCAAAACTGGCTACTGGGCCAAGGACTGCCCACAGCCCAGGATTCCTCCTAAGCCATGTCCCATCTGAGCAGGACCCCACTGGAAATCAAACTGTCCAACTAATATTGCAGCCACTTCTAAGGCCCCTGGAGCTCTGGCTCAAAGCTCTCTGGCTGACTCCTTCCCAGATCTCCTTGGCAAGACTGATGCTGCTCAATCGTCTCAGAAGCCCCCCGGACCATCATGGATGCCAAGCTTCAGGTAACTCTTACAGTGGAGGGTAAGTCCGTCCCCTTCTTAGTCAATATGGAGGCTACCCCCTCCACATTACGTTCTTTTCAAGGGCCTGTTTCCCTTGCCTCCGTAACTATTGTGGGTATTGACAGCCAGGCTTCTAAACCTCTTTAAACTCCCCCACTCTAGTGCCAACTTGGACAACATTCTTTTATGTACTCTTTTTTAGTTATCCCCACCTGCGCAGTTCCCTTATTAGGCCAAGACATTTTAACAAAATTATCCACTACCCTGACTATTCCTGGAATACAGCCGCATCTCATTGCTGCCCTTCTTCCCAACCCAAAGCCTGTTTTGCATCCTCCCCTTGTAACTCTCCACCTTAATCCGCAAGTATGGGATACCTCTACTCCCTCTTTGGCAACTGACCATGCACCCCTTACCATTCCATTAAAACCTAATCACCCTTACCCCACTCAATGCCAGTATCTCATCCCACAGCAGGCTTTAAAGGGACTGAAGCCTGTTATCACTCGCCTGCTACAGCATGGGCTTCTAAAGCCTACAAATTCTCCTTACAATTCCCCCATTTTACTTGTCCAAAAACCGGACGAGTCTTACAGGTTAGTTCAGGATCTGTGCCTTATCAAATTGTTTTGCCTATCCACCCTGTGGTGCCCAACCCGTACACTCTTTTGTCCTCAATACCTTCCTCCACAGCTCACTATTCCATTCTTGATCTTAAAGATGCCCTTTTCACTATTCCCTTGCACCCCTCATCCCAGCCTCTCTTTGCTTTTACCTGGACTGACCCTGACACCCATCAGTCCCAGCAGCTTACCTGGGCTGTACTGCCACAAGGCTTCAGGGACAGCCCTCATTACTTCAGCCAAGCCTTTTCTCATGATTGAGTTTCTTTCCACCCCTCTGCTTCTCACCTCATTCAATATGTTGACGACCTTCTTCTTTGCAGCTCCTCTTACCAAGCTTCCCATCAGAACAGTATCCTACTTCTTTAACATCTCTACTCAAAGGGGTACCAACTATCCCCCTCTAAGCCTCAAATTTCTTCCCCTAGTGTTACATATCTCAGCATAGTCCTTTGTCAACATACATGCACTCTTCATACAGACTGTGTTCAGTTAATCTCACAGACCCCTATCCCCACCACCAAAGCATCAACTCCTTTCCTTTGTAGGCATGGTTGGATACTTTCGCCTTTGGATACCTGGGTTTGCCATCCTAACAAAACCATTATATAAACTCACAAAGGAAAACACAGCCGACCCCATAGATCCCAAATCCTCTCCCCACTCTTCTTTCCATTCCTTAAAAACAGCTCTAAAAACTGCTCCCACACCGGCTCTCCCTGACTCATCCCAACCCTTTTCACTATACACAGCCAAAGTGCAGGGCTGTGCGGTCGGAATTCTTACACAAGGACCGGGACCATGCCCTGTAGCCTTTTTGTCCAAACAATTTGACCTTACTGTTTTAGCCTGGCCCTCATGTCTGTGTGCAGTGACTGCCACCACTCTAATACTTTTAGAGGTCCTCAAAATCACTAACTATGCTCAAGATGTCCTCAAAATCACAAACTATGCTCAACTCACTCTCCACAAGTCTCATAACATTCAAAATTTGTTTTCTTCCTCACACCTGATGCATATACTTTCTGCCCCCTGGCTTCTTTGGCTATACTTGCTCTTTACTGAGTCTCCCATAATTACCCTTGTTCCTGGCCCGGACTTCAGTCCAGCCTTCCACATTATTCCTGATACCACACCTGACCCCCATGACTGTATGTCTGTGATCCACCTGGCATTCACTCCATTTCCCCATATTTCCATCTTTCCTATTCCTCACCCTGATCACACTTGGTTTATTGATGGCAGTTCTCAGCATAGTCCTCTGAATTGTAATTCAGAGGAATTGTAAGGAGAATTTGTAGGCTTTAGAAGCCCATGCTGTAGCAGGCGAGTGATAACAGGCTTCAGTCCCTTTAAAGCCTGCTGTGGGATGGGATACTGGCATTGAGTGGGGTAAGGGTGATTAGGTTTTAATGGAATGGTAAGGGGTGCATGGTCAGTTGCCAAAGAGGGAGTAGAGGTATCCCATACTTGCGGATTAAGGTGGAGAGATACAAGGGGAGGAAGCAAAACAGGCTTTGAGTTGGGAAGAAGGGCAGCAATGAGATGCGGCTGTATTCCAGGAATAGTCAGGGTAGTGGATAATTTTGTTAAAATGTCTTGGCCTAATTGCTACTCACCAGCAAAGGCAGGCTATGCTATAGTCTCTTCCACATCTTTCATTGAGGCTACTGCTCTGCACCACTCCACTAGCTCTCAGCGAGCCGAACTCATTGCCTTAACTTGGGCCCTCACTCTTGCAAAGGTACTGTACGTCAATATTTATACTGGCTCTAAATATGCCTTCCATATCCTGCACCACCATGCTGTTATGTGGGCTGAAAGAGGTTTCCTCACCACACAAGGCTCTTACATTATCAATGCCTCTCTAATAAAGGCTCTCCTTAAGGCTGCTCTCCTGCCAGCCAAGGCTGGGGTCATTCATTGTAAAGGACACCAGAAACCAACTCATCTTATTGCTAAAGGAAATGCCTATGCTGACAGAACAGCAAAAGAAATAGCAAATGCCTCCACACCCACAAATATTCCAGCCCTCACTCCAAAAGGCCAATATTTTTCTTTCTACTCTATCACCCCCACCTACTCCTCTTCTGAAAACCTGCTCTACCAGTCTTTCCAACTCAGGGCAAGTGGCTCTTAGCTCATGAAAAATTTATTCTTCCTCAGCTTTATCCAGGAAACAAAGATTATTTTACTTATTATCTCTCCTGCATAGGATTTGCAATCACAACTATTGAACTTCTCCATTCACATTGCCACCCACACCTATGGAAAAAGAGTAATATAATAGGTCGTTGGCTTAACAACAGGGAATCCTATTCATATGATGGAAAATGGGGACAAAAAGCTTTGGTACATAAAACATTATTCCTTCCTTGGTCTAAAAACTCATCGCCACCTACATTAAAGCTAATATGCCTGATTACTGTTTTTAGAGAACTTATTTTCTTAGGGCAGTTCCAAGCTAAAAAATATGCTAACTGGCACCTCTTTAGCCACATAAAAAATGCACCCTAGACCTGAAACTTACTGGACTAACTCATAATAAAATTTTCTTTAAGGTGTCCACGCAGTCCCTGGTCATGCTTGAAGCAGTCCTGAGAAATATCACCCCTACCCCAATGACCCTCACTAAAAAGTTATATTTTCTTTATCTTTTCTTATAACTTTATATTTTAAAAATAAAAAGACAGGAATGTCAGGCCTCAGCTGAAGCTCAGCCATTATAACCCCTGTGACCTGCACATATATGTCCAGATGGCCTGCAGGAGCCAAGAAGTCTGGAGCAGCCAAAAAATCACAAAGAAGTGGAACAGCCAGTTCCTGCCTTAACTAGTTAACCCACCTTATGACATTCTACCATTATGACTTGTTCCCGATAAAGCTGCCCCGCTCCTATCTCCCTTTGCTGACTCTCTTTCTGGACTTAGCCCACTTGCACCCAAGTGAATAAACAGGCTTGTTGCTCACACAAATCCTGTTTGGTGGTCTCTTCACCTGGATGCGCTTGACATTTTGTAAAATGCATAATGAAGAAAACCAAATTTAGTAATTGGTTAGGTACAATTACGTGGTTTCTTAATTTGTACTGTTGTGGGAAAGTAAGGAACTGGAGAGACGAAATGGAGTGAAGGAAAGTGTTTATTTAAGGTGTACACTGGCACAGCGGACACATGTCCTGAAACTCTGAGCCCAGAGCAAAGAAAATGAGTCCCCTTTAAGCATTTTGAGGTGGGCACTGTGTGAAGCAGGAAGCAGGCTTACAGAAATGAGAACAAAGGCTGCTGTGACACTTTTGCAACATGTCTTACATCTCTGGGAAAACTTAGTTTGCAGCTTATGCTTATCTGTCTTGTGACCTTGCAGCTGTGCAAGGAAGAAAGAAACAAGAGTTTACAGAGCCTACAAAATATGTGGAAGGTAGATATGGTTAATGTTTCCTGGGACAGACAGTTAATATTCTCTTCTAACTTCAGGGGGGCTACTTAAATTCTTGTTAGCCTTGGTTAATACAGCAATTCATTCTATGAGCTATTGTTATTTCTCTATTACTATAATCTTTACTATTATTACTTATGCTATTATTCTGTTATTTTCTTAAGTTCCTACTTCAATAGATTAAAGGTGAAAATTTCCTGGTTATGTAATCAGAGCTTAATGGGCAGTTTATAGTTGGTGAAGCCTGAATTTTGTTTCTCTGAATGTAGTAATTAAAAATAATGCACCTGAGTTAGTTTTTTTTAAAGTATGAACCCAGGGACTAGAGACACCTCAGTCTAATTGCCTGCCACTTAATTATTTTCACACAGCACGGGGAACTGATTTTCTGCTGCATTTTTCACCTGTGTCCCAAGCAGGGTTTTTAAGTCTAAACTCCCATGCCCCATATCTCCAGCCTCACTGTGGCTTGCAGTAAGATACTAAATTTCCAGGTTCTTCTGGCATTCCTAAATGCCAACTTTTCCTTCCTAATTCACATTATCACTTCTTTGTCTTTTAGTGTACTTTTTTTATATCATATTTTAATTAATTATTTTTTGGTAAAACATTAAATGGTGCTTTTAAGAAGTTGTATTAACTGTTTGTAAATATTTCCCATGAGGAGAAAGCAAATAATAATCCCCCGATGTTGTATTGTAGAAAATCTCTGTGTCTCTTTTCGTTTTATCTTCTCTAGGCACAGAGATCTTATCAGAATGTTTTTGGGTCAAAGTTCTGCTTTGGAAAATTTATGGGGTGATGTGTCCTCAGCCACCCTTTAGTTTTTTGCTGGTCCTGGGCTTAGTACTATCTGGGGATAAACCGAGATATCTGCCATGCTTATGTCAGCTTGAATGTCCGGTGGATATCAGCTTCTGGTTTATTTTCTCCCTTAGGATGACCTGAAGTATGGAGTGTATCCTTTCTAGGGAGCAAGTGGATACCCTGGGGCTAAGAGGAATCTTCTGGTGTACTCTAACTTTGAAAAGCTGTTAAAATTGCCTTCACCTAACCCAGCTTTCATTTCTTGGAGACAAATTGCTGGTCAGCCAATCAGATGCTGATAATGAGGGGAAAACACAGACATAATTTCTACCCCCTGGATAGAAATTATGTAAGGGGGCAGAAGAATAGTGAAATAAATATAGTAAAAGAAAAAGAGTAAAAAAATTGGGCCAGATGCGGTGGCTCATGCCTGTAATCCCAGCACTTCGGGAGGCCAAGGCAGGCAGAGCACGAGGTCAGGAGATTGAGACCATCCTGGCTAACACAGTGAAACCCAGTCTCTACTAAAAATACAAAAAATTAGCCAGGTGTGGTGGTGGGCACCTGCAGTCCCAGCTACTCAGGAGGCTGAGGCAGGAGAATGGTGTGAATCTGGGAGGCAGAGCTTGCAGTGAGCCAAGATCACGCCACTGCACTCCAGCCTGGGCAACAGAGTGAGATCCGTTTCAAAGAAAGAAAAAAAAAAAGTGAAAAATTTGTGACCAAAAAAATAGTATTGGAACAGAAATTAA
This sequence comes from Homo sapiens, assembly GCF_000001405.40. Taxonomy (NCBI): domain Eukaryota; kingdom Metazoa; phylum Chordata; class Mammalia; order Primates; family Hominidae; genus Homo; species Homo sapiens. The sequence continues at coordinate 21,127,363 of NC_000019.10, read as the reverse complement.
AAGAAATTAAAGAATGTGTAAGCAGAAACTCAGTTGTATGTAAGAAAACCCAATTCCTCCTGAGAAAGAGAAAGAGCTGGAGTCCTTTAAAAATTAACGGCCTGTTTTTCTGTGGCTAGCAAGGCTTATCTCTCCTCCTTTCCCAGGCATTTTGAAGACCCTGTTTCTCTAGCTGTGCAGCTGCAAGGTCACTAGATAGATAAACTCAAGTTGTAAAACATGTTTTTCCTTGGAAAGTAAAAAATTATGTAATGCATGTCACAATTAATTGAATAACTGTCTTTGTTTCTCGCTTCTGTAATATGCTTCTCCCTGCACAGATCTCCCCCTGCCATCCCACAAAATGCTTAAAGGGTAACTTAACTCTTTGTTCAGGGCTCAGTCCTTTGGATGTTAATCCGACTAGGCCAGTGCACCTAAATAATAAATATCCTCCTCAACCCCATCAGTCTCTCTGATTTCTTATCAATCCTGCTACAGTATCCCAAAAGACAAGCAACAAAAACAACAACAAACTGACTCCAGTGAGATGGTGTAAAAGCTTGCAAAGTAAAATGCACCACTGTATTCCAGCCTGGGCGATAGACTGAGACTCCATTTGAAACAACAACAACAACAAAAAATAAACAAACAAAATTTATTAAACTTTCAAAATACAAAAACATCATCAAAAAGTCATAGCATTTCTATACATTAGTAACTATCTCAAAATGAAATTCAAAAAAATTCCATCTACCTAACTATAGTTTGAAGTAAATTTAACCAAAAAGTTGAAACACCTTACATTCTACTCTAAAGAACATTATACAAATTAAGTAACACATAAATGGAATAATATTACTCATTCATGAACTGGCATTTTTAATAGTTAAATATTTGTATTACACAAAATGATCTGCAGATATAATGCAACCTCTATCAAAATACCAGTGACATACTTCATAGACATTTTTAAAAAGCATATCTAAAATTCATATGTTACCACAAAACACCCTAAATAGCCAAAGCAATCAAGACAAAAGAAGGTATCACCCTGACTTTGAAATACACTACAAAACTGTGGTAACCAAAACAGTATGTCACTTGAATAAAAACAGAGATATAGGCCAATGGAGCAGAAGAAAAAGAGAGCAGAAATATATCAGTGTATTTACAGCTAACTGATTTTAAATACAGGTGACTTTTTTTTTTAAGGGAAATAACAGTATCTTCAATAAATGATGTTTAGAAAACTTTATGTCCACATGCAGAGAAAAAAAAGTGAGACCCTCATCTCACACCATATGTAAAAATAAACTCAAAATAAATTAGCCACTTAAATGTAAGGCCTAAAACTCTTAAACTACTACTACCAAAAAATAGAGTGAAAGCCCCATAACATTGGTCTGGGCAGCAAGTTTTTTGATTTAACCTAAATATCCCAGGACACAAAAGGAAGAACAAGTCAGTCAGATCACTTCAAATTAAAAAGCTGCTGCACAGAATCTGATACAATGAACAGAATGTGACAACTAAAAAAAGGGAGAAAATATTTGCAAATTATACATGTGACAAGGGGTTAATATCAAAAATATATACAAAACTCAAATGACAATACAACAAAAATAAGTAACTATTAAAAATAAGTAGCTGAAATAAGTATTTTTCAAGAAAATACATACATAATGGCCAACTGATATATTTAAAAATGCTCAATGTCAATTATCACAAAAAGGCAAGCCAAAAAAGAAAAAACAAAACTAGGAGATATCAACTCGTTCCTGTTAGAATGACTCTTATTAAAAAGAAAAAGCGTTGGTAAAGATGTGAAGAAAAGGGAAGGCTTGCACACTGTTGGTTTGGAATGTAAATGAAGACAGCCATTATGAAAAACAAAATAGAGATTTCTCAAAAAACTTAAACTACCATGTCATAACAGCAATTGCACTACTGGATATATATCCAAAACAAATAAAATCAGAATGAAGAAACATTTGCAATTCTGTTTGTAGCACTTTTCACAATAGCCAAAATACAGAATAAACAGTTTAACATCTAATGAGTAAATGAAGACAATGTGGTAGATATACACAACAGAATATTATTTTTAAAATAAGAAAATTCCTTTTCTCTTGAGACGGAGTCTCACTCTGTTACCCAGGCTGGATGCAGTGGCACAATCTCAGTTCACTGCAACCTCTGCATCCCTGGCTCAAGGGATTCTCATGCCTCAGCCTCTGGAGTAGCTGGGATTACAGGCATGCACTACCATGCCCATGCCCAGCTGAGATTTTTTTTTTTTTTTTGTAGAGACGGGGATTTTCCATGTTGACCAGGCTGGTCTCAAACTCCTGGGCTCAAGCAATCCACCTGCCCTGGCTTCCCACAGTGCTGGGATTACAGGTGTAAGACACCACACCTGGCCTTAAAAAAAAAAAAAAAAAAGAAAAAAATTATATTATTTTAAATTACATAGATTAAGCTGGAGGACATTATATTAGTTGGGATAGGCCAGGCACAGAAAGATTAATATTTCATGATTTCACCTATACATGGATTCCAAAAATCTTAATCCCATTGATGTATAGAGTAAAATGGTGACCATCAGATGCCAAGGTATTTAGAAGAAATGGGGGTTTGGAAAGTCTGTCAAATAATAAGTAATTATAGTCAAATAGGAGAAATAAGTTCAAGAGATTTATTGTACAACATGGTGACTATAGTTCATAATAATGTATTTGGATTTTTGAAAAATGATAAGACGTGGTCTCACCACAAAAATGTTAACTATGTGAGGTATTAATTACCTAGAAATAATAACAATGTATATATACTTCAAAATATGTTCTACAGAAAAAGCACACATTTTCTCAAGTTGAAAGAAAATATTTTTAAGACATAAAAGAATAACAATGTGTCAAATACTGTGTCTTTGTGATTACTTTGGCTAAATAGTATGAAAATACATAGTTTGGGGACTATTGTCATTTAATTTTTTAGTCATAATCATAGGAACTCTGATATTTAACAGCATGTTCAAAATATTATGTTCTACAGAAAAAGTACACATTTTTATCTGTCAAGAGAAAATATTTTCAAAATGTTATAGAATAAGAATGTGTCAAATACTGTATCTTTGTGGTAATCTTGGCTAAATAGTATCAAAAATATGTATTTTGGGGCTATTATTGTCATTTGTCAGTCATAACCATAGGAACTCTGATATTTAACAGCATGGTTTGGACCCAGCACATTGCATGGGAGAAGCCAATGTACTTTAGGATTTTTACTTTAAGCTTGGGCCACCTGGAGTTTCTGGTACTGGTGGTAATGGTATGAAAGCCACTAAAGGGGCAGGTGTTGCTTATGGTCCCATGACTGGCCAGTCTGTGAACACAGTAAACTAGTTTGCATGCAAAATAACAGAATGTTTTAATCCAAAACTTGTCATGATCTCCAAATGTTTTTCAGAGAAAATGACCCAGGAGTTGGCTACAGCTTGGTGACTAAAAATAAAAACCGTAGACTAAACTTCTCCCACTAAAAGAAAAAATATAAAAAATAAGAGAAATTTCTCCAAATTGTAAAATCAATATAGAAAAGACATATTTTTCTAAATTTTAAATTCAGAGGTCATTTTATTATTTTGCAATCTTTACCACCACACTTAAAAGATTCTGCACGGAAATGTAAATTGTGCTGTAATTATATCATAGAAAATTAAATTCGTGGCCGGGCACTGTGGCTCATGCCTGTAATCCCACCACTTTGGGAGGTCGAGGCGGGCGGATCACGAGGTCAGGAGATTGAGACCATCCTGGCTAACATGGTGAAATCCCGTCTCTACTAAAAATACAAAAAAATTAGACGGGTGCGGTAGCGGGCGCCTGTAGTCCCAGCTACTCGGGAGGCTGAGGCGGGAGAATGGCGTGAACCCGGAAGGCGGAGCTTGCAGTGAGCCAAGATCACACCACTGTACTCTAGCCTGGGAGACAGAGCAAGACTCTGTCTCTAAAAAATAAAAAGTAAAAATAAAAAAAGAAAATTAAATTCGTTTACTATTAACTCTCTTAAAAATTTAATTTCCATATTTTCAAGCAAGTTTTATATTTGCCACACTTTGTATAAGAATCTAATAAGATTTTTCTTTTAAAAACAAAGAAATGCAATGCTAATTTAATCCTCTTGCCTGTGGACAGTGTGCGCCTTTAATCTTTTTTTTTTTTTTTTTTTGAGACAGAGTTTTGCTCTTGTCCAGGCTGGAGTGCAATGGCGCAATTTCGGCTCACTGCAACCTCTGCCTCCTGGGTTCAAGCGATTCTCCTGCATCAGCCTCCCGAGTAGCTGGGATTACAGGCATGCGCCACAACATGTGGCTAATTTTGTATTTGTAGTAGACACGGGGTTTCACCATGTTGGTCAGGCTGGTCTCGAACTCCTGAGCTCAAGTGATCCACTTGCCTCGGCCTCTCAAAGTGCTGGGATTAGAGGCGTGAGCCACCACACCTGGCTTTTATCTTAATTAACTAATCTGAATGTTATATTGATAAGCGAACTCACCAGTTAAAATCCATTTTTAAGTGCACTAAAAATAGAATTTTGTCATCAAAATCTACAAAATACCAGGCGAAATGAAATGGCGTGAAGAGAACAGTCAGAAAACTGTAGCTATAACTCAGAAAAAGAAGGGCTGTGATGCATACATAGTTGGAAAATACATACGAGAAACAAATCTGAAGAGAAGTAGAAAATAAAAGAAGCAGAATTTATTTTTTTTTTTATGAGTCTCATTCTGTCACCCAGGCTGTAGTGCAATGGCACAATCTCGGCTCACCACAATCTTCGCCTCCTGGGTTCAAGCAATTCTTCTGCCTCAGCCTCCTGAGTAGCTGGGCTACAGGTGGATGCCACCACAATCAGCTAATTTTTGTAGTTTATTAGTAGAGACCGGGTTTCACCAGGCTGGTCTGAAACTCCTAACCTCAGGTGATCCATCTGCCTCGGCCAGAATTTCTCTTTAAATTCAGCAAGATTCAGTTTTATAGTCTGGAAAAAATGTCCACTCCATATGAAGAATCAATCTTATTTCTTCACCACTGATATCTTTCATTTCTGACTTGAAATTACAAACTAACTCCAGCAGGAATATTTGTGAATTATTATGGAGCATCGATTACACAGTAAGAACTGTAATGTATGTTTGCTACATTTATATATAAAAACATCCTCATGACTTATGAAGCCCCCCAGTACTTACCTGAACAAATTGACTCAATAAATAAATATACTTATGTCAATTATAAAAAGTGAAAGGAACAATCACTAAAGAAAAGAAAACTTATATATTGTTCTCCCCTTAAAAGAACAAAATGGAGTGCTCTCACTAAATAAAATGTAACTTAATACACTACTTTTGGAATTACATCTAAAAATTATTTTGTGTGCACTAAATTTCATAAAAATTCTTATAATCACAGACCAGCTCATATAATGAATACTTCCTAAACCATAAAACAAAAAAAATGTAAGAAACAAAAAAAGTATGGGTCTAGCATGAGTACCAGGCAAGTATATACAGAGAATTTGCATGAAAAGGTTCAGAACTGTAAGTCATGGATTGTACAGTAATAAATTCAATACAAAGCACAAAGTATACATTTGCTTTCAGCATTTTTTAAGGTTTTTAGTTTTATAGTAGCCACCTTATTAAAATGATTTTTATTCCCATATTGTTCTTTTCTGAAAATAGGTACAAACTCATACTCACACACACACACTTATTCCATAATTTTCTTACACCTAAAGTTTGTCTTTAGACTAATACATATTTAACTCTATGTGAATCAAAAAGTCTGCATGTTTGCAGGCAGACAGGCCACATGTTCAAAGAAAAATATATAACAATTTGGAAAAAATATTAATAGTTTAGAAATGAATTTTATTTATACTCATATATAATTTGTATTATGACCATAAAAATAACTCTATAGTAAATAACAATTGTACATTTTAAAATTTATAAAAAGTGGCCGGGCACGGTGGCTCATGCCTGTAATCCCAGCACTTTGGGAGGTCAAGGCAGGCAGATCATGAGGTCAGGAGATCGAGACCAGATCACGAGGTCAGGAGATTGAGACCATCCTGGCTAACATGGTGAAACCCCATCTCTACTAAAAATACAAAAAATTAGCCGGGCATGGTGGTGGGCGCCTGTAGTCCTAGCTGCTTGGGAGGCTGAGGCAGGAAAATGGCGTGAACCCGGGAAGTGGAGCTTGCAGTGAGCCGAGATTGCACACTCCAGCCTGGGCGACAGAGCGAGACTCCGTCTCAACAACAACAAGAACAACAACAACAAAAAATTTTTAAAAAGTGTAGGTTTGGATTGTTTGTAAAACAAAGGAGAAATGCTATGGGTGAAGGATGCCTCACTTAACCCTGATGCTACTATTATATATTGTATTCCTGTACTAAAATATGCCATATAAGTGCATAAATATATACTCATATTATGTACCCACCAAAATTAAATTTAAATGATTAAAAACAAAATAAAAATTTAACCTACAGAAACAATATTCTTTAACTTATTTGCGGTTTAAAGCCACTGGCAAAAAAAATTACTAGAGATGTTAATCCATTATGTTACTAAATAGTATATCGTTACCATCTTTTACCTATACCCTTCAGTAAGGTGGAACAGGGTAAAGTTTGTGGTATAATAATGCTTCATTGAATGCACAATAGTATTTAACATGTTAAAAATGTTAAACTATTAACTTCACACAATCTAAAATTTTAAAAATGTACTGCATCTTATATAAAAGTACAATTAGTATGATAAACTAAATTTTAAATAAAATTAAATGTTTTTTCATAATGCAGAATATTACTCTGAACACCAACCTCATGCACCACTCAATATTATAAGTTAACCCCAAAGAACCTCTCCACTTACATTTTCATTATGCATCTTACATTCTAATGTTTTTACTTTTCAATAGAAAAGATCACAAATAATGCCCACCTAATAAAAAAGAATCTCTTGCCAGGAGCAGTGGCTCATGCCTGTGTAATCCCAGCACCTTTGGAGGCCAAGGTGGGTGGATCACAAGGTGAGGAGTTTGAGACCAGCCTGGCCAACATGATGAAATCCTGTCTGTACTAGAAACATAAAAATTAGCTGGGCGTGGTGATATGCGCCTGTAATCCCAGCTACTCAGGAGGCTGAGGGAGGAGAATCGCTTGAAACTGGAAATTGAAGGTTGCAGTGAGCCGAGATCATGCCACTGTGCTCCAGCCTGGACGAAAGAGCAAAACTCCATCTCAAAAAAACAGAACAAAACAAAGAAAGAATCTTTCATATCTTTGATACAGCAATAATTGATCCCATGCTTTCACATGTGAATCCAATAGGAATGAAGAAACGGCAGGAATTTCAGAGTTGAATGACATCATTATTCACTTTTCAAAAAATCTGTAATATTTTTCAAGAAATAAAGTATACTTTGAATGTAATTATAACTGCAAAAAACCTTCTGATCCTCTTAAAGTTATATACAAATAATTTTTCTACCAACTTTAATTTTCTATACTCAGCCCTCTGATTTAGTATATCTGATGTTGTCAGTGCCTTATGTATTTCTACCATAAATTCTGATATTTACACAGACTTACTTATGGATTAAATTTTTTTTAACTTTTACTGCATCTGCAAAAATATATTCTAGTATGAACTCTGTTTTCTAAGCTGTAGTTTTTGAAAAAGTGTTTTTCCAAATTTACTACATTTGCATGATTTTTCTTCAATATAAATTCCCTGATATTGAACAAAGTGTGAAAGTGCTTCAGAGTTTTTCCTCTACAAAAAATGTCTACAATAAGATCTGTGATACAAGTAAAGGCACTACTACCCACTTTATATTTGTAACATTCATCTTCAAAATAAATATTCTTCACTGTAAAGTTCATATTTTCTTTTTTTTTTACTTTTTAGATGGAGTCTTGCTCTGTGGCCCAGGCTAGAGTGCAATCTCAGCTCACTGCAACCTCTCCCTCCCCAAGTTCAAGTGATTCTCCTGCCTCAGCCTCTTGAGTAGCTGGGATTACAGGCACCACCACCGCAACCGGCTAATTGTTGTATTTTTAGTAGAGATGGGGTTTCACCATCTTGGATAGGCTGGTCTCAAACTCCTGACCTCATGATCCACCTGCCTTGGCCTACCAAAGTGCTGGGATTATAGGCCTGAGCCACCACGCCTGGTCAAAAGCTTGTATTTTCTGAAAGGTCTTTTGACAGTAATTGTACTTATAATGCTTTTATTAAGTATGAACTATCTGGTGTTGAGATATGAACATATATTAATGGCTTTTTCAGTCTTTATATTTGTATAATTTATCTCAAGTACAAATGCTTTCCTGTGCAATAAGGTGTGAGCACTGGTTAAGTTTTGCCACATTGTTCACACATGTAGGTGTTTTCTCCAGTATGAATTATCTTACCTACAATCAAGTGTGACAACCATTTAAAGGCTTTGTCTCATTCTTCAGATTTCTAAGATTTCTCACCAGTATAATTTCTTTTATGGTTAGAAAAGTTTGAGGTGTTGTCAAAAGCATTGCCAGATCTTTCTGGTTTGCAGAGTTTCTTTCCAGTATGAATTATGTTATGTCTGTTAAGAATTGAGGGCTTGTTAAAGGCTTTGCCATGTTTTTCACCCTCGTAGGGTTTCTGTACAGTATGAATTTTTAATGCCTAGTAAGAGTTGAAGACTGGTTAAAGGCTTTGCCATATTCTTCACATTTGTAGAATTTCTCTCCAGTATAAATTATTTTCTTAAAAAGGTTCGAGGACTGGTTGAAAGCACTGGCACATTCTTCACAATTGTAGGGTTTCGTTCCAGTATGAATTTTCTTTTCTTTTTTTTTTTTTTTTTGAGACAGAGTCTTGCCTTGTGGCCCAGGCTGGAGTAGAATGGCGCGATCTTGGCTCACTGCAACCTCTGCCTCCCAGGTTCAAATGATTCTCCTGCCTCTGCCTCCCAAGTAGCTGGGATTACAGGCGCCTGCCACCACACCCAGCAAATTTTTGTATTTTTAGTAGAGATGGGGTTTTACCATGTTGGCCAGGCTGGTCTTGAACTCCTGACCTCGCGATCTGCTCACCTAGTCCTCTCAAAGTGTTGGGATTACAGGCATGAGCCACCATGCCCTGCTGAATTTTCCTATGTTTAGTAAGAGTTGAGGATTGGTTAAAGGCTTTACCACATTCTTCACATTTGTAAGATTTCTCTCCAGTATGAATTATGTTATGTTTAGTAAGGTTTGAGGATCGGTTGAAAGCTTTGCCACATTCTTCACATTTGTAGGGTTTCTCTCCAGTGTGAATTCTCTTATGTGTAGTAAGGTTTGAGGATCGGTTAAAAGCTTTGCCACATTCTTCACATTTGTAGAGTTTCTCTCCAGTATGAATTATCTTATGTTTGGTAAGGTTTGAGGATTGGTTAAAAGCTTTGCCACATTCTTCACATTTGTAAGGTTTCTCTCCAGTATGAATTATCTTATGTATAGTAAGTTTTGAGGAGTGGTTAAAGGCTTTGCCACATTCTTCACATTTGTAGGGTTTCTCTCCAGTATGAATCATCTTATGTGTAGTAAGGTGTGAAGACACATTAAAGGCTTTGCCACATTCTTCACATTTGTAGGGTTTCTCTCCAGTATGAATTCTTTTATGTTTTGTAAGGGTTGAAGACCAGTTAAAGCCTTTGCCACATTGTTCACATTTGTAAGATTTCTCTCCAGAATGAATTATCTTATGTTTAGTAAGGTATGAGAATCGGTTAAAAGCTTTGTCACATTCTTCACATTTGTAGGGTTTTTCTTTAACATGAATGAACTTATGTGTAGTAAGGGCTGAAGGGTGGTTAAAAGCTTTACCACATTCTTCACATTTGAAGGGCTTCTCTCCAGTATGAATTACCTTATGTGTAGTAAGGTGTGAAGAATGGTAGAAGGCTTTGCCACATTCTTCACATCTGTAGGGTTTCTCTCCAGTATGAATCATCTTATGTGTAGTAAGGGTTGAGGAGTGCTTAAAAGCTTTGCCACATTCTTCACATTTGAAGGGTTTCTCTCCAGTATGAACTCTCTTGTGTCTAGTAAGGGTTGAGAACCGCTTAAACACTTTGTCACATTCTTCACATTGGTAAGAATTCTCTCTAATATGAATTCTTTTATGTTGATGTAGGTGTAAAAGCATGCAAAATGATTCATCACATTTTTTACATTTGAAAGGTTTCTCTCCAGTATGTCTTGTCTTGTGTCTATTTGAATTGAAAATTTTATGAAAGACTTTTATATATTTATCACATGGAAATATTTTGCTCTGGGTAGTTGTCAAACACTGGTTTAGTTCATTATAACCTTTTTTGTACACCTTACACTCAACCACATTTGCGGAGCCTTTTCTTAACTGTAAATTCTCATGTTCACATTTGCCATGTCTTCTCAGTATCACTTGTTGAAAAGAATCTTTTATGTCTTGCTCTGGCCAAAGGTCTCTGGTAAAAGAAGAACACATAGCTGAAAGAAATACAAACAACAAATTATTCAACTTACTAGACTCTGATAAACATACTTTACAAATCTAACCTATATTATACAAACTACATAAGCAAGATGCCATAATAAAATACCACAGGCCCTAAATCCTTCATAGACATATAAATGTAATAAAAGCATACTGACCAAAATACATAAGGAAAACTTATAAATAAGCATGTAAAGTTCCCCAGGTGAGTACACAGATGAGTACACAGGAATGCAAAGACACAGAAGAAAAAGAAAAGTCCATTACCTTTGCCCAACACAGTTCTTCCTACTCAACAATATAACATACTGCCTTTCAAAGTAAATTGCTAACTTTTGGTTTCTTTTTTAATAAACAAGTAAAATACTGGCACATACATCTATATTACTTGCTTCTAGGGGCCTTTCCAGAAACTGGTCTCCCGTAACATAAAGTGCTGAAAAAAATGGTGGTATATTTTGGAGTTATAGTTTGGGTCTTGAGACCAAAGGTAATTGTTACAGCAGCAGAGAGACTGCAGTACAACAGACAGAAAACAGAGCAAATGGTTACTGATTAAGATGAAGCAGAAATAAACTCCTTTAACTAAAAAGTAAACACAAAATTTTAGACAAGATACATTCTAAGAACATGTTTGAGAGTCTACCAGGATCTCTAACCAAGATAATTGTTTTCAGACTATGCCAGGAGAAAGCTACAAGATAAAAACTGTGTCAGGTAGCTTTATTTAATGTCTAAATTTTAATCAAAGATTACAATGAATACAAAATAGGGCAAAATGGTTCTATCAAAAATATTATAAAATTTTCAGAAAGAAACCATAAAAAAGATGTATATATTAATTTTAAAAATTAAAAATAAATTGAATACTCAATGAGTAAAATAGGAATACAGAGAACTATAGAAAACCAGAAAAAACTGATAAGAAAAAAATATTTAAAATATCCAAAAAACAGAAATTGTAAAGGTAAAAAATATCAAAAGAAAATATAACTCAAAAATTCTGAAAGAAAAAATATTGTCAAAATGAAGAAGCTCAACAAACAATTAGGATACACACAAAGATATTTATAACAAACACATATATAAGCACAATTTCAAAAACCACAGACAAGAAGAGAATGGAGCTGCAAGATAAAAATGGCATGTCATTTACAAGCACAGTCTTATAAGATAGTCAGTGAACTGTCAACAAAAGCTTTGCAGGCCAGAAGGAAACTGTGATATAGCCAAAGTCCTAAAAAAAAATAGCTATCAAGTGAGAATAATACCAGTCCTGCCCAATAAAAAGAAAAAAACCTTCAAAAATAACCAAATTCTGAAAAAAAATATTGGCACTTCATATGCCCTAAACATAAAAGATGCTGAAAGCAGTTGCTTCTACTGAAAATAATACGATTAAATAAAGTAATTTTATAAATAATAATTTTATCATATAAATACATTATTTTCTAGGGAAACATGCACATACACAAAAATGGAATTTCTTAGCATTATAATAATGGCACAAAAAACATTTTTAATTATTCTCTAAAATTTGAAAGGTAAAAGAATAGAAATCATTATAAACATTTGTTAATGATATACAACATAAAATATATGATTAGCAACATCAATGACAAATTTGAGGGCAGATATAATGAGAAAAAATTTATGAATCCAGCTGAAGTTCATTTTTTACCAGATTAAAATACACTGTTTTATCTTTTAGAGGTATTATGTAATTCCTAATATACCACCAAGAATATATCTGAATAGATACACAAAACAAAATAAGAAAGAAGTAAAAGCATATCAAGATAAGTATAAAAAAGACACAGAGACAGAAAAAGAGAAAATGAGGAACAAAGATACAAGAATCAAATAAAACAATAAAATAACACTACTAAGTCTTTGTAACTGGAGAAAAATAAAATTCTTTTCAGAGAAGCAAATGCTGAAGGAATACATGACCACCAGGCCTGCCTTGCTAGATAGAGCTATTAAGGAAGCACTAAATATGGGAAGAAAAAAACCATTACCAGCCACTGCAAAAACAAAGTGAAGTACAAAGATGAATGATGCTATAAAACAACTACATCAACGACTCTGCAAAATAAGCAGCTAGCACCACTTGGATAGAATCAAAATCAAACATAACAATATTAGCCTTAAATGTAATAGGCTGAATGCCTCAATTGAAAGACATAGAAGGGCAAACTGGATAAAGAGTCATGACCCATTTGTGTGCTGTATTCAAGAGACCCACTTCGCATGAAAAGACAAATGTAGGCTCAAATTAAAGAATGGAGGAAAATTACAAAGCAAATAAAAGCAGAAAAAAAAGCAGGGGTTGCAATCATAGTTTCTTTTTTTTTTTTTTTTGAGATGGAGTCTCGCTCTGTCACCTAGGTTCGAGTGCAGTGGTGCGATCTCAGCTCACTGCAAGCTCCATCTCCTGGGTTCATGTCATTCTCCCGCCTCAGCCTCCCAAGTAGCTGGGACTACAGGCACCCGCCACCACACCTGGCTAATTTTTTGTATTTTTAGTAGACGAGGTTTCACTGTGTTAGCTAGGATGGTCTCGATCTCCTGACCTTGTGATCTGTCCACCTTGGCCTCCCAAAGTGCTGGGATTACAGGCGTGAGCCACCGAGCCCAGCCTGCAATCACAGTTTCTGACAAAACAAACTTTAAACCAACAAAGATCAAAAAAGACAAAGAAGTACGTTACATAATGGTAAAGAGATCAATTCAAGGAGCACCCAGATTCATAAAACACATTCTTAGAGAACTATAAAGAGACTTAGACTTCCACATAATAATAGTGAGAGTCTTTAACACCCCACTGTTAATATTAGACAGATCATTGAGACAGAAAAGTAACAAGGCTTGAACTCAGCTGTGGGTCAAGTGGACCTGACAGATATCTACAGAACTCTCCAGCCACAAACAACACAATACACATTCTTCTAAGTTCCACATGGCACTTACTCTAAAATTGATCATATGGCTGGGCATGGTGGCTCACGCTTGTAACCCTAGCACTTTGGGAGGCCAAGGTGGGTGGATTGCCTGAACTCAAGAGTTCAAATCCAGCCTGGGGAACACAGAGAAACCCCGTCTGTACTAAAAATACAAAAAAAATTAGCCAGGCGTGGCAGTATGTGCCTGTAATCCCAGCTACTCAGGAGGCTGAGACAGGAGAATCGCTTGAACCTGGGAGGTGGAGGTTACAGTGAGCCAAGATTGTGCCATTGCACTCCAGCCTGGGTGACAGAGCGAGACTCGGTCTCAAAAAAAAAAAAGAAGAAAAAAGAAAAGAAAAAAAATTGTAACATAATTGGAAGTAAAACACTTCTCAGCAAATGCAAAAGAACTGAAATCATAACATGCCACTGCACCCCAGCCTGGGTGACAGTGTAACACTCTGTCTCAAACAAACAAACAAACAAACAAACAAAAACAAAACAAAAAAACTCACGAGTAAGAAACTCACTCAAAACCACACAACTACATGGAAATTGAGCAACCTGCTACTGAATGACTTCTGGCTAAATAATAAAATTAAATCAGAGGCTGGCATCCACAGCCACACCCTTCTGACCGTGCCCAATCTCGGAAGCTAAGCAGGGTCGGGCCTTGCTGGGACTTGGAGGGGAGACCACCTGGGAATACCGGGTGCTGTAGGCTTTGGCTGGGCATGGTGGCTCACACCTGTAATCCCAGCACTTTGGGAGGCCGAGGTAGGCAGATCACCTGAGGTCAGGAGTTCGAGACAAGCCTGGCAAACATGGTGAAACACACCATGTCTACTAAAGATACATAATATTAGCCCAGCATGGTGGTGGGTGCTGGTAATCCCAGCTACTTGGGAGGCTGAGGCAGGAGAATCACTTGAATCTGGGAGGCAGAGATTGCAGTGAGCCGAGATCGCGCCACTGCACTCCAGCCTGGGCGACAGAGCGAGACTCCGTCTCAAAAAAAAAAAAAAAAAAAAAAAATCAGAAATAAAAAAACTATTTGAAACCAATGAGAATGAAGAGACAATGTACCAGAATCTCTGGCATACAGCTAAAGCAGTGTTCATGGGGAAATTTATAGCACTAAATACCCAAATGAAAAAGCCAGAAAGATCTCAAATGGACACCCTAACATCACAACTAAAAGAACGAGAAAACCAAGAGCAAACAAACCTTAAAGCTAGCAGAAGACAAGAAATAACCAGATTCAGACTGGAAGTGAAGGACACAGAGACACAAAAAAACCATTCAAAAAAAAAAATCAATGAATCCAGGAGCTGTTTTTTTGACAAAATTAATAAAATAGACACTAGCTATAAAGAGAGATGAATGAAATAGACAATAAAAAATGATAAAGGGGATATCACCACTGACCCCATAGAAATAAAAACAACTTTCAGAAAACACTATAAACACCTCTGTGCACAAAAACTGGAAAATCTAGAAGAAATGGATAAACTGCTGGACATATCCATCCTTTCAAGTCTGAACAGGAAGAAGTTGAATCCCTGAATAGACCTATAACAAGTTCTGACACTGAGGCGGTAACAAATAGCCAATAGCCTACCAACCATAAAAAGTCCAGGGCCAGATGAATTTATAGCTAAATTCTACCAGAGGTACAAAGAGTACTATTTCTTCTGAAACTATTCCAAATGATAGAAAAGGAGGGGCCTCTCCTTAACTCATTCTATGAGGCCAGCATCATCCTGATATCAAGACCTGGCAGAGATATAACAAAAACAAACAAACAAAAAAACCTTCAAGCCAATATCCCTGATAAACATTAATACAAACATTCTCAATAAAATACTTGCAAACTGAATCTAGCAACACATTAAAAAGCTTATCCACCACAATCAAGTCAGCTTTATTCCTGGGATGCAAGGCTAGTTCAACATACAAAACTCGATAAACATAATTCATCACATAAACAGATTTAAAGACAAAAACCACACGATTATCTCAATAGATGCAGAAAAGGCCTTCGATCAAATTCAACATCCCTTCATGTTAAAAACTCTCAATAAACTAGGTATTCATGGAACATACATCAAAATAGTAAGAACTATCTATGACAAACTCACAGCCAATATCATACTAAAAGGGCAAAAACTGGAAGCATTCCCCTTGAAAACTAGCACTAGACAAGGATGCCCTCTCACCACTCCTATTTAACATAGTATTGGAAGTTCCAGCCAGCGAAATCAGGCAAGAGAAATAAATAAGCAGTATTCAATTAGGAAGTCAAACTTCTGTCTGCAGAAGCTTGCAGACGACATGTTTGCAGACAGCATGATCCTAGATCTAGAAAGCCCCATTGTCTCAGCCCAAAAGCTTCTTCATCTAATAAGCAACTTCAGCAAAGTCTCAGGATACAAAATCAATGTGCAAAAATCACAAGCATTTCAATACACCAACCATAAACAAGCAGACAGCCAAATCATGAATAAACTCCCATTCACAACTGCTACAAAGAGAATAAAGTACCAAGGAATACAGCTAACAAGGGAAGTGATAGACCTCTTCAAGGAGAACTACAAACCGCTGCACAAGAAAATCAGAGAGGACACAAACAAAAAGACAGAAAGAATCAATATTGTAAAAATGGCCATACTGCTCAAAGTAATTTATAGATTCCATGCTATTCTGACTAAACTACTACTGATATTCTTCACAGAATTAGAAAAAAACTATTTTAAAATTCATATGAAACCCCAAAAGACCCCATATAGCCAAGAGAATCCTAAGCAAAAAGAACAAAGCTGGAGGCATCATGATATCCAACTTCAAACTATACTAGAAGGCTATAGTAACCAAAGCTGCCTGGTACTGTTATAAAAACAGACACATAGACCAATGGAACAGAATAGAGAACTCAGAAATCTAAGACTGCATATCTACAACCATCTGATCTTTGAAAAACCTGACAAAAACAAGAAATGGGAAAAGGATTCCCTTTTAATAAATGGTGCTGGGAGAACTAGCTAGCCATAGGCAGAAAACTGAAACTGGACCCCCTTTCTTACACTTATACAAAAATTAACTCAAGATGAATTGAAAACTTAAATTTGAAACCCAAAACTACAAGAACCCTAAAATAAAATTTAGGCAATACCATTCAGGACATAGGCATGGGCAAAGATTTCATGAGGAAAGCGTCAAAAGCAATTGCAACAAAAGCAAACATTGACAAATGGTATCTAATTAAAGAGCTTCTGCACAGCAAAATAAATTGTCAGAGTGAACAGACAATCTACAGAATGGGAGAACATTTTTGCAATCTATCCATCTGACAAAAGCTAATATCCAGAGTCTACAAAGAACTTAAACAAATTTACAAGAATAAAACAAACAACCTCATTAAAAAGTAAGCAAAGAACAAGAAGAAACACGCCTCAAAAGAAGACATTTATGTGGCCAATAAAACATGAAAAAAAGCTCAACATCAGTGATCATTAAACAAATGCAAATCAAAACTACAATGAGATACCATTTCATGCCATCAAAATGGTGATTACTAAAAAGCCAAGAAACAACAGATGTTGGTGAGGCTATGGAGAAATAGAAATGCTTTTATACTTTTGGTGGGAATGTAAATTAGTTCAACCATTGTGAAAGCCAGTATGGCGATTCCTCAAAGACCTAGAACCAGATATACTATTGGACCCAACGATCCCATTATACTGGGTATATACCAAAGGAATATAAATCATTCTACTGTAAAGATACATGGATGTGTATCTTCACTGCAGCACAATTCACAATAGCAAAGACATGGCATCAACCCAAATGCCCATCTGTGACAGACTGGATAAAGAAAACGTGGTACGTATGCACCATAGACTACTATGCAGCCATAAAAAAGGAACAACATCATGTACTTTGCAAAGACAGAGATGGAGCTGGAAGCCATTATTTTCAGCAAACTAACACAGGAACAGAAAACCAAACACGACATGTTCTCACTTATAAGTGGAAACTGAACAATAAGAACACATGACATATGGGGGGAAACAACACACACTGGGGCCTGTTGCAGGGGAGGGAGAGAATCAGGATAAATAGCTAATGCATGCAGGGCTTATCACCGAGGTGAGGGGTTAATAAGTGCAGCAAACCACCATGGCACACGTTTACTTATGTAACAAACCTGCACATCCTGCACATGTATCCTGAAATAAAATTAAATTACATTAAATTAAATTAAAAAAAAAACAACAATGAAACTGGTAATAGTAACTTTATATCTTTAAGCAGTCATTTTAAATATAAATTAATTAAACTACTTATTTAAAAAATGTAATCTCAGAACTTTTGGAGGTTGAGGAATCTGATCACTTTAACTCAGGAGTTTGAGACCAACCTAGACAACAGGGCAAAAAATTGTATCTACAGAAAAAGGTACAAAAAACTATCTGGGCTTGGGATGGCAAATATTTGCAACCCAGCTACTCAAGAAGCTGAAATGAGATCATCTGAGTTTGGGAGGTTGAGGCTGCAGTGAGTCATGATCATGCCACTGCAAACCAGCCTGGTTGACAGAGTGAGACTTTATCTCAAAAATAAATAAATTTATAAAAAGAAAAAATAAGATGGCTTAGTGGCTTAAGTTAAAAAGCATACAATTTGCTGTCTATAAGAGACTCATTTTAGCATTAAGTCAAATAGGTTGAAAGTAACAGAATGGAAAAAAAACTATATTCCATGCAAATAGTAACCACAATTGGATGAGGTGGTAATAATTATATTGGATGTATTTTAAGTCAAGTACTAGCATAGGACAAACACAGTATTACATAATGGTCAAATGGGTCAATTTACCAGGAATCTATAACTATCATATCTATTTATATGTATATGTGTCTGTATATATAACATGAGGTTTCCAAAATATACAAAGCAAATTTTGGCAAAGGTGAAGCAAGAAATACATAGCAACATAATTGTAGAGATCAAGACATCATTTGCAATAATAAATAGAAAATTCAGATAAAAGATCAATAAGAAAACAGAAAACAGACATTATAGACTGTATTAACTATTTTGCATAAAGAGGAATACCTGAGTGTATAACTTATAAAGAAAGAAGGTTTATTTGGCTCACAGCTCAGCAGACTGTACAAGAAGGGTGTAACAGCATCTGCTTCTGGTGAGGGTCTCAGGAAACTTACAATCATGGTGGAAGACAAAGAGTAACTGGACATATCACATGGTAAGAGACGGCAAGCGTGAGGTGAAGGAGTCAGTTTCTTTAAATGAACCAGTTCTCATTTGAATTAATGGAGTGAAAACTTTCTCATGACCAGGATAGCACAAAGGCATTCATGAAGAATTTGTCCCCATGACCCAAACACCTCCCACCAGGTTTCACATCTAACATTGAGGATTACACTGCAGCATGAGGTTTGCAGGACATAGACATCCAAACCATACCACAGACCAACTAGGCTTAACAGATAGGTACAAAACTTTTCAGTTAAAAGCAAGAAACAACACAATGTTCTTATTTGCACCTGATGTATTCTGTTAGGACACATAACAAGTCTTATTAAATACTGGCTGGATGTGTGGTTGGTACCTACAATCCCAATAATTTGGAAGATGAAGGTGGGAGGATCACTTGGGATCAGAAGATTGACACCAGCCTGAGTAACACAGTGAGACCCTGTCTAGTGAGACCCATTACTACAAATAACCAAAAAAATTAGCGAGGCATGGTAGTGCATGTCTGTAGTCTCAGCTACATAGGAGGCTGAGGTGGAAAGATCGCTTGAGTCAAGGAGGCTGAGGTTGCAGTGAGTCAAATTTATGTCAATGTACTCCAGCATGGGTGATAAATATGATCCTGTCTCAAAACGACAATAAATAAGAAGACCAAAATCATACACTTTGTTTTCTGACCAAAACTGAATAAAACTAGAAATTAAAAAGTAAAACTGGCAAATCCAAGAATATCTAAAAATAAAACACATGGGTTGAGTACGGTGGCTCATGCCTCCAATACTAGCATTTAGGAAGGCTGGGCAGGAAGATTGCTTGAGCTCAGAGGTTCAAAACTAGCATGGACAACGTAAGAAAACCCTGTCTCTAAAACAAATAAAATAAAAATAAAAGACACTCTTCAACGTATTTTTGTTCAATGGTCAATAAAATTAATTTTGTTAAGATGTCAGTACAAACTACAGTGGGAAACAAATTCAATATAAGCTCTTTAAAAATCCCAAAAGTACAGTTTCATTATAGAAATCTTGTCTATGGCTGGGTGTGGTGGCTTACACCTGCAATCCCAGCATTTTGGGAGGCCAAGGTGGGCGGATCACCTGAGGTCAGGAGTTCAAGACCAGCCTGACCTACATGGAGAAACCCCATCTCTACTAAACATACAAAATTAGCCAGGCGTGGTGGCACATGCCTGTAATCCCAGCTACTCCGGAGGCTGAGGCAGGAGAATTGCTTGAACCCGGGAGGCGGAGGTTGCGGTAAGCCAAGATTGCGCCATTGTACTCCAGCCTGGGCAACAAGAGCGAAATTCCGTCTCAAAAAAAAAAAGAAAGAAAACTTGTCTAAAATTTAAAAATTTGATTTGGAACTATAACCAGCCAAACGCCCAGGAAAAAGAACAAAGAGGTATTATACTTCCAAATTTTAAAACATATTAAAAGCTAAAATAAGCCAGGTACCGTGGCTCATGTCTGTAAGCCCAGCACTTTGGGAGGCTGAGGTGGGTGGATCACGAGGTCAGGGGATCGAGACCATCCTTGCCAACATGGCGAAATCCTGTCTCTACTAAGAATACAAAAATTAGCGGGGTGTGGCAGCGTGTGCCTGTAATCCCAGCCACTTAGGAGCTGGAGGCAGGATAATCGCTTGAACCCGGGAGGCAGAGGTGCAGTGAGCCGAGATCGCACCACTGCACTCCAGCCTGGTGACAGAGCTAGACTCCATCTCAAAACATACATACATACATACATAAATAAGCTAAAATAACAAAAACAGTATGGTACTGACACAAAGGCAGATAAACAGATGAAAGAAAAGAGTGGAGAGCCCAGAAATGAAGCCTTCTGTATATGATTACATGATCTTCCACAAGGTTGCCACGAGCACACAACAGAGAAGAGATAATCTTTTCAAAAAATAATGCCATAAACTGGATAACAACACTGATAAAGTTGAATCATTTCCTTGAACCATATACAAAAAATATTTGTTTTTTTTTTTTTTTTGAGACGGAGTCTTGCTCTGTCACCCAGGCTGGAGTGCAGTGGCACGATCTCGGCTCACTACAACATCCGCCTCCCAGGTTCAAGTGATTCTCCTGACTCAGCCTCCTGAGTAGCTGGGATTACAGGCGCCTGCCACCACGCCCAGCTAATTTTTGTATTTTTAGTAGAGATGGGGGTCTCACCATGTTGGTCAGGCTGGTCTCGAACTCCCGACCTCGTGATCCGCCCGCCTCGGCCTCCCAAAGTGCTGGGATTACAAGCGTGAGCCACCGTGCCCGGCCCGATTTTATTTTATTTATTTATTTATTTTTGGAGTGACGGAGTCTCACTCTATTGCCCAGACTGGAGTGCAGTGGTGCGACCTCGGCTCACTGAAATCTCTGCCTCCCAGATTCAAGTGATTCTCCTGCCTCAGGTTCCCAAGTAGGTGGGACTACAGGCACATGCCACAATGTCCAGCTAAGTTTTGTATTTTTTAGTAGAGATGGGGTTTCACTATATGTTGGCCACGCTGGTCTCAACCTCCTGACCCTCACGTGACCCTCCCGCCTTAGCCTCCCAACATGCTGGAATTACAGGCATATGCCACCGCGCCTGGCCTATTTATTTTTTTTGAGATGGAGTCTCATTCTGTCACCAAGGCTGGAGTGCAGTGGCATGATCTCGGCTCACTGCAACTTACACCTTCCGGGTTCAAACAATTCTCCTGCCTCAGCCTCCCGAGTAGCTGGGACTACAGGCATGCACTAGCACGCCCGGCTAATTTTTGTATTTTTAGTGGAGACGGGGTTTTACCATGTTGGCCAGGCTGGTCTCCAACTCCTGACCTCAAGTGATTCACCCGCCTCCATCTCCCAAAGTGCTGAGATTATAGGCATGAGCCACTGCGCCTGGCCAAAAAATATTTCAAATAAAATGCTTAGACATAAAAAGAAAAAACAGAAAAACAAAAAAACAAAAAACTAGCGAATCTCTTAGAAAAAAAACTTGACATGGGTCTTGGCACCATTTCCTAAGATACGACATTAAATGCATATGCAACAAAGGAAAGAACAGAAATATTTAACTACACTATACTTCAGAATTTCTGCACATTAAAAAAAATTCAATAGACTGAAAATGTCATCTAGGAAGTGGGTGAAAATATATGGAACTCACAAGTGAAAGTAGTTAATATTCAGAGTATATGAACAACTCTTAAAACTGAACAATAAAGTTGAATAACTTTATTTAGAAATGAAAAAGTAAGGCCAGGCCCGGTGGCTCACGCAGGTAATCCCAGCACTTTGAGAGGCCGAGGCGGGTGAATCACAAGGTCAGGAGTTCAAGACTGGCCTGACCAAGATGGTGAAACTCTACTAAAAATACAAAAGTCAGCCAGGCATGGTGGTAGGCACCTATAGCTACTGAGAAGGCTGAGGCAGGCTGAGGCAGGAGAATCACTTAAACCCAGGAGGCAGAGTTTGCAGTGAGCCAAGATCACACGATTGCACCCCAGTCTGGGAGACAGAGTGAGACTCCGTCTCAAAAAAAAAAAAAAAAGAAAGAAATGAAAAAATAATTTTCATCAAAAAATATACCCAAATGGGATAAAACATTTGAAAAGAAAAGCAGAATTAATGATTTGCAGAGAAACATATAAAAATAAAAATGAGGCCGGGCGCTCACCTCACGACTGTAATCCCAGCACTTTGGGAGGCCGAGTCAGGTAGGATCACCTGAAGTTAGGAGTTCAAGACCAGCCTGGCCAACATGGTGAAAACCCCCGTTTCTACTAAAAATACAAAAACTAGCCAGGCATGATGGCAGGTACCTGTAATCTCAGCTACTCGGGAGGCTGAGGCAGGAGAATTGTTGGAATCCAGGAGGCGGAGGTTGCAGTGAGCCATTGCACCATTGTACTCCAGCCTGGGTGATAACAGTAAGACTTCATCACAATAAATAAATAAATAAATAAATATATAAATAAATAAAATGAAAAAACAAAATTGCCTCACACTCATTACAATGGCCACTATACCTTTTTTTAAAACACCAAATCTGTTGATGATGCAATGAAAATAAAACTATGTTGACTGTTGGTAGAAAACAAGATGCAACCATTATTTTAAATGTTATAAATGCTTCTTAATTAAAAATGGAATTATCATCAAATACAGCAATCTCACTTATGAATATATTTCCAAAATATGAAGCACAGGGCCTGGAACACAAATTCGAACATCCATGTTTATTGTACCAGTATTCACAAAAGCCAAAAGGCAGAAGCAACCCAGTTGTCTCTTAATTTACAAACACATAAAAAATGTAACATATACATCCAATATCACAGAAATCAAAGATTATCAAATATTATCATAATTAAATCAAATATAATCAAAGAAATCTTGTCACATTTTAAGATAAACTTTGAAAATATTATGTCATGGGAAATAAGCCCATAACAAAATGATAAAAACTGTATGATTCCACTATGTATATGAGATATCTTAAGCAGTCACACTCATAAAAACAAAGTGGAACGGTGTTTGTCAAGGGCCGCGGAGAGGGTAAAATGGGTTCTTGTTACTTAAATGGGTACTGAGTTTTAGTTTCACAAGATGTAAAATTTCTAGAAGTCTTTTGCATAACAATGTGAATATATTTAACATGACTGAAATGTACAGCTTCTTTTTGAGACAGGGTCTCACTCTGTCACTCAAGCTGAAGTGCAGTGGCAAAATTATGCCTCACTTCAGCCTCAAACTCCCAGGCTCAAGTAATCCTCCCCTCAATCTCCCAAATAGCTGGGACCACAGGTGCACACTAACATGCCTGGATATTTTAAAAAATTTTTGTAGAGAGGGAATCTCCGAATGTTGCCCAGGCTGGGCTCAAATGATACTCCTGTCTTGGCCTCCCAAAATCCAGGGATTACAGATGTGAGCCACCACGTCTGGCCCTGAAATGTGCACTTAAATAGACTTAAGATGCTAAATTTTAATATGTTTTTACTGTTTTTTCTTCTCATTTTTTTGAGACATAATCTCGCTCTGTCACCCAGGCTGGAGTGCAGTGGCGTGATCTCGGCTCACTGCAACCTCTGCCTCCTGGGTTTAAGCGACTCTCCTGCCTCAGTCTCCTGTGTAGCCCGAACAACAGGCGTAGGCCACCATGTCCAGCTAATTTTTGTATTTTTAGTAGAGACAGGGTTTCACCATGTTGACCAGGCTGGTCTGGAACTCCTGATCTCAAGTGAGCTGCCTGCCTCAGCCTCCAAAGTGCTGGGATTACAGGCGTGAGCCACCGAGCCAGGCCTGTTATGTGTTTTTACAACAATTACTTTTTCTAAAGGAAAAATGGAAAAAATACTAAATTACAAATCTTCTCAAAAATTACCTTCAAATCACAAAAAGTGTTTCTCTCACACAAAGGAAATATATATTCATCATTAGACACATGGAGATAATAAGACATAATGAAAGTATTTCCATGACTACTCGCTTAGACAAGATAAAATACCCACTGAAAATCAGCTAAGAAAGTATACAAGATAAGCCATAACCAATATTGGGGTCATATTTATAGATAAACACACACACATATATAATCCGATTGTGATAGATGTATGGCTGATTTATCTCTTAATTAAACATCACATTGACTTAAAGTATACAAACAGAACTGCAAATTGGCTAAAATTATATAAGAAAAACTAAAAAACACAATAAGCTGATGTTAAGAAACCTACACTGAAAAAACACTAACATGAAAACTGCACAACAGTAAGAGACATGTTTACTCATAAAATCTGGTATGCAACATTAATATACCTTTAAAAAAGAATTGTCTGGATAACTACAATATTTGTGTACTCATGGAAGGCAGGTATTTCGAATAATTGGCATGCACTATGTGGCAGTAAAATTTCACAGAATATGCAGTATAATTATAAATAGAACATACTAATGAGAAACTTTTAATAAGCATGTAAAAGAAATGTGATAATTTTTATGTTTTAAATATATGCTATTCTTACACAAAATGAAACTGCTGTAATCCAACTTAAGCAAAGAACAGCATTACATTGCTAAATTAAAACTTATATTTTTCAAAATAGGGTTAGAGCCTCTGATATGTAAAACAAATATTTACAAGTAAATTATCATTTAGATATATGCTGAAGAAAGTGGGTGAAAATCCTATAATTCCTTTTTACCTGCAGCAAACTTAAATTTAAGTAACCATTCTAGTAATATGGAGTGCCTATCAATTATCTAATTTATTTCAGGCATAACATGTAAATTCTAGCATATTGTCCTAAATGTCCAAATCTAAAATTACAGACAAGTTTGAAATGGAAAATAGAAAGTAAAAATGTATAGAAACAGTAACATCAGTGACATGAAAAAATAAAAGGTGCTCTATTTGATTATCCTCACCACAGCAAAAAAGTTTTTCAGTCATCCCTGACAAAAAAATGCCTTTATGAGACAGCCAGGTATCATGGCTCACATCTGTAATGACTGCTACATGGTACACTGAGGTTGGAGAATTGCTGCAGGCCAGGATTTCCAGACCAGCCCGGATGATAAACAAGATCCCATCTCCCAAGTAAGTGCCTTTAGAAGAGCTTTGAGACCCAGGGAGGGAGTTGTGAAACTCTGCTAAAGCCCAAGATTGAGGAGTGTTTTTTTCAGAGGACAGGCACTTATTCATGTGAGAAACTACAGGACCCCTGGTTTTGGCTACAGACCAAGAAATGGCCCACGCAACTTGGTCCAACAGAGAATTCTGAAGTTAACTCTGTAACCATCCCAAACTCCTCCCAGTTACAGTCTAAGAGAGGTCCTGCCCTTTCAGAGACCTGGAGGAAGACACCCATTTGCAGCCATGCAGACAGGCCTACAGGCCTTGGTTTTTACTGTAGTCCCTGAAGTAGTTTAATGACTCAGTTCCAGCTCTCTGAGCCACAGTTCATGACCAGTTTTGCTTAAGTAGAAACTCACACAGTGACCTGAGGAAATCCTCTCTGGTACTCAGTGAAAGGCAAACCCATTCACATCCTGATATAAGGGCCATTATATATGGAGCCAACTGCAGACACTGCCCTCGTGTCTGCCCTACAGATCAAAGTCTTAAAGAATAATCTGTCCAAAAATAAAATGGAAATTATGATTACCCAAGCCCTTGGTAACAAACCATCTAAAGGTGGATGCTAGTGCAGACTGAGCAGTCTTGTGACCAAGCTACAACCCCTCTTCACTACAAACCCAGAGGGCATCCCATCACCCTAGGGACACAACAGAAAAAGATCTTTACCTCCTGAAACCAGATAACAAAAGCTTAAGGAGTTGTTTGCTCCTTCAAATTCACAGATATCAATATAAAACTATATTGTGCCCATTGTCAATGCTTCTATTTTAATGAAGCACTGAAAGTGTATGGCACAAGGATTAGTCAAAAACATTTTTAAAAAGCCATTGGAATTGAAGAGAAATAAGTAAAAAGTTGCTTTTTGTGGATAGTATGATCTTATTATATAAAAAACCATAAACAGTACATTAAAATTTGTCTAAAAAGCCGGGCTTGGTGGCTCACACCTGTAATCCCAGCACTTTTGGGGGCCGAGGCGGGCAAATCACGAGGTCAGGACTTCAAGAACAGCCTGGCCAACATAGTGAAACCCTGTCTCTACTAAAACTACAAAAAAAATTAGCCAGGTGTAGTGGTGGGCGCCTGTAGTCCCAGCTACTTGAGAGGCTACGGGAGAATCATTTGAACCCAGGAGGTGGAGGTTGCAGTGAGCTAAGATCGCGCCATTGCACTCCAGCCTGGGTGACACAGTGAGACTCTGTCTTGAACAACAACAAAATTGTCTAAACTAATAAATACAGTCAGTAAATTAGCAAAATATAAAATTAACATACGTTATGCTTCCATACACTTAAACTATCTGATGCAATAAAGAAAACAATCTTATTTATAATAGTATTAAAATAATAAATTTCTGAAAACCAATTTAACCAAGAAGGTAAAAAATCTTTTTGTTTTATTGAGATGGAGTTTTGCTCATGCTGCCCAGGCTGGAGTGCAATGGTGCCATCTTGGCTCACCACAACCTCTGCCTCCTGGGTTGAAGCGATTCTCCTGCCTTAGCCTCCTGAGTAGCTGGGATTACAGGCATGTAATCTATGCCTGTAATATGGCCAGCCACTTTTGTATTTTTAGTAGAGACGGGGTTTCTCCATGTTGGTCAGGCTGATCTCGAACTCCTGACCTGAGGGGATCCACCTCCCTGGCCTCCCAAAGAGCTGGGATTACAGGTGTGAGACACTGCGGCTGGCCAAGGTAAAAAATCTTTACAATGAAATATATAAGATATCAATGAAAGAAATTAGAGAAGACAAAAATAAATTTAAAAATATTTTATGTCGGCTGGGCATGGTGACTCATGCCTGTAATCCCAGCACTTTGGGAGGCCAAGGTGGGCGGATCACAAGGTCAGGAGATCGAGACCAGCCTGGACAACAAGGTGAAACCCCGTCTCTACCAAAAATACAAAAATTAGCCGGGCATGGTGGCACATGCCTGTAATCCCAGCTATTAGGGAGGCTGAGGCAGGAGAATCACTTGAACTCGGAAAGTGGAGGTTGCAGTGAGCTGAGATTGCACCACTGCACTCCAGCCTGGGTGACAGAGCGAGACTCTGTCTCAACAACAACACAAAATTTCATGTCTATGGATTGAAAGAATAAATATTGTTAAAGTGCCATATTATCTAAAGTCATCTACACATTCAATAAACTTCCTAATAAAATTCCAGTGGCATTTTTTTCACAATAGAAAATACGATTCTAAAATTTACAAGAAACTACAATAAACTTCAAATAGCCAAAGCATTCTTGAGAAAAAAAAGAACAAAGCAGAGGGACAGGACATCATAATTTATAATTTCAAACTATATTTTAAGACTATAGTAATAAAAACAGGATGGACTATGCAGAAAAATTAACAAGAAACCCCTAATGGAACAGAAACCACTACTCTCACATATTTCAGACAGGATGCAAAAAGAGAACTAAAAAATAATGTAACATAGAGTTTTCCAGCTGGGCACGGTGGCTCACACTTGTAATCCCAGCACTTTGGGAGGCCTAGGTGCGCAGATCACTTGAGGACAGGAGTACAAGACCAGCCTGGCCAACATGGTAAAAACCCGTCTCTACTAAAAATACAAAACAATTAGCTGGGTGTGGTGGCAGGCGCCTGTAATCTCAGCTACCCAGGAGACTGAGGCAGGAAAATCGTCGAACCCAAAAGGCACAGGTTGCAGTGAGTTGAGATCACGCTACTGCAATCCAGCCTGGGCAACCAAAGCGAAACTCTGTCTCAAAAAACAAAACAAAACAAAACAAAAAAAAACAGTGTTTTTCAAAATTATGCAGATATTTGTGTGTTCACCCAAGGAAAAGGAAAATTCTTAGAGAATTTAAAAGCATAAGACAGAAGATGCCCTTTAGTGAGAGAAAATTTTAAGAAAATATTCAGTCTTCCCAGAAACTATATACTTTGCAAAACAGCTTCCCAAATCACATTGTAAGGGCCGGCTTGCTTTTTTTTTTTTTTTACCTTTGTACCTCTCATCTGTGTCATCTGTTGTGTTCACTCTCACCTACCTGGGGATTCATCCACCATCTCACATATCTTCATATTCCAGGGCTCTTTTTCTTGCTCTAGACTGGTGATCGGGTCTTGCTTAGAGACAGCAATACCTGCTTTATTAAAAGTAAATAGCATAAATCTTGCTTATATTCTCTAGTTACCAACCTAGTACTGTGCTCAGTAAAAAGGATATAATAGAATATTTTAGAAAATTAATCCTAAAATACTAATTAATGAGACACATCTCTAACTATTTAGAAAATATTTTAAATTTGTAGGTCCTTAATTTCACTACCTGGTACTCATGAATCAAAAATTGACAGTGGAAAATAGATTTTAAGATACGGGCAATATTTTATGCCACCAAATTTCTGGAATTACCACTAATCTAGAGTGAAGGATGCAGATCAGCTCAGGAATGTGGAAAGTTCAGGTCAGGATGAAACATGTTGAAGAAATTCTTTTCTACAGAGACAAATCATCAAGATTTTCTTGAAAACTGGGATCAGAAACTCATTTATACAAAGCATAAATTACCAAAGAAAATTCTACAAAAAAAGAGACATAAAACGTTTAGGGTATATTAAGACTTATGTATTAAAGTTATTCTCACCCAAGAAGACCAGGTTTTTGTAGTTCTCTAACATCACATTCATATATAAATTCTGCTGAGCAGGGTTCAGGCATTCCCACTCCTCCAGAGAGAATTCTATGGCCACATCCCTAAATGTCAACGTCTCCTGAAAAACACATACGCACAGACACACGTATATTTACCAAGTGGCCATGGGCAGAATTTATTATTTGAATTAAGGTGAAATGAGAGAGTAAAGAGAATTGGTTGACTTATAAGAATAACTGAAATTATCCAATAATTTTTAACACAGAAATATTCTCTAATGTATTACTCTGAGGGCAGAGAATGGCATAAGATCCACAACACCAGTGCATATATAATACTTTTCTGGATGATAAAGAATATAATTAAGGACACAAACGTATACATTTTTGAGTGCTATATTTACATCATAATGAGTTGTGTATATTTTTCAGACAAAAAAAGACATGTTGAGTTAGATGGTACCTCTCAAATTTAAATATGTACAATAAACTGGAGATCCTGTTGTGAAGCTTTTTTTTTTTTTCCCCAGAAGATCTGGAATAAAGTCTGAGTTTTTAAAATTCTAACAAGGTTACTAGCAATGCCAATGTTTTTGACCCCAGAAGACTATTTTGTCAGACATTCAGTAAGTGAAAGAGATTGTGTTTTTCCCAACTTTTTTGGTCTGTAAACAAAGATAAGAGCCTTCATTTTCCAAAGACACATATGTGCAAAAAACAAACAAAAAAACCTAAGAAAAAAGGGCAGGTGCCAGATTAAATGTGATAGTTTATTAGCTACATAAAGATACTTAACAATAAAGAGAAAAACAATTAACTCTATAGTGAAAAAAAGTCAGAGAGCTCTTTAACCAAGCAAATTATTAACATCAACAACACTAGAATAAATTTTTATGATGTGCTGATGCACAAAGAAGAACACAACATCACTGCTGAGATATTGCCCCTCAAAAAGTCAATTATAGACTGAATTTAACCATAAAGAAAAAATCAGTTTCATGCGAAGGTCAAGATATCTCCCATGTTCTATAATTTTTAGTAATGATTTTAAGTAGTCCTTTCTTTAGCATCCTAGAAAGCAGGTATCTCTGAATAATTTTCTCCAGAACTTCCTGGGTAATAAATGCTATCCTGAACAGGCCGGGCGTGGTGGCTCACACCTGTAATCCCAGCACTTTGGGAGGCTGAGGCAGGCGGATCATGATGTCAGGAGATCAAGACCATCCTGGCTAACACAGTGAAACCCCGTCTCTATTAAAAATACAAAAAATTAGCCGGGTGTGGTGGTGGGCGCCTGTAGTCCCAGCTACTTGGGAGGTTGAAGCAGGAGAAAAGCATGAACCCAGGAGGCGGAGCTTGCAGTGAGCTGAGATTGCGCCACTGCACTCTAGCCTGGGCAACAGAGCGAGACTCTGTCTCAAACAATAAAAATAAATAAATAAATAAATAAATGCCATCCTGTTTAAATAAGCATATTCTTAATCCTGTTCTGCATAGAGCTAATGGAGAACACAAGCGACACCTCAACATTATATGTTCTCCATCTTTACTAAGGACCCCAGCTTTCCCCCAATAGGAATCTTGAGTATCCACATCTTCCCATGTTCAGCAGCCACAAAAGGAACACTTTTAATATGGCAGATCATAAATTCATGGTAGGAATTCTGCATTGCATATAAGAAGCCATGATGTAGAGAAGGCTCTCGTACATAGGATAGAAATATTTTTTAGAGATCCTTGACTATCACAAGAATTTTTAAAAGTATGTGAAACAAAATCATTGGGGAGGGAAAACAGAAGTAGAGAAGTAAAGGTTTGCAAGTACTAAACTCATGGCACTCCAGGAGGCAGAGTGGACACAGCTCTTGATCTGAGATATGTTTAGCTGAAAAGAAGCATTTTTCCTCTTTCTCCTCCTCTAGAAATCCTTTTCAGATAAAATTCTCTGGACAAGTAACACCTGCATCTTGAGACAAGTCCCTTAAAGGCATCAGCACCACCTGCTTACCTACTAGCCTCACACTCACAGACAGAAGGACCAAGACCAAAAAGTCCACTCATCTTTCTCCTTTATAACAGAAGAGATTCAGGAACAATGAGTTGCTCCACGGAAATAAAAATATATGTTCCTCTTTTACCGTCCACAGGTGCCCTCCCCTGCCACAGACACCAACAATTTCTACTACAGTAATGAAAATATGAAAATATGGGCCACTGCCCTGTCCCTACCAAACCCAAACAGAACAGGTCCTGAAGCCACCCTTTAGTGCAAATGTGGCACTTAACTCTCAGGAATGTATCTTGAAGCCTTCATACTTGATTCTGGCCTCACCATAGAGTCATATGAGGCCCTGGAGTTTCACTGTCTTACCACACGTATCTACATGTATCATGATGAAGATACCAAAAGCAACTGCAACAAAAGCAAAAATTGACAAATGGGACCTCTTGGGGTGATCAGACCCAACATCAGGTCGTGGGGGTGACAAAGTCCGGTGGAGTCAAAGGATTGAGAAAAAAGACAGTTTGAGATATAAAGGTGGGACACCAGGCTAGGCGCGGTGGCTCACGCCTGTAATCCCAGCACTTTGGGAGGCTGAGGCGGGCGGATCATGAGGTCAGGAGATCGAGACCACAGTGAAGCCCCATCTCTACTAAAAATACAAAAAAAAAATTAGCTGGGTGTCGTGGCGGGCGCCTGTAGTCCCAGCTACTCGGGAGGCTGAGGCAGGAGAATGGCGTGAACCCGGGACACGGAGCTTGCAGTGAGCTGAGATCACACCACTGCACTCCAGCCTGGGTGACAGAGCGAGACTCTGTCTCAAAAAAAAAATAAAAGATGGAACACCAGGGGGCCATCACCATTATGGAGGCTGTGAAGGCCCTGAG
The DNA here is from genome assembly GCF_000001405.40 of Homo sapiens. Lineage (NCBI taxonomy): Eukaryota > Metazoa > Chordata > Mammalia > Primates > Hominidae > Homo > Homo sapiens. The sequence continues at coordinate 21,095,414 of NC_000019.10, read as the reverse complement.
CTCTGGGAGCCCACGGTATTTACTGATAATCCAACAAAGAAACAGGTGGTGAGAACGTGGAGGTCAAAAGAGCAGGCGCATGATCTACAGCTGTGATGGTTTAGCATTATAAGGAACATGTTCTGCTACTTGAGATAATGGGAATAGGAACCTAGGAAAGCTAGAAGCAAGGAGCCAGCAGGTCTAGACACATTCCAGAGGACATTATGCAAGGCCTGCCTCAGTTTCCCTCCCAACACCCAGCTTTTTCCCAACAGGGACCTAATTAAAGAGCTTCTTCATAGCAAAGGAAACTATCAATGGAGTAAACAGACAACATACCAAATAAACAAAAATATTTGCAAACTATGTTCCTGACAAAGGTTTAATACCCAGAATTCATAAAGAAGTTAGGCAGGTTTACAGAAAAAAAAACTTCATTAAAAAGTAGGCAAAAAAACATGAACAGATGCTTTTCAAAAGAAGACAAACATGTGGCTAACAAGCATGTGCAAAAAATGCTCACCACTAATCACTACAGAAATGCCAAAAACAAACTAACAAAAACCACAATGAGACACCATCTCACACCATTCAGAATGGCTGTTGTTAGAAAGTAACAGGCTGGGTGCGGTAACCCCAGCACTTTGGGAGGTCAAGGCAGGCAGATCACTTGAGGTCATGAGTTTGAGAGCAGCCTGGCCAATATGGAGAAATCCTATCTTTACTAAAAATACAAAAATTAGTCAGGCTTGGTGGCACACATCTGTAGTTCCAGCTACTCCAGAAACTAAGGCATGAGAATCTATTGAATCAAGGAGGTGGAGGTTGCAATGAGCTGAGATCACACCACTGTACTCCAGCCTGGGTGACAGAGTGAGACTGTCTCAAAAACCAAAGTCAGTAACATGCTGGTAAGGTTGCAGAGAAAATGGAATGTTTATACACTGCTGGTGGGAGGGTAAATTAGTTCAACCATTGTGAAAAGCAGTGTGGTGATTCCTCACAGAACTGAAAACAGAATTACTGTTTGACCCAGCAACCTCCAAATTGAGTATATATCCAAAGAAATATAAACTATTCTACCATAAAGACACATGCATATGCATGTTTATTACAACACTGTTTGCAATAACAAAGACATGGGCTGGGCTCAGTGGCTCATGCCAGTAATCCCAGCACTTTGGGAGGCTGAGGCTGGTGGATCACCTGAGGTCAGGAGTTCGAGGCTAGCCTAGCCAATATGGCAAAACACCATCTCTACTAAAAATACAAAATTTAGCCAGGTGTGGTTACATGTGCCTGTAGTCCCAGCTACATAGGAAACTGAGGCAGGAGAATCGTTTGAACCCAGGAGACAGAGGTTGCAGTGAGCTGAGATGGTGCCACTGCACTCTGGTCTGGGCAACAGAGTGAGACTCCGTCTCAAACAAACAAAAAACAAAAACATGGAACAAATCTAATTGCCTATTAATGTAGACTAGATTAAAATAATAAGGTATGGTCAGGTGAGGTGGTTCACACTTGTAATCCCGGCACTTTGGGAGGCCGAGGCAGGTGGATTACCTTAGCTCAACAGTTCAAGACCAGCCTGGGCAACATGACAAAACCCCATCTCTACAAACGATAGAAAAAGAAGTTAACTGGGTATGGTGGTGCATGCTTGTAGTCCCAGTTACTTAGGGGGCTGAAGAGGGTGCCTTGAGCCTGGAAGGTTGAGGCTGAAGTGAGCCAAGATTGCACCACTGCACTTCAGCCTTTGCAACAGAGTGAAACACTGTCTCCAAATAAAATTAATTAATTAAATAAAATAGAAGATTTAATAAAAACAAAGTATGGTATGTAAACATGATGGAAGATTATGTGGCCAATAAAAAAACAAAAAAACAAAAACAAAAAAAAACAAGCTGGGCGTGGTGGCTCAGCCTGTAATCCCAGCATTTTGGGAGGCTGAGGCGGGCGGATCACCTGCGGTCAGGAGTTTGAGACCAGCCTGGGCAACATGGTGAAACCCCATCTCTACTAAAAATATAAAATTAGCCATGAGTGGTGGCGCATGCCTGTAATCCCAGCTACTCGGGAGGCTGAGGCAAGAAAATTGCTTGAACCCAGGAGGCGGAGGTTGTGGTGAGCTGAGGTGGCGCCATCACACTCCAGCCTGGGCAACAAGAGTGAAAACTCCATCTCAAAAAATAAATAAATTAAACAAAAACAAGATTAAGTTATTTGCAAGGCCAGGTATGGTGGCTCACGCCTGTAATCCCAGCACTTTGGGAGGCCGAGGCAGGTGGATCACAAGGTCAGGAGATTGAGATCATCCTGGCTAACACTAAAAATTCTCTACTAAAAATACAAAAAATTAGCTAGGCGTGGTGGCAGACACCTGTAGTCCCAGCTACTCGGGAGGCTGAGGCAGGAGAATGGCATGAACCCGGGAGGCGGAGCTTGCAGTGAGCCGAGATCGCACCACTGCACTCCAGCCTGGCTGACAGAGCGAGACTCTGTCTCAAAAAAAAAAAAAAAAAAAAAGTTTAAGTTATTTGCAGCAACATAGACGACACTGGAGACCATTATCCTTAGGAACCTAAAACAGAAACAGAAAACCAAATGCATGTTCTCATTGATAAGAGCTAAATAATAAGAACACATGGACACAAAGAGGAGAACGACAGACACTGAGGCCTAGTTGAGAATAGACAATGAAAGAACAAAAGAAACAGAAAATGTACCTGTTTGGTGTTATGCTTAGTACCTCAGTGACAAAATAATCTACACCAAAACCCCATGACACAATTTTACGTATATAACAAAGCTGCACATGGATCCCTGAACCAAAAAGAAAAGTTGAAAGAAAAAAAAAATCCATGCGTGGGGAAGAATGCAATGTAAGTGGACGGAGTTTTTGTTTTACAGATAGTGGCCCAGGTGGGGCTGGACTCTGATTTATTTCTGTGCCCATGCAGTTAAATGAGATTAGGAACAGGAGGCCCAGAACTCTAGGTTGCTGGGGAAAATAGTTTGCTGCTGCAGATTCACTGTCTGGGGGTTGGGATATGCCAGGAGACTTGACACTTTTGTGGCTTTTTGTCAAGAAACACTAAAATCAACAATGCTGTGGTGAAATTCCTGAGGGTGGTGCCTAGTCCTGGGAGTGGTGTGCACATGTCAATGTCTAGTGGGCATGTTTGGGAGTGGGTGGGAATCCTGTGGTGGCAGCTGTGGGAAAAGGGGGTCTGTCATCAGAGCTCCTTTCCTCTAAGTTTTCATCCTCTCTCACCCTGGGAGGAGGCCTGGGATCCCAGGACAATGGGCAGTGTGAAAGCCTGTGTACAGGAGAGCAGAGCCTCCCATTTCCAGATACCAAGAGTTTTATTCCAGGACAGGCCTCTGTGATATCTTTCTTCTGGCACCAAATCTGTAGAGTTAGCTTAATACCAAGCAATTCTCCAACAGCAACTCAATGTCTAACATTTGAATTCTGACACCACCCAGAGTCAGCACAGACCCTGATTCAGGGCTTAGTCTCACAACATTGCCCTCATTGTAGATGCCAGTCACAAACCGCATAGGCCTATCTATGCTTCTGAGCTACTGTTTAAAAACTGGGGACTCCTACAAACTTCCTCAAGTTCAATAATTAGATCAAGCTACTCACAGAACTCAGCAAAACACTGTAGTTATGTTTACTAGTTTATTATAAAAAGTACAACCCAGGAAAAGTCAAATGGAAGAAATGTACATGACAAAGAAAAGAGGTGGGGAATGATGAATCACAAACATAATCTGGGTAAATAGCTGTGATTAATAAAATCCTTCATCCTTTGTGTTCTCTAGAAATAGTTTATGGAAAGAAACACCCTTCCCATTATGACTTAGATGGTGCTCTCTTTTCTTATTTATCACATAGCCAGACACAGATTCTGTCAGAGGCGTATTGAACCAGAGCAACTCCATTTGGAATAGAGCCTGAGTAAAAATAAGGCTGAGACCCACTGGGCTGCATTCCAAGATGGTTAGGCATTCTAACTCACAAGGTGAGATAGAAGGTCAGCATAAGATACAGGTCACAAAGACCTGGCTGATAACACAGTTTGCAGTATTAGAAGCTGGATAAAACCCACCAAAATTAACATGGTGATGAGAGTGACCTATGGTCATCCTCTCTGCTATACTCCCACCAGTGCTATGATAGTTTATAAATGCCATGGCAACATCTGGAAGTTATCTTATAGCAGTTTAAGAAGGAGAGGCATAGGCCAGATGTGGTGGCTCATGCCTGTAATCTCAGCACTTCGGGAGGCTGAGGTGGGTGGATCACGAGGTCAACAGATTGAGACCATCCTGGCCAACATGGTGAAACCCCGTCCTACTAAAAACACAAAAATTAGCTGGGCATGGTGGCATGTGCATGTAGTCCCAGCTACTTCGGTGGCTGAGGCAGGAGAATTGCTTGAACCCGGGAGGCGGAGGTTGCAGTGAGCTGAGATCATGCCACTGCACTCCAGCCTGGCAAAACAGCGCGACCCTGTCTCAAAAAAAAAAAAAAAAAAAAAAAAAAAAAAAGGAGAGGCATAAATATTCCACCCCTTGTTTAGCATATAATCAAGAAATAACCATAAAAATGTGCAACCATCAGCCCTCAGGACTGCTCTGCCTATGGAGTAGTCACTCTTTTATTGCTTTACTTTCTTAATTAACTTGCTTTCACTTTATGGACTTGCCCTGAAGTCTTTCTTGAGCGAGATCCAAGAACCCTCTCTTGGGGTCTGGAACAGAACTTCTTTCCAGTAACATCTTTCTGGCAACCACAAAGGGACTGTACTCTGACCCAAAGGAAAATCATCTGTGTGCACCAACTGGCTGACTTTGGGTGAGTGGGGTGCATATACCTGGGTAAACCTCTCAGTAAAATCCATCTCAGCAAGAACTGGTTTGACACTACGGGATATTCATTGCTATTCTCTTTGGATTAATCTGTCTTGCACTCTTTGCTGATGGCTATGGGTGACAGAATTAGGCATCTACAGGACCATGGGACATAGGGATATTTTTCTTCTCCAAAAAGGAAAACTTAAGTGCTAATGGGACTGCTGGAAAAAATCTTTCCTACCAAGAAGCAGCCACCTCAACTTTTTATTATCACTGCAATGGGTAGGTCTTTCTCTGGCCCCCTGAGCTCTTTGCCTTCCCCAACCTGCCACAGGCAATGCTTTTTCTCTCTTTTCCCTTTCTTATCTTTTCTATTCCCAGAGTAACCATCTTGCCCAGAGGCCTCAAGTTGAAACTCCTGATCAGAGGTTGAATTAATGATGACAGGGCCCAACTGGGGCCAAGTTTAAGAGTTGCATTTGATATTGGTTGCTAAGGAGAGTAGCTAATGTCTGTGTTGTCACACATATTTTGCTATGGCCAGAATAGAAAAAGATAATTTTCCTTTGTATTGTGGCTTGGCCCCCAGGGCTGTGGTGCAGCCAGCCACGTCACTAGGGCAACCCAGGGAAAGGAAGCCCAGAAGCCTGGCATGCTGGCAAAAGGGTACAAATTTCTTACCAGAATTCTAGCCTCTCTATGTAAACTGATGGAATGAATGGTAAAAAAAATTACTGTTTATCTCCTATGTAAAGTTCTAATTAATTTGGAGATGCATTTGTGAGGTTAGTCTTAAGCTGTAACAAATCTGTTGTACTCTGTGCTATAAATTTGTCTTTCTGTATGGTTCTGTCATTAAGAGGGGTTCCTTAGGATAGAATGCAGGCCTAGGACCCTTTAAGGCTGCTGTTCAGGATGGCCCAGCAAAGTGCTCAGTCATGTCCTTGGACGCTTGACCTTGTGACCACATGATAGTACTTTCTCTTGTCTCCACCATCATTAATGGTGGCCCAGGTTCAGGGTTCCATTCTCAGCTTAGGGAATGAGTACTTTCTTGTTTGGTATTTGGGTGAGCTTTACCATTTGTTGATTCTCTTCCCCTCCAGAAACCACCTTGAATTTTCCTTTTTCAGAACACCTGTGAAGTTACTTTTGGTAAAATTCAAAAACCAGAGATATTGGCCGTTTGACCTGACTAAAGTCTGGTAATAAGAAATTTAAAAGGACTTTTTAAAAGAGCACTATGGTTAAAAGTCAGCTTAATTAAAAGCAGATATTCAAGCTCTAGCAGCCTGGGACTCCTTGGGAAAAACAGAAGAGACACTATAGACCCTGTTTTGGGAAACACCTCTTTTTCCTTATGAAACCCCAGGAATTGGAAGTGAATAGATCCCTCTCAAAATCTAAGTTTCTCTTCTGTTTTGCATTGCATTATCTGATGTTTTTTACTTTTGGGGGTATCAGGAATTACTTCACATTATAAAAGAACTTTGGCATGTAATAACTGGGTGAGAAATATACTTTTGGAATGGCTAAGGGCAATTATGGGGAAAAACTCAGCTCTTCACATTTGGATCAGAGAAACATACTCTGGACCACTTAGGAAGTATGGAGGTGTCCCCATGTCCCACTGAGAAATAAGACTTCCCTTGGGATGAACTGATTCTCTCCTTTTTAGATACAAGATCTGATGTAAAAATGGGAGCCTTAATTTAGGGGGAATCCATTTTGTTGTCCAGCTGTTTACTTATTAAGCCATAGAAACTACATGCTTTCCTGGTCGTGGGCTAGTAATCCAATTAAGAAACTGACAAAGAAAAACCTTACAACTACTGAATCTTCTGTCTGTGTGTGTGATATAAAAGAACCCTGATTAATTGGTTTAAAAATAATAAGAGCTTAAATCAAATATTTTGTCAGAAAAGTAAAAAGTGCAATGCCTTTTAGTTCATGTGACAAGTAATCTTTTTGAAATAAAAACAGTTTTAAAGATCATTGGGAAAATAAAAATGTCTTCAAAATATAAACCATTTGATCTAAATTATATAGGTCAGATATTAGATTTGCCAAATACTTTAAGGTCATAAATTGGTTCTTTGACTTTTAAAAATTGTTCAATTTACCTATCTTGAAGCCAGTAGATTCCAAATAAGGCCTTGGGACATATGGAATTAGCCATGCCCCCTAAATATACAAAGGTTATAAAGAAAAGAGATTTTATATAAGAAAAGATGTTGTATAGTAAATTATTATCCTAAAATAAAATGACTGGTTATTTAAAAAGATGGATGTTTAGGACAAATCAGAGAGTCCAAACATATTATAGATGGTCTGTATAAGTCATGAAATAATTCACTAAAAGAAATTTATGCAAGAAATGTTGTACAATTTAAAGGTTACTAGGCCTCTTAAAGACTTCTCAAAATGCCACTATCACTGTTCACTGTACAACTTGCCTGCTTTACGGCTAGGTAAGGCCTGGGACACATCAAGTTAGCCACACCCCCTAACTATTAATACACTGGAGTCAGACCTTATATAAACTTGTGTCTGTGTCCTGGACTCCACGCCTAGTACGTAATTAAAATCCTTTACTTACCAAGGGTTTCATCAAAAGTAAAAGTTGCTAAGAGTTAACATTGTAACATGTAACTTTGACTACTAAAAAACAGTTTTACATGCAAGGTATGCAGAGAAAGTGAAATGTGTTTTTGATAAAAGATTATAAGAAGACATGGAAATGTGGACTTTTTTGCCTGGATTAAAAGGTTAAAGGATTGTTTTAAATTAGAATAAAACTGAAGGTTTAAACAAATTGTGAAAGATTTGCTAAAATTTAATTGCAAAAGAGTTTCTGTGTGTGAACATATAAAGTTAAATGGGTATTATTCAGTTTTTCTATAAATTGAACATTGAGATAAAAACAACAGGTTTCTCTTAAAGCACTGATCTACTCTTAAACAACAAGGACTTTGTAAAGAGTTATAAAAGGTTTATAAGAATATTACCTTACGGTCAAATACTAAAATTGGATAGGTTTGTCTATAAAGATTAAGAATTGGGTTTGACATTAATAATACACAAATATAATAGTAAAATTTGGCTCATTTAGTATAAAAAATCACATAGAAAACATGTCAAATGTGAAATCATGTTTGACTATTTTTGGACTGTTTTTGTAAATATGTTATTGGTATGTGTTCCAAAATTATGGGAAACTCCTGTAATTCTAATGACTAAGTGTATATCATTAATAATCACAATTGTTACATAAAATTATTTTATGCCACAGAGCTAACCAAATTTCCTTGTCGATCATGTTTTTTTTTTTTTTTTTTTTTTTTGCTGAGACTGCCCTAAGACTTTCCCATGCAGACAATCAAGTTGTGTTGATCCTCTTCAAAAGATGATTTATAGTTAACTTAAGACTTTGACAGATGTTCTCAAATGCAAGTTTGTTGTAACTTTAGAAATTGTGACATTAGAATACAGAAAAAACTTTCAGTATTCATGGAGAACTGAAATGTTCATGACTATCAAACAGAATAGGAATTAACTGAATGGACTGAACTAATAGAAGACTGAAGTTATATTTTTTGACTTTGCATAAAATGTCACTGATCCTTTGTTTTGTTTTTCAGGGTCAAGAAGACTCTGACTAGTTAGGCAAAAATATCATCACCCCTGTTCAGCATGAAGTAGTTACAGAAAATGAATCTTCATCCCTCTACAACTCTTAGGATTAAGTGTGCCCATGTTAAAAAGAAGGGGGAGATGTCAGAGGCATATGGAACCAGAGAAAATCTATTTTGAATAGGGGCTGGATAAAATAGGGCTGAGACTGACTGGGCTGCATTCCTGGATGGTTAGGCATTCTAAGTAACAGGACAGGATAGAAGGTCAGCAAAAGATACAAGTTTTAAAGACCTTGCGGATAAAACAGGTTGCAGTAAAGAAGTCAAATAAAACCCACCAAAACCAAGATGTGACGAGAGTGACCTCTGGTCACCCTCACTGCTACACTCTTACCAGTGTCGTAACAGTTTACAAATGCCATGGAAACATCAGAAGTTACTGTATATGGTCTAAAATTGGGGGGCATAAATAATCCACCCCTTGTTTAGCATATAATCAAGAAATAAGCATAAAAATGTGCAACCAGCAGCCCTCGGTGCTGCCCTGCCTATGGAGTAAGCCATTATTTTATTCCTTTACTTTCTTAATAAACTTCCTTTTACTTTACTGTGTGGACTCACCCTGAATATTTTCTTGAGCGAAATCAAGAACCCTCTTGTGGGGCTTGAATTGGGACCTTGTTCTAGTAAGAACTCTGCACATTTTCTTCTTTTTCCCATTAAAAGATTCAGCTGAATTTGTCTTCAGTGGTCTAAATAAAATTTTTCACAGGCCCCAGAACTTTAAACTATTCTCAGTCTGAGTCAACATAAAATCTCATTTTATGTCTCTTCTAAGAACATGCTGATTTCATGGTAAAACATTCTCTGATTTAAAATCTGACTTTTCACCCTTCATTTGCCATTGCTCTCCTGCCTTCTTTCTAATCTTGTTTGCTGCTCCCTAGGAAAGAAAGCCCTTGTTGGCCTAAACTATGCAATCCTTAAAATTTTTATAGTTGGTACTTTTTCCTGTTGCAATACTCCTTTGGAATTCTTTTTTTTTTTTTTACATAAACCTAACTTTGTTTGATATTCCAAAGCCTAGAAACTGCCTCAAAACAATAACAACTTTATCATCAGTAAGACCCTCTCAGTCCCCTTTCATCTTAACCTTAACTGCATTTGCCTGTGGGTCCTCAGCTTTCCAGGGCTCTGTCAGCAGAAAGGCTTCTTCCATGGCTGGGGTGAGCAGACTGGACATCTGCAGGGGAGCATCCCCCATAAATAAACTAGCTGGTCCTTTAATAACCTCCTTTTGTAGGCTCAATATTAGCCTTAGCTCTGAGACACTGGGCTCAAGCTTTAGTTTCCATGTTAGAGTTACTCACTTGGTTTTTGAAACTACGTGTTTGAAAAATCCAGCAAAATTACTCAAACACAGTGTTCATATAAGGGAAGGAAATTTTAAGGTACTTACATTTTATACCTCAATAAAAAAAGCAAAAGTATCTACTCCTTTATGAAAATATATCTATTATTGTATTGTTTTCATTAAAAATCATGTAGTAAACAATTAGTCATATGGGAACACTTCTAGGTGGTACCAAGTTTCATCTCATAAAATGTAGCATGAAACTCAGAAATCAAGATAACAGGATGTGAACACAGATATTCACTGTCAAAAATCCTATCCTGCAGATAGAGCAACTGATGTTTTCATGAATCTATGTTTACTCACCAATTATCTACCACATTTTCTTATGGACATGTATTCATTTTCTACAGCCAAAATAGAATAGAGATTTTCCCTATTCTTTTCCTCGGTAGCTAGCATTCTAAAAGCTGAGCCTTGAAATTCTGTTTGAATTCACCTAGCCATAAAAAACAAACACACCTGAGAAACCTTTTAAACTCACTCTGGGAAAGAAAAAGGTAAATGAGAATTTTTAACAAATGGAATATATAATTAAGCATTAATTTCTTTTTCTAAAACCCATCTCTTTTATGCCCTTTGTAAATATTTTCCTGCTGGCCGGGCGTGGTGGCTCACACCTGTTATCCCAGCACTTTGGGAGGCCAAGGAGGGCAGATCATCTGAGGTCAGGAGTTTGAGACCAGCCTGGCCAGCTGAGGCAGGAAAATCACTTGAACCCAGGAGGTGGAGGTTGCAGTGAGCCGAGATCATACCACTGCACTCCAGCCTGGGCAACAAGAGTGAAACTGTCTCAAAAAAAAAAAAAAAAAAAATTTCCTACCTTTCAAGCCCTACTAATATAATGCAATTTACAGCTAAAAAACTGAGGTCAAAATAAGTGAACAAATCTCTTCAAGGTGACAAATCCAGAAGTGGCAATGATGGTTAAATAACAGATGTGTGTGACTCATGTTTCAAGTCAGGCTATTCAGTCACTTGAGAGATTCTTCCACCCACTCCTACTCACTTATGTGCTCAAGAAGCACCCATTCAGGAGACACTGCAGTATTTCTCGGTGGCTGCTCCAGAGGCATTTTACTTTGCAAGCTCTTACACCATCTCAGTTAACCTTGCTGATGGCTATGGGTGACAGAATTAGGCATCTACAAGACCATAGGACATGGGGATCTTTTTCTTCTCCAAAAGGGAAAACTTAAGTGCTAATGGAACTGCTGGAAAAAATCCTGACTGCTGGAGTCAGGTTTTTTGTGTTTTTTGTTTGTTTGCTTGATTTTTTTTTTCTTTTTTGGTCTTTTGGGATACTATTTTTTCTGTCACAATTTTTTTTTCTTTTTAACACTATTTTTTCTTTCACTACATTTATTTCATTATATTTCTACCCCTTAGACAATCCAGGAGGCAGATGTTATTTCTGTGTTTTCCCCTCAGTACCAGCATCTGATTACCTTTTCAAAGTAAGAGTACACTAGAAGCTTCCTCTCTGCCCCAGGGATCCACTTGCTCCCTTGAGAGGATACACTCCAGACCTCAGGTCGCCCTATGGAAGAAAATAAACCAGAAGCTGATATTCACTAGGCACTTTAGCTGACATAACCATGGTGGATATCTTGGTTGATCCCCAGACAGTACTGAAACCCACGACCAGAAAAAAACTAAAGGGTGGCTGAGGACACATCACCTCATAAAGGTTTCAAAGGAATACCTTGACCCAAAAACATTCTGACAAGATCTTTGTACCTAGAGAAGATACAAGGAGAAGAGGCACAGAGAAATTTTACAATACAGTGTCAGGGGATTATTCTTTGCTTTCTTCTCATGGGAAAGTTACAAACAGGTAACAAACCTTTTAAAAAGCGTCATTTAAAGCTTTGTCAAAAAATAATTAATTAAAATATGGTATACAAAAGTACACTAAAAGACAAACAGGTGATAACGTGAATTAGGGAGGAAAAGCTGGCATTAGGGAATGCCAGGAGGAACTGGAAATTTAATATCTTACTGCAAGCCAGAGTGAGGCTGGAGATATGGGGGACGGGAGGTTAGATTTAAGACAGTGCTTGGGACACAGTTGAAAAATGCACCAGAAAATCAGTTCCCCATGGAGTGTGAAAATAATTAAGCGGCGGGAAATTAGACTGAGGTGTCTCTAGTCCCTGGATTCCTACTTTTAAAAAAATCTGGCTGGGCGCGGTGGCTCACGCCTGTAATCCCAGCACTTTGGGGAGGCCGTGGAGGGCAGATCACCTGAGGTCGGGAGTTCGAGACCAGCCTGACCAACATGCAGAAACCCGTCTCTACTAAAACCACAAAATTAGACGGGCGTGGTGGCGCATGCCTGTAATCCCAGCTACCTGGGAGGCTGAAGCATTGGATCGCTTGAACCCGGGAGGCAGAGGTTACGGTGAGACAAGATCGCCCCATTGCACTCCAGCCTGGGCAACAAGAGCGAAACTCCATCTTAAAAAAAAAAAATCTAACTGAGGTGCATTTTTAGTAAATTACTACATTGAGAGAAACAAAATTCATCCTTAACCAACTATAAACTGCCAATTAACATCTAATTACATAACCAGGAAATTTTCACCTTTATTTTACAAATTAAGAAACTATGTATCTGAACCTAACCAATTACTGAATTTGGTTTTCTTCATCATGCTGTTTATAAAAGTCTTTACTTCAAGCCCCGCCCATAAACCATAAATTACAAACCACAGCTGGGTGCTCCACAATTTTTGAATCACGCTTTGATTAAATGCTTTAGTGTTTTAACGGTGACTCCCATACATTTTCAACAGAAGAGGAACTGGAACCCCACGGACCCATTCATAAACCCGCACCCCGAGTCAGGATTCTACCCCTGGGACCCTCCAGTGGTCCCTGCACAATCCGGGAGAGACGCGCCGCTGAGGGTCCAGAGCTGCCCTGAGAGGACTCCAGGTCAGGGCCCAGTCACTGCGCAGGGAAAAGACAGGACGCCCGGGATCCCGCAGTCAGCGCAGCCGCCATCTTATGGCTGAAGGGGACTGAGGCCGAGCTGAGCAAGGAGAACTCCGGGCGCAGATTGTAGAGTTGACTGCGGGGAGGCCTAAGTCCCACCACAGCCACTTCCCACCGCTTACAACCCGCCCCTTCCCCTCTCTCGGGATGTCGGACCCGGCACTCTCACCATTTCTAGGCTTCCGGGGTACCTGGCGTCTTAGCTGTGGATCTCTCAATACCTGCAGGTCACAGGGCCACAGAGGCTGGGCCTCTGCGAGCAGAGGACACAGGGCAGTGAAGGCGAGACCTGCAGCTCCAGCTGCAGCGAGAGACAAAGGCCCCGCCACATCCCCGAAGCCGTCCTGTCCGCTCCAGCTGCAGGCCTGATTGGACGGTTCCCAACCCAGCGTCGCTGATTGGATAACTTTTAAAACCCCACCTTCTCGTGCCCTGAGTGACAGAAGATGTGATCAGTTGCTGGGCTGAGTGAAGAAAGGGTGACAGCCTAGGCTGCAGCCTTCTCAGGCAGGGCTTCCTCCCAGAGCTGAGCCAGGCCCACCCCAGAGGGAATTTGCCTTTAAACTTGTGTGTAAAGTCATATGCATTTATAAATAATATATGGCTCTTCACAAAGGAAAAAATATAATTTTATAATAACAATTATTTTAAAATTTCAGATTTTATGACCTTCCTGGCTTCTTTCTGGTCTTTGAGCAGGCAGGCTGAGATTTTAGAAAGGAGGTAATCCTCTGAAATAAAATGTGAGCCATATGTGAATTTTAAGTTTTCTAGTAGCCAAACTTGAAAAAGAAACAAGAACAGGTTGAATTGATTGTAACAATTTAATTAACCCAATATATCAAAAAAATTTTCATTTTAATGTGTGAGAAATATGTAATTATTAATAAAGTATATAAATATTTGGAACTAAATCTTTGAAACTAACTCTGTATTTTACCTTTCTAGCATCGCACTTCAGACCAGGCGCCACACATGGCCAATAACTGCCACATTGAAGTGCAGCTCTGATGTCAGCGGTGTGAAGGGCCCAAGCAAACCTTTTCTGCCAGAGGTGAAGGAAGAGCCTCTCCCTACCAACATCTCTCTTCCGTTCCGGGGGTGGAACAGATAGTGGCCAAAGAAAGAGGAGACGGCAGCAGGAATAAAATAATTACAAGTAAAGCACTGCTGGATGAGATCACAGGCGCGCGCCACCATGCTCGGCTAATTTTTTGTATTTTTAGTAGACACGGGGTTTCACCATGTTGGCCAGGCTGGTCCTGAACTCCTGACCTCAGGTGATCTGCCCGCTTTGGCCTCCCAAAGTGTTGGGATTACAGGCGTGAGCCACCGCACCCAGCCTCAAAATGTTTTTTCTTTCTTTTTTTTTAATTTTAAAAAATGATGGGAACATGTCAAAGGGAGCCAGCCTGAAAGAACTCCCAATGGTCCATCCTGGAACAATGTTAGCATCCAAATGAATAATTAGAGCACTGACCTATAAAATAAATCAAGTCAAATAAATAAATACCCATGCATTTACACTGATACACAAAAAACTTTAAATAAATAAAAAAGAAAAAAGGATAGGGAAATTTTTTTTTACAGAATTCCAAATACTAATCAACATAGATAAAATGCTAAAGAAACCATCACAAAACCACCAGTTATTATTGTATCCAAGGTTAACTGAGGAGTGTAAAAATTGTAAATAACACTTAAAAAATAAGCATTGTATTTGCATAGCACCAAAGTATCTGACTAAATTGTACCCTTCAGTTTTAAAGCAACCTATCACTATTAAAAGCAACAATTATGACTCTTTGTTACTGGATTTATAATATGTAGATGTAAAATTGTAAAAGCACCACAAAAGATCAACGAATAAAATAGAATCGCCCAGGCACGGTGGCTCACGCCTGCAATCCCAGCACTTTGGGAGTCCGAGGTGGGTGGATCAAGAGGTCAGGAGTCCGAGACCATCCTGGCTAACAAGGTGAAACCCTGTCTCTACCAAAAATACAAAAACTTACCTGGGTGTGATGCCGCACGCCTGTATTCCCAGCTACTCGGGGGGCCGAGGCAGGAGAATCGTTTGAACCCGGGAGGCGGAGGTTACAGTGAGCCGAGATCGCGCCACTGCACTCCAGCCTGGCGACAGAGGGAGACTCTGTCTCAAAAAAAAAAAAAAAAAAAAAAAGAGCTGCCTGGGCAACATAATAAGACCCCATCTCTACAAAAAAAAAAAAAAAAAAAAAAAATTAATTAGCCACTGTAGTGGTGTGTACGTGAAGTCCCATTTACCAAGGAGGCTGAGAGCTAAGAATTTTGAGGTTTGATTGAGCTGCACTCTGGCCAAGATGACAGAGCTGTCTACAAATACATACACACATGTGTAAAATATAACACTTTTTTAAAAAGCTTGCAAGTTCTTTTATGATCCCGTGTCTGTGCATTACTGTAATAATATGGATTAGAAGCAGAATAACTGTATCCAATATGGAGTTTGAGAGAAAACAGAAATATATCATCTGTACTTCAGGTGTCCTGATAAGGATCAGCGGAGGGTTCTGCCCTCTGACTTTATCTCTACTAAATGCATGAGAGGCAGAGTTTTTTTGTTTTGTTTTTTGTTTGTTTGTTTGTTTGTTTTGAGACGGAGTCTCGCTCTCTCACCCACGCTGGAGTGCAGTGGCACAATCTCAGCTCACTGCAAGCTCCGCCTCCCGGGTTCACGCCATTCTCCTGCCTGAGCCTCCGGAGTAGCTGGGACTACAGGCGCCCGCCACAACGCCCGGCTACTTTTTTGTCTTTTTAGTAGAGACGGGGTTTCACCATGTTGGCCAGGCTGGTCTCTAACTGCTGACCTCGTTATCCGCCTGCTTTGGCGTCCCAAAATGTTGGGATTACAGGCGTGAGCCACCGCACTCGGCGAGGCAGAGTTTTTAACATAATTTTTTTTTTTTTTTTTTTTTTTTTGAGACGGAGTCTCGCTCTGTCACCCAGGCTGGAGTGCAGTGGCTCGATCTCGGCTCACTGCAACCTCCGCCTCCCAGGTTCAAGCGATTCTCCTGCTTCAGCCTCCAAAGTAGCTGGAACTATGGGCACGCGCCACCACGCCCAGCTAATTTTTTTTTGTATTTTTAGTAGAGACGGGGTTTCACAATGTTGGCCAGGATGGTCTCGATCTCTTGACCTCGTGATCTGCCTGCCTCGGCCTCCCAAAGTGCTGGGATTACAGGCGTGAGCCACTGCGCCCGGCCAACATAAATGATTTTAACACAAGCAATATTCTGTAATATTAACGGACATAGAGGTTTTGTACTGATTATGATTTTTGAAATTTTTATGCCCTGGTAGACCAGATAGATCATCTCTGTCAACATCATTTTGTTAATAGCATTTTCAACCTATTCTGCTTCCATCCTCTCTTTTATTTTAAAAAGACATAGATGCTAGAAAACACCATTTCTACTGAAGGCAGAAAAAGCAAACACAAATTTCAGTATTTACAAGTCACATTTATGAATATGTTTCCTAATTAGGGAGTTAAAACTTCAACTTTCAAAGAAAATGGTATAGGCAGCTGGGCACAGTGGCTCACGCCTGTAATCCCAACACTTTGGGAGGCTGAGGCGGGTGGATCACCTGAGGTCAGGAGTTCAAGACTAGCCTGACCAACATGGAGAAACCCCGTCTACTAAAAATACAAAATTAGCCGCACGTGGTGGCGCATTCCTGTAATCCCAGCTACTCAGGAGGCCGAGGCAAGAGAATCGCTTGAACCTGGGAGGTGGAGGTTGTGGTGAGCCGAGATCGCGCCACTGCACTCCAGCCTGGGCAACAAGAGCAAAAACTTCATCTCAAAAAAAAAAAAAAAAAAAAATGGTAAGGGGCAAACATAAAGAACATTTTTATTATAAAAAATTATCCGCCGGGGGCGGTGGCTCACGCCTGTAATCCCAGCACTTTGGGAGGCCGAGGCGGGTAGATCACGAGGTCAGGAGATCGAGACCATCCTGGCTAACACTAAATTATAAATTATAAAACAAGCCTCTACTAAAAATACAAAAAATTAGCCGGGCGCCGTGGCAGGCGCCTGTAGTCCCAGCTACTCGGGAGGCTGAGGCAGGAGAATGGCGTGAACCCAGGAGGCGGAGCTTGCAGTGAGCTGAGATGGAGCCACTTCACTCTAGCCGGGGTGACAGAGCGAAACTCTGTCTCAAAAAAAAAAAAAAAAAAAAATTAAAAAAACTATCCAGTCTCTATATTTTGCAAATTATTTTTCTCTCATCACTAAGCAATTTCACCTAAACTAATATACAACCAATTTTATAAGTTTAGCTTTTTTAAATAAAATAAAATAATAAAACCGAATTAATTTAAGACAACATGAAAAATTATAATACATATTACAAGCCCCCATTCAGGTAAAGTATTAACAATGAAGATTTGATAAATGGCAAATGTCACATTTTCAGATAGTTTTGTGATAACCAGAAAAAAATGTATCTATTAGCAATTTTCATAACGAAATAAGAAAAAATGACACTTGAAATATTATAAAGTATTTAAATTATCTCATGTATTAAGATATCATAAATTCAATAAATTATAAAATATTATAAATATACTAGAGGTTCTCCAAACTGAAAAATAAGAAGCAAAATAATTTATCATTAAAAATTGGCTCTTTTTTTGTTTTAAAAATAAAGTTTAAAGCTGATCTTATGCAGAACACAACTGGACCCCTACCTATATTAATACAATTAAAATTTGACACGAGATTTGGGTGGGGATACAGAGTCAAACGATATCATTCTGCCCCTGGGCCCTCCCAAACCTCATGCCCTTCTCAGATTTCAAAACACAATCATCCCTTCACATCAGTCCCCCAAATTCTTAACCAATTTCAGTATTAACTCAAAAGTCCAGTTTAAAGTCTTGTCTGAGACAAGGCAAGCCTCTTCCACCTATGAGTCTGTAAAATCAAAAACAAGTTAGTTACTTTCAAGATACAATGCATGTGCAGGCATTGGGTAAATATTCCTCTTCCAAAAGGGAGAATTTGCCAAAGCAAAAGGGCTCTGGGTCTATCAAACTCCAAAACCCAGCAGGGCAGTCATTAAATCTTAAAGTTCCAAAATAATCTCCTTTGACTTGGCGTCTCACATCTAGGCCACTTTGATGCAAGGGGTGAGCTCCCAAGGTCTTAGGCAGCTCCACCCCTGTGGCTCTGCAGAGTACAGCCCCTGCAGCTGCTTTCACAAGCTGGCATTGAGTGCCTATGGCTTTTCCATCCAACTCACATAAACTTACTTAAACTTAATCACTTTCTAAAATTGCTGTTCTCTGCCAGGCACGGTGGCTCACACCTGTAATCCCAGCACTTTGGGAGGCTGAGGCAGGCAGATCACGAGGTCAGGAGATCAAGACCATCCTGGCCAACATGGTGAAACCCCATCTCTACTAAAATACAAAAAAAAAAAAAAGAATCACATTGCAGGTTAGGGCTTACCCTATACATTTTGATAAAAACTAAATTCAGTCTAAATCAAGGCAAAAGAACCATATAGAGGTAATATTTTTATATCTCATTGGAATTAAGTTAATATAAACATGAAGCAGATTATAAAAAGATCTATGTTATAAGGCCTAGAGAAAATAAGAAAGTAGCTGGGTGCAGTGGCTCATGCCTGTAATCCCACCACTTTGGAAGGCCAAGGTGGGCAGATCATGAGGTCAGGAGTTCAAGACCAGCCTGGCCAACATGGTGAAACCCCCTCTCTATTAAAAATAAAAAAAATTAGCTGGGCGTGGTGGCAGGTGCCTGTATTCTCAGCTACTCAGGAGGCTGAGACAGAAGAATCATTTGAACCCGGGAGACAGAGGTTTCAGTGAGCCAAGATCAAGCCACTGCACTCCAGTCTGGGCGACAGGGCAAGACTCCGTCTCAAAAAAAAAAAAAAAAAAAAAGAAAGTAACTGCAAAAACATAAACAATCACTATAGAAATTTAAATATTATATGGGAAGTATCTAATATAAAAGAAAGCAGTAAAGGAAGAATAAAAATATGCTGGGCATGGTGGCTTACACCTATAATCCCAGCACTTTGGGAGGCTGAGGTGGGTGGATCACCTGAGGTCAGGAGTTCGAGACCAGCCTGGCCAACATGGTGAAACCCCGTCCCTACTAAAAATACAAAAATTAGCCAGCATGCTGGTGGGTGCCTGTAATCCCAGCTACTCTGGAGGCTGAGGCAGGAGAAGTGTTTGAACCCAGGAGGTGGAAGTTGCAGTGAGTGGAGATCACACTACTGCACTCCAGCCTGGGTGATAGAGTGAGACTTTGTCTCAAAAAAAAAAAAAAAAAAGAAAAGAAAAAAGAAAAAGAGGCCGGGTGCGGTGGCTCATGCCTGTAATCCCAGCACTTTGGGAGGCCGAGGCAAGCGGATCACGAGGTCAGGAGATCGAGACCACGGTGAAACCCCATCTCTACTAAAAATACAAAAAATTAGCCGGGTGTGGTGGTGGGCACCTGTGGTCCCAGCTACACGGGAGGCTGAGGGAGGAGAATGGTATGAACTTAGGAGGCGGAGCTTGCAGTGAGCGGAGATAGCGCCACTGCACTCCAGCCTGGGCGACAGAGCAAGACTCCATCTCAAAAAGAAAAAAAGCAAAAAGCATAATGGCCAGTGTAAATCCAACTATATTGATAATATCATTGGCTATGAATGGGTTAAATAATTAAATCCAATGGCCGAGGTTGTCAGATCAGAAACTTTTCTACCTGAATTTAAATAATAGAAAAACTAGACAGAATATCAGCAAGAAAATATAACACATGAACAACACTGTTAACAAATATAAATAGCCTTCTACAGAAATCTCCTCTCAAGATTAGAAGTACACATAGGTGGCCGGGTGCGGTGGCTCATGCCTGTAATCTCAGCACTTTGGGAGGCCAAGGCGGGTGGATCACCTGATGTCAGGAGTTCAAGACCAGCCTGGCCAAGATGATGAAACCTCATCTCTACTAAAAATACAAAATTAGCCAGGCATGGTGGCAGGCGCCTGTAATCCCAGCTACTCGGGAGGCTGAGGCAGGAGAATAGCTTGAACCCAGGAGGCAGAGATTGCAATGAGCTGAGATTGTGCCACTGCACTCCAGCCCTGGTGACAGAGTGAGACTCCATCTCAAAAAAAAAAAGAGAAGTACTCATAGGTTATTCTTCAGGATAGATTGCATGGTAGGCCATACAGCAAGGAAACATCAATAAATTAAAAGGATAAACATAACCCAAAGTATGTTCTCTGACTTTCATAGAAAGTAAAAATAAATAAATGCGGAAAGTTTGAGAAACTCACATATATGTGGAAATAAAACATACTTCTAAGTAACTAATGTGTCAAAGAAAAAAAAAAATTTGAAAATATTTTCAGATGAATGAAAATGAAGCCACAACCTATCAAACATATGAGATGCAGCAAACTGTTCAGAGAAATTCATAGCAGTAAACACCTACATAAAACATAAACAACAATTTAGAATCAATAACCTAATTTTTGGCAAAAATATTTAAGGACAAATTAACTACTCATTATACCTGGGAAAAAGAATATCAATCTGGGCAAGCAAAAGTCACGTAGTATATATGAGACAAAACTGAGGAGTGAAGTGCTTGTAGGATTAGGGCTTTGAAAATTGTCCACATATTTCTAAGAATCTAGAAGCTCATAAGCATGTTCAGGGTCAGTCAAAGGCCAGGCAAATGCTCAGAAAGACCTAAGAAGATGTTCTCTCTCATCTCTGCTTTACCCTCAATCTCTAAACATGCAAGAAGAGAAGAAGGTGGCAAAGTTGTAATCTTCCTAGCTGTGTAAACCCAGCTGCAAGAATTAGGAAATGTACATTTGAGGTGAGCAGGCATTTGAGGTAAATCTCTTTCAAATCACTAGTTCGCATTAAGCTAAAGAAACAGATTTTTATTGCCAAACACAACAAAAAACAGTATTTAAAAAAAATAACTTTTAGCCGGTAATCCCAGCACTTTGGGAGACTGAGGCAGGTGAATCACGAGGTCAGGAGTTCAAGACCAGCCTGGCCAAGATGATGAAACCCCGTCTCTACTAAAAATACAAAAATTAGCCAGTTGTGGTGGCAGATGCCTGTAATCCCAGCTATTCGGGAGCCTGAGGCAGGGAATTGCTTGAACCCAAGAGGCAGAGGTTGCAGTGAGCCGAGATCGTACCACTGCACTCCAGCCTGAGTGACAGAGCAAGACTCCATCTCAAATAATAATAATAATAATAATAATATTAATAATAATTTTGAAAACTAAGCACAAAAGTACAAGTTAAAATAAGCAGGAACAAAAACCCAAAGGATAAGAGTACGTAAGATTTTATGGTTTTTATATTATAGTAGAACAATGTCCAGTTTTCAGCAACAAGATACAAGGCATGCAAAGAAATAAGAAAACATGGCCTATGAATAAGTAACAGATATGAACAGAAAAAGTCTTAGAGGAAGCCTAGGCATTAGAAAGCCTAGAAAAAGTCTAAATTACCTATCCTAAATATGCTGCAAATAGAAAATATTAATAGAGAGAGGGACTATAAAATAAATTGAAGAGAAATTTATGTTTTTTTAAAATTATTTTATATTTTTTGAGATGGAGTCTTGCTCTGTCACCCAGGCTGGAGTGAAGTGGTATGATCTTGGCTCACTGCAACCTTCACCTTCTGGGTTCAAGCGATTCTCCTGCCTCAGCCTCCTGAGTAAAGCTGGGACTACAGGCACCTGCAACCATACCTGGCTAATTTTTGTATTTTTAGTAGAGACGAGGTTTCGTCATCTTGGCCAGGCTGGTCTTGAACTCCTGACCTCAGGTAATCTGCCCACCTCAGCCTCCCAAAGTACTAAGATAACAGTCATGAGCCACTGCGCCCGGATTCGAGAAATTTATGTTATCTACAAGAGACTCTCTTTAGTTCTAAACTCACAAATAGTTTTACAATGAAAGGTTAGATGAAAAGATTTCATACAGATAGTAACCAAAAGAGAGCTGGGGTGGCTACACTTAGAAAAAGAAGGTGTTAAGACAAAAGTGTTGTAATTAACTGGCAAATGACAACATGTTATATTGAAAAAATTGTAAATCTATCAAGATAATATGATAGTTGTAAATATATTTGTACCTAACAAAAATCCCAACATATAAAGCATAAAATGACAGTTAATGGCAGAAGTAGAAAGTTCTCAATAAGAATTGTTGGCTTTGGCCGGGCACAATGGCTTACGCCTGTAATCCCAGAACTTTGGGAGACCGAGGCAGGTGGATTACATGAGGCCAGGTGTTCCAGACCAGCCTCACCAACATGGTGGAACCTCATCTCTACTAAAAATACAAAAATTAGCCAGGCATGGTGGCACACGTCTGTAATCCCAGATACTCGGGAGGCTGAGGCACGATAATCACTTGAATCTGGGAGATGGATGCTGCGGTGAGCCAAGATCTCACCACTGCACTTTAGCCTGGGTGACAGAGCAAGACTCTGCCTCAAAAAAAAAAAAAAAAAAAAAAAAAATTGTCGGCTTTAATATGCCAACTAGACCTAGCAAGCAGATACATTCAGAAACTCCTGTTCAACTATCTTGAAATGGGCAAAAAATTAATTTTATTTTCAAATTGTGAGTTTGTTTACAGCAAGTAATTTAGCCACCTTACTATTTTATGGCATTATTATTTTAAAAAATATTCATTATTAAGAGCTTCAGCTTTCTTGCTGTCATCATGTTTCATCTTACCCTTTAAATTTCCATCCCAGCTTCAGTTTCCATGAGGATGATGGGCAGCACAGAAACTTACAACAACTAGCTGCACCCAGACCCCCAACAGGAAGTTACATCTGTGGGGCCCCCACAAATTCTGAAGATCATGTTAAGTGCCTTGTTGTTTATGTAGTTGTAGTTTTTTGTTTTGTTTTCTTTCTTTCTTTTTTTTTTTTTTTTTGAGATGGAGTCTCTCTCTGTCACCCAGGCAGGAGTGCAGTGGCCCCATCTCAGCTCACTGCAATGTCTGCCTCCCAGGGTTAAAGCGATTCTCCAGCCTCAGCCTCCCAAGTAACTGGGATTATAGACATGAGCCACCATGCCTGGCTACATTATCTCATTTCTATGTAGAATATTAAAAAATTCAAACTAATAAAAGCAAAGTGTAGAATGATGATTGCCTGGGGCTGGTGGTGGGGGAGATGTTGGTCAAGAGTAATGAGTCTTCCCTACATCTATTACCTTAATAAGTAAGTTATTCTCTCACCAGGGAATTGAATCATCCTGAAGAATCAAAACTAAAGAAATAATTTCTTTATTAAAGTAATACAGGTTGTATACTAATATTTATTCCCCAAAGAGCAGAGTGACAAATTAACTCTATAGTCTAACGTACAGTTAATAAAAAATAAAGATGTAGAGTCATTTATTTTAACTGCATACTTGAGAAGAAAACCTTGGGCTATAGGCCAAGAGCTTTTATAGATGTTAGCTCATAAAATTTGGGGTGACCTGGAATAGAAACATTCACCCCATGCCCAAAGGGGATATAATTCCTTGTCTTTCACCCCTAATTTCAGCTATTAACCAAGAGCTAGAAAAATGTGATGTTGTTATAGCCCAAAGCATTTTATTCTTTTTATTTTACATTTGAGGGTATGCGTGCAGATTTGTCACATAGGTATACTGCATGATGCCGACATTTGGGCACTTAATAATCCCATTGCCCAAGTTATGTACATATGTACATTATACCTGATACGTAGTTTTTCTTTCTTTTTTTTTTTTTATTGAGATGGAGTTTTGCTCTTGTTGCCCAGGCTGGAGTGCAATGGCACGATCTCGGCTCACCGCAACCTCCACCTCCCGGGTTCAAGCGATTCTCCTGCCTCAGCTTCTTGAATAGCTGGGATTACAGGCATGTGCCACCACGCCCGGCTAATTTTGTAGATACGTAGTTTTTCAGGGCTTGTTTTCCCTTCCTTCTTTCTTCTTTTTGGAATTCCCAGTGTTTATTGTTCCTATCTTTGTTTCCATGTGCATCCAATGTTTACCTCTCACATGTAAGTGAGAACATGTAGTATTTGTTTTCCTGATCTGTGTTAATTTGCTTATAATAATGGCCATTTGTTGCATTCATGCTGCTGCAGAGGACATTACTTCATTTTTTTAATGTGGCTGCATAGTATTGCAAGGTGTATAAGGACCTCATTTTCTTTATTCAATCTAAGTTTCATGAGTACCTGGTTTACTTCGGTGTCTTTGCTATTGTGAATAGTGATGCAATAAACATCTGATTGCAGGTGTCTTTTTTTTTGAGACAGAATCTCGCTCTGTCACCCAGGCTGGAGTGCAATGGTGTGGTGTTGGCTCACTGCAACCTCCGCCTCTCAGGTTCAAGCAGTTCTCCTGCCTCAGCCTCCTGAGTAGCTGGGATTACTGGCACCTGCCACCACACCTGGCTAATTTTTGTATTTTTAGTAGAGACGAGGTTTCTCCATGTTGGCCAGGCTGGTCTCTTACTGCTGACCTCGTGATCCACCCGCCTCGGCCTCCCAAAGTGCTGGGATTACAGGTGTGAGCCAGCGCACCTGGCTGACCGCAGATGTCTTTTTAGAAAAATAATTTATTCTCCTTTGGGTAGATACCCAGTAATGAGGTGTATGGGTCAAATGGCAGCTCAATTTTTAGTTTTTTAAGAAATCTCCAAACTGCTTTTTAAAGAGGCTAAATTAATTTGCATTTTTACCAACAGTGTATAAAGATTCCCTTTTCTTCACAACTTCAACATTTTCAATTTTTAAATTTTTTATTATTATGTTTTTGAGACAGAGTCTCACTCTATCACCCAGGCTGGAGTGCAGTGGTGCGATCTCAGCTCACTGCAACCTCCGCCTCCCAGGTTCAAGCAATTCTTTTGCCTCAGCCTCCCAAGTAGCTGGGACTGCAGATGCCCACCACCACGCTGGCTAATTTTTGTATTTTTATTAGAGACTGGCTTTTGCCATGTTGTCCATGCTGGTCTCCAACTCCTGACCTCAGGTGATCCAGCCGCCTCGGCCTCCCAAAGTGCTGAGATTACGGGCATGAGACACCGCACCCAGCCAATTTTTGACATTTTAATAACAGCCATTCTAACTGCTGGGAAATGGTATCACATTGTCACTTTGATTTACATCTCTCTGATGATTAGGGATGTTGAGCAATTTTTGCATGTTTATTGGCAGCTCTCACGTCTTCCTTTGGGAAATGCATATTCATATCATTCGCCGCCCTTTTTCTTATTAAATTTTTTTCTTTTTCTTTTTTTTTTTTGAAACGGAGTTTCACTCTTGTCGCCTAGGCTGGAGTGCTGTGGCACGATCTTGGCTCACTGCAACCTCCATCTCCCGGGGTTCAAATGATTCTCCTGCCTCAGCCTCCCGAGTAGCTGGGATTACAGGCATGCGTCACCATGCCCGGCTAATTTTTGTATTTTTTTTTTAGTAGAGATGGGGTTTCACCACGTTGGCCAGGTTGGTCTCGAACTCCTGACCTGAGGTGATCCACCTGCCTCAGCCTCCCAAAGTGCTAGGATTACAGGCGTGAGCCACTGCTCCTGGCTATTTCTTATAGATTCTATATATTAATCTTTCATTGTATGCAGTTTGCGAATATTTTATTCCATATTGTAGCTTGTCCACTTCGTTGATAGTTTCTATTGCTTTGCAGAAGCTCTTTAGTTTAATTAGATGCCAATTTCTGATTTTTATGTTTGTTGCACTCACTTTTATTAGTTTTAAGTTTTTTTTTTTTTTTTTTTTCAGACGCCAGTGTCTAGAAGAGTACTTTCTAGGTGTTCTTGAATTTTTGTAGCTTGAAGACTCACAGATAAGTCTTTAATATGTCTTTAGTTACATTTTTTATATGGGAAGAGGTAGGCGTCCAGTTTTCTTCTGCATATTACTAACCAGTCTTCCCAGTACAATTAATTAAACAGGGAGTTATTTCCCCTTTATTTCTGTTGACTTTGTCAAAAATAAGTTGGGTGTAAAAGTGTAGCTTTATTTCAGGGCTCTTTCTTCTGTTATATTGGTCTATATGTATATTTTTGTACCTGAACCATGTTACACCGGTTACTGTAACTCGTAGTAGTTTAAAGTCAGTTAATGGGAGGCCTCCAGGTTTATTCATTTTGTATAAAGTTGCCGTGGCTATTAGGGTTCTTTTATTATTCCATATAGATTTTAGAATAGCTTTTTTGTTTTGTTTGTTTGTTTTTGTTTTTCTGAGACGGAGTCTCACTCTGTCACCCAGGCTGTAGTGCAGTGGCGCAATCTTGGTTCACTGCAACTTCCGCCTCCCAGGTTCAAGCGATTCTCCTGCCTCAGCGTCCCGAGTAGCTGGGACTACAGGCGCATGCCACCATGCCCGGCTAATTTTTTGTATTTTTAGTAGAGATGGGGTTTCACTGTGTTAGCCAGGATGGTCTCGATATCCTGACCTTGTGATCCGCCTGCCTCGGCCTCCCAAAGTGCTGAGTAAAGGCGTGAGCCACCGCACCCGGCTTTTTTTTTTTTTTTTTTTTTTTTGAGACAGAGTCTGGTTCTGTCGCCAGGCTGGAGTGCAGTGGCACAATCTCGGCTCACTGCAACCTTCGCCTCCTGGGTTCAAGCGATTCTCCTGCCTCAGTCTTCTGAGTAGCCGGAACTACAGGCGTGCTCAACCACGCCAGGGTAATTTTTGTATTTTCAGTAGAGACAGGGTTTCACCATGTTGGCCAGAATGGTCTCGATCTCTTGAACCTTGGGATCCGCCCGCCTTGGCCTCCCAAAATGCTGGGATTACAGGTGTGAGCCACTGCGCCTGGCCTTCTTTTTTTAATTCTATAAAAAATGTCATTGATAGTTTCATAGAAATACCACTTAGTCTGTAGGCTGCTTTAGGCAGCATAGACATTTTAATTACATTCATTCTTCAAATCCATGAGCATATAATGCTTTTTTATTTATTTGCATTGTCTCTTATTTCTTCCAGTAGTGTTTTGTACTTCTTGTAGAGATATTTTACCTCTTTGATTTAGTGTATATGTAGGTATATTATTTTTTGTCTGTGGTTATTCAAAATAAAACTCTTCTTGGCCGGGCACGGTGGCTCATGCCTGTAATCCCAGCACTCTGGGAGGCCGAGGCGGGCGGCTCACCTGAGGTCAGGAAGTTCAAGACCAGCCTGGCCATGGTGAAACCCCGTCTCTACTAAAAATACAAAAAATTAGCCGGGCATGGTGGTGCGCGCCTGTAATCCCAGCTACTTGGGAGACTGAGGCAGGAGAATTGCTTGAACCCGGCAAGCGGAGGTTGCAGTGAGCAGAGATCACACCATTGCACTTCAGCCTGGGCAACAAGAGTGAAACTCCATCTCAAAAATAAATAAATAAAATAAAACTGTTCTTGATTTTGAATGTTATTGGTATACAAAAATGTGACTTGTGTATATTAATTTTGTATCCTGATACTTTGCTAAAGTCATTCATTAAGCTTTGGAGTCTTTTGGTGAACTTTTTTTTTTTAGACGGAATTTCGTTCTTGTTACCCAGGCTGGAGTGGCTGGAGTGCAACGGTGTGATTCCAGCTCACTGCAACCTCTGCCTCCCAGGTTCGAATGATTCTCCTGCCTCAGCCTCCCAAGTAGCTGGGATTACAGGCATGCGCCACCACACCCAGCTACTTTTGTATTTTTAGTAGAGATGGGGTTTAGCCATGTTGGCCAGGGTGGTTTTGAACCCCTGACCACAAGTGATCTACCCGCCTCGGCCTCCCAAAGTGTGGTATTACAGGCGTAAACCACTGCACCTGGCCCAAAATCTTTTGTTTTCTAGGTAGAGAATTATATAATCAGTGAAGATTATTTGACTTCCTCTCTTTCTATTTAGATGAGTTTTTTGGGGGGAGTGGGGTGGGGGGGATGGAGTTTCGTTCATGTTGCCCAGGCTGGAGTGCAATGGCATGATCTCGGTTCATCGGAACCTCCACCTCCCGGGTTCAAGTGATTCTCCTGTCTTAGCCTCCCGAGTAGCTGGGATTATAGGCACGTGCCACCACTCCCAGCAAATTTTGTATTTTTAGTAGAGATGGGGTTTCTCCATGTTGGTCAGGCTGGTCTCGAACTCCTGACCTCAGGTGATCCTCCCGCCTCGGCCTCCCAAAGGGCTGGGATTACAGGCATGAGCCACTGCGCCAGGCTTTAGATGCCTTTTATTTCTTTATTTTGTTGAATTGCTCTGACTAGGACTTCCAGAACTATGTTGAATAGAAGGGATAAAGTTGATATTCTTGTCTTATTTTTATTCTAATGGAGAATGCATCCAGCTTTTGCTTAAGTATAATGTTAGCTGAGGATTTGTCATAGATGGCTTATTATTTTGAGGTATGTTTCATCAATGCCCACTTTGTGGAGAATATTTTCATGAATGTTGAACTTTCTTGAATGCTTTTTTTTGCATCTATTGTGTTAATCGTATCATTTTTTGGTTTTATTATCTTTACATGTTGAATCACACTTGGTAGGTTTTTTATTACTAATTCAATTTCATTATCTATTTTATATATTTTTGCTTTGTTCAAGGCTTCTGTTTCTTCCTGGCTCAATCTTGGAAGTTTGTGTATCCAGGATTTTATCTATTTTCTCCTAATTTTCTAGTTTGCAGGCATAGAGATGTTCATAGTAGTCTCTGAGGATTTTTCCTGTCTATGTAGGATTTATTGTGATTTCACAAATCTAACATTTAAATAGATGCAAAGCACAAAAAGAAAGAAATAGATGCAGAAGAAAAGTTTGACAAAAGTTGACACTCCCTTATGATGAATCTCTGAAAAAAACAGGTATGGAACAAATGCACCTCAGCCAATAAATGCCACATATAACCAAAAAATGCACAGCTAATAACATGCTAAACAGGGATATGTTGCAAGCTTTCACTCTAAGAGCTAGAACAAGACAAGGATGCCCACTCTAGTCAGTCTTACTAAACATAGTACTAAATATCCAAGACAAAGAAATTAGAGAGTAAAATCAAAAGTATCCAGATTGGAAAAAAGGAATGTAAATTATCCCTGTATAATAATCTTTTATTTCTATACAACATCTGAAGTATAGAAAAGCCTAAGACTTTACAAAAAACTATTAGAACTAATAAACAAAGTTATTAGACTTTCAGAATAAATAAGCTACATCCAAAAGTAAGCAGCATTTCTATACAATAACTATCTCGAAATTAAAAAACAATTCCATCTAACTTTAGTAACTATGCTTTGAAATAAATATAACCAAAAAGTTGAAACATCTTGCATTATACTCTAAAGAACATTAAACAAATTAAGTAATATACACATAAAATAATATTCATTCATGAATTGGCATTATTAGTAATTAAGTATCTGTATTACACAAAATGATCTATGGATATAATGCAACCTCTATCAAAATACCAGTGACATACTTCATAGAAATTTTAAAAAGTAGGCTGGGCATGGCGGCTCATGCCTGTAATCTCAGCACTTTGGGAGGCTGAGGTGGGTAGATCTTGAGGTAAGGAGTTTGAGACCAGTCTGACCAACATCGTGAAACCCCATCTGTACTAAAAATACAAAACTTAGTTGGGCGTGATGGTGCGCACATGTTGGGCCTGTAATCCCAGCTACTCAGGAGGCTGAGGCAGGAGAATCACTTGAACCCAGGAAGCAGAGGTGGCAGTGAGCCGAGATCACACCACTGCACTCCAGCTTGGGCAACAGAGTGAGACTTTGTCTCAAAAAAAAAAAAAAGAAGTTTAAAAATGTATATCTAAAATTCATATGGTACCACAAAAGATCCAAATAGCCAAAGCAATTAAAAAAAAAAAGTGAAGATATCCCTCTACTTGACTGAAATATACCACAAAGCTATAGTAACTAAAACAGTATGGTACTGAATAAAAACAGACATATAGGCCAATTGAGCAGAAAGAGACCAGAAATACATCTGTGTATTTACAGCTAGCTGATTTTAAATAAAGGTGATGATTTCTTAAGGAAAGAACAGTATCTTCAATAAATGTTGTTGAGAAAACTATATCCACAGGCAGCACAGTAAAATGAGACCCTTATCTCACACCATATTAAAAAATCAACGAAAATAAATTAGATACTTAAATGTAAGGCCTGAAACTATTACTAAAAAATAGAGTGAAATCCCCATCACATTGTCCTGGGCAGAGAGTTTATTTAACCTCAAAATCCCAGGGAATAGAAGAAAAAATAGATTAGTCAGATTACTTCAAATTATAAAGCTGCTGCACAGAATGTGGTACAATCAACAGGATGAGACAACTAATTAATGAGAGAAAGTATTTGCAAATCATACATGTGACAAGGAGTTAATATTAAAAATATATAAGAAACTCAAATGACTACAACAAAAAAGAAATAACTTAAAATAAGCAAAAGCCTTAAATAAGTCTTTTTCAAGAAAAGACATACATATGGCCAACAGAAATATTTAAAAATGCTCATTGTCAATTATGATCAGGGAAAGGCAAGCCAAAAAACACTATGAGATATCAACTCACTCCTATAATATGACTCTTATTAAAAAGAAAAAGAATAAAGTGCTGGTAAAGACGTGAAGAAAAGGGAATACTTGCATACTGTTGGTTTGAATGTAAATGAAGACAGCTATTATGAAAAATGAAATAGAGGTTTCTCAAAAAACTTAAAATCAAACTACCATGTAACATAGCAATTGCACCATTGGATATGTGTCCGAAACAGATAATGCCTAATGAAGAACATTTGCACTTCTATGTTGTTTGCAGCACTCTTCATAAAAGACAAAATATAGAATCAACAGTTCAAGGCCGGGCACTGTGGCTTACGCCTGTAATCCCAGCACTTTGAGAGGCCGAGGCAGGTGGATTACCTGAGGTCGGAAGTCTCCCCCTGTTGCCCAGGCTGGAGTGCAGTGGCTCCATCTCAGCTCACTGCAACCTTCACCTCCCAGGTTCAAGCGATTCTCCTGCCTCAGCCTCAGGAGTAGCTGGGATTACAAGTGTGTGCTACCACACTGCCTAATGTTTTTGTATTTTTAGTAGAGACGGGGTTTCACTACATTGGCCAGGCTATCTCGAGCTCCTGACCTCGTGATCTGCCCGCCTCAGCCTCCCAAGGTGCTAGGATTACAGGCATGAGCCACCATGTCTGGCCAGGAACTCTGATATTTTAACAGCATGTTCCAAACCCAGCACGTTGCAAGGGAGGAGCTGATGTACTTCAGGATTTTTGCTTTAAGCTTGGGGCACCTGGAGTTTCTGGTGATGATGGTAATGGTATGAAAGACACTAAGGGGGCAGTTGTTGCCTATGGTCCCATAACTGGCCACTCTGTGAACACAGTATAACTAGTTTACATGCAAACTAACAGTAAATGTTTTAATCCCAAAACTGTCAGGATCTCCAAAAGTTATCCAGAGAAAATGACTGAGGAGTTGGCTATAGTTAGGTGACTAAAAATAAAAACTGAAGACTGAACTTCACCCACTAAAAAAATTATACAAAATGAGAGAAATTCCTCCAAATTTCAATATCAATATGGAAAAAAAATTCTTCCAAATTGCAAATTCACAGAGGTCATTTTATTATTTTGCAACCTTTAACATTTACGCTTAGAAGATTCTGCATGGAAACATAAGTTGTGTTATATCACAGAGAATTCAATATAAAATTGTTCACTTACCATTAACTCTTTTAAAAATTTAATTTTTGCCAGATGCAGTGGCTCATGCCTGTAATCCCAGCATTTTGGGAGGCCGAGGAGGGTGGATGACCTGAGGTTGAGAGTTCGAGACCGGCCTGACCAACATGGAGAAACCCCATCTCTACTAAAAATATAAGATTAGCAGGGTGTGGTGGGGCATGCCTGTAATCCCAGCTACTCGGGAAGGCTGAGGCAGGAGAATCGCTTGAACTTGGGAGGTGGAGGTTGTGGTGAGCCGAGATCGTGCTATTGCCCTCCAGCCTGGGCAACAGAAGCAAAACTCCATCTCAAAATAAAATAAAATAAAATAAAATAAAAAATAAAGTCTCCGTGCAGTGTTTGTAATCCCAGCACTATGGGAGGCCAAGGTGGGTGGATCACGAGGTCAGGAGTTCGAGACCAGCCTGGCCAACATGGTGAAAACCTGTCTCTACTTAAAATACAAAAATTAGCTGGGCGTGGTGGTGCGCACCTGTAATCCCAACTACTCAGGAGACTGAGGCAGGAGAATCGCTTGAACCCGGGAGGTGGAGGTTGCAGTGAACTGCGATCGCGCCACTGCACTCCAGCCTGGGCAACAGAGTGAGACTCTTTCTCAAAATAAATAAATAAATAAATAAATAAATAATTTTTAAGGTATATTTTCTAGCAAATTTTTTATTTGCCACACTTTGTATAACAATGTAATAAGCTTTTTCTTTTACAAACAAACAAAACCCATGCAACTGATTTAATTCTCTCACCTGTGGACAGTGTATGCCTTTATCTTAATTCACTGATCTGAAAGTTATATTGATAAGCAAACTCTCCAGTTAAACCCAATTTTTCATGCTTGGTGCTGTGGCTCACATCTGTAATCCCAGCACTTTGGGAGGCCTAGGTGTGTGGATCACCTGAGGTCAGGAGTTCAAGACCAGCCTCACCAACAAGGTGAAACCCCATCTCCACTAAAACTACCAAACTAGCTGGACGTGGTGGCGCATACCTGTAATCCCAGCTACTTGGGAGGCTGAGGCAGGAGAATCACTTGAACCCAGGAGGCAGAGGTTGCAGTGAGCCGAGATCGCACCATTGCACTCCAGCCTTGGCAGCAAGAGTGAAACTCCATCTTAAAGAAATAGAAAACAAAAACATTTTTTCAGGGCATTAAAAATTATGAAGTTTCTCATCAAAATCTACAAAGTACCATGTGAAATGAAATGGCATGAAGACAACAAAGAGAAAACTGTAGCCATAACATAGAAAAATAAGGGCTGTGATGCATACATAGCTAGAATACACATAATACAAACAAATCTGAAGAAAATAAAAGCAGCATTTTTTTTTTTTTCAGACGGAGTCTTGCTGTGTCGCCCAGGCTGGAGTGCAGTGGTGTGATCTCGGCTCACTGCAAGCTCCGCCTCCCGGGTTCATGCCATTCTCCTGCCTTAGCCTCCCGAGTAGCTGGGACTACAGGCGCCTGCCACCACGCCTAGTTAATTTTTTGTATTTTTAGTAGAGACGGGGTTTCACCGTGTTAGCCAGGATGGTCTTGATCTCCTGACCTTGTGGTCTGCCCACCTCAGCCTCCCAAAGTGCTGGGATTACAGGCGTGAGCCACCGCACCCAGCTAGCATTTTTTTTTTTTTGAGGCGGAGTCTCGCTCTGTTGCCCAGGCTGGAGTACAGTGGTGTGATCTCAGCTCACTGCAACCTCCGCCTCCCAGGTTCAAGGGATTCTCTGCCTCAGCCTCCCAAGTAGCTGGGATTACAGGCACCTGCCACCATGCCCAGGTAATTTTTGTATTTTTAGTAGAGACGGGGTTTCACCATCTTGGCCAGGCTGGTCTTGAACTCCTGACTTCATGATCGACTTGTCTTGGCCTCCCAAAGTGCTGGGATTGTAGGTGTGAGCCACCGTGCCAGGCCACATTTTTTTTTTTTTTTTTTTTTTTTAATTCAGCAACACTCAGCTTTGCAGCCTGGAAGTGTCCTCTCCACATAAAACATCAGCTGTATTTCTTCACTACTAATATTTTCTATCTCTGACTTGAAGTTACAAACTAACTTTAGCAGAAATGTTTATGGCTTTTTCTGGAGCATGTTACACACCAAGAACTGCTATATATGCTTTCCACATTTACATGTAAAAACATCTTCATGACTTACTAAGCTTCCCTTGTATTTACCTGAACAATTTGACTCCATAAATAAATTTACTTTGTCAATTATAAAAAGTAAAAAGAACAATAACTAAAGAATAGTAAGCTTATATAGGGTTCTCCAATTGAAAACAAAATGGAGTGTTCTAGCTAAATAAAATGTAACTTAATATACTAATTGTGGAATTACATATAAAATTATTTTGTATGCACATTTCATAAAAATTATTCTTATACTCACATTCCAGCTCACATAATGAATATTTCATAAACTATAAAATAAATATACAAAATACCAAAAAGTAGGGGTCTATCATGAGTACCAGGCAAGTATAAACAGAATTTGCATGGGGAGATTCCGAAGTATAAGGCATAGATTATACAGTAATAAATTCAATACAAAGCAGAGAGTATATGTTTGCTTTTGCATTTTTGAGGTTTTTAGTTTTCTAGTAGTCACCTTGTTAAAATGACTTGTTTTGTTCCTATATTGCTCTTTTTTTTTCTGAAAGTAGGGACAAACTCATATTCCATAGTTTTCTTACAACTAAGATTTATCTTTAGACTAATATATATTTAACTCTATGTAAATCAAAACTAAAAGTTTGTATGTGTTTGTAGGCAGACAGGCCACATGTTCAAAAATATATGTAAGAAAATTTTAATAATATTTATTCAGGACTCAGAAATGTATGGATTTTATTTATACTTGCATATTTTTTATTATGACCATAAAAATAACCCTGTAACCGATAACAATTGTACATTTTAAAATAACTAAAAGTGTAGAACTGAATTGTTTGTAATACAAAGGATAAATTATTGCTAGAAGTGATGGATACCCCATTTGCCCTGATGTGATTATTATATATGGTACTCCTGTATCAAAATATGCCATATATGGCATAAATATATACTCATATTATGTACCCACAAAAATTTTAAAAATAAATTTAAATAATTGAAAAAGAAAAATTTAACCTACAGAAGCAATATTCTTTAACTAATTTGCAGTTTAAACCCACTGACAAAAGAGATTACTCAAGATGTTAATCCACTATGTTGCCAAATAGTATATTGTTACCATCTTTTTTTTTTTTTTTGAAACAGAGTTTCACTCTTTCACCCAGGTGCAGTGCCGCGATCTTGGCTCACTGCAACCTCCACCTTCTGGTTTTAAGCGATTCTTCTGCCTCAGCCTCCCAAGTAGCTGGGATTGCAGGCGCCAGCCACCACAACTGGCTAATTTTTGTATTTTTAGTAGAGACGGGGTTTCACCACGTTGGCCAGGCTGGTCTTGAACTCCTGACCTCGTGATTCATCCACCTCAGCCTCCCGAAGTGCTAGGATTACAGGTGTGAACCACTACGCCTGGCCCCTTATTGTTATTATCTTTCATCTATACCTTTAAGTAAAGTGGAACAGGTTAAAGTTCGTGGCATAATAACACTTCATTGAATGCACAATAGTATTTAACATGTTAAAAATATTGGATTAAAATATTAACCACACATAACCTAACATTTTTAAAATACACTGGATTTTATTATACAAAAGTACAATTAGTACAATAATATACTAATTTATTTTCATTTAATTTTAAATAAAATTAAAAATGTTCTCACAACGCAAAATATTACTCTGAACACCTACCTAATGCATTATTCAATATAAATTAACCATAAAGAGCCTCTTCACTTAATTTTTCATCATGCATCTTACATTTTAATGTCCTTACTCTTTCATAGAAAAGATCATAAATAATGGCCACCTAATAAAAAAGACTCATGTTTTTAATGCAGCAATAACTGATCACATGCTTTCACATGTGAATACAACTGGAATAAAGAAACAGTAGGAAATATTTTGAGAGTTGAATTACATCATTATTTACAAAAAATCTGTAATTTTTTCAAGAAATAAAGTATACTTCAAACGTAATAACTCTGCAAAAAGCCCTTCTACTCCTTTTAAAGTTATATACAAATAATTTTTCTACCAACTTTAGTTGTTTTTTTTTTTTTTTTTTTGAAATGGAGTTTCACTCTTGTTGCCCAGGCTGGAGTGCAATGGCGCAATTTCAGTTCACTGCACTCTCCACCTCCCGGGTTCAAGCAATTCTCCTGCCTCAGCCTCTCGAGTAGCTGTGATTACAGGCATACACCACCACAGCTGGCTAATTTTGTATTTTTAGTAGAGCCGTGTTTTCTCCATGTTAGTCAGGCTGGTCTCAAACTCCTGACCTCAGGTGATCCACCCTTCTCGGCCTCCCAAAGTGCTGGATTACAGGTGTGAGCCACTGCACCTGGCCCCAACTTCAGTTTTATTTTCTATACTCAGCACTCTGATTTAGTATAATATCTGAAGTCTCAGTGCCTTATATATTTCTACAGTAAATTCTCTGATATTTACATAGACTTAATTTTGGATTAAATATTTTCATTTTTACTGCATCTGCAAAAATATATTTTAGTATGAACTCTGGTGTCTTCTAAGCTGTACTTTTTGAAAAAGTGTTTTTTAAAATTTATTAAATTTGCAAAGTTTTTCTTCAATATAAATTCCCTGATGTTGAACAAAGTTTGAGCAACTACTTCAGAGTTTTCTTCTAGTACAAAATGTGTACAATAAAATCTGTGATACAAATAAAGGTACTACAACCCTCTTCACATTTGTAGTGTTCATCTTCAAAATAAATACCTTCTTCGCTTTAAAGGTTTATATTTTCTGAAAGATCTTTTGACAGTAATTGCACTTATATTCCTTTTATTAAGTATGAACTCTCCAGTGGTAAGATGTGAATAGATATTAATGGCTTTTTCATGGTCTTTATATTTGTACAATTTTTTTCAAGTATAAATGCTCTCCTGTGCAATAAGGTGTGAGCATTCATTAAAAGTTTTGCCACACTGTTCACACTTGTAGAAGTTTTCTTCAGTATGAACTATCTTACCTATAATGAAGTGTGACAACCATTTAAAGGCCTTGTCACATTCTTTACATTTCTAGGATTTCTCACCAGTATGATTTTTTATGTTTAAAAGTTTTAGGTGTTGTCAAAAGCACTGTCACATCTTTCAAGTTTGTAGAGTTTCTTTTCAGTATGAATTATCTTTTTTTTTTTTTTCTGAGATGGAGTGCCACTCTTGTTGCCCAGGCTGGAGTGCAATGGCGCGATCTCAGCTCACTTCAACCTCTGCCTCCCGGGTTCAAGCAATTCTCCTGCCTCAGCCTCCCGAGTAGCTGGGATTACAGGCATGCACCACTACGCATGGCTAATTTTGTATTTTTAGTAGAGACAGGATTTCACCATGTTGGTCAGGCTGGTCTCGAACTCCCAACCTCATGTAATTCACCCGTCTCAGCCTCCCAAAGTGCTGGGATTACAGGTGTGAGCCACCGCACCCAGCCAGAATTATCTTATGTCTGGTAAGAATTGAGGACTTGTTGAAGGCTTTGCCATATTCTTCACACTCATAGGGTTCCTCTTCAGTATGAATGTTCTTATGTTTAGTAAGAATTCAGGACGGGTTAGAGGCTTTGCCACAATCTTCACATTTGTAGGGTTTCTCTCCAGTATGAATTACTTTGTTCAATAAGGTTTGAGGACTGGTTGAAAGCTTTGCCGTATTCTTCACAGTTGTAGGGTTTCTCTCCAGTATGAATTACCTTATGTTTAGTAAGAGTTGAAGACTGGCTAAAGGCTTTATCACATTCTAGGTATTTGTAAGATGTATCTCCAATATGAGTTATCTTATGTTTAGTAAGGTTTGAGAATTGGTTAAAAGCTTTGCCACATTCTTCACATTTGTAGGGTTTCTCTCCAGAATGAATTACCTTATGTGCAGTAAGTTTTGGGGACCGGTTAAAGGCTTTGCCACATTCTTCACATTTGTAGGGTTTCTCTCCAGTATGAATTATCTTATGTGCAGTAAGGTTTGAGGACTCATTAAAAGCTTTGCCACATTGTTCACATTTGTAGGGTTTCTCTCCAGTATGAATTCTTTTATGTTTAGTAAGGGTCGAGGACCAATTAAAGCCTTTGCCACATTCTTCACATTTGTAGAATTTCTCTCCAGTATGAATTATCTTATGTTTAGTAAGGTATGAGAATCGGTAAAAAGCTTTGCCACATTCTTCACATTTGTAAGGTTTCTCTCCAGCATGAATTATCTTATGTGTAGTAAGGGTTGAGGATTGGTTAAAAGCTTTGCCACATTCTTCACATTTGTAGGGTTTCTCTCCAGTATGAATAATCTTATGTGTAGTAAGGTGTGAGGACCGGTTAAAAGCTCTGCCACATTCTTCACATCTGTAGGGTTTCTCTCCAGTATGAATTCTTTTATGTGTAGTAAGGTGTGAGGACCGGTTAAAGGTTTTGCCACATTCTTCACATCTGTAGGGTTTCTCTCCAGTATGAATTATCTTATGTGTAGTAAGGGTTGAGGACTGCTTAAAAGCTTTGCCACATTGTTCACATTTGTAGGGTTTCTCTCCAGTATGAATTCTTCTGTGTCTAGTAAGGGTTGAGAACCAGTTAAAGACTTTACCACATTCTTCACATTGGTAAGAATTTTCCCTAATATGAATTCTTTTATGTTGAGTTAGGTGTAAAAGCATGCAAAACGATTTGTCACATTTTTTACATTTGAAAGGCTTCTTTCCAGTATGTCTTATCTTTTGTATATTTGGATTTGAAAATTTATAAAAGACATTCACATATTTATCATATTGAAATATTTCACTCTGGGTAGTTGTCAAACACTGGTTTAGTTCATCATAACATTCTTTGTGCAGATTACACTCATCCACACTTTTACAGCCTGTTCTTAACTGTAAATCTTCATGTCCACATTTTCCATATCTTCTCAATATGACTTCTTGGAAAGAATCTTTTATGCCCTGCTCTGGCCAAAGGTCTTGGGCAAAATGAGAATATGTAACTGAAAGAAATAAAAATAACAAATTACTCCATTTACTAGACTCAGATGAATATGCTTTACAAATCTAACCCATATAATTATACAAACTACATAAACAAGATGGCATAGCAAAATAATAAAGGCCCTAATTTTTTTTTTTTTTTAGACAGAGTCTCATTCTGTAGCCCAGGATGGAGTGCAATGGCGTGATCTCTGCTCACTGCCACCTCCGCCACCCAGGCTCAAGCTATTCTCCTGCCCCAGCCTCCAAAGTAGCTGGGATTACAGGCACGCACCACCACGCACAGCTAATTTTTGTATTTTTAGTAGAGATGGGGTTTCGCCATGTTGGCCAGTCTGGTCTCGAACTCCTGACCTCAGATGATGCGTCCACTTCAGCCTCCCAAAGTGCTGGGATTACCGCACTTTGGCACACCAGCCACCGCGCCTGGCCCAAAGGCCCTAATTTTTTACAGACATGTAAATGTAACAAAAACATCCAACAAAAATACATCTGAGGAAAATTTATAAATAAGTTAAGTGTGTGAAGTGCCCCAGCTGAGCACAACATAGAGAGTGACACAGAAGAAAAAGAAAAGTCTGTTAAATTTACCCAACACAGCTCTTCCTGCTCCCCACTGCCAACTTTTGGTTTCTTTTTTAAAAGACAATTAAAATACTGCCACATACATCTTTATTACTTGCTTCTAGGGACCTATCTATACACTGGTTTCTGTCTCCTATGACATCTAGTGCTGAAAGAAATGGTGGTATACTTTGGAATGACAGTTTAAGTCTGCTGAGACCAAAGCTAAATGTTACAGCAGCAGAGAGACTGCAGTGCCACACACAGAAAACAGGTGTAGCAAGTTATTACTATTAAGAAGAAACAAAAAAAGGCCAGTTGTGGTGGTTCATGCCTGTAATTCCAGTACTTTGGGAGGCCAAGGCTGGCGGATCACTTGAGGTCACAAGTTTGAGACCAGCCTGGCCAACATGGTGAAACTCCATCTCTACTAAAAAAACAAAAGAAAAGTTAGCCAGGTGTGATAGCGTACACCTGTATTCCCAGCTACTTGGGAGGCTGAGGCAGGAGAATCACTTGAACCCAGGTGGCGGAGGGTGCAGTGAGCCGAGATTGCGCCACTGCACTCCAGTCTGGGAGACAGAGCAAGACCCCGTCTGACAAAAAAACAAAAAACAAACAAAAAAAAAAACTAAAAAAAGAAGAAACACAAACTCTTTTAATTAAAAAATAAACACAAAATTGTAGACAAGACACATTCTAGCAACATGTTTGAGAGACTCCCAGTATCTCTAATCAAGACAATTGTCCAGACTATGCCAGGACAAAGCTACATTATAAGGATTGTGACAGGTAGCTTTTTTAAATGTACAAATTTCAATCAAAGATTACAATGTATACAAAATAAGGCAATATGGTTTTATCAAAAATATAAAAGTTTCAGAGAGAAACCATAAAAAATGTATATATTAATTTTAAAAATTGAAAACAAATTGAATAATACTCAGTGAGTGACACAGAAACATAGAGAACTACAGAAAATCAGAAAAATGAGGGTAAGAACAAAAATATGTAAAATACCAGAAAAACAGAAATTATGAAGGCAAAAAATACCAAAAAGACTAACTGAAAAATCCTGAAAGAAAAAATGACGGCCGGGCGCGGTGGCTCACGCCTGTAATACCAGCACTTTGGGAGGCTGAGACAGGTGCATCACGAGGTCAGGAGATTGAGACCATCCTGGCTAATACGGCGAAACCTTGTCTCTACTAAAAAAAGAAAAAATCAGCCGGGCGTGGTGGCGGGCGCCTGTAGTCCCAGCTACGCAGGAGGCTGAGGCAGGAGAATGGCGTGAACCGGGGAGGCGGAGCTTATAGTGAGCGGAGATGCGCCACTGCACTCCAGCCTGGGCGACAGAGCGAGACTCCGTCTCAAAAAAAAAAAAAAAAAAAAAAAAGACGTAAAAATGAAGAAGCTCAAAAAACAAACTAGGATACACACAAAGATATTTATAACAAACACATATATAAGCACAATTTCAAAAGTCACAGACAAAAACAGCCTCTTGGAAACTGCAAGATAAAAGTGATGTCATTTGCAAGCATAGTCTTATGACACAGCCAGTAAATTGTCAACAAAAATTTTGCAGGCCAGAAGGGTACTGTCTGATATAGTCAAAGTCCTGAAAAAAATAGCTATCAAGTGAGTATAATACCATCAGCAAATATGTCCTGCTAAATAAAAAAAAAAAACCTTAAAAAATAACCAAATTCTGAAAAAGTGCATTGGTACTCCGTATGCTCTACATATAAAAAGATGCTAAAAGCAGTTGCTTCTACTGAAAATAACATTATTCAATGAAACAACACATCATCATAGAAAAATACATTATTTTCTGGAAAAGATATGCACAAACACAAAAATTGAATTTTTAAGCATTATTATAATGGTGCAGAAAACATTTTTAATTATTTTCTAAAATTTGAAAGTTAAAAGCATAGAAATCATTATAAACATCTGTTAGTTAATATACAACATAAAAAATATAATTCAAACATCAATGAAAAATTTGAGGGCAGATGTAATGAGAAAAAATATTTGCATGTAACTGAAGTTTTTTTCTTTTTACCAGACTGAAATATATCGTTGTATCTTTTAGAGGTTTTATGTAATCCCCAAGATAGCACAAATAATATATTTGTATAGATACACAAACAAAATAAGAAAGAAGTAAAAGTATATCAACATAAAAACAAAAAAGACACAAATTAAGAGAGAAAATGAGAGACAAAGATACAAGAATCAAATACAACAATAAAATAACATTAATGTCTTTCTGTTTCAGAGTTTATATATATACACATACATATATATAACTAACTTTCCACTCAAGTGACATGAGTTCAATAAAGTGATTTATTAAAAAAATTTTTGGCTGGGCGCAGTGGCTCACGCCTGTAATCCCAGCACTTTCAGAGGCCAAGATGGGCGGATCGCCTGAGGTCAGGAGTTTGAGACCAGCCTGGCCAACATGGTGAAATCTCATCTCTAGCAAAAATACAAAAATTAGCTCAGTGTGGTGGTACCTGCCTGTAATCCCAGCTACTCGGGAGGCTGAGGCAGGAGAATCACTTGAACCTGGAAGGCGGAAGTTTCAGCGAGCCAAGATCATGCCATTGCACTCCAGCCTGGGCGACATAGTGAGACTTTGTATCAAAATAAATAAATAAATAAAAATAAAAAAACCAATGTAGAAAATAACCTATATGTGATGGTCCATTCTCAATTCTAAGTGCGTTAGTTTTAAGCAGGTTACATGGAAATAAAGACATAAAGAAGCAGAGTGTACTGAGTCATCACCCCCCTCCTTCCTGCCTTCTCTTTTACCCAGTAGCCAGGCGCCTATAGGTCAGGGTCCCCGCAACCACACCCCCTCCACCCCACCAAAAAATTTAGGTTAGTTTGCAACATAGATAATTGTACCCTTTCTTATCAGCTAAGTGCAGCCACTAGGGCCACAAATCAAATGTCTGAAGAGTCCTGAACAGTCGCGATGCATTTTGGGCTGCAACAAAATGCAACAAGACAACTCGTAAAAGAAACACCTAAAGCCCTTGCCAATAGGTGACATCTGGGAAGACTGTGACCCAATAGTAGTCAGCCTATGAGGAACCAGGGGGAGGGACCTGTGCACTAAGAGATAATTGTTTGTTGAAACTGTGCTGCGTGTGCCTGTATGCCAGACACTCAATCTTGCAAGACCGTCATTAAAAGTCTCACTTTCGCTGTTCTCCAGGTCCCTGAGTCCATTCTTTGGGTTTGGATAGGTGAGTTTGTTTCTCACACCAAGATGCAACTTGCCTTTCTACAAGACTCAGCTAAAATCTAATGACAAAAAAGGATTGAAAGTGGCAAGATGGATTTAGACATTCCATGCAAATATTAACCAAATGAGAGCAGAAGAGACCAAAATAATATTACACAAGCTACATCTTAAGTCAAAAACTGTCATAGTTTATAAAATGTACTTTAGGTCAAAACTGCAAAGAGACAAAGACATTAAACAATAATACATTCATTTACTGGGAACCTATGTATATATATGTGTGTGTGTGTGTTTGTATCTTACATTAAGTCTCCAAACATATAAAGCAAATATTGAAAGAATGGAAAAAACACTTAGACAGTAATATAATTATGGTAGGACATTTCAATACCCAACTTTCTGTAATAAAAATAACACAAGACAGAATATTAGTAAGTAAAGAGAGGACTTGAAGGCAGTATAAAACAACTATTTCTAACAGAGGTATAGAGAAGACACCTCAACAATATCAGGATGCATGCCCTTCTCAGTAGCTCATACAACATTCTCCTTGATAGACCACCTGGTAGGCAAAAAAAGAAGTCTTAACAAATTTTTTTAATTTTTAAGTTTTTAAAAACAATTTATGAATTACATTCTATGACCAAAATGAAATGAGTATAAAACAGACAAAAACTGAAAAATTTATAACTATATAGATATTAAACAC
Source organism: Homo sapiens (assembly GCF_000001405.40). NCBI lineage: Eukaryota > Metazoa > Chordata > Mammalia > Primates > Hominidae > Homo > Homo sapiens. Next base: position 21,052,091 of record NC_000019.10, on the reverse strand, counting down.
ATTCTCCAGCATGCTCCTGTTCAAAGGTTGAAATAATTAATATTTTGAAGACGTCCATACTGCTCAATGTAATACAGAGATTTAATGCAATTTTTTTTTTAATTTCTCATTGCATTTTTGAGGAAACAGAAACAGCAACTCCAAAAGTAGCATATGGACTCTCAAAAGACAATAAAGTACCCAAAGTATTCAAAAAAAGGAACAATGTTGAAGTCATTATAGTTCCTGATTTCAAAATACATTACAAAGTTACAGAATAAAAACAATTTGGTATGAGTATAATGGCTAAAAAGTGGACTAATAGGCTGGGTGCAGTGGCTCACGCCTATAATTCCAGCACTTTGGGGGGCCAAGGTGGGCGGATCATGAGGTCAAGAGATCGAGACCATCCAGGCCAACATAAAACCCCATCTCTACTAAAAATAAACAAATTAGCTGGGCTTGGTGGTACGAGCCTGTAGTCCCAGCTGCTCAAGAGGCTGAGGCAGGAGAATCACTTGAACCCGGGAGGTGGAGGTTGCAGTGCGCCGAGATCGCACCACTGCACTCCAGCCCGGGTGACAAAGTGAGACTGTCTCAAAACAAAGTGAACTAATAAAATAGAAGTTAGCACATATATAAATGTTCACATATATGGCCATATGAAGTTATTTGCATATCCATAATTATTGCAGCATTGCTACTGAAAGCCAGTAGGTAAAAGGAATGCAAATTTCTGTCACCAAATTATTCAGTAGATATAATTTAAAATATAAAAATACTGGAATATCACCTAGGACTTAAAAAGCCAAAAATATTCTAACAATTATAAAGATAAAGCTTGATGATATTATGCAAAATGAAATGAGCCAGCCACAAAAAGAGACTGTAGAAGATACATGAAACAGTTACACTCTTAGAAAGAGAAAACAGAGTGGTGCTTGCAAAGTGCCAGAAAGTCAGAAAAATTGGTTCTTGTTTAATGTGTATTGAGATTTAGCTTTGCAACATATAAATATTATAGGGATATGTTGCATAACATTGTCATATAATTAATATGACTAAACAGCATATTTTATTTTTTTCAGACGGAATCTTGCTCTGTTGCCCAGGCTGGAGTGAGGTGGCATGATCTCAGCTCACTGCAACCTCTACCTCCCGGGTTCAAGTGATTCTCCTGCCTCAGCCTCCCGAGTAGCTAGGACTACAGGCACTCGCCACCACACCCGGGTAGTTTTTGTATTTTTAGTAGAGACAGGGTTTCACCAAGATAGCCAGACTGGTCTTGAACTCCTGACCTCGGGCAATCCTCCCACCTTGTCCTCCCAAAGAGCTGGGATTACAGGCATGAGCCACTGCACCTGGCCTAAACAGCATATTTTAAAATGTTTGATAATAAATTTTGTTATGTGGTTCTGACAAGTAAAAATAAACAATAATACCTAAAAAAGACACAAAGTTATGATAGTTTGTATATAATCTTCAAATCCAAGAGTGTTTCTTCCACACAAAAATAATATAGATTCACAATAGATATTGAAATTAGGAGATGACTGCTCACCTAGACAAGATTGAACAACCACTCACAACAAACCTACATAACAAATATACAAGTCATAAAAAATACAGAGAGAATATTTATACAGGGAAAAAGAGATAATTATATTGGCAATAGACATATGGCTGATTTATATTTGATTTTGCTCCAAACTGCCTTAAATTGTACAGAGTTAAACATTGTCATACACAATTACAATATAAACTAAAACATCAAAACACAGTTAATTGGTATGAGGTGGCATACCCTAAAATATATAACATAAAAATATAAAATTGCAAAACAAAAGAAAAATATGGAATGTAAAACTTATTGGACACCATCAAGTCCATCAATATATTCATGAAATAAATCTTAGAAGAATATAGGGGGGCTGGGCACAGTGGCTCATGCCTGTAATCCCAGCACTTTGGGAGGCCGAGGCAGGCGGATCACACAGTCAGGAGATCGAGACCGTCCTGGCTAAGACGGTGAAACCCTGCCTCTACTGAAAAAATACAAAAAATTAGCCAGGTGTGGTGGTGGGCGCCTGTGGTCCCAGCTACTCGGGAGGCTGAGGCTGAGATCGAGCCACCGCACTCCAGCCTGGGTGACAGAGAGAGACTCTGTCTCAAAAAAAAAAAAGAGAAGAATAATGTAGGGAAAAAGTAATACAGAGGTAAATTAAAGAAAACGAAAGCTGAGAACTTCCCAAATTTTGATGTAATAAAAAATTCTAACCAATAATATTTAATTCAAAGTTATTTTACTTGAAAAACAAAATAAAAATACAGACTTTCCTAAATTAAATTTCAGGGTGTTCACTATAAGAAATGTTACACGAAATGTAACAAGAAATGTTACACGAAATGTAACAAGAAATGTTGCACGAAATGTAACAAGAAATGTTGCAGGAAACGTAACAAGAAATGTTGCACGAAATGTAACAAGAAATGTTACATGGTGGCCAGACATAGTGGCTCATGCCTGTAATTCTACAGCTTTAGGAAGCCAAGGCAGTCAGATCTCTTGAGACCAGGAGTCCAAGATCCAGTCTGAGAAACACAGACTCTGCATATAAACAAATAGAAATGCTAAAATGAATCCATTTTGTTGAAAAATAAAATGATGCTAGACAGCATCATAAAACCATATATAAAGCTCCCTATTAAATATAAATATACAGATACATATAGAATTTTTTACTATCATAATGGTGCATAAAACCGTTAAAGTTCTGTAGATATAAAAATACAAGATATAAATCTGTTAATAGATACATAATATAATTTGTAGTATCAATAACAAACTGGAAAACATAGCAGTATAGGTTTTGTATTTAATTAAAGTTTAAGAAGTTAAAATATATCTTTTTTACTTTTTTTTTTTTTTTTTTTTTTTTGAGATGGAGTCTTGCTCTGTCACCCAGGCTGGAGTGCAGTGGCGCAATCTCGGCTCACTGCAACCTCTGTCATCTGGGTTCAAGTGATTATCCTGCCTCAGTCTCAGATGTCCTCCACCACATACCTAATTTTTGTATTTTTAGTAGAGACAGTTTCACCATGTTGGCCAGGCTGGTCTCAAACTCCTGACCTCAGGTGATCTATCCATCTCAGCCTCCCAAAGTGTTGGGATTACAGGTGTGAGCCACCATGCTTGGCCTTATTTTTTTAACTTTAAGATATTTTATGCCCCATCTGGGAGGGAGGTGGGGGGCAGCCCCTGCCCGGCCAGCCACCCCGTCCAGGAGGGAGGTTGGGGCCAGCACCCGCCCGGCCAGCCGCCCCGTCCGGGAGGTGGGGGGCGCCTCTGCCCGGCCGCCCCTTCTGGGAAGTGAGGAGCCCCTCTGCCCAGCCGCCACCCCGTCTGGGAGGTGTACCCAACAGCTCATTGAGAACGGGCCATGATGACGATGGCGGTTTTGTCGAATAGAAAAGGGGGGAATGTGGGGAAAAGATAGAGAAATCAGATTGTTGCTGTGTCTGTGTAGAAAGAAGTAGACATAGGAGACTCCATTTTGTTCTGTACTAAGAAAAATTCTTCTGCCTTGGGATGCTGTTAATCTATAACCTTACCCCCAACCCCATGCTCTCTAAAACATGTACTGTGTCCACTCAGGGTTAAATGGATTAAGGGCGGTGCAAGATGTGCTTTGTTAAACAGATGCTTGAAGGCAGCATGCTCGTTAAGAGTCATCACCACTCCCTAATCTCAAGTACCCAGGGACACAAACACTGCGGAAGGCCGCAGGGTCCTCTGCCTAGGAAAACCAGAGACCCTTGTTCACTTGTTTATCTGCTTACCTTCCCTCCACTATTGTCCTATGACCCTGCCAAATCCCCCTCTGCGAGAAACACCCAGGAATGATCAATAAATACTAAAAAAAAAAAAAAAAAAAAAAAAAAAAAAAAGATGTTTTATGTAATCTCCATTTTAAGATGATTACATTATACTTCAAGGTGATTACATAATATTTATAAAAAGTATGCAAAAAATGAAAAAATAATCAAAGCATGTAACGATAAAGTTAACAAAAATAAAGGTAGTAAAACAGGAAATGAGAAAAAACTTATCTACAAGAAATACATAAAACAGGAACAATGAGGTGGTTTCTGCAGATCAGCAGACTTAGTCTTTCCCCCTGCTGGCTCTGAGCAATCCAGGCAGTACAGATGTATGGAATTTCCCTCAGTGCAGCACAGCCACTCCACCAAGGTGCAGCCAGAGTGCTTTCTTAAGTGGTTCCCAGATCTCATGCATCCTGACTGGGTGAGACCCCCACAACAGACATCGTCAGACAACTTATAAAGTAGTGTTCCCACTGTCATCAGATCATTCCCCTTCTGGGACAAAGACCCCAGAGGAAGGAGCAAGCAGTCCTCTCTGCTATTCTGCAGGCTCCACTGGTTGACACCTCCAGGTGTGAGAGAAACCCAGGCAAATAGGGTCTGAAGTAGATCCCAAGCAAATCACAACAGTGCTACAGAAAAGTGGCCTGATGGTTAGAAAAACAAACAGAAAGCAACAACAAAAACAGCATGAACAAAAAAATCCTCACAAGCATCCCATCCAAAGGTCAGCAGCCTCAAAGATCGAAGCTAGAAAAACTCACAAAGATGAAAAGAATAAACCAAAAAATGCTGAAAACTTAAAAAGCCAGAGTGCCTCCTTTCCTCCAAATGATCCCAGCATATCTCCAGGAAGGGCACAGAACTGGGCGGTGGCTAAGGTGGATAAATTGACAAAAGTAGGCTTCAGAAGGTGGGTAATGATGAACTTTGCTGAGCTAATGGAGTATGTTCTAACCCAATGCAAAGAAGCTAAGAACCATGAAAAACATTACAGGAGCTGTTAACCAAAACAACCAATTTAGAGAGGAACATAAATGACCTGATGGAACTGAAAAACACAGCATCAGAACTTCACAACGCAACCACAAGTATCAATAACTGAGTAGACGAAGCAAGGAAAGAACTTCAGAGCTTGAAGACAATCTTGCTGAAATAAAACAGGCAGACAAGATTGAAGAAAAAAGAATAAACGGGAATGAGAGAAATCTCTGAGGTCTATGAGATTATGTAAAAAGACCGAACCTATGACTGACTGGGGTACCTTAAATAGATAGGGAGAATGGAACCAAGTTAGAAAACATCCTTCAGGATATCATCCAGAAGAACTTTTCCAACCTAACAAGAAAGGCCAACATTCAAATTCAGAAAATCCAGAAAACCCCAGTAAGATACTCCATGAGAAGATCATCCCCAAGACACATAATAATCAGATTCTTCAAGATTGAAATTCAGGAATAAATGATAAGGCAGCCAGAGAGAAACGCCACATCACCTATAGACAAAAGTTCATCAGACTGACAACAGACCTTTAAGCAGAAACCCTACAAGCCGTAAGAGATTGGGGGCCACTACTCAACATTCTTAAAGAAAAGAATTTCCAACCAAGAATATCCAGGAAAACTAAGCTTCATAAGTAAAGGAGGAATAAAATCATTTTCAGACAAGTAAACGCTGAAGGAATTCATCACCACCAGGCCTGCCTTGCAAGAGCTCCTGAAAGAAGCACTAAACATGGAAAGAAAAAAACCATTACTAGCCACTACAAAAACACACTGAAGTACAAAGACCAATGACACTATGAAAAAACTACATCAAAGAGTCTTCAAAATAACCAGATAGCACCATGAAAACATAATCAAATTCACACATAGCAATATTAACCTTAAACTTTTTTTTTTTTTTTTTTTGAGATGGAGTCTTGTTCTGTCACCCAGGCTGGAGTGCAGTGCACAATCTTGACTAACTGCAACATCTGCCTCCCAGGTTCAAGCAATTCTGCCTCAGCTTCCTGAGCAGCTGGGATTACAGATGAGCACTACCATGACAGGCTAATTTTTATATTTTTAGTAGAGGCGGGGTTTCACCATGTTGGCCAGGCTGGTCATGAACTCCTGACCTCAGGTGATTCACCTGCCTCAGCCTCCCAAAGTGCTGGGATTACAGGCATAAGCCACCGTGGCTGGCCTAATCTTAAATTTAAATGGGCTAAATGCCCTCATTAAAAGACACAGAATGTCAAGCTGATTAAAGAGTCAAGACCCATTGGTGTGCCATATTCAAGAAACCCATCTCACATGCAAAGACACACACATGCTTAAAATGAAGGAATGGAGGAAAATTCACCAAGCAAATAAAAGAAGAAAAAAGGAGGAGTTGCAATTGTAGTTTCTGACAAAATAGACTTTAAACCAACAAAGATCAAAACAGAAAAAGAAGGGCATTACATAATGCTAAAGGAATCAATTCAAGGAGGACCCAGATTTATAAAACACATTATTAGAGACCTACAAAGGGACTTAAACAAACTCCCACACAATAATAGTGGGAGACTTTAACACCCTACTGCCAATATTAGACCAACAATTGAGACAGAAAAGTAACAAAGATATTCAGGACTTGAACTCAGCTTTGGGTCAAATGGACCTGATAGATATCTACAGAACTCTCCAGCCAAAAACAACACAATACACATTCTCCTAAGTGTCACATGGCACTTACTTTAAAATTGATCACATAATTGGAAGGAATACTCCTTAGCAAATGCAAAAGAACTGAAATCATAACAGTCTCTCAGACCACAGTGCAATCAAATTGGAACTCAAGAGTAAGAAACTCACTCAAAACCACACAAGTACATGGAAATTGAACAACCTGCTCCTGAATGACTTCTGGGTAAATAATAAAATTAAATCAGAAACCAAGAAATTCTTTGAAACCAATGAGAACAAAGAGACTATGTACTAGAATCTGTAGAATGCAGCTAAAGCAGTGTTAAGGGGAAAATTTATAGCACTACATAGCCACAGCAAAAAGCTGGAAAGATCTCAAAATGACACCCTAACATTACAATTAAAAGAACAAGAGAATCAAGAGCAAACAAACCCCAAAGCTAACAGAAGACAAGACATAAGAAGAATCCAAGTGAAACTGAAAGAGATAGAGACACAAAAAACCCTTCAAAAAACCAATAAATCCAGGAGCTATTTTTTTTGAAAACATTAATAAAATAGAACACTAACTAGAGTAATGGAGAACAAAAGAGAGAAGAAGAAATAGACACAATACAAAATCATAAAGAGGATATCACCACTGACCCCACAGAAATACAAACCATCAGAAAATACTATAAACACCTGTATGCACATAAACTGAAAAAGCTAGAAGAAGTAGATAAATTACTGGACACAAACACCCTCCCAAGACCAAACCAGGAAAAATTTGAATCCTGAATAGACCAATAAGAAGTTCTGGAATTGAGGAAGTAATAAATAGCCTACAAACTAAAAATGCCCAGAGGCAGATGGATTTACAGCTGAATTCTACCAGAGGTACAAAGAGGAGTTGGTACCATTTCTTCTGAAACTATTCCAAATGATAGAAAAAGAGGGACTCCACTCTAACTCATTTTATAAGATCAGCATCATTCTGATACCAAGATCTGGCAAAGATATAACAACAACAAGAAACTTCAAGCCAATATCCCTGATAAACATTGATGCAAAAATTCTCAATAAAACACTGGCAAACCAAATCCAGCAGCACATCGAAAAGCTTATCCACCGCGATCAAGTCAGCTTCATCCCTGGGATGCAAGGCTATTTCAACATAAACAAATCAATAAATACAATTCATCATATAAACAGAACTAAAAACAAAATCCATATGATTATCTCAATAGATGCAGAAAAGGTCTTTGATTAAATTCAACATACCTTCATGTTAAAAATGCTCAATAAACTAGGTATTTATGGAACATACCTCAAAATAATAAGAGTCATTTATGATGAACCCACAGCCAGTATCATACCGAAAGGGCAAAAGCTGGAAGCATTCCCCTTGAAAACTGGCACAACAAGAAGGCCCTCTCTCACCACTCTTATTCAACGTAGTATTGGAAGTTCTGGCCAGGAAAATCAGGCAAGAAAAATAAATAAGGGGTATTCAAATAGGAAGTCAAACTGTCTGTGTTTGCAGATGACATGATCCCATATCTAGAATGCCCCAATGTCAGCCCAAAAGCTTCTTCAGCTAATAAGAAGCTTCAGCAAAGTCTCAGGATACAAAATCAATGTGCAAAAATTACAAGCATTTCAATACATTAACAGTAAACAAGCAGAGAGCCATATCATGAACGAACCTCCATCCACAATTGCTACAAAAAGAATAAAATACCTAGGAATACAGCTAACAAAGTAAGTGAAGGACCTCTTTAAGGAAAACACAAACCACTGCTCAAGAAAATCAGAGAGGACACAAACAAATGGAAAAGATAGAAATAATCAATATTGTAAAAACGGCCATACTGCCAAAAGTAATTCAATGCTTATCCCACTAAACTATTACTGACATCTTTCACAGAATTAGAAAAAACTATTTTAAAATTCATATGGAACCCAAAAGACCCCATATAGCCAAGAAAATTCTAAGCAAAAAGAACAAAGCTGGAAGCATCATGCTATCTGACTTCAAACTACACCACAAGGCTATAGTAACCAAAACATCCTGGTACTGGTATAAAAACATACACATAGACCAATGAAAAAGAATGCAGAACTCAGAAATAAGACTGCTTATCTACAACCATCTGATCTTTGAAAAATCTGACAAAAACAAGCAATGAGGAACAAACTCCCTATTTAATGAATGGTGCTGGGAGAATTGGCTAGCCCTATGCAGAAAACTGAAACTGGAACCCTTCCTTACACCTGTACAAAAGTTAACTCAAGATGGATTAAAGACTTAAATATGAAACCAAAAACTATAAAAACGTTAGAAGAAAATCTAGGCAATACCATTCAGGACATAGGCATGGACAAAGATTTCATCATGAAAACGTCAAAAGCAACTGCAACAAAAGCAAAACTTGACAAATAGAATCTAATTAAACTAAAAACCTTCCGCACAACAACAAAAAAACTATCATCAGAGTGAACAGACAACCTAAGAATCGGAGAACATTTTTGCAACCTATTCATCTGACAAACGTTAATATCCAGAGTCTAAAAGGAACTTAAGCAAATTTACAAGAATAAAACAACCCCATTAAAAAGTGGGCAAAGAACATGGACACTTCTCAAAAGAATAAATTTATGTGGCCAAGAAACAAACAAAGCTCAACATCAGGGATCGTTAGAGAAATGCAAATCAAAACCAGAATTACATACCATCTTATGCCAGTAAGAATAGTGGTTATTTTTTTCTAAATTTTTTTTTTTTTTTAGATGGAGTCTCACTCTTTGCCCAGGCTAGAGTGCAGTGGCGCGATCTCGGCTCACTGCAAGCTCTGCCTCCCAGGTTCACGCCATTCTCCTACCTCAGCCTCCCAAGTAGCGGGGACCACAGGCGTCCGCCACCACGCCCAGCTAATTTTTTATATTTTTAGCAGGGACGGGGTTTCACCGTGTTAGCCAGGATGGTGTCAATTTCCTGACCTTGTGATCCTCCTGCCTCGGCACCCCCAAAGTGCTGGGATTACAGGTGTGAGCCACCGTGCCCGGCCAAGAATCGTGATTATTAAAAAGTCAAGAAACAACAGATGCTGATGAGGCTGTGGAGAAATAGAAATACTTTTACACTGTCGGTGAGAATGTAAATTAGTTCAATCATTGTGGAAGACACTATGGGAATTCCTCAAGGACCTAGAAACAGAAATACCATTTGACCCAGCAACCCCATTACTGGGTATATACCCAAAGGAATATAAATAATTCTGTTATAAAGATATGTGGATGTGTATGTTCATTGCAGCACTATTTACAATAGCAAAGACATGGAATCAACCCACATGCCCATCAATAATAGACTGGATAAAGAAAATGTGGTACATATACACTATGGAATACTATGCAACCATAAAAAAGAATAAGAGCATGTAGTTTGCAAAGGCATGGATAAAGCTGAAAGCCATTATCCTCAGCAAACTAATGCAGGAACACAAAACCAAACACCACATGTTCTCACTCGTAAGTGAGAGCCGAACAATAAGAACACATGGGCTGGGCACGGTGGCTCATGCCTGCAATTTCAGCACTTTGGGAGGCTGAGGTGGGCAGATCACGAGGTCAGGAGATCAAGACCATCCTGGCCAGTGTGGCGAAACCCCATCTCTACTAAAAATTCAAAAATTAGCTGAGAATGGTGGTGCATGCCTGTAATCCCAGCTACTTGGGAGGCTGAGGCAGGAGAATCGCTTGAACCAGGGTATCAGAGTTTGCAGTGAGCTGAGATCATGCCACAGCACTCCAGCCTGGCGACAGAGCAAGACTCTGTCTCAACAACAACAAAAACAAAAACAAACATGGACACATAGAGGGGAACAACACACACTGGAACCTGTCAGAGTAGGGGAAACAGCATCAAGATAAACAGCTAATGCATGCAGGGCTTCACACCTAAGTGATGAATTGATAGGTGCAGTAAACCACCATGGGACATGTTTACCTATGTAACAAACTTGTAAATCCTGTACATGTATCCCAGAACACACAAAAAATAATATTTAAACAAAACAATAACAATGAAACTGGTAATAGTAACTTTATTTCTTTAAGCAATCATTTTAAATATAAATTAATTAAACTACTTAATAAAAAAAAGTAATCTCAGGACTTTGGGAGGCCCAGAGGGGCTGATTACTTTAACTCAGGAGTCTGAGACCAGACTGGAGAACATGGCAAAATTCTGTCCCTACAAAAACAAAAACAAAAACAATAAAATGAGCTGGGCGTGACGACACACATTTGCAGCCCAGCTACTTGGAAGCTGAGATGAGATCATCTGAGTTTGGGAGGTTGAGGCTGCAGCGAGCTGTAATCATGCCACTGCAAACCAGCTTGGTTGACAGAATGAGACTCTATCTCAAAAATAGATAAATTTATAAAAAGAAAAAGAAATAAGATGCCTGAGTAGTTTAAGTAAAAAAGCATACAATACGCTGTCTATAACAGACTCATTTTAGCATTGAGTCAAATAGGCTGAAAGTAATAGAATGAAAAGAATCTATATTACATGCAAATAGTAACCATAATTGGGTGAGGTGGCAGTAATTATATTGAATATAATATGCTTTAAGTCAAGTACTAACATGAGACAAACACTGATATTATATAATGGCCAAATGGGTCAAGAATCTATAACTATCATATCTATCTATTTATGTTTATATGTATATGTATATATAACATCAGGACTCCAATATATATAAAGCATATTTTGGCAAAGGTAAAGCAAGAAATATACAGCAACACAATAATTGTAGACATCAAGATCCCATTTGCAATAATAAATAGAAAATTTAGATAAAAGATCAGTAAGAAAACAGACAACATTATAGACTGTATTAACTATTTTGCATATAGACAAATAACTGAGAGTGGATAAATTATAAAGTAAAAAGGTTTATTTGGTTTACAGTTTGGCAGACTGTATAAGAAGTGTGTGCCAGTATCTGCTTCTGGTGAGGGTCTCAGGAAACTTATAATCTTAGTGGAAGGCAGAGTAGCTGGACATATCACATGGTAAGAGACAGAGCAAGTGTGAGGTGAAGGAGACAGGTTATTTTAATGAACCAGCTCTCATTTGAATTAATGTAGTGAAAACTTTCTGATTACTAAAAGAATGGTGCCATGGCATTTATGAGAATTAGTCCCCATGACCCAAACACCTCCTACCAGGTTCCACATCCAACATTGTGTATTACATTGCAGCATGAGCCTTGCAGAACATGGACATCCAAACTGTACCACAGACCAAATAGGCTTAACAGCATGTACAAAACTTTCCAGTTAAAAGCAAGAGAATACACAATATTTTTATTTGGATGTGATATATTCTGTTAGGACACATAACAAGTCTTATTAAAGAATACCACCTGGGAGTAGTGGCTGATACATCTAATCCCAACAATTTGGAAGATGAAGGTGGGAGGATCACTTGGGACCAGAAGTTTGATACCAGACTGAATAATATAGTGAGACTCTGTCACTACAAAAAAATCAAAAAATTAGCGAGGCACGGTAGTGCATGTCTGTAGTCTCAGCTACTTAGGAGGAAGAAAAGATCACCTGAGTCAAGGAGACTGAGGTTGCAGTGAGCCAAAATTATGCCACTATACTCCAGCCTGGGTGACGGAGTATGATCCTGTTTCAAAACAACAACAAATAAATATAAGAAAACCAAAATCATACACTGTGTGTTTTCTGACCAAAACTGAATGAAACTAAAAATTAAAAGCAAAAGTAGGCCGGGTGCGGTGGCTCACACCTGTAATGCCAGCACTTTGGGAGGCCAAGGTGGGTGGATCACCTGGGGTTAGGAGTTCAAGACCAACCTGGCCAACATAGTGAAAACCTGTCTCTACAAAAATACAAAAATTAGCCGGGCATAATGGTGGGTGCCTGTAATCCCAGCTACTTGGGAGGCTGAGGCGGGAGTATTGCTTGAACCTGTGAGGCGGAGTTTGCAGTGAGCCAAGATCACACCATTGCACCCCAGCCTGGGCAACAGAGTGAGACTCTGTCTCAGTAAAATAAATAAATAAATAAATAAATAAATAAATAGCAAAAGTAAAACTGTTAAATCCAATAATATATTTGAAAAAAAAAAACACATGGGCCGAGTGTAGTGGCTCACGGCTATAATACTAGCACTTTCAGAGGCCAAGGCAAGAAAATTGCTTGAGTCCAGGAGTTCCAAACTAGCATGGGCAACATAGGAAGACCCTGTCTCTAAAAATAAAAATAAATAAAATAAAAATAAGGCCAAGCATGGTGGCTCATGCCCGTAATCCCAGCACTTCAGGAGGCTGGTGTGGGCGAATCACTTGAGGTCAGGAGTTTGAGACCAGCCTGGCCAACATGTGAAGCCCCGTCTCTACTAAAAATACAAAAGTTAGCCAGGCATGGTGGTGGGCACCTGTAATCCCAGCTACTCAGGAGGCTGAGGCAGGAGAATTCCTTGAACCCGGGAGGCGGAGGTTGAAGTGAGCCGAGACCATGCCATTGCACTCCAGCCTGGATGACAGAGAGAGACTCTGTCTCGAATCAATCAGTCAATCAAACACACTCTTCAGCTAAAGGTTCAAAAAGTTTAATTTAGTTAAGTTGTCAATACAACCTACAGTGGTGAACAAATTCAATATAACCTCTATAAAAATGACAATAGCACAGTTTTATTACACAAATATTGTTTAAAATTTTTAAATTTCATTATGAACTATAGCCAAACACCCATGAAAAAGAATAAACAGGCATTATACTTCCTGATTTTTAAACATATTAGGCAGGGTGCAGTGGCTCACGCCTGTAATGCCAGCACTTTGTGAGGCCAGGGTGGGGGATCACCTGAGCTCAGGAGTTTGAGACCAGCCTGGTCAACATTGTGAAACCCCCGTCTCTACTAAAAATACAAAAATTAGCCAGGCGTGGTAGTGCACGCCTGTAACCTCAGCTACTTGGGGGACTGAGGCAGAATAATCGCTGAAACCCAGGAGGAGGAGGTTGCAGTGAGCTGAGATCGAGCCACTGCACTCCAGCCTGGGCGACAGAGCCAGACTCCATCTCAAAAATAATAATAAAAAATTAGAAGCTACAGTAACAAAAACAGTGTAATATTGACACAAAGGCAGATGAACAGATGAAAGAACAAAATATGGAGCCCAGAAATGAAACCTTTTATATATAATCAAATGATCTACAAAGCTGCCAAGAGGAAACAATAGTCTTTTAAAAAACAATGTTAAAAACTAAATATCAATACTGATAAAATAAGGTTGGATCATTTCTTTGAATCATATACAAAAATATTTTAAGTAAAATACTTAGACATAAAAAAACTAATAAGTCTCTTAGAAAAAAATAGAAAGAAGACATGACATTGGTCTTGGCACCATTTTCTTAGATAAGACACTAAATGCCTGAGGAACAACAACAAAAAATTAACTATGCTATACTTCAAAATTTCTGCACATTAAAACAAAACATTTAACTCAGTGAAAATGCCTCCGAGAAAATGGGTAAGAATATTTCCAAATTACATGTCACAGTTAATATTCAGAATATATAAAAAACCCTTAAAACTAAGTTAAATAACTTGATTTGAAAATTAACAATTGAACTAAATTTTTATCATAAAAGATACACAAATGGAAAAAGCATTTGAAATGACATGCAAAATTAATAATTTGTAGAGAAACACATAAAAATAACAATGAAAAATGAAATCATGTCATACCCATTACAATGGCCACTATAAATTATTTAAAAACACCAAATCTGTTGATGATGCAATGAAAATAAAACCTATGTCAATTGTTGGTAGAAAACAAAGATGCAGTCATTATTTTTAAATGTTATAAATGTTTCTCAAGTAATTAAAAATGGAATTATCATCAAATACAGCAATCCTCTTTATCAATTTAAAATATGCAACACATGACCTGGAAGACATATTTGAACATCCATGTTTATTGTACTAGTATTCACAAAAGCTAAAAGGCTGCAGCAACCCAGGTGTCTCTTGATTTATAAGCATATCAAAAATGTAACATATGTGTAGAGCGAAATATTATTCAGTCTTAAAAAACAAAATCTTGCCAAGCGTGTGACTCACACCTGTAATCCCAGCACTTTGGGAGGCCGAGGATGGCAGATCACCTGAGGTCAGGAGTTTGAGACCAGCCTGACCAACATGGTTAAACCCTCTCTCTACTAAAAATAAGAAAAAAATTAGCTGGGCATGGTGGCACATGCCTGTAGTCCCAGCTACTCGGGAGGCTGAGGCAGGAGAATCGCTTGAACCAGGGAGGCAGAGGTTGCAGTGAGCCGAGATTGCGTCATTGCACTCCAGCCTGGGTGACAGGAGACTCCGTCTCAAAAATAAAAAAAAAAAAAAAAAAGAAAATCTTGTCACATTTTAAGATAAACTTTGAGAATATTATGTCACCTGAAATAAGCCAGTAACGAAATGATGGATACAGTATGATTCCACTGATATGGGATATTTTAATTAGTCACACTCATAAAAACAGAAAGTGGAAGGGTGTTTGTCAAGGGCTGGAAAGAGGGTAAAATGGGTTGCTGTTATTTAATGGGTATTGAGTTTTAGTTTCACAAAATGTAAAATATCTAAGTCTTTTGCATAACAATGTGAATATAATTAACATGCCTGCCTGAAATGTAGAGCTGTGGTTTTTTTTTTTTTTTTTGGAGACACAGTCTCACTCTGTCAAAAAGCTGGAGTGCAGTGGTACAATTATGGCTCACTTCGGCCTCAAACTCTGAGGCTCAAGTAACCCTCCCACCTCAGTCTTGCAAGTAGCCTGAACCACAGATGCACAACACTATGCCTGGCTATTTTTAAAAAACATTTTGTAGAGAGGGACTCTCCATATGTTTCCCAGGTTGGTCTCAAACTTTTGAGCTCAAATAATCCTGGATTACAGATGTGAGCCACCACCATGTCTGGCCCTAAAAGGTACACCTAAATAGATTTAAGATGGTAAATATTATGTGTTTTTACAACAATTAATTTTTCTAAAGGAAAAACTGAAAAAAATACAGATTTATAAATCTTTTCAAAAATTACCTTCAAATTACAAAAGTGTTTCTCTCACACAAAGGTGAGAGAAACATCATCATTAAACACATGGTGAAAATAAGAGATGGTGAAAATATTTCCATGACTACTCACTTAGGTGAGATAAAACAACCACTGAAAATTGGCTAAGAAAGAATATATACAAGATAAGCCATAACCAATATTGGGGTCATATTTATAGATAAACACACACACACATATATATCTAATTGTGACAGACATATGGCTGATTTATCTCTTAATTATAAGAGATAAACCGAATTGCAAACTGTCTAAAATTATAATACAAAAGTGAAACAAAAAAACACAATAACTCAATGTTAAGAAACCTACACTAACAAAACACTGATATGAAACTGCGCAGTAATAGTAAGTGACATATTTACTCATAAAATCTGCTGTGCAACACTGATATACCATTAAAAAAGAATTTGTCTGCATAACTACAGTAATCCTCTCCGGTACTCAATAAACGCCATACTCATTCACATCCTGATATAAGGACCATTATATATGAACCTGACTGCAGAAACCTGCCCTATTGTCTGCTCTACAGATCAAAGTGTTGAAGGATATTCAGTCTGTCCAAAAATAAAATGGGAATTACCACTACCCAAGCCCCTGTAACAAGCCAACTAAAGGTGGACCCTAGTGCAGACCCAGCAGCCTTGTGACCAAGCTACACCCCCTCTCCACTACAAACCCAGAGAGCATTCTATGACCCTGGAGACATGACAGAAAAAGATCTTTACCTACTGAAACCAGTTTATAGAAGCTTGAGGAGTTGTTTGCTCCTTCAAATTCACAGACACTAATGCAAAACTACATTGTGCCCATTGTCAATGCTTCTATTTTAACATAGCACTGGAAGTATGTGGCAGAATAATGAGTCAAAAACATTTTTAAAAAGCCACTGAAATTGAACACAAGTAAAAAGTTGCTGTTTGTGGATCATATGATTTTATATATAAAAAACCATGAACACTACATTGAAATTTGTCTGAATTAATACACTCAGTAAATTAGCAAAACATAAAATTAACACACAAGTATGAAGTTATTGTTCCATACACTTTAACAGAGAAAGAAAACAATTTAAAATAGCATTAAAATGATAAATTTCTGAGAACAAGGAAGTAAAAAATCTTTACAACGAAAGATATGTTATTAATAAAAGAAATTAGAGAAGACACAAATTTAAAAATATTGCATGTCTACAGATTGAAAAAATAAATATTGTTAAAGTGTCCTATTATCTAAGTAATCTATAGATTCAATAAATTCCCTATCAAAATTTCAGTGGCATTTTTCTTCACAGTAATGGAAAATACAATTCTAAAATTTACAAGAAACAACAATAAACTTCAAATAGCCAAAGCAATCGTGAGGAAAAAGAACAAAGTAGAAAGACATGATGCTTTATAATTTCAAACTATATTTCGAGAATATAGTAATAAGAACAGAATGGAGTGTGCAGAAAAGTTAACAACAACAACAAAAAACAGTGGAACAGAAACCACTACTATTACACATTTCAGACATGATGCAAAAAGAGAACTAAGAAAATAGTTTGGCCAGGTGCAGTGGCTCACACCTGTAATCCTAGTACTTTGGGAGGCCAAGGCGGGTGGATCACTTGAGGTCAGGAGTTTGAGACCAGCCTGCCCAACATGGTGAAACCCTGTCTCTACTAAAAATACAAAAAATTAACTGGGCATGGTGGCAGGTGCCTGTAATTCCACCTACTCAGGAGGCTGAGGCAGGAGAATTGCTTGAATCCAGGAGGCAGAGGTTGCAGTGAGCCTAGATCGTGCCATTGCACTTTAGCCTGGGCAACGAGCATGAAACTCAGTCTCAAAAAAAAAAAAAAAGAAAGAAAAAAGAAAAGAAAATAGTTTAACATAGAGTTTCTCAAAATCATGTAGATATTTGTGTGTCCCCCAAAACAATGGAAAAGCAGTCAGATTGTGAGTCTCGCATGCCATGAAGAGGACTTTGGTTCTGATAGCAAACTTGAAGGGAGATCACCAAGGGGAAAGAATCCTTGAATTTAAAAGCATAAGACAGAAGATGACCCTATGCGAGGGCAAAATTAAAAAAAAAAACTCAGGCTTCCCAGAAAATATTTGCTTTGGAACACAGATTCTCAAATAACATTTTAAGCATTGGCTTTCTTCTTTTTTGGACCTCTCATTCATGTCGTCTGTTGTGTTCACTCTCACCTACCTGGGGGTTGATCTACCATCGCATGTCTCTTCATATTCCAGGGCTCTTTTCCTTGCTCTAGACAGGTGATCAGGTCTGGCTTAGAAACAGCAATACCTGCTTTATTGAAAATAAATAACATGAATCTTTCTCATATTCTTCAGTTACCAACCTAGTACTGTGCTTAGTAAAGAGGATGTGGTAGAATATTCTAGAAAATTAATCCTAAAAATACTAATTTATAACAGAAATTTCTAAGTATTTAGAAAATATTTTACATTTGTAGGTTCTTAATTTCACTGCCTGGCATTCATTAATCAAAAATTGGTGGCGGCAAATAGATTTTAAGATATGGGCAACAATATTTTATGCCACTAAATTTCTGGAATTGCCACTAATCTAGAGTGAAGGATACAGATCAGCCCAGGA
The DNA here is from genome assembly GCF_000001405.40 of Homo sapiens. Taxonomy (NCBI): domain Eukaryota; kingdom Metazoa; phylum Chordata; class Mammalia; order Primates; family Hominidae; genus Homo; species Homo sapiens. Next base: position 21,033,776 of record NC_000019.10, on the reverse strand, counting down.
ATGTGGAAAGTTTAAGTCAAGATAAAACTTCTTGAAAAAATTCTTTCCTATATGGAAAAATCCTCAAGGTTTTCTTAAGAACAAGTATCAGAAACTCATTTATGCAAAGCATAAATTACCAAAAATTATTCTCAAAAAATGAGAAATGAAACCTTTAGGGTATACTAGTAATTGTGTACTAAAGTTATTCTCACCCAAGAAGACCAGGTTTCTGTAGTTCTCTAACATCACTTTTCTATACAAATCCTGCTGAGCAGTGTCCAGGCATTGCCACTCCTCCAGAGAAAATTCTATGGCCACATCCCTAAATGTCAATGGCCCCTGAAAAACACAAGCACACAAGACACACGTATATTTACCAAGTGGCCACGGGCAGAATTTATTATTTGAATTAAAGTGAAATGACAGAATAAAGAGAATTGGTTCTGATTTGCAGGAATGACTGAAATTATCCAATAATTTTTTTTTTTTTTGAGACAGAGGCAACCTCTGCATCCCGGCGTCAAGCGATTCTCCTGCCTCAGCCTCCTGAGTAGCTGGGATTACAGGCATGCACCACTACATTCGGCTAATTTTGTATTTTTAGTAGAGACGGGGTTTCTCCATGTTGGTCAGGCTGGTCACGAACTCTCAACCTCAGGTGAGCCACCCGCCTTGGCCTCCCAAAATGCTGGGATTACAGGCATGAGCCACCATGCCCGGCCCCAATAATTTTTCACACAGAAATATTATCTAATGTTTTCTCTAACTCTGAGAGAAGAGAATGGCATAAGATCCATAACACCAGTATATATATGATACTTCTCTGGATGAGAAGCATAAAATTAAGGGCATAAACAAAAATTTGTACACTTCGAGTGCTATATTTACATCATAAAGTTTGAGTTGTGTATATTTTTCAGACAAAAAAGACATGTTGAGTTCGAAGGTACCTCTCAACTTTAAAGGTGAACAATAAACTGGAGATTCTGTTGTGCAGACTTTTTTTCTTCAGAAGATCTGGAGTAAAGTCTGAACTTCTAAATTTCTTTCTTCTTTTTTTTTTCTTTGAGATGGAGTTTTGCTGTTGTTGCCCAGGCTGGAGTGCAATGACACCATCTCGGCTCACTGCAACCTCCGCCTCCTGGGTTCAAGCAATTCTCCTGCCTCAACCTCCCAAGTGGCTGGGATTACAGGCATGTACCACCATGCCCAGCTAATTTTGTATTTTTAGTAAAGACGGGGTTTCTCCATGTTGGTCAGTCTGGTCTCGAACTCCTGACCTCAGGTGATCCGCCCACCTCGCCCTCCCAAAGTGCTGGGATTACAGGTGTGAGCCACCACACCCAGCCAACAAATTTTTATGATGTGCTGATGCACATAGAAGAACACGGCATCACTGCTAAGATATTGCCCCTCAAACAGTAAATTATAATCTGAATGCAACCATAAAGATACATCAGTTTTATACAAAGTTCAAAATACAGATATCTCCCATGTTCTGTTATTTTTAACAGTGATTTTAAGTAGTCTTTCTTTAGCACCCTAGAGAGCAGGTATCTCCTAATAATTTTTTTCAGAACTTTCTGGGTAATAAATGGTATTCTGTTTAAATAAGCATTTTCTTAATCCTGTTCTGCATAGAGTTAATAGAGAAAACAGATGAAACCTCAACATTACATATTCTCCATCTTTACTAGGGACCCCAGCTTTCCCCCAATAGGAATCTTGAGTATCTACATCTCCCCATGTTTAACAGCCACAAAGGGAACATTTTTAGTAGTGCCGATTATAAATTTATGGTAGGAATTCTGCGTGGCATATAAGAAGCCATGATGTAGAGAATGTAGAGAAAGCTCTGGTATATAGTAAAGAAATGTTTTGCAGACAGCCTTGAATATTATAAGAATTTTTTAATGTAGTTAAAACAAACTCCTTAAGAAGGAAAAACACAAATCGAGAAGTAAAGATTTGCAAGTACTAAACACATGGCATTCCATGAAGCAGAGTGCACACAGCTCTTCTTCTGAGACACGTTTAGCTGAAAAAAAGCCATTTTTTCTCTTTCTTTCTCTGAAAATCCTTTTTAGATAACATTCTCTGGACAAGTTATACCTGCATTTTGAGAACGTTCCTTTAAAAATGTCAGCACCACCTTTTTGTCTGCTACCATCACGCACACAAACAGAAGGAAGGTCCTGCAGAAAAAGTCCACCCATTTCTCTGTCCTTTATAACAGAAAGGATTCAGGAACAACGAGCTGCTCTATGAATATAAAAGTATGTTTCTCTTTTCCTGTCCTTAGGTGCCCTCCTCTGCCACAGACACCAGCAATTTCTGCTACAGTAATGGAAATATGAGCCACACTCCCCTGTCCCTACCAAACCCAAACAGAACGGGCCCTGAGACCACCCTTTAGTGCAAAGGTGGCACTTAGCTCTCATGAATGTATATTGAAGCCCTCATACTTGATTCTGGCCTCACCTTAGAGTCACATGAGGCACTTCATTAAAACAACATGGATGCTTCCACCCAGAACAATAAACGAAATCCATGGAAAGGGCATAAGTACAGAGATTTCTGCCATGTAATCCTAATTAGAAGACTGGGCAGAGGCCGGGCGCGGTGGCTCACACTTGTAATCCTGGCACTTTAGGAGGCCGAGGCACATGGATGACCTGAGGTCAGGAGTTCAAGATCAGCCTGGCCAACATGGTGTAACCTCATCTCTACTAAAAACACAAAAAATTAGCCAGGAATGGTGGCGGGTGCCTGTAATCCCAGCTACTCAGGAGGCTGAGGCATAAGAATGGCTTGAACCCAGGAGGCGGAGGTTTCACTGAGCCGAGATTATGCCATTGCACTCCAGACTGGGTGACAGAGTGAGATCCTGTCTCAAAAACAGAAAACAAAACAAAACAAAAAAAACAAGACGGGGCTGATAACCACTTAGCTAAGCACTGCCTCTCAAACTTTAATGAGCTTAAAACTCGTTTGGTAATTTTGGCCCCACTCTACGTAATGTGGATCTGCAAGTTTGAAAAGGGTTCATGAATGCGTGTTTCAAACAAGTTCCCTGTCAATGCTGATGTTGTTCCCCCTGGGCTCATTAGCATTAGTTAGAGAAGCAGGTACAGCACAGAGTCCCTTACACTTAGCACTCTTGTCACAACACAAATACTTCTGGTACAAATAAAACCAATCTCCATCTTAAATTTTTATATTCTTCGCTGGCTCTTTAAAGTTTACAGAACAAACAGAAGGCGGCAATGTCTGAATAAATCTGCCTTTGGAAAATAACATGTACACATATACAAATGCAATGTTTATTAAGCAGGTACTATGTGCTCAAGGATATGTTACAGAGCACTGTGCTGGGAATAACACATTTTGTGATTTAATCCTAATAACACCCTGGAAGTTGATACTAAGTGTTCAATAATTCCCAGGACTTAGATAAAGGGTTCAGCATTTTTATTTCTCCCTCTGTTTCTCTGTCATTGATTTTGTTTTAAAGGTATAGAATAAAAGTTAAATACAGGCAGATGAGAAGAACATAGAAAAAGTTTAATGTAGTTTAGAGAAATTTTTATTGTGTATACATTTACTTGTTTGTGGCTTGTGGAGCAACTGCTAGATTGGCAGAAACAGAAAACAAGGTGCTAAATGGAATGTTTCTGTAAGCACTGGTTTTAATACAAATTCAAAAAATAAGATCCTAAAATAAATAGTTTATTTCTGTCATTTATCTGTTTTTGGGTTTCAGAAAATTGTGAGCACCAGCTCTAGAAAAGCAGCAGGACTCACCAGACAAAACTCCAGTCTTTTTTTTTTTAGATGGAGTCTCGCTCTGTCACCAGGCTGGAGTGCAGTGGCACAATCTTGGCTCAATGCAACCTCCGCCTCCCGGGTTCAAGCGATTCTCCTGCCCCAGCCTCCTGAGCAGCTGGGATTACAGGCATGTGCCACCACGCCCGGCTAATTTTTGTATTTTTAGTAGAGACGGGGTTTCACCATGTTAGTCAGGCTGGTCTCAAACTCTCGACCTCATGATCTGTCTGCCTCGGCCTCCCAAAGTGTTGGGATTACAGGTGTGAGCCACCACACCCAGCCAAAACTCTGATTTTTATAAATCAGTTTTGTGAGGTAAGGCTCCAGAGCGGGGCCAGACATAAATAAGGCCTCCAAAAAACGTGAATCTGAACAGAATTTGGGCAGGGAAAGGACCCTATGTAGAATTATGTTCTCTCTGCCACCAAGGTATTTCCAGTTCTGTTTTTCCTAAGCTTACATAAGAGAATCTTAAATCCCAGAGCTTATGTAACTTTAATCTATTTTTGCCACTGCCCTGTCAATTTTATAACATATACTAATAAGCAATTTAAACAAATTTATTAAAGTTCTTTAGAATAATTATACTAGAAGATAAATATATATTCTTAGCAAAGTAAAGGAAACACAAATAATAACAAATCTTCACTCCATAAATATCTCCTCAGCTGATGGTATCAGAAGTAACAATATAAAACAGTGGCCCCAATTTTTTTTGGACACATCTATTCATTGTACCAACCATATAATGCTTAATTCACCCATGTATCCAGTTGTTAGTCTAGACATGTTCCTGGATAGTAAGGATCATGACTGCTTCATCTGTTTTTTGAATGGCCATATAAAATGAAAACAATTACTTTATCTGTTTGAGTCACCAGACCTCCTATTGCTTTCATCCAAGTATCAGGAAACTTGAGAAACTCTCATCTGGGTACCAACCAAAGTTATCTCTTGTATAAGGGGAGAAAAAAACACAGAATTGCCAGGCATGGTGGCTCACACCTGTGATCCCAGCATTTTGGGAGGCTGAGGTGGGCGGATCACAAGGTCAGGAGTTCAAGACCAGCCTGTGCAATATGGTGAAACCCTGTCTTTATTAAAAATGCAAAAATTAGCCAGGCATGGTGGCAAGTGCCTGTATTCCCAGCTATTTGGGAGGCTGAGGCAGAAGAGTCACTTGAACCCGGGAGGCGGAGGTTGCAGTGAGCCGAGATCGCGCCACTGCACTCCAGCCTGGGCGATAGAGCAATACTCCGTCTAAAAAAAGAAAAAAAACCCTAAAAAAACCACACACACACAGAATGACTCATTTCTCTTACACCAAGCCAGAAGCAGAATTAACCACTCTTGTCAGCCTGACACAATTCTGCCCTGGACATCCTCAAATGTCTCAAAGACGTCTAGGTGATTGTGAGAGGGTTCTTAGTGACCCTGGGCTGATGGCCCAATGATAATCCAGGCTGGAGAGATTCAGGCTGATTCTAAATAGAAAATGGCCTGGTGGAGCTCCAGAACCTAATCACTTGTCCCAATTTGCTAGCTTTTGGGTAAGGAGAAAGACAAGAATACTCTACTCCAGTATCACATTTTACAGGTAGGTATAGTTGTGGTCATGGCTATGGATACATTATGACTTTGATATCTCACTCTTAAAATGCTGATTCTGTCATCAGATTCTATTTATATCTGGAGCCTCTCACATAACTGTGGCAAATCACTGAACAAGATCTGAAAAGCTTAAAGAACCACACTGTCAAAGGGGGCTTTAAGATGTCTATGTTGACAACTCACAATGGAGAAAATGCCTCCTGTTGGTTTTCTGTACATTCTCAACCTAAAGTCTGGCCGTGTCCTGTAAATCCCAGGAAGAGGCCAGACCTTATGTGCAGATTCTAGGTAGGATCAACCACACTCTGCATTCTTGGGTGTTACAGCAAGTGGAGTACAATCAAAGGAGAGATCCCCTCATAGAGGCTGCTCTAGCTCATTCTACGTGATATGACTACCTAAAAGGAAAAAGCTGAGGCAACATGAATATAAGAGTTTATTTGGGCCAAGCTTGAGAATAGTAACCTGGGAGCAAAGACACATTTTCCAGAGACTGAACAAATAAGAAACTGAATCCCTGAATAGACCAATAACAAGCTCCAAAATTGAATTAGTAAGAAATAGCCTACTAGCCAAAAAAAAGCAAAGAACCAGACAAATTCCTAGCTGAACTCTACCAGATGTACAAAAAAGAGCTAGTACCACTTCTACTAAAAATACTTCAAAATATTGAAAAGAAAGGACTCCTTTTCAACTCATTATATATAAGAATAGCATCATTCTGATATCAAAACCTGGCAGAGATTAAAAAAAAAAGAAAACTTCAAGCCAATATCCTTGATGAACATTGATGAAAATACCATCAACAAAATACTGGGAAACTGAATTCAGAAGAACATCAAAAAGCTAATCCACTATAATCAAGTAGGCTGCATCTCTGGGAGGCAAGTTGGTTCCATATACAATCAATAAATGTTATTCATCACATAAAGAGAACTAATAACAAATACCAAGATTATCTCAATAGATGCTAAAAATACTTTCAATATAATTTAACATTTTTCATGTTTAAAACCCTTAACAAACTAGGCATTGAAGGTATATACTTCAAAACAATGAGACATCAACGACAAACTTACAGCCAACACACTGAATGGACACAAGCTGGAAGCATTCCTCCTTGAAAACTGGCACAAGATAAGGATGCCTTCTCTCAAACATCCTATTCAACATAAAATTGGAAATCCTGGCCAGAGCAATCAGAGAAGAGATGAAAATAAAAGGCATCTGCCGGGCATGGGGGCTCACGCCTGTAATCCCAGCACTTTGGGAGGCTGAGGTGAGCAGATCACGAGGTCAAGAGATCGAGACCATCCTGGCCAACATGGTGAAACCCCGTCTCTCCTAAAAATACAAAACTTAGCTTGGCATGGTGGCATGTGCCTGTAGTCCCAGCTACTCAGGAGGCTGAGGCAGGAGAATCGCTTCAACCTGGGAGGCGGAGGTTGCAGTGAGCCGAGATCACACCACTGCACTCCAGCCTGGCGAGAGCAAGACTCTGTCTCAAAAAAAAAAAAAAAAAAAAAAAGAAAAGAAAAGAAAAAAGGCATCCAAACAGGAAGAAAGGAAGTCTAACTATCCCTGTGTGCAGATGACATGATTCTATATCTTCAAAACCCTATAGTCTCAGCAGGAAAGCTCTTTAAACTAATAAACAACTTTAGCAAAGTTTCAGGATACAAAATACACGTACAAAAATCAGTAGAATCTCTGTACATCAAAACATCCAAGCCAAAAGCCAAATCAAAAACATAATCCCATTCACAATTGCCACAAAAAGAATAGAATATCTAGGAATACAGCTAATCAGAATGGTGAAAGATCCCTATGACAAGAATCACAAAACACTGCTTAAAGAAGTCAGAGATTGGCCGGGCACGGTGGCTCACGCCTGTAACCCCAGCACTTTGGGAGGCTGGGGCAGGCAGATCACAAGGTCAGGAGTTTGAGACCAGCCTGATCAACATGGTGAAACTCCATCTCTACTAAAAATACAAAAACTGGCCAGGCGTGGTGGCGTGCGCCTATAATCCCAGCTACTCAGAAGGCTGAGACAGGAGAATAACTTGAACCTGGGAGGCGGAGGTTGCAGTGAGCTGAGATCGTGCCACTGAACTCCAGCCGGGGCAACACAGTGAGACTCCGTCTCAAGAAAAAAAAAAAAAAGTCAGAGATTACGGCCAGGCATGATGGCTCATGCCTGTAATCCCAGCACTTTGGGAGGCCGAGGCAGGTGGATCATGAGGTCAAGAGACGGAGACCATCCTGGTCAACATGGTGAAACCCCGTCTCTACTAAAAATACAAAAATTAGATCCAGGAGTGCATCCAGAGGAAACCATGCCATGGATCTGGGGCCCACATTACTATCTCATAAAAAGTGTGATGACCAGGTTTATGGATCACTCTGTTCTCAATGACAGAAACTTCAGTCTGTATTAAGAAGATATGGCTGCAGAAAGACAAGATGAATTGTGGAAAGAGTACAAAGAGGGGGAAAGTAGGAGGTTTCCCAGTTCCAATGGCTGACTAATGGGAGGAGGAGATGGAGAAAGCAGAGTAAACTGATTGGACTGAAAAAAAAAAAAAAAAAAGTACAAAAATTAGCCAGGCATGGTGGTAGGCGCCTGTAATCCCAGCTACTGGGGAGGCTGAGGCAGGAGAAATACTTGAACCTGGTAGGTGGAGGTTGCAGTGAGCCGAGATGATGCCGTTGCACTCCAGCCTGGGCAACAGAGTGAGACTCCGTCTCAGATAAAAAAAAAAGGAGAAATGTCAGAGGTGTATTGAATCAGGGCAAATCCATTTCGAATAGGGGCTGGGTAAAATGAGGCTGAGACCTATGGGGCTGCACTCCCAGATGGTTAGGCATTCTAAGTCACAGGATGAGACAAGAGTTCAGCACAAGATACAGGTTATAAAGATCTGGGTGATAAAACAGGTTGCAGTAAAGAAGGTGGATAAAACTCACCAAAACCAAGATGGGATGAGAGTGACCTTTGGTGGTCCTCACTGCTACACTCCCACCAGTGCCATGACAGTTTACAAAATGCCATGGAGACATCATGGAAACATCAGAAAATGACTTTATATTGTCTAATTGGGAGGCAAAAATAATCCACCCCTTGTTTAGCATATAATCAAGAAATAACCATAAAAATGGGCAACCAGCAGCCCTCAGGGCTGCTCTGCCTATAGAGTAAGCCATTCTTTTATTCCTTCTGTTTCCTAATAAACTTGCTTTTACTTTACTCTGTAGACTCACCCTGAATTCTTTCTTGAGCGAAATCCAAGAACCCTCTCTTGGGGTGTGGATTGTGACCCCTTTCCGATAAGAACTCTGCACATTTTCTTTTTCTCATTTAAAAAAATCAGCTGAATTTGTCTTCAGTGGTCTAAATAAAATTTTTCACAGGCTCCTGAACTTGGAGCTACCCTCAATCTGAGCCAATATACAACTCCATTTTATGTCCCTCCTAAGAACATGCTGACTTCAGGGTAAAACATTCTCTGATCTAAAATCTGATTATTTCACCCTTCATTTGTCAGTCACCTCCAACTTCTTTTTTTTTTTTTTAAGATGGAATCTGGCCCTGTCACCCAGGCTGGAGTGCAGTGGCGCGATCTAGGCTCACTGCCAGCTCCACCTCCTGGGTTTACGCCATTCTCCTGCCTCAGCCTCCCGAGTAGCTGGGACTACAGGCGCCCGTGACCACGCCCGGCTGATTTTTTTGTATTTTTAGTAGAGACGGGGTTTCACCATGTTAGCCAGGATGGTCTCCATCTCCTGACCTCATGATCCGCCTGCCTCGGCCTCCCAAAGTGCTGAGATTACAGGTGTGAGCCACAGCATCCGGCCGTCTCCAACTTCTAATTTTGTTTGCTCCTCCCCATGAAAGAAAGCCCTTTTCTGCCTAAACTTTGCAATCCTTAAGGTTCTTACAGTTGGTATTTCCTCCTGTTGCAATAGTCCTTTGGAATTCAAATTTTTAACATAAATCTAACTTTGTTAGGTATTACAAAGTCTAGAAACTGCCTTCAAACATTAACAACTTTATCATCAGTAAGACCCTCTCAATCTCCTACCATCTTAACCTTAACTGCATCTGCCTGTGGGTCCCCACCTTTCCAGGACTCTGTAGCTTCTCTCAGCAGAAAAGCTTCTTCCACAGCTAGAGTGAGCAGGCTAGGACATCTGCAGGGGAGGCTCCCCAGAAAAAAAACTAACTGGGCCTGTAATAAACTCCTTTTGCAGGCTCAATATTAGCCTTAGCTCTGAGTCACTGGGCTCAAGCTTTAATTTCTATGTTAGAGTTACTCACTTGGTTTTTGAAACTATGTGTTTGAAAAATCTAGCAAAATTAGTCACAGTGTTCATACAAGGGAAGGAAATTTTAAGGTGTTTGCAATTTATACCTCAATAAAAAAAGCAAAATATCTATTTCTTTCACATAATGTATGCATTATTTTATGAATTCCATTAAGAATCATTTAGTAAACAGTTAGTCATATGGGAAAACTTCTAGGTGGTACCAAGTTTCATCTCATAAAATTTAGCATGAAACTCAGAAATCAAGATAACAGGATTTGAACAGAGATGTTTACTGTCACAAATTTACCCTGCAGAGAGAGAAACTCATGTTTTCATGAATGTATGTAACTCACCAATTATCTACCACATTTTCTTGTAGAAATGTATTTATTTTCTACAAAAAAATGGAACAGAGATTTTCCCTACTCATTTCCTTGGTAGCATTCTAAAAGCTGAGCCTTAGAATTCTGTTTGAAATCACCCAGCCATAAAAAACACACCTGAGAAAATTCCTAAACTCACCCTGGGGGTAAAAAGGGAATAGAGAATTTTTAATGAATGGAATATATTATTAGATACTATTTTTTTTCTTAAACCCACCACTTTTATGCCTTTGGTAAATATTTTCCTACCTTTCAAGCCCTACTAATAGAATTTACAGCTAAAAAACTGAGGTTAAAATAAATGAACAAATCTTTTCAAGGTGACAAACCCAGGGAGTGGCAGTGCTGATGAAAAAACAGATGTGTCTGACTCATGTTTCAAGTCAGGCCATTCAATCACTTCAAACAGTCTTCCACCCACTCCTGCTCACTTATGTGCTCAAGAACCACCCACTCAGGAGATACCACACTATGCCCCAGTGACTGTCCCACGGGCATTTAACTTTGCAAGTTCTTACGCCATCTCACTGGGGTCAGTGTTTTTCTTTTTCTTTTTGTCTTTTGGGATACTATTTTTTCTGTCACAAATGTTCCACTTTTTTCCACTATTTTACTTTCACTATAGTTATTTCACTATTTTTCTGCCCCCTTAGACAATCCAGAGGCAAAAATTATTTGTTTTCCCCTCAATGCCACAGTCTGATTGGTTGACCAGCAATGTGTCTCCAAGAAATGAAAGCTGGGTTGGGTGAAGACAATTTTAACATCTCAAGGGGTTACCTTTTCATAAAAAGAGTACACCAGAAGATTCCTGTCAGCCCCAGGGCATCCACTTGCTTCCTTGAGAGGATACACTCCAGACTTCAGGTTCTCCTATGGGAGAAAATAACCCAGAAGCTGATATCCACTAGACACTCTAACTGACATAACCATGGCGGATATCTTGGTTTATCCCCAGACAATACTGAAACCCAGGACCAGAAAAAAACTGAAGGGTGACTGAGGACACAACACCCCATAAAGTTTCCAAAGGAAAACCCTGACCCAAAAACATCCTGAGACAAGATCTCTGTGCCCAGAGAAGATACAAGGAGAAGAAGCACAGAGAGTTTTTACAACACAGTGTCAGGGGATTATTCTTTGCTTTCTTCACATGGGAAATATTTACAAACAGATAACAAATCTTATTAAAAGCACCATTTAATACTTTGTCAGAAAATAACTAATTAAAATACGGTGTAAAAAATGTACACTAAAGGACAAATAGGTGATAATGTGAATTAGGTAGGAAAAGTTGGCATTTGGGAACGCCAGAAAGAACTGGAAATTTAGTATCTTACTGCAAGCCAGAGTGAGGCTGGAGAAATGGGGGACGGGGGTTAGACTTAAGACCCTGCTTGGGACACAGGTGAAAAATGCAGCAGAAAATCAGTTCCCCGTGGAGTGTGAAAATAATTGAGTGGCAGGCAATTAGACTGAGGTGTCTCTAGACCCTGGGTTCCTACTTTTAAAAAGATCTAACGTGGCTGGGCGTGATAGCTCACGCCTGTAATCCCAGCATTTTGGGAGGCCAAGGCAGGCGGATCACCTGAGGTCAAGAGTTCGAGGCCAGCCAGGCCAACATGGTGAAACCCCGTCTCTACTAAAAGTACAAAAATTAGCTGGGCAGGGTGGCAGGCGCTTGTAATTCCAGCTACTCAAAAGGCTGAGGCAGGAGAAGCTTGAACACAGGCAGCGGCAGAAGTTGTAGTGAGCCGAGATTGTGCCACTGCACTCCAGCCTGGGCGACAAGAGCGAGACTCCATCTCAAAAAAAAAAAAAAAAAAAAAAAAAAAAAATCTAACTCAGGCGCATCGTTTTGAAAATTACTACATTGAAAGACACAAAATTCAGGCTTAATCAACTGTATACTGCCAATTAAGGTCTGATTACACAACCAGAAAATTTTCACCTTTATTGTACAAACTAAGAAACTACATAACGGTACCTAACCAATTACTGAATTTGGCTTTCTTCATCATGCACCTTATAAAAGTCTTTCCTTCAAGCCCCGCCATGAACAACAAATTACAAACCACAGCTGGGTGCTCAACAGTTTTTTAATCACTCTTTGATTAATTTCTTTAATATTTTTGTGGTGACTTCTGTACATTTTTTTTTTCCGAGACGGAGTCTTGCTCTGTTACACAGGCTGTAGTGCAGTGGCGCTATCTCGGCTCACTGCAATCTCCACCTCCCAGGTTCAAGTGATTCTCCTGCCTCAGTCTCCCAAGTAGCTGGGACTACAGGCGTGTACCACCATGCCCGGCAAATTTTTGTATTTTTAGTAAAGACGGGGTTTCACTATGCTGGCCAGGCTGGTCTTGAACTCTCCTGACTTAGTGATGCGCCCGCCTCGGCCTCCCAAAGTACTGGGATTACAGACGTGAGCCACCCCTCCCGGTCTGTACATTTTTAATAGGAGAAAAGAGGAACTAGGAACCCAGGACCAAAGTTCTTCCCATTCATGAACTCGCACCCCAAGTCAGGATTCTCCCGTGACGATTCTCCCGTGACGATCCTCCCGTGGTCCCTGCACAGTCTGGGAGAGACGCGGCGCTGCGGATGCAGAGCTGCCCAGAGAGGGCTCCAGGCCAGGGCACAGTCACTGCGCAAGGAAGAGACGGGACGTGCTGGGGCCCGCCTGTCAGCGCAGCCGCCATCTTAAGGCTGATGGGGACTGAGGCCCAGCTGGGCAAGAACTCGGGGCGCAGATTGTGCAGCTGACTGCCGGGAGGCCTGAGTCCCGCCACAGCCACTTCCCACCCATTACAACCAGCCCCTCCCCTCTCTGGGGATGTCGGACCCGGCACTCTCACCATTTCTAGGCTTCCAGGGGTTCCTGGCGTCTTAGCTGTAGATCTCCCAATACCTGCGGGTCACAGGGCCACAGAGCCTGGACCTCTAGGAGCAGAGGACACAGAGCGCTGAAGACGAGACCTGGAGCTCAGGCCACAGCGAGGGACAAAGGCCCCGCCAAACCCGGAAGCCGCCCTGTCCGCTTCACCTGCGTGCCTGATTGGACGGTTCCCTGCCTAGCGTCTCTGATTGGATAACATTTAAATCCCCGCCCCCTCAGGCCATGATTGACGGAAGATGTGATGAGATGCGGGGCTGAAAGAAGAGTGACAGCTTGGGCTGCATCCTTCTCTGACAGGGCTTCCTCCCTGAGCTGAGCCAGGCCCACCCCAGAGGTTATTTGCATTTAACCTTGTGTGTAAGGTCATATGCATTTATAAATAATATATGGGGCCGGTCACGGTGGCTCACGCCCGTAATCCCAACATTTTGGAAGGCTGAAGCGGGCAGATGACCTGAGGTCGGGAGTTAGAGACCAGCCTGACCAACATGGAGAAACCCAGTCTTTATAAAAAATATAAAATTAGCGGGTTGTGGTGGCCCATGTGTGTTATCCCAGGTACTCGGGAGGCTGAGGCAGGAGAACCGCTTGAACCTGGGAGGCGGAGGTTGCGGTGAGCCGAGATTGTGCCATTGCACTCCAGCCTGGGCAACAAGAGCACAACTCTGTCTAAAATATATATATATATATATATATATATATTTATTTATATATATTTATTTATATATATTTTTATATATTTATTTATATATATTTTATATATTTATATATGTATTTATTTATATATTTATATATTTATATATTTATTTATATATATTTATATATATTTATTTATATATATTTATATATATTTATTTATATATATTTGTATATATTTATTTATATATATATTTATATATATTTATATATTTATTTATGTATTTATATACATTTATATATATTTATATATATTTATATTTATATAATTATATATATTTATATATTTATATATATTTATATATATATTTATATATTTATATATATTTATATTTATATACTTATATATATTTATATATTTATATATATTTATATATATTTATATATTTATATATATTTATATATTTATATATATTTATATATAAATATTTATATATTTATATATATATATTTATATATTTATATATTTATATATATATATTTATATATTTATATATATTTATATTTATATATTTATATATTTATATTTATATATTTATATGTATATATTTATATATATTTATATTTATATTTATATATTTATATTTATATATATTTTTTATATTTATATTTTTATATATTTTTATATATTTATATATTATACATATTTATATTTATATATATTTATGTTTTTATATATATTTATATTTTTATTTTTATATATTTTTATATATATTTATATTTATATATATATAGTGGCTATTCAAAAATGAAAAGAATGTAACAATAATTATTTTAAAATTTCAGATTTTATGACCTTCCCGGCTAAAGGAGGCAGCCTCAGATTTTAAAAAGATGGTAATCTTCTGAAATAAAATGTGAGCCACATGTGAATCTTAAATTTTCTAGTAGACAAACTTGAAAAAGAAACAAGGAACAGGTTGAATTGATTGTAACAATTTAACCCAATATGTCCATAATATTATCATTTTAATGTGTGAGGAATGTGTAATTATTAATAATGTATATAAACATTTGAAACTAAATCTTTGAAACTAACTCTGTATTTTACCTTTCTAGCACATCGCAGTTCAGACCAGCCACATTCCAGTCACTCAGGAGGCACACGTGGCCAATAGCTGCCACATTGAAGTTCAGCTCTGATGTCAGGGGGGTGAATGAACTGAACATCCCTTTTCTGCCAGAAGTGAAGGCAGAGTCTCTCCCTACCAATATCTTTCTTCAGTTCTAAGGGTGGAACAGATAGTGGCCATAAAAAGAGCAGATGGCAGCAGGAGTAAAATAACCACAGGTAGACCACTGCTGGCCACCTGTTGCCCACTTTTCTTCCAGAGATCAGACAGTGAAGAAAGAATGTTGGGGCCACAGGATAATAAAACTCTGTGTCTTCAGATCTGTCCACACTCTTGACCTCAAATGTTTAGATATGGAGAAAACAGATTAAAGGCAAAACTTATTTTGCTATTGGCCTTGGCCCTACTAGTCAGGCTGTAGTTACCTGTTTTCTCCTGTGGTGTGTGGGACTGTGTGGGTATAAGCACCAATCACATGCATACATGTCTACCTGTATTTCTGCATTACTCAACATTCTCTTACAAGTCACCCAACTTTAAATCAGGGGAAAAAATCAGTACCTATAGGGTGCCCACTGTTAGAACATAACTAGTAATCAACCTGTCATTGAATCCTGGCATCCTATCTGCACTGGGTGCATGTATTAGTTAGCTATTGCAGCATAACAAATCATCCAAAACTTATTAGTTCATAATCGAGATGGTCAGCCATTTAGGTTGGGCTCAGTGGGGCCATTCTTCTGGTTTCAGCTGAGCTCCTTCAGTCATATGTCGTCAGCTGCTTGTTGACTAGGCAGCTGTGCTTCTGGGGGTGATGTTCTGCTTCTGGGGTTGTCAATAGGGACACCTTGCTTCTCCTCCCCATGATACCTTATTTTCCAGCTGGCTAACATGGGCTTTTTTCCAAGGTGATGTCAACATTCTAAAAGAAAAACAGAAGCACTCAAGACCATTTGAGCCTAGGTCCCAAACTAGCTCATTGCCATGTTCACAGGTTTCTACTGCCCTGAGCAAATAAGGCCAGCCTGATCTAGGGTTTGGAAAACAGATTCTGAATCTTGATGGAAACAACTGTAAAAGCATCTGGCATTGGGCATGGATACAAGGGGGATGAAAAATTGCTACCATTTTGCAAACACGGTGGCTCAGACCTGTAATCCTAGCACTTTGGGAGGCTAAGATGGGAGAATTATGTGAGCTCAGGCGTTCCAGTGCAGCCTGAGCAACATAATAAGATTTTGTTTCCATTAAAAAAATGAAAAAATTAGCCAACCATGGTGGTACATGCCTATAGTCCCAATACTTAGGTGGCAGAGGCAGGAGGATTGCTTGAGTCTGGAAGGTCAAGGCTGCAGTAAGCCATGATTGGCTGCACCACTGCCATCCACACTGGGTGGTAAAATGAGACTCTGTCTCAAAAAAAAAAAAATATTGGAGAAGCATTTCGAAGACAGAATAATTTGAGGAAATAGCTGAGGGATGAGTTTAGAAAATCAAAGCCCAACAGCACATTATTTATTTTTATCATTGAAAATATTTGAGCTGGCACTGTGGCTCACGCCTGTAATCCCAACACTGGGAGGCTGAGGCAGGCGGATCACGAGGTCAGGAGATCGAGACCATCTGGCTAACACGGTGAAACCCCGTCTCTACTAAAAATACAAAAAATTAGCTGGGCATGGTGGCGGGCGCCTGTAGTCCCAGCTACTCGGGAGGCTGAGGCAGGAGAATGGCGTGAACCTGGAAGGCAGAGCTTGCAGTGAGCTGAGATCATGCCACTGCACTCCAGCCTGGGTGACAGCGCGAAACTCTGTCTCAAAAAAAAATTTTTTTTGAAAACTAGGCTGTGTGCGGTGGCTCATGCCTAATCCCAGCACTTTGGGAGGCTGAGGTGGGTGGATCACCTGAGGTCAGGAGTTCGAGATCAGCCTGACCACCATGAGGAAACCCTGTCTCCACTAAAAATACAAAATTAGCCGGGCGTGATGGCACATGTCTGTAATCCCAGCTACGTGGGAGGCTGAAGCAGGAGAATCGCTTGAACCTGGGAGGCTGAGGTTTCAGTGAGCCAAGATCGCACCACTGCACTCCAGCCTGGCCAACAAGAGTGAAACTCCATCTCAAGAAAAAAAAAAGAGAGAGAGAGAGAAGAAAATATTTGAAAACTTTTAAAAGAGAAAAACTTTAAAATTTTAGAGAAATTAAATTCAACAGAGTTTAATAGAGCATAGAATGATTTGCAAATTGGGCAGCCTGTGGATCCAGAGTAGGCTCAGAGAGACTCTGGCAAAGCCACATTATGAAAACAGGTTTGTGGATGGAAAAAGCAAAGTGACATACAGAAAATAGAAGTGAGGTACAGAAACAGCCAGATTGATTACAGGTTGGGATTTGCCTTATTGAAACATAATTTGAACACTTGATGTCCTTTTATTGGCAAAAACACAGTGGTTGGTACAATAATGGATTACAGTCTATTTATATATCCAGTTAGGTTTCAGTTTACAATGTTTAAAAAAAAACCTAGTGACCAAAGTTAAACAGAAAAGGGAGCAGCTTTAGGCATAATTAATTTAACAATTTCTCCCTTTTGATCATCTTCTCAATTTTGAGAGCTAGAACAAAGCTTTAGACATTGATATTATTCTGTCACCATCAAAAATCTACTTATTTATTCTCAAATCCCATTGTGAAATAGCAGAACTGTAGCTTTTGTAAAGTGGAAACAAGGACTTCAGGTTATTATTTTTTTTTAAGGGTTACAGTACAGGTGACCTCCTTGTGTTGAAATCTGCTGTTTTCAAAAGAATAACCAAACCTGGCCTGTTTTAGGATCTACCTATTTCCTTACATTTTCAGTTTGATTATGTCACATTTAGCATGAGTGACTCCATTTGATTTGGTTTGGTCTCTTTGGGCGTAATGCACAAGCTCAATCCAGAATGATGGCCTTCAATAATGTTGTTTATAAAATTCCCCCCTTTTGGTTAAGTTCTCACATAGGTAAGAGTGTGACCAAAACTTTGTCTTAATGCCACTCTCAGTTTCCATTACCTTTAGTTTTTGTCCTTATCAGGTCATTCATAGGTTATGGTGTCCTCATGGTCACATATGCATTTGAGTTTTTGTGATTGCTGTTAAAGAGAGATCATTTGACATTCTAGAGATAACTGCATACAAACATTTATAACTTTTGAGAGAATACAATGCAGTAGGGAGACTACTATTTCGACTATAAGAAAGATAATAACAAGAGTTTCAAGTATGCTTTTTTTTTTTTTTTGAGATGGAGTCTTGCTCTTTCGCCAGGCTAGAGTGCAGTGGCGTGAGCTCGGCTCACTGTAACCTCTGCCTCGCCTCCCAGGTTCAAGTGATTCTCCTGCCTCGGCCTCCCGAGTAGCTGAGACTATAGGCATGAACCACCATGTCCAGCTAATTTTTGTATTTTTAGTAGAAACGGGGTTTCACCATGTTGGCCAGGATGGTCTCGAACTCTTGACCTCGTGATCTGCCCGCCTCGGCCTCCCAAAGTGCTAGGATTACAGGTGTGATCCACCATGCCTGGCCTCAAGTATGCTTTTTAGCCAGGGTCTCATGAGCCCACCAACTAACATTAAATAGATCAAATAATTAGGTAAATAAATGGTCTCCTCATTTCAACCAAGCAGCCTATTTATTAATCTCCTACAACTGAATCTCTGTAATACCCGATATATTTTTCTATGTACAACTACAAGTTTTAGCAACTGCACAGATACTTCTCTGTTCATCCAGTAAGTAATCTAGAGAAATTCTATTATTTTGCACAACTTTAAAAAGAAAAATTAAAGTCTATTGTGTAACCATAGCCTTTACAATAGAATATGCTATAGAGCCCTAGTAGGGGGAATAAATTTCTAACCATTGCCTCATTTACTCTAAACCATGGGGAACAAAAATACCTAACAAATGATAGCCATTGAAGAGTAATGGCCTCCTGGCAATACTCTATAATCTATTCTGAATAAGTTCTCTTTAACTTATGAATTAGGTTAACTGCAGTGAACCAATATTCTGTTTCTGATATTATGAGGCAACAGATGTCCCATTAAAATTTCTCATCCTCATTGGACCTTCATCTTTTACTTATGAAGGCATAAGTTTGTTCATATATAATGTTGGCTGCAAAATCTTCTACATATAAAAGTGTACCCCATGAGTGCACACAAGAGGCCCTTTTTAATTTCTGTTGTTTGCAGAGCCATAAGAAAAAAACCGTAATCTAAGAGTGTCATGATAGTAGAGATGTCTTGATTTTTCATCTTGTGAAGAAAGCGATCTACATCAAAGCTGCCTTTGCTTTTTAGGAGAAACTTCCCTGTTTAACTTTACCTTAATATCTGCGGCTGGTTGTGGTGGCTCATGCCTGTAATCCCAGCACTTTGGGAGGCCTAGGTGGGAGGATCACCAGGTCAGGAGATTGAGACCATCCTGGCTAACACGGTGAAACCCCGTCTCTACTAAAAATACAAAACAATTAGCTGGGCGTGGTGGTGGGCACCTGTAGTCCCAGCTACTAGGGAGGCTGAGGCAGGAGAATGGCATGAACCCAGGAGGCGGAGCTTGCAGTGAGCTGAGATGGCACCACTGCCCTCCAGCCTAGGCAACAGAGCAAGACTCCGTCTCCAAAAAAAAAAAAAAAAAAAAAAAAACTCCAATGGGCATACAATTGCAAGAATTTGGAGGGCCCCTTCTCAGTTGTGAGATTATCAACCTAAGGTTCAAGGTCCTGAAGTCTTGCTTCAGTGTAGATGGCAAGCAGACTCAATCTCTGGGTTCTAGACTATAAAGGGTTTTTCTGTCCTCAGTCAATAGACCATAAAAGGTTGTTTACCTGGTGAAAATATGCTTTGCCATAACGCATTAAAGCCTTGCTGCATTTAGTCATATTAAACTTCAGTAACAGAACACACATGAGGTTCTATTATCAGGTACATAAGCCATCCAATTACAAGTTTATAATAGTCAAAACAGTTTTTCACTCTCAGTGAATCTGATTGTCATCAATCTGCAATTACAAAAGCAATCCTGTCAATTTAGTTGGATTTTCTCAATACTATTGTTTCTGGAATAGCTTATTTAACAGTTTATAACTTCTCCAGTGAAATCGGATTTTTTTTTTTTTTTTTCCTGAGACAGAGTCGTACTCTGTCACCCAGGCTGGAGTGCAGTGGCACGATCTCAGCTCACTGCAGCCTTTGCCTCCTGGGTTCAAGTGATTCTCTGCCTCAGCCTACCGAGTAGCTGGGATTACAGGCGCCCACCACCACGCCTGGCTAATTTTTGTATTTTTAGTAAAGACAGGGTTTCACCATCATGGCCAGGCTGGTCTTGAACTCCTGACCTCGTGATCCACCCTTCTTGGCCTCCCAAAGTGCTGGTATTACAGGCATGAGCCACTGCTCCCGGCCGAAATAAGTATATTATTGGAGCCTTTTTCAGAAATGTCTCCTGAGCAAAACATATTTTTTATTATCCTTTAAGCTACTGTTATAACATCAGACTTTTCCCATGAGAAAATTTTTATTCTACAAGAAAATATGCATTAAACATGACAATTGAATAAGATTTCTTTACAAATGTTTAAATAGATCCTCAGGTAGCAGAAATGTACATGAAGCTTTTTTTTTTTTTTTTTTTGAGATGGAGTCTCGCTCTGTCACCCAGGCTGGAGTGCAGTGGCGCGATCTCGGCTCACTGCAAGCTCCATCCCCCGAGTTCATGCCATTCTCCTGCCTCAGCCTCCCGAGTAACTGGGACTACAGGTGCCTGCCACCATGCCCGGCTAATTTTTTTTTTTTTTTTTTGTATTTTTAGAAGAGACGGGGTTTCACCGTGTTCGCCAGGATGGTCTCAATCTCCTGACCTTGTGATCCACCCGCCTTGGTCTCCCAAAGTGTACATGAAGTTTGGATTGTCTTCTCAGGATTATATGTTTGAGAGGAAAAAAACGGTCCTAACCTATTTTGGTAGTTAGGACAGTCACCACACACACACACACACACACACACACACACACACACACACATTTAATTTATATTTAACTTAGATTATTATTATGTATTTTTTTGAGATGGAGTTTCACTCTTATTGCCCAGGCTGGACTGCAATGGCACCATCTCAGCTCGCTGCAACCTCTGCCTCCCAGGTTCAAGTGATTCTCCTGCCTCAGCCGCCCAAGTAGCTGGGATTACAGGAGTGCACCACCACACCCAGCTAATTTTGTATTTTTAGTAGAGACAGAGTTTCTCCGTGTTGGTCAGGCTGGTCTTGAACTCCTGACCTCAGGTGATCTGCCCACCTCGGCCTCTGAAAGTGCTGGGATTACAGGCATGAGCCACTGTGCCCCGCCAACTTAGACTATTTTTTATCTCTTCTGTGGCGAGTGATAAAATGCAGTGCTTTTGATAAAGGAAGCTTTAAGAACTCAGGAATGAAAAAAGTCACTGCTGTCTAGGTTCTCTATGAGTTCACACTTAACATTAAATTTATGTCCTCTTAAATATCAAGTTTGTTTCTTCAATTTAGGTTCATAGCACTGATAACTGAGAGGTTATCATAGGTAATCTGACTTGGAACACACAGTTTACTCAAATGGCACATCTAAAAAATTTCAGTACTGGCTGATTTAGTATAAAAATGTGGCAGAGTATTTTCATAATGTATAATTCATTTTTGTTTTGCCTGGATTACTAGTTTTATTTTTTATATATATTTTTTGAGACAGAGTCTCACTCTGTGGCTCAGGCTGGAGTGCAATGGCACAATTTTGGCTCAATGCAACCTCCGCCTCCCAGGTTAAAGTGATTCTCCCCTCAGCCTCCCAAGTAGCTGGGACTACAGGCATGCACCACTATGCCTGGCTAATTTTTGTATATATATATATTTTTTTAAGTCTCTTTTTTTTCCCCATAAGTTACTGGGCTACAGGTGGTATTTGGTTACATTAGTATGTTCTTTAGTGGTGATTTGTGAGATTTTGTTGCACCCATCACCTGAGCAGTAGAGCAGTATACACTGCACCATATTGGTAGTCTCTATCCCTCATCCCCCTCCTACTCTTTCCCCAACATCCCCAAAGTCCATTGCATCATTCTTATGCCTTTGTGTCCTCATAGCTTAGCTCCCACATCTCAGTGAGGACATTCAATGTTTGATTTTCCATTCCTGAGTGACTTCACTTAGAATAATAGTCTCCAATGTTATCCAGGTCACTGCAAATGTTAATTCATTCCTTTTTATGGCTGAGTAGTATTCCATTGTGTGTGTGTGTGTGTGTGTGTGTGTGTGTGTATATGATGATATATATATATGATGTGTATATATATATATGTATATATGATATGATTCTTTCCTTCATCTTAACGTTAGATAACCTGATGACAATGTGATTAGGTGATGATCTTTTTGTGATGAATTTCTCAGGTATTCTTTGTGCTTTTTGTATTTGAATGTCTAGGCCTCTGGCAAAACCAGGTAAGTTTTCTTCAATTATTTCCCCAAATATGTTTTCCAAACTTTTAGATTTTTCTTCTTTTTCAGAAAAACCAATTATTCAGGCTTCTTTAAGGTTTTGTTCATTTTTTTTTGTCTTTGCTGGATTGTGTTAATTTGAAGATCTTGTCTTTGATCTCTGAATTTCTTTCTTCTACTTGTTCAATTCTATTGCTGAGACTTTCCAGAGCATTTTGCATTTTTATAAGTGTGTCCAATATTTCCTGAGGTTCTGATTGTTTTTTCTTTATGCTATTTCCTTGCATATTTATCCCTTATTTTTATTTTATTTACTTATTCATTATTATTTTTTATTATTTTTATTTATTATTATTTTTTGAGATAGAGTTTCACTCTTGTTGCCCAGGCTGGAGTGCAATGGCACAATCTTGGCTCACCACAACCTCTGCCTCCCGGGTTCAAGCGATTCTCCTGCCTCAGCCTCCTGAGTAGCTGGGATTACAGGCATGCTCCACCACACCTGGCTAATTTTGTATTTTTAGTAGAGATAGGGTTTCTTCACGTTGGTCAGGCTAGTCTCGAACTCCCGACCTCAGGTGATCCATCCACCTCAGCCTCCCAGAGTGCTGGGATTACAGGCATGAGCCACCAACCCAGCCTATTTTTAATTTTTTTGAGATGGAGTCTTGCTCTGTCGACCAGGCTAGAGTGCAATGGCGCAATCTTGGCTCACTACAACCTCTGCCTCCCGGGTTCAAGTGATTCTCCTGCCTCAGCCCCCTGAGTAGCTGGGATTAAAGGCTTGCACCACCACGCCTGGCTAATTTTTGTATTTTTACTAGAGACGGGGTTTCACCATGTTGGTCAGGCTGGTCTGGAACTCCTGACCTCGTGATCTGCCCACCTCTGTTGTAGCAGGATGAGACACAGACAAGAACCCCTCAGACACCGAGTTGCAGAAGGAAAGGGCTTTATTCAGCTGGCAGCATTGGAAGACTCACATCTCCAAAAACTGAGCTCCCTGAGTGAGCAATTCCTGTCCCTTTCAAGGGCTTACAACTATAACGGGGTCCGCCTGAAAAGGTCATGATTGATTGAGCAAGCAGAGGGTATGTGACTGGGGGCTGCATGTACCACTAGTCAGAACAGAACAGAACAGGATAGGGATTTTCATGATGCTTTTCCATACAATGTCTGAAATCTATAGATAACACAAGCAGTTAGGTCAGGGGTGGATTTTTAACTAGCAGGCCCAGGGCATGATGCTGGGCTATCTGCCTGTGGATTCCATTTCTGCCTTTCAGTTTTCACTTCTTCTTTCTTTGGAGGCAGAAACTAGGCATAAGACAATATGAGGGGTGGTCTCCTCCCTTTTTCCCCCCGTTTGAGAACCTCTCTCATTAGTGGAAGTTCTCACCTTTATCCTCACTACTCATGTCTTCCTGTAAGACAGATCGATAGTGATTCATATAGTACACTTGTGCTGAAGCATTTTGGTGAACTAAGGTAGCGATGAAGCTTTTTATCATTTGAAGAAGTACATAGCAAACAAGGGAGCAGTAAGCATGTTTTTATTACTATTATAACTCCTACTATAAGAGTTTTAAATCCTCCTAGTGCTGGGAACCATTTTTCAAACATGGCCCCAGGATTAAATCCATGCCACACTTGCGCAGGCACATGTGCCAGTTTTGTCATGTCTCTAACTATGTCTTCAACTACTTGCCCTTGGTCATCTATGTGTAGACAGCAATTAGTAAGGTTAAATTTCCCACAGACCCCTCCTTTAGCTGTTAGCAAGTAGTCTAGGGCTAGTCTATATTTATAGATAGCATTTCTCATCTGGGTTTCTTGCTGGGCTAAAACAGTTGAAGCTCTGCCAGTTTTATTAGTGATTATTTCTAAGACAGCTTGTAATCGTATGATTCAGTTGAGCATATAAATGGGGATTCGGTATCCCCATGAGCTGTCTTGTGCCTAAGTGGCAGGCCCATAGTACTGTATGATTCTTTCAGGGGGCCACTTGTCATCTTTTCAGTCGCCTATAGCTATGCTTCTCTTTTCTCGGGAAGCATAGACCAGGAAACCTAGAAGTTCGCCTGTTTTTATGGGCAGTAGGAAAAAAGATGGGTTATAGCACACATCAGGCTGGTCATTTCGTGGGCTACATACCTTGTATAGAATAGCATTATACAAACAAGTTCCTTTTAGAGTCCTGGTACACTTAAAATAACCATAAAATAATAGGACTGTAGCAAACTTTTGTCCTACCTCAGTGACTTGATGTATATATTGGGAACAGTCCTCAGTCTGAGGAAGGTCAGTTGAAGTCCTTACTGTACAAGTCCAAATTTTCAGGGAAATGAGTCCTGTGATTAATTTCCTCATGCTTTGGTGATGCGGGAACCAGTCAGCTTCCAGGTGTGACTGGAGCAGGGCTTGCCATCTTTTTCAGAGTCACTTTGCAGAGGTTGGCAAAGCTGCTCCCATCCAAGTATAGCTCACAGTCTCCTGATACTCAAGATGGTCTCGGAGGTTGGGCCCACTAGAATAAACTGAGTCTAATACCTCTACACAGTTATGTAGGGCCCAGCCCTACAGGGTCTGTGGGTTTTTTCTCCTCATGTGCGGAGATGAGAGATCATAGAAATAAAGACACAAGACAGAGATAGAAGAAAAGACAGCTGGGCCCGGAGGACCACTACCACCAAGGTGTGGAGACTGGTAGTGGCCCTGAATGCCTGGCCATGCTGTTATTTGTTGGATACAAGACAAGGGGGCAGGGTAAGGAGTGTGAGCCATCTCCAATGATAGGTAAGGTCACACGAGTCACGTGTCCACTGGACAGGGGGCCCTTCCCTGTTTGGCAGCCGAGGTGGAGAGAGAGAGAGGACAGATTACACCACTATTTCTTTTATGCATTTCAAAGACTTTTAGTACTTTCACTAATTCTGCTACTGCTATCTAGAAGGCAGAGCCAGGTATACAGAGTGGAACATGAAAGTGGACCAGGAGCGTGACTATTGAAGCACAGCATCACAGGGAGACGGTTAGGCCTCCAGATGGCTGCAGGCGGGCCTGACTGATGTCAGGCCTTCCACAAGAGGTGGTGGAGCAGAGTCTTCTCTAACTCCCCCGGGGAAAGGGAGACTCCCTTTCCTGGTCTGCTAAGTAATGGGTGCCTTCCCTAGGCACTGATGCTACTGCTAGACCAAGGTCTGCTAGGTAATGGGTGCTGGCATTACTGCTAGACCAGGGAGCCCACTAGTGGCCCTGTCTGGGCGTAACAGAGGGCTAACATTCTTGACTTCTGGTCACTTCTCACCATGTCCCTTCACCTCCTATCTCTGTAGGGCCTGGTTTTTCCTAGGTTATAATTGTAGAACAAAGATTATTATAATATTAGAATAAAGAATAATGCTACAAACTAATGATTAATGACATTCATATATAATCATATCCATAATCTATTTCTAGTAGAACTATTCTTATACTATATATTTTCTTTATTATACTGGAATAGCTTGTGCCCTCAGTCTCTTGCTTTGGCACCTGGGTGGCTTGCCACCCACATCTTCCCCCTTTTTATTGACTAGGATCACCACCACCATCATTGCTTGTTGTTGACTTTGCACTTGTCCTCAGACTCCTTGGAGACATGTGCAGACTAAAAGTAGACAACATAAACATACCAATATTAATAATGCCAGTGACAACAATGATCCTCCGAGGGGTTTGATCCATTTAAAAGGATTAAGACAGTTATGTTTTAACTGGGCTCTCTGATACCGGGAGCAAGGTGGCAGGGTTTAGGGTGTTGCAAACTTCAATGGTTATGGGGGGATTTTCACATAGCAAGATTTGGTACTTGTTAATCTAGCATTTGTTAGCCAATGATGTCCTTTGGTATTCATCAAATTTACCACAGCATGGGGGGGCCTTTATATTCAGGTTTTGCCCAAGAGTTAGCTTATCTGCTTGTTGTGCTAGCAGGGCTGTTGCTGCCAAGGCCCTCAAACATGAGGGCCAACACTTAGAAACCCTGTCTAATTGTTTAGAGAGATAGGCCACCAGCTTTGGCCAGTGTCCCACAGTCTGGGTTAAAACTATTAACTATCATTTTTTTTTCTGACACATATTGTGTAAAAAAAAAAAAAATTATAAAAAAAGAATTTATGCAAGAAATTGTTGTATAAATTTAAAAGTAATTAGTCCTCCTGAATGTAAAACTATTGTGAGGTCAGGTAGCCCCAGGGCTGGGGCCGCCATGAGCTTTTCTTTTAACTCACGAAAAGCTCGTTGCTGTTGGTTGTAATAGATGTAGTTTATCCAATCTACATTTTTATTAACTGTCACCCACCAAAATATTGACTCAAATCCTGCAGCTATTTGATTTCAAGCTTTAAATTGATCTGGTATTCCCCGTGGGACTCCAATTGTGTCTAAATAGACGTGAGAGTCGAAAGACCCATAAGGGGCTTCTCTTACTTTACGATGTCTTATTTTTCCTCCCTCTGGTTGATGAAATGCCAGGGTGAAAGGGATAGCCAATTGGACTAAAGTACAAGTGCCACTCCAGTTATTCGGCACAGTGCCCAGTAAAGGTCCACCACAATACCACCACACATCTGCTCAGGGATGAACAAGGGCTGACTGATTGATAAGCTCTTGAAAATTCTTAAGCTCACTGCATCCCTTCAGGTCTCCAAGGAATGCTAAGTTTCCTCCCTGTCATGAGAGACATGAAGTGAACTTAGTGTTGGGAGACAGAAGCTGGATGGCCCTCAGGGGCTGACTCACAGGGTGCTGGACTTTGGGATATCACAGAGAGAGCTTGGTACAACTTATTACTCCAGGCTGTAGAATCCTGGAAAAGAGCTACCATGCAGCCCATGCCTGGTGGACAGGAGGACCACCTTAGTGGAAAGGGGACAATCTGGGCCTCTGGCCTGCCATGTGCCCAAGCATAACAATTGCTTTTGTTTAACGTGTGGATGGAATATTTGATCCATTCCAACCAGGAATTTGCATCTTCGTATCCTGTTTGCCAAAGTTTGTTTTAAGTCTTTAACTTCTATGATCCTCTAGTAAAATTAATGTATGATTTTAGGGAATTACAAAAACCAGTTGGGGCAGTCCATCCTTGCTCTTTAGTGGTCCACAGAATGTTGGACCAACTATGGCATAAAAGCTCTACATTGGGGAGCAAGGCTCCTGGTTGACACTGGAGGCTTTATCGAAATTTCCCCGGATTAAACGGTCCTAATTTACTAATGCCCAGTCTGAGGAGAGTCAGGAGGGACAGAGGTACTTTTCTGAAGTACAGAGCTTTCTGAAGTACAAGTCTTTGACTTGGCAAGTCCCCACAGGGTATAACAAGGCATGCATTAAATGCAATAGTTTGAGGTGAAATTGACTTGGCTACATTAATAACTAGATGGTCAGCAATAGAGCGAGGAAAGAAGAAAGAGTAATAGAATAGATGAGAGAGTTAAATTTTTCTTAGCTTTAGTTTGGTAGGGTTTTCCTCTTGGACTATGGCCCATGACTCTGGAGGGGGTGGCGCTTTCTTGACTCAGTTGTGATGAGTCCATCCTTTTTTCGCTGCATGAACAGCAGTCTCAGTGGTTAGCAGCACAAGGTAGGGTCCTTCCTAGGCTGGCTCAAGTTTCCTTTCTTTTCACCCTTTGATGAGAACGTGATCTTCAGGCTGGTGCTGGTTTACTGGAAATTCTAGGGGTGGTACATGTGCTAAAAGACTTTTAGTTTTGATGGAAAGGAAAGCGGAAGATAAACCAAGTATATAATTTCTAAGAAACTGACCTTTTGTTTTAAATGTGGAGACATCAGCAGTGGACTTTGTAGTCCTTGGTGCCTTTCTACTGAGAAATTTCCTTTAGCATGTATTTTTTATTAGTTTTTAGATCAAAGAAGCCAAATACCATTTTATATTTGACAATGCTTCCTGTATGATTTTTATACCAGATAAGCTAAATTTCACCTTTATATTAGTGTGCTATTAATGTTAAACTTAGTTTTAATAAAACTTTATAGACACATTTATTCAATTTTTAATGTTGGATCATAAGGTAAGATTTTTTTTTTTTTTTTTTTTTTTTTGAGACGGAGTCTCGCTCTGTCGCCCAGGCTGGAGTGCAGTGGCGGGATCTCGGCTCACTGCAAGCTCCGCCTCCCGGGTTCACGCCATTCTCCTGCCTCAGCCTCCCAAGTAGCTGGGACTACAGGCGCCCGCAACTACGCCCGGCTAATTTTTTGTATTTTTAGTAGAGACGGGGTTTCACCGTTTTAGCCGGGATGGTCTCGATCTCCTGACCTCGTGATCCGCCCGCCTCGGCCTCCCAAAGTGCTGGGATTACAGGCGTGAGCCACCGCGCCCGGCCAAGGTAAGATTTTTATAGACTGTTTTTAACCTTTTATAATCTTTGTAAAAGAGCATGTTAGCGCTTTAAGAAAAACTCATTGTGTTTTTACTTTAACGTCCAGTTCACAGAACAACTGGATGATACCCCTTTAACTTTAGCTAATATGTTTACACACAGAATTTTCTTTAAAATTAATGTTTTAAAACTTGCTTAAACCTTCAAAACAATTTTTTTTAACCTTTTAATGTAGGTAAAAATTTACATTCTTATGCCTCCTTATAATCCTTTTACCAAAGTTATATTTTACTTTGTTTATACACCTTGCATATAAACTGTTTTTTTCAATAGTTTTACATTCAGGAGGCCTAGTTACTTTTAAATTATACAACATTTCTTGCATAAATTTTTTTTTATAACTTTTTTTCTTTCACGACTTTCACAGACAATTCTTCTACAGGCCTCAACTTTCTGACTTATTACAAACATTTCTTTCTTTAAACAACCAGTTAATTTATTTCAGGACAAGAATTTACCATATAACATTCTTTTTACATAAATTCTGCTCCCTCACCTTCTTTCCCCTTTTTTTCCCAAAGATGATAACCATTCTTTTCCAAAGTGAACTTCCTTTATGTCTGTGGACTAGACTGTCTAAGGCCACAAGATTAGAAGTTACTATAATACATGTTACACTGTTAACTTTTAGCAAACTTTACTTTTGTTGAAAACCTTGTAAGTTTTGGATTTCAATTATCCTTTGCTATTAATAAGACCTTGTTTAGTCCAAATTAACTTAGAATTGGTATAGATGGCTTCTTTTTTTTCCTTCTATCATCCCATCCTAAAGGGAGTTCCTCCTAGGTCTGGTCAGACCTTTGTATGGTAATTAAGATTTAGACCCCCTGTTAGGAAACCTGCTAGGTTAAGGGAATTTTCAGTGGCTAATGTTAAATCATCTTTTTTTTTTTTTCCCTTAGGATATTTCTGAACTGGTGAGGTGTGCTCACAATGAGGTTTCCTCTAAAAGTTATTTTTCTACTTTCTTCTGTTAACAAAGCAGTTGCTGCTACAGATTGAATGCATTTGGGCCATCCACAGATTACTCAGTTAAGAATTTTTGATACGAAGGCTACAGGTTGTCAGTGGCCTCAGTGCTTTTGGGCTTCACCCTTGCTTACACTTACAACAAGGTTGTATTGGAGTGTTGTAGGGTCACGGAAAAGACCTCCAATTATCAATTACAGGTTTTAAATTTACGCTGGCTTTTAAAAGAATAGGGTACACTTTTTTTTTCTTAACTACTTGTATATTTCCCTCTTTCTTTCTCTCTTTCACTTTCTGTCTCTCTCTCTCTCTCTTCTTGACTCCCTCTTTGTCTGTCTCTTCCTCTCTCTCTCTGCTGGTCTTTCCTTGCCTCTGCCAGCCGCTTATGCTGCTGTTCTCTCAACCACTGTGGGGGGCAGTCTAAAACCAGCTGTAACCAAGTGTCTATATACAGGAACTGGTCAGTGTGCCCTGGATTACAGGTTACCTTGTGCCATACCTTTGAAACAAGGGACCTGTCCAGGCTTCCTTCTGGTGGCCAACCCACCTCTAATGCTGTTCAGTCTATCTTACACAAAGTTTTAAGTTTTCCTGGTGTCATAGTACTCCATAGTCTCCCTTAAATCTTGAAATTTTCAACATAGTTCCTGGTGGGGTGGGCTTACTTTGTGCTTGACCCATGCTTCCTCAAGACAAAACACCACGCTCACACCACACGCACACCACAAAACAAAGAACGGGTAAAAAGGGCACACACACACTTTCACAGTTTACACCAAATCAGAACCAAAACAAAAATCAGAGTATCAAGAAATCCAAGCCAGGTCAAAACCAAAACCAAAGTATCGAGCAATCCAAGTCAAGTCAAAAACAAAAACCAAAGTGCCGGTACAGGCACGTCGTGGGTGATCAGGCCATGCTTCCACTCAAATGGAGTGGGCAAGTTCCAAAGACCAGTCTTACCAAGTTTCAGATGTCTGGACTCCAAGTGCCAGTTCCTTCCTGGTGTTCAGCCACTGCGTTGATCCTCCGCAGGGGCCTGCTGTGCACCGCTCTAACAAGGCATTCCACCAGGGCAAATGCCTATCTGGGAGCGCTCTCAGGATCCATGTTGCTCAAGCTGGCCAGAGTCCCCCGCAGGGATGCTCCACAGGGCAAGCCTCAGCTGCCTAAGGAGGTGCATCAACCATCCATCCATTAATCACCTCATTCCCAGTCAGGGAACCAAGAAATGTAGCAGGACTAGCTGCAGACAAAAATCCCTCAGACACCAAGTTAAGGAAGGGCTTTATTCAGCTGGGAGCACTGGCAGATTCACGTCTCCAAAAACTGAGCTCCCCGAGTGAGCAATTCCTGTCCCTCTTAAGGGCTTGCAACTCTAAGGGGGTCCGCATGAGAGGGTTGTGATCAATTGAGAAAGCAGGGGGTACATGACTGGGGGCTGCATGCACTAGTAATTAGAATGGAACAGAACAGGACAGGGATTTTCACAGTACTTTTCCATACAATGTCTGTAATCTATAGATAACATAACCGATTAGGTCAGGGGTCAATCTTTAACTACCAGGCTCAGGGTGTGGCACTGGGCTGTCTGCCTGTGGATTTCATTTCTGCCTTTTAGTTTTTAGTTCTTCTTTCTTTGGAGGCAGAAATTGGGCATAAGACAATATGAGGGCTGGTCTCTTCCCTTATTCTTGAGATGGAGTCTCGCTTTGTGGCCCAGGCTGGAGTGCACTGGTGCAAGCTCAGCTCACTGCAACCTCCTACTCCCTGGTTCAAGCAATTCTCCTGCCTCAGCCTCCCAAGTAGCTGGGACTACAGGCACGTGCCACCATGCCCAGCTACTTTTTTTTGTATTCTTAGTAGAGATGGGGTTTCACCACGTTCGCCAGGATGGTCTCGATCTCCTGGCCTCATGATCCACCCACCTTGGCCTCCCCAGCTGCTGGGATTACAGGCATGAGCCACCGTGCCCGGCCAGAAGAGACACATATCTGACTCAAGTGTCAAATCAGGCAATCCTATAAGTTGGTACATTCTGCCACCCTTACCCTACTCACTAAAGTGCTCAAAGCTCTCCCTCCCAGAAGACACTGCACAGTGCCCTACAGTGTGTCCCTGGTGTTTTTTTTTTTTTTTTTTTTTGCTTTGCAAGTTCTTGCATGCCTCCTTAGGGTGAGTTTTTTTTGTTGTTGTTGTTTGTTTGTTTTTTTTGTCTTTTAAAACAGTTCTCCCCCCTTCACAAATATGAGATAATTCAGAAGACAGGCATTATTTTTGTCTTTTCCCCTAAATACAACCATCCAATTGGCTGACCAGGAAGAACTGGGGCTGGGGAAAGAAAATCTTAAGATCCCCAAAGGTTCTTTTTATGGGAAGGGTAAACCAGGATATTTCTCTCAGCCTCAGGACATTCAGCTGCTCTCCTGAGAAGCTCCATTTCCATACATCAGTGTGTCCTCTGGAAGGAGATGACCAAGGGGCTGATATTCACCAAACCTTCCAAAAGGTATGGCTGTTGTGTGTATCTTGGGTTATCCCAAGAGAGCTCTAAAACTCAAGACTTAAAAAAAAGCAGTGTGGCTGAGGACACACTGTCCCATCAAGTTTCCAAAGGGAAACTTGAATTTAAAGATATCCTGATAAGGCATTTGTGCCTAGGGAAGATAAAAGAAGAAAAAGCAGAAAAATTTTTGACAGTGGAGTGTAATGGGATTATTTTCTGCTTTCCTCCGGTGAAATATTTACAAATAGAAACATACAATAAAAAACAAAAATAGTTGATAATGTTGTGAATTGGATGGGAGTAGTTGGCTTTGGTGAATGTTGAAAAGAAACTGGAAATTTCAGTCCTGGTGCAGTGGCTCACGCCTGTAATCCCAGCACTTTGGGAGGCCAAGGCGGGCGGATCACCTGAGGTCAGGAGTTGGAGAGCAGCCTGGCTAACACGGTGAAACCCCGTCTCTACTAAAAATACAAAAATTAGCCGGGTGTGGTGGCACATGCCGGTAATCCCGGCTACTTGGGAGGCTGAGGCAGGAGAATTCCTTGAGCCTGGGAGACGGAGGTTGCAGCCTGGCCAATAGAGTGAGACTCCGTCACAAACAAAAAAAAAAAAAAAAAAGAAACTGGAAATTTAAGATTTTACTGCAAGCCAAGTTAGGCTGGCAGAACAGATTTAAGACTCTGCTTGCCACACATTTGGAAAATGTAGGAAAAAAACAGTGCTTCTGATTAAAGTTAAAATAATTAAATAGCAGGTAGACTGAAGTGGCTCTAGGGATCTAGGTTCCTGTGTAACAGCAACAAAACGATCTAACTCAAATGCGTATCTCGTAAGTTACTACCTTAGGAGAAAACAAAATTCAGGCTTAACCAACCATAAATCTCCAATTAATCTGATTACATAACCAGAAAATTTTCTCCTGGACACTCTAAATGAAACGACTACATAACTGTACCCAATCAATTATTTAGTTTGCTTTGCCTCTTCACAAACCTTAAAGCCTTTTCTTCAAGACCCGCTGGTAGCCCCCAAACGACAAACCATGTCTGGGGCTGTCCCACTGGTTCATCACTGTTTGCTCATATAAATTCTTTAATGTTTTAATGGTGCCTCCGTTTATGTCTGAATAGGTTAAAGTAGGGACTGGTGACCCCACAGACCAGAGCTCCTTCCACGCAGAAGCCCTGCACACCAAGTCGGCGTCTTTCCCTGGTGAACCTCTCCTCATCACCTCACAAGCTGGGGAAGATGCGGGCGCAGAGCTGCGCAAAGAGGGCTACAGGCTGGGGCCAAAGCCGCTGTGCTGAAACGGTACAGGACGCCTGGGTACCCTGCACCAGAGGAGACTGAGGGCTGAGCTGAGGGGGGCTCAGGCTCACAGACTCGGTCCCGCCACCGCCATTTCCGGCCGACTCCGATGAGGCCTCCCCAGTCTCCGGACGCCCTGACCCGCAAACTCAGCATTTCTCGGCTTTGTGGGTGTCCTGGAGTCTTAGCTATGAATGTTCCAATACCAGTAGGTCACAGGGCGACGGAGGATGAGGCTGTGGCAGAATCACCGAGACCTCCTGGAGCGGAGCACGCAGGCCAGTGATGTACTAACCCCAAGCTCTACCTGGAGCGAAAGACAAAGGCCCCGCCAGATACCGGGAGCCGCCCCTTCCTCTCTGGCTGTGAATCTGATTGGACAGTTTCCATCCCAGCACCCTGATTGGATAGAGCTCCCGGCCCCGCGCCCTCGGGCCTTGAGTGACAGAAGATGCTACCAGACAGTGCACTGAATGAGGCAAGAGTGACAGACTCTTGGCTCCAGTCATCTCCAGCAAGGGCTTTACCTCTGAGCTGGGCTTAGCTCTGCCTGGGGGTAATTTTTTAATCTTGTGTATAAGGTTAGGTCCACTTATAAATTTTATACACACACATATATGTTGTTTACAAATGGAAACACTATAATGGCAATTATTTTAATATTTAATATTTCATAACACTTCCGGCCCCTGATCTTCTGAGTAGGCAACCTGAGATTTTAAAAGAAAAGCAATCCTCTAAAACATAAAATGTCAGCCGTGTGTGAATTTTAAATATTTTAGTAGCCACATTAAACATAATAAAAAGAAACAAGTGAAATTATTTTTTAACCCAGTACATCCAAAATATTATTATTTTAACCCATTTATGCCTGAGGTTGCAATTTTTAAAATTTTTGCAGTCAGACGTTGGCAATGACCTTGAGCAGTGAGATATAAATAACTCCCATATGCTTAGTGTTCCAATAATGGAACACTGGGAATAAATGTGTGATCAACATATAATAATTATTATTATCATCATCTTTTTTTTGAGACAGAGTTTTGCTCTTGTTGCCCAGGCTAGAGTGCAATGGCGTGATCTCAGCTCACTGCAACCTCTGCCTCCTGGGTTCAATCACTTCTTCTGCCTCAGCCTCCCAAGTAGCTGGGATTACAGATGTGGGCCACCACACCCAGCTAATTTTGTATTTTTAGTAGAGACAGGGTTTTGCCATGTTGGCCAGGCTGGTCTTGAACTCCTGGCCTCAGTGATCCACCCATCTCGGCCTCTCAAAGTGCTGGGATTACAGGTGTGAGCAACCTCACCCAGCCCAATATATAATAATGATAATAATAATTATTATTATTATTTTGAGATGGAGTCTCACTCTGTCGCCCAGGCTGGAGTGCAGTGGCACAATCTTGGCTCATGGCAAGCTCCGCCTCCTGGGTTCACGCCATTCTTCTCCCTCAGCCTCCCGAGTAGCTGGGACTACAGGCACCCACCACCACGCCCAACTAATTTTTTGTATTTTTAGTAGAGACGCATTTCACCATGTTGGCAGGATGGTCTCGATATCCTGACCTTATGATCCACCCGCCTCGGCCTCCCAAAGTGCTGGGATTACAGGCGTGAGCCACCGTGCCTAGCCCAGTATGTAATTATTAATAGAGTGATTTTTGGTTCTAAATTTTCTTAACTGACTCTATTTCATATCTGCAGCACATCTCATTTTAAATCAGCCACATTCCAGGTACCCAGTAGCCTCAAATGGCAAGTAGCTGGCACATTGAAGTGCATCTCTGAAGACTGTGACTCTCTGACCTCAAAGAGGTAAAGGACCTGAATATCCTTTTTCTGCTGGAAGTGAGAGAACAGCCTCTGCCTATAAACTTCTCTGTTCAGGCCCAAGGGTGGGAGGCACAGTGCCCTTAGACAGAGCAGCAGCTGCAAGCAGGAAGTGTCCACATGTAGACCACTGTGTCCCAGTTGCTGTTTGGAGGGGATTTCTCTTCCAAATATCAGACAGTAAACAATGGATGATAGGGCCTCAGAAGGAGGAAACCCCATGTCTTCACATCTCTTCACAGTGTTGACCTCCAAAGTTCAGATGTGGAGGGAATAGATTAAAGGCTGATATGGTTTGGCTCTTTGTCCCAACCCAAATCTCATCTTGAGTTGTAATCCCCACATGTCGGGGAGGGGCCTTGTGGGAGGTGATTGAGTCGTGGGGGCAGACTTCCTCTTGCTGCTCTCTGATAGAGTTCTCAGGAGATCTGGTTGTTTGATAAGTCTATAGTGCTTTCTCTCTCTTTCACTCTCTCCTGCCACCTGTTGAAGACATGCCTTTCTTCCCTTTTGCCTTCTGCCACGATTGTACGTTTCCTGAGGCCTCCCCAGCCATGCAGAATTTTGAGTCAATTAAATCTCTTCTCTTCATAAACTACTCTGTTTCAGGTAGTTTTTTTGTTTGTTTGTTTGTTTTTTGGGGTTTTTTTTGACAGAGTCTCACTCTTGTCGCCCAGGCTGGAGTGCAGTGACGCGATCTGTGCTCACTGCAACCTCCGCCTCCCATGTTCAAGCAATTCTTCTGCCTCAGCCTCCCGAGTAACTGGGATTACAGGTGCCTGCCACTACAACCAGCTAATTTTTTGTGTTTTTAGTAGAGACGGGGTTTCACCGTGTTAGCCAGGACAGTCTCGATCTCCTGACCTTGTGATCCACCTGCCTCAGCCTCCCAAAGTGCTGGGATTACAGGCATGAGCCACCGTGCCTGGCCTCAGGTATGTCTTTATAGCAGTGTGAAAATAAATTAATACAAAGGTCAACTCCTTATTTTGCTATTTGGCCTCGGACCTAATTGTCTGGCTGTAGCTGTATGTTTTTCTCCTGTGGTATGGGGCACTGTGTGAGTTTAAGCACCAATTATATACATCTACTTGCTCTTCTGTATAATTCAATACCACCTAACAGAAATCTAACTTTAAATAAATGGAAAAGAAAATCAGTACTTATAAGGTGCAGACCATTTGCAGGTTATTTGCAATGAATCTTTTTGGAATCCTGATACCCTGTCTATAATGAATGTTTATGTTAGTAAGGTATAACTGCATAACAAACTATCCTAAAACTTACTAGCTCATCATTGAACTGGTTAGAAATTTAGGCTGGGCTTCAGGCATGAGTGGTCAGCTGCTGGCAGATTGGGTGGTTCTGCTTCTGAGAGTGAGCTACCTGTCAACTGGGGCACTTCAATTTTTCTCCTTGTGATACTTTTATTTTTCAGCAAGCAAAAATGAGCTTTTAAGACCCATTTTAGAAACATTTAAGACGTTTTGAGCCTAGGCTCAAAACTGACATGCTGTCATTTCAGTTTTGGCCTGTGCAAATAAGGCCAGAAAGATCCAAGATTTAGAAAACAGATCCTGTCTCTTGATGGGAACTATTATAAAATCATATGCTAAGGGCATGGATATGAGAATGAATAAAAATAATTGTTTTTTTCAATCAATTTTATTATGCTTTTTTTTTTTTTTTTTTTTTTTGGAGACGGAGTCTCACTGTCGCTCAGGCTGGAGTGCAGTGGCGCGATCTCGGCTCACTGCAAGCTCCACCTCCCGCGTTCATGCCATTCTCCTGCCTCAGGCTCCGCAATAGCTGGGACTAAAGGTGCCCGCTACCACGCCCGGCTAATTTTTTTGTATTTTTTTAGTAGAGATGGGGTTTCACCCTGTTAGCCAGGATGGTCTCGATCTCCTGACCTCGTGATTTGCCCGCTTCTGCCTCCCAAAGTGCTGGGATTACAGGCGTAAGCCACTGCGCCCGGCCTATTATGCTTTTATTTGCAGATAAGGTTTATTTAACTGTCCCACAGCTACTAAGCAGCTGGGCTGGGATTAAGGATTAACTCTATCTGAGTCCAGAGCTCATGCACTTCCACAGACCACACTACTCAGCCACGTTTTCTAGTCCATCAAGACTCTGGAGGCTGGGCGCGTGGCTCACGCCTGTAATCCCAGCACTTTGGGAGGCCGAGGTGGGTGGATCACAAGGTCAGGAGATCGAGACCGTCCTGGCTAACACGGTGAAACCCCGTCTCTACTAAAAACACAAAAAATTAGCCGGGCCTGGTGGCGGGTGCCTGTAGTCCCAGCTCCTCGGGAGGCTGAGACAGGAGAATGGCGTGAACCCGGGAGGCGGACATTGCAGTGAGCCGAGATCATGCCACTGCACTCCAGCCTGGGCAACAGAGAGAGACTCCGCCTAAAAAAAAAAAAAAGGCTCTGTAGAGGGACACTTCTGAAATAGAAGCAAGATTATGTTTTATTCTCATCCCATCCAGTTAGCACTCTTGGGGGAATTCATTCCCTCTAGAGAATGCTGCTGAAGTCTCTTGGAAAAACTATAAACCATTTGAGAAAATGGCTGAACACTGAGTTTAGTAAATTAAGGCCTAATATTATGTTTTTTATTTCTCATTATAAGAGAAATTTGAAAACACCTATAATGCACTCCACACATCTGCAAAATCTTTGTATCTCTTTCTGGTAGTTCTAGGCTATTTATAATTTTCAACACAGAAGAAATCAAATTACTGTGCCTGAAACAACCTCTTACTCGAAAGGTAAGTGACATAGATAGAGCTGCTGATATTTTCTCCTGCTGCAATTTAGCCAAACAGCTGTGTATACTTTGAAGGGCAAAGATGTTTTCTAAGCCCACAAATTTAGGAGCAGCTATGGGGCAAAGCCTGAAGCACACATAAAAATCACACACAAGCAATGCATTCTTCACCCTGAATAAATGCTTCTTACCCCTGCCTGGATATTAGAGCAACCTGAAGGTGGGATGTTTAAAGTCCCCAAACTCAAGTTGCAATGGCACAATTAGCCAAAATCCTGGAGTGAGACCCAGGAGACAATGTGATTTAAAGCTCTCCAGGAGGTTACAGTCACAGCCAAACTCCCAAATCACTGCTTGACATGAACATCATTTGGTGAGCTAGTTTAAAATATTTTCCAAATAAATGCAAAAGTGTTTGCTGTTGAGTGTAGCCTTTCAGTCTTCATTGTGTACCTACTTTCTATCATTTGTAGAACTGACCTCTGCTACTTGTTTTGTTCCTGATTCAAACCAGTTCTGTACAGACTGGGTGCACACTGCGTGCAGGGCACTGTGCTAGGCGGCCTGGCCTTGGTGAGTACTATCGTGGGGAGAAGACTTTGCTGTAAAAAATTGCATCCTCCAAATTAAAACAGTGCTACTTAATTGAGGTAGAAATTGGAAAACCTTATGGGTCTCCCAAGAGACAGAACATAAAGATATACCTTGGAATATTAATATCCATCTCAGAACACCTGCATGAAAATGCCCCACTTTAAAACAAAATAATACCAAACATTACTGTAATTCTGAAATATTGTTAGGATTAAATATGTAATATTTAAATTTTTATTAATGTATAGCATACATACAGAAATACATGCACAAAGCATTAATATAAAGCTTAATAAATCATTGTAAGGCAAACACATTTGTTTAACCATAGAATAGAATTAGCCTTGTTTATGCCCCCAACCACCATTTTCAGCCTCTTTTCCTTCTCCTCCCTAAAGGTAATCACAATCTTTTTTTGTTAATTTAATTTTTATTATTTTTAAAATTTTACTTTAAGCTCTGGGATACATGTGCAGAACATGCAGGTTTGTTACATAGGTATACATGTGACACGGTAGTTTGCTGCACCTATCAACTGGTCATCTGGGTTTTAAGCCCCACATGCATTAGGTATTTGTCCTAATGCTCTCCCTCCCCTTGCCCCCTCAGACAGGCCTCAATGTGTGATGTTCCCCTCCCTGTGTCTATGTGTTCTCATTGTTCAGCTCCCACTTATGAGTGAGAACATGCAGTGTTTGGTTTTCTGTTTCTGTGTTAGTTTGCTGACAATGATGTCTTCCAGCTTCATCCATGTCCCTGCAAAGGACATGAACTCATTTTTTATGGCTGCATGG
This sequence comes from Homo sapiens, assembly GCF_000001405.40. Classification (NCBI taxonomy): domain Eukaryota; kingdom Metazoa; phylum Chordata; class Mammalia; order Primates; family Hominidae; genus Homo; species Homo sapiens. Next base: position 20,994,265 of record NC_000019.10, on the reverse strand, counting down.
TATTCCATGGTGTATATGTGCCACATTTTCTTTATCCAGTCTATCATTGATGGGCATTTGAGTTGGTTCCGAGTCTTTGCTATTGTGAACAGTGCCACAGTAAACATATGTGTGCATGTGTCTTTATAGTGGAATGATTTATAATCCTTTGGGTATATACCCAGTAATGAGATTGCTGGGTCAGATGGTATTTCTAGTTCTAGATCCTTGAGGAATTGCCACACTGTCTTCCACAATGGCTGAACTAATTTATTCTCCCACCAACAGTGTAAAAGGATTTCTATTTCTCCACATCCCCTCCAGCATCTGTTGTTTCCTGACTTGCTAATGATCTCCATTCTAACTGGTGTGAGATGGTATCTCATTGTGGTTTTGATTTGCATTCTCTAATGACTAGTGATGATGAGCTTTTTTTCTTTTTTTCTTTTTTTTTGAGTTAGAGTCCTTCTCTGTCGCCCAGGCTAGAGTGCAGTGGTGCAATCTCAGCTGGCTGCAAACTCCACCTCCCGGGTTCAAGCAATTCTCCTGCCTCAGCCTCCCAAGTAGCTGGGATTACAGGTGCCTGCCACTGTGCCTGGCTAATTTTTATATTTTTTAGTAGAGACAGGGTTTCACCATCTTGACTAGGCTGGTATTGAACTCCTGACCTCGTGATCTACCCACCTTGGTCTCCCAAAGTGCTGGGATTACGGGCGTGAGCCACTGCTCTGGGCCTGATGAGCTTTTTTTCATATGTTTGTTGGCCACATAAATGATTTGTTTAAGTTCCTTGTAGATTTTGGATATTAGACCTCTGTCAGATGGGTAGCTTGCAAAACTTTTCTCCCATTCTATAGGTTGCCTTTTCACTCCGATGGTAATTTCTTTTGCTATGCAGAAGCTCTTTAGTTTAATTAGATCCCATTTGTCAATTTTAGCTTTTGTTGCAATCGCTTTCAGTGTTTTAGTCATGAAGTCTTTACCCATGCCTATGTCCTGAATGGTATTGCCTAGGTTTTCTTTTAGGATTTTTATGATTTGGGGTTTTACATTTAAGTCTTCAATTCATCTTGAGGATTGTCTTGGCTATACGGGCTCTTTTTTGGTTCTATACAAAATTTAAAGTAGTTTTTTCTAACTCTGCAAAGAAAGTCACTGGTAGCTTGATGGGAATAGCATTGAATCTGTAAATTACTTTGGTCAATATGGCCATTTTCATGATATTGATTCTTCCTATCCATGAGTATGTAATGTTTTTCCATTTGTTTGTGTCCTCTCATTTCCTTGAGCAGTGGTCTGTAGTTCTCCTTGAAGAGGTCCTTCAAATGCCTTGTAAGTTGTTTTCCTAGATATTTTATTCTCTTTGTAGCAATTGTGAATGAGATTTCAGTCATGATTTGGCTCTCCGCTTGTCTATTGTTGTTGTTTAGGAATGCTTGTGTGTTTTTTTTGTTTCTTTTTGTTTTTGAGACGGAGTCTTGCTCTGTCACCCAGGCTGGAGTCCAGCGGTGCAACCTTGGCTCACTGCAACCTCCGCCTCCTGGGTTCAAGCGATTCTCCTGCCTCAGCCTCATGAGTAGCTGGGATTACAGGCACACACCATCATGCCTGGCTAATTTTTGTATTTTTAGTAGAGACGGCATTTCACCATGTTGGCCAGGATGGTCTCGATCTCTTGACCCCATGATCTGCCCACCTCAGCCTCCCAAAGTGCTGGGATTACAGGCACGAGCCACCATGCCAGGCCTATGCTTGTGATTTTTGCACATTGATTTTGTATCCTGAGACTTTACTAAAGTTGCTTATCAGCTTAAGGAGTTTTTGGGCTGAGATGATGGGGTTTTCTAAATATACAATCATGTCATTTGCAAACAGAGACAATTTGACTTCCTGTCTTCCTATTTGAATACACATTATTCCTTTCTCTTGCCTGATTGCCCTGGCCAGAACTTACAATATGATGTTGAGTAGGAGTGGTGAGAGAGGGCATCCTTGTCTTGTGCCGGTTTTCAAAGGGAAAGCTTCCAGCTATTGTTCATTCAGTATGATATTGGCTATGGGTTTGTCATCAATAGCTCTTATTATTTTGAGGTGTGTTCCATCCATACCTAGTTTTTTAAGAGTTTTTAGCATGAAGGGATGTTGAAGTTTATCAAAGGCCCTTTCTCCATCTATTGAGATAATCATGTGGTTTTTGTCATTGGTTCTGTTTATGTGATGGATTATGTTGGTTGATTTGTGTATGTTGAACCAGCCTTGCATCTCAGGGATGAAGCCCACCTGATCATGGTGGATAAGCTTTTTGATGTGCTGCTGGATTTGGTTTGCCAGTATTTTATTGAGGATTTTCGCATTGATGTTCATCAGGGATATTGGCCTGAAATTTTTTTTTTTATTGTGTCTCTGCCAGGTTTTGGTATCAGGATGATGCTAGCCTCATAAAATGAGTTAGGGAGGAGTCCCTCTTTTGCTATTGTTTGAAATCATTTCAGAAGGAATGGTACTAGCTCCTCTTTGTACCTCTGGTAGAATTCAGCTGTGAATCCATCTGGGCCTGGGCATTTTTTGGTTGGTAGCCTGTTAATTACTGCCTCAGTTTCAGAACTTGCTATTGGTTTATTCAGGGATTCATCTTCTTCCTGGTTTAGTCTTGGGAGGGTGTATGTGTCCAGGAATTTATTCATTTCTTCTAAATTTTCAAGTTTATTTGCATAGAGATGTTTATAGTATTCTCTTATAGTAGTTTGTATTTCTGTGGGATCAGTGGTAATAGCCCCTTTATCATTTTTTATTGTGCCTATTTGATTCTTGTCTCTTTTCTTCTATACTAGTCTAGCTAGTAGTCTATCTATTTTGTTAATCTTTTCAAAAAACCAGTTCCTAGATTAATTGATTATTTGAAGGTTTTTTGTGTCTCTATCTCCTTCAGTTCTGCTCTGGTATTAGTTATTTCTTGTATTCTGTTCGCTTTTGAATTTGTTTGCTCTTGCTTCTCTAGTTCTTTTAATTGTGATTTTAGGGTGTTGATTTTAGATCTTTCCAGCTTTCTGTTGTGGGTATTTAGTGCTATAAATTTACCTCTTAACACTGCTTTAGCTGTGTTAGATTCTGGTCCCAGAGATTCTGATACACTGTGTCTTTGTTCTCATTGGTTTCAAAGAACTTATTTACTTCTGCCTTCATTTCGTTATTTACCCAGTAGTCATTCAGGAGCAGGTTGTTCAATTTCCATGTAGTTGTGAGGTTTTGAATGCGTTTCTTAATCCTGAGTTCTAATTTGATTGTCCTGTGGTCTGAGAGACTGTTTGGTATGATTTTCATTCTTTTGCATTTGCTGAGGAACGTTTTACTTCCAATTATGTGGTCAATTTTAGAATACGTGCTGTGTGGCACTGAGAAGAATTTATATTCTGTTGATTTGGTGTGGAGAGTACTGTAGATGTCCATTAGGTCTGCTTGGTCCAGAGCTGAGTTCAAGTCCTGAATATCCTTATTAATTTTCTGTCTCCTTGATCTGTCTAATATTAACAGAGGGGTGTTAAAGTCTCCCACTATTATTGTGTGGGAGTCTAAGTCTCTTTGTAGATCTCTAAGAACTTGTTTTATGAATCTGGGCACTCGTGTATTGGGTGCTTATATGTTTAGGATAGTTAATTCTTCTTGTTGCATTGATCCCTTTACCATTATGTAATGCCCTTCTTTTTATTTTTTGATCTTTTTTGGTTTAAAGTCTATTTTATCAGAGACTAGGATTGCAACCCCAGCTTTTTTTTTTCTTTTCATTTGTTTGGTAAATATTCCTGCATACCTTTATTTTGAGCCTATATGTGTCTTTGCATGTGAGATAGGTCTCCTGAATACAGCACACTGATAGGTCTTGACTCTTTATCCAGTTAGCCAGTCTATGTCTTTAAATTGGGGCATTTAGCCCATTTAAATTTAAGGTTAATATTGTTATGTGTGAATTTGATCCTGTCATCATGATGCTAGCTGGTTATTTTTCATGTTAGTTGATGCAGTTTCTTCATAGTGTCATTGGTCTTTATATTTTGGTGTGTTTTTACAGTGGCTGGTACCAGTTTTTCCTTTCCATATTTAGTGCTTCCTTCAGGAGCTCTTGTAAGGCAGGCATGGTGGTGATGAAATCCCTCAGCATTTGCTTGTCTGTAAAGGATTTTCTTTCTCATTCGCTTATGAAGCTTACTTTGGCTGGATATGAAATTCTGGGTTGAAAATTCTTTTCTTCAAGAATGTTGAATATTGGCCCGTACTCTCTTCTGGCTTGTAGGATTTTCACAGAGAAATCTGCTGTTAGTCTGATGGGCTTACCTTTGTATTTAACCTGACCTTTCTGTCTGGCTGCCCTTAACATTTTGTCCTTCATTTCAACCTTGGAGAATCTGACGATTATGTGTCTTGGGGTTGCTCTTCTTGAGGAGTATCTTAGCAATGTTCTCTGTATTTCCTCAATTTGAATGTTGGTCTGTCTTGCTAGGTTGGGGAAGTTCTCCTGGGTAATATCCTGAAATGTGTTTTCCAACTTGGTTCCATTCTCCCTGCCACTTTCAGATACACCAACCAATCACAGGTTTGGTCTTTTCATGTAGTGCTATATTTCCTGGAGGGTTTGTTCATTCCTTTTCATTCTTTTTTCTCTAAGCTTGTCTTCATGCCTTAGTTCAGTAAGTTGATCTTCAATCTTTGATATCCTTTCTTCTGTTTGATTGATTCAGCTATTGACACTTGTGTATGCTTCATGAAGTTCTTGTGTTTGTGCTGTGTTTTTCAGCCCCATCTGGCCATTTAAGTTCCTCTCTAAACTGTTTATTCTAGTTAGCAGTTCCTGTAACCTTTTATCAAGGTTCTTAACTTCCTTGCATTGGGTTAGAATATACTCTGTTAGCTCAGAGGAGTTTGTTATTATCCACCTTCTGAAGCCTACTTCTGTCAATTCATCAGTCTGATTCTCCAGCCACTTTTGTGCCCTTGCTGGAGAGGAGTTGTGGAGAAGAGGCATTCTGGTTTTTGGAATTTTTAGTGTTTTTATACTGGTTTTTACTCATCTTCATGGATTTATCTACCTTTGATCTTTGAGGCTGATGAGGTTTGGATGGGGTTTTTGTGTGGGGGTCCTTTATGTTTTTGTTGATGTTGTGGCTTTCTGTTTGTTAGCTTTTCTTCTAACAGTCATGCCCCTCTTCTGCAGGTCTGCTGCAGTTTGCTGGAGGTCCACTTCAGACCCTGTTCACCTGGGTATCACCAGTGGAGGCTGCAAAACAGCAAAGACTGCTGCCTGCTCCTTCCTCTGGAAGCTTCATCCCAGAGGGGCACTGGCCTGATGCCAGCTAGAGCTCTCCTTTATGAGGTCTCTGTTGAACCCTGTTAGGAGATTTCTCTCAGTCAGGAGGCTCAGGGGTCAAGGACTCACTTGAGGAGGCAGTCTGTCCCTTAGCAGAGCTGGTGTGCTGTGCTGGCAGAATCCCTCTTGTCAGGATCAGCTGCTCTCTTCGGAGCCAGCAGGCAGGAACAATTAAATCAGCTGAAGCTGTGCCCACAGCTGCCCCTTCCCCCAGGTGCTCTTTCCCAGGGAGATGGGGGTTTTGTCTGTAAGCCCCTGACTGGGGCTGTTACCTTTCCTTCGGAGATGCCCTGCCCAGTGAGGAGGAATTTAGAGAAGCAGTCTGACCACAGCTATTTTGCCACATCCAGCCCAGACCTTTCAGCCTCCTTAGCAATTTCAGGGGAAAATCTCCTACTAAAGCCTCAGTAATGGGGGTGGATGCCCTTCCCAAGCTCAATCGCCCAGGTCAACTTCATACTGCTGTGCTAGCACTGAGAATTTCAAGCCAGTGGTTCTCAGCTTGCTTAGCTCTGTGGGAGTGAGACCTGCTGAGAGAGACCACTTGGCTCCCGGGCTTCAACCCCCTTTCCAGGGTGAGTGAACGGTTCTGTCTCGCTGGGGTTCCAGGTGCCTCTGGGGTATGAAAAAAAAACTCCTGCAGCTAGCTCAGTGTCTGCCCAAACAGCCACCCAGTTTTGTGCTTGAAACCCAGGGCCCTAGTTGTGCAGGCATAGGAGGAAATCTCCTGATCTGCAGATTGCAAAAACTGTGGGAAAAGCATAGTAACCCAGCTGGGCAGCACAGTTCCTCATGGCTTCCCTTAGCTGTGGGTAGGGAGGAAGGATCCCAGTCCCTTGCACTTCCCAGGCAAAGTGACGCCCCACCCTGCTTCTGCTCACTCTCTGTGGGTTGTACCCACTGCCTAAGCAGTCACAATGAGATGAACTGGGTACCTCAGTTGGAAATGCAGAAATCACCTGCCTTCTGCATTGGTCTCTTGTTGGCAGCTGCAGACTAAAGCTGTTTCTATTTGGCCATCTTGTCCACTCCCTAAAATTTTTTTTTTATAGAGTCTTGCTCTGTTGCCCAGGTTGGAGTGCAGTGGCATGATCTTGGCTCACTGAAACCTCCACCTTCTAGGTTCAAGCAATTCTCATGCTTCAGCCTTCCGAGTAGCTGGGATTACAAGTGTGAACCACCATGCCTGGCTAATTTTTGTGTTTTTAGTAGAGACAGGGTTTCACCAAGTTGCCCAGGCTGGTTTCGAGCTCCTGACCTCAAGTGATCTGCTCACCTTGACCTCCCAAAGTGTTGGGATTAAAGGTGTGAGCCATTGTGCTTAGCCAGGAACCACAATCTTAAGAGCTAATGTTGTAGATCAACTTTATCTCTTCATACATGTGTTTTATTCAGAATACTTTAAACATTTACACAATAACCATAATAGCATAATAGACTGATGCTCAACTTCAATATCTGCTAATTGTGTGTCTTTTTTTTTTTTTTTTGAAACAGAGTCTCACTGTCAACCAGGCTGGAGTGCAATGGCACAATCTTGGCTCACTGTAACCTCCGCCTCCTGGGTTCAAGCAATTCTCCTGTCTCAGCCTCCTGAGTAGCTGGCATTACAGGAGCGTGCCATCATGCCTGGTTAATCTTTGTCTTGTTTTGTTTTGTTTCTTTGAGACAGAGTCTCACTGTCACCCAGGCTGGAGTGCAGTGCCATGATCTCGGCTTACTGCAACCTCCATCTCCCAGGTTCAAGCAATTCTGCTGCCTTAGCCTCCTGAGTAGCTGAGACTATAGGTGCATGCCACCATACCCGGCTAATTTTTTGTATTTTTAGTAGAGACAGGGTTTCACCATGTTAGCCAGGATGGTCTCGATCTCCTGACCTCATGATCTGCCCGCCTCAGCCTCCCAAAGTGCTAGGATTACAGGTGTGAGCCACCACGCCTGGCCTAATTTTTATATTTTTAGTAAAGATAGGATTTCACCATGTTGGTCAGGCTGGTCTAGAACTCCTGACCTCAGGTTATCTGCCTGCCTCGGCCTCCCAAAGTGCTGGGATTACAGGCATGAGCCACTGCACCTGGCCTATGTGTCATTTTTGTTTAATCTCTACTTCAATCTATTCCCCATTTCCACTTTTTTCTCAGTTTTTGTGTGTGTGTGTGTGAGATAGGATGTATAGGCACTGAAACGTACCATCTTAGTTATACCTTTTAGACAAACCAGTACACCCATATAATTATTTCCCCTTTTAAGAATAGAATTACTCCAACATAACAACCATTAATGTGCATGTGAATCACCTGGAAATACATAAAATCCAGGTTTTGATACAACATACCTGTATCTTGTCTGAAATTTTGTATTTCTAACAAACTACAGACCAACAGAGTACATGGTAACTGCAAAGGTTTCTTTTATCTAAAGTGTATAAAATTTGATAATTAAAATTATGAAAAATTGACCTCAGGTAAAAGAACAAATTAAAACAGGTGTGCAATATGGTATCTGTAAGAGCATTTGGTTAACAATGACTCACATTCATAGTTGGCCTTTGCAGAATTACCCAAAACTCAGTCATTTACACACCAAGTGTACATAATTTTCATAGCTTCTCATTAAAATTAGATTGTAATGCCTTTATAAAAATCTGACTGAATTTTCTTATAAAATTAAGTAGCAACATTTTTATATAACATTATAAATTCTATTTATGTTAAACATAAACTTACATAATTTTATTAGGCAGTGTCTGTGTGTCTACCACCCAATATTATTTTGGGTTCCAGCATTTGCACAGGCACCTCAGCTAAGGAGCACAGATTAACCAGAACCAAGATGTTCCCTGCATCTTCTTGTTTCTCAGGGTATCCGTTTATCAGTCAACCAAGTTACGTAAGAATGGAGGTCATGTATTCCCTAGCATAGAGGGTCTCATGGGCACTCTCCTTAGAGGAGGAAGAGACTGGGAGATCCAGTTAGGGGGTACTTCCTTGGACATGGGCTAAGCCCCCTAAGAGGTAAGGGCTCTGATCAGCAGGTGCAAACTTCTCAGGAGGGAAAATGATGCCGCCATTCTGAACCTGGAGCTCCACCAGCCCTTGTCCCATCTCAAGACAATTCTGAGAGTTTACTCTAGAACATGTCTGGATTGTGGAGGTTGGGAAACAATATGGGCTTTGATGGAACTGAGGTAAGGTCTCCCATGGGGAGGGAGGAGATCGATGCTCAGCATTCTTGGTGACCTGTGGACAAAGGGTTGCCTCTTTAGGTCCAAGTTCATTTTCACTGCAGAGGAGGCTTGAGTGTCTGAATGGTTCCCAGATCCCATCTATGATTCTTTTGGAGAGTGGGGTCTGGAAAGTACTGAGTCTCAGCATTTTTGGAAAATTCTGAAAAGTTCATTTGGGAGTCTGGGAAGGCCTCTTGCCTCATTCCTGAATGCTAGATTTGCTGTCCTGGCCACATATATGCTCGACAGCAAGCAATCTGAGTTTGCATTTATACCAAGACAACCATAAGACAAGTTGTAGTGGCCAGGACAGGTGTCTTGGTGGCACACTAGGGTACATTATGAGAGCAAACTTCAAGCCTGTTGATAGTCAGCTTGGCAAAGAGGGTTGAGTCCTGGCCCAAGTGGTTAGGTAAAGCATGGGGCCAATTAATAAATCCACCTTCAGTTCTTCAGCTGTTCATGAATTAAGAGAGAAACCAGTTCATGACTTGATAAGAGGCCCTGCTAGGCGGATGGATGACACTCTGGGTTTATTGACTTCTTGCTAACTCATGACAGCAGATTCAGAACAAATCTATTCTCAGGATTTGTGGATAGGCACTACCCTGCTAGAATGATGTGGGAGATATGGTGTTCAAATAAAAGGTGTTAGCCACCCCTAAAAATTAAGAGCAAAATTACAAACTTAATTACAAAAAGACACGGGACCTATAATAACATTTCACAGTAAAAGAAGTAAAAATTGTCATTGTCTACATAAAGAGGCATCCAACTTTAATGGTGGTTAAAAAATAATTACAAAATATATGAGTTTGTGTGACCATCAGTTTGGAAATTTAAATGTTCCTTAATACGGTCTCTATGTTATCAGAGGAAACCTGCTGTTTTGTGCATGCTTGTAAGGAGTATAAATGGCCAATTACCTTTTGAAAGATAATTTTAAAATATGTATCAAGCGTGGAAAGACACATGATCTTACATAAAGGATTCTACCTCCTGGAAGGCATCTCATAAAACACTTGAACATCTGTGCAGAAATCCCCATACCTAGCATGTTCTTGGTGGGCATGTACATAATAGCAAAGAGAAAAAGAAAACAGAAGCAGAAGAATCCAAAAAAGCAGCAGCAGCAGGAGAAGGAGAAGAGGAGGAGGAGGAGGAGGAGGAGAAAAAGGAGGAGGAGGAGGAGAAGGAGGAGGAGGAGGAGAAAAAGGAGGAGGAGAAGGAGAAGAAGAAGGAGAAGAAGAAGAAGAAGAGGAAGAAGAAGAAGAGGAAGAAGAGTAAAAAGGAAGGTACACATACATGAAAAATATTTTTTACCATCCTGATTTCTTTTTTTTTTTTTTGGAGACAGAGTCTCTCTCTGTTACCCAGGCTGGAGTGCAGTGGTGCAATCCTGGCTCACTGCAACCTCTGCCTCCTGGGTTCAAGCAATTATCCTGCCTCAGGCTCCTGAGTAGTGGGCACTACAGGCACACACCACCAAGCCAGGCTAATTTTTGTATTTTCAGTACAGATGGAGTTTCACCATGTTGGTGAGGCTGGGCTCGAACTCCTGACCTCAGGTGATCCACCCGCCTCGGCCTCCCAAAGTGCTGGGATTACAGGCGTGAGCCATCGCACCTGGCCGAACATCCTGATTTTTAAGATGATCATCACTCATTCATAAAGGGCACAGGAGTAAAACAAGTCAGGGGATCCTCAAAGAGCAACTAAGCAGGAAACAAAGGGAAAAAAACACCTCAGAGCCACCAGATTCTCTCATTACTTTTCAGTTTTGCTGATGCTTCAGTTCATATCTGCTGCACAAATTCTGCAGTAGAATCTTCCTTCCAAGATTTTCTTGCTTGCTGAGTAAACTATGTTAAGTGTTTGTATGTGTCTCAACTTTCTGTCACCACCCAGGGAAGGAACAGCAGGGGCACTGTCCTCGCTCATATTTTGCTGTGAGGAAAGCAATGAAGGTCTTCTGAACTTTGTGAAGGTATCTTCTGCCTTCATGTCAAATCCAGCCCCCAACTCCAAGCATCCTTGCATGGTTTCTTCATGTCCAATCAAGATGGGCTTTCATTTGTAATCTACTGCAATTGTGCCTGCCACATGCAGTTTCAAGGTATCCTCATACACCTGCTCACAATGATCCTCCAGGAATAGAATGAGCTCCTGAGAGAGGAACTCAGGAGTATGCTGGGCTCTTCATGTATTTTTTTTTTTTGAAACAGAGTCTCGCTCTGTCACCAGGTTGGAGTGTAGTGGCACGATCTCAGCTCACTGCAACCTCCACCTCCCAGGTTCAAGCGATTCTCCTGCCTCAGCCTCCTGAGCAGCTGGAACTATAGGCACGCCTGGCTAATTTTTTTTTTTGTATTTTTCAGTAGAGATGGGGTTTCACCGTGTTAGTCAGGATGGTCTCGATTTCCTGACATCATGATCTGCCCCCCTCGGCCTCCCAAAGTGCTGGGATTACAGGCGTGAGCCACCGCACCCAGACTCTTCATGTATTTCTATTATGTTTCTCTCTCCACTCTTAAAGAGGGCTGTGGACACAGAGTAAAGAAGGAGACACTAAAATTCCAAAGTCTGGGTACGGTTTCAACCCTGCAGGTATCTGATCTTTGCCTTCATTCCTCCTGTTAGTCTTAGTAAAGAGTCCTGGAGTCTGCAGTTCCCAAGCCTTCCTTGGTTTCAGGTTCTGCTTGTCCTTATTTGGTTCAGGGGCTGTGGGACAGGACCACATTAGAGCACTTCACTGGGTACCTCCTGGTCCTGGCCATGTGCCCTAAGACCTGGTGGTTCTTGCACTTTCTCTGTGGATTGAGGAGAAAGGAGGTCAGTGAGTCAGTATCATCACAGGCAGCTTTCAAAGGTTAATGTTGCAACAGTTTTTTGGATCTGTTTATTATTTTTAGGACTAGACCCAGACAAGTACCATACTGGGTTTCTAAAGATTCATGATGTAGGCTACGTGTGGTGGCTCATGCCTGTAATCCCAGTGCTTTGGGAGGCCAAGGCGGGCGGATCATGAGGTCAGAAGTTTGAGACCAGCCTGGCCAACATGGCGAAACCCCATCTATACTAAAAATACAAAAAATTAGCTGGGTGTGGTGGCAGGCGCCTGTAATCCCAGCTACTCAGGAGGCTGAGGCAAGAGAATCGCTTGAACCTGGGAGGTGGAGGTTCCAGTGAGTTCAGACCACGCCACTGCACTCCAGTCTGGCTAACAGAGCTAGACACCATCTCAAAAAAAAAAAAAAGTTTCATGATGTAATAGTTATATCCACAACCTATTTTAAACAAAGAAACAAGAACAAAGAACCAAAATGTGTTAGGGTTGTGATAATAATCTAGCCAAATTTGTCAGCTCAGATAGTGAATGCTGAGCAAATTCTACAGAAGACAATGTAGCACCCAGGATGACTGAGGGAGGGTGAGGTAGAGGAGAAGCTTGCTTCTCCAGCTGGGCTCTTTGCTGCCTTAGGAATCAGTGGTTGATTGAGTTAGCACTGGCTCCTATCTGATCAATTCAATGTGATCACATTTGATTTAAGTATCTCTTCAACATTCAAGAGACAAAGGCATATTCTATTTGGAGTTTGGTTGTTCTGCATTTTATTTTATTGTATATTTATCAAATGCAATCAACTATAATTTGATATGTCATTTCCAAGCATTTGAAAAATTGTGACATATAGGTATACAATTTTAATGGTATATGTAATTTTCTTTTTTCTTTTTTTTTCTTTTTTTTTTTTTTTTTTTGAGACAGAGTCTCACTCTGTCACCCAGGCTGGAGTGCAATGGTGCAATCTTGGCTCACTGCAACCTCTGCCTCCTGGGTTCAACCGATTCTCTCACCTCTGCCTCCCGAGTAGCTGGGATTACAGGCACATGTCACCCACATCCAGCTCATTTTTGTATTTTTAGTAAAGCCGGGGTTTCACTACGTTGGCCAGGCTGGCCTTGAACTTCTGGCCTCAAGTGATCCGCCCGCCTCAACCTCATAAAGTGCTGAGATTACAGGTGTGAGCCACCGTGCCTGGCCTTTATGTAATTTTCTTTATGTGTACAATTTAAATATACCTGTTAATATATGGTCTGTTTAATTTAGCATTTTAAAATCTGGCCAAGGTTTTTAATAGTTCTGGGTGAAAAGAGGGCTAGAAATCAAAAGGGGATGAGTCTCTTGACTTTCAATTTTCATGCCTACTGGTTTTTTTTTTTTCTTTTGAGGCAGAGTTTCACTCTTGTCACCCAGGCTTCAGTGCAATGGCATGATCTCGGCTCACTGCAACCTCCACCTCCTGGGTTCATGCGATTCTCCTGCCTCAGCCTCCAAAGTAGCTGAGATTACAGTCACTCGCCACCACACCTGGCTAATTTTTGTATGTTTAGTAGAGATGGGGTTTCGCCATGTTGGCCAGGCTGGTCTCGAACTCCTGACCTCAGGTGATCCACCCACCTTGGCCTCCCTAAGTGCTTTGGTTACAGGTGTGAGCCACCTCACCTGGCTGGTTTTGTTATTTTGGTTTTTGATGCTATGACAGGACCCTGAAAAAATCTCCCCTTATGTGTGTCTAAGGTACCCAGTAAATCACAACCTGAAACATTCCTTATGAAGGCCATAATGTCTCCAGGAAATAAATTTCTTGTCATAAGAGTGAGCCGTACCCAGCTGAGGGGCTTATAAAAGGCAAGTCCAGCATAACACCCTGCATTCTGAGTCTGGATGTGTAAGAGAGAGGACATTTCATTTGAGTTTCAACATGGAATGGGAAACTGAAGACCAAGATCTTCTCTACCTCTTCATCCAAGGCCCCACTTGCCAGCTCCATTTTCAACAAATCTTTTTTACAGATAGAAGCTTAGATGAGGAGGAGAAACTATTTGAAAAAAGACAAGGTGCTCTCTTCCCATTCCAGTAGGTAATGCACTCAAATGCCAGATAAGGCCTTGGGCTGTTCATATTAAGATCAGAAAGAGTGGTGGAATGAGGGATAGTAAGCTGTGTGTCTTTGGTAGGGTTTTATTTTGAGCTAGGGAATGAGAAATGGCTTATATCCCTGAGATGGCTTTGAGAATTGTAGTAATGATCCCTTGGAACCGTATTCTTCTCATTAACTCTTGATGCTTGCTGAACAGCCTTAGTTAAGAAAATGAACAACAAATGTAAGTCAGGAATAGACTATGGGACTCTGGATCTAGAGAGATTTGAGTCACCTAAACTTCCTTTCTGACTAGGACCAGACCACAATCCAAATAAGAAAGAGAATTACAGAAAACTAAGCTCAAAACCAGAAACAGCACCGCTAGATCAGGTAGGATTTGAATCAAGGTGAGAAGAGATAGGATATAGATGAACACAGTCTCCCCTGGAAAAACATTGAGAGCTTTTTTAAATGCAGAGTTTTACAGATCCTGGACTCTGGAGAACAGAGAACTGAGTTTTGGTGACAATCTTGGCTTCAGTGCATCCACAATGGACTAGGGCTTCTAAGGTGTTCAGTTCGAAGCACTCACCTGCACTTTGTTTTTTTGTTTGTTTTGTTTGTTTTTGTTTTTGTTTTTTTTGGAGACAGGGTCTCACTCTTTCACTGAGGCTGGAGTGCGGAGGCATGATCTCGCCTCACTGCAACCTCTGCCTCCCGGGTTCAAGTGAGTCTCCTGCCTCAGCCTCCTGAGTTGCTGGGATTAAAGGCATGTGCCACCAGGCCTGGCTAATTTTTGTATTTTTAGTAGAGACAGGGTTTCCCTATGTTGGCCAGGCTGGTCTCGAACTCTTGATCTCGTGATCCACCCACCTTGGCCTCCTAAAGTGCTGGGATTACAGGCGTGAGTCACTGCACCTGGCTGCTTTCTTTTATTTTACATGTTTCAATCGATTTTATTTTATTGTAGAAAATTTTAAATTTGATATATGTTTTGGGTTTTTTTTAACCATATTCTTGTTTTATTTTTCTGGTAAAATACATATTTTTATTGTAATAAAATGAGAAATGTAAAGATTTCTTTTGGCTGTAATGTAAGAGTTAAGGGAAGTAGAAGCAGGAGAGTGATAGAATTTTTATTCACTTTTAATGACAAAATATTAATAATAGTTCTCGTCAGAACAATCAGTCAAGAACAAGAAATAAAAGGCATCCAAATTACGGGAAAAAAAGTCAAACTATCTCTTTCTATGGATTATCTAATTTGATACCTAAAAACACCTAATAACTTTACTAAAGAGCTCCTGGAACTTATCAGCAAGTTCAGTAGTGTTTCAGAATACCAAGTCAATACGCAAAAGTCATTTTTATTCACCAATATTATTGAAGCTGAGGGCCAAATCAAGAACTCAATCCCATTTAACTTGCCACAAAAAAATACCTAAGAATGCATATAACCCAGGAGGTGAACAATTATCACAAAGAGAACTACAAAATACTGCTAAGAGAAATCATAGATGACATAAACAAATGGAAGTACATTATATTCACATGGATTAAAAGAATCAATATTAAAATGACCCCATTGGCCAAATTAATCTACAGATTCAATGCTATCTCTATCAAACTGCCAATAAAACTTTTCAGAGAATTAAAAAAAAAACTATTCTAAAATTTATATAAAACAATAAAGAGCATAAATACCCAAAACAATCTTAAGCAAAAAGAGCAAAGCCAGAGACAGCACTCTACCCAAATTTAAACTATACTATATGGCTACAGGAACCAAAGAAGCATATTACTGGTATAAAAGCAGACAGAGACCAGTGGAACAGAATACAAAACTCAGAAATAAAGCTACACACCTACAGCCATATAATTTTTGACAACATTGACAAAAATAAGCAATGGAAATAAGACTGTCTATTTAATAAATGGTGCTGGGATAACCAGCTAACCGTATGCGGAAAAAAATACTAGATAATACTGAACCCCTACAATTTGCCATATACAAAAATTAACACAAGATGAATTAAGGATTTAAATTTAAGACATCAAACTATAAAAATCCTACAAAAAAACCTACTAAATATCTTTTTTGACATTGGCCTTGGCAAAGAATTTTTGACTAAGTCTCCAAAAGTAAGCAAGAAAAACAAAAAGTGACAATTTCCCAACTTCCTAACTATTCTAAAGAGCTTCTGCACAGCAAAAGAAACTATCAACAGAGTAAACAGACAACCTACAGAATGAGAGTAAATGTTTGCAAACTATGCATTTGACAAGTCTAATTTCCAGAACCTATAAAAAAATTAATTAAAGAAGAATAAATAACCCCACAAAGATGAGCAAAAGACATAAACTGATACTTCTCAAAAGAAAACTTACAAGAAGCCAACAAACATAAAAATATGCTCCATATTCCTAAACATAATTTTGCTTTCAATGAATAGTTTTAGATCCCTGCTGTCTAGAAAATTTGGGGAATTTGTTAGTATAAAAAAAGAATTTTTTTGGCTGGGCGCGGTGGTGCATGCTTGTAATCCCAGCACTTTGGGAGGCCGTGGCAGGTGGTTCACCTGACGTCAGGAGTTTGAGACCAGCCTGACCAACATGGTGAAACCCCATCTCTACTAAAAATACAAAATTAGCGAGGCGTGGTGGGACATGCCTATAATCCCAGCTACTCAGGAGGCTAAGACAGGAGAATCGCTTGAACCTGGGAGGCAGAGGTTGCAGTGAGCCAAAATCATGGCACTGCACTTCAATCTGGGCAACAAGAGCAAAACTGTCTCAAAAAAAAAAAAAAAAGTAGTGCAGTGGTCTTGGCTGGTCTTGAACCCTTGACCTCATGATCTACCCACCTTGGCCTCCCAAAGTGCTGGGATTACAGGCATGAGCCACCGTGCCCCGCCCAATATGTTTTATTTTGAGATTAACCTTTTTTTCTTGAATGATTGACATTCTTCACTCTAGTTTAGTGGTAATTATAGAAATTTAGTAGCATAAAATGTTGCTCATATTTTAAAATCCAATTTTCACCACCAGCTTTTGATTCAGTAGTACTACTGGGTAGTGAGCTAAGGACCCACAAATTTAAAATACTTTCTAAATATTCTAAAGATTCTGTCGAAGAAAAGGTATTTTGATATTAACTTTACATTATCTGTAATATTCTTTTTCTTTAGTAAGCACAGTACTAAGTACTAGTCTGGTAATTGGAGAATCCAGCAAAACTCATGTTTCCTTTTTCTAATAAGACAGATCTTGCTGTGTCTAATCTGGGCCTGATCAACTCTCTGAAGCAAAGGAAAGAATCTTGGAATTTAGAAAGACAAGAGACCATAGCCAGCACCTAGGTAGGCGGGAGTGAAAGAAGATGACACAGCTGAGGTCCAAAGGTGAAGAAGAAAGCCAGACCATAAAATGTGGTTTAGGAAGGTCTGCTGCAATAGAAATAGTTTCTAAAATGCCTGATTTCTTTTCTCATACCCAAACAGTGGGGCAGCTTCTGTCCCATGGTCTTAAATCCCCCAAGAATTCTACTTTAATTTAATCTTCCTTCAAGCTTATACTTAGAGCTGAAGTCCATCTTATGGTTTATAAGAGGTTGAATAATCTGACAGGTCTTCCATTGCTATTGGGGGACATGAGACTATTTGTCTTTTAGAGAAACTCTGTATGAAACTATTTTAAATCCTTTCTACATCATTGCTGAAATGTGTGAAAGCAGTAGTGATATTGAAATTTGGTTTCAAAATCGCAAGAACACCAGATAAAGATGTGAGTTTTCTACTTTATGACTTTCTATTCTGTGATGGTTTCAGATGTGTTTCTAGAGATATTTGTACTCAGTAACTTTATCAGAACACTAAGTACCTCTGTAAATGTAAGAAAATCTATTTTTTTTTTTTAATTTTCAGGTTTTTTTTTGTTTTGTTTTGTTTTTGAGATGGAGTTTAGCTCTTGTTGCCCAGCCTGGAGTGCAATGGCATGATCTTGGCTCACTACAACCCCTGCCTCCCGGGTTCAAGCGATTCTCCTGCCTCAGCCTCCCAAGTAGCTGGCATTATAGGCACCTGCCACCACGCCCAGCTAAGTTTGTATTTTTAGTAGAGATGAGGTTTCACCATGATGGTCAGGCTGTTCTTGAACTCCTGACCTTAGGTGATCAATCCACCTCGACCTCCCTAAGTGCTGGGATTACAGGCGTGAGCCACTGCACCTGGCCCCGATTTTCAGTTTTTTTAATATAAATTGAGATAGGTAATTTAAACACTACATGACCAAATTTCTTATGGTAATGTAGCTTAATGTATTTATTGCATATATAATATATGTACATATATTATATATATGTACACATGTATATATTATATATACATATATTATATATGTACACATGTATATATTGTATATATGTACACATGTATATATTATATATGTACACATGTATATATTATATATATGTACACATGTATATATTATATATGTGTATATATATATATTTTAAAAGGAGTATCACTCTGTTGCCAGGCTGGAGTGCAGTGGCATGATCTCGGCTCACTGCAACCTCCCAGGTTCGAGTGATTCACCTGCCTCAGCCTTCTGAGTAGCTGGGATTACAGGCACATACCACCACACCCAGCTTATTTTTGTATTTCTAATAGAGACGTGGTTTCACCATGTTGGCCAGGATGGTCTCGATCTCTTGACCTTGTGATCTGCCTGCCTTGGGCTCCCAAAATGCTGGGATTACAGGCATGAGCCACCGCACCCAGGCTACCGTGTATATTTTTACAATATACTGTGTCATTGGGAAGCTTAGAAAATTGCTGAAGGCCAGGTGCCATGGCTCATGTCTGTAATCCCAGCACTTTGGGAGGCTAGGGTGAAAAAAACACTTGAGCCCACGAGATTGAGACCAGCCTGGGTAACACAGCAAGACTTTGTTTCTATAAAGAATTACCAAAAAATTAATTTATTTGTATGTACATTTAAAAGGAGGAGATTGATTTTTCTTCTGGAGAGTTATAATTACATTCAAAGCATACTTTTTGCATTAAAAAATTAAAATTCTTGAAAAGCAAACATTGATGCAATTCAACTCTTTTTTATTTTTTTGAGACAGAGCCTCACTCTGTCACCCAGGCTGGAGTGCAGTGGCACGATCTTGGCTCACTGCAACCTCTGCAGCCCAGCTTCAGGCGATTCACCTGCCTCAGCTTCTCAAGTAGCTGGGATTAAAGGCACCTTCCACTGCGCCTGGCTAATTTTTGCAGTTTTTAGTAGAGATGGGGTTTCACCATCTTGGCAAGGCTGGTCTTGAACTCCTGACCTCATGATCCACCTGCCTCAGCCTCCCAAAATACTGGGATTACAGGCGTGAGCCACCATGCCCGGCTGCAATTCAACTCTTAGATCACTTGTTATGCCTTCATTCTTAGTGTGTATACAAAAGCACATGGTTAGTTTTTGCTTCATCAGACCTATAAGAGGCACATCTCTATTAGACAAGCATCATTCACATAGTTTTTCATAGACACTGAAATGTAAGACATATCAAGAGATTCTAAGTGGGGAAGTGCTTTGTGGTTGATTAACAACAGCATGTGATACATGGGGTAGGTTTTTAGAGTAAGATTCCATGCATTATAGTAAGGGAGAAACATTTTAGATCTTCAATTCAAGTTGTTTTTCCAATTGCTTATTAAAATAATAAGATACAGTGGATTTAAAAAAAAATTTAGATTCTGTGTGAACTTAATTTGTTTTAATTAAGCATAATTGTTTTTGTTTCTACTATTGTGCATTGAACAAAGTATTATTTTTTTACCAGTGTTAACCTATCCAACCTAACTGAAGCTTGTAGGTAACAGATGATAACAATACACTATTGGTTAACATAGTTGAATAACATTTTTAGGGATCCCTTTTTTCAATAACTTTAAACATCAAACAGTTTAAAGAATATTGTTTCTATTGGTAATATTTTTATTCTTTTTGTAACTACAGGGCCATTATAATGGTAATAATGAAGATTATATAAAAGTACAATTTAAAGCCATGTATTTCTGAATATTGAATGAGTATTTACAAAATTTTATTCCACTTTTTTTTTTGCACATGTCACCTTTCTGACTTGCAAAATATATGCAGACTGATAGTCTTGTTTTACAAGGATAAAATATACAAATATATTCCTCTAAGGATAAATCTTAGAAGTAAAGGAGTTACGGAGTAAGTAATTGTGTTTGTGTGAGTTTGGGTGTATACCTATTTTGCAAAGAAAAGAAAAATATTGAAATAAAACATAATTTCCAAAGTGTTGATAATTTACTAAAAAGGCAAAAATGTCAAAAATTCTGAAAGCGAGTCTATTTTCTTTGCTTTATGTCGAGCTCACTTCTCTGAGATTTTATTGGTCCTCCATAGGATTCTCCCCATGCAAATCCCCCCGCCTTTTTTTTTTTTTTGAGATGGAGTCTCACCGTGTCACCAGGCCGGAGTGCAGTGGCATGATCTTGGCTCACCGCAGTCTCTGCCTCCCGGCTTCAAGTGATTCTCCTGCCTCAAGCTCCACAATAGCTGGGACTACAGGCGAGCGCCGCCATGCCCAGCTACGTTTTGTGTTTTTAGTAGAGACAGGGTTTCACAATGTTGGCCAGGATGGTCTCGATCTCTTGACTTCATGATCCGCCCACCTTAGCCTCCCAAAGTGCTGGGATTATAGGCGTGAGCCACCGCGCCCGGCCAATTGCTTTTTTTTCTTTAATATTAAAGGGAGTCTGGAGAAATAACTACAACAATCCCAGAACTGGCAAAGGGGCAAATGCTGGAAAACTCCAGGGTGGGAGAATGCCCATCACAGGGCCAAAGATCTGAGCAGATGACTCAAAAAAGAGAAAATCTTAATAGGTCTTAAACAACTGAAAGGTGACTCAAACGTGTCAGTTTAAAAACTGAAAGTGAAAGGGACAATGAGATTTTATTTGCCATATAGACACAAACTGACAACAAAAATTAAAAGAATGTAATATGCAGGAGAGCTTAGATACAGAGCAGCAGGTGCATCAGAGAATGCCAGCGCCGATGGACCTGCTACAGCCCTTTTGGAAAGTCATCTGGCTGTAACTGTGAACAGTTTACATAGACATCATTTAACCCAGTAATATATTTTCTGAGGATCTATCTTCAGATAATTAGTAAATGTTATGGGATAATTTGTTATTTTCTCAATTCCCAGGATAAATACTTTGTATCCTTCAATCCAATCAAGTTGACATTCAGTATTAACCATCACACCTGTGGACTCCATCCATGGATGAGTGTCACAATTCCAACTGTCAACTTTTCTGGGTGTGAGATTCAGAACCTCAACAGTGGGTTGTGTGCATGTGTGAGGCTGATAATTCTAACATTTGGTTGAGTATGCATACAAGAATCACAATTTTTCCTGTGTGCTGGGTTCTTTTATGACACTCTATGTACCAACCAAGTGCTTTATACAGCATGCATGAGAGCTGCAATCTTCCCTGAGACCTGCATGATGGTATAGACACATGATCTTACCTGTGGCCTTAAGCCCAACAGAAGAGTCAAAATGTTTCTTTTTTTTTTTTCTTTTTCAAGACAGAGTCTCGCTTTATTACCCAGGCTGGAGTGCGATGGTGCGATTTCAGGTCACTGCAAACTCCGCCTTCCGGGTTCAAGAGATTCTTATGCCTCAGTCTCCCAAGTAACAGGGACTACAGGTGTGTGCCACCACGCCTGGCTAATTTTTGTATTTTTAGTAGAGATAGGGTTTCATCATATTGGCCAGGCTTGTCTCAAACTCATGACCTCGTAATCAGCCCACCTCATCCTCCCAAAGTGTTGGGATTACAGGCATGAGCCACCGCACCTGGCCAAAAATGTTTCTTATTGGCTGGGTCCAGGTATGAGACTCATGATCATGCCTGTGGGCTTGGTCCAAAAATGAATGACCATCCCACCTGTGTCAAGATTCACATAGAAGAGTCACAATTCCAACTGTCCAGTATGTTTGGCTATAAAATTGGGGACCTCACTAGTGAGCTGTGTCCATGTGTAAGAGTAACAATCCTAACTTTCAACTGGGAGTGCATGAGAGCCACAGTCTCACTTGCGTGATGGGCACTGTTATGACACTCTACCACCTGAGAGTTTTACGTGATATGCTTGAGAGTCACAAACCTCTCTGTGACTTTTGTACAAGTATGAGATCCATGACCTTACCTATTTCCTTAAGGCTAGCTATGAGAGTCAGAATGTCTCCTCTTCACTGGGTCCAGGTATGAGAGTCATCATTGCCTGTGAGCTGGGTCCAGCTAAATCTTACAATTCCCCCTGTGAGCCTGGCTCAGGCAGAAGAGCTACATCACCTGAAGGCTGGGCCCATGTATATATCGCAATCTCTCTTATGGTCGAGGCCCAGCAGAAGAGTCACATCACCTAGGTGTGGGGCCCAGGTATATTAAAGTCCCCTGTTTGGCAGGTCCCAAGCAAGAGAGCCACATCACCTAGGTACTGGGCCCAGGTATGTGTCACAATCCCTCCTGTTGCTTGGGCTCATGTTGGAGATTCACATCACCTAGGTTCTGGAATTAGCTCTACATCACAATCCCACCTATGGCCTCAGCCCAGGCAGAAGAGTTACATAGCCTAGGTACCAGGTATGTGTCACAATCCCCACTATGGGCAGGTCCCAGGTAAGAGAGACACATTGTCTAGGTGCTTAGCCCTGGTATATTGTCACAATCTCTTTTGTTGGCTTGGCCCAGGTTAGATGTACACCTCACATAGGTGTTGAGCCCAGGTATGTGTCACAATACTCCCTGTGGGGTGGGCTCAGGCTAAAGAGTCACATCATCTAAGTGCTGGGCCCAGGTATATGTCACAATGCCCCTTGTGACTTTGGCCAGGCATGAGAGTCAGAACACATAGGTGCTTGGTTCAACTATATGTCACTATCCCATTTGTGGCCTTGACCTAGGTGAGAGAGTCGCATGACCTATGGTCTGGGCCCAGGTATATGTCACAATGTTCTCTGTGGATTGGGCCCATGCAGGACAGCCACATCACCTTAATTCCTGAGCCCAGGTATATGTCAGTCCCCCTGAGAACTTGACCTAAAAAAGGCTCAAATCACCTCAGTACTCGGCCCAGTATTATGTAATCCCACTTGTGGCTTTAGCCTAGGCAGCGGAGTCACATATCTTAGGTGCTGTGGTAAGAAATCTGTCAAAATCTTTTCTTGTGTTCTAGGTCCAGGCAAAGTGTAACATCACCTAGGTGCTGGACCCAGGTACATGCCACAATCTACCCTCTGGGTGGGACCCAGGAGGAAGAGCAACACAACTCAGAAGATGGGTTCAGGTATATGTCACAATTACCTGGAGGCAGGGCCCAGGCAGGAAAGTCACATTACCTAGGTGCTGGAAGCAGGTGTGTTACAATCCTCCCTTTGGACAGGGACCAGGAAGGAGAGCTACATCACCTAGGTGATGGAAACAGGTGTAGGCCCCAATTTCAAATGTGGGCAGGGATCAAGCAGAAAAGTCACATCCACAGGTGTGTCACAATACTCTCTTTGGGTAAAATCCAAGCAAGACACTCACATCACTTGGATGCCGAGCCCACCAATGTGTCACAATCTCCCCTGTGGGCAGAGCACAGACAGGAGACTCATATCACCTTGGTTCTGGGCCCACTGATATGTCACAATCCCACATGTGGGCAGAGACAGGGCAAGAGAGCCACATAACCTGGATGCTGGGCCAGGAATATGTCACAATCCTTTTTGTGGGCAAAGCTAAGGCAAAATAATTATACCACCTTGGTTCTGGGCCCAGAAATATGTTACAATTTCCTCTGTGGGCAGGGCCCAGGAAGAAGTGTCCCATCACCTGGGTGCTTGGCCCAGCAATAAGTTACAATCTTCTTTGAGGGTAGGACCAAGGGAGAAAAGGAGACACATCACATAGGTGTCGGCCCCTGTAATATGTCACAATCCCTACTGTGGGCAGAGCCCTGGCAGGAGAGGCATATCACCTGAGTGCTGAGCCCAGCGATATGTTACAATATCTCCTACGGGCAAGACCCAGGCAAGAGATTTACATCACCTGTGTGCTAGATCCAGTGATATATCACCATGCACCCTGAGGACAAGGCCCAGAAAAAGAGTCACATTACTGGGTGTTTGGCCCGGCAATATACCGTAATGCCCTGTGTGGGCAGGGCCCAGGCAGCAGAGCTATATCACCTGGGTGCTGGGCTCAGCGATGTGTCACAATCTCACCTGTGAGCAGAGCCCAGATAGGACAGGAGAGTCACATCACCTAGCTATGTCCAGCATTATAGCAAAATCCCCCATTATGACAGGGCCCAGGCAGGAGAGTCACATCACCTGAGAGCTTGGGCCCAGGTATATCTCACAATCCTATTTAGGAGCCAGACCCAGGCAGGAGAAGCACCTCACTCAGGTACTAGGCAAAGATATATCTCACAACCACATCTGTGGAAAGGTCCAGAGAAGAGCTTAACAATTCCACACATGTCCTGGCTTCAGGTATGAGAGTCAATGCCTGTGAGTTTGGTCCAAGTACATGAGTCAGTCTTAAGGGTTAGCTGGATTTGTGCATAAGATCCCCAATCCTGCCTGCAGGGGACTGTGTTTCAGTAAAGGAGTCACAGCCTCACCAGTGTTCTGAATCCTGGTCTGAGAGTCATTATCCAACTGTGGAAAACATTCACGTAGGAGAGTCACAATTTCAACTTTTGACTGAATCCAGGTGTGAGATTAAGAACTTCGACAGCGGGGTGGCTTTATGATAGAGGGTGACAATCCTTACTGTTGGCTGGGTGTGCATATGAGAGTCACAATCGCTTCTGTGTGCTGGGCCATGTTATGAAACTCTGTGTAACCCAAGGGCTTTATACAGTGTGCAAGACAGTTGCTATCTGCTCTGGAAATTTGTGCTGGTATGGAGCCAGGATCTTACTCATTGTCCTAGGTACAAGAGTCAACATCTCTCCTATTGGTTGGGTTCAGGTATGAAAGTCATCATTGTCCCTGTGTGCTGTGTCCAGAAATGAGTCAGCGTCACACCTGTGGCCAGGCCTACGTATGACAGTCACAATTCCAACTGTGTACTCCTGTGAGATCCAGGACCTCACCAGTGGGCTGTGTCCATGTTTGAGGGTGACAATTCTGGCAGCTGAGTGTGAATATGAGAGTCATAATCTCATCTGAGTGCTGTGTTTTTGTTTTTGTTTTTTGAGACGGACTCTTGCTCTGTCACCCAGGCTGGAGTGCAATGGCGCAACCTCGGCTCACTGCAACCTCTGCCTCCCGGGTTCAAGCAATTCTCCTGCCTCAACTTCCCGAGTAGCTGGGATTACAGTCATGCACCACCACACCTGGCTAATTTTTGTATTTTTAGTAGAGACGGGGTTTCACCATGTTGGCCAGGCTGGTCTCAAACTCCTGACTTCAGGTGATCTGCCCGCCTCAGCCTCCCAAAGTGCTGGGATTACAGGTGTGAGCCACTGTGCCCTGCTCCTATGTTCTGACACTCTCTGTACCACTCAAGGGCTTTATATGATATGTGTGAGTGTCATAATCCTCTGTTATCTTCATAAAAGTAAGAGACCCAGGACCTTACCAGTTGCCCTAAATGTATCTATGAGAATCAAAATCTCTCCTATTGGCTGGGTACAAGAATGAGTTATTTTCACAGCTGTGAGTTGAGCCCAGGTATGTCGCACTCTCACCTGTGGGAAGGAACAAGGCAAAAGAGTCACATCACCTAGGTGCTGGGCCCAGTGTTATGTCACAATTCTTCCGGTAGGCAGGGCCCAGGCAGGAGAGGTGAGTTACCTCACCTAGGTGATGGAAGCAGTGATATAATTCCTTCTGTGGGCCAGGCCCAGGCAGGAGTGTCACCTCACCTGTGTACTGTGCCCAGAAATATGTCACAATCTTTTGTGCATAAGGTCCCCCCAAAATAAGTGAAATGACCTAGATTACAGGCCCATAGATCTGTCACAAAGCCTTCTGTGGGCAGAGCCTAGGCAGGAAAGTGATATATCACTAGATGCAGCATGTAGGTGATGTGACTCTCCTTCCTGAACTCTATTCCCCAGGGGACATTGTGACACATCACTGGGCACAGCACACAGGTGATGTGACTTTTTTCCTGGGCCCTGATCTCAGGGGGCATTGTGACATATTGCCTTGCCCGGTACCCAGGGCAGGTATTAAGCAGGAGAGGAGACTAACACCACCTAGATGCTGGGCTCAGGCACATGTCACAATCCCATCTGTGAACAAACCCAGGCAGAAGAAGAGTAACATCTGGGTGCTGGGCCCAGTGATATGTCACAATGCAACCTGTGGTCAGGGGCCAGGCAAAAGAGGAGTCACATTACCTAGGTGCTAGGCCCAGTGATGTGTCACAGTCACCAATTGGGCAGGTCCTAGACAGGAGAGGAGAGTCACATCGCCTAGGTGCTGAGTCCAGTAATGTGTCATAGTCCCAGAGCAGGGAGGGGGCAGGAGAGGAGATTCACATCACCTAGAAGATTGGCCCAGATAGATGTCACAATTTCTCCTTTGGGCAGTGCTAAAGCAAGAAGGTTACATTACCTGGGTGCTGAGCCCAGCAATATTTTACAATCCTTAGGGCAGGGCTCAGGCAGAGAGGAGATTCACATCACATGGTTGATGGGCCTGGCGATAGGCCACCATGCCCTGTGTAGGCAGTGCACAGGCAGGAGAGTCACATTATCTGAGTGCTGGGTCGAGGAATATGTCACAATTTTCTCTGTAGGCAGGGCCCAGGCAGGAGAGGAGAGCCACATCACCTAGGTGCTGGGTTCAATGATATGTCACAATTCCCTTGAGGGCAGGGCTCAGGCAGGAGAGTCACATAACCTAGGTGCTTGGCCTGAGTATATGTCACAATCACATTTGTGGGCTTGGCCCAGGCAGGAGAGTCAAATCATTCAGATTCTAGGCAAAAATATCTGTCACAATTACACCCGCAGAAAGGTCCAGGGATGACATTTACAATCCTGCACATATCCCGGGTTATGTATGAGAGCCAGTATCTCCTGTGGGTTGGGTCCAAGAATGCAAAGCAGTCTGAATGCTGGACTGAATCCCTGCATGAGAGCCCCAATTCCACCTGAGGTCCAAGAGTCATTATTCCACCTGTGGACCACATCCATGTGTGAGAGTCACAATTCCAACCTTTGACTCACTCTTGGTGTGACATTCAAAACCTCCACAGTGGTCTGTGTCCATCTGGAAGGGTGACAGTCCTTACAGTCAGCTGGGTGTGCATAGGAGAGTCACAGTCTCTTCAGCATGGTTGGCCCTGTTGACACTTTTGGTGCCACTTGAGGAATTTATATGATATGTGTGAATGTTGTTATTCTCTTTGACTTTGGTACAAGTAGGAGACCCAGGACCTTATCCATTGTTGTAAGCCAACCTATGAGAGTCAAAATCTCTTCTCTTGGCTGTGTCCAGGTATATGAGTCATTGTAGCATCTGTATACCTATGTAGGCCCAGGTATATTTAATAATCCCACTTATGGGCAGAGATAATGCAGGAGAGTCACATCACCTAGGTTCTGGGCCCAGTGATATATTCAGGATAAATGAATTACAATTTTAAAAATAAATATAGTAAAATAACAGGCCGGATGTGGTGGCTTGTGCCTGTAATCCCAACACTTTGGGAGGCCGAGGTGGGCAGGTAACCTGAGGTCGGGAGTTTGAGACCAGCCTGACCAACATGGAGAAACCCCATCTCTACTAAAAATACAAAATTAGCCGGGTGTGGTGGTGCATGCCTGTAATCTCAGCTACTCAGGAGGCTGAGGCAGGAGAATCACTTGAACCTGGGAAGTGGAGGTTGTGGTGAGCCAAGATCGCACCATTGCACTCCAGCCTGTGCAACAAGAGTGAAACTCTGTCTCTAAATAAATAAATAAATAAAACAAAATAAAATAAAATACTGTCATTACTTCTAGTTGACGTAACACAAGAATTCAGATGTTGTTGCTGTAGAAGCTCAATATGTCATGGCTGACTCCACTTTACTTCCTGTCTTTCTATTTTAGACAATCAAAGTAGCACAAGCAAAGCCAGAAATGCTCCACCCTGATTGCAAACACACCAGTGCCCTTCTAGTGAGAATATATGTGTGAGGATATTAACTTGAAATTCTTGGCATCTTTTGTTGAAGTACAGACTTCTATATGACAAATAATAAAGACAAGAATTTAACATTGCAATAGAATCAGAAAG
The DNA here is from genome assembly GCF_000001405.40 of Homo sapiens. Lineage (NCBI taxonomy): Eukaryota > Metazoa > Chordata > Mammalia > Primates > Hominidae > Homo > Homo sapiens. The sequence continues at coordinate 20,966,435 of NC_000019.10, read as the reverse complement.
ATATTCTAAAAGTACCTTCTAATCCATTATTATTATTATTATTATTTCACCAGAATGGTTGTGATAGAGTGGTTGCAGCAGTGTGGTCATAAATAACCCATACCGTGTACTTTGTCATTTTTGGTCTATGACCATAAGACTTTTATGCTTAAAAATAAATGTTTTCTTGCCAGGTGGAGTGGCTCACACCTGTAATTCCAGAACTTTGGGAGTCCAAGGCAGACAGATCACCTGAGGTCAGGAGTTTGAGACCAGCCTGGCCAACATGGCAAAACCCCATCCCTACTAAAAATACAAAAATTAACTGAGCATGGTGGCAGGTGCCTGTAATCCCAGCTACTCAGAGGGCTGAGGCAGAAGAATTGCTCGAACCTGGGAGGCAGAGGTTGCAGTGAGCTGAGTTCACGCCACTGGACTCAAGCCTGGGTGACAGAGCTAGACTCCACAAAAAAGAAAAAAAATTATTTTCCTAATTCAGGAATTTAACATGATTTTCACAGCCTCACATTTTCAAAAATGGTTTATTCTAAAAGAGAAATGTGATTAAACCATTTTTTCCCCAAAAAGAGTAGAGTGACAAATTATAATCTAGTGTACAGTTAATAAATACAATATAAAGATGTGGCCATTTATTTTAGCTGCATACTTGGGGATAAGACACTTTTTGGGCTATAAACCAAGGGTTTTCAGAGACGTTAGGTCATAAAACGTGGGGCGACCAGGTATAAAAACATTCACCTCTGTACCCAAAACGGACATAATTCTGTGTCTTTCACTCCTAATTTCAACTATTAACCCAGAACTGGAGAAATATAACATGCCATTATACCACAAAGCATTTTATTATTTTTATTTTAGATTCATGAGGGTACATGGGCAGATTTGTAACATAAGTATACTGCCTGATGTCGAAGTTTGGGCACTTAATAATTCCATTGTCCAAGTAGTGTACCTCATACCTGATAAGTAGTTTTTCAATGCTGGTCTTGGCAGTTTTTTTAAGAACTCCCAGCATTTATTGTTTCCATGTTCACCCAATGTTTAGCACCCAATTATAAGTGAGAACATGTAGTATCTGAAATACGTATATACCGTGCAATACTAAGAAACCACAGAAAAAGATGTTCTTTGCAGCAACATGGATGCAGCAGAAGGCCTTTATTCTTTTTTTTTTTTTTTTGACCTTTGAAGTTTTTATTGGCCTCTTGCTCCCCAAAGAGTACCCTGCTTCTGCTGGCTTAATGTCTCAATTTGGTGTCATTGGTCTCAGACAGCACTTTGCCATCCATTCTCTGGCGGGTGGTGGTCTTTTTGATGGTTTGCATGGAGTTGCTGCTGTCCAGGGCATCACCTAGATTGAAGTCCTTGCCATCTTCCAGCAGGCGGCGGTAGGTGGTGATCTCAGCCTCCTGCTTGACTTTGATGTTCAGCGGGGCCTTGTACTCCTGGGCCTGCTTGACTTTGATGTTGAGCAGGGCCTTGTACTCCTGGGCCTGGACCTGTGCCAACTCTGACTACAGGTGCAGCAGGATCCCATTGAGGTGCTCCATCTGCAGGGCATAGTGGGCTTCCACCTCCCTCAGGCTGTCCTCCAAGCTGGCAGAAGGCCTTTATTCTAAGCAAATTAACAAAGAACATGAATCTAAGATTCATGGGTACCTACTTTAATTCTGTCTTTTTTTATGGTGAATAGTGCTGCAGTAAACATGTGAGTGCCAGTGTCTTTTTGGTAAAATAATTTTTTCTTTGGGTATATACCCAGTAATTCGATTAATGGGCCAAATAGCTATTCTATTTTTAGCTATTTGAGAAATCTTCAAACTGTGTTCTACAGGGGCTGAATTAATTTGCATTTCCACCAACAGTGTATATAGATTCCCTTTTCTCCACAACCTCAACATGTTTTTATTTTTGTTGCATTAACTTCTAAGGTGTTAGTTATAATTTTTTTTCTAGAGCCCTGTGTCTAGAAGAGTACTTTCTGCATGTTCTTCTAGAGTTTTAATAGCTTGAAGTCTCACAGTTAAGTCTTTAAACTATATTGAGATATATTGTTTATATGGTGGGAGGAAGAGTTTTTTTTCTTCTTCTGCATATGACTAACGAGTTTTCCCAGTATCATTTATTAGATAGGGAGTTATTTTCTTTTTATTTCTGTTGACTTTGTCAAAAGTAGGTTGTAGGAGTGTAGCTTTATTTCAGGGCTCTCTCTTCTGTTCCACATGGTTTGGCTCTGTGTCCCCACCCAAATCTCACCTTGAATTGTAATAATCCCCACATGTCATTGGAGGGTCTGGGTGGGAGGTGATTAAATCATGGGGGTGGGTTTTTCCCATGCTGTTCTCTGGGTCGTGAATAAGTCTTTTAAGATCTGATGGTTTTATAAAAGGGAGTTCTTCTGCACATGCTTGCTCTTGCCTGCTGCCATGTCTTGCTTTCCCTTTGGCTTCCATCATGAATGTGAGGCCTCCCCAGTCATATGGAACTGTGAGTCAATTAAACCTTTCTTTTATAAATTACCCAGTCTCAGGTGTGTCTTTATTAGCAGCATAAAAATGTACCAATATAGTCTGTATGTATATTTTTGTACCACGACCATGTTATACCGATTACTGTAGCTTGTAGCACAGTTTGAAGTCAGGTAATTCGAGGCCTCCAGGTTTTATTTTGTTTGTTTGTTTAATGTTGCCTTGGCTATTTTGGCTTTTTTTATTCTTCCATATAAATTTTAGAATAGCTTTTTTCCCTATTTCTATAAAAATGGCACTGATAGTTTGATAGGAATAAAAATCTGCAGGTTGCTTTAAGTGGCATGGACATTTTAATTATATTAAATCTTCAAATTCATAAGCATGAAATGCTTCTCCATTTATTTGTGTTTTGTCTGATTTCTTTCAGCAGTGTGTTTTCTTTGTAGCGATATTTTACCTCCTTCGTTTAATGTATTCCTAAGTATGTTATTTTTTGTTTTTGGCTATTGTAAATAGAATTCTGTTCTTTTATTTTTTACCTCTGAACTTTTTATTGGCCTCCTGCTCCCCAAAGGGTACCCTGCTTCTGCTGGCTTAATGTCTGAGAACTTTGGTGTTGTTGGTCTCAGACACCATTTTGCCATCCACCATCTGGCGGGTTGTGGTCTTTTGGATGGTTTGCTTGGAGTTGCTGCTGTCCAGGACATCACCAAGATTGAAGTCCTCGCCATCTTCCAGCAGGCGGTGGTAGGTGGCGATCTCAGCCTCCTGCTTGACTTTGATGTTCAGCGGGGCCTTGTACTCCTGGGCCTGGTACTGCCCCTCTGCCAGGGTCTGTACCAGCTCTGACTCCAGGTGCAGCAGGATCCTGTTGATCTGCTCCATCTGCAGGGCTTAACATGCCTCCACCTCCCTCAGGCTGTTCTCCAAGCTGGCCTTCAGATTTCTCATTGAGTCCAGGTCGATCTTCAAGGACTGGACTGTACATCTAAGCTCTGTGAGCATCATCTCAGCAGCTACAACCTTGGTGGACTGCGTGGTGACCACTATATACTCTCCTCAATCTGCTGAGACTGGTACTTGTCCAGCTCCTCTCGGTTCTTCTGAGCTACCTCGTCGTATTGGGCCTGGATGTCTGCCATGATCTTGGCAAGGTCCTGAGCTTTGGGGGCAACTACCTCCCTGGTCAACCCAGAGCTGTCGACCTTGGCTTGTAGTCCTTTTACTTCCTCTTTGTGGTTCTTCTTCATAAAGAGCAGCTCCTCCCTGAGAACCTTGATCTCTGTCTCCAACCGCAGCCGAGTGACATTGGTGTCATCAATGACTTTGCAAAGCCATGGATGTTGCTCTCCACAGACTGGCACATGGCCAGCTCTGTCTCACACTTGGGTCTAAAGTCATCAGCAGCAAGATGGACTGAAGGGGGCCAGCCCCTCCACACCTGTGGGTATTTCTTGTCAGGTGGGATGAGAGACTGAGAAAAGAAATAAGACACAGAGACAAAGTACAGAGAAAGAACAGTGGGCCCAGGGGACCAGTGCTTAGCATACAGAGGACCCACACTGGCGCCAGCCTCTGAGTTCCCTCAGTATTTATTGATCATTATTTTTACTATCTTAGCGAGGAGAGTGTAACAGGGCAACAGGTGGGGAGAAGGTCAGCAGGGAAACATGTGAGCAAAGGAATCTGTATTATGAATAAGTTCAAGGAAAGGTACTGTGTCCAGATGTGCACGTAGGCTAGATTTATGTTTCTCTTTACCCAAACATCTCAGTATAGCAAACAGCAACAGAGCAGTACTGCTGCCAGCATATCTTGCCTCTAGCCACAGGGCGGTTGTCTCCTATCTCAGAAGAGAATGAATGGGAATGGCCAGCTTTACACTGAGACATTCTATTCCCAGGGATGAGCAGGAGACAGAAGACTTCTTCTAATCTCAACTGCAAAGAGGCCTTCCTCTTTCACTAATCCTCAGCACAGACCCTTTATGGGTGTCAGGCTGGGGGATGGTGAGGTCTTTCCTTTCCCATGAGGCCATATCTCAGGCTGTCTCAGTGGGGGGAAACCTTGGACAATACCCAGGCTTTCTTGGGCAGAGGTCCCTGCAGCTTTCCACAGTGCATTGTGTCCCTGGTTAATTTAGAATGGAAAATGGCAATGACTTTTACCAAGCATACTGCCTGCAAACATATTGTTAACAAGGCACATCCTGCACAGCCCTAAATCCATTAAACTTTGATTCATTACGCACGTTTCTGTGAGCACAGGGTTGGGGCTAAAGTTACAGGTTAACAGCATCTCAAAGCAGAAGCAATTTTTCTTAGTACAGATCAAAATGGAGTTTCTTCTATCTTGCTTTTCTACATAGACACAGTAACAATCTGATCTCTCTTTCTTTTCCCCACAACGGACACTGTCGATCTGCAGAACGATGTGGGCATTGTCCACAGTATTTGTGAAGATCTGAGCCCTCAGGTCCTTGATGGTCTTGAAGTAATGGCTTGTCTCTGACCTGAGGTCCCATCTTCTCCAGGTGCTCCCAGATTTTGCTCTCCACCTTCCGGTTCTTGGTCCTCAGGCTCCTCACTCTGTCCAGGTAGGAGGCCAGGCAGTAGTTCAGGGTCTGCATGGTCTTCTCGTTCTGGATGCCTCCCATTCCTGTCAGACCCCTGGCTATCCCCGCAGCCAGGCCCCTGAACCCCATGGGCCTTGAAGCTGGTGAAGCAGGACACGGAGATCCTGGAACCAGAACCCCCCATGCCTGCATAGATGATGGCTGTGCTGCTGACTGGCCAGGCACCTGGACAGAGCCCAGGGACTGGTAATTGGTGAAGGTTGAGCGAGTGGTGAAGCTTATGCTGTCCAGGGAGGAGAGCAAGAGGACAGGACTCAGGCTTTGCTGACGACCAGAACTGTGTTTTTTATTTTGTTCTCAGCTTGAATGTTATTCATGTACAGAAATGCTACTCATTTGTGTATGTTAATTTTGTATCCTGAGACTTTGCTTAAGTCATTTTTTAGGCTTAGGGGTCTTTTTGTGGCATCTCCAAAGTTTCCCAGGTAGAGAATTATATCATCTGTGAGAATAATTTGACTTTCTCTTTTCTTATTTAGATCTCTTTTATTTCTTTATCTTGTTTAATTGCTCTAGCTAGGACTTCCAGAACTATGTTGAATACGAGTGTTAAGAGTGGATATTCTTGTCTTATTTTTATTCATATGGAGAGTTCATCCAGCTTTTGCCTGTTCAGCATGATTTCAGCTGCAGATTTGTCACAGATGGCTTTACTATTTTGAGATGTTTCTTTAATACCTAGTTTGTTGAGAATATTTTTATAGGTATTGGATTTTTTGAATGCCTTTTCTGTATCTATTGTGATAATCATGTTAGCTTTTAATCATCTTTACCTGATGAATCACATTTATTGACTTATATATGATGAAACATCCTTGCATTCATGAAGTAAATCTCCCAGGATTGTGGTAAAATAACGTTTTGATTTGATTATGAACTCAGCTTGCTAGTATTTTATGGAGAACTTTTGTTTTAATGATCACCCAAAATATTGGCCTATAGTTTTTGTTGTTGTTGTGTCTTCACTAGATTTTGATATCAAGGTGATACTGGTTTTATATAGTTAGGAAGAAATCCCACCTTGATTTTTGGAGTACATTCAGAGGATTAGTACTGGTTCATCTTTGTATATGTGGTAGAATTTAGTTGTGAATTCATCTGATCTAGGGCTATTCATGGTTCGCGGGTTTTCTATTACCAATGTATATATTTCTATTACTAATGTATGATTTCTATTACTATTCTATAATATAATGTATAATTTCTATTGCTAAATTTATAATTTCATTATACATTTTATTAATTTTTGCTGTGTTCAAGATGTTTGCTTCTTTCTGGTTCAATCTTGAGAGGTTGTGTGTATCCAGTTTATCTATTTCCTGTAAATTTTTTACTTCGCATGCATGGAGATGTTCATAGTAGTCTCTGAGGATGTTTTGTATTTATGTGGAGTTAGCTGTGATTTCACAACTCAACATTTAAATAGATGCAGAACAAAAGTTTAACACATTCCCTAATGATAAATCTCTGAAAAAATTAAGTATAGGAAAAATGCACCTGAAGCCAATAAATGCCACATATAACAAAAAGTGCACAGGAAACAGCATACTAAACAGGGAAAAGTTGTAAGCTTTTACTCTGAAAGTTAGAACAAGACAAGGATGCCCACTTTCTTCAGTCTTGCTAAACATAGTACGAAATGTCCAAGACAGAGAAATTAGAGAATAAAATCAAAGGCATCCAGATTGGAAAAAAAAGTTGAATTATTACTATTTGTAGAAGACATAATCTTAAGTATAGGAAAGCCTAAGACTTTACTAAGAACTACTAGAAACTAATAAATTCATTAAATTTACAGAATAAAAAATCCACATGCAAAAGTCAGTGGCATTTTTGTAAACAATTAACTATCTCAAAATAAAATTAAAAAACAATCCTATCTACAATAACTGTAGTAACTACACTTTGAGATAAATGTAACCAAAAAGTTGAAACACCTTACATTATAATCTAAAGAATATTAAAGTAATAAATAATACACAAATGAAAATATTTATGAATTGGCATTAATATTGTTAAATACCTACATTATACAAAATGATATACAAATATAATGCAACTTCTATCAAAATACCAGTGACAAACATCATAGGAATTTAAAAATATCTATCTAAAATTTATATGGTGCTGCAGAAGACCCTGAGTAGCAAAAGCGATCAAACAAAACAAAAAAGGCTGAATGTATTACCCTACCTGGCTTTGAAATATGCTACAAAGCTATAGTAACCAAAACAGTATGGTACTGCAATAAAAAAAGACACATAGGCCAGTGGAGCAGAAGAGAGAAATGAGAAATGTATTCATTTACTTACAGCTGATTATATTAACAGGTGACAATCTTTTAGGGAAATGACAATGTCTTCAATAAATGATGTTGAGAAAACTGTATAGCCACATGCAGAGCAATAAAATGAGACCCTCATTTCACACCATATATAAAAATCAACTTAAAGTAAATTAGATATTTAAATGTAAGGCTTGAAACTATGAAACTACTACAAAAAATATACAGTGAAAGCCCCATAACATTGGTCTGGGCAGTGACTTTCTAAAATTTAATCTCAGAATCCCAGGGAACCAAAGAAAAATTAGAGGAGTCAGATTACTTCAAATTAAAAAGTTGCTGCACAGAATCTGATACAATCAACAGGATGAGAAAACTAAAAAATGGGAGAAAATATGTACAAATTATACATGTGACAAGGGTTTAATATCAAAATATATAAGAAACTCAATTATAGAATAAAAAATAATATTAAAAATGAATTAAAGACTTATTTTTCAAAAAAGACATATAGGCAAGAGATATAAAAAATAATCAGTATCAATTATTACCAGGAAAAGCAAAAAAAAAAGAGAAAAAACTATGATATCAACTCACTTGTTAGAATAACTCTTATTAAAAAGAAAAAAATTAGTAAAGGTGTGAAGACAAAGGAATGCTTGGGGGCCGGCTGTAGTGGCTCACGCCTGTAATGTCAGCACTTTGGGAGGCTGAGGTGGGTGGATCACGTGGTCAGGAGATCCAGACCATCCTGGCTAACATAGTGAAATTCCATCTCTACTAAAAATACAAAAAATTAGCCAGGCGTGGTGGCGGGTGCCTGTAGTCCCAGCTACTCGGGAGGCTGAGGCAGGAGAATGGCGTGAACCTGGGAGGCGGAACTTGCAGTGAGCCGAGATTGCCACTGCACTCCAGCCTGGGCAACAGAGCGAGACTCCGTCTTGAAAAAAAAAGAAAAAGAAAAAGGAAAAAGAATGTTTGCATATTGTTGGTTTGAGTGTAAATGAGAACAGCCTTTATAAAAATAAAATAGGCCGAGCACGGTGCCTCATGCCTGTAATCCCAGCACTTTGGGAGGCCGAGGCAAGTGGATCACCTGAGGTCTGGAGCTCGAGACCAGCCTGACCAACATGGAGAAACCCTGTCTCTACTAAAAATACAAAATTAGCCAAGCGTGGTAGTGCATGCCTGTAATCCCAGCTACTCGGGAGGCTAAGGGAGGAGAATTGATTGAACCTGGGAGGCAGAGGTTGCGGTAAGCCGAGATCATGCCATTGCACTCCAGCCTGGCAACAAGAGTGAAACTCCATCTCAAAACAAACAAACAAACAAAAATAAATAAATAAAAAATAGAGAAGTCTCAAAAAATTTAAAACTATCATATAATACAGCAATTGTAATATTGGATATATATCCAAAACAATCAGAATAAAAAAAATTTGCACTTCTATGTTGTTTGCAACACTCTTTACAATTGTCAAAATATAGAATCAACAGTTTAACATCAAATGAGTAAATAAAGACAATATAGTAGGCTGGGGACAGTGGCTCATGCCTGTAATCTCAGCACTTTGGGAGGCCGAGGCGGGTGGATCACTTGAGGTCAGGAGTTCAAGACCAGCTTGGCCAATATGGTGAAAACTCATCTCTACTAAAAATATAAAAGTTAGTTAGCGGGAGGTTGCAGTGAGCCGAGATTGCACCCCTGCTCTCCAGCCTGGGCTACAGAGAAACACTCTGACTCAAAAAGAAAAAAAAAAAAGTATGATATATTTAAACAATGGAATACTACTCACCTTCAAAAAAGAAAATTCTATTATTTTCAGTCAGATGGATTACATTACCTGAAATAAGCCAGGCACATCAAGATTATTATTATTTTTGCAACAGAGTCTTGCTCTGTTGCCCAGGCTGGAGTGCAGTGGTGCAATCTCAGCTTATTGCAACCTCTGCCTCCCAGGTTTAAGCGATTCTCCTGCCTCAGCTGGGACTACAGGCACCCGCCACCATGCCCAGCTACTTTTTGTATTTTTAGTAGATGGGGTTTCATCACAGTGGCCAGGCTGGTCTCAAACTCCTGACTTTGTGATCTGCCCGCCTCGGCCTCCCAAAGAGCTGGCATTAGAGATGTAAGCCACCGCACCCGGCCTAGAAAGATTATTTCATAATTTTACTTACACACGGATCCTCAAAAAACGTAATCTCATGGAAGTAGAAAGTAAAATGGTGACCACCAGATACCAAGGTATTTAGAAGGGGGGTTTGGAAAGACGTCAGTCAAAAAATACATAATTATACTTGAATAGGAGAAATAATTTCAAAAGATTTTTTCTACAGCATGGTGGCTATAGTTCCTAATAATGTATTTGTATTTTTGAAAAGTGCTAAGACTATGTCACGTGCTCTCACCACAAAAAATGTTAACTATGTGAGGTAAAGCATTAATTACCTAGAATTAAACATTTGACAATGTATACACACTTCAAAATTCATGTTTTACAGAATAAATATTTATTTATTACAGATAATAACTGCATAAAAGACACTAAAAGGGCAGTTGTTGCTTTGGTCTCATGACTGGCCACTCTTCGAACACAGTAAACAAGTTTGTGAGCAAACTAATAGGATATGTTTCAATCCAAAAGCTGTCATGATCTCCAAGTTTTACAGAGAAAATGATCAATAAGTTGGCTACAGTTATGTGACAAAGAATAGAAACTCTAGACTGAACTTCACCCACTAAAAAAATTATATAAGACTGAGAGATTTTTTCAAATTGTAATATCAATATAAAAAAGAAATATTATTCCAAATTTTAAATCCACAGAGGTCATTTTATTATTTTACAAACTTTAACATTCACACTTAAAAATAGAAGATTCTGCACGGAAACGTTAAGTTGTGCTATATCATAGAAAATTAAATTTAAAAAATTTCACTCACCATTAGCTTTCTTAAAAATTTAATTTCTGAGATATATTTTTTAGCAAATATTTGCCACACTTTGTGTAAGATTTTTTTTCTTTTACAAGCAGAAAAAAAGAAAACTAACTGACTTATTCCTCTCACCTGTGGATACTGAATGCCTTTTATCTTAATTAACTGATCTGAAAGTTGTATTGACAAACTCTCCAGTTAAAACTAATTTTTTAGTACATTAAAAAAATACCAACTTTCTCATCAAAACCTACAAAGTACCATGTAAAATGACATGGCATAAAGACAACAATGAGAAAACCATAGATATAATACTGAAAAAGAAGGAGAAGGGCTGTGATGCATACATAGCTGGAATACACATAATAAAACAAAAGATACTTAGAAAATAAAGGAAGAAGAATTTCTCTTCAAATTCAGCAAGAGTTAGTTTTGTAGCCTGGAAAAAGTGTCTTTTTAACATGAAAAATCAATATTATTTTTTCACCATTGATATTTTCCATCTCTGACTTGAAGTTACAAACTAACTTCAGCAGGAATATTTATAGCTTGTTATGCAGCATTTGTTACACAGCAAGCACTCTCATGTTTGTTTGCTATATTTATATATAAAAACATCCTCATGACTTATAAAGCATCCTTAGTATTTACCTGAAAAAAAAATTGGCTCAATAAATAAATATAGTTATTTCAATTATAAAAAGTGAAAAGAACAACAACTAAAGCAGGTTTAAAGAGTTCTCCAATTAAAAGAACAAATGAAATGTTCTAAGAAAATAAAATATAACTTGATAGACTAATTTTGGAATTACATATAAATATTATTTTGTGTGCACTACTAAATTTTATAAAAGCATTATAATCCCTGACAAGCTCACATAATGCCTCAGAAACTATAAAAAAAATTATAAAAAAAAGAAAATTATAGGTCCAGCATGAGTATCAGGCAAGTCAAAACAAAATATTTGCATGGGAAGATTCTGAACTATAAACCATAAGATATTACAGTAATAAATTTAACACAAAGCAGACAGTATACATTTGTTTTCAGCATTTTTGAGGTATTCAGTTTTCTAGTAAACTAGTTACCTTATTATTTTTTTGAGATGAGTCTTACTCTTTCACCCAGGCTGGAGTGCAGTGGCATAATCTCAGTTCACTGCAACCTCCAAATCCTGGGTTCAAGCAATTCTCTTGTCTCAGTCTCCTGAGTAACTGGGACTAGAGGTGCACACCACCACACCCAGGTAATTTTTGTATTTTTAGTAGAGATGGGGTTTCACCATATTGGTCAGGCTGGTCTCGAACTCCTGACCTCAGGTGATCCACCCGCCTCAGCCTCCCAAAGTGATGCGATTACAGGCGTGAGCCACTGCACACAGCCAATTAGTTACCTTATTAAGATGATTTGTTTTGTGCCAATATTGCTCTTTTCTTCTGAATATAGGTACAAATTCATATTCACAAAAACACACATACTTTATAATTTTCTTACCCTTAAGGTTTATCTTTAGAGTAATATATGTGTATATTTACATCTATGTAAATAAAAATTAAGAGTCTGTATGTGTTTGCAGGCAGTAAGACCACATGTTTAAAGAAAAATATTAACAAATTTTTAAATGTTTATTCAGAATTCAGAAATGTATGGATTTTATTAATACTTCTATACAATTCTTATTATGACCATAAAACAAAATCATGACCAAAATCTTGCCACTTGCCAAAGTGGCCAGATGGAAATAGACATTCCATGCAAATTGGTTACTGTAACCAATAACAATTGCACATTTCAAAAGAACTAAATGTGTAGAATAGGTTTGTAATACAAAGGGTAATGCTGGAGGTGATGGATACTTCACTTACCCTGATGTGATTGTTACATATTATATGCCTGTATCAAAATATTCTATATATGGTATAAATATATACACATACTATGTACTCACAAAAATTTTTAAAAATAAGTTCATATAAGAAAAAAAGAATAAAAATTTAACCTACAAGAACAATATTCTTTAACCTATTTGCAGTTTAAAGCCACTGGCAAAAGAGATGTTAGTTCATTATGTTACCAACCTGCACACTGTAACCATCTTTTAACTACATTCTTGAGTACGGTAGATAGGTTAAACTTAGTGGCATCACAACGCATCGTTGAATGCACAATGATCATAATATGTTTAAAAAAGTTTAATTATAAAACTAAGTTTACATGTAGTCTGAAAATTTAAAAACGTACTGCATTTTATTACATAGAAATATAATTAGTAAAATAATATATTACTAATTTTAACTAATATTAAAAATGTTTTTCATTTACTATAATGCAGAAGAATATTACTCTAAACAACCACCTCATATATCACTCAATATTATGTTAACCACAAAGAGCCCCACCACTTAGATTTTCATCATGCATCTTACGTTTTAATGTTCTTATTCTTTTTTTTTTTTTTGGTGGTACAATGGTTATTTTTTTCTTTTTTTTTATTATACTTTAAGTTTTAGGGTACATGTGCACATTGTGCAGGTTAGTTACATATGTATACATGTGCCATGCTGGTGCGCTCCTTTTTTGTTTTTGAGATGGAGTCTCGCCCTGTCACCCAGGCTGGAGCATACGTAATAGTGTACTTCTCCTTCTCCCTCTCCCTCTCCCTCTCCCCACGGTCTCCCTCTCCCTCTCTTTCCACGGTCTCCCTCTGATGCCGAGCCGAAGCTGGACTGTACTGCTGCCATCTCGGCTCACTGCAACCTCCTTGCCTGATTCTCCTGCCTCAGCCTGCCGAGTGCCTGCGACTGAAGGCGTGCGCTGCCACGCCTGACTGGTTTTCGTATTTTTTTGGTGGAGACGGGGTTTCGCTGTGTTGGCTGGGCTGGTCTCCAGCTCCTAACCGCGAGTGATCCGCCAGCCTCGGCCTCCCAAGGTGCCAGGATTGCAGACGGAGTCTCGTTCACTCAGTGCTCAATGTTGCCCAGGCTGGAGTGCAGTGGCGTGATCTCGGCTCGCTACAACCTCCACCTCCCAGCCGCCTGCCTTGGCCTCCCAAAGTGCCGAGATTGCAGCCTCTGCCTGGCTGCCACCCCGTCTGGGAAGTGAGGCGCGGCTCTGCCTGGCCGCCCATCGTCTGGGATGTAAGGAGCCCCTCTGCTCAGCTGCCCAGTCTGGGAAGTGAGGAGCGCCTCTTCCCAGCCGCCATCCCGTCTAGGAAGTGAGGAGCGTCTCTGCCCGGCCGCCCATCGTCGGAGATGCAGGGAGTGCCTCTGCCCGGCCGCGGCCCCGTCTGGGAGGTGAGGAGCGTCTCTGCCCGGCCGCCCCGTCTGAGAAGTGAGGAGCCCCTCCGCCCGGCAGCCACCCCGTCTGGGAAGTGAGGAGTGTCTCCGCCCGGCAGCCGCCCCGTCCGGGAGGGAGGTGGGGGGCCCGCCTCCGCCTGGCCGCCGCCCCGTCCAGGAAGTTGGGTGGGGGGGCGCCTCTGCCCAGCCGCCCCTTCTGGGAAGTGAGGAGCCCCTCTGCCCGGCCGCCACCCTGTCTGGGAGGTGTACGCAACAGCTCATTGAGAACGGGCCATGATGACGATGGCGGTTTTGTCGAATAGAAAAGGGGGAAAGGTGGGGAAAAGATAGAGAAATCAGATTGTTGCTGTGTCTATGTAGAAAGAAGTAGACATGGGAGACTTCATTTTGTTCTGTACTAAGAAAAATTCTTCTGCCTTGGGATGCTGTTGATCTATGACCTTACCCCCAACCCTGTGCTCTCTGAAACATGTGCTGTGTCCACTCAGGGTTAAATGGATTAAGGGCGGTGCAAGATGTGCTTTGTTAAACAGATGCTTGAAGGCAGCATGCTCGTTAAGAGTCATCACCACTCCCTAATCTCAAGTACCCAGGGACACAAACACTGCGGAAGGCCGCAGGGTCCTCTGCCTAGGAAAACCAGAGACCTTTGTTCACTTGTTTATCTGCTGACCTTCCCTCCACTATTGTCCTATGACCCTGCCAAATCCCCCTCTGCGAGAAACACCCAAGAATGATCAATAAAAAAATAAAAAATAAAATAAATAAAGAAAAAAAAAGAATAGTATACTTTTTTTTTTTTGAGATAGAGTCCTGCTCTGTTGCCCAGGCTAGTGTGGAGTGGTGCGACCTCGGCTCACTGCAACCTCTGCCTTTTGGGTTCAAGTGATTCTCCTGCCTCAGCTTCCCGAGTAGCTGGGGTTACAGGTGCGTGCCACAGTGGACAGCTAATTTTTGTAGTTTTTAATAGATGGGGTTTCACCATATTGGCCAGGCTGGTCTCAAACTCCTGACCTCATGATCTGCCTGTCTCAGCTTCCCAAAGTGCTGGGATTATACGTATGAGCCCTGCGCCCAGCCTAATGTTCTTATTCTTTAATAGAAAAGGTCATAAATAATGACCTAAGAAAAAAAAATCTCCTATCTTTGATGTAGCAACCACTGATCACATGCTTTCACATGTGAATATAATAGCAATGAAGAAGAAAGAGCATGAAGTAATTTGAAAGTTGAATGACATGATTATTTTCTTTTCAAAAAAACCTAACTTTTTTAAGGAAAAAAGTATACTTTGAATGTAATTAAAACTCTGCAAAAAAAGTTCTACTTCTTTTAAAGTTATATACAAATAATTAATCCACCAAATTTAGTTTTGGATTATTTTCTATACTCAGCACTCTGATTTAGTGTGGTGTCTGAAGTGCCAGCACCTTAGATATTTCTACTGTGAATCCTCTGATATTTACATAAACTTAACTTTGGATTAAATATATTTTTATATCTACTGCATCTGCAAAAATATATTTTAGTATGAATCCTCTGCTGCTTTTTAAGCTGTAGTTTTTGAAAAAGTTTTTCAAAATTTGTTACATTTGCAGGGTTTTTCTCAAATATAAATCCTCTGATGTTGGCCAGGTGTGGTGGCTCATGCCTCTAATCCCAGCACTTTGGCAGGCTGAGGCAGGTGGATCACCTGAGGTCAGGAGTTTGAGACCAGCCTGAACAACATGGAGAAACCCTGTCTCTTCCAAAAATACAAAATTATCCAGGCGTGGTGGCACATGCCTGTAATCCCAGTTACTCAGGAGGCTGAAGCAAGAAAATCGGTTGAACCCGGGAGGCAGAGGTTGTGGCGAGCCGAGAATGCGCCATTGCACTCCAGCCTCGGTAACAAGAGCGAAACTCCGTCTCAAAAAGAAAAAAAAAAAAATCTGATTTTAAACAAAATTTAAGCAACTGCTTCAGGGGTTTCCTCTAGTACAAAATCTGTACAATAAGATTTGTGATACAATTAAAGGTACTACAACCCTCTTTAAATTTGCAATGTTTGTCTTCAAAATGGTTACTCTTTTTCACATTAAAGGCTTATATTTTCTGAATGCTTTTGACAGTAATTCCATTTATAATGCTTTTATTAAGTACTTTCTGATGCTGAGTAAGATGTGAGCAGATATTAACGGCTTTTCCACATTCTTTATATTTGTATACTTTTTCTCAACTAAAAATTCTTTTCTGTGCAGTAAGGTGTGAGCATAAATTAAGTTTTGCCACATTGTTTGCACTTGTAGTTTGTTCCAATATGAATTATCTTACCTAAAGTGTGACAACCATTTAAAGACTTTGCCATAGTCTTCACATTTTTAGAATTTCTCACCAGTATGATTACTTTTATAAGTCTGAGGTGTTGTCAAAATTATTGTCACATCTTTCAGGTTAGTAGTTTCTCTCCAGTATAAATTTTCTTATGTTTAGTAAGACTTGTAAATTGATTAAAGCTTTGCCATAATTTTCATATTTGTAATTTTTCTCCGGTATGAATTATCTTATGTTTAGTAAGGACTGAGGACCATTTAAAAGCTTTGTCACATTCTTCACATTTGTAAGGTTTTTCTCCAGTATGAATTCTCTTATGTTTAGTAAGGTTTGAGGACTGGTTAAAGGCTTTGCCACATTCTTCACATGTGTAGGGTTTCTCTCCAGTATGAATTTTCTTATGTTTGGTAAGTTTTGAGGATTGGTTAAAAGCTTTGCCACATTCTTCACATTTGTATGGTTTCTCTCCAGTATGAATTATCTTATGGATAGTAAGGGTTGAGGGCCATTTAAAACCTTTGCCACATTCTTCACATTTGTAAGGTTTCTCTTCTGTATGACTTTTCTTATGTCTAGTAAGATTTGAGGACTGGTTAAAAGCTTTGCCACATTTTTCACATTCATAGGGTTTCTCTCCAGTATGAATTTTCTTATGTTCAGTAAGTTTTGAGGATTGGTTAAAAGCTTTTTCACATTCTTTACATTTGTAAGGCTTCTCTCCAGTATGAATTATCTTATGTTTAGTAAGGGTTGAAGAGTGTTTAAAAGCTTTACCACATTCTTTACATTTGTAAGGTTTCTCTCCAGTATGAATTATCTTATGTGTAGTAAGGTGTGAGAAATGATTAAAGGCTTTTCCACATTTTTCACATTTGTAGGGTTTCTCTCCAGTATGAATTACCTCATGTGTGGTAAGGTGTGCAGACTGGTTAAAGGCTTTTCCACATTTTTTACATTTGTAGGGTTTCTCTCCAGTATGAATTATCTTATGTGTAGTAAGGTTTGAGGACTGCTTAAAGGCTTTGCCACATTCTTCACATTTGTAAGGTTTCTCTCCAGTATGAATTTTTCTATGGGTAGTAAGGGTTGAAGATCGGTTAAAAGCTTTACCACATTCTTTACATTTGTAGGGTTTCTCTCCAGTATGAATTATCTTATGGGTAGTAAGAGTTGAGAATCGGTTAAAAGTTTTGCCACATTCTTCACATTTGTAGGGTTTCTCTCCAGTATGAATTTTCTTATGTTTAATAAGGTTTGAGGACTGGTTAAAGGCTTTACCACATTCTTCACATTTGTAAGGTTTCTCTCCCGTATGAATTCTCTTATGTTTAGTAAGGGTTGAGGACCAGTTAAAGGCTTTTCCACATTCTTCACATTTGTAGAAATTTACTCTAGTATGAATTCTGCTATGTTCAGTTAGGCATGAAATCATGCCAAATGATTTGCCACATTTTGTACATTTGAAAGGTTTCTTTTTAGTATGTCTTATCTCATGTCTGTTTGAATTTGAAAATTTATGAGCGACTTTTACATATTTATCACATTGAAATATTTTGCTCTGGGTAGCTGTGAGACATTGGTTAAGTCCATTACAACCTCCTTTGTGCATCTTACACTCATCCATACTTTCACAGCCTTTTCTTAATGGTAAATTTTCATGTCTACATTTTCCATATCTTTTCAGTGTCACTTTTTGGAAAGAATCTTTTATATTCTGCTCCGGCCAAAGGTCTTGGGCAAAATGAGAACACATAACTGAAAGAAACAAAAATGACAAATTACTCCACTTGCTAGACTTAGATGAAGATAGTTTACAAATGTAATATATAAAATTAAACAAACTACATTAAGTAAGATGGCACAGCAAAATACCATAGGCCCTAAATCCTTCATAGACATTTAAATGTAACAAAAACATACTGACCAAAATACATTTGTGGAAAATTTATAAATGAGTTAAGTGTGTGCAGTGCCCCAGGTGAGCATAATGCAAAGAGCCACATAGGAAAAAAAAAGTTTGTTACATTTACAACACAGCTATTTCGGTTGCCCAATGTAACACAGTGGCTTTAGAAGTAAATTGGCAACTCTTGGTTTCTTTTATAAAAGACAAGAAAAATAGCGGCAAAAAACATTTTTATTTCTGGTTTCTAGGGACTTTTCCAGACACTGGTTTCTGTCTTGAAATAAATGGTATACATTGGAATGGCAGTTTGAGTCTGCTGAGATCAAAGGTAAATGCTACAGCAGCAAAGAGACTGCAATATTATAGGCAGGAAATAGTTGTAGCAAATGATTACTGACTATTAAGAAGAAACATGAACAAACTCCTTTAACTAAAAAAGACCTAAAACATTTCAGACAAGACACATCCTAAGAACATGTTAGAGAAACTCTCAGAATCTCTATCCAAGACAATTGGTTTCAGATATGCCAAGACAAAGCTATATTATAAAGATTGTTACAGGTGGTTTGTTTTTAATGTCTAAATTTCAATGAAAGATTACAACATATAAAAATATTGGGGCAACATAGCCCCATCAGAAACATAAAAATTTCAGAAAGCTATCATTAAAAATAAAGATATACAAATTAGTTTGAAAAACTTGAATAATATTCAGTGAGGAAAATAGAAACACAGACAACAATTGAAAATTAGAAGAATGAGGATAACAACAAAAATATTAAAAATATCAAAAAACAGAAATTGTGGAGGTGAAAAATACAAAAAAATTTTAATATAAGAAAAAATGATGTAAAAATGAAGAAGCTCAACAAACTAGAATACACACAAAGATATTTATAACAAACACATGCATGAGTGCAATTTCAAGTCACAAAGTAGAAAATCCTCAAAGATGCAAGATAAAAGTGATGTGTCATTTATAAGCATAGTCTTATGAGATTACTAGTAAATTTGTCATGAAAATTTTGCAAGCGAGAAGGGAACTATGTGATATTGTAATAGTCCTGAAATTAGTAAAAAAAAAAAAAAAAAAAAAAAAAAAAAGTGTATTGGCACTGCATATGCCCTACATATCAAAGATGCTAAAAATAACATAATGTAAGAAAACAACATATTATTACATAAAAATGCATAACTTTCTGGGAAAGATATGCACATATCCAAAATTAGAATTCCTTAGCATTATCATAATGGTGCAGAAAACATTTTTAGTTATTCTCTAAAAGTTGAAAAATAAAAACACTAATTATTATAAACACTCATTAATGTACTTACAACATAAAGATATAATTAGCAACATCAATAAGAAAGTTGAGGGCAGATATAATGAGAAAGATTTTTTGTATACAACTAAAGTTCATTTTTTACCATAATTAAATATACTGTTGCATCTTTTAGAGATTTTATGTAAACCCCAAGGTACCACAAAAAAATCTGTATAGAGATATAAAAGAAAATTTTAAAAAGTGAAAGCATATTAGTACAAAAATAAAAATGACACAAAGAAAGAGAGAGAGAAAATTGGGAACAAAGAAACAAGAATCAACTAAAACAATAAAATAACATTTGTAAGTCTGTTTCAGAAAATTAAATATACATAAAGTTAACTTTTTAATTAAAAGACATACTTTCAATAAAGGGATTTATTAAAAAAATTAAAAACCAGGATTCAACTTGCCTTTCTACAAGAGTCAGTTGCGATCTAATGATAAAGAAAGACTGAAAGTGGCAAGATGGAAGTAGACATTCCATGCAAATTTTAACCAAATGAGAGCAGAAGAGGTCTAAGTAATATTACACAACACATCTTAAGTTAAAACTGTCATATTTTATAAAATGTACTTTAAAGTCAAAACTCCAAAGAGACAAAGAAGGACATTAAACAATAATAGATTCACTCACTGAGAACCTCTGAAAAATTTCTATATACATTTGTGGGGTGTGTGTGTGTGTGTGTGTGTGCATGTGTATATCTCACATTAAGGTTCCAAATATATAAAACAAATATTGACAGAATCGATGAAACACATAGAGTGCAATATAATTTTTATAGTAGGATATTTCAATACCTACTTTCTATAATAATAAAAAAAAAGAATATTAGAAGGCAACAGGTAACTTTAAGGCAATATAAAACAATTACTTCTAACAGAGGCATAGAGAACACTCCTCAGTAACATCAGGATATACACCTTTCTCAATAGCTCATACGACATTCTTTTTGATAGACAACCTGTTAGGACAAAAAAAGAAGTCTTAACAAATTTTTTAGAACTAAAATTTTATAAATTACTCTTTAAGATAAAAATGGAATCAGGGTATAATTAATGCTGTAAAGATGTTCATACTGCTCAATGTAATCTACACATTTAAGGCAATGTTTTTAAAACTTCTCATTGCATTTTTGAAGAAATAGAAACAGCAACCTCAGAAGTATATGGAATCTCAAAAGACAATAAAGTACCCAACAATCTTCAAAAAAAAAAAACGTTTGAGGCATTACACTTCCTGATTTCAAACACAGTACAAAGCTACAAAATTAAAACAACTTGGTATAAGTATAAAGCTGAAAACATAGACTAATAAGAGAATGCAGTACATACGTAATGTACATGTCATATAAAGAGTCATTTACTTACCCATAATTATTGCAGCATTGTTACTGAAAGCCAATGGGTGAAAGCAATGCAAATTTCTGTCATTAAACCATCCAGCAGATTTAATTTGAAATATAAAATTACTGGAATAGGCTGGGTGCGGTGGCTCAAACCTGTAATCCCAGCACTTTGGAAGGCCAAGGCGGGTGGATCACATGAGGTCAGGAGTTCGAGACCAGCGTGTCCAACATGGTGAAACCCCACCTCCACTAAAAATACAAAAATGAGCCGGGCATGGTGGCGCATGCCTGTAATCTCAGCTACTTGAGAGGCTGAGGCAGGAGAATTGCTTGAACCCAGGAGGCGGAGGCTGCAGTGAGCCGAGATCGCGCCATTGCACTCTGTACTCCAGCCTGGGCGACAGCGTGAAACTTCACCTCAAAAAAACAGAAAACAAAATACTGGAATATCCCTCAGTTTTCAAAAAGCAGGAAATATTCTGACAACTGTAAATATAAGTTTTGATGACATTATGCCAAATAAAATGAGCCAGCCACAGAAAGACAGAGATTGTATAGGATATTTAAAGCAGTTACAACCTTAGACAAGGAAAACAGAGTGGTGTTTGGAAAGTGCTACAAAATGGAAAAAATTGGTAGTTGTTTAATGTGTATTCAGATTCAGCTTTGCAAGATAAAAACATTTTGGTGATATGTTGCAAAACAATGTCAATATAATTAAGATCACTAAATTGAATATTTACAAATATTTTATTATAAATTTTATGTTTTTGATAAGTAAAAATAAACAGAAATACCTAAGATACAGAGTAATGATAGTTTTTATATTATCTTAAAATTCAAAAGTGTTTCTCCCACACAGAAATAATATAGATTCACAAATAAGATGATAAAAGTAGAAGAATTTTTATGACTACTCACCTACACAGGATTAAACAACCATTCACAACCAAACTACACAATAAATACACAAGTTATAGGAAAATAGAAATAATATTTATACAGGCAAGCAAACATAAACACATTAGCAATAGACATATGGCTGATTCATATTTGATTTTGCTTCACACTGTCATAAATTGCAGAGTTAAATATTTTCATACACAATTATAATATAAACTAAAACATCCAAACACAATTAACTAATGTGAGCTGGAATACCCTTAAATATAAAACGCAAAAATATAAAAGTGCAAAACAAAATTAAAACATGAAATGTAAAACTTATTGGACACCATCAAGTAGAACAATATATTCATGAAAAAAAATCATAGAATAATATAGCAAAAAAGTAATACAGAGGTTACTTGAAGATTTAAAAAAGCTGAGAACTTTCCAAATTATGATGTAATAAAAAATTCTTAACCAATACTACTTGAAAATATGTTTATAATTATATATTAATATAATATATAAGTATATAAAAATATATAATAATTATACTACTAATTATAATTACTTTACTTCAAAAACAAGATAAAAATAAAGACTTTTCAAAATAAAAGGTGAGGGTATTCATCACCCCTACCACAGTCCTACAAAAACTGCTACATGGTTGCCAGGCAGTGGCTCATGCCTGTAAATCCTACAGTTTTAAGAGGCCAAGGCAGTCAGCTTACTTGAGACTAGGAGTTGAAGATCAGCCTGAGCAACATAGTGAGACACTGCATACAAAATAAAAAAGAAAGGCTAAATGAGTCCATTATGTTAAAAAATAAAATGATGCTGAACAGCATCATAAAAACATATATAAATAAAAAACTATTAAATATATCA
Source organism: Homo sapiens (assembly GCF_000001405.40). NCBI lineage: Eukaryota > Metazoa > Chordata > Mammalia > Primates > Hominidae > Homo > Homo sapiens. The sequence goes on along the minus strand of NC_000019.10, from coordinate 20,944,139 downwards.
ACACATAAAATTATTTATTATCAAAATAATGGTGCATAAAACTCTTAAATTTCCTCTATAGAATATGAAAAACAAAATATAAATCTGTTAATAGATACACAACATAAAATAATATTTAATACCAATAACAAACTGGAAAATATAGAGTCAAATAAGCTGAAAGTAACAGAATGGAAAAACTTTTTATTACATGCAAATATAACCACAATTGAGTAAGACACTCATAATTATATTAGACATTATATGCTTTAAGTCAAGTACTAGCATGAGACAAAGACTGATATTATACAATAGTAAAATGGATCAATTTACCAGGAATCTAAAACTATTATGCCTATTTATTTATGTGTATATGTATATACAACATTAGGGCTCCAAAATACGTAAAGCAAATATTGACAAAAGTGAAACAAGAAATACATAGCAACATAATAATTGTAGACATCAAGACCCCATTTTTAATAATAAATAGAAAATTCAGACAAAAGATCAATAAGAAAACAGAAAACTTAGACAACGTTACAGAATATATTATTTTGCACATAGAGGAATACCTGAGAGTGGATAATTTATAAATAAAAAGGCTTGTTTGGTTCATCGTTGGGCAGACTGTACAAGAAGTGTGTGCCGGCATCTGCCTCTGGTGGAAGGTTTCAGTAAGCTTCCACAATGGTGGAAGGCCAACAGTAACTGGACATATCACATAGTAAAAGACAGAACCAAATGTGAGGTGAAGGGGCCAGGTTCTTTTAATGAGGCAGCTCTCATCTGAATTAACAGAGTGTAAACTTTTTGATTACCAAGAGGATAGTACAAAGCCATTCATGAGAAATTTGCCCCATGATCTAAACATCTCCCACCAGGTTCCACATCCAACAGTGAGGATTACATTGCAGCATAAGATTTGAAGAACACGAACATCTAAACCACATCACAGACCAACTAGGATTAACAGACATGTACAAAACTTTTCAGTCAAAAGCAAGAGAATACACAACATTCTTATTTGCACCTTGTGTATTCTGTTAGGACACATAACAAATCTTATTAAATTTAAGAATACTGGCTGGGTGAACAGGCTCATACCTATAATCCCAACACTTTGGGAGACCAAGGTAGGAGGATCATTTGGAGCCAGAAGTTTGAGACTAGACTGGGCAACAAAGTGAGACTCTGTCTCTACAAATAATCAAAAAATTAGCCAGGCATAGTACTGCATGTCTGTAGTCCAAGCTACTCGGGAGGCTGAGGTGGAACAATCACTTGACCCCAGAAGGTTGAGGCTGCAGTGGGCCAAAATCTTGCTACTGCATTCCAGACTGGGTGACAGAGTAAGATTCTGCGTCAAAATAACAATGACAACAACAACAAATAAATTTAAGCAGACAAAAATTATACACTGTGTGTTTTCTGACCAAAACTGAATGCAACTAGGAATTAAAAGCAAAACTGGAAAATCCAAAATTACGTAAAAATAAAACACACCCTTCAACATATTCTTGCCCAAGTTTCAAAAAAATTAATTTTTCAAAGATGTCAATACAAACTACAGTGGCAAACAAATTCAATATAATCTAACTAGAAATCCCAATACCACATATTTTTACAGAAATATTGTTTAAAATTTGATTATAAACTATAGCCAAACACCCATGAAAAAGAACAGAGGCATTATACTTCCTGATTTAAAAACATAATAGGCCAGCAAGGTGGCTCACGTCTGTAATCCCAGCACTTTGGGAGGCCAAGGCAGGTGGATCATGAGGTCAGGAGTTCAAGACCAGTCTGGCCAACATACTGAAACCCCGTCTCTACCAAGAATACAAAAAATTAGCCAGGTGTGGAGGTGGGTGCCTGTAATCCCAGCTACTCCTGAACCTGAAAGGCAGAGGTTGCAGTGAGCCGAGATTATGCCATTGCACTCCAGCCTGGGAAACAGTGAGAGACTCTGTCTCAGGAAAAAAAAAAAATTAATAATAATAATATAAAAGCTACAATAACAAAAGCAATGTGGTACTGACACAAAAACAGATAAACAAAGAACAGAGTAGAGAGCACAGAAATCTGTATATGATCAAATGATCTTGTAAAGTTGCCATGAGCACACAATAGAAAAAAAGATAACCTCTTCAAGACATAATGTTGAAAACTGGATATCAACATGGATAAGATGAAGATGGATTATATCCTTGAACCACATATGAAAAATATTTTTAAATAAAATGCCCAGATATAAAAATGAAGGGGGAAAGACATGACATTTGTCTTGGCACTATTTTCCTAGATACGACATTAAACGCATGAGCAACAAAGAAAAGACAGTAAAATTTAACTGCATTACACTTCAAAGTTTCTGCGCATCAAAGAAAACATTCAATAGAGTGACAATGCCTCCTAGGAAATAGCTAAAAATATTTGCAAATCACATATCATAGAAGTTAACATTGAGAATGTATAAACAACTTGTAAAACTTAACAATAAAGTTGAATAATTTTATTTAGAAATGAACAAATAATTGAACTAAATTTTTCTCAAAAAGAATACACAAATGGGAAAAAGCATTTGAAAGGAAATGTGGCCAGGCACGGTGGCTCATGCCTGTAATCCCAGCACTTTGAGAGGCTGAGACGGGTGGATCACTTGAGGTCAGGAGTTCAAGACCAGCATAACCAACACGGTGAAACCCCGTCTCTACTAAAAATATAAAAATTAGCCGGGTGTGACGGCATGTGCCTGTAATCCCAGCTACTCAGGAGGCTGAGGAGAATTGCTTGAACCCCAGAGGCAGAGGCTGCAGTGAGCTCAGTTCATGCTACTGCACACCAGCCTGGAGCAAGACTCCACCTGGGGCAGGAAGAGTGGGGGGAGGGAAGAAAGGAAACACAAAATTACTAATTTGTAGAGAAATGCATAAAAATAACAATGAAAAACAAAATCACTTCACACCCATCAGAATGGCCACTATAAAATATAAAAAAACCCACCAAATTTGTTGCTGATGCAATGAAAATAAAACTCATACTAACTGGTGGAAAACAAGGATGCAGTCATTATTTTAAAATGTTATAAATGTTCCTCAGATAATTAAAACTGGAATTATCATTAAGTACAGCAATCACATTTATGAATGTATATCCGAACTATGCAACACAGAACCTGGGAGACATATTTGAGCATCCATGTTTATTGTACCAGTATTCACATAAGCCAAAAAACTGAAGCAACCCAGATGTCCCTTGATTTATAAACACATCAAAAAATGTAACATATACATATAATGAAATATTTTTTCAGACTTAAAACAGATTATCTTGTAACAATTTAAGATAACCTTTGAGAATATTATGTCCCTTTAAAATAAGCTAGTAATAAAATTATAGATACTATATTATTCCAGTTATATGAGATATCTTAAGTGGTCACACTCATAAAAACAGAAAGTGGAAGGGTGTTTGTCAAGAGCACCAGAGAGGGTAAAATGGGTTGCTGTTACTTAATGGGTATTGAGTTTGGTTTTACAAGACGTAAAATTTCTAGAAGTCTTTTGCATAACAATGTGAATATACTTAACATTCCTGAAATATAAAGCTATTTTTTTTTTGGAGACAGGGTCTCACTTCGTCACCTAAACTAGAGTGCAGTGGCACAATTATGGTTGACTATAGTCTGAAATTCCCAGGCTCAAGTAATCCTCTTTCTTCAATCTTCCAAAGATCTTGGACCACAAGTGCACACCAAAATGCCAGGCCATTTTAAAGAAATTTTTTGTAGAGAAGGAGTCTCCATATGTTGCCCAGGGTGGTCTCAAACTTTTGGGTTCAAGTGATCCTCTTTGTCTTGGCCTCTCCAAATCTCTGGGATTACAGATGTGAGCCACAACCATGCCTGGCCCTAAAATGTACACTTCAATAGATTTAAGATGACAAACTTTATGTGTTTTAAAAACAATTTTCTAAAGAAAAAAACTGAAAACAATATAGAATTATAAATCCTTTCAGGAATTACCTTCATATCACAAAGTGTTTTTTTTTTTTTCACATAAAGGAAATAGATATTCATTATTAAACGCATGGTAAAAATAAGAGTATCTCCATAACTACTCACTTAAACAAGATGAAACAACCACTGAAAATCAGCTAAGAGGTCAGGCACAGTGGCTCACATCTGTAATCCCAGCACTTTGGGAGGCTGAGGTGGGCGGATCACCTGAGGTCGGGAGTTCGAGACAAGCCTTACCAACATGGAGAAACCCCGTCTCTACTAAAAATACAAAATTACCTGGGTGTGGTGGTGCATGCCTGTAATCCCAGCAACTTGGGAGGCTGAGGCAAGAGAATCGCTTGAACCCAGAAGGCAGAGGTTGCGGTGAGCTGAGATTGTGCCATTGCACTCCAGACTGGGGGTCATATTTATAGATAAGCACACACACATATATAATCAGATTGTTATAGACATATGGCTGATTTGTATCTTAATTAAACCTCACATTGACTTAACGTGTACATACAGAATTGCAAGTTATTTAAAATTATAATGCATAAGTAAAAGCAAAAAACACAATAAACTGATGTTAAGAAACCTACACTACCTGGGAGTGGTGGCTCAGGCCTGTAATCTCAGCACTTTGGGAGGCTGAGGTGGGCGGGTCACTAGGTCAGGAGTCCGAGACCAGCCTGGCCAATATGGTGAAACCCCATCTCTACTAAATATACAAAAATTAGCCAGCCGTGCTGGTGTGTGCCTGTAGTCCCAGCTACTTGGGAGGCTGAGGCAGAAGAATCACTTGAACCAGGAGGCAGAGGTTGCAGTGAGCTGAGATCATGCCACTGCACTCCAGCCTGGGTGACAGAGCAAGACTGTCTCAAAAAACAAAACAAAAAACAAGCCTACACTAAAACACACTAATATGGAACTGCAAGACAGTAATAAATGTTTACTCCTAAACTCTGGTTTGCAATATTGATGTACCATTAAGAAAGAATGTGTCTAGACAACAATATTTGACAGTGTACTCATGGAAAGCAGGTACTTTGAATCATTGGCAGGCACTGTATGGCAGTAAAATTTCAGAGAAAATACAGTATAAGCATAAATAGAATATTGTAATGAGAAACTTTTTATAATCATTTAAAAGAAACGAGATAAATTTTGTTTTAAATATATGCATTTTTACACAAAATGAAAGTGCTGCAATCCAAATTTAGAAGCAAATAGCCTTAAACTGCTAAATAAAATACACACACACACACACACATATATATACACACACACACACACACACACACACATATAGCAGAATATGGTTAGAGCCTCTGATATATAAAACAAATATTTGGGAATAAATTATGCTATTATTTAGATTTAGGCTGAAGAAAGTGGGTGAATATCCTATAATTCCGTTTTGCCTGCAGCAAACTTAAATTTATAAGTAACTATTTTAGTAAATATGGAGTGCCTACTAATTGTATAATTTACTTCAGGCATAACATGTAAATTCTAGCATATTGTTCTAAATGTCTGAATCTAAAATTACAGAAAAGTTTGAAATGGAAAATAGAAAGAAAAATGTATATAGAGAGTAACATCAGCAAGATGGAAAAATAAAAGGTGCCCTACTTTCTTATGCCCCAACAGCAAGAAAATTTTTTCAGCCAATCCTGACAAAAATGCCCTTATGAGAGAGCCAGGCATCATGGCTCACCCCTATAATGACAGCTACATGGTACACTGAGGTTGGAGAATTGCTTCAGGCCAGGATTTCAAGAGCATCCTAGGACAAATGCAGTGGCTCATGCCTGTAATTCCAGCACTTTGGAAGGTTGAGGTGGGAAGGTTAACGTCAGAAGTTCAAGATCAGCTTATCCAACATGGTAAAACCATGTCTCTATTAAAAATACAAAAATTAGCCCTGTGTGGTGGTGTGTGCCTGTAATTTTAGCTACTTAGGAGGCTGAGGCACGATAATCACTTAAACCCAGGAGGAGATGGGAGTGAGCCAAGATCATGCCACTGCACTAAAGCCTGTGTGACAGAGTGAGACTCCGTCTCAAAAACAAAAAAACAAGACTAGTCTGGGTTCTGAAGCAAGACCCCATCTCCAAAATAAGTGCCTCTAAGAGCTTTGAGATCCAGGGAGGGACTTGTGAAACTGCTAAAGCCCAAGATTGAGGAGTATCCGTTTCGGAAGGCAGGCCCTCATTCAGGTGGCAATCTACAGAAACTCTGTTCTTGACTATAGACCAAAGAAATGGCCCACCCAGCTTGGTCATCCCAAACTCCTCCCAGCCACAGTATGAAAGAGGCCCTGCCCTTCCAGAGTCCTGGAGGAAGACATCAATTTATAGACATGCAGACAGGCCTGCAGACCTTGGCCTTTACTGTGGTCCCCAAAGCAGTTTAATGACTCAGTTCCAGCTCCCTAAGCCACAGTTTATGGCCAGTTCTGCCTACACAGAAACCCACACAGTGTCCCAGAGAAATGCTCTCTGGTATTCAGTGAAAGCCATACTCATCCACATCCTGATATAAGCCCTGCCATTAGCAGACTCGACTGCAGAAACCTGCCCTAGTGTCTGCCTTATATATAGAAGTCCTGAAGGATATTCAGTTTGTCCAAAAATAAAATGGGAGTTACAGCTACCCAAGCCTCTTATAACAAACCAACTAAAGGCGGACCCTAGTGCAGACCCAGCAGCCTTCTGATCAAGCTACAATTCCTCTGCACTATAAACTCAGAGGGCATCCCGTCACCCTGGGGGCCCAACAGAAGATCTTTACCTTCTGAAACTGGTTTATAAAAACTTGAAGAGGGCTGGGCGCTGAGGCTCATGTCTATAATCCAAGCACTTTGGGAGGCTGAGGTGGGTGGATCACGAGGTCAGGAGTTTGAGACTCGCCTGGCCAATATGGTGAAACTTCGTCTCTACTAAAATACAAAAAATTGGCCAGACGTTGTGGTGCACGGCTTTAGTCACAGCTACTTGGGAGGCTGAGGCAGGGGAATACTTGAACGCAGGAGGCGGAGGTTGCAGTGAGCCGAGATCGTGCCACTGCACTCCAGCCTGATGACAGAGTGAGACTCCGTCTCAAAAACAAAAAACAAAAACCCAAAAAACAAAACAAACAAAAAAACCCCAAAAACTTGAAGAGCTGTTTGCTCATTCAAATTCATATACACCAATGCAAAACTATATTGTGCTCATCGTAAAATGTGAAATAGAGGTTCCTTTTCAAAGGGACTTTCCTCCTCGTGTAATTAGGAATAAATAGTAACTTCTCTTAGAAGCAAAATGTATTCAAACACCTGTGCTGACATTCTTAGATATCTGCTAGCCGTGATAAAGAAATCAATGTACTTTGTGTTCTTAGCTCCCACATTTTAGCCTAAATATTTGCCCTGGCATGCTTATACTGGTCCAAGCAAGCATTAGGTCATAGCCTGTTCCTATTCCTTATCTGGAGGTGTTTTTACCTTTCTCAGCATCCACAAGTTGCTCCCTCCTTCCTTTGTTCTCCTCTGCCTTTGCCTCTTTTAGAAAGTTCTAAGTTGCTAGCCAACTGGGACAAATACAGAATGTGAGGTCCTGTTGTAGCCAATGGAAACCGGACACAGCAGTAGGGTGGACCCATCAGGTTATAAATGACCCTGCCTCCTTTGTTTAGTGTATTCTCTTGGCAAAACTGCTGGCGAGTGTACTCTTTCTGCAGAAAGTAAACTAGCCTTGCTGAGAGATCCTTTGTCTCTCAAAGGATTTTTGTGACACCAAGCACCCATTCCCAATACCATTGTCAATGTTTCTATTTTAATATAGCACTGGAAGTATGTGGCAGAAGAATTAGTAAAAAAATTGTTTTAAAGCCATTGAAATTGAAGACAAATAAGTAAAAGTTGCTGGTTGTAGATCATATAATCTTATATATAGAAAACCATGAATAGTACATTAAAACCTGTCTAAACTAATAAATACACCCAGTAAATTAGCAAAGTATAAAATTAACATACAAGTATAAATTAGGGTTCCATATACATAAAACAAACTATCTGATAAAGAAAACAATCTTATTTATAATAGCATCAAAATAATAAATTTCTGAGAACAAATTTAACAAAAGAGGTAAAACATTTTTATACTGGAAGATATAAGATATCATAGAAAGAAACTAGAGAAGACACAAATAAATTTTAAAATATTTTATGTCTATGCATTGAAAGGATAAATATTGTTAAAGTGTCATATTATACAAAGTAACCTATAGATTCAACAAACTCCCTATCAAAATTCTAGTGGTGGCCAGGCATGGTGGCTCACGCCTGTAATCCTAGCACTTTGGGAGGCCAAGGCACATGGATCACCTGAGGTTGGGAGTTTGAGAACAGCCTGACCAACATTGAGAAACCCTGAGGCAGAGGTTGCGGTGAGCCGAGATCACACCATTGCACTCCAGCCTGGGTAACAAGAGCGAAATAAAAAAAAAAAAAATTCTAGTGGCATCTTTTACAGTAATGAAAAATACAATTCTAAAACATACATGAAACTATAATAAACTTTGAATAGCCAAAGCAATCTTGAGGTAAAAGAACAAAGCATAGGGGCATCATACTTTATAATTTCAAACTATATTTCAAGAATGTAGTAATACAAACAGGATGGAATGTGCAGAAAAACAAACAAAAAAACCCCCAATGGAACAGAAACCACTACTCACATATTTCAAACATGATGCAAAAATACAATTAAAAATATTGCTTAACATAGACTTTTTCAAAATTATGCAGATATTTGTGTGTCCCCCAAAACAATGAAAAAGCAGCCAGACTGCGCAGTCTCTTATATGCCACGAAGAGGACTTTGGCTCTAACTGCAAACTTGAAGATCACCGAAGGAAAAGTAGAATCCTTAGAAAATTTAAAAGTATAAGACAGAAGATGCCCCCATGTGAGAGCAAAAAAGAAAGAAAGAAACCTCAGGCTTCTGAGAAACTATTTTCTTTGGAACACAGCTTCCTAAATCACATTTTAAGGACTGGCTTTCTCTTTGGCCTTTGGACCTCTCATGTGTCATCTGCTGTATTCATTTTCACTTTCACCTACCTGTGGGTTTGGCCACCATGATCTCATGTCTCTTCATACTCCAGGCCTCTTTCCCTTGCTCCAGACAAGTGATCAGGTCTGGCTTAGAAACAGTAATACCTGTTTTATTAAAAATAAATAATATAAATCTTGCTCATATTCTCTAATGACCAATCTAGTAATGTGCTTAGCTAGTAAATTAATCCCAAAATACTAATTTATAACAGACATTTTCAAATATTTAAAAAATATTTTTGATTTGTAGGTTCTTTTTTTTTTTTTTTTTGAGATGGAGTCTCACTCTCATTCTGTCACCCAGGCTGGAGTGCAATGGCGTGATCTCAGCTCACTGCAAGCTCCGCCTCCTGAGTTCATGCCATTCTCCTACCTCAGCCTCCTTAGTAGCTGGGACTACAGGACTACAGGTGCCTGCCACCACACCCAGCTAATTTTTTGTATTTTTAGTAGAGACGGGGTTTCACCGTGTTAGCCAGGATGGTCTCGATCTCCTGACCTCGTGATCCGTCCGCCTCAGCCTCCCGAAGTGCTGGGATTACAGGCGTGAGCCACCAAGCCTGGCCCAGTTTCTTAATTTTACTATCCAGTACTATTGAATCAAAAATTGGTGTTGGCAATTACATTTTAAGGTGTGGGCAAAAATTTTATGCCATTAAATTTGTGGAATTTAGTAATCTACAGTGAAGGATACAGATCAGCTCAGAAATTTGGAAAGTTAAGGTCAAAATGAAACATCTTGCAGAAATTCTTTTCTACATGTATTAATCCCCAAGATTTTCTTGAAAACAGGGATCTGAAACTAATTTATGCAAAGCACACTTTACCAGAAAAACATTCCACAAATAAAAGAAATAAAACCTTTAGGGCATATTAGAAATTGTGTATTGAAGTTATCCTCACCCAGGAAGACCAGGTTTCTGTAGTTCTCTAACATCACATTTCTATATAAATTCCGCTGTGCAGTGTCCAGGCATTGCCACTCCTTCAGAGAGAATTCTATGGCCACATCCCTAAATGTCAATGGTCCCTGAAAGATACACACACATACACATACACACACACACACACACACACACACACACACACACACACATAATTACCAACTGGTTATGAAAAGCATTTTTAATTTTACTCAAGGTGAAATGAGAGAGTACAGGTAACTGTTTCTGACTTACAGGAGTGACTAAAATTATAAAATAAAATAATTTTTTTAACACAGAAATATTCTCTAATATATTTTTTAACTCTAAGAAAAGAGAGTGGCATAAGATCCACAATACCAGTGTATACATGATACTTTTCTGGATGATATAGTATAAAATTAAGGGCATAAAAATGTGTATTTTTGGATGCCATATACACATTCTACAGAATGAGTTGTGTATATTTTTCAGATGGAAAAGACAGGTTGAGTTAGAAGGTACTTTTTAAATTTTAATGTGTACAATAAACTGGAGAACTTGTTAATGCAGATTATTTTTTCAGATGATCTGGAATAAAGTCTGATTGTCTGAATTTCTAACAAGCTCACCAGTAAGGTTAATGTTTTTGGCCAAGAAGAATATTTTGTCAAACATCCAGTAAGGGGAAGAACCTGTGTTTTTCCTAATTTTTCTGGCCTGTAAACAAAGATAAGAGCTTTGACTTTCCAAAGACAGATGTATGCAAAAAAAAAAAACTAAGAAAAAAGGGCAGCTGCTGGATTAACTGTGATGGTTTATGCACATTAGCTGCATTAAGATAATAATGAAGAAAAAATAATTATCTCTATAGTGACAAAATCTGTCAGAGAGCTCTTTAACCAAGTGAATCATTAACATGAACTGCACTAGGACAAATTTTTTTTTTTTTTTTTTTTGAGACGGAGTCTCGCTCTGCTGCCCAGGCTGGAGTGCAGTGGTGCAATCTCAGCTCACTGCAAGCTCCGCCTCCTGGGTTCACGGCATTCTCCCGCCTCAGCCTCCCAAGTAGCTGGGGCCACAGGTGCCCACCACCATGCCCGGCTAATTTTTTTTTTTTTTGTATTTTTAGTAGAGACGGGGTTTCACCATTCCCAGGATGGTCTAGATCTCCTGACCTTGTGATCTGCCTGCCTTAGCCTCCCAAAGTGCTGGGATTACAGGCTGAGCCACCGCGCCCATCCTAGGACATATTTTTATGATGTGTTGATGCACATGAAATGACACAGCATCACGGCTGTGATACTGCTCCTCCAAACTATAGTCTGAATTTTAACATTAAAAAATCAGTTTTATGCAAAGTTCAGGATACAGATATCTTCCCTGTCTATAATTTGTAATAGTAATTTTAAATCATCTTTCTTTAGCACCCTAGAGAGCAGGTATCTCCTGATAATTTTTTTTTTAGAACTTTCTGGGTAATAAATGTCATCTTGTTTAACTAAGCATTTCCTTGATCCTGTTTTGCACAGAGGTAATGGAGAATACAGATGGAACCTCAACATTACATGTTTTCCATCTTTACAAATGACTCCAGCTTTCCCCCAATAGAAATCTTGAGTATCCACACCTTTTCATGTTCAAGAGCCACAAAGGGAACATTTTTAATAGTGCAGATTATAAATTTGTGGTAGGAATTCTGCATGGCATATAAAAAGCCACAATGTAAAGAATGTAGAAAGGGCTCTGGTATATAGAAAAAAAATACTTTTCAGACACCCTTGACTATCATAAGAATTTTTACAAGTAGTTAAACTCTTTAGGGAGGGGTAATACAATAGAGAAGTAATGATTTGCATGGCATTCTAGGAGGCAAAGTGGACACAGCTCTTGATCTGAGACATGTTTTGCTTTAAAAAAAGAAGCCATTTTTTTCCTCTTTTTCCTCCTTTTCTGGGAATCCTTTCCAGATGAGATTCTTTGAACAAATTACAGCTGCATGTTGAGAATATGTCTTTAAAGATGTCAACATCAACTGCTCATCTGCTACCACCAGACCCACAGGCAGAAGGATCAAGACCTGCAGAAAAAGCTCACTCATTTATGTCCTTTATAATGGAAGAGATTCAGGAACAATGAGCTGCTCCATGGGTATCAAAATATGTTTCACTTTTCCTGTTCTCAGGTGCCCTCCCCTGTCACAGACACCAGCAATTTCTGCTACAATAATGAAAATATGGGCCATGGCCGGGCTTGGTGGCTCACGCCTATAATCCCAGTACTTTGGGAGGCCGAGGCAGGCAGATCCTGAGGTCAGAAGATTGAGACCATCCTGGCTAACACGATGAAACAGCATCTCTACTAAAAATAGAAAAAATTAGCCAGGCGTGGTGGCATGTGCCTGTAGTCCCAACTACTCGGGAGGCTGAAGCAAGAGAATCGCTTGAACCCAGCAGGCAGAGGTTGCAGTAAGCCGAGATTGCACCACTGCACTCCAGTGAAACTGCACCTCAAAAAAAAAAAAAAAAAAAGAAAAAGAAAAAGAAAAAGAAAATATGGCCACATTGCTCTGTCCCTACCAAATCCAAACAGAAACAGTCCTGCGGCCACCCTTTAGTGCAAAGGTGGAACTTAACTCATGAATGTATCTGGAACACCTCATACTTGATTCTGGCCTCAACTTAAGAGTCACATGAGGCACTTCATTACTACAACATGACTGCTTCCCCCTAGAACAATAAACAGAATCTGTGGAAAGGGCACAAGTAAAGAGATTTCTGCAAATTGGCCATGGAATCCTAATGAGAAGCCTGGGCTGATAACCACTTAGCTAAGCATTGCCTCTCAAGTTTTAATGAGCTTATAAATCACTTGGTAATTTTGGCTCCATTCTATGTAATATGATTCTGCAGGTTTGAAAAGAGTCCATGAATAGGTAACAACCCTGTCAGTGCTGATGTTGCTTCCCTTGGGCTCATTATTGGCATTAGAGAAAGCAGGCACAGCACAGGTTCCCTTACACTCAGCACTCTTGTCACAACCAAATACTTCTGGTACAAATAAAGACAACCCATCTCTGCCAGGCGCAGTGGCTCATGCATGTAATTTCAGCACTTTGGGAGGCCGAGGCAGGTGGATCACCAGAGGTCGGGAGTTTGAGACCAGCCTGACCAACATGGAGAAACGCAGTCTCTACTAAAAATACAAAAAAATTAGCTGGGTGTGGTGGTGCATGTCTGTAATCCCAGCTACTAGGGAGGCTGAGGCAGGAGAATCATTTGAACCTGGGAGGCAGAGGTTGTGGTGGGCCAAGATCGTGCCATTGCACTCCAGTCTGGGCAGCAAGAGCGAAACTCTGTCTCTAAATAAATAAATAAAATCCATCTCCATCCTTAAGTATCATATTCTTTGCTGGCTCATTAAAGTTTACAGAGGAAACAGAAGGCAGCAATGTTTGAATAAGCCTGCATTTGGCAACAACATGTACACCTGTACTAATGCAAGATATATTAAGCAGGAACTATGTACTCAAAAGGATGTTAAAAAGCACTGTGTTGGCCATAACACATTACGTGATTTCATCATCATAACACCCTGAAAGATGTTATTAAGTGTTTAATAATTCTTAGGATTTAAATAAAGAGCCCTGCCTTTCCATTTCTTCTTGTTTCTCTGTCATTGATTTTTTTTAATTGCATAGAAGAAAAGCTAAATATAGACAGATGAGAGGAATACAGAAAGGAAAGTTTAATGTATTTTAGAGAAGTTTTTTACTGTGTTTGTATTTAATTTTATGTGACTTGCAGAGCAACTACTGGATTTGCAAAAATAGAAAACAAGTTGTTAAATAGAATGTTTCTGCAAGCACTCACTTTAATACAAAATTTAAAAATTAAGACCCTAAAATACATACTTTATTTTTACCATTTATCTGTTTTGGGGTTTAAGGAAATTGTGAGCATGAACTCTAGAAAGGCAGAAGGATTCACCAGACAAAAACTCTGATTTCTTTTTTTTTTTTTTTTTTTTTTGGGACGGAGTCTTGCTCTGTCACCCAGGCTGGAGTGCAATGGCATGATCTCAGCTCACTGTAACCTCTGCCTCCTGGGCTCAAGAGATTCTCCTGCCTCAGCCTCCCAAGTAACTGGGATTACGGGTGCATGCCAACATACCAGGGTAATTTTTGTATTTTTTAAGTAGGGATGGGGTTTCACCATGTTGGTCAGGCTGGTCTCGAACTCCTGACCTTATGATCTGCCTGCTTTGGCCTCCCAAAGTGCTGGGATTATAGGCGTAAGCCACCACGCCTGGCCCAAAACTTTGATTTCTTCTAACAAATTGTGTGAGGCAAGACTCCAGGGTGGGGCCAGACCTAAATAAGGCCTCCAAATAGGTTAAATCTAAACAGAACTGGGGCAGGGAGAGGACCCTATGTAGAACTCTGTTCTCTATGCCACTAGGGTATTTCCAGTTCTGTTTTTCCTAAGCTTACCTAAGAGAAACTTAAATCCCAGAGTTTGTGTAATCTTAATCTTTTTAAGCCAAGCCACTGCCCCCTCAATTTTATAACATATACTAAGAAATTTAAAGAAATATTTTAAGGTTTTCTAGGGTAATTTTATTATAAGATACATATGTATTCTTAGCAAGGTTAAAGAAATAGAAATAGGCTGGGTGCAGTGGCTCATGCCTGTAATCCCAGCACTTTTGGAGGCTGAGGTGGGATCACAAGGTCAGGAGTTTGAGACCAACCTGGCCAAGATGGTGAAGCCCTGTCTCTACTAAAAATACAAAAATTAGCCAGGTGTGGTGGTGTGCACCTGTAGTCTCAGCTACTTGGGAGGCTGAGGCAGAAGAATTGCTTGAACCTGGGAGGCGGAGGTTGCAGTAAGCTGAGATCATGCCATTGCACTCCAGCCTGGGTGACAGAGCAAGACGGTGTCTCAAACAAAAAAAAAAAAAAGAAGAGATCAGTTTTTGTCTAGTGAATCCTGTCACTGTACTCCAGCCTGGGTGACAGAGCAAGACTCTATCTCAAAAAAAAAAAAAGTAAGAGCTAAATAAGAACACGTACACAAAGAAAGAAACAACAGACACTGAGGCCTAGTAAGGGTGGAGGGTGAGATGACAAGGAGAATTTGAATAAATATTGGTTTGGTGCTATGCTTAGTACCTCTGTGAGAAAATAATCTACACCAAACCCCCGTGACACAATTTTACCTATATAAGAAACCTGCACGTGTACCCCTGAACCAAAATCAAAAGTTAAAAGAAAAAAACTTCATGGGTGGGGTAAAGTGCAATGTAGGTGGAAGGACTGTAGGTTTTTGCTACAGACAGCGGTCCCGGTGGGGCTGTACTCTGATTTATTTGTGCCTGTGCAGGCAGATGAGATTATGAACAGGTGGTCCAGAACCCTAGGTTGGTGGAGAAAACAGTTTGCTGCTGCAGATTCAGTGTCTGGGGGTTGGGATATGCCAGGAGACTTGTAGACACTCTTGTGGGATTTTGGCAAGAAATACTAGGATCCACAATGCTGTGGTGAAATTCCTGAGGATGATGACTAGTCTTGAGAGGGATGTGGACACGTCAATGTCTAGTGTGTGTGAGTGGGTGGGACTCCTGTGGTGGCAGCTGCAAGAAAAGGGGGTCTGTCATCAGAGGTCCTTTCCTCTAAGTTTTCAGTCCACAGTCACCCTGGGAGGAGACCTGGAATCACAAGACAATGGGCAGTGTGACAGCCTGTGTACAGGAGAGCAGAGCCTCCCCTTCCCAGACACCCAGAGTTCCATTCGAGGCCAGGCCTCTGTGATATCTTTTTTCTGGTATCAAATCTATAGAGTTTGCTGAACACAAAGCAATTCTCCAGCACCTACTCATTATCTGAAATTTGAATTCTGACACCACCCAGAGTCAGCACAGACCCCGATTCAGGGTTCAGTCCCACAACACTGCCCTCATTACAGATGCCAGTCACAAACCCCATAGGCCCACCTATGCTTCTGAGCTACTGTTTAAAATTTGGGGATTCCCATAACCTCCCTCTAGTTCAATAATTTGATAGAGCTACTCACAGAACCCAGCAAACTCTGTAGTTTATTATAAAAGATACAACCCAGAAGAAGTCAAATGAAAGAAATGTATAGGACAAAAAAAGAGGTGGGGAAAAATGAAACACATACATAATCCTGGAAAATAGCTGTGATTAATAAAAGTCATCCTTTGTGTGCTCCAGCAACAGTTTATGAAAAGAAACACTTTTTTTCCCCCTCAGATGGAGTCTTGCTCTGTCGCCAGGGTGGAGTGTAGTGGCATGATCTCGGCTCACTGCAACCTCCGCCTGCCGGTTCAAGCGATTCTTCTGCCTCAGCCTCCCAAGTAGCTGGGACTACAGGCACACACCACCACGCCCAGCTAATTTTTGTATTTTTAGTAGAGACAGGGTTTCACCATCTTGGCCAGGCTGGTCTTGAACTCCTGACCTCGTGATCCTCACGCCTCAGCCTCCCAGTGTTGGGATTACAGGTGTGAGCCACCATGCCCAGCCAAAAACACCCTTCTTATTATGACTTAGAAGACACTCCCTTTTCTTACCTATCACATAGCCAGATACATACTGTACACATTTTCTTCCTTTTCTCATTAAAAAAATGAGCTGAATTTGTCTTCACTGGTCTAAATAAAATACTTTTTTTTTTTTGAGACACTTTTGATCTTGTTGCCCAGGCTAGAGTGCAATGGCGTGATAACAGCTCACAACAACCTCCACCTCCTGGATTCAAGGGATTCTCCTGCCTCCGCCTCCTGAGTAGCTGGGATTACAGGCATGCACCACCACGCCTGGCTAATTTTGTATTTTTAGTAGAGATGGGGTTTCTCTGTGTTGGTCAGGCTGGTCTCAAACTCCTGACCTCAGGTGAAATGCCCATCTCAGCCTCCCAAAGTGCTGGGATTACAGGTGTGAGCCACCACGCACAGAAATAAAATACTTCTTAATCAAACTTAAGTTTATTTTTTTCCCACAGGCTCCTGAACTTTGAGCTACCCTGAGTGTGAGTCAACATACAACCCCATTTTATGTCCCTCCTATGAACATGCTGACTTCAGGGTAAAACATTATCTGATCTAAAATCTGATTTTTTTCACACTCCATTTGCCACTCCCCTCCCACCTTTTTTCTAATCTTTTATGCTCCTCCCTAGGAAACAAAGCCTTTGTCTGCCTAAACTTTGCAAGCCATAAAGATGATATAGTTGGTACTTCCTCCTGTTGCAATATTCCTTTGGAATTCAATTTTTTTTTTTACACAAATCTAACTTTGTTTTATTTTACAAAGTCTAGACAGTGCCTCAAAACAATAAAAAACTTTATCATCAGTGAGACCCTCCCAGTTTCCTTTCATCTTAACCTTAACTGCATCTGCCTGTGGGGCCCCAGCTTTCCAAGGCTTTGGAGCTTCTCTCAGGATGGAAAGACTTCTTCCATGGCTGGGGTGAGCAGGCTGGGACATCTGCAGGGGAGGCTCCCCAGAAAGAACTAACTGGGCCTTTAATAATCTTTTTTTTTTGTAGGCTCAATATTAGCCTTAGGTTGGAGTCACTGGGTTCAAGCTTTAATTTCCATGTCAGATTTATTCCCTTGGTTTTTGAAACTGAAAACTCCAATGAAATCACTCAAACACAGTGTTCATATAAAAAAAGAAAATTTTTGGTGCTTACATTTTATACCTCAATTAGAAAAGCAAAAGCATTTATTCCTTTCAGACAATAAATGTATTATTTTATTATTTCTATAAAAAATCATGTAGTAAACAATTAGTCATGGGAACACTTCTAGGAGGTACCAAGTTTCATCTCATAAAATTTATCATGAAACTTAAAAATCAAGATAACAGGATATGGGACAGAAATATTCACTGTCACAACTTTACCCTGCAAAAAGAGAAATTTGTGTTTTCATGAATCTATGTAACTCACCAATTATATACCACATTTTCTTGTGGAAATCTATTTATTTTCTACAGCCAAAATGGAAGAGAGATTTTTCCTAATTTTTTCCCTGATAACATTCTAAAAGCTAAGCCTTGGAATTCTGTTTAAAATCACCCAGCCATAAGCACACCTGAGAAAATTTTTAAACTCACTCTGACAAAGGAACAAGTAAATGAGAATTCTTAACAAATGGAATATATGATTAGATTTTAATTTTTTTCTAAAACCCACTTCTTTTACACCCTGTGCAAATATTTTTGTGCCTTTTAAACTTTACTAATCAAATGCAATTTACAATTAAAAGAAGCTGAAGTCAAAATAAGTGAACAAATCTTTTCAAGGTGACAAACCCACAGAGGGACAGTGCTGATTAGAAAAGAGATGTGTCTGACCTATGTGTCAAGTCAGGCCGTTCAATCACTTGAAAGATTCTCCCACCCGCTCCTGCTCACTAAAGTTCTCAATGACCAACCTCTCAAGAGACACTACACTATGCCCCAGTGACTGCCCCAAGTGCATTTTACTTTGCAAGTTCTTGCACCATCTCACTGGGGTGACCTTTTTTTTGTCTTTTGGGATACTATTTTTTCTTTCACAAATCTTAGAGAATCCAGGGGGTAAAAATTATTTCTGCATTTTTCTCTCAATGTGTCTCCAAGAAATAGAAGCTGGGTTGGGTGAAGTCAATCTTTTTTTTTTTTTTTTGTATACAGTCTCGCTCTTTCACCCAGGCTAGAGTGCAGTGGCATGACCTTGGCTCACTGCAACCTCCACCTCCCGGGTTCAAGTAATTCTTCTGCCTCAGCCTCCCTAGTAGCTGGGATTACAGGTGTGTGCCACCAGGCCTGGCTAATTTTTGTATTTTTAGTAGAGATGGGGTTTCACCATATTGGCCATGCTGGTCTCAAATTCCTGACCTCGCGATCCGCCCGCCTCGGCCTCACAAAGTGCTGGGATTACAGGTGTGAGCCACCGCGCCCAGCTGGGTGAAGTCAATTTTAATGTCTCAAGGAGTTAGCTTTTCAAAGGAAGAGTACACCAGGAGACTGCACTCAGACCCTGGGTATCTACCTGCTCCCTTGATAGGATACACTTCATACCTCAGGTTGTCCTATGAGAGAAAATGACCCAGGAGCTGATATTCACTAGACACTCTAGCCAACATAGCCACAATGGTGGGCATCCTGGTTTATCCCCATACAGTACTGAAAACCCAGGACCAGGAAAAAACTGAAGAGTGGCTGATGACCCATCACACCATAAAGTCTCCAAACGGAAACCTTGACCCACCAATATTCTGATAAGAACTCTGTGCCTAGGGAAGATAAAAGGAAAAGAGACACAGAGATTTTTTTACAATATGGTGTCAGGGATTATTATTCACTTTCTTCTCATGGGAAATATTTACAAACAGAAGACAATTTTTTAAATAGTGCCATCCAATGTTTTGTGGAAGAATTATTAATTGAAATATAAAATGTACAATAAAGGACAAATAATTGATAATGTGTATCAGAGAGGGGAAGGTGGCATTTGGGAATGTCAATGACACTGGAAATTTAGTATTTTACTGTAAATCAGAGTTAATCTGGAAGAACAGGGAGTAAGAAGTAGACTTGAGACCCTGCTTGAGACATATGTGAAAAATGCAGGGGAAAAGAAGTCCCCTGTGGACTGTGAAAATGATTCAGTGGCAGGCAATTAGACTGAGGTGGCTCTAGTCCCTGGGGTCCTCCTTTTTAAAAAAATCTAACTAAAATTTCATTTTTTAGTAAATTACCACATCGGGGAAAACAAAATTCAGGCTTAACCAACTATAAACTGCCAATTAAATTCTGATCACATAACCAGAAAATTGCCAACACGATCGTACAAATTAAGAGACTATATAACTGTACCTAACCAATTACTAATTTGATTTTTTTATCATGCACCTTATAAAAGTCTTTTATTCAAGCTCCTCCCATGGACCACAAACTACAAACCATAGCTGAGTGCTCTACAATACTTGAACCACTTTTTAAGTTCTTTAATATTTTTGCGGTGACTCCTATACATCTTTTTTTTTTTTTTTTGAGACGGAGTTTCACTCTTATTGCCCAGGCTGGAGTGCAGTGGCGCGATGTAGGCTCACTGCAACCTCCGCCTCCCGGGTTCAAGCGATTCTCCTGCCTCAAACTCCTGAGTAGCTGGGATTGCAGGCGCGCGCCACGACGCCCGGCTAATTTTTGTATTTTTAAAAATTGAGACGGGGTTTCACCATGTTGGCCAGGATGGTCTTGAACTCCTGACCTCAGATGATCCGCCCGCCTCGGCTTCCCAAAGTGCTGAAATTACAGGCGTGAGCCACCACGCCCGTCCCCCCATACATTTTTAACAGAAAAAAAGAGGAACTGGGAACCCCACAGCCCAAAGCTCTTTCATGAACCCGCACCCCGAGTCAGGATTCTCCCCTGACAACCCTCCCGTGGTCCCTGCTCAATCTGGGAGAGACGCGGTGCTGCGAATGCAGAGCTGCCCAGAGAGGGCTCCAGTCCAGGGCACAGTCACTGCGCAGGGAAGAGACAGGACGCCCGGGCCGGCTGTCAGCGCAGCCGCCATCTTATGGCTGGAGGAACTGGGGCCGAGCTGGGCAAAAAGAACTGGAGCGCAGATTGTGGAGCTGACTACAGGGAGGCCTGAGTCCCGCCACAGCCGCTTCCCACCGGTTTCAACCAACCCCTTTCCCCCTCGGGATGGCGGACCTGGCACTCTCACCATTTCTAGGCTTCCAGGGGGTCCCGGCGTCTTAGCTGTGGATCTCCCAATACCTGCAGGCCACAGGGCCACAGAGGCTGGGCGTCCACGAGCAGAAAACACAAAGCAGGGAAAACAAGACCTAGAGCTCAGGCTGCAGCGAGAGACAAAGGCCCCGCCACATCCCGGAAGCCGCCCTATCCGCACCAGCTGCGTTCCTGATTGGACGGTTCCCAGCCCAGCGTCTCTGATTGGATGATATTTAAGGCACCTTCTTTTCAGGCCCTGAGTGACAGAAGATGTGATCAGATGCTGGGCTGAAAGAAGAGCGAGTGACAGCCTAGGCTGCAGCCTTTTCAGACAGGGCTTCCTTCCTGAGCTGAGCCAGGCTCACACCAGAGAGTATTTGCCCTTACCTTGTGTATCAATTTATATGCATTCAAAAATAATATATTATATGGCTATTCACAAATGAACAAAGTATAACAACAATTGTTCTAAAATTTTAGATTTTATGACCTTCCTGTATTCTGGTCCTTTGAACAGGCAATCCTCTGAAATAAAATGTGAGTCACAGGTGAATTTTAAATTTTCTAGTAGCCAAACTTTAAAAAGAAAGAAGAAACAAGTGGAATTGATTGTAGCAATTTATTTAACCCAATATATTCAAAATATTTTCATTTTAATATGTGAGCAATATGTAATTATTAATGAAATATAAATACATTTGAAACAAAATCTTTGAAACTAATTCTGTATTTTACCTTTCTAGCACATCGCAGTTCAGACCAGCCACATTCCAGGCACCCAGGAGCCACACATGGCCAATAGCTGCCACATTGAAGTACAGCTGTGATGTCAGTGGGGGTGGAGGGCCTGAACACCCCTTTTCTGCCACAGGTGAGGGGACAGCCTCTATTTATCAACGTCTCTTTTCAGTTCCGAGGGTGAAACAAATAGTGGCTATAGAAAAAGCTGATGGCAGCAGGAATAAATCACAGGTAAACCACTGCTTACCACCTGTTGCCCATCTTTCTTTCAGAGATCAGACAGTGAGCAAAGGATGATGGGCCACAGGAGAAAAAAAACTATGTCTTCAGATCTGTTCACAGTCTTGACCTTTAATGTTTACATAGGAAGAAAATAGATTAAAGGCAAACTTATTTTGCTATTTGACCTCGACTCTAATGTTCAGGCTGTGGTTACCTGTTTTCTTCTGTGGTGTGGGAAACTGAGTGAATATAAGCACAATCACATGCATACATGTCCACATGTATTTCGGCATTTCTTTTTTTTGAGATGGAGTTTCACTCTTGTTGCCCAGGCTAAAGCGCAATGGTGTGGTCTTGGCTCACTGCAACCTCTGCCTCCTGGGTTCAAGCAATTCTCCTACCTCAGCCTCCCGAGTAGCTGGGATTACAGGCATGCACTACCACGCCCGGCTAATTTTTTGTACTTTTAGTAGAGACGGGATTTCTCCATGTTGGTCAGGCTGGTCTTGAACTCCTGACCTTAGGTGATCCAACCGCCTTGGCCTCCTAAAGTGCTGGGATTATAGGCATAAGCCACCACCCCTGGCCATATTTCTGCATTTCTCAACATTATCTTACAAGACATCTAACTTTAAATCGGGAAAAATATCAGTACTTTTATGGTGCCCAATGTTAGAAGGTAACTAGTAATCAACCTGTTATTAAATCTTGGCATTCTATCTGCACTGGGTGCACATATTAGTTAACTATGGCAGCATAATGAACCATCCAAAACTGATTTGCTCATAATTGAAATGCTCAGCCATTTAGGCTGGGCTCAGTGGGGCCATTCTTCTGTTCTCAGCTGAGCTCCTTCAGACATGTATCATGAGCTGCTCATTGACTAGGAAAGCAGCAGCTGTGCTTGTAGAGGTGAGCTTCTGCTTCTGGGACTGTCAACAGGGATACCTTACTTCTCCTCTTCATAGTATCTTATACTCCAGTTGGCTAATATGGGCTTTTTTCTTTTCTTTTTTTGAGACGGAGTCTCGTTCTGTCGCCCAGGCTGGAGTGCAGTGGTGCGATCTCTGCTCACTGCAAGCTCCACCTCCTAGGTTCAAGTGATTCTCATGCCTCAGCCCCCTGAGTAGCTGGGACTACAGGTGCCCACCACCACACCCGGTTAATTTTTTTGTATTTTGAGTAGAGACGGGGTTTCACTGTGTTAGCCAGGATGTTCTCGATCTCCTGACCTCTTGATCTGTCCATCTTGGCCTCCCAAAGTGCTGCGATTACAGGCACCAGCCACCGTGCCTGGCCTAATATGGGCTTTTTTTCATGAATATGGCAGCATTCTGAAAGAAAAACAGAAGCAGGCCGGACATGCTGGCTCATGCCTGTAATTCCAGAACTTTAGTAGGCCAAGACAGGTGGATCACATTAGGTCAGAAGTTTGAAACGAGTCTGGCCAACATGGCGAGACCTCACCTCTACTAAAAATACAAAAATTAGCTGGGTGTGGTAGCATATACCTGTAGTCCTAGCTACTCAGAAGGCTGAGTCAGGAGAATTGCCTGAATCTGGGAGGTGGAGGTTGCAGTGAGCCAAGATCATGCCACTGCACTCCAGCCTGGATGACAGAGAAAGACTCCTTCTCAAAAAAAGAAAAAAACAGAGAAAAGAAAAGGAAAGAAAAGAAAAGCAGAAGCAGTCAAAACTGTTTGAGCCTAGGCTCCAAACCAACACATTGTCATGTTCTCAGGTTTCTACTGCCATGAGCAAATAAGGCCAGCCAGATCAAGCGTTTGGAAAATAGATTCTGACTCTTCATGGGAATGGCTGTAAAAGCACCTGTCAATGTACATGGATACAGGAGGGATGAAAAATTGCTACCATATTTGCAATCAGTATCCTTCTGCTTTTTTTTTTTTTTTTTTTTTTTTGAGATGGAGTCTCATTCTGTCACCAGGCTGGAGTGCAGTGGTGTGATATTGGCTCACTGCAACCTCTGCCTCCTGTGTTCAAGTGATTCTTGTGCCTCAGCCTCCCATGTAGCTGGTATTACAGGCCCACACCAACACACCCAGCTAATTTTTGTATTTTTAGTAGAGATGGGGTTTCTCCATGTTGGCCGGGATGGTCTTGATCTCCTGACGTCGTGATTCACCCAATTCAGCTTCCCAAAGTGCTGGGGTTACAGGCGTGAGCCACCATGCCCAGTCCATTCTGCTTTTTCTGCATATGTAGTCTGTAGAACTCTTCCACATCAAGAAATTGTCCAAACACTCACAGCTTCTAAGTGGCTGGGCCGGGACTCAGGATCAACTCTGTCTGACTTCAAAGCCTATGTACCTCCATGGATCACACTACTCAAGTAGCTGCCCTAGACTCTTAAAACCCTGGAGAGTGACACTTCTAAAATAAAAACCAGATTGCTTGTAGATTTGTGCCCATAAAGTACTATTTATTATTGGAAATAATCTCGAGAAATTACTGAAGCACATGGTGGCCTTAAATCCTTAATTCCAATACTTTGGGAGGCTTGGGAGGCTGAGATGGGAGAATCATTTAAGCTCAGGAGTTCAAGTGCAGCCTGGGCAACATAATAAGATCCTGGCTCAATAAAAGAAATTTAAAAAATTAACCAGGCATGATGATACTCAGGTGTCTAGGGCAGGAGGATTGTTTAAGACCGGAAGGTGGAAGCTGGATTAAGCCATGATTGATTACACGACTACACTCCAGCCTGGTTGATAGAGTGAGACTCTATTTCAAACAAAATGAAAAAACAAAAAAGAAATTGCAAAAGCATTTTGAAAGAACATAGAATAATTTGGAAAAAATAGCTGACATAGCTGATATAGAGTAATTTGGAAAACATAACTTATTTTAGATAATCAAAGCCCTACAACACATCACTTATTTTTTATCATAGAACAAATTTGAGGCCGGGCGTGGTGGCTCACACCTGTAATTCCAGCACTTTGGGAGGCTGAGGCGGGCAGATCACGTGATGTTGGGAGTTCGAGACCAGCCTGACCAACATGGTAAAACCCCGTCTCTACTGAAAATACAAAATTAGCCAAGCATGGTGGCTCGCTCCTGTAATCCCAGCTACTCAGGAGGCTGAGGCATGAGAATCACTTGAACTCGGGAGGCGGACATTGCAGTGAGCCGAGATCGCGCCACTGCACTCCAGCCTGGGCAACAGAGTGAGACACTGTCACACACACACACACACAAAAAAATATATATATATACACATATATATACATGTATATATACTTGTATATATATATGAAAGAAAACATTTGAAAACTTTTAAAAGAAAAATAACTTCAGAGAAATTAAATTTAACATAGTTTAATTAAGCAAATAATAATTTGCAAATTAAGTAGTCTGTGGGACCTGAGTAGCCTCAGAGAGAATCCAGCACAGCCACATGGTAAAAAAGATTTATGCACAGGAAAAGCAAAGTGACATACAGAAAATAGAAGTGGTACAGAAATAACCAGATTAATTACAGTTTGGGATTTGCCTTATTTGAATATGGCTTGAACAGTTGATGTTCTTTTATTGGCACAAACATAGTGGTTGGTACATGAATAGGTAACAATCTATTTAGATATCCAGTTAGGTTTTAGTTAACTATGTACAGAAAAACCTATTGACCGAAATTAAACATAAAAGGGGTTAACTTTAGGCTATAATTAATTTAACAATATTTCTCATTTGGTTAGCTTCTCAATTTTGAGAAATAACCCCAAACTTTAGACATCGATATTACTTTGTCACCATCAAAAATTTACTTATGGACGGGCATGGTGGCTCATGCCTGTAACCCCAGCACTTTGGGAGTCCAAGGCAGGCGGATCACAATGTCAGGAGTTCAAGACCAGCCTGGCCAATATGGTGAAACCCCATCTCTACTAAAAATATGAAAATTAGCCCATCGTGGTGGCGGGCACCCATAGTCCCAGCTACTCGGGAGGCTGAGGCAGGAGAATTGCTTGAACCTGAGAGGCAGAGGTTGCAGTGAGCCGAGATCATGCCACTGCACTCCAGCCTGGGTGACAGAGTGAGACTCCGTCTCAAAAAAAGGAAAGAAAAGAAAAGAAAAAAGATGTATTTAGTCTCAATTTCCACTGTAAAATAGTAGAACTGTGGGTTTTGTAAAGTGAAAAAAGGGACTTCAGGTTATTATTGTTTAAAAGGATTACAGTGGATGGGACCTCCTTGTATTGATATCTGCTGTTTGCAAAAGAAAAACAAGACCTGGTCAGTTTTAGAATCTACCTATTTCTTTAAATTTTCAGTTTAACTATGTCACATTTAGCATGAATGACTAATTGGTTCATTTTGGTCTGTTTGGGCCCAGTGAACAAGCTCAGTCCAGGATGATGGCCTCCAATAATTTTGTTTAAAAAGATTCCCCCCTTTTGATTAAGTTTTCACATAGATCGGAGTGTAACCAAACCTCAGAGTTTTAATGTCACTCTCAGTTTTCATTATTTTAGGTTTCCGTTCTTATCAGATCATTCATAGGTTATGGTGTTCTCATGGTCAAATACATCTTCAAGTTTTCATCATTCCAGTTAAAGAGAGATCACTTGGCATTCTAGAGATGACTGCATGCAAAGATTTATAATTTTTGAGAGAATAGAGTGCAGTAGGGTGACTATTATTTTGACTATCAGGAAAATAATATCAAGAGTTTGAAGTATGGATTTATTTATTTATTTATTTATTTATTTATTTATTTATTTATTTATTTATTTTGAGACGAAGTCTTGCTCTTGTCACCCAGGCTGGAGTGCAATGATGTGATCTTGGCTCACTGCAACCTCTGCCTCTGGGATTCAAGGGATTCTCCTGCCTCAGCCTCCCAAGTAGCTGGGATTATAGACTTGTGTCACCACAGCTGGCTAATTTTTGTATTTTTAGTAGAGACGGGGTTTCAACATGTTGGCCAGATTGGTTTCAAACTCCTGACCTCAAGTGATCCACCTGCCTTGGCCTCCCAAAGTGCTAGGATTACAGGCATGAGCCACCATGCTCAGCCTGAAGTATGCTTTTTAACCGAGGTCCCCATTGAACCAACCAACTATGATTAAATAGATCAAATGATTAGCTAGATAAGTGGTCTCCTCATTTCAACCAAGCAGTGTGTTCATTAATCCCCTACAACTGAATCTCTGTAATACTCGATGTATTTCTCCATGTGCAACTACAAATACTAGCAACTGCACAGATACTTCTCTGTTTATCCAGTAAGTAAACTAGATAAATTCTTTTATTTAGCACAACTTTAGTAAAAAATTTTAAAGTCTATTGGGTAACCATAGCCTTTACAGTAGAATCTGCTATTGAGCCTATTATGGAAGATAAATTTCCAACCATAGCCTCATTTACTCTAAGCCTTTGAAAGAAAGACCTAACGAATAATGACCACTCAGAAGAGTAATGGCCTCCTGGCAATGTGCTCTAACTTATTCTGCATAAGTTTCTCTTTAAGTCAATATTGCTCCAAGAGCAGTGGATAAATATTCTGTTTCTTATATTATGAGACAACAAATTTCCCATGTCACATTTAGCAAGAATGCGAGACATTTCTTATTTCTCACCTATAGTGGCCCTTCATCTTTTACCTATCCAGACATAAGTTTGTTGATATATAAGGTTAGTTGTGAAATTATTTACATATATAAGTATACCCCAAAAGTGCACACAAGAGATCCCTTTTTTATTTCTGTTGTTTGTAGAGCCATTAAAAAAGTGAACTAGGAGTGTCATGATAGAAGAGATGTCTTTGTTTTTGATCTTCTGGAGAAAGCTATCAATGTCAAGGTTGCCATCTGCTTTTGAGGAGAAGCTTCTCTGCTTAGATTTACCTAAAAGTCTCCAATTAAGATCTCCAGTATGATTGCAAGAGTTTAGAGGGCCCTTTGTGAGTTTAAAGATTATGAACCCAAGGTTTAAGATCCCAAAATCTTGATGCAGTGTAAGTGGCAAGCAGACTCATTCTCTTTGTTCTAGATTATAAAAGGTTTTCCTGTTCCCAGTCAGTAGATGATTAAAAGCTTTTCTGGCCAGGAGCAATGGCTGAACAGGTTCACACTGTGATGAAGGAGTGGGTTACAGTGAATAGGTTCCTTCTGTAATGAATGAGTGGGTGACAGTGAACAGGTTCCCACTGTGATGTCTGTGTGAGTGACAGTGAACAGGTTCCCACTGTGGTGAATGAGTGGGTGAGAGTGAACAGGTTCCCACTGTGTTGAGTGAGTGGGTGAGAGTGAACAGGTTCCCACTGTGATGAGTGAGTGACTGACAGTGAACAGGTTCCCACTGTGGTGAATGAGTGGGTGAGAATGAACAGGTTCCCACTGTGGTGAATGAGTGGGTGAGAGTGAACAGGTTCCACTGAGGTGAGTGAGTGGCTGACAGTGAACAGGTTCCCACTGTGGTGAAGGGGTGTCAGACAGTGAACATGTTCCCCCTGTGATTAATGAGTGGGAGACAGTGAACAGATTCCACTGTGATGAATGAGTGTGTGACAGTGAACAGGTTAATCCTGTAATAAATGAGTGGGAGGCAATGAACAGGTTCCCAATATGATGATTGTGTGGGTGACAGTGAACAGGTTCCCACTGTGGTGAATGAGTGGCTAAAATTGAACAGGTTCCTACTGTGGTGAATGAATGCCTGACAGTGAATAGGTTCCCACTGTGATGAATGAGTGGCTGATTGTGAAAAGGTTCCCTCTGTGATGAGTGAGTGGGTGCGAGTGAACAGGTTCTGACTGTGGTGTATGAGTGGGTGAAAATGAACAGTTTCCCACTGTGATGAGTGAGGGGCTGACAGTAAACAGGTTCCCACTGTGGTGACAGGGTGGCTGACAGTGAACAGGTTTCTATAGCGGTGAACGAGTGGGTGACAGTGAACTGGTTCCCACTGTGATGCATGAGCGGCCAAAGTGAAAAAGTTCCCACTGTGGTGAATGAGTGGGTGACAGTGAAAAAAATTCTAAGATGGTGAACCTGTGGATGACAGTCATCAGGTTTCTCCTGTAATGAATGAGTGGCTGACAGTAAACAGGTTTGCACTGTGATGAGTGAGTGGGTGAGACTGAACAGGGTTCTACTGTAATGAATAAGTGGGTGACAGTGAACACGTTCTCACAGTGATGAATGTGTTGGTGACAGTGAACAGGTTCCCACTGTGATAAATTAGTGGCTGACAGAGAACAGGTTCCCACTGTGGTGAAAGGGTAAGCGACAGTGAAAAAATTCCCACTCTGGTGACTGAGTGACTGACAGTGCACAGGTTTCTACTGCAGTGATTGAGTGGGTGACAGTGAACTGGTTCCCACTGTGGTGAATGAGTGGCTGACAGGGAAAAGGTTTCCATTGTGATGAATGAGTGCTGACAGTGAACACGTTCCTACTGTGGTGAATGAGTGTGTGACTGTCAACAAGATTCTACTGTTTTGAACGAGGGGGTGACAGTGATCATATTCCTCTGGTAATGGATGAGTAGGTGACAGTGAAGAGGTTGCCACTGTGATTAGTGATTGGGTGAAAGGGAAAAGGTTTCTACTGTGGTGAACGAGTGGGGGACAATGAACACGTTCTTACTGTGGTGAATGAGTGGCTGAGAGTAAACAGGTTCCCACTATGATTAATGAGTGGGTGACAGTGAACAGAGTCCCACTGTGATGAATGAGGGGGTGACAGTGAACAGGTTCCCACTGGGTAAATGAGCGGGTGAGAGTCAACAGTTTAGCACCGTGATGAGTGAGTGGGTGACAGTGAACAGGTTCCCGCTGTGGTAAATGAGTGGGCGACAGTGAACAGGTTTCCAAAGTGGTGTATAAGTGGCTGAGAGTGAACAGGTTCCCACTGTGATAAATGAGTGGGAGACAGTGAACAGGTTCCCATTGTGGAGAGTAAGAGGTTGACAGTCAACAGGTTCCCACTGTGGTGAATGAGTGGCTGACTGTGATCAGTTTCTCACTGAGATAAATGAGAGGATGACAGTGAACAGGTTCCCACTGCGATGAGGGAGTGGGTGACAGTGAACAAGTTCCCACTGTGGTGAGTGAGTGGGTGACAGTGAACAGGTTCCCACTGTGATGAAAGAGTGGGAGACAGTGAACAGTTTCACACTGTGATGAATGAGTGGGTGACAGTGAACAAGTTACCACTGTGATTAATGAGTGGCTGACAGTGAACAGGTTACCAATGTGATGAATGAGGGGCTGACGGTGAAAAGGTTGCCACTGTGTTGAATGAGTGGGTGACAGTGAAGAGGTTCCCACTGTGATGACTGAGTGGGTGACAGTGAATAGGTTTCCAGTGTGATGAATGAGTGAGTGACAGTTAACAGGTTCCCATTCTGGTGACTGAGTGGCTGACAGTGAGCAATTTTATGCTGCAGTGAACAAGTGGGTGACAGTGAATTGGTTCCCACTGTGGTGAATGAGTGGCTGAGAGGAACAACTTCCCACTGTGATGAATGAGAGGGTGACAGTGAACAGGTTTCTCCTGTGATGAATGAGTGGGTGACAGTGAACAGGGTTCCACTGTGATGAATGAGTAGGTTACAGTGAACAGGTTCCCACTGTGATGAGTGAGTGGGTGACAGTGAACAGGTTCCCACTGTGGTGAGTGAATGGGGGAAAGTGAAAAGTTTCCTACTGTGGTGAGTGAGGGGCTGACAGTCAACAATATCCCACTGTGGTGAATGTGGCTGACAGTGATCACTTTCCCACTGTGATAAATAAGTGGGTGACAGTGAATAGGTTCCACTTTGGTGAGTGAGTGGCTGACAGTGAACAGGTTTCCAGTGCAATGAATGAGTGTCTGACAGTGAACAGATTCCCACCTTGGTGAATGAGTGGGAGACAGTCAACAGTTTCCCACTGTGATGAATGAGTGGGTGACAGTGAACAGGTTCCTCCTGTGATCAATGAGTGGGAGGCAATGAACAGGTTCCCACTGTGATGAATGGATGGGTGACAGTGAACAGGTTCCCACTGTGATGAGTGAGTGGCTGACAGTAAATAGGTTCCTATGTGGTAACAGAGTGGCTGACTGAACAGGTTTCTACTGTGGTGAATGAGTCAGAGACAATGAAATATTTCCCTCGGTGTTGAACGAGTGGCTGACAGGGAAAGGTTCCCACTGTGATGAATAAGTGGGTGACAGTGAACAGGAATCTACTGTGGTGAATGAGTGGGTGACAGTGATCAGGTTCCTCCTGTAATGAATGAGTTGGGGACAGTGAATAAGTACCCACTGTGATAAATGAGTAACTGACAGTAAACAGAATTCCACTGTTAGTAGGTGACTGTGAACTGGTTTCTAGTATGGTGAATGAGTGGGTGAAAGTGAAGAGCATCCCACTGTGGTAAATAAGTGGCTGACAGTGAAGAGGTTCCCACTGTGATGAATGAGTCAGCGACACTGAAAATGTTAGTCCTGTAATGAATGAGTGGGTGACAGTGAACAGGTTCCCACTGTGATGAATGAATGGGTGAGAGTGAAAAGTTCCCACTGTGATGAATGAGTGGCTGACAGTGAACACGTTCCCACTGTGATGAATGAGTGGGTGACAGTGAACTAGTTCCCATTGTTGAGAATGAATGGGTAACAGTGAACAGGTTCCCACTGTGATGAATGAATGGGTGACAGGGAAGAGATTTCCACTGTGATGAATGAATGGGTGACAGTGAACAGGTTCCCACTGTGATGAAAAAGTGGGTGACAATTAACAGGCTGCCACTCTGATTAGTGAGTGAATGACGGTAAAAAAAGTTCTCATTGTGGTGATGGAGCGGGTGGCAGTGAACAGGTTCTCACTGTGGTTCATATGTGGTTGACAGTGAACAGGTTCTCACAGTGATGAATGTGTGGGTGAAAGTGAACAGGTTTTTACTTCGGTAAATGAGTGGGTTACAGTGAACAGGTTCTCATAGTGGTGAATGAGTGGGTGACAGTAAACAGGTTCCCACTGTAATGAATGAGTTGCTGACAGTGAACAGGTTCACACTGCAATGAACGAGTGGGTGACAGTAAACAGGTTCTGCCTATAATGAGTGAGTGGTTGAAAGTGAACAGGTTCCCATTTTGATGAATGAGTGTGTGACAGTAAACAGGTTCCTCCTGTAATGAATGAGTGGGTGAAAGGGAACGGGTTCCCACTGTGATGAAAAAGTGGGTGACAATAATCAGGTTCCCCTTGTAATGAATGAGTGGGTGAAAGTGAACAGTTTCCCACCGTGATGAGTGCATGTTGACCATGAACATGTTCCCAATGTAATGGAAGTGTGGGTGACAGTCAACAGGTTCTGACTGTGATGAGGGAGTGGGTAACAGTGAACAGGTTCCCACTGTGTTGACTGAGTGGGTGACAGTAAATTGGTTCCCATTTTGATAAGGGAATGGGTGACAGTGAACAAGTTCCCACTGTGATGGGTGAGCGGGTAACAGTGAACAGGTTTCCACTGCGATTCGTGAGTGTGTGACAGTGAAGAGGTTCCCACTGTGATGAATTAGTGGGTGACAGTGAAGAGGTTCCCACTGTGATGAGTGAGAGGCTGACAGTGAACAGGTTCTCACTATGGTGAATGAGTGGTTGAGAGTGAACAGGTTCCCACTGTGGTGAATAAGTGGCTGACAATGAACAAGTTCCCACTTTGATGAATGAGTGGTTTACAGTGAACAGGCTCCCACTTTGATGAGTGAGTGGGTGACAGTGAACAGGTTTCAACTTTGGTGAGTGAGGGGTGACAGTGAATAGGTTCCCACTGTGATGAATGAGTGGCTGAAAAAGAACAGGTTCCCACTGTGATTGATGAGTTGGTGACAGTGAACAAGTTCCCACTGTGATGTATAAGAAAGTGAGAGTGAACAAGTTCCAACTGTGCTTAGTAAGTTGCAGACAATGAACAGATTTCTACTGCAGTGAACAAGTGGGTGACAGTGAACAGTTTCCCACTGTAATGAATGGGTGTCTGACAGTGAACAGTTTCACAGTTTGATGAATGAGTGGTGACGGTGAACAGGTTCCCCTTGTAATGAATGAGAGGTTGACAATCAACAGGTTCCCATTGTGATCAATGAGTGGTGACAGCGAACAGGTTCCCACTGTGTTTAATGAGTGGGTGAGGGTGAACTGGTTCCCACTATGGTGAAAAAGTGAATGACAAAGAACAGGTACCCACAGTAATGAGTGAGTGGTTGACAGTGAACAGGTTTCCACTGTGATGAATGAGTTGGTTATGGTGAATAGGTTTACACCGTGACGAATGTGTATGTGACAGTGAACGGGCTCCCACTGTGGTGAATAAGTGGGTGGCAGTGAACAGGTTCTCATTGTAATGAATGAGTGGGTGAGAGTGAACAGGTTCTCACAGTGGCGAATGAGTGGTTGACAGTGAACAGGTTCTCTCTCTGATGAGTGAGTCAGTGAAAGTGAACAGGTTCCAACTGTGGTGAGTGAGTGGCTGACAGTGAACAGGTTCCCATTGTGGTGAATGAGTGCCTGACAGTGAACAGTTTCCCACTTTGATGAATGATTGGGTGACAGTGAACACGTTCCTTGTATGATAAATGAGTGAGTGACAGTGAATAAGTGTTTACTGTGTTGAACGATTGTGTGACAGTGAACAGGTTCCCACTGTGGTGAAAGAGTGGCTGGCAGTGAACAGGGTCCCATTATGATGAGTGTGTGGGTGACAGTGAAACGTTTCCTCCTGTAATGAATGAGTGGGTGACAGTCAACAGTCTTCCACTGTGAAGAATGCGTGGGTGACAGTGCACAGTTTTCCACTGTGGCGAATGAGTGGGTGAGAGTGAACAGTATTTCATTGTAATGGGTGAGTGGGTGACAGAGAACAGGTTCCCACTGTGGTGATTAAGCAGGTGACATTGAGCACATTCTCACTCTAATGAATGAATGTGTGACAGTGTACAGGTTACTCCTGTTATGATGAGTGGGTGACAGTGAACAAGTTCTTACTGTGGTGACTGAGTGACAGTGAACAGGTTCCCACTGTGATGAATGAATGGGTGACAGAGAACAGGTTCTCACTGTCGTGAATGAGTAGGTGTGAAAGAACAAGTTTCCAGTTTGGTTAGTGAGTGGGTGACAGTGAACATGTTCCCACTGTAAAGAGTGTGGTGGTGAGGGTGAACAGATTCCCACTATGGTGAATAAGTGGCTGACAGTGAATGGGTACCCACTGTGATGAGCGAGTTAGTGAGAGTGAACAGGTTCCCACTGTGATGAATATGTGGGTGACAGTGAACAGGTTCCCACTGTGAAGAGAGAATGGGTGAGAGTGAACAGCTTCCCACTCTGGTGAATTAGTGGGTAACAGTAAACAGTTTCCTCCTGTAATGAATGAGTGGGTGACAGTGAACAGTTATCCAATGTGGTGAATGAGTGGGTGAAAGAGAACAGGTTTTCACTGTGATGAGTGGATGAAAGTGAACAGGTTCCCACTGTGGTGAGTGAGTGGGTGACAGTGAACAAGTTTTCACTCTAATGAATGAGTGGGTGACAGTCAACTTGTTCCCACTGTGATGAATGTGTGGGTGACACTGAACAGTTTTCCAATGTGGTAAATGACTAAGTGACAGTGAACGGGTTCCCATGGTGGTGACTGAGTGGGTGACAGTGAACAGGTTCCAACTGTGATGAATGCGTGGGTGACAGTGACCATGTTCTCACTGTGGTGAATGAGTGGGTGGGAGAGAACAGCTTCCCACTGTGGTGAGTGAGTGGGTGACAGTGAACACGTTCCCACAGTGATGAGTGAGTTGGTGAGGGTGAACAGATTCCCACTGTGGTGAATAAGTGGCTAACATTGAAAGGGTAACCACTTTGATGAGTGAGTTGGTGAGAGTGAACAAGTTCCCACTGTGATGAATAAGTTGGTGACAGTGAACAGGTTCCCACTGTGATGAGTGAGTGGGTGAGAGTGAACAGGTTTCCATTGTGATAAATGACTGGGTAACAATGAGCAGGTTCCCACTGTGATGAGTGAGTGGGTGAAAGTGAACAGGTTCTCATTGTGGTGAGTGAGTGAGTGAAAGTGAACAGGTTTCATCTGTGATAAATGAGTGGGTGACAGTGAAAATGTTTCTCTGGCAATGAATGAGTGTGTGACGTTGAACAGGTTCCCATTGTAATGAATGAGTGGGTGACAGTGAAGATGTTCCCACTGTGGTGAATGAGTGGCTGAGAGTGTACAGGTTTTCACTGAGGTGACTGAGTGGGTGAGAGTGAACAGGTTCCCACAGTGATGAATGAGTGATTCACAGTGAACAGGTTCCCATAGGGATGAGTGAGTGGGCGACAGTGAACAGGTTCCCACTGTAATAAGTGAGTGCATGACAGTCAACCAGTTACCACTGTGATGAGTAAGTGGGTGACAGTGAACAAGTTCCCAAAGTGATGGATAAGTGGGTGATAGTTTCGCTGTGATTAGAGTGTGTGAAAGTGAACAGGTTCCCACTGTGATGAATGAGTGATTGACAGTGAAGAGGCTCCCACTGTAGTGAATGAGTGGGTGACAGTGTACAGGTTCCAACTGTGATGAATGAGTGTGTGAAAGTGAAGAGGTTCCTGCTGTGATGAATGAGTGGCTGACAGTGAACAGGTTTCCACTGTGGTGAATGAATGGTTGAGGTTGAACAGGTTCCCACAGTGGTGAATGAGTGGCTGACAACGTACAGCTTCCAACTGTGATGAATAAGTGGGTGACAGTGAACAGGTTCCCACCGTGATGAAGGAGTGGCTGACAGTGAACAAGTTCCCATTGTGATGAGTGAGTGGATGACAGTGATAAGTTTCCCACTGTAGTGAGAGTTTGGGAGACAATGTATAGGTTCCCAGTGTGATGAAAAATGGGTGACAGTGAACAGGTTCCCACTGTGATGAATCAGTGGGTGACAGTGAACTGGTTTCCACTGTGATGAGTGAGTGGGTGACAGTGAACATGTTCCCATTGTGATGAATGAGTGGCTGACCATGAACAGGTACCCAATGTGGTGAATGAGTGGGTGAGAAAGGACAGGTTCCCCTGTGGTAAGTTAGTTTGTGAAAGCGATCAGGTTCCCTCTGTGATGAGTGAGTCGGTGAGAGTTCACAGGTTCCCACTGAGATTAATGAGTGGCTGACAGTGAAGGGGTACCCACTGTGATGAGTGAGTGGGTGAGAGTGATCATATTCCCACTGTGCTGAATGTGTGGGTGACAGTGAACAGGTTCTCACTGTGATGAATGAGTGGGTGACAGTGAACAGGTTCTTACTGTGATGAGTAAGTGGGTGACAATGAACCGGTTTCCGTTGTGATGAGTGAGTGGGTGACAGTGAACAGGTTTCCATTGTGATGAACGAGTGGAAAACAGTGAACAGTTTCCCACTGTGATGAGTGAGTGGGTGACAGTGAACAGATTTCTACTGTGATTAGAGAGTGGGTGACAGTGAACTGGTTCTTACTGTCATGAGTGAGTTGGTGACAGTGAAGAGTTTATCATATTGATGAATGAGTGGGTGACAGTAAACATGTTCCCACAGTGATGAGTGAGAGCGTGACAGTGAACGGGTTCCCACTATGATGAATGAATGGGTGACAGTGAACAGGTTGCCACTGTGGTGAATGAGTTGGTGAGAGAGAACAGGTTTCCACTGTGATGAGTGAGTTTGCTGAAAGTGAATAGGTACCCACTGTGATGAGTGAGTTGGTGAGAGTGAACAGATTCCCACTGTGGTGAATGAGTGGGTGACAGTGAACAGATTCTCATAGGGATGAGTGAGTGGGCGACAGTGAACAAGTTCCCACTGTGATGAGTGATTGGGTGACATTGAACAGGTTCCCACTGTGATGAGTGAGTCGGTGACAGTGAACAGGTTCTCACTGTAGTGAGTGAGTTGCTGGCAGTGAACAGGTTAACACCGTGGTGAATGTGTGGGGACAGTGACTAGGTTTCTACTGTGTTGGATGAATGGGTGGCAGTAATCAGGGTCCTCCTTCAATGAATGAGTGGGTAACAGTTAACAAGTACTGACTGTGACGAATGAGTGGCTGACTGTGAACAGGATACCACTGTAATGAGTTAGTAGGTGGCAATGAACAGGTTCCCATTGTGGTGAATGATTGGGTGAGAGTGAACAGGTTCCTGCAGTGATGAGTGAGTGGCTGAGTGTGAACAGGTTCCTACCGTGGTGAATGGGTGGGTGAGAGTGAACAGGTTCCCACGTTAGTGAATGAATGGCTGACAGTGAACATGTTCTTAGTGTGATGACGGATTGGGTGACAGTGGAGAGGTTCCCACTATTGTGAGTCAGTTGCTGACAGTGAACAGGTTCTCACTGTGCTGAATGGGTGGGTGAGAGTGAACAGGTTGTGACCGTAGTGAATGAGTGGCTCACAGTGAACAGGTTCCCAATATGATGAGTGAGTTGACAACAGTGAACATGTTCCCACTGTGATAAATGAGTGGCTGACAGTGAACAGGTTCCCGCTGTGGTGAATGAGTAGGTGAGAGAGAACAGGCTTCCCCTGTGGTGAGTTAGTTGGTGACAGTGATAAAGTTCTCACTGTGATGAGTGAGTTGGTGAGAGTGAACATGTTCCCAATGTGATGAATGAGTGAGTAGACAGTGAACAGGTTCCCACTGTGATGAGTGAGTGTCTGACAGTAAACAGGTTCCCATTGTGGTGACTGAGTGGCTGACAGTGAACAGGTTTCTACTGCTGTGAACGGCTGTGTGACATTGAACAGCTTCCCACTGTGGTGAAAGTGTGGGTGACCGTGAACTTGTTCTAGCGGTGGTGAATGAGTGGCTGACAGTGAACAGTTTCTTACTGTGAGAAATGAGTGGGTGACAGTGAACAGGTACCCCATGTAATGAATGTGTGGGTGGTAAAGAACAGGTTCCAACTGTAATGAATGAGTGGGGGACAGTGAACAGGTTCCTCCTTTAATGAATGTGTGGGTGACAGTGAACAGGTCCCCACTGTCATAACTGAGTGGGTGACAGTGAACAGGTTCCCAAAGGAATGAATGAGTCTGTGACAGTGAACAGGTTACAACTGTGATGACTGAGTGGGTTACAGTGAAAAGGATCCCACTGTGGTGAATGAGTGAGAGATAGTGAAAACTTTTCACTTTAGTGAATGAGTGGGTGACAGTGAACATGTTCCCACTGTGGTGAATGAGTGGCTGATAGTAAACAGGTTCACACTGTGATGAGTGAGTGGGTGACAGTGAACAGGTTCCCACTGTGATGAGTGAGAGGCTGACAACAAAGAGGTTCCCACTGTGGTGAATAAGCGGGTGAAGGTGAACAGGTTCCCATTGTGAAGAATGAGTGGGTAAAAGTGAAGAGGTTCCTTTTTTTAGTACATGAGTGCCTTACAGTGAACAGGTTCCCACTATGATGAATGTGTGGATGGCAGAGAAGACATTCTCACTGTGATGAATGAGTGGCTGACAGTGAACCGTTTTCTACTGCAGTGAATGAATGTGGAAAGTGAACAGGTTTCTACTGTGTTGAATGAATGTGTGATAGAAATCAGGTTCCTCCTGTATTGAATGCATGGGTGACAAGGATCAGGTACTGAGTGTGAAGAAAGAATGGCTGACTGTGAACAGGTTCCCACTGTGATGAATGAGTGTGTGGCAGTGAACAGATTTCTACTGCGGTAAACCAGTGGTTAACAATGAATAGGTAACCACTGTAACGAATGAGTGGCTGACAGTGAACAGGTTTCCACTGTGATTAATGAGTGGGTGATAGTGAACAGGTTCCCACTGTGGTGAGTGAGTGATTGACAGTGAACAGTTTCCCTCTATGATGAATGAGTGGGTGACAGTAAACAGGTTCCTCATGTAATGAATGTATCGGTGACAGTGAACAGGTTCCCACTCTGGTGAATGAGTGGGTAGCAGTGAACAGGTTCCCAAAGGAATGAATGAGTTTGTGACAGTGAACAGGTTCCAACTGTGATGACTGAGTTACAGTGAACAGAATCTTACTGTGGTGAATGAGTAAGTGACAGTGAACAGCTTCCCACTGTAATGAATGAGTTAAAGACAGTGAACAGGTTCCCACTGTGATGACTGAGTGGGTGACAGTGAACAGGTTCCCACTGTAGTGCATGAGTGGCTGACAGTAAACAGGTTCGCACTGTGATGAGTGAGTGTGTGACAGTGAACAGGTTCCTACTGAGATGAGTGAGAGGCTGACAATGAACAGGTTCCCACTGTGGTGAATGAGTGGGTGACAGTAAACTGATTCCCACTGTGGTGAGTGAGCGGGTGACAGTGAACAGTTTCACACGTTGGTAAATGAGTGGCTGACAGTGAACAGGTTTCTAATGCAGTGAACGAGTGGGTGACAGTGAACAGGTTCCCAATTTGGTGAATGACTCACTGACAGTGAATATGTTACCACCGTGATGAATGAGTGGCTGACAGTGAACAGGTTCCCACTGTGGTGAATGAGTGAGTGACAGTGAGCAGGTTGCCATTGGGAAAAATGAGTGTGTGAAAGTGAAGAAGTTTCTTTTGTAATGAATGGGTGGGTGACAATAAACAGGTTTCCACTGTAATGAATGTGTGGATGACAGAGAAGAGGTTCCCACTATGGTGAATAAGGCAGTGAAGGTGAACAGGTTCCCATTGTGAAGAATGAGTGGGTGAAACTGAAGAGGCTCCTTTCGTAATGAATGAGTGGGTGACAGTGAACAGGTTCCCAGTGTGATGAATGTGTGGATGACAGAGAAGAGGTTCTCACTGTGGTGAATGAGTGGGTGACAGTGAACAGGTTCCCATTGTGATGAATGGGTTGATGACAGTGAACAGGTTTCTACTGTGGTAAATAAAAGGTTGACAGTGAACATGTTCCCACTGTGGTGAATGAGTGGCTGGCAGTGAACAGATTCCCAATGTTCTGAATGTGTGGGTGACAGTGAACATGTTCCTCGTGTGATAAGGGTGGGTGACAGTGAATAAGTACTCACTGTGATGAATGAGTGGGTGAAAGTGAACAGGTTCCCACTGGGGTGAAAGAGTGGGTGAGTGAACTGGTTCCCAAAGTGATGAGTGAGTGGGTGAGCATGAATAGGTTTCTACTGCAGTGAACAAGTGAGTGAGAGTGAACAGGTTCCCACAGTAGTGAATGAGTGTTTCACAATAAACATGTTCTTACTGTGATGACGGATTGGGTGACAAGGAATAAGTTCCCACTGTTGTGAATGAATTGTTGACAGTGAACAGGTTTTCACTGTGATGAATGGGCTGGTGAGAGTGAACAGGTTCGCACCATAGTGAACAGGTGGCTCACAGTAGCAGGTTCCCAATGTGATGAGTGAGTTAATGACAGTGAACCCATTGCCACTGTGAAGAGTGAGTGGCTCACAGTGAACAGGTTCCCACTGTGGTGAATGAGTGGGTGACAGTGAATAGGTTCTCACTGTGATGAGAAGGTGACAGTGAACTTGTACCCACAGTAGTGAATGAGTGTCTCATAATGAACATGTTCTTACTGTGATGATGGATTGGGTGACATTGAACGGGTTCCCACTGTTGTGAATGAGTTGCTGACAGTGAACAGGTTCTCACAGTGCTGAATGGGTTGGTGAGAGTGAACAGGGTCTCACCATAGTGAATTAGTGGCTCACAGTAGACAGATTCTCAATGTGATGAGTGAGTTAATGACAGTGAACCGGTTCCCACTCTGAAGAGTGAGTGGTTGACAGTGAACAGGTTCCCACTGTGGTGAATGAATGGGTGACAGTGAACAGGTTCCCACTGTGGTGAGTGGGTGACAGGAAATAGGTTCTCACTGTGATGAATGAGAGGGTGACAGTCAACTTGTACCCACTGTTGAGAATGAGTGTCTGACGGTAAACAGGTTCTGATGACTGAGTGGCTGACAGTGAACAGATTACTACTGCGGTGAACGAGTGGGTGGCATTGAAATGCTTCCCACTGTGGTGAATGAGTGGGTGACAGTGAACAGGTACCCAATGTTATGAAAGAGTGGCTGATGGTGAGCAGGTTTCCACTGTGATAAGTGAGTGGGTGACAGTGAACAGTTTCCCACTGTAATGAGTCAGTGAGTTGCAGTGAACTGGTTCCCCCTGTGATAAATGAGTGGGTGACAGTGAATAGGTTCCCACTGTGATGAGTGAGTGGGTGACAGTGAACATGTTCCCACTGTGATGAATGACTGGCTGACAGTGAACAGGTTCCCAATGTGGTAAATAAGTGGGTGAGAGAGAACAGGTTCCACCTGTTGTGAGTTAGTCTGTGACAGTGATCAGGTTCCACTGTGATGAGGGAGTAGGTGAGAGTTCACAGGTTCCCACTGTGATAAATGAGTGGCTGACAGTGAAGGAGTAGCCATTGTGATGAGTGGGTTGGTGAGAGTGAACAAGTTCCCACTATGATGAATGTGTGGGTGACAGTGAACAAGTTCCACCATGACGACTGAGTGGGTGGGAGTGAATAGGCTCCCACGGTGGTGAATTAGTGGGTAAGGGCAAACAGGTTCCCTCTCTGATGAGTGAGTGGATGACAGTGAACAGGTTCTTACTTTTTTTTTTTTTTTTTGAGACGGAGTTTCGCTCTTGTTGCCCAGGCTGGAGTGCAATGGCATGATCTCGGCTCACCGCAACCTCTGCTGCCTGGGTTCAAGTGATTCTCCTGCCTCAGCCTCCCGAGTAGCTGGGATTACAGGCATCCACCACCATGCCCGGCTAATTTTTGTATTTTTGGTAGAGACAGGGTTTCACCATATTGGCCAGGATGGTTTTGATCTCTTGACCTCGTGATCTGCCCGCCTAAGCCTCCCAAAGTGCTGGGATTACAGGCGTGAGCCACTGTGCCCAGCCACAGGTTCTTACTTTGATGAGTGAGTGGGTGACAGTGAACCGGTTCCCATTGTGATGAGTGAGTGGGTGACAGTGAACAGGTTTCCATTGTGATGAATGAGTGGGAAACAGTGAATAGTTTCCCACTGTGATGAGTGAGTGGGTGACAGTTAACAGGTTTCCACAGTGATTAGTGAGTGGGTGACAGTGAACAGGTTCCCACTGCCTTGAATGAGTTGGTGACAGTGAACTATTTACTATATTATTAATGAGTGAGTGACAGTGAACAGGTTCCCACTGTGAGGAATGAGTGGGTGACAGTGAACTGGTTCCCACTGTGGTGAATTAGTGGGTGAGAGAGAACAGGATCCCACTGTGGTAAGTGAATTGGTGACAGTGAATAGGTACCCACTGTGATGAATGAGTTGGTGAGAGTGAACAGATTCCCACTGTGGTGAATGAGTGGGTGACAGTTAACAGGTTCCCACTGTGATGAATGTGTTGTTGACAGTGAAGAGTTTCACACAGTGATGAGTGAGAGGCTGACAGTAAACAACTTGACACTTTGGTGACTGAGTGGCTGACAGTGAACAAATTTCTATTGAGCTGAAAGAGTGGGTGACAGTGAACTTCTTCCTACTGTGGTGAATGAGTGGCTGACAGTGAAGAAGTTAACACTGTGATGAATGAGTGGCTGACAGTGAACCGTTTCCTACTGTGTAGAATGACTGACAGTAATCAGGTTCCTCCTGTAATGAATGAGAGTGTGACAGTGAACAGTTACCGACTGTGACGAATGAGTGGCTGACTATGAACAGGTACCCTCTGTGATGAGTGAGTGTGTGACAGTGAACACGTTTGTATTGTGAAAGACTGGGTGACAATGAACAGGTTCCCACTGTGCTCAATGAGTGGCTGACAGTGAACAGGTTCCCACTGTGATGAATGAGTTGGTGACAGTGAACAGGTTCCTCCTGTATTGAAAAGTGGGTGACAGTGAACAAGTTCCCACTGTGGCGAATGTGTGGGTGAGAGTGAAGAGGTTCCCACAGTGATGAGTGAGTGGGTGAGGGTGAACAAGTTCCTACTGTGGTGAGTGAGTGGGTGAGAGTGAACAGGTTCCCACAGAAGTGAATGAGTGGCTTACAGTGAACATATTCTTAGTGTGATGATGGATTGGGTGACAGTGAACAGTTTCCCACTGCTGCGGATGAGTTTCTGACAGAGAACAGGTTCTCAATGTGCTGAATATGTGGGTGAAAGTTAACAAGTTCCCACCATAGTGAATAAGTGGCTCACAGTGAACAAGTTCCAAATGTGATGAGTGAGTTGGTGACAGTGAACAGGTTCACACTGTGATGAGTGAGGGACTGAGAGTGAACAGGTTCCCACTGTGGTGAATGAGTTGGTGACAGTGAACTGCTTCCCACTGTCGTTATTGAGTGGGTGACACTGAACATATTCTCACTGTGATGAATGAGAGTGTGACAGTGAACTGGTTCCCACTGTGGTGAATTGAGTGTCCGACAGTAAACAGCTTCTCACTGTGGTAAGTGAGTTGGTCACAACGAACAGGTTTCTACTGCAGTGAACTAATGGGTGACACTGAACCACTTCCCACTGTGGTAAATGAACATGTTCCCACTGTGATGAAGAAGTGGCTGACAGTGAACAGGTTTCCATTGTTATGCATGAGTGGGTGACAGTGAACAGTTTCCCACTGTGTTGAGTTAGTTGATGACAGTAATTAGGTTCCCACTGTGGTGGGTGAGTTGGCGAGAGTGCACAGGTTCCCACTGTAGTGAATGTGTGGCTGACAGTGAAGCGGTGCCCATAGTAATGAGTGGGTGAGAATGAAAATATTTGCACTGTGATGAATGTGTGGGTGACAGTGAAAAGGTTTCCACTTTGATGATTTAGTGGGTGAGAGTGAACAGGTTCCAACTGTAGGGAATGAGTGGGTAAGGGTGAACTGGTTTTCACTGTGATGAATGAGTGAGTGACAGTGAACAAGTTCTTACCCTGATGAATGAGTGGGTGACAGTGAACAGGTTCTTACTGTGATGAGTGAGTGGGTGAAAGTGAAGAGGTTCCCATTCTGATGAATGAGTGAAAGGCACCGAACAGGTTCCCACTGTGAATAGTGAGTGGGTGACAGTGAACAGGTTCCCAATGTGATGAGTGTGTGGGTGACAGTGAACAAGTTCCCACCATTGTTAATGCGGTCATGAGAGAGAACATGTTCCCACTGTGCTGAGTGAGTGGGTGACAGTGAACAGGTACCCACTGTGATGAGTGAGTTGGTGAGAGGGAACAGCTTCCCACAGTGGTGAATGAGTGGCTGACAGTGAACAAGAACACACTGTGATAAGTGAGTGGGTGAGAATAAACGGGTTCCCACTGTGATTAATGCGTGTGTGACAGTAAACGGGTTCCCACTGTGATGAGTGGGTGAGAGTGAACCGGTCCCCCTGTGGTCAGTGAGTGGGTAACAATGAACAGATTTTCAATGTGATGAGTGAATGGGTGACAGTGAACAGGTTCCCACTGTGGTGAATGAGTGGCTGACAGTGAAAAGGTTCTCACTGTGCTAAATGGGTGGGTGAGAGTGAAGAGGTACCCACAGTAGTGAACGAATGGCTGACAGTGAACCGGTTCACACTGTGGTGAGTGATTGGAGGACAGTGAACATGTTTCTACTGTTGTGAAAGAGTGAGTGACAGTGATAAGGTACCTCCTGTAATGAATGAGTGGATGACAGTGAACATGTTCCCACTGTGATGAATGAGTGTGTGACAGTGGACAGTTTCCCACTGTGGTGAATGAGTGGTTGAGAGTGAACAGGTTCTCACTGT
This sequence comes from Homo sapiens, assembly GCF_000001405.40. Classification (NCBI taxonomy): domain Eukaryota; kingdom Metazoa; phylum Chordata; class Mammalia; order Primates; family Hominidae; genus Homo; species Homo sapiens. The sequence goes on along the minus strand of NC_000019.10, from coordinate 20,899,708 downwards.
GGAGAGTGAGTGGTTGACAGTGAACAATATCTGACTGTGATGAATATGTGGTTGACAGTGAACAGGTTCCTCCTGTAATGAATGGGTTTGTGACAGTAAACAGGTACCCACTGCAATGAGTGAGTGGGCGACAGTGAAGAGGTTCCCACTGTGGTGAATGAGAGGGTGGCAGTGAACATGTTCCCAGTTTGATAAATGATTGGGTGACAGTGAACATGTTCCCACTGTGATAAGTGAATGGCTGACAGTAAACAGGTAACCACTGTGGTGACTGTGTGGCTGACAGTGTGCAGGTTTCTACTGCAGTGAACAAATGGGTGACAGTGAACTGTTTCCACTGTGGTGAATGAGTGGCTGACAGTGAACAGGTTCCCACTCTGGTGAATGAATGGTTGACAGTGAACAGGTTTCTACTGTGGTGAACGAGTGGGTGACAGTGATTAGGTTCCTCCTGTAATGAATGAGTGGGTGACAGTGATCTGGCACCCTCTGTGATGAGTGAGTGGCTGACAGTGAACAGGATACCACTGTGATGTGTGAGTGGGTGACAGTGAACATGTATCTACTGTGGTGAATGAGTGCTTGACAGTTAACTGGTTCCCACTGTGGTGAATGAGCAACTGACAGTGAACAAGTTCTCACTATGATGAATGAGTGGGTGACAGTGAACAGGTTCCTTTTGTAATGAATGGGTGACAGTGAAGATGTTCCCTCTGTGATAAATGAGTGGGTGACAGTGAACAGGTTCCCACTGTGGCAAATGAGTGGGTGAGAGGGAACAGGTTCCCACTGGGATGAGTGAGTTGGAGACAGTGAACAGGTAACCACTATGGTGAATGAGTGGGTGACAGTGAACAGGTTCCCAGTGAACAGGTTCCCAGTGAAATGAATGAGTTTTTGACAGTGAAAATGTTCCCACTGTGATGACTGAATGGGTGATAGTGAACACTTTCCCACTGTTGTGAATGAATGGCTGACAGTGGACAGGTTCTTACTTGTTGAATATGTGGCTGACAGTGAATAGCTTCTCACTGTGTTGAACGAGTGACTCAGAGTGAACAGGTTTTTCACAGTAGTGATTGAGTGGCTCACAGTGAAGAGTTTCCCACTGTGACAAGTGAGTGGGTGAGAACAGTTTCCCAGTGTGATGACTGAGTGGCTGGCAAGGAACAGGTTTCCACTCTGGTAAATGAATGGGTGACAGTAAACTGGTTCCTATCATGGTGAGTGAGTTGGTGACAGTGAACAGGTTCTTACTGTGATGAATGAGTGGGGTGACATTGAACAGGTTCTCGCTGTGATGAATGAGTGTGTGAACAGTGAACTGGTTCCCACTGTGGTGAACAAGTGGCTGATAGTAAACAGGTTCCCATTGTGATGACTGAGTGGCTGACAGTGAACAGCTTTCTACTGGGGTGGAAGAGTGTGTGAATGAGTGGGTGATGGTGAATTCCTTCCAACTGCGGAGAAAAAGTTGGTGAGTGAACAGGTTCCCGCTGCAATGAATGAGTGGCTAAAAAATGAACAGGTTCTCAATGTGGTGAATGAGAGGGCAACAGTGTGCAGGTTGTTACTGTGATGAATGCATGACTGACAGTGAAAAGGTTCCCTCTGTGTTGTATGTGTGGCTGACAGTGAACAGCTTTCTACTACAGCAAACGAGTGGGTGACAGTGAAAATGTTGCCACTGTGGTGAGTGAGTGGCTGATTGTTAACAGGTTTGCATTGTGGTGAATGAGAGGCTGGTAGTGAATAGGTTCCCACTGTGGTGAATGAGTGGGTGACAGTGAACAAGTTACCCCTGTAATGAATGAGTGGGTGACAGTGAACCACTGCCCACTGAGATGAATGAGTGAGTGACAGTAAACATGTTCCCACTGTGGCGAATGAGTAGGTGAAAGTGAACAGGTTCCCATTGCGGTGATTGTGTGGCTAATAGTTAATAGATTCTCACTGTGATGAGTAAGTATGTGACAGTGAACAGCATGCCACTGTGATAAATGAGCACATGACAGTGACCAGGTTCCCACTGTGATGAATGAGTGTGTGAAAGTCAGCAGGTTCCCATTGTGGTGAATGAGTGGGAGAGAGTGAAGAGGTTTGTACTGTGGTGAATGCGTGGCTGACAGTGAGCTGATTTTCATCGTGGTGAGTGAATTGATGACAGTCAACAGGTCCACACTGTGTTGAGTGAGTAGCTGACAATGGACAGGTTCTCAGTGTGATGAAAGAGTGAGTGACAGTGAAAACGTTCCCACAGTGATGAGTGAGTGGGTGACACTGAACAGGTTCCCACTGTGATGAATGAGTAGGTGACAGTGCACAGGCTCTTACTGTGATGAGTGGGTGGATGAAAGTGAAGAAGTTCCCATTGTGATGAGTGAGGGGTGACAGTGAACAGGTTCCCACTGTGATGAGTGAGTGGGTGACAGTGTAGAGATTCCCACTGTGGTTAATTAGTGGGAGAAAGTTAACAGGTTCCACCGTGTTGAGTTAGTGGGTGACAGTGAAAAGGTTCCCACTGTGGTGAATGAGTGTGAGAAAGAAAACAAGTTCCCTCTGTGATGAGCGAGTGGGTGACTGTAAACAGGTTCGCAATGTGATTAGTGAATGAATGACAGTGAACCGGTTTCCACTGTGATGAATGAGTGGATGACAGTGTACAGGATCCTCCTGTAATGAATGAGTGGGTGACAGTGAAAAGTTCCCACTATGATGAATGAGTGGGTGACAGTGAAAAGGTTCCCACTATGATGAATGAGTGGGTGACAGTGAATAGTTTCCCACTGTGGTGAATGAGTATGTGAAACTGAACAGGTTCCCACTCTGCTGAATGAGTGTGTGAAAGTGAATAGGTTCCCACTATGATGGTGAGTGGATGACAGTAAAGAGGTTCTCAATGTGGTGATGGAGTCGCTGACAGTGAACAGGTTACCAATGTGATGAATGAGCGGCTGACAGTGAACAGGTTCCCACTGTGTTGAATGAGTGGGTGGCAGTGAAAAGGATTCTACTGTGGTAAAAGAGTGGGTGACAAAGACCAAGTTTCCCCTGTAATGAACGAGTGGGTGACAGTGAACAAGTACCCACTCTGATGGATGAGTGGTGGACAGGGAACAGGTTTCCACTGTGATGCGTGTTTTGGTGACAGGAAACAAGTTTCTATTGCGGTGAATGAGTAGGTGACAGTGAACTGGTTCCAGTGTGATGAACGAGTGGCTGACAGGGAACAGATTCTCACTGTGGTGAATTAGAGATTGAGAGTGAACAGGTTCCCACAACAGGGAGTAAGTGGCTCACAGTGAAGAGGTTCCCACTCTGATGAGTGATTAGGTGACAGGGGACAGGTTCCCACTGTGATAACAGAGTGGATGAAAGTTAACAGATTAAGACTCTGGTGAATGAGTGGGTGACAGTGAACAGGTTCCCACTGTGGTGAGTGAGTGAATGATGGTGACAGGATCCAACTGTGAGGAATGAGTGGGTGACAGTGAACAGGTTCTCGTTTTCATGAAGGAATGGGTGGCAGCGAACTGGTTCCCACTGTGGTGAATGAGTGGCTGACAGTAAACAGGTTTCCACTGTGATGCGTGTATCAGTGACAGTAAACAAGTTTCTACTGCGGTGAACGAGTAGGTGACAGTGAACTGGTTCCCACTGTGATGACTGAGTGGCTGACAGTGAGCAGATTCTCACTGTGGTGAATTAGAGATTGAGAGTGAACAGGTTCCCACAACAGGGAATAAGTGGCTCACAGTGAAGAGGTTCCCACTGTGATGAATTATTAGGTGACAGTGGAGAGGTTCCCACTGTGATAACAGAGTGGCTGAAAGTTAACAGGTTAATATCTCCTTTATCATTTTCAATAAAAATGATCATTTTCAATAAAAAATGATAAAGGGGATATCACCACCGATCCCACAGAAATACAAACTACCATCAGAGAATACTACAAACACCTCTACGCAAATAAACTAGAAAATCTAGAAGAAATGGATAAATTCCTCGACACATACAACCTCCCAAGACTAAACCAGGAAGAAGTTGAGTCTCTGAATAGACCAATAACAGGCTCTGAAATTGTGGCAATAACCAATAGCTTACCATCCAAAAAGAGTCCAGGACCAGATGGATTCACAGCCGAATTCTACCAGAGATACAAGGAGGAACTGTTACCATTCCTTCCGAAACTATTCCAATCAATAGAAAAAGAGGGAATCCTCCCTAACTCATTTTATGAGGCCAGCATCATCCTGATACCAAAGCCGGGCAGAGACACAACCAAAAGAGAGAATTTTAGACCAATATCCTTGATGAACATTGATGCAAAAATCCTCAATAAAATACTGGCAAACCGAATCCAGCAGCACATCAAAAAGCTTATCCACCATGATCAAGTGGGCTTCATCCCTGGGATGCAAGGCTGGTTCAATATACACAAATCAATAAATGTAATCCAGCATATAAACAGAACCAAAGACAAAAACCACATGATTATCTCAATAGATGCAGAAAAGGCTTTTGACAAAATTCAACAACACTTCATGCTAAAAACTCTCAATAAATTAGGTATTGATGGGACGTATCTCAAAATAATAAGACCTATCTATGACAAAGCCACAGCCAATATCATACTGAATGGGCAAAAACTGGAAGCATTCCCTTTGAAAACTGGCACAAGACAGGGATGCCCTCTCTCACCACTCCTATTCAACATAGTGTTGGAAGTTCTGGCCAGGGTAATTAGGCAGGAGAAGGAAATAAAGTGTATTCAATTAGGAAAAGAGGAAGTCAAATTGTCCCTGTTTGCAGACGACATGATTGTATATCTAGAAAACCCCATTGTCTCAGCCCAAAATCTCCTTAAGCTGATAAACAACTTCAGCAAAGTCTCAGCATGCAAAATCAATGTACAAAAATCACAAGCACACTTATACACCAATAACAGACAAACAGAGAGCCAAATCATGAGCGAACCCCCATTCACAATTACTTCAAAGAGAATAAAATACCTAGGAATCCAACTTACAAGGGATGTGAAGGACCTCTTCAAGGAGTACTACAAACCACTGCTCAATGAAATAAAAGAGGATACAAAGAAATGGAAGAACATTCCATGCTCATGGGTAGGAAGAATCAATATTGTGAAAATGGCCATACTGCCCAAGGTAATTTATAGATTCAATGCCATCCCCATCAAGCTACCAATGACTTTCTTCACAGAATTGGAAAAAACTACTTTAAAGTTCATATGGAACCAAAAAAGAGCCCGCATCACCAAGTCAATCCTAAGTCAAAAGAACAAAGCTGGAGGCATCATGCTACCTGACTTCAAACTATACTACAAGGCTACAGTAACCAAAACAGCATGGTACTGGTACCAAAACAGAGATATAGATCAATGGAACAGAACAGAGCCCTCAGAAATAATGCCCCATATCTACAACTATCTGATCTTTGACAAACCTGACAAAAACAAGCAATGGGGAAAGGATTCCCTATTTAATAAATGGTGCTGGGAAAACTGGCTAGCCATATGTAGAAAGCTGAAACTGGATCCCTTCCTTACACCTTATACAAAAATCAATTCAAGATGGATTAAAGACTTAAACTTTAGACCTAAAACCATAAAAACCCTAGAAGAAAACCTAGGCATTACCACTCAGGTCATAGGCATGGGCGAGGACCTCATGTCTCAAACACCAAAAGTAATGGCAACAGAAGCCAAAATTGACAAATGGGATCTAATTAAACTAAAGAGCTTCTGCACAGCAAAAGAAACTACCATCAGAGTGAACAGGCAACCTACAAAATGGGAGAAAATTTTCGCAACCTACTCATCTGACAAAGGGCTAATATCCAGAATCTACAATGAACTCAAACAAATTTACAAGAAAAAACTAACAACCCCATCAAATAGTGGGTGAAGGACATGAGCAGACACTTCTCAAAAGAAGACATTTATGCAGCCAAAAAACACATGAAAAAATGCTCACCATCACTGGCCATCAGAGAAATGCAAATCAAAACCACAATGAGATACCATCTCACACCAGTTAGAATGGCAATCATTAAAAAGTCATGAAACAACAGGTGCTGGAGAGGATGTGGAGAAATAGGAACACTTTTACACTGTTGGTGGGACTGTAAACTAGTTCAACCATTGTGGAAGTCAGTGTGGCAATTCCTCAGGGATCTAGAACTAGAAATACCATTTGACCCAGCCATCCCATTACTGGGTATATACCTAAAGGACTATAAATCATGCTGCTATAAAGACACATGCACACATATGTTTATTGCAGCACTATTCACAATAGCAAAGACTTGGAACCAAGCCAAATGTCCAACAATGATAGACTGGATTAAGAAAATGTGGCACATATACACCATGGAATACTATGCAGCCATAAAAAATGATGAGTTCATGTCCTTTGTAGGGACATGGATGAAATTGGAAATCATCATTCTCAGCACACTATCGCAAGGACAAAAAACCAAACACTGCATGTTCTCACTCATAGGTGGGAATTGAACTATGAGAACACATGGACACAGGAAGGGGAACTTCACACTCTGGGGACTGTTGTGGGGTGGGAGTGGGGGGAGGGATAGCATTAGGAGATATGCCTAATGCTAAATGACGAGTTAATGGGTGCGGCACACCAGCATGGCACATGTATACATATTTAACTAACCTGCACATTGTGCACATGTACCCTAAAACTTAAAGTATAATAATAATAATAATAAAAAAATAAAAAAGAAAAGCTTTCCACAGTGGTGAAAGAATGGGTGAGAGTGAACAGCTTCCCATCGTGGTGAATGGTGAATGAGTGGCTGTCAGTGAACAGGTTCCCACTGTGATTACTGAGTTTTTGAGAGTGACAGGTTCCCACTGTGATGAATGAGTGAGTGACAGTGACAGGTTCCCATTGTGATGCAGGAGTGGGTAACAGTTAAATTGTTTCCACTGTGGTGAATGAGTGGGTGAGAATAAACAGGTTTTCACTGTGGTGAGTGAGTGGCTGACAGTCAACAGGTTCCCACTCTGGGGATTGAGTGAGTGACAGTGAACAGGTTCCCAGTGTGATGAGTGAGTGGGTGAAAATTAATAGGATCCCAGTGTGATGCATGAGTGGGTGACAGTGAACAGGTTCCCATGGTGATGAATGAGGGGTTTACTGTGAACAGGTTCCCAATGTGAAGAATGAGCAGCTGACAGTGAACAGGTTCCCACTGTGATGAGTAAGTGAGTGACAGTGAATAGGTATCTACTGTGATGAGTGAGTGGGTGACAGCTAACAAGTTACCGCTGTGATGTATGAGTGGGTGAGAGTGAACAGGTTCCACGGTGGCAATTGAGTTGGTGGCAATGAACAGGTTTTCACTGTGGTGACTGTGTGGGTGACAGTGAACAGGTTGCCACTGTGATGTGTCAGTGGCTGACAGTGAACAGCTTCTCACTGTGGTTAATGGGTGGCTGACAGTGAACAGGTTCCTACTGTGATGAATAAGTTACTGAGAGTAAAGAGGTTCGTCCAGTAATGAATAAGTGGGAGACAGTGAGCAGTTTCCCATTGTGGTGAATGAGTGGGTGAGAGTGAAAAGATTCCTAATGTGGTGAATGAATGGCTGACCATGAACAGGTTCTCACTGTGATGAGTGAGTGACAGTGAACAGATTCCCACTATGATAAATGTGTGGGTGACAGTAAACAGATTTCCACTGTAGTGAAGGAGTGAATGACAGTAAACTGGTTCCCACTGTGGTGAATGAGTGGCTGACTGTAAACAGGTTCCCACTGTGGTGACTGAGTGGCTTACAGTGAACAGGTTTCTACTGCGGTGAACGAGTGGTTGACAGTAAATTACTTCCCACTGTGGTGAATGAGTGGGTGACAGTGAAATGGTTCCCATTCTGATGAATGAATGTCTGACAGTGAACAGGTTACCACTGTGGTGAATGTGTGGTCGACAGTGAACAGTTTCCCACTTTGATAAATTAGTGGGTGACAGTGAACATGTTCCCACTTTGGTGAGTAAGTTGGTGATAGTGAACAGGTTTCTACTATGGTGAACGAGTGGATGACAGTGAACAGGTTCCCAATGTGGGAAATGAGTGCCTGACAGTCAACAGGTTCCCACTGTGGTGAATGAGTGGCTGACATTGAACAGGTTCCCACCATGATGAATGAGTTGGTGACAGTAAAGACGTTCCTCCTGTAATGAATGAGTGTGTGACAGTGAACAGGTTCTCACCATGATGGTTCAGTGGGTGACAGTGAACATGTTTACACTGTGGAAAATGTTTTGGTGAGAGTGAAAATGTTCCCACTGTGGTGAATGTATGGCTGACAGTGAATGGGTTCCCACTGTGATGAATGAGTTGGTGAAAGTTAACAGGTTCCCACTGTGATGAAAATGTGGGTGACAGTGAACAGGTTCCCACTGTGATGAATGATTAGGTGACAATCAACAGATTCCCACTGTGGTGAAAGAGAGGGTGAGGGGGAAAAGGCTCCTACTGTGGTGAAGGAATGACTGACAGTGAACAGGTTCCCACTATGGTGTGTGAGTGTATGACAGTGAAAAGGTTCCCATTATGATGAGAGAATGGGTGACAATATATAGATTCCCAGTGTGATGAATGAGTGGGTGACAGTGAACAGGTCCCCACTATGATAAAAGAGTGGGTGACAGTGAGCAGCTTCTCACTGGGATGAATGAGTTGCTGACAGTGAACACATTCCCACTGTGATGAGTAAGTGGGTGATATTGAACAGATTCCCATTGTGATGAGTGAGTGGGTGACTTTCAACAGGTTCCTGATGTGATGAGTGAGTGCTGGACAGTTAAGAGGTTACAATTGTTATGAATGAGTGGAAGACAGTGAAAGGGTTCCCACTCTAATGAGTGAGTGGCTGACAGTGAACAGGTCCCCACTTTGAGAATGTATGGGTGACAGTGAACAAGTGGTTAATAGTGAACAGGTTCCCATTATAATGAGTGAGTGGGTGACAGTGAAGAGGTTCCCATTGTGATAAATGAGTGGCTTATAGTGAACGGATTTCTACTCTGATGAATGTTGACAGTGAACAGGTTGCCACTGTAGTAAATAAGTGGCTGACATGGAACAGGTTCTCAGTGTGGTGAATGAGTGGGTTAGAGTAAACAGGTTTCTTCTGTAATGAACCAGTGGGCAATGAACAGGTTCCCACTGTGGTGGATGAGTAAGTGACAGTGAACAGGTTCACACTGTGGTGAATGAGTGGCTGACAGTGAACAGGTTCTCACTGTGATAAATCAGTGCGTGACAGTGAACTGCTTCCCACTGAGGAGAATGAGTGACTGAGAGTGAACATGTTCCCAATGTTATGAGTGAGTTGGTGACAGAGAAAATGTATCACTGTGATGCATGAGTGGGTAACAGAGAACAGGTTTCCATTGTAATTAGTGTGTGGATGACAGTGAACACGTTTCCACTGTGATGAATGAGTGGGTGACAGTGAACAGGTTCTCACTGTGATGAATGAGTGGTTGAGAATGAAGAAGTTCCCACTGTGGTGAGTGAGTGGGTGACATTGATCTGGTTCCCATTGTACTGAGTGTGTGGGTGAAAGTGAAGAGGTTCCCACTGTGATGAATGAGTTGCTTATAGTTAACGGGTTTCCACTGTGATGAATGAATGGGTGACAGTGAACAGGTTCCAACTGTGGGAAATGAGTGGCTGCCAGGGAAAAGGGTCTCGTTGTAATGAATGAGTGGGTGAGAGTGAACAGGATTCCACAGTGGTGAATGTGTGGTTGACACTGAAAAGGGTCTTACTGTGATGTATGTGTTGGTGACCATAAACAGGTTCCCACTGTGATGAGTGAGTGGGGGAGAGTTAACAGGTTCCCACTGTGGTGAATGAGTGGCTGACAGTGAATAGGTTTCCACTGTGATGAATGAGTGGCTGACAGTGAACAGGTTCCCACTCTGGTGAATAAGTGGGTGACAAAGAACAGGCTTCCACTGTGATGAGTGATTGCATGAGAGGGAACAGTTGCCTTTTGTTATGAATGTGTGAGTGACTGTGAACAGGGTTCCCACTCTGATGAATGAGTGTGTGACAGTGAAGTGTTTCCCACAGTGGTGAATGAGTGGGTGACAGTGAACAGGTTCCCACTGTGAGGAATGAGTAGCTCACAGTAAAGAGGTTCCCACTGTGATGAGTGAGTGGGTGACAGTGAACAGGTACCCACTGTGATGAGTGAATGGGTGACAGTTAAAACTTTCCAACTGTGATAAGTTAGTGGGTGACAGTTAACAAGTTACCATTGTCATGTATGAGTGGGTGAGAGTGAACAGGTTCCCACTGTGGTGAAAGAGTGATTGACCATGAAAAGTATCTCACTGTGATGAGTGTGTGGGTGAGAGTGAATAGGTTCCCACTGTGATAAATGTGTAGGTAACCATTAACAGGATCCCACTGAGATGAATGGGTGGGTGACAGTCAACAGGTTCCCAATGTGTTGAATGTGTGGGTGAGAGTGAATAGGTTCCCACTGTGGTGAATGAGTGGCTGACATTAAACCCATTCCCACTGTGGTTAGTGAGTGGGTGAGAGTGAATAGGTTCCCACTGTGGTTATTGGGTGGCTGACAGTGAACAGGTTCCCACGCTGGTGAGTGAGTGGGTGACAATGAATATTTTCCCACTGTGATGAGTGAGTAGGTGACAGTGAACAGGTTCCCACTGTGGTGAGTGGGTGGCTGACTGAGAACAGCTTCCCAATGTGGTGAACAAGTGGGCGAGTGAACAGGTTCTCACTGTGATGAATAAGTGGGTGACAGTGAACAGGTTTCCATGGTGATGAATGAGTGGGTGACAGTGAAAAGTTTCCTCTTGTAATTAATGAGTGGGAGACTGTGAACAAGTTTGCACTGTGATGAATGAGTGGGTAACAGAGAACAGCGTCCCACCGTGGTGAATGAGTGGCTGAAAGTAAACAGGTTCCCCTTGTGGTGAACGAGTGGCTGATAGTGAACAGTTTCCCACTGTGATGAATGAGTTTGTGACCATTAACTGGTTCCCATTGTGATGAGTGAGGGGCTGACAGTGAACAGGTACCCACTGTGATGAATGTGTGGCTGACATTGAACAGGTTTTCATTGTGGTGAATGAGATGGTGACAGTGAAAAGGTTTTTACTGTGGTGAGTGAGTGGGTGACAGTGAACAGGTTTTCACTGTGAGGAATGAGTGGGTGAAAGTGAACATGTTCTAACAGAGATGAAAGAGTGGGTGACAGTCAGAAGTTTCCCACTGTGCTGAATGAGTGGGTGAGAGTGAAGAGGTTCCCACTGTGGTTATTGGGTGGCTGACAGTGAGCAGGTTCCCAAGCTGATGAGTGAGTGGGCAACAATGAATATTTTCCCACTGTGATGAGTGAGTAGGTGACAGTGAACAGGTTCCCACTGTGGTGAGTGGGTGGCTGACTGAGAACAGCTTCCCAATGTGGTGAACAAGTGGGCGAGTGAACAGGTTCTCACTGTGATGAATAAGTGGGTGACAGTGAACGGGTTTCCATGGTGATGAATGAGTGGGTGACAGTGAAAAGCTTCCTCTTGTAATTAATGAGTGGGAAACAGTGAAAAAGTTTGCACTGTGATGAATGAATGGGTAACAGTGAACAGGATCCCACAGTGGTGAATGAGTGGCTGAAACCGAACAGGTTCCCCTTGTGGTGAATGAGTGGCTGATAGTGAACAGTTTCCCACTGTGATGAATGAGTTTGTGACAGTTAGCTGGTTCCCATTGTGATGAGTGAGGGGCTGACAGTGAACAGGTACCCACTGTAGTGAATGTGTGGCTGACATTGAACAGGTTTTCATTGTGGTGAATGAGATGGTGACAGTGAACAGGTTTTTACTGTGGTGAGTGCGTGGGTGACAGTGAACAGGTTTTCACTGTGAGGTATGAGTGGTTGACAGTGAACATGTTCTAACAGAGATGAAAGAGTGGGTGACAGTGAACTGCTTCCCACTGTGGTGGATGAGTGGCTCACAGCAAACAGGTTCCCAGTATGGTGCCTGAGTGGCTGACAGTAAACAGGGTTTTACTGCGGTTAACGAGTGGGTTACAGTGAACTGGTTCCCACTGTGGTGAGTGAGTGGCTGACAGTGAGTAGGCTGCCACTGTGATGAATGAGTGGCTGACAGTGAACAGGTTCACACTCTAGTGAGTAAGTGGGTGACAGTGAACAGGTTCCCACTTTGATGAGTGAGTGCGTGAGATCAAACAGTTTCCTTTTGTAATGAATGTGTGAGTGACTGTGAAATGGTTCCCACTCTGATGAATGAGTGGGTTACAGTGAAGACGTTCACACTGTGGTGAATGAGTGGGTGAAAGTGAACTGGTTCCCAATGTGAAGAATGAATGTGTGACAGTGAAGAGCTTCCCAGTGTGATGAGTGACTGGTTAAGGTGAACAGGTTCCCAATGTGGTGAATGAGTGGGTGAGAGTGAACAGATTTCCACTGTGATGAGTGACAGACTGACAGTGACAGGTTAGCACAGAGGTGAGTGAGTGGGTGACAGTGATCAGGTTTCCACTGTAATGAATGAGTGGGAGACAGTGAACACTTTCCTTCTGTAATGAATGAGTCCATGAAGGTGAACAGGTTCCCTCTGTAATAAATGACTGTGTGACAGTGAAGAGGTTCCCACTGTGATGAATGAGTGGGTGACAGTGAATGGTTCCCACTGTGGTGAATGAGTGCCTGAGAGTAAACAGGTTCCAATCGTAGTGGCTGAGTGGCTGACAGTGAACAGGTTTATACTGTGGTGAGCGAGAGGGTGAAGGTGAAATGGTTCCCACTGTGGTGAATGAGTAGGTGAGAGAGAACTGATTACCACTGTGGGGAATGAGTGTTTGAAAGTGAACAGGTTCATTCTGTGGTGAATGTGTGGGCGACAGTGAATAGGTCCCAACTGTGATGAATAAGTGGGTGACGCTAAACAGGTTCCCATTTTGGTCAACGTATGGCTGACAGTGAATAGGTTTTTACTGCGGTTAACGAGTGAGTGACAGTGAACAGGTTCCCACTGTAATGAATAACTTGCTGACAGTAAAGAGGTTCCTCCATTAATGAATAAGTGGGAGATAGTGAACAGGGTCCCACTTTGGTGAATGAGTGAGTGAGAGTGAAAAGATTCCCACTGTGTTGAATGTGTGTCTGATAATGAATAGGTTCTCACTGCGATGAGTGAGTGGGTGACAGTGAACAGGTTCCCACTGTGATGAATGTGTGGGTGACAGTGAACAGGTTCTCACTGTGGTGAATGAGTGAATGACAGTGATTCTCACTGTGGTGGATGAGTGGCAGAAATTAAACAGGTTCTCTTTGTGGTGACTGAGTGGCTTACAGTGCACAGGTTTCTCGTGCAGTGAACGAGTGAATGACAATGAACTACTTCCCACTGCTCTCGATGAGTGGGTGAGAGTAAAATGGCTCCCACTGTGATAAACGAGTGGCTCACAATGAATAGGTTACCACAGTGATGAATGAGTGGGCGACAGTGAACAGTTTCCCAGTGTGATTTATGAGTGGGTGACCGTGAACTGGTTCCCACTTTGGCGAATAATTGGGAGACAGTGAACAGGTTTCTACAGAGGTGAATGAGTGGGTGACAGTGAACAAATTTCCACTATTGGGAGTGAGTGGCTGAAAGTGAACGGGTTTCCACTGTGGGAAGTGAGTGGCTGACATTAAACAGGTTTAATGTGATTAATCACTGTGATTAATGAGTAGGTGACAGTAAACACGTTCCTCCTGTAATGAATGAGTGTGTGACAGTGAACAGGTTCCCACCATAAAGATTTAGTGGGTGATAGTAAACGGGTTGCCACTGTGGTGAATGTTTGGGTGAGAGACAAAATGTTCCCACTGTGGTGAATGAGTGGCTAACAGTGAAGTTTCTCACTGTCATAAGTGAATGGATGACAGTGAACAGGTTCCCACTTTGATGAATGTGTGTGTGACAGCGAACAGATTACCACTGTGATGAATGGGTGGGAGACAATCAATAGATTCCCCACTGTCGTGAATGAGTGGGTGGGAGTGGACACGTTCCCACTGTGGAGAATGAGTGGCTGACAGTGAGCAGGTTCCCACTATGGTGTGTGAGTGGGTGACAGTGAACAGGTTCCCATTATGAGGAGTGAGTGGGTGACAATAAATAGGCTGCAGTGTGATGAATGAGTGGGGTGACAGTGAACAGGTTCCAACTGTGATAAATTATTGAGTGACAATGTGCAGCTTCCCACTGTGATGAATGAGTGGTGGCAGTGAATCCGTTTGCATTGTGATGAGTCAGTGAGTGACAGCGAAAAGATTCAAACTGTGATGAGTGACTGGGTGACTTTTGACACATTCTTGATTTGATCAGTGAGTGGGTGACAGCGAACAGGTTACAATTTTGATGTATAAGTGGGTGACAGTGAACAGGTTCCCACTCTAATGAGTGAGTGGGTGACAGTGAACAGGTTCTCACTGAGAGAAGGAATGGGTGGCAGTGAACAGATTTTAACAGTGGTAAGTGAGTGGGTGAGTATGAACAGATTCTCACTGTGGTTAGTGAGTGCTTGACAGCCAAGAGGTTCCCACTGTGATGATTGAGTGGGTGTGAATGAACAGGTTCCCACTGTGGTGAATGAGTGGTCAACAGGGAACAGGTTCCCACTGTAATGAGTGAGTGGGTGACAGTGAAGAGGTTCCGACTGTGATGAATGAGTGGCTTATAGTGAACGGGTTCTGACTGTGATGAATGAGTGGGTGACAGTGAGCAGGTTTCCTCTGTGGTGAATGAGTGGCTGACATAGAACTGGTTCTCACTGTGGAGAATGAGTGGTTTAGAGTGAATAGGTTCCCACAGTTGTGAGTGTGTGGTTTACAGTGAACAGGTTCTTACTATGATGAAGGAGAGGGTGACAGTGAGCAGGTTCCCACTGTAATGAGACAGTGGGTGACAGTGAACAGGTTCTGACAGTTTTGAGTGAGTGGGTGACAGTGAACAGGTTCCCACAGTAGTGAATGAGTGCTTGACAGTGAACGGGTTTCCACTATGATGAATGAGTGTGTGACAGTGAACATGTTCCCACTCTAATGACCTTGTGGGTGACAGTGAACAGGTTCTTCCCACAATGAATGATTGGGTGACAACGAACAGGTTTGCACGGTAATGAAAGAGTGGGTGATAGTGAACAGGTTCGCACTGTGGTGAATGTGTGGCTGAAAGTGGACATGTTGTCCCTGTGGTGAATGACTGGCTGACAGTGAACAGGTTTCCACTGTGATGAATGGGTGACAGTGAATAGGTTCCCAATGTGTTGAGTGAATAGCTGACAGTGAAGAGGATCCCACTGTGATTAATGAGTGCCTGACACTGAACAGGTTCCCACTATGGTGAATGTGTAAGTGAGAGTGAACATGTTCCCACTGTGGTGAGTGAAAGGTGGACAGTGAAAGTTCCCATCCTGATGAGTAAGTGGGTGAGAATGAACAGGTTCTAACTGTAATGAAACAGTGCATGACAGTGAACGGTTTCCTGCTGTGGAGAATGTTTGACTGACAGTGAATATGTTCCCAAAGTGATGAGTGAGTGGATGACAGTGAACAGGTTCCCACTGTGATGAATGAGTGGCTTATAGTGAACGGGTTCTGACTGTGATGAATTAGTGGTGACAGTGACCAGGTTCCCAATATGGTGAATAAGTGGCTGATGTAGAACTTGTTCTCACTGTGGTGAATGAGTGATTTAGAGTGAAGAGGTTCCCACAGTTGTGAGTATGTGGTTTACAGTGAACAGGTTCTTACTGTGATGAATGAGAGGACGACAGTGAGCAGGTTCCCACTGTAATGAGAGAATGGGTGACGGTGAACAGGTTCCAACAGTTTTGAGTGAGTCGTTGACAATGAAGAGGTTCCCACAGTAGTGAATGAGTGCTTGACAGTGAACAGGTTTCCACTGTGATGGATGAGTGTGTGACAGTGAACAGGTTCCCAATCTAATGACTTTGTGGGTGACAGTGAACAGGTTCCTCCTGTAATGAATGATTGGGTGACAATGAACAGGTTCACACTGTGATGAATTAGTGGTTGAGAATGAACTAGTACCCACTTTGGTGAGTGAATGGTTGACATTGATCAGGTTGTAATGAGTGTGTGGGTGACAGTGAAGAAGTTCCCATCAGGATGCATGAATGGCTTATAGTTAATGGGTACACACTGTGATGAATGAGTGGGTGACAGTGAACAGCTTCCCACTCTGGGGAATGGTTGGCTGACAGGGAAAACGTTCACATTGTGGTGAATGAATTGATGAGAGTGAACAGGTTCCTACAGTGGTGAATATGTCGTTGACAGTGATAAGGTTCTTACTGTAATGAATAAGTTGGTGACAGTGAACAGGTTCCCACTGTGAAGAGTGAGTGGGTAACAGTGAACAGGTACCCACTGTGGTAAAAGAGTGCCTGACAGTGAACAGGTTCCCACTGTGATGCATGAGGTGGTGAGAATGAGCATGTTCCAACCGTAGTGAATGAGTGGGTGAGAGTGAACAGGTTCCCATGATGATGAGTGAGTGGGTGTCAGTGAATAGGTTGCCACTGTGGTGAGTGACTGGGTGACAGTGAACATGTTCTCACTGTGATGAATGAGGGAGTTACAGTAAACAGTTTTCCCCTGTAATGGATGAGAGGGTGACAGTGAACAGGTTCCAACTGTGTTGAATGAGTGGGTGACAAAGAGATTCCCACAGTGGTGAGTGAGTTATTGACAGTGAACTGGTTCTCAATGTGGTGAACAAGTGGCAGACAGTGAACAGGTTTCCACTGGAGTGACAGTGGTTGACAGTGAATAGGTTTCTACTGTGGTGAACGAGTGGGTGACAGTGATCAGGGTTTTTTTGTAATGAATAACTCGGTGACAGTGAATAGGTTCCCACTGTAATGAATGAGTGGCTGACAGGCAACAGGTTCCCACTGTTGTGAATGAGTGGCTGACTGTAAAGAGGTTCCCACTTTGATGAATGAGTGGGTGACAGTGAACATGTAACCACTGTGGTGAATGAGTGGGCGACAGTGAACAAGTTTCCACCATGATGAATGGGTGGGTGATAGTGAACACTTTCCCACTTTGGTGAGTGACTGGGTGACAGTAAACAGGTTCTCACAGTGATGAATAAGTGGGTGACAGTGAACAGGTTTCTCCTGTAATTAATGAATGGGTGATAGTGAACAGGTTCTCAATATGAAGAATGAGTGGGTGACAGTGAAGAGGCTCCCACTGTGGTGAATGTGTGTTTTATAGTTAAGAGGTTCCCACTGTGATAAATGAGTGGGTGGCAATGAACAGGTTCCTCATGTAATGAATGCGTGGGTGACAGTGAACAGGTTCCCACTGTGATGAATGAATGAGTGACAGTGAACAGGATCCCACTGTGGTGAATGAGTGGGTGATAGTGAACAAGTTCCCACTGTGGTGAATGAGTAGGTGACAGTGAACAGGTTCCCACTGTGAGGAATGAGAGGGTGACAGTGAGCAGGTTCTCACTGTGATGAGTGAGTGGCTGACAGTAACCTGGTTCCCACTGTGGTGACTGAGTGGCTGATGGTGAACAGATTCCTACTAAGTTGAAGGAGATGGTGACAGCGAACTCATTCCAACTGTGGTGAATGAGTGGCTTACAGGGAACAGGTTCACATGTGATGAGTGACTGACTGATAGTGAACATGATCCCACTGGGGTAAATAAGTGTATGACAGTGTACAGGTTTCTACTGTAATTAGTAAGGGGGTGGCGGTGATTAAGTTATTCCTGTAATGAATAAGTGGGTGACAGTGAACAGGTGTTGACTGTGATGAATGAGTGGCTAACACTGAACGGGTTTCCACTCTGATGAGTGAGTTGGTGACTCTGAACACGTTTCTACTGCGGTGGTCTGGTGGGTGAAAGTGAACTGGTTTGAATGAGTGACTGACAGTGAACAAGTTCCCGCAGTGATGAATGTGTGAATCACAGTCAACAGGTACCTTCTGTAATGAATGAGTGCTTGGCAGTGAACAGGTTCCCACTGTGATGAGTGTGTGATAGTGAATAGGTTCCTTCTGTAATAAACGAGTGGGTGACAGTGAACAGGTTTCCACTATGATGAATAGGTGGATGACAGTGAACTGGTTCTCACTGTCATAAATGAGTGGGTGAGAGTGAACAGGTTTCCACGTTGATGAATAAGTGGGTGACAATAAATATATTCCCAGGGTGGTGAGTGAGTGGGTGAGAGCGAACAAGTTCCCATTGTGGTGATTGCGTGCCTGACAGTGAAAAGTTCCCCACTCTGGTGAATGTGTGGTAACAGTGAACAGTTTTCCACTGTGATGAGTGAGTGTGAGACCATGAATAGGTTCACAGTGTGGTTATTAAGTGGGTGACAGCAAACAAGTTCTCACTCTGATGAGTGAGTGGGTGACAGAGAACAGGTTCAAACACTGATAAATAAGTGTGTGACAGAGAACAGGCTCCCACTGTGGTGAATGAGTGGGTGAGAGTGATATGGTTCCCAATGTGGTGAGTGTGTGACAGTGAACAGGTTCTCATTGTGATGAGTGAGTGGGTGACACTGAACAGGTTCACACTGTGGTGAATGAGTGGCTAACATTGAACAGGTACTCATTGTAATGAGTGAGTAGGTGAGAGTGAACAGGTTCCCAATGTGGTCAATGAGAGGGTGACAGTGAAAAGTTTCCAACCATGATAAGTGAGTTGGAGAGACTGAACCGGTTCCTACTGTGGAGAATGAGTGGCTGACAGGGGACATGTTCCCACTGTGGTGAAAGAGTGACAGTGAACAAGTTCCCACTGTGGTGAATGAGTGGCTGACATTTAACATGTTCCCTCTGTGATGAATGACTGGGTGACAGTGAACAGGTTCCCGATGAGATGAGTGAGTGGTTGACAGTGAACAGGTACCCACTGTGATGAGTGAGTGGCTGACAGTGAACAGATTCTTAACTCTGATGAGTGAGTGGTTGACAGTGAAAACGTTTCTACTGTGATAAATGTGTGGGTGACAGTGAACAGGTTCCCACTGAGGTGAATGAGTGGCTAAAAGTGAACAAGTTCCTACTGTGATGACTGAGTGTGTTACAGTTTACAGGTTCCCGCTGTGGTGAATGAGTGGGTGACAGTGAACACGTACCCACTGTGGTGAGTGAGTGGGTGACAGTGAACAGGTTACCACTGTGATGCATGAGGTGGGGACAGTGAACAGGTTCTCACTGTGATGAATGAGTGGGTGACAGTGAACTCGTTCCCACAGTGATGAATGAGTGGCTGACAGTGAATAAGTTTTTAGTGTGATGAATTAGTGACTGACAGTGAACAGGTTCCCACTGTGGTAAATGAGTGGGTGACAGTGAACAGGTTTCCACTGTGAAGAATGAGTGGGTAACAGTGAACGGGTTTCTGGTGTAATGAATGAGTGCATGACATAGAACACGTTCCCACTCTGATGAATGGGAGGACGACAGAGAAGAGTTTCCCAGTGTGGTGAATGGTGGGGTAACGTGGAACAGGTTCCCACTGTGATGAATGAGTGGGTGACAGTAAACAATTTTTCACGTGATGACTGAGTGGCTGACAATAAACAAGTTCCCACAGTGGTGACTGAGTGGCTGACAATGTACGGGTTTCTACTGCGGTAAACAAGTGAGTGAAACTGAACTGTTTTCCGCTATGGTGAATGAGTGTCTGAACAGGTTTCCACTGTGATCAATACGCTGGTGAAAATGAACAGGCTCCCCCTGTGATGAATGAGTGTCTGACAGTGAACAGGTATCCACAGTGATGAGTGAGTGTGTGACAGTGAACAGGTTTTTACTGTGGTGAAAGAGTTGGTGACAGTGAACAGGGTGCCACTGTGGTGAATGCATGACTCACAGTGAGCAGTTTCACACTGTGATGAATGAGTGGCTGACACTGAACAGAATCCCAATGTGATGAGTGAGTTGATGAGAGTGAACTGGTTCTCACAGTGATGAATGAGTGGGTGAAAAGAACAGGTCCCACTGTGGTGAATGAGTGGCTAACAGTTAAAAGGTTATCACTCTGGTGAATGTGTGAATGAGAGTGAACAAATTCCCACTGTGGTGAATGAGTGGCTGACATTGAACAGGTTCCCATTGTGATGAATGAGTGTGTAACAGTAAACACGTTCCCACTCTGATGAGTGACTCAGTGACAGTGAACAGTTTCCAAGTGTGGTGAGTGGGTGACAGTAAACTGGTTTCTACTGAGGTAAATGAGTGGCTGACAGTGATCAGCTTTGCACTGTGATAAATAAGTGGCTTACAGTGAAGAGGTTCCATCGTGGTGAATGAGTGGGTAACAGTGAACTGGTTGCTACTATGGTGAATCAGTGTCTGACAGTGAACAGGTTTCCAGTGTGATGATTGAGTGGCTGACAGTGAACACTTTCCCAATATGGTGAATGTGTGGGTGACAGTGAACAAGTTTCTACTGTGGTGAACGAGTGGGTGACAATGAGCAGGTTCCTTCTGTAATGAATGAGTGGGTGACAGTGAACGGGTACCCACTGTGATGAATGAGTGGCGGACAGTGTACAGATTCCCACTGTGATGAGTAAGTTGGTGGCAGTGAACAGATTTCTGCTGTGGTAAATGAGTTGGTGACAGTGAACAGGTTCCCACTCTTGTGAATGAGTGGCTGACAGTGAACAGGTTCCCACTGTAATGAATGAGTGGGTGATGGTGAACAGGTTCCTCATGTAATGAATGTGTGGGTGACAGTGAAAAGGTTCCCATTGTGATGAATAAGTGAGTGACAGTAAACAGTTTCCCACTTTGGTGAATGAGTGGGTGACAGTGAACAGGTTCCAACTGTGATGAATGAGAAGCTGACAGGGAACAGGTTCTCACTGTGATGAATGAGTGGCTGATATTGAACCGGTTCACACTGGGGCGAATGAGTGGGTGACAGTGTACAGGTTTCTACTGTGGTGAATGCGTGGGTAACAGTAATTAAGTTACTCCTGTGATAAATAAGTGGGTGACAGTGAACAGGTATTCACTGTCATGAATGAGTGGCTAACACGGAACAGCTTCCCACTGTGATGAGTGAGTTGCTGACTGTTAACAGGTTTCTACTGTGGTTAACTAGTGGGTGACAGTGAACTGGTTCCCACTGTGGCAAATTAGTGACTGACAGTGAATAAGTTCCCACTGCAATTAATGTGTGTGTTACAGTCACCAGGTTCCAACTCTAATGAATGAGTGCGTGACAGTGAACAGGTTCCCAGTGTAATGAAAGAGTGTGTGACAGTGAACAGGTTCTTCCTGCAATAAATGAGTGTTTGACAGTGAACAGGTTCCCATTGTGATGAACAGGTGGGTGACAGTGAGCTGGTTCCCATTGTCGTAAATGAGTGGGTGAGAGTGAACAGGTTTTCACTTTGATGAATGAGTGGGTAACAGTTAAAATTTTCCCACTGTGGTGAATGCATAGGTGAGAGTGAACAGATTCCAACTGTGATGAATGAGTGGGTGACAGTGAACAAGTTCCTCATGTAATGAGTGCGTGGGTGACAGGGAACAGTTTTCCACTGTAATGAATGAGTGAGTGACAGTGAACAGGTTCCCACTGTGGTGAATCAGTGGGTGACAGTAAACAGGTTCCCGCAGGGAAGAATGAGAAAGTGACAGTGAGCAGGTTCCCACTATGATGAGTGACTGGCTGACAGTAAAATGGTTCCCACTGTGGTGACTGAGTGGCTGATAGTGAACAGGTTCCTACTAAGGTGAATGAGTGGGTGACAGTGAACTTGTTCCCACAGTGGAGAATGAGTGGCTGAAATACAGGATGTTCTCACTGTGATGAATGAGTGAATGACAGTGAACAGGTTCCCACTGAGATGAGTGAGTGGTTGACAGTGAACTAGTTCCCACTGTGATGAATGAGCGGATGACAGTGAACACGTTCTCACTGTGATGAATGAGTGGGTGACAAAGAACTGGTTCCTGCTTTGTTGAATGAGTGGCTGAAAGTAAACAGGTTCCCACTGTCATCACCATGGGGCTGACCATGAACAGGTTTCGACTGCGGTGAACAAGTAGGTGACAGCGAACTGGTTCCCACTTTTGAGAATGAGTGGGTGACAATGAAATTTCCCACTGTGGTGAATGAGTGACTGCAAGTAAACAAGTTTCTACTCAGGTCATCAGGTGGGTGACAGTGAACAGGTTTTCACTGCGGTGAGTGAGTGGCTGACAGTAAGCAGGTTACCACTGTGGTGAATGAATGGCTGACAGTGAACAGTTTCCCACTGTGATGAAAGAGTGTGTTACTGTTAACAAGTTCTTCCTGTAATGAATGTGTGGGTGACAATGAACAGGTTCCCACTGTGTTGAATAAGTGGGTGAGAGTGAACAGGTTCTCAATGTGATGAACGAGTGGCTTACAGTGCACATGTTCAAAACGTGACTAGTGAGTATGTGAGAGTGAACAGGTTCCCACTGTGATGAATCAGTGAATGACAGTGAAAAGGTTCCCACTGTGATGAATGAGTGGGTGACAGTCAACAGATTACCACATGGTGACTGAGTGGGTCAGAGTGAATAGGTTCCCACTGTGGTGAATGAGTGGCTGAGAGTGAACAGGTTCCCACTATGATGAGTGATTGGATGACAGTGAACAGCTTTCCACTGTGATGAGTGAGTGGATGACAATGAATAGCTTGCCAGTGTGATGAATGAGTGGGTGACAGTGAAAAGGTTCCCACTGTGATGAATGAGTAGCTGACAGTTTACAGGTTCCCAATGTGATGAATGATGGACTGACAGTGAACAGGTTTTCACACTTGTGAGTGAGTGGGTGACACTGAGCAGGTTCCTACTATGATGAGTGAGTGGGTGCCAGTGAATAGGTTCCCAATCTGATGAATGTGTGAGTGAGAGTGAACAAGTTTCCACTGTGATGAATGAGTGGGTGACAGTGAGCAGGTTCCCATTGTGATGAATGAGTGGCTGACAGTGAGCAGGTTCCCACTGGAGA
Organism: Homo sapiens; assembly: GCF_000001405.40. Taxonomy (NCBI): domain Eukaryota; kingdom Metazoa; phylum Chordata; class Mammalia; order Primates; family Hominidae; genus Homo; species Homo sapiens. The sequence goes on along the minus strand of NC_000019.10, from coordinate 20,876,598 downwards.
TAAATGAGTGGGTGACAGTGAACAGGTTCCTTCTGTAATGAAGGGTGGGTGACAGTTAACAGGTTCCCACTGTGATGAATGAGTGGGTGACAGTGAATAGGTTTCCAATGTGGTGAATGAGTGGCTGAGAGTTAACAGGTTTCCACTGTGATGAGTGAGAGAGTGAGAGTGAACAGGTTCCCACAGTGATAAATGAGTGTGTGACAGTAAACAGGTTCCTACTGTGATGAATGAGTGGATGACAAGAGGTTCCCGATGTGGTGAATGAGTGGGTGAGAGTGAACAGGTTCCCACTTTGGTGGAATAGTTTGTGAGAGTGAACAGGTTCCCACTCTGGTGAGTGAATGAGAGTGAACAGTTTCCCACTGTGATAAATGAGTGTGTGACAGTGAACAGGTTCCTACTGTGATGAATGAGTGGGTGAAAATCAACAGGTTCCCGATATGGTGAATGAGTGGGTGAGAGTGAACAGATTCCCGCTCTGGTGAATGACAACCCGACAGTGAACAGGGTACCACTGTGATGCGTGATTGGCTGACACTGAACGAATTCGCACTGTGGTGAATGAGTGGTTTAGAGTGAATCGGTTGCCACTGTGATGAGTGAGTGCGTGTGAGTGAACAGGATCTCACTGTAGTGAATGAGTGGGTGACAGTGAACAGGTCTCCACTGTGGTGAATGAATGAGTGAGAGTGACCATGTTCCCCCTGTGATAAATGAGTGTGTGACAGTGAACAGTTTCCTACTGTGATGAATGAGTGGGTGACAATCAACAGGTTCCTGATGTGGTAAATGAGTGGATGAGAGTGAACAGTTTCCCACTGTGGTGAAAGAGTTGGTGAGAGTAATCAAGTTCCCACTGTGGCTGATAGTGAACAGGCTCCCACTGTGATGAGTGAGTGCATGTGAGTGAACAGGATCTCACTGTAGTGAATGAGTGGGTGACAGTGAACAGATTCCCACTGTAGTGAATGAGTGGGTGAGAGTGAACAGTTTCCCACTGTGGAATGAGTGGCTGTCAGGGAACAGGTTCCCACTGTGGTGAATTAGATGGTGACAGTGAATATATTTCTACTGTGATGAACGAGTGGGTGACAGTGATCAGGTTTCTCTTGTAATGAAGGAGAAGGTGACTGTGAACAGGTATCCACTGTGATGAATGAGTGGCTGACAATGAAGACATTTCCACTGGGATGAGTGAGAAGGTAACTGAACAGGTTTCTGCTGTAGTGAATGAGTGGGTGAGAGTGAACATGTTCCCACTGTAATGAATGAGTTGCTGACAGTGAACAGTTTCCCACTCTGATGAATGAATAAGTGACAGTGAACAGGCTCTTCCCGTAATGAATGGGTGGGTGACAGTGAACAGGATCCCACTGTGATGAATGAGTGGGTGACAATGAACAGGTTCTCACCGTGGTAAATGAGTGGGTAAGAGTGAAGAGGTTCCCACTTTGATAAGTGAATGGGTGACACTGAAGAGACTCCCACTGCGGTGAGTGAGTGTGTGATATGGAATTGGTTTTCACTGTGAAGAATTAGCGGGTGACAGTGAACAGGTTCCTCCTGTAATGAATGACTTGGTGACAGTGAACAGGTTCTCAATGTGATTAATGAGTGGATGGCAGTGTTGTGGTTCCCACTGTGGAGAATGAATGGGTGACATTCAACAGGTTCCCACAGTGATGAATGAGTGAATGACAATGAACAGGTTCCCACTGTGATGACTAAGTGACTGACAGTAAACAGATTCCACTCTGATGACTGCGTGGCTGACAGTGAAAAGGTTTCTACAGCGATGAATGAGTAGGTGACAGTGAAATGGTTCCTGCTGTGGTGAGTGAGTGGCTGATGGAAAACAGGTTCCCACTATGATGAATGAGTGACTGACTGTGAAAAGGTTCCTACTCTAGTGAACAGGTCAGTGACAGTTATCAGGTTCCTCCTGTAATGAATGAGTGGGTGACAGTGAAGAGGTACCCACTAGGAGGAATGAGTGGCTGTCTGTGAACAGGTTCTCCCTGGGATGAGTGAGTGGGTGACAGGGAACAAATTTCTGTTTCGGAGAACGAGTGGGTGACAGGGAAACGGTTAACTTTGGTGAATGAGTGCCTGACAGTGAACGGGTTCCCACTGTGATGAATGAGCGGCTGACAGTGAACAGGTTCTTTTTTCAATGAATGAATGGGTGACAGTAAACAGAATCCCAATGTAATGATTGAGTGGGTGACTGTGAAGAGGTAACCACGTTGGGGAGTGAGTGGGTGACAGTGAACAGGTTCCACTGTGATGAATGTGTTGGTGTCAGTGAACAGGTTCCTTCTGTAATGATTAAGTGAAAGTGAACAGGTTCCCCTGTGATGAATAAGTGGGTGACATTGAACAGGTTCCCACTGTGATTAATAAGTGAGTGACAGTGAGTGGGTTCCCACTGTGATGAGTGAGTCGCTGACAGTAGACAAGTTCCCACTCTGGTGACAGACTGGCTGATAGTGAACAAGTTTTTAATGCTGTGAATGAGGGGGTGACAGTGAAATTGTTCTCACTGTGGTGATTGAGTGGCTGAAAGAGAACTGTTTCCCACTGTGATGAATGAGTGGCTGACAGTGAACAGGTTCCCACTGTGGTGAGTGAGTTGGTGACAGTGAACTGGCTTCTACTGTGATTAATGAGTGGTTGACAGGATCAGGTTCCTCCCATAATGAATGAATGGGTGACAATGAACAGGTACCCACTGTGATGAATGAGTGGGGGACAGTGAACAGGTTCTCGCCTGATGAGTAAGTGACAGTGAGCAGGTTTCTACTGTGGTGAATGGGTGGGTGACAGTGAACAGGTTCTCACTTGATGAGTGAGTAAGTGACAGTGAGCAGATTTCTACTGTGGTGAATGAGTGGGTGACAGTGAACAGTTTCCCACTGTGGTGAAAGAGTGGCTGACAGTGAACAGGTTCCCACTGTAATGAATGAGTGGGTAACAGTGAAGAAGTTTCTCCTGTAAGGAATGAGTGGGTGACAGGAATAAGTTCCCACTGTAATGAATGCATTGGTGACAGTGAACAGGTTCCCACTGTCATAAATGACTGGGAGTGAAAAGGTCCCCACTGTGATGAATGATTGGGTTCAAGTGAACAGCTTCCTACTGTGATAAGTTAGTGGGTGAGAGTGAACAGGTTTCCACTGTGGTGAGTGGGTGAGAGCGAACAGGTTCCAACTGTGATGAGTGTGTAACAGTCAACAGGTTCCAACTGTCAGGAATGAGTGGATGAGAGTGTACAGGTTCACACTGTGATGAATGATTGGGTGCCAGTGAACAGGTTCCCACTGTGATGAGTGAGTGGGTGACACTGAACAGGATAGCACTGTGGTGAGTGAGTGCCTGACAGGGAACAGTTTCCCACTGTGGTGAATTAGTAACTGACAGTGAACAGTTTCCTAGTGTGATGAAAAAGGAGAGACAGTGAAAAGTTTCAAACTGTGAAGAATGAGCGAGTGACAGTGAACAAATTCCTCCTGTAATGAATTATTGGGTGACTGTGAAGACGTTTCCACTGTGATGAATGAGTGGATGACATTGAACAGGTTCCCACTGTGATGAGTGAGTGGTGACAATGAATAGGTTGCCAGTGTGATGAATGAATGGGTGACAGTAAGCAGGTTTCCTCTGTGATGAATGAGTGGGTGACAGTTAATAGATTCCTCCTGTAATGAATAAGTTGGTTACATCCAACAGATTCCCAATGTAATGAGGGAGCGGCTGAGAGTGAACAGGTTCCCACTGTGGTGAATAAGTGGGTAACAGTGAAGACGTTCCCTCTGTGATGAGTGAGTGGGTGACAGTGAACAGGTTCCCATTGTGAAGAGTGAGTGGGTGATAGTGAACAGGTTTTCACTGTGGTGAATAAGTGGCTGAGAGAGAAGAGGTAACCACTGTGGTAAATGTGTGACTGACAATGAACACGCTCCCAGTGTGAGAAATGAGTGGGTGACAGTGAACAGGTTCCCACTGTGATGAGTGAGTTGCTGACTGTAAGCAGGTTCTTAATGTGGTGACTGAGAGGCTGACAGTGAACAGGTTTCTACTGTGGCAAATGAGTGGGTGTCAGTAAACTGGTTCCCAACTTGGTGAATGACTGGCTGACAGTGAACATGTTCCCACTGTGAAAACGAGTGGCTGAAGGTGAACAGGTTCCTCCTGTAAAGAATAAGTGGGTAACAGTGAGCAGGTTACCACTGTGGTGAATGTGTGGATTATAGTGAAGAGGTTTCCACTTTAAAGACAGAGCGGGTGACAGTGAATAGGTTCCTCCTGTAATGAATGAGTGGGTGACAGTGAACAGGCTTCCACTGTGATGAATGCGTGGGTGACAGTGAACAGGGTCCCACTGTGTTGAATGAGTGGCTGACACTGAACTGGTTCCCACTGTGGTGAATGAGTGGCTCACAGTTAACAGGATCCCACTGCGATGAATGAATGACTGACAGTGAACAGGTTCCCACTGTGTTAAATGAGTGGATGACAGTGAACAGATTTCTACTGGGGTGAATGAGTGGGTGAGAGTTATCAGATTTATCCTGTAATGAATGAGTGGGTGACAGTGAACAGGTACCCACTGTGATGAATGACTGGCTGACAGTGAACATTTTCACACTGTGATGAGTGAGTGGGTGACAGTGGACAGTTTTATACTGCAGTGAATGCATGGGTGACAGTGAACAGGTTTCCACTGTGGTGAATAAGTGGCTGACAGTGAAGAGTTTCCCACTGTGATGAATGAGTGGGTGACAGTGGAAAGTTTTCTACTGCAGTGAACGAGTGGGTGACAGTGAACAGTTTCCCACTGTTGTGAATCAGTGGCTAACATGAACAAGTTCCCACTGTGATGAATAAGTGGGTGACAATGAACCAATTTCTCCTGTAATAAATGAGTGCGTGACAATGAACAGGTTTCCACTGTGATTAATGAGTGTGTGACAGTGAACAGGTTCCCACTGTGGTGAATGTGAGGGTTGGAGTAAAGAGGTCCCAACTTAGATGAATGAGTGGGTGACAGGGAACAGGCTTGTACTATGATGAATGCGTGTGTGACAGTGAACAGGGTCTTACTGTGGTGAATAAGTGGGTGACAGTGAACAGTTTCCCACTGTGCTGAATGAGTGGTTGACAGTGAAGAGTTTCCCACTGTAATAAATGAGTGGTTGAGAGTGAACAGTTTCCCACTGTGGTGAATGAATGGGTGCCAGTGAACCGGTTTCTACTGTGGTGAATGAGTGGGTGACAGTAATGGGGTACCTCCTGTAGTGAATGAGTGTGTGACAGTGAACAGCTGTCCACTGTCATGTATGAGTGGCTGACAATGAACAAGTTCTCACTGTGATGAGTGTGTGAGTGAGTCAATAGGTTTCTACTCTGGTGAATGAGTGCCTGATAGTGAACAGCTTTCCTCTGCGATGAATAAGGGTATGACAGTGAACATGTTCCCACTGTGATGAGTAAATGAGTAACAGTGAACAGGTTTCTACTGCGGAGAACATGTTGGTGACATTAAAAAGGTTCCCACTATGGTGAGTGAGTGGCTGACAGTGAATAGCTTCCCAATGTGATGAATGAGGGGCTGACAGTGAAGAGGCTCCTCCTGTAATGAATGAGTGGGTGACAGTAAACAGGTTCCCACTGTGATGAACGAGTGTGTGACAGTGAACAGGTTTCCACTGTGGTGAATGAGTTTGTGAGAGTGAAGAGTTTCGCACTGTGATGATTTATTACGTGACAGTGAACAAGTTCCCACTGTGGTTAATGAGTGGCTGACAGTGAACAGTTTCCTACTGTGATGAGTGAGTGAATGACAGTTAACGGGTTTTCACTGTGACTAGTGAGTGGGTGACAGTGAACAGTTTCCCACTGTGGTGGTAGAGTAGCTGATAGTAAACAGGTTCCCACAGTGATGAATGAGTGGCTGACAGTGAACAGATTTCCACTGTGGTGAGTGATTGAGTGACAGTGAACAGGTTTCTACTGTGGTAAATGAGTGCATGAGAGTGATCAGGTTTCTCCTGTAATGAAAGAGTGGGTGACAGTGAACATGTACCCATTGTGATGAATGGGTGGCTAACAGTGAACATGTTCACATTGTGATGAGTGAGTGGGTGACGGGACAAGTTTCTACTCCGGTGAATGTGTGTGTGATAGTGAACAGTGATAAATTAGTGCGTGACAGTGAGCAGGTTCCCACTGTGGTTAATGGTTGGGTGAGAGTGAACAGGTTTCCACTGTGATGATTGAGTGGGTGACAGTAAACAGGTTCCCACTGTGATGACTGAGTGGGTGACAGTGAACCGCTTCCTAATGTGGTGAGTGACAGGGTGACAGGGAACAGGTTTCCACTATGGTAAATGAGTGGCTGACAGTGAACAGGTTTCCACTGTGGTGAATGAGTGGGTGAGAGTTAACAGGTTTCTACTGTCGTGAACCAGTGGTGGATGGTGATCACGTTCCTCCTGTAATGAATGAGTGAATGACAGTGAACAGTTACCTACTGTGATTAATCAGTGTCTGACAGTGAACAGGATCCCACAGTGATAAATAAGTGGGTGACAGTGAACAGGTTTCTACTGCCGTGAACGACTGAATGAAAGTGAACTGGTTCCCACTATGGGGAATGTGTGGCTGACAGTTAACAAGTTCACACTCTGATGATGAGTGGGTGACATTGAACAGGTTCCCAAGGTGGTGAAGGAGTGGTTGAGAGTGAACAGGTTCCATCTGTGATGAATGAGTGGGTGACAGTGAATAGGTTCCTACTGTGATGAGTAATTGGGTGAGAGTGAACAGGTTCCTGTTGTGGTGAATGAGTGGCTGACAGTAAACAGGTTACTGCTCTGGTGAGTGAGTTTGTGAGAGTGAACAGGTTCCCACTGTGGTGAATGAGTGGCTGACATTGAACAGGTTCCCACTATGATGAATGAGTGGCTGACAGTTAACAGTTTCCCACTGTGATGAGGAAGTGTGCGACAGTGAACAGGTTCCCCCTGGGTGAGTGAGTGGGTGACAGTGAACGGGTTCCCAGAATGGTGAATGAGTGGCTGACAGTGACCATGTTCCCACTGGGGTGAATGAGTGTGTGACAGTGAACAGGTTTCTATAGTGGTGAACGCATAAGTGACAGTGATCAGTTTCCTCCTGTAATGAATTATTGGGTGACAGTGAACAGGTACCTACTGTGAGGAATGAGTGGCTGACAGTGAACAGGTTCCCACTGAGATGAGTGAGTGGGTGACAGTGATGATGTTCTCACTTTGGTGAATGAGAGAGTGAGAGTGAACTGGTTCTCACTGTGATGAATGAGTGGGTGACAGCAAATAGGCTACCTCTGTGATGGATGAGTGGGTCAGAGTGAACAGGTTCCCACAGTGATGAGTGAGTTGTTGATAGTGAACAGGTTCCTACTGTAGTGAATGTTTGTGTAAAAGTGTCCTTTTTCCCACTATGATGAGTGAGTAGGTGACAGTGAACGGGTTCCCACTATGATGAATTAGTGGGTGACAGTGAGCAGGTTCCCACTGTGAGAAAGGAGTGGGTGAAAGTGAACAGGTTCACACTGTGATGAGTGAGTGGGTGACCCTGAACAGGCTCCCACTGGGGTAAATGAGTGGGTGAGAGTGAATTACAACGGGTTCCCATTGTAATGAATGAGTGGGTGACAATGAATAGGTTCCCACTGTGAGGACTGTGTGGGTGACAGTGAACAGGTTCTCACTGTGATGAATGAGTGGGTGACAGTGAACAGGTTTTGAATGTGATGAATGAGTGAGTGACAGGGAAAAGGTTCACACTGTGATGAGTGAGTTGGTGACAGTGAACAGGTTCCCAGTGTTTTTAGTGAGTGGCTGACTGTGAACAGGTTCCCTCTGTGAAGAGTGAGTGGATGACAGTGAAAAAGTTCCCACTGTGATGATTGAGTGGGTGACAATGAACAGGTTCCCACTGAGGTAAATGAGTGGGTGAGAGTGAACAGGTTCCCACAGTGATGAGTGAGTTGGTGACAGTGTACATATTCCCACTGTGAGGACAGAGTGGGTGACAGTGAACAGGATCCCACTGTGATGAATGAGTGGCTGACAGTGAAGAGATTTTCACTGTGGTGAATGAGTGAGTGACAGTGATCAGGTTCCTCCAGTAATGAATGAGTGGGTTACAGTGACAGGTACCCACTCTGATGAATGAGTGGCTGACAACAGGTTTTCATTGTAGTGAGTGAGTGAGTGGTGACAGTGAACAGGTTTCTACTGAGGTGAACGAGTGGGTGACCGTGAACAGGTTTCCACAGTTGTGAATGAGTGGTTGATAATGAACAGATTCCCACTGTGTAGACTGAGTGGGTGACAGTGTACAGGTTCCTCCTGTAATGAATAAGTGGGTGACAGTGTACAGGTTCCTCCTGTAATGAATGAGTGGGTGACAGTTAGCAGGTTCCCAATTTGATAAATGAGTGGGTGACAGTAGTCAGGTTCCCACTGTGGTGAATAAGTGTGTGGGAGTGAACTGGTTCCCACTGTGGTGAATTTGTCAGTGAAAGTGAACAGGTTCCAACTTTGATGATTGAGTGGGTGACAGTGAACAAGTTCCCAGTGTGGTGAGTAAGTGGGCAACAGTGAACATGTTCACACTGTGATGAATGAGTGGGTGATAGTGAACAGGTTCCCAGAATGTAATGAATATGTGGGGGACAGTGAACAGGTTCCCACTGTGATGAATGAGTGGAAGACAGTGAACAGGTACCCCCTATGTTGAGTGAGTGGGTGACTGTGAAGAGGTTCTCACTGTGATGAATGTGTGGGTGAAAGTGAACTGGGTCCCACTGCAGTGAATGAGTAATTTACAGTAAAGAGTTTCCCAATGTGGTGACTGAGTGGCTGATAGTGAACCGGTTTTTACTGCAGCAAATGAGTGGGTGACAGTTAACTGGTTCTCACTATGGTGAATGATCAGGTGACAGTAAACTGGTTCTCACTGTGAAGAATGAGTGGGTGACAGTTAAATGTTCCTCTTGCAATGAAGGGGTGGTCGACAATGAACAGCTTCCCACTGTGATGTGTGAGTGGGTGACAGAGAAGAGGTTCCAACTGTGGTGAATGAGTGGGTGATAGTGAACAGGTTCCCACTGTGATAAATGAGTGGGTTAGGGTGAACAAGTTCCCAGTCTGATGAGGGTGTGGCTGACAGTAAACTGGTTCACACTGTTCTGACTGAGTGGCTGATAGTGAACAGGTTTCTACTGCTGTAAATGAGGGGATGACAGTGAACTGGTTCCCACTGTGGTGAATGAGTGGCTGACAGGAAACAGGTTACCAATGTGGTGAATTAGTGGCTGACAGTGAATTGGTTCCCACTGTGATGAATGAGTAGATGACAGTGATCAGGTTCCTGCTGTAATGATGGGATGGGTGACAGTGAACACATTACCACTGTGATGAATGAGTGAATGACAGTGAACACGTTCCCACTGTGGTGAATGAGTGGGTGACAGTGAAGAGTTTCCCACTGTGATGAGTGAGTGGCTGACAGTGAACAGGTTTCCACTGAGATGAATGAGTGGGTGAGAGTGAATAGGTTCCCATTGTGATGAATGAGTGTCTGACAGTGAACAGATTCCCACTGTTGTGAATTTGTGGGTGACAGTGAACAGGTATCCACTGTGGTGAAAGAGTGGATGACAGTGAACAGGTTTCCTCTATGATGAGTGAGTGGCTGACAGTGAAGAGGTTCCCACTGTGGTGAATGAGTGGGTAACAGTGAACAGGTACTCACTGTGGTGAATGAGTAAGTGACAGTGAACAGGTTCTCAGGGTGTTGAATGTGTTTGTGATAGTGAAATGGTTCCCAATATGTTGAATGAGTGTTTAACAGTAACAGGTTACCAATGTGGTGACTGCATGGCTGACAGTGAACAGGTTTTTACTGCTGTAAACAAGTGGGTGACAGTGAACTTGTTCCCACTGTTGTGAATGATTGGATGACAGCGAACAGGTTCTTACTGTGAAAATGAGTGTGTGACAGTGAAAGGTCTTTCGTTTAGTCTCTCAATTCATACAAAACTGCATCCAGGCCATCACCAATCATTCCATATGGCAGTTGCTGCTTCTAACAACCCCACAGTACTATCATGTACCCTAAAATCGCCCCACAGCCTAAACTTCTATTCCTCATCCTGTTATACTCCTTCTCACCTTCTCACCTATTATACTCCTTCTCACTCCTTCTCATCTTTATACTCCTTCTCACCTTCTCACCTTTAAGACTAAGTCAATGATGAACTCCTGGCAGCATCCAGACAAGACCAAGCTTCCATGCAACACCCCTTCCAAATGGCTGTCCAAACATACTTCCAGGCCTGCTTCACCCAGTCCTCTAAACGCTAATCTCTTAGGACCTGTTGTCTCTAAAAACAACTTTCTTCAGGCCTTGTCCTCCAAGATTTTCCCCACCCCCAAAATCAAAGATCTCTGGATTAAAAATCTAAAATGCCTGGATTGACAGGTGTCAAATCCTCACCCATGGTGTCCTCAGGCCTACTCATATAAAAATTACCAGCAATATGCATATACAGGACTAGTTCCACATATCTGGCATTCAGGTGAACATCCAGGACAACATATGGTCTGTCGTTGGTTGTTAGAAGGCCTAGGACATTTCTCTCTTTGCCAGCCCCAACTTATTCCAGGATACAGGGACTATTGTACTTATTATCTTTCCTGTATAAGGTCTGCAATCAGGACTATTGAACTCTTCCATTCAAAACTCCACTCACACCTTTAGGAAAAAGGTAATATAATAGACTTTTGGCTTCACTCTAGGGATCCTATTTGTAGGATGGAAAATGGAGACAAAAAGCTTTACTATATAAAACATTATTCTTACCTTGGCCTAAAAACTCACTGCCACCTACCTTAAAGCTATTATGCTTAATTACGATTTTTTAGAGAATTTACTATATTAGGACAATTCCAAGCTCAAAAATATGCTAGCTGATGCCTTGTTTGCCACACAGAATTGTACCCAAAAACTTTCTAGACCAACTCACTATAAAATTACATTTTCTTTAGGTGTTCACACCACCCCTAAGTCATGCCTGAAGCAGCCCTGAGAAACTTCACCCCTACCCCAATTATCCTCAGTAAAAACTTACATTTTCTTTATCTTATCTTGTAACTTTATATTTTATAAATAAAAAGACAGGAATGTCAGGCCTTTGAGCCAAAGCTCAGCCATTGTAACCCCTGTGACCTGCACATACACATCCAGGTGGCCTGCAGGAGCCAAGAAATCTGGGGCAGCTGAAAAAACACAAAACAAGTAAAAGAGCTAGTTCCTGCCTCAACTGATTAACCAACGTTACACCGTTACACCATTGTGACTTGTCCCTGCCCTACCTTAACTGATCAATCGACCTTGTGACATTCTTCTTCTGGACAGTGAGTCTTATGATCTACCCACCATGTACCTTGTGACCCCCTCCTCTGCTAACAATAGATAATAACCACCTTTTACTGTAATTTTCCATTACCTACCCAACTCCTATGAAGCAACCCCTTCCCCATCTCCATTCGCTGACTCTCTTCAGACTCAGCCCACTTGCACCCAAGTGAATAAACAGCCTTATTGCTCACACAAAGCCTGTTGGTGGTCTCTTCACACGGACACGTGTGACAGTCATGAGGGCCCTTCGCAACTGGGCTCAAGGAGGTCAACTTATTTTTGCGATTGTCTATTGATTTCAATAACGAATGTAGAGGAATACATTGAAATAGAGATTTCTCCAAAACAGCACTGAATGAACACCTCAATAGGCTCACACAACTTGTTCCAGGACTTGGTGACCACTGTTTGTGTCCACATTCATATAGTTTAAATTTGCTATTTAACTTTGCCTCCACACCAGACTATGGAGGATTCACCACCAGACCAAGAAGCAACAGGCTGGACTCCAGAGTTGAACACCACACTCATCAGACTATGGAGGATTCACCACCAGACTGGGAAGCAACACCTTGGGCTCAAGAGTTGGTCATCCATCCTTGCACAGATAAGGAGAGGTCTCCTGAAGCTTCGGTGTGGTCTGGGGCCCTAGCTCTTTTTGTAATGAGTTGTTTGGTATGAGGCCCAGTCATGAGGGCCCTTTGCGACTGAGCTCAAGGAACACAAAAAGGTCAACTTGTTTTCTTGTGATCGTCTATTGTTTTTCAATAACTAATGTGTAGGAATAGACTGAAATAGAGATTTCTCCAAAACAGTGCAGGATGAACACCTCAAGGGGGCTCACATAACCTGTTTCAGGACTTGGTGTCTATTTTTTGTGTCCATGTTTAATTGAGTTCAAATTTAATATTTAATTTTTCCTCCACAAATTCCTCTGTCTTGATGAATCAGCTCTCTCTGGGCAAAGGGCAAGGGGAACCCCTTGGGCTGTCACACAACCTCTGCCTCCTGGGTTCAAGCGATTCTCCTGCCTCAGCCTCCGGAGCATCTGGGACTACAGGTGTGCACCACCGTGCCTGGCTAATTTTTTGCATTTTTAGTAGAGATTGGGTTTAACCACGTTGGCTAGACTGGTCTCGAACTTCTGACCTCAAGTGATCTGCCCACCTTGGCCTCCCAAAGTGCTGGGATTACAGGTGTGCACCACTGCATCTGGCCCTAAATGATTTCTTTCTATCTCCTATAACGGTTTGAAATTACTTAATGGTTGTTTCAAATAGAAAAAAAATAAAAAGAATGTAGAGAAAAAGAAAATATAAAAAGATAAAAAAATTACAAGAGAATGCAAAATATATATGTAAATCTCGAGGTCAAAAATGACAAATTTGATTTATTTTTAAGGTTTTATTAAAATTAGCTTTAGTATTGATAATACGCTATTACCAAAGTAAAAGTTGATTTTCTCTTGAACAAAAATTTTATGTATTATTAATATGACAGCAAAGTACTTCTGTTCACCTTTTGAATATATTCAAAAAGACCGAGAGTGAAAAAGAGACAGAATTTTCTCATGTTCTGGGGTGGGCCTGGCTCAGCTCAGGGAGGAAGCCCTGCCTGAAAAGGCTGCAGCTTAGGCTGTTGCTCTTTCTTCACTCAGCCCAGCACCTGATCACATCTTCTGTCACTCAAGGCCTGAGGGGGCGGGACCTTAAGCATTATCCAATCAGGAACTCTGAGCTGGAAACCGTCCAATCAGACACCCAGCTGGAGAGAACAGGACAACTTCTGGGTTTGGCGCGGACTTTGTCTCTTGCTGCAGCAGGAGCTCCAGGTCTCGTCTTCAGTCCTCTGTGTCCTCTGCTCCTAGAGGCCCAGCCTCTGTGGCTCTGTGTCCTGCCGGTATTGGGAGATCCACAGCTAAGATGCTGGGACCTTCTGGAAGCCTAGAAATGGTGAGGGTGCCAATTGGACATCCCAAGAGAGGGGAGGGACTGGTTGGAATCAGTGGGAAGTGGCTGTGGTGGGATTCAGGCCTCCCCGAAGTCAGCTCCACAATCTGCGCCCTGAGGTGTCCTTGTCCAGCTCAGCCTCAGTCCCGTTCAGCCGTAAGATGGCGGCTCCGCTGACAGGCAGGCCCCTGGGCATCCAGTCTCTTCCCTGTTCAGTGACTGTGCACTGGCCTGGAGCCCTCTCTGGGCAGCTCTGCACCCACAGCACGGCGTCTCTCCCAGATTGTGCAGGGACCATGGGAGGGTCATCAGGGGAGAATCTTGCGTCAGGGTGCAGGTTCATGAATGGGAAGAGCTTTGATCCATGGGGTTCACAGCTTCTCTTTTCTCCTATTAAAAATTTGTGGGGCCAGGCACAGTGGCTCACTCCTTTAATCCCAGCATTTTGGGAGGCCCAGGTGGGTGGATCACTTGGGGTAAGGGGTTGTTAGGACAACAAAGATCCTTTTCAAAGACTCAACTTCCTGGTGATAAGTTGTAAAAGTTGTAAATCAACCACACCGCTTCTTCTTCCCTCTTCTCCCTTTCTCGCAAATCGCGCATTTACCCTATTTGGAAAAAGTTTGGGTCTAAGTCAACCGGGATCAGCTTAGATTGTTTGCTAGTGTTATATTTAAAGCTATTTTATTATTCTAGGCCATCCGGCTGGTACGTCCTAATTGCTTAGCTATCCCCTTGATGGCGTCCCTAGTGCAATTTGTGAATTGTTGCTGATTGTAATAGATATAGTGTATTTAGTTAACTTTTTTTATTTATAGTTACCTACCAGAACAACGTGGATTTAAATTTTGTAGCTATTTGATTTTGTGCTTTAAACTTATTTGGCACTTCTCACAGGACCTTAATAGCATTTACGTAAACCTGAGGATTAAAGGATTTATAAGGAGTTTCCCTTGGCCTGCACTGTTTTGTTTTTACTTTTTTTAGATTGATGAAATGCCAGGGTGAATGGGTTAGCCAACTGGATTAGAGGACAAGTACTGCTCCAATTATTTGGCAGCGTCCAGTAAAGGTCCTCCACAGTACAACCATACATTTGCTTGGGGATGGCTACGCATGGACTGATGGTCAAGCTCTTGGAAAGGATTGAGGTCTTTGCATCCTTTTATGCTTCCAAGGAACACCACATTTTCCCCTTGCTGTGAGAGGCACGAAGTAAACTTGGCATCTAGAGGTGGAAGCTGGATTGCCCTCAGGGGCTGACTCTCAGGAAATAGCAGAGAGAGAGCTCAGCATGATGGATTATCCGAAGCAATGGGTTTCTGAAAGAGAGGCCCCATACAGTCCATATTTGGTTGACAAGAAGACCATCTGAGTGGAAAGGGGATAATCTGGGCCTCTGGCCTATGGTGTGAACAAGCATAATAATCACTTTTTTAAAAAGTCTGAACAGAATATTTAATCCATTCCAACCAGGCATTTGCATCTTGATATTTTATCTTGATGGCTAAGGTCTATCTTAGATCTCTTATTTTTACAATAGACACCCTAGTTTTATTATTAGATGTAGGAGCAACCGGTGTGGGATCTAGAACTGAGGCTACTGAAGAAGGGGAAGATGGGGGAATGATGCATATTTTAAAAATACCTAGGGGGTCTTTTCCATTTATGTCAATCCCCATACCATAGAAGCGACTAAGGGCAGGTCTAGAGTTAGTTAAGGTGGAGGTAGTGATAGAGAGAAGGACAGGGTTTCATTGATAAGGCTGACAGTTAGAAGGGGTAGTTCTTTTTGTGAAATAGATGAGGGGTTTTAGATATGCACAAACCTTTTTCATGGAAGTCCAACTTTGCTCCTGAGTAGTTTAAAGGAAGTAGTCCCATTTACTACAAGGTTTCCAGGCTGTAGGAGCAGAAAATTGACGTCTTGGCTACAGGTGATTACAACGATGAGTGCCAGGGGTAACTATGTCAATTAGAGGACTGGGACATAAATATTTGTGTGAAAAGGCTAGCTGTCATTGATTTTTTACATTTCCATAATGTATGACAGAGCAAGCATTAAAGGCAATGGTCTGAGGTGAGTCAGACTTAGTAACATTAATAAAAAAGGAGCTAGTAAGGGAATAAGGAAAGGAAGGGAAGCAATATAGAAGGTATATGAAAATTAAGCTTTTTTTAAACTTTAACTTAGCAGGGCTTGATCCTAGTACGGTAACCCATGATTCTGATGAGGAATATGTTTTCTTGACTCGGGTATGGTGGGTCCATTGTTTCTCGGCTGTGCAGATGGCAGTCTCAGTAGTTAACAGCATAAGATAGGGTCCTTCCCAGGCTGGCTTGAGTTTTTTCTTTCCTTTCTGGCTTCTGATGAGGACTTGGTTTTCAGGCTGGTGCTGGTGTACTGGAAATTCTAGGGGTGGTACCTGTGTTAAAAGACTTTTAGTTTTGAGGGAAGGGAAAGTGGAAGATAAATTAAGTATATAATTTCTGCTGCATATCCTGGGGCTTGAGGACCCATGGTGATGCCTCCCGCTCCATTCCTGCTTAGCGCTGTCCAGGGGATGCTGTGGCCCTGCCCCCTCTTAAGGTCTTGGCCTTCTTGTGACCTTCACTGTCCCCGCGTGTTGTGGCCTTGGGGATGAGGGCCCTTGTGACTTAACCGGCCGCCCTCGGGCCTTAGGAAAGCTAAACATCATTTTATATTTGACAATGATTTTTGTATGATTTTATACCAGATAAGTTAAATTTTACCTTTATATTAATGTGCTATTAATGTTAAACTTAATTTAAATAAAATCTTGTAGACATTATTTATTCACTTTTAATGTCTGACTATAAGGTAAAATTTTTATAGACTCTTTTTAACCTTTTATAATTTTTGTTAAAGAGCAGGTTAGTGCTTTAAGAAAAATCTATTGTGCTTTTATTTTAATGTCCAGTTCACAGGAAAACTGGATGATACCCCTTTAACTTTAGCCAATATGTTTTCACACAGAGTTTCCTTTACAATTAATATTTTAAAACTTGCTTAAACCTCTAAAACAAAATGTTTTTTAACCTTTTAATGTAGATAAAAATCCATATTCGTATGCCTCCTTATAATCCTTTTATTAAAAGTATATTTATTTTTCTTTATTTTTTTCTAACTCACTTTTATTTACTTGTTTTTTATTATGCTTTAACTTCTAGGGTAAATGTGCACAATGTGCAGGTTAGTTACATAGGTATACATGTGCCGTGTTGGTTTGCTGCACCCATCAGCTTATCATTTACATTAGGTATTTCTCCTAATGCTATCCCTCCCCCAGACCCCCACCCCCTGACAGGCCCCAGTGTGTGATGTTCCCCCCTGACCGTGTCCAAGTGTTCTCATTGTTCAGTTCCCACCTATGAGTGAGAACATGCAGTGTTTGGTTTTCTGTCCTTGTGATAGTTTGCTGAGAATGATGGTTTCCGGCTTCCTCCATGTCCTTGCAAAGGACATGAATTCATCCTTTTTTATGGCTGCACACTATTCTATGGTGAAAAGTATATTTTATTTTTCTTATATACCTTGTACATAAACTGTTTTTTTGAATAGTTTTACATTCAGGAGGCCTAATTACTTTTAAATTATATAATATTTCTCTCATAAATTCCCTTTTATAATTTTTCTTATGACTTTCACAATCTTCAACATGTTTTAACTTTCTGCCTTCCTTTTACACTATTTCTTTTCCTAGTTTCACCCTCTGAGTCTTCCTTTGATTTCTCTCTTCCAGTCTCTCTCTTACTTATTATTTCCCTCTATTTCTCTCTCTCTCATTTGTGCTCCTTTTTGTCTCTCTCTCTGTCATGTCCTGTTTCCTTTTTCCCTCCCGAGTTCTCTGGCGGGGCTGGGCAATGGCATAGGCCCCACCTCTGTGAAAGTGCTGCCATCTGTTTCTCCTGGTTTTTATTTTTTTTTCCGATTTCCCTTTTTATTTTCTTTCTTTTTTCCTACACTTAGTTTCTCAGGCTGGGTGGGATTTGTATGGCTGCAGTCTGGGTGCTGGGCCATCACTGGCCCACAGGCTTGGAAGGTGCCTGCCGCAAGTTGCAAGAATTGTGTTCTTTCACCTACTCTGCTCTACTCCTGCTACTGGTCCCCACCCTCTTTTTCACATAGAGCTGGGCTGGGGAAAGGGACTTAACCCTTGGCATGCCTGGCTGTCTGGCACTGCGCTTACTGTTTTTGCTCTCTTTTACTTTGACGTCTTCTCCTAGTTTCTTTTTCCTCTCTGTGGTCTTTCTTTTGCCTCTAACAGCCACCTGCTGATTTCCCCCCTCTCCTTCCCTTTCCCCTAGGGGAGCGACTGGTGGCAATGGAGCTTAGCATTTTTCTTTCCCCAAGAAGAGGGGAAAGGGAAGTTTTGAATTCTTTTTTTTACTACCAGAGGTTTGTGTGAGGTTCACCCCACCATGGGGATTTCTCACCTCTTTTTGAGGTTCAATCCCCACATTGGGGATTTCTTACCTCTTTTTGAGGTTCCACTCCCGCAGTGGGGATTTCTTACCTCTTTTTGAGATTCAAACCCCCCAAATGGGGATTTCTCCCCTCTTTTTAATCTCCAAGATATCCCAGCTAAGGAATATTTCACAGCCCCCCCTGGTTTTCTTTCCCTAGACCCATCTAAGGAATGATTTACCACCCCTGCATTTCTCTCCTTGGTATATCCTAATCAAGGAATGTGTTACCGCCCTGCAGCTTTTTCCTTAGTCCCAACCACAAAGGAAATACTTTAGCAGCTCTCCCGGTGTTTTTTTACCTCGGTCTGTGCACAGAGTTTTCTGGTTCATGTGATATGTGAGAATCCTTTACTCCTGGTCACTGGTCAGGTTTTTTGTTTTTTTTCTGCATTGGTGAGAGTCCAGGTTTATTTGTCACACTGGATGGGTCTTGATTCCTTATCCCTGAGGCCACTGCAATGAGGCAGAGGAGCACGCTTCCTCATGAGAGAGGATGGGAGACCACACCTGGAGGAGAAGGTATCCCCATATGGGCCAACAAAATTGTTAGAAATGCTTGTTCCCCGGTGCCATAACGAAATAGCACTAGAACATAAGTTTAATTTTATCAGCAAGGCCATTTTTACTTTCTGCAGAAAGGGTACACTCATTAATAGTTTTGTCATGAGAGTACACTGAACAAAGGAGACAGGGTTGTTTATAACCTGAAGCATCCACCCTACTGCTGTGTCCAGTTTCCAAAGGCTGGAACAGGATCTCACATTCTGTATTTGTCCCAATTGGCTAGCAACTTAGAACTTTTTAAAAGAGGCAAAGGCAGATGAGAACAAAGGAAGGAGGAAGTAACTTGTGGAATGCTGAGAAAGGTAAAAACACCTTCAAATAAGGAACAGGCTATGGCCTAATGCTTGCTTGGACCAGTATAAGCATGTCCAGGAAATATTTAGCTAAATTGTGGGAGTTAAGAACATAAAGTGTATTGATTTCTTTATTACAGCTATCAGATATTTGAGAACGTTAGCACAGGTTTTTGAATAAATTTTGCTTTTTTTAGTATTATACTTTAGTTCTAGGGTACATGTGCACAATGTGCAGGTTTGTTACATATGTATACATGTGCCGTGTTGGTTTGCTGCACCCATTAACTTGTCATTTACATTAGGTATTTCTCCTAATGCTATCCCTCCTCCATCCCCCCACCCTACAACAGGCCCCGGTGTGTGATGTTTCCCCCCCAGTGTCCAAGTGTTCTCATTGTTCAATTCCCACTTATGAGTGAGAACATGCAATGTTTGGTGTTCTGTCCTTGCGATAGTTTGCTCAGAATGATGGTTTCCAGCTTCATCCATGTCCCTACAAAGGACATGAACTCATCATTATTTATGGCTGCATAGTATTCCATGGTGTATATGTGCCACATTTTCTTAATTCAGTCTATCATTGATGGACATTTGGCTTGGTTCCAAGTCTTTGCTATTGCAAATAGTGCCACAATAAACATACATGTGCATGTGTCTTTATAGTAGCATGATTCATAATCCCTTGGGTATATACCCAGTAATGGGGTTGCTGGGTCAAATGGTATTTCTAGTTCTGGATCCTTGAGGAATTGCCACACTGTCTTCCACAATGGTTGAACTAGTTTACACTCCCACCAATAGTGTAATAGCGTTCCTATTTCTCCACATCCTCTCCAGCACCTGTTGTTTCCTGACTTTTTAATGATCACCATTCTAAATTGTGTGAGATGGTATCTCATTGTGGTTTTGACTTGCATTTCTCTGATGACCATATATCGATACTTCCTATCCATGAGCATGGAATGTGTTTCCATTTGTTAGTGTCCTCTTTTATTTCTTTGAGCAGTGGTTTGTAGTTCTCCTTGAAGAGGTCCTTCATATCCCTTATAAGTTGGATTCCCAGGTATTTTATCCTCTTTGTAGCAGCTGTGAATGGGAGTTCACCCATGTTTTTCTGTTATTAGTGTATAAGAATGCTTGTGATTTTTGCACATTGATTTTGTATCCTGAGACTTTGCTGAAGTTGCTTATCAGCTTAAGGACATTTTGGGCTGAGGCAATGGGTTTTCTAAATATACAATCATGTTGTCTGCAAACAGGGACAATTTTTTTTTTTTTTTTTGAGACGCAGTCTCTATTGCCCGGCTGGAGTGCAGTGGCACAATCTTGGCTCACTGCAAACCTGCCTCCCAGGTTCACACCATTCTCCTGCCTCAGCCTCCTGAGTAGCTGAGACTACAGGCACCTGCCACCATGCCTGGCTAATTTTTTTGTATTTTTAGTAGAGATAGGGTTTCACCATGTTAGCCAGAATGGTCTCGATCTCCTGACCTTGTGATCCACCCACCTCGGTGTCCCAAAGTGTTGGGATTACAGGTGTGAGCCACCATGCCCAGCCAAACAGGGACAATTTTGACTTCCTCTTTTTCTGATTGAATACCTTTTATTTCTTTCTCTTGCCTGATTGCCCTGGCCAGAACTTCCAACACTATGTTGAATAGGAGAGGTGAGAGAGGGCATACCTGTCTTGTGCCAGTTTTCAAAGGGAATGTTTCCAGGTTTTGCCCACTCAGTATGATACTGGCTGTGGGCTTGTCATAAATAGCTCTTATTATTTTGAGATACATTCCATCAATATCTAGTTTATTGAGAGTTTTTAGCATGAAGTGCTGTTGAATTTTGCCAAAGGCCTTTTCTGCATCTATTGAGATAATCATGGGGTTTTTGTCTTTGGTTCTATTTATGTGATGGGTTATGTTTACTGATTTGGATATGTTGAACCAGCCTTGCATCCCAGGGATGAAGCCAACTTGATCATGGTGGATAAGCTTTTTGATGTACTGCTGGATTCGGTTTGCCAGTATTTTATTGAGGATTTTTGCATTGATGTTCATCAGGGATATTGGTCTAAAATTCTTTTTTGTTGTGTCTCTGCCAGGCTTTGGTATCAGGATGATGCTCTTGTCATAAAACGAGTTAGGGAGGATTCCCTCTTTTTCTATTGATTGGAATAGTTTCAGAAGGAATGGTACCAACTCCTGTATGTACCTCTGGTAGAATTCAGCTCTGAATCTGCCTGGTCCTGGGCTTTTTTTGGTTGGTAGGCTATTAATTATTGCCTCAATTTCAGAGCCTGTTATTGGTCTATTCAGAGATTCAACTTCTTCCTGGTTTAGTTTTGGGAGAGTGTATGTGTTGAGGAATTTATCCATTTCTAGTTTATTTGCATAGAGGTGTTTATAGTATTCTCTGATCGTAGTTTGTATTTCTGTGAGATGGATGGTGATATCCCCTTTATCATTTTTTATTGCATCTATTTGATTCTTCTCTCTTTTCTTCTTTATTAGTCTTGCTAGTGTCTATCACTTTTGTTGATCTTTTCAAAAAACCAGCTCCTGGATTCATTGATTTTTTTGAAGGGTTTTTTTTTGTGTCTCTATCTCCTTCAGTTCTGCTCTGATCCTAGTTATTTCTTGTCTTCTGCTAGCTTTTGAATTTGTTTACTCTGGCTTCTCTAGTTCCTTTAATTGTGATGTTAGGGTTTCAATTTTAGATCTTTCCTGCTTTCACTTGTGGGCATTTAGTGCTATACATTTCCCTCTACACACTTCTTTGAATGTGTCCCAGAGATTCTGATACATTGTGTCTTTGTGCTCATTGGTTTCAAAGAACATCTTTATTTCTGCCTTCATTTCGTTATTTACCCAGTAGTCATTCAGGAGCAGGTTGTTCAGTTTTCATGTAGTTGCGCGGTTTTGAGTGAGTTTCTTAATCCTGAGTTCTAATTTGATTGCACTGTGGTCTGAGAGACAGTTTGTTGTGATTTCTTTTTTTTACATTTGCTGAGGAGTGTTTTACTACCAATTATGTGATCAATTTTGGAATAAGTGTGATGTGGTACTGAGAAGAAGAATGTATATTCTTTTGATTTGGGGTGGAGAGTTCTGTAGATGTCTATTAGGTCCACTTGGTGCAGAGCTGAGTTGAAGTCCTGGATATCCTTATTAACCTTCTGTCTCATTGATCTGTCTAATATTGACAGTGGAGTGTTAAAATCTCCCATTATTATTTTGTGGGAGTCTGTCTCTTTGTAGGTCTCTCAGGATTTGCTTTATGAATCAGGGTGCTCCTGTACTGGGTTCATATATATTTGGGATAGTTAGCTCTTCTTGTTGAATTGATCCTTTTACCATTATGTAATGACCTTCTTTGTCTCTTTTGATCTTTGCTGGTTTAAAGTATGTTTCATCAGAGACTAGGATTGCTAGCCCTGCTGTTTTTTGCTTTCTATTTTCTTGGTAGATCTCCCTCCATCCCTTTATTTCGAGCTTATATGTGTCTCGGCACATGAGACTGGTATCCTGAATACAGCACACTGATGGGTCTTGACTCTTTATCCAATTTGCCAGTCTGTGCCTTTTAAATGGAGCATTTAGCCCATTTACATTTAAGTTTAGTATTGTTATGTGTGAATTTTATCCTGTCATTATGATGTTAGCTGGTTATTTTGCTCATTAGTTGATGCAGTTTCTTCCTAGCCTTGATGGTCTTTACAATTTGGCATGTTTTTGCAGTGGCTGGTACCAGTTGTTCCTTTCCATGTATAGTGCTTCCTTCAGGAGCTCTTTTAGGGCAGGCCTGGTGGTGAAAAAAGCTCTCAGCATTTGCTTGTCTGTAAAGTATTTTATTTCTCCTTCACTTATGAATCTTAGTCTGGCTGGATATGAAATTCTGGTTTGAAAATTCTTTTCTTTAAGAATGTTGAATATTGGCCTCCGCTTTCTTCTGGCTTGTAGAGTTTCTGCCAAGAGATCAGCTGTTAGTCTGATGGGTTTCCCTTTGTGGGTAACCCGACCTTTTTCTCTGGCTGCCCTTAACTTTTTTTCTTTCATTTCAACTTCGGTGAATCTGCCAATGATGTGTCTTCAGGTTGCTCTTCTTGAGCAGTATCTTTGTGGTGTTCTCTGTATTTCCTGAATTTGAATGTTGGCCTGCCTTGCTAGATTGGGGAAGTTTTCCTGGATAATATCCTGAAGAGTGTTGTTCAGCTTGGTTCCATTCTCCCCCTCACTTTCAGGTACACAAATCAAATGTAGATTTGGTCTTTTCACATAGTCCCATATTTCTTGGAGGCTTTGTTCATTTCTTTTTATTCTTTTTTCTCTAAACTTCTCTTCTCATTTCATGTCATTCATTTGATCTTCAATCACAGATAACCTTTCTTCCACTTGATCGATTCAGCTACTGAAGCTTGTGCATGTGTCATGTAGTTCTTTTGCCATGGTTTTCAGCTCCATGGGGTCATTTAAGGTCTTCTCTACACTGTTTGTTCTAATTAGCCATTCATCTAATCGTTTTTCAAGGTTTTTAGCTTCCTTGTGATGGATTCAAACGTCCTTCTTTAGCTCGGAGAAGTTTGTTATTACTGACTTTCTGAAGCCTACTTCCGTCAGCTTGTTAAAGTCATTTTCCATCCTGCTTTGTTCCATTGCTAGTGAGGAGCTTTGATCCTTTGGAGGAGAAGGGATGCTCTGGTTTTTAGAATTTTCAGCTGTTCTACTCTGCTTTCTCCCCATCTTTGTGGTTTTATCTACCTTTGTCTTTGATGATGGTGACCCACAGATGGGGTTTTGGTGTGGATGTCCTTTTAGTTGATGTTGATGCCATTCCTTTCTGTTTGTTAGTTTTCCTTCTAACAGTCAAGTCCCTCAGCTGCAGGTCTGTTGGAGTTTGCTGGAGGTCCGCTCCAGATCCTGTTTGCCTGGGTATCACCAGCAGAGGCTGCCGAACAGCAAATATTTCAGAACAGCAAATATTGCTGTCTAATCCTTCCTCTGGAAGCTTCATCTCAGAGGGGCACCCGGCTGTATGAGGTGTCAGTCAGCCCCTACTGGGAGCTGTCTCCAAGTTAGGCTACATAGGGGTCAGGGACCCACTTGAGGAGGCATTCTATCCATTCTGAGATCTCAAACACTGTGCTGGGAGAACCACTGCTCTCTTCAGAGCTGTCAGACAGAGACGTTTAAGTCTGCAGAAATTTCTGCTCCCTTTTGTTCAGCTATTCCCTGCCCCCAGAGGTGGAGTCTACATAGGCAGGTTGGCCTCAGTGTCCCGTGGTGGGCTCCAACCAGTTTGAGCTTCCAGGCTGCTTTGTTTATGTACTTAAGCATCAGCAATGGCAGACACTACTCCCCCAGCCAGGCTTGCCACCTTGCAGTTTGGTCTTGGACAAGCAGTGAGCAAGGCTCCATGGGCATGGGACCCGCTGAGCCAAGCATGGGATATAATCTCTTGGTGTGCCATTTGCTCAGTTGGAAATGCAGAAATCACCCATCATCTGCATCGATCACACTGGGAGCTGCAGACCGGAGCTGTTCCTATTCGGCCATCTTGGAATGGACCCATCAAATAAATTTTGCTTCTAAGAGAAGTTACTATTTATTCCTAATTAGATAGGGAGGAAAGTCTTTGAAGAGGAACCTCTATGTCACCTTTTCCACACGGTGATTATCTAATATTTGCAGGCTGAAGTACCTATACAGCAAAAGGAAGAACAGTTCAGTGCATAAACTGAACAGTGGAGTCTGTAGTTTTATCTTGCTTTGTATTTATTACTTCAGAACAATTAGCATAGTTATGTGTAGTGTTTGTAGACAACCTGCATTCATATAAATTAAACAGTATTTTCCCCCTTTTTGAGACAGTCTCACTCTCTTGCACAGGCTGGAGTGCAGTTTTGTGATCTCAGCTGACTGCAACCACTGCCTCTGGGTTCAAGCAATTCTCCTGCCTCAGCCTCCTGAGTAGCTGGGAATACAGGCTTGCATCACCACGCTTGGCTAAGTTTTTGTATTTTTAGTAGAGATGGGGTCTCACCATGTTGTCCAGCTTGATCTTGATCTCCTGACCTTGGGTGATCCACCCACCCTCAGCCTCCCAAAGTGCTGGGATTACAGGTGTGAGCCATAAACAGTATTTTCTACAATAGTATGAATATGAAGCCACAATAATTACTTTGAATCACTTAAATGGTTATTTTAATATTGTTAATTACCCTTTTGAAATATAAAGTGTTTTAAACTAACTATAGTTACAATTTTTAAAAATGCTACATACATTATGACTAGTTCATTAAAATTATTCATACTTATTTATATCTAATATCAAAAGAAAATTTACTACCAAATTGTTACAGTAGATATTAGTCTGACGTGTTTATTACTTTATTCAATAGGAATAATTATGACTAAACACAATTTTAGTATCTTTTATTTCACTAAATTGGAATGCTGCTATTACAGGATAAATAAAGACAGGTGATGTGGCCACCCAAACACCATAATAACTATTCAGTTAGCTATGTTGCAATTTCTAATGTATTCCACTATATGAACACAGTCAGATTCTATTTATTCATCAAAAAGTGTTAAGTTGTCAGATGTATTTCAGTATAGAACCCCCATTCAATGGCTATGACATGAGAGAGCAGCAGAGATGGAAAAGAAACTTCTATAAAATTCCTCTGAAAATATGCCCCATTTTTTCATAATGCTCATATGTTTCTCATGCTATGTACATTGGGTGTTTAGAGAGAAATTTCTTTTAGGGGAATATTTTCTGGCTGACATAATCAATCTTATATCTAATCTAAGCTTTTTCTTAAGATCTTTTTAACTTTCTTCTTTCAAAATAATCTTGCTCAGATGGAGATCTGTTTTTCTCTCCAGTGCTTTGTCTGTTTCAGAAGCCCTATTAGTATCCCATGGTGCCTGAATGAGGTGGGCTGTCGCAGTGAGAACTTTTGGAGCTATCTCTATCTGGACTCATGCTGGAAACTCAGCAGTATTTTTTCCATGTCACCATTATAAGTAGAAGCTGGGGCTGAAACACTGCTCCCATTCCCATTATCAGGCTACAACATATGCAGAGCCATGGCCACAACTATATTTACCTGTAAAATGTGTTACTGGAGTAGAGTATTTTTGTTCTTTCCCTTACACAAGAGCTAGCAAACCAGGACAGGTGATCCAGGTTCTGGAGCTCAACCAAGGCAGTTTCATTTTCCTTTTTTCTTTTTTTTTTTAGACAGAGTTTCAGTCTTCTTCCCCAGGCTGGAATGCAATGGCCCAATCTCGGCTCACTGCAACCTCCACTTCCTGGGTTCAACTGATTCTCCTGCCTCAGCCTCCCGAGTAGCTGAGATTACAGGCATGTGCTACCACGCCTGGCTAATTTTGTATTTTTAGTAGAGACAGAGTTTCTCCCTGTTAGTCAGGCTGGTCTCAAGCTTCTGACCTCAAGTGATCTACCCACCTTGGCCTCCCAAAGTTCTGGGATTACAGGCAGAAGCCACCGCACTCAGCCAGGCAGTTCCATTTTTTATTTAGAATCAGCCTGAGTCTCTCCAGCCTGGCTTATTATTGGGCCATCAGCCCTGGGTCACTGGGAATTCTCTCACAATCACCTAGGTGTGTTTGAGGCATTTCAGGATGGCCAGAGTAGAATTGTTTCAGGCTGACAAGAGTGGTTAATTCTGCTTCTGTCTCAGTGTAAGAGAAGTGAGTCATCCTGTATTTGTTCATCCCCTCATACAAGAGGTGTCTTTGGTTGATACACAGATGACAGTTTCTCCAGTTTCCTGGTACTTGGATAATAAACAAGGAAAAGATCTGGAGACCCAAATAGATAAACTAGTTGCTTCCATTTCATGTAGTCGTTAAAAAAAAAATGAAGAAGTCATGGTTCCTACAATCCAGAAACTTTTAATCTAGACTAGCAACTGGGTAAATAATTAAATTAAGCATCATATGGTTGGTCCAACAAAGAGATGTGTCCAAAATCTTGGGCTTTATTTAGGCCACTTTCTTTATATTGCTGTGACTTCTGTTGGCTACACCTGTAGGGATATTCATGAACAGAATTGTTATTAAATATATATGTGTGTGTATGTATGTGTGTGTATATATATATATATATATAGAGAGAGAGAGAGAGAGAGAGAGAGAGAGAGATAGTCTCACTCTATCACCCAAGCTAGAGTGCAATAGCAGAAACTCGGCTCACTGCAATCTCTGTCTCCTGGGTTCAAGTGATTCTCCTGCCTCAGTCTCCCGAGTAGCTGGGGTTGTAGGTGGCTCCCACTGAACCTGGCTGATTTTTGTATTTTTAGTCGACATCGTGTTTCACCATCTTGGTGAAGCTGGTCTTGAACTCTTGACATCACGATCCAACTGCCTTGGCCTCTCAAAGTGCTGGAATTGCAGGCATGAGCCTTTGTGCCCAGCTGTATAATTTTTATTTCTTTTACCTTGCTACGTGTACATATTTATTTTCTAATAAAATTACCCTAGAAAGCTGGGCGCAGTGGCTCATGCCTGTAATCCAGCACTTTGGGAGGCTGAGATGGGTGGATCACGAGGTCAGGAGTTCAAGACCAGCTTGGCAAATATATGGTTTTGTAATAATACAAAAATTGGCCAGGCATGGTGGTGCATGCCTGGCATCCGAGCTACTCAGGAGGCTGAGGCAAAAGAATCGCCTGAACCAGGGAGGCAGAGGTTGCAGTGAGCCAAGATCATGCCACTGCACTGCAGCATGGGTGACAGAACAAGACTCCATACCCCCCACCAAAAAAAATTACCCTAGAAAACTTTAAGGGATTTATGTAATTGCATATTAGTATATAGTATAAAGTTGACAGGATAGTGGCTAGAAGAGTCTAAAATTACAGAAACTCTGGGATTTAAGTTTCTTTTAGGTAAGCTTAGAAAAAACAAAACTGGAAGTACTGTAGTGCCATAGAGAACAGAATTCTACATAGGGTCTTCCTCCTGTCACAGACCTGTTCAGATTAACCCTTTTTGGAGGCCTTATTTAGGTCTGAACCTACCCTGAAGTCTTGCCTCACAGAACTGATTAGAAGGGATCAGAGTTTTGGCTGGGGAATCCTGTTGCATTTCTAGACCTGGTGCTCACAAATTTCTGAAACCCAAAAGCAGATAAATAGGAAAAATAAATTATGTATTGTCGGGTATTAGTTTTTAAATTTTCTATTAAAACCAGTGCTTGCAGAGACATTCTATTTAGTAACTTGTTTTCTATTCCTACAGACCCAGTCATTGCTACACAAGTCACAAAAAAAGTAAACATAAACAGAATAAAATTTTCTGTACACTACATTAAACTCTTCCTTTCTATATTTCTCTCATCTGTCTATATTTAGCTTTTATTCTTTACAATTTTTAAAAGGTTTGATGACAGAGAAACAAGAAGAAATAAAAATGCTGGGCCCTTTATCTAAATCCTGGAAATTATTAAACCCTTAGTACCAGCTCCCAGGTTGTTATCAGAATTAAATCACATAATGTGTTATGCCCAGCACAGTGCTCTGTATCCTACTCTTGAGCTCATAGTACCTGCTTAATAAACATTGCATTAGTACAGGTGTACATGTTGTTTTTAAATCCAAACGTATTGAGATATTGCTGCCTCCTATTTTCTCTGTCAACTTTAAAGAGCCAGCAAATAATATGTCTTTAGGATGCAGATGGGTTGTCCTTATTTGTACCAGAAGTATTTGGTTGTTACAAGAGTTCAGAGTGTAAGGAACCCTGTACTGTGCCTGCTTTCTCTAACTAATGCTAATAATGAGCGAAGGGGGAGCAACATCAGCATTGACAGGAAACTTGTTTAAAACACCTATTTATGGACCTTTTTCAAACCTGCAGAATCACATTACATAAAGTGGGGTCAAATTTACCAAGTGATTTATAAGCTCGTTAAAGCTTGAGAGAAAATGCTTAGCTTAGTGGTTATCAGCCCAGGCTTGTCACTAGGACAACATGGCCAATTTGCAGAAATATCTTGTGCCCTCCCCACAGCTTCTGTTTATTCCTCTGGGTGGAAGCATTCAGGTTGTTTTAATTAAGGGCCTCATGTGACTCTAAGGTGAGGCCAGAATCAAGTATGAACACTTCAAAATACAGTCATGAGAATTAAGTTCCACTTTTGCACTAAAGGGTGGTTACAAGTCCTGTTCTGTTTGGATTTGGTAGGGACAGGTCAGTGTGGCATATATCTGCATTACTGTAGAAGAAATTGCTGGTGTCTGTGGCAGGTGATGGCACCTGAGGAAAGGAAAGGAGAAACATACTATTATCTTCATGGAGCAGCACATTGTTCCTGAATCTCTTCTGTTTTAAAGGAAAGAAATGGCTGGACTTTTTCTTTTTCTGCCAGTTGTTGTCATGCTAGCAGGTAAATATGTGGCACTGACATCCTTAAAGGCATATTCTCAAGATGCAGGTGTAATTTGTTCAGAGGGTCTCATCTGAGAAGGAACTCCAGAGAAGGAGAAGAAAGAGAAAAAATGGCTTTTCTTCAGGTAAACATGTCTCACATCAAGAGCAGTGTCCACTCTGCCTCCTGGACTGCCATGCGTTTGGTATTCACAAACCTTTACTTCTCTACTTGTGTTTTTCCTCCCTAATGAGTTTAGTTTAAGTGCTTCTTTTTTTTTTTTTTTGTTATACTTTAAGTTTTAGGGTACATGTGCACAACGTGCATGTTTGTTACATATGTACACATGTGACATGCTGGTGCACTGCACCCATTAACTCATCATTTAGCATTAGGTATATCTCCTAATGCTATCCTTACCCCCTACCCCCACCACACAATAGGTCCCGGTGTGTGACGTTCCCCTTCCTATGTCCATGTGTTCTCATTGTTAAATTCCCATCTATGAGTGAGAACATGTGGTGTTTGTTTTTTTGTCCTTGCGATAGTTTGCTGAGAATGATGGTTTCCAACTTCATCCATGTCCCTACAAAGGACATGAACTCATCATTTTTTATGGCTGCATAGTATTCCATGGTGTATATGTGCCACATTTTCTTAATCCAGTCTATCATTGTTGGACATTTGGCTTGGTTCCAAGTCTTTGCTATTGTGAATAGTGCTGCAATAAACATATGTGTGCATGTGTCTTTATAGCAGCATGATTTATAGTCCTTTGGGTGTATACCCAGTAATGGGATTGCTGGGTCAAATGGTATTTCTAGTTCTAGATCCCTGAGGAATCGCCACACTGACTTCCACAATGGTTGAACTAGTTTACAGTCCCACCAACAGTGTAAAAGTGTTCCTTGTTTCTCCACATCCTCTCCAACTCCTGTTGTTTCCTGACTTTTTAATGATCGCCATTCTAACTGGTGTGTGATGGTATCTCATTGTGGTTTTGATTTGCATTTCTCTGATGGCCAGTGATGACGAGCATTTTTTCATGTTCTTTGGCTGCATAAATAACTTCTTTTGAGAAGTGTTTGTTCATATCCTTCACCCACTTTTTGATGGGGTTGTTTGTTTTTTTCTTGTAAATTTGCTTGAGTTCATTGTAGATTTTGGATATTAGCCCTTTGTCAGATGAGTAGGTTGCAAAAATTTTCTCCCATTCTGTAGGTTGCCTGTTCACTCTGACGGTAGTTTCTTTTGCTGTGCAGAAGCTCTTGAGTTTAATTAGATCCCATTTGTCAATTTTGGCTTTTGTTGCCATTGCTTTTGGTGTTTTAGACATGAAGTCCCTGCACATGCCTATGTCTTGAATGGTATTGCCTAGGTTTTCTTCTAGGGTTTTCATGGTTTTAGTTCTAACATGGAAGTCTTTAATCCATCTTGAATTAATTTTTGTATAAGGTGTAAGTAAGGGATCCAGTTTCATCTTTCTACATAAGGCTAGCCAGTTTTCCCAGCACCATTTATTAAATAGGGAATCCTTTCCCCATTGCTTGTTTTTGTCAGGTTTGTCAAAGATCAGATAGTTGTAGATATGTGGCATTATTTCTGAGAGCTCTGTTCTGTTCCATTGGTGTATATCTCTGTTTTGGTACCAGTACAATGCTGTTTTGATTACTGTAGCCTTGTAGTATAGTTTGAAGTCAGGTAGGGTGATGCCTCCAGCTTTGTTCTTTTGGCTTAGGATTGACTTGGCGATGTGGGCTCCTTTTTGGTTCCATATGAACTTTAAAGTAGCTTTTTCCAATTCTGTGAAGAAAGTCATTGGTAGCTTGATGGGGATGGCATTCAATCTATAAATTACCTTGGGCAGTATGGCCATTTTCATGATATTGGTTCTTCCCACCCATGAGCATGGAACGTTCTTCCATTTGTTTGTATCCTCTTTTATTTCATTGAGCAGTGGTTTGTAGTTCTCCTTGAAGAGGTCCTTCACATCCCTTGTAAGTTGGATTCCTAGGTATTTTACTCTCTTTGAAGCAATTGTGAATGGG
The DNA here is from genome assembly GCF_000001405.40 of Homo sapiens. NCBI lineage: Eukaryota > Metazoa > Chordata > Mammalia > Primates > Hominidae > Homo > Homo sapiens. The sequence goes on along the minus strand of NC_000019.10, from coordinate 20,845,377 downwards.
AGTTCACTCATGATTTGGCTGTTTGTCTGTTATTGGTGTATAAAAATGCTTGCGATTTTTGCACATTGATTTTGTATCCTGAGACTTCGCTGAAGTTGCTTATCAGCTTAAGGAGATTTTGGGCTGAGACGATGGGGTTTTCTAGATATACAATCATGTCATCTGCAAACAGGGACAATTTGACTTCCTCTTTTCCTAATTGAATACCCTTTATTCCCTTCTCCTGCCTCATTGCCCTGGCCAGAACTTCCAACACTATGTTGAGTAGGAGTGGTGAGAGAGGGCATCCCTGTCTTGTGCCAGTTTTCAAAGGGAATGCTTCCAGTTTTTGCCCATTCAGTATGATATTGGCTGTGGGTTTGTCATAGATAACTCTTATTATTTTGAGATAGGACCCATCAATACCTAATTTATTGAGAGTTTTTAGTATGAAATGTTGTTGAATTTTGTTGAAGGCCTTTTCTGCATCTATTGAGATAATCATGTGGTTTTTGTCTTTGGTTCTGTTTATGTGCTAGATTACATTTATTGATTTTCATATGTTGAACCAGCCTTGCATCCCAGGGATGAAGCCCACTTGATCATGGTGGATAAGCTTTTTGATGTGTTGCTGGATTCGGTTTGCCAGTATTTTATTGAGGATTTTTGCATCAATGTTCATCAAGGATATTGGTCTAAAATTCTCTTTTTTTGTTGTGTCTCTGCTAGGCTTTGGTATCAGGATGATGCTGGCCTCACAAAATGAGTTAGGGAGGATTCCCTCTTTTTCTACTGATTAGAATAATTTTAGATGTAATGGTATCAGCTTCTCCTTGTACCTCTCATAGAATTCGGCTGTGAATCCATCTGGTCCTGGAATTTTTTGGTTGGTAAGCTGTTAATTATTGCCTCAATTTCAGAGCCTGTTATTGGTCTATTCAGAGATTCAACTTCTTCCTGGTTTAGTCTTGAGAGAGTGTATGTGTTGAGGAATTTATCCATTTCTTCTAGATTTTCTAGTTTATTTGCTTAGAGGTGTTTATGGTATTCTCTGATGGTGGTTTGTATTTCTATGGGATTGGTGGTGATATCCCCTTTATCATTTTTTATTTCATCTATTTGATTTTTCTCTCTTTTCTTCTTTATTGGTCGTGCTAGTGGTCTATCACTTTTGTTGATCTTTTCAAAAAACCAGCTCCTGGATTCATTAATTTTTTGAAGGGGTTTTTGTGTCTCTATTTCCTTCAGTTCTGCTCTGATCTTAGATATTTCTTGCCTTCTGCTAGCTTTTGAAAGTGTTTGCTCTTGCTTCTCTAGTTCTTTTAATTGTGATGTTAGGGTGTCAATTTTAGATCTTTCCTGCTTTCTCTTGTGGGCATTTAGTGCTATAAATTTCCCTCTACACACTGCTTTGAATGTGTCCCAGAGATTCTAGTATGTTATGTCTTTGTTCTCATGGGTTTCAAAGAACATCTTTATTTCTGCCTTCATTTCGTTATTTACCCAGTAGTCATTCAGGAGCAGGTTGTTCAGTTTCCATGTAGTTTTGCAGTTTTGAGTGAGTTTCTTAATCCTGAGTTCTAGTTTGATTGCACTGTGGTCTGAGAGACAGTTTGTTATAATTTCTGTTCTTTTACATTGCTGAGGAGTGCTTTACTTCCAACTATATGGTCAATTTTGGAATAGGTGTGGTGTGGTGCTGAAAAGAATGTGTATTCTATTGATGTGGGGTGGGGAGTTCCGTAGATGTCTATTAGGTCCACTTGGTGCAGAGCTGAGTTGAATTCCTGGATATCCTTCTTAACTTTCTGTCTCATTGATCTGTCTAATGTTGACAGTGGGGTGTTAAAGTCTCCCATTATTATTGTGTGGGAGTCTAAGTCTCTTTATAGGTCACTAAGGACTTTGCTTTATGAATCTGGGTGCTCCTGTATTGGGTGCATATATATTTAGGATAGTTAGCTCTTCTTGTTGAATTGATCCCTTTACCATTATGTAATGGCTTTCTTTGTCTCTTTTGATCTTTGTTGGTTTTAAATCTGTTTTATCGGAAACTAGGATTGCAACCCCCGCCTTTTTTTGCTGTCCATTTGCTTGGTAGATCTTCCTACATCCCTTTATTTTGAGTCTATGTGTGTCTCTGCACATGAGATGGGTTTCCTGAATACAGCACACTGATGGGTCTTGACTTTTTATCCAATTTGCCAGTCTGTGCCTTTTAAATGGAGTATTTAGCCCATTTACATTTAAGGTTAGTATTGTTATGTGTGAATTCGATCCTGTCATTATGATGTTAGCCAGTTATTTTGCTCGTTAGTTGATGCAGTTTCTTCCCAGTCTTGATGGTCTTTACAATTTGGCATGTTTTTGCATTGGCTGGTACCAGTTGTTCCTTTCCATGTTTAGTGTTTCTTTCAGGAGATCTTTTAGGGCAGGCCTGGTGGTGACAAAATCTCTCAGCATTTGCTTGTCTGTAAAGTATTTTATTTCTCCTTCACTTATGAAGGTTAATTTGGCTGGATATGAAATTCTGGGTTGAAAATTCTTTTCTTTAAGAATGTTGAACATTGGCCCCCACTCTCTTCTGGCCTGTAGAGTTTCTGCCAAGAGATCAGCTGTTAGTCTGATGGGTTTCCCTTTGTGGGTAACCTGACCTTTCTCTCTGGCTGCCCTTAACATTTTTTCCTTCATTTCAACTTTGGTGAATCTGACAGTTATGTGTCTTGGAGTTGCTCTTCTCAAGGAGTGTCTTTATGGTGTTCTCTGTATTTCCTGAATTTGAATGTTGGCCTGCCTTGCTAGGTTGGGGAAGTTCTCCTGAATAATATCCTGCAGAGTGCTTTCCAACTTGTTTCCATTCTCCCCGTCACTTTCAGGTACACCAATCAGATGTAGATTTGGTCTTTTCACATAGTCCCATATTTCTTGTAGTCTTTGTTCATTTCTTTTTATTCTTTTTTCTCTTAACTTCTCTTCATGCTTCATTTCATTCATTTCATCTTCCATCACTGATACCCTTTCTTCCAGTTGATTGCATTGGTTAATGAGGCTTGTGCCTTCGTCACGTAGTTCTCATGCTATGGTTTTCAGCTTCATCAGGTCCTTTAAGGACTTCTCTGCATTGATTATTCCAGTTATCCATTCATCTAATTTTTTTTCAAAGTTCTTAACTTCTTTGCCATGGGTTCAAACTTCCTCCTTTAGCTCGGAGTGGTTTGATCTTCTGAAGCCTTCCTCTCCCATTTAGTCAAAGTCATTCTCCATCCAGCTTTGTTCTGTTGCTGGTTAGGAGCTGCGTTCCTTTGGAGGAGGAGAGGTGCTCTGATATTTAGAGTTTCCATTTTTTCTGCTCTGTTTTCTCCCCATCTTTGTGTTTTTATCTACCTTTGGTCTTTGATGATGGTGACGTACCGATGGGTTTTTGGTGTGGATGTCCTTTCTGTTTGTTAGTTTTCCTTCTAACAGTCAGGACCCTCAGATGCAGGTCTGTTGGAGTTTACTGGAGGTCCACTCCAGACCCTGTTTGGCTGGGTGTCAGCAGCGGTGGCTGCACAACAGTGGATATTGGTGAACCACAAATGCTGCTGCCTGATCATTCCTCTGGAAGTTTTGTCTCAGAGGAGTATCCGGCCATGTGAGGTGTCAGTCTGCCTCTACTGGGGGGTGCCTCCCAGTTAGGCTACTCAGGGGTCAGGGACCCACTTGAGGAGGCAGTTTGCCCATTCTCAGATCTCAAGCTGTGTGCTGGGAGAACCACTACTCTCCTCAAAGCTGTGACACAGGGACATTTAAGTCTGCAGAAGTTATTGCTGTCTTTTGTTTGTCTGTGACCTGCCCCCAGAGGTTGAGCCTACAGAGGTAGGCAGGCCTCCTTGAGCTGTGGTGGGCTCCACCCAGTTCGAGCTTCCAGGCTGCTTTGTTTACCTACTCAAGCCTGAGCAATGGCGGGCACCCCTCCCCCAGCCTCACTGCCGCCTTACAGTTTGATCTCAGACTGCTGTGCTAGCAATGAGTGAGGCTCCGTGGGTGTAGGGCCCTCCAAGCCAGGTGTGGGATATAATCTCCTGGCCTGCCGTTTGTGAAGCCCATTGGAAAAGCACAGTATTAGGGTGGGAGTGACCCAATGTTCCAGGTGCCATCTGTCACCCCTTTCTTTGACTAGGAAAGGGAATTCCCTGACCCCTTGCGCTTCCTGGGTGAGGCAATGCCTCGCCCTGCTTTGGCTCACACAGTGTGTGCTGCACCCACTGTCCAGCACTCCCCTGTGAGATGAACCCGGTACCTCAGTTGGAAATACAGAAATCCGTCTTCTGCGTCGCTCATGCTGGGAGCTGTAGACTGGAGCTGTTCCTATTCGGCCATCTTGGCTCCACCCCCTATTCTCAGTTTGAGTTCTTCTTAAAATACTTATGATAGTCAAGGGTCTCCGAAAAATATTTATTTCCTATATTCCAGAACTTTCTCTACATTTTCTATGTCGTAGCTTCTTATATGCCATGCAGAATTCTCAGCAAGAATTTATGATCTGAAATGTAGGATACAGTAAATATCTCTTTAAAGGTTTCAGCTTAACTTCCTTTAAAATCCAAGAGAGGAAAATCGTTAAGTACAATGAGTTCTGAAGTCCTCTTCAAAGAACCAATATTTCAGTATTATCAGCTTCCCTGTTCTTTGTTCTCCATTTTAATGTTTAAATTCCTCAATCTTTATGTCTCCTTGCCCCTAGTTTCAGTAAGCAACCCCCTTCTAACTCACATATTTAGGGTCCTTACTCATCCCCAGTCACCTAATCTGTTCTGAGTCACCCCTAGTCACCTGCTGTGAATCATCCCTAGTTACCTGCTCTATTCTGAGTCACCCCCAGTCAAATGCCTTGTGACCATCCTTCCTGCTGAAACTACTCACCTCGCCACCCTTGCTCTCTTTAAAATAGCTAATTGGAATTAGCTAAGACTGTGCGGTCTAACCCTAGCCAATAGGAGAAAGACACATCACTAAGGACTAGCGGTGTAAGGGATAAGACCCCCTTCCCCTCCCTTGTCCAATTGTGCTCTTGCTATTTCTCCACCTGTGAGATGCAGCCTTGTATAGAAGTAAATTTGCCTTGCTTCAACGTTCTCGATTTGAGTGCTCACTTACTCTGAAACTCTGAGCAGTTGTTTCCAATATGCAATATTAAAAATGTTCCCTTTATGGCTGTTGAACATGAGAAGGTGTGGATACTCAAGATTTCTCTTGGGAAAAACTGTGGTCCTTAGTAAAGATGGAAAACATGTAATGTTGAGGCTCCATCTGTGTGTTCCATTAGCTCTATGCAGAGCAGGATTAAGAAAATGCTTGTGGCCAGATGCAGTGGCACACTCCTGTAATCCCGATACTTTGAGAGGCTGGTGGACCACGAGGTCAGGAGATTGAGACCATCCTGGCTAACATGGTGCAACCCCATCTGTACTAAAAATTCAAAAAAAAAAAAAAAATGAGCCAGGCATGGTGGTACAAGCCTGTAGTAACAGAATTCGGGAGGCTGAGGCAGGAGAATCACTTGAGCCCAGTAGGTGGATGTTGCCCTCAAAAATGTACATGTTCATGTTCAATCCCTTAATTTTATACTTCGTTACCTAGAAAAATATCATATATGTAATGATGTTGTGGATCTTACGCTGCTCCTCTTTCTCAGAGTTAAAGAATACATTAGAGCATATTTCTGTGTTGAAAATTATTTTATTGGATAATTTTAGTCAGTCCTATAAGTAAGAACCAGTTCTCTTTACTTTCCAATTTCACCTTAAGTCAAAATAACAACTCCGCCCACGGCCACTTGGTAAAAATATGTGTGTGTGTGTGTGTGTGTGTGTGTGTGTGTTTCAGGGGCCATTGCAATTTAGAGATGTGGCCATAGAATTCTCTCTGAAGGAGTGTCATTGTCTGGATACTGCACAGTGAAATTTATATAGGGATATGATGTTAGAGAACTACAGAAACCTTGTCTTTCTTGGTGAGGATAACCTTAATACATAATTCGTAACATACCCTGAAGGTTTTATTTATCTTTTCTTGTGGAGTGTTTTTTAGTAATTTATTCTTTGCATCAAAGAGTTTCAGAATGCTTTTTTCCCAGAAAATCTTCAGAATTTTTTCATTTAGAAAAGAATTTCTTCAAGATATTTCATCTTAATCCAAACTTTCCACATTCCTGAGTTGAGCTGTATTCTTCACTCTAAATTTGTGGTAATTCCCGAAATTTTGGCATAAAATATGGTTGCTCCCACCTGAAAATCTAACTGCCAGCACCAAGTTTTGATTCAGTAGTATCAGGTAGTAAAATTTAAAAACCTACGTGCAGGACCTGGCACAGTGGCTCACGCCTATAATCCCAACACTTTGTGAGGCTGAGGCAGGAAGATCACCTGAGGTCAGGAGTTCGAGACCAGCCCGACCAACATGGAGAAACTCCATCTCTACTAAAAATACAAAATTAGCCAGGCATGGTGGCACACACGTGAAATCCCAGCTACTCCAGAGGCTGAGGCTGGATAATTGGTAGAACCCGGGAGGCAGAGGTTTCACTGAGCCGAGATCGCACCATTGCACTTCAGCCTGCGCAACAAGAGCCAAACTCGGTCTCAAAAAAATAAAAAAAATTAAAAAATAAAGAAAAAGAAACCTACAGTTTGAAAGTATTTTCTAAATATTTAGAAATTTCTGTTATAAGTTAGTATTTTGGTATTAATTTACCAGAATATTGTATTACATCCTCTCTGCTGAGCACATTACTAGCTTGTAATTGGAGAATATGAGAAAGATTCATGTTATTTATTTTTAATAAAACAGTTATTGTTGTCTCTAAGCCAGACCTGATCACCTGTCTGGAATAAGAAAAAAAACTATGAAGAGACATGAGATGATTGCCAAACACCAAGGTGGGTGCGAGTGAAAACGAATGCAACAGATGGCACAGATAAGAGATCCCAAGGTTAAAGAGAAAGCCAGTCCTTAAAATGTGTTTTGGGAAGCTGTGTTCCAAAGGAAATAGTCCTGGGCAGCTGTTTTTGTTTTTGTTTTAATTTTTCTCTCACAAAGTGACACTTCTGTCATATGCTTTTAAATTCTTTAAGAATTCTTCTTTTCTTTCAGTGAGCTCCCTTCAAGTTCACAGTGAGAGCCAAAGTCCACTTCACAGCATATAAGAGGCTGCATAATCTGGCTTCTTTTCCAGTGTTTTGGGGACACAAATATCTGATTTTTTTTGAGAAACTAAAACTATTCTCAAAGTTCTCTTTTTGCATAGGTCTGAAATGTGTGAGAGTAGTAGTTTCTGTTGAATTTTTCTTGCTCAGTCTTCTGCACAGTCCATTCTGTTTTTATTACTATATAATCTTGAAATAGACTTCAAAAGTATAAGTTTTGCTTATACTTCTGCTCTGTTCTTTTCATCAAGATTGCTTTGGCAATTCAAAGCTTATTATAGTTTCATGTAAATTTCAGAATTGTATTTTTCATTACTGTCAAAAAGATACCATTGCAATTTTAATGGGAAGTTTATTGAATCTATAGATCACTTTGAATAATATGGCACTTTAATAATATTTATACTTTCAATCCATAGACATAAAATATTTTAAAATTTATTTATAACTTTTCTAATTTTTTCATTTTTTTAGTAAAGATTTTTTACTTCCTTGGTTAATTTTTTTCTCAGAAATTTATTATTTAATGCTATAGTAAATAAGATTTTTTTCTTCCTCTATTTTATCAGATAGTTTAAGTGTATAAAACCGTACATATGCTTGTATGTTAGTTTTATATTTTGCTAATTTACTGAGTGTATGTATTAGTTTAGACAGCTTCGAATGTACTCTTTATGGGTTTTTAAATATAAGATTATATGATCTACAAGCAGCAATTTTTTATTTATTTTTCCTCAATTTTAATGGATTTTTAAAATTTCTTTGACTAATTCTTCTGCCACATACTTCCAGTGCTACATTAAAGTAGAAGCATTGACAATGGACAGAATATAGTTTGGTATTTGTGTCTGAATTTGATGGAGCAAACACCACTTTAAATTTTCATAAACTGATTTCAGAAGGTAAAGATCTTTTGTTGGGCCCTTAGGGTGATGAGATGCCCTCTGAATTTGTAGTGAAGAGGGGTTGTAGCTTGGTCACAAGGCTGCTGGGTCTGAACTAGGGTTCACCTTTAGTTGGCTTGTTACAGGGGCTTGGGTAGTTGTAATTCCCATTTCATTTTTGGACAGACTGAATATCCTTCAGGGCTTTGCTCCATAGGGCAAACACTAGGGCAAGTTTTTGCAGTTCGGTCTGCATATGGTGGACCTTGTATCAGGATGTTGATGAGTATGGCTTTCAGTGAGTACCAGAGAGCATTTCCTCAGGTAACTGTGTGGGTTTCTATATAGGGAGAACTGACCATAAACAGTGGCTCGGGTAACTGAAACTGAGTCATTGAACTGCCTCAGTGACCCCAGTAAAGGCCCAGATCTGCAGGCCTGCCTGCATGGATGTAAATGGGCACCTTCCTCCAGGTATCTGGAATAGCAGGACCTCTGCCAGACTGTGGCTGGGAGGAGTTTGGGATGGTTACAGAGTAAGTTTAGAATTCTCAGTGGAACCAAGTTGGGTGAACCCTATCCTGGTCTGTAGCTAAAACAGGAGTCCTGCAGTATCCCACATGAATGAGGGCCTGCCTTCCGAATAGAATCCTTCTCAAACTTAAGCTTTAACATCGTTTCACAACTGCGTCCCTGCATCTCACATCTCTCTTAGAGGCACTTATTTGGGAGATGACATCTTGCTACATAACCCAGGCTGGCCTCAAAATCCTCACCTGAAGCAGTTTTCCAACCTAATGTACCATGAAGCTGTCATTATAGATGTGAGCAATAATGCCCTGTTCTCTCATAAAGGCATTTTTGTCAGGGATGGCTGACTTTTTTTGCTGTAAGGGAATATGAAAATAGGGCACTTTTAATCTTTTTATCTTACTGATGTCACTCTCCTTATACATTTTTACTTTCTATTTTCTATTTCAAATTTTTCTGTAATTTTAGATTCAGATATTTAGGACAATATGCTAGAATTTGCATGGTATGCCTCAAGTAAATTAGATAATTAATAGGCACTCCATATTTACTAAAACATTTACATATAAGTTTAAGTTTGATACAGGCAAAAAGGAATTATAGGATTTTCATCTACTTATTTCAGGCTATATCTAAATAATAACATAGTTTATTTCTTAATATTTGTTTCACATATGAGAGGGCCTAACCATATTCTGCAAAATATATATCTTTTTCTGTACTTAACAACGTAAGGCTATTCTTTCCTTTTAAAGTTGGATTACAGCAGTTTCATTTTGTTTAACAATAGCATATATTTAAAACATAAAAAGCAACTCTAGTTTCTTTAAAATGCTAATTTATTGTTTCTCTTTAGAATCTTCTATTTATAATTATACTGCATATTCTCTGAAATTTTACTGCCACACAATGCATGCCAATGATTTAAAATATTTGTATATGATGAGTACATAGTAACAGCTAAATATTGCAGTTACATAGTTTTTTTTTTTTGTTTTTTTTTTGAGAAGCAATTACACTTTCTCACCCAGGCTGGATTGCCGTCGGGTGATCTTGGCTCACTACAACATTCACCTCCCGGGTTCAAGCAATTCTTGTGCCTCAGCCTCCCAAGTAGCTGGTATTACAGGTATGTGCCACCATGCCCAGCTAATTTTTGTATTTTTAGTAGAGATGTGGTTTTACCACTTTAGCCAGGGTGGTCTTAAACTCTTGACCTCAGGTGATCTGTCCCCCTTGGCCTCCCAAAGTGCTGAGATTATAGGCATGAATCACTACACCCTGCCTGACAAATTTTGTTTGATGATACATCAATGTAGTATACCAGATTTTATGAGCAAACATTTCTCTTATTATTGTTTGAAGTTCTATGTTAGTGAGTTTCTCCGGTGTAGATTTATTTATTACTTTTTTTTTTTTTTTGAGAGGGAGTCTCTCTCCGTCACCCAGGCTAAAGTGCAGTGGCACAGTCTCAGCTCACAGCAACTTCTGCCTTCCGAGTTTAAGCCATTCTTCTGCCTCAGCCTCTTGAGTAGCTGGGACTACAGGCACGCCACCAAGCCCAGCTAATTTTTGTATTATTATTAGAGACAGTGTTTCACCTTATTGGCCAGGCTGGTCTCAAACTCCTGACCTCGTGATACGCCTGCCTCAGCCTCCCAAAGTGCTGGGATTATAGTCATGAGCCACCGAGTCCAGCCTCGGTGTAGGTTTCCCAACATCAGTTTATTGTGTCTATTGGTTATACTTACGTATTATAATTTTAGACAATTTGCAATTCCGTTTGTATATTTAAGTCAATATGAGTTTTATCTAAGAAATAAATTGCGCATGTCTATCACAACCGGATTACATGTGTATGTGTGCTAACCTATAAATATGACCCAAATTTTAGTTATGGCTTATTTCATATTCTCTCAGCTAATTTTCGATGGTAATTTTATCTTGTCTGAGTAGTCATGGAGATAGCCTTATTTTCACCATGTGTTTAATGATTAATATATATTTCTTTTTGTGAGAGAAACACTTTTGTGATTTGAAGTTAATTTCCAAAAAGATTTATAATTCTGGATTTTTTAAAGTTTTTCTCTATAAACATTGTTTTAAAAACACATAACATAATATTTACCATCTTAAATTTATTGATGTGTATACTTCAGGGCCAGGCATGGTTGTGGCTCTCATCTGTAATCCCAAGATTTTGGGAGGCCAAGACAGGAGGATCCCTGGAGCCCAAAAGTTTGAGACCAGCCTGGGAAACATAGGGAGACCCCTCTCTATAAAAAGAAAAAATTAATGATAGCCGTGTATGGTGGTGTGAAGCTGTGGTCCCAGCTACATGGGAGATTGAATTGTGCCACTACACTCCAGCTCGGGTGACCCTGTCTCAAAAAAAAAAAAAAAAAAGCTTTTCATTTCAGGCATGTTAAGTTTATTTACATTGTTATGCAAAAGACTTCTAGAAACTTTACATCTTGCAAAACTAAAACTCAGTACTCATTAAGTAACAACTTCTCATTTTACCCTCTCTCCAGCTTTTGACAAACCTTCCATTTTCTGTTTTTATGATTTTGACTACTTAAGATATCTCACATAAGTGGTACAGTATCCATAATTTTGTTACTAGATTAATTCAGGTGACATAAGATTCTCAATGTTCATCTTAAAATGTAACAAGATTTTTTTGAAGGTGGAATAATATTCTATTGTATGTATAGGTTACATTTTTTGATATGTTTATAAATCAAGAGACATCTGGGTTATTGCTTCGGCCCTTTGGCTTTTGTGAATACTGCTGCAATAAAATGGATTTTCAAATATGCCTCCCATATCCTGTGTTGCTTTTTTTTTTTTTTTTCAGATGGAGTCTTGCTCTGTCGCCTAGGCTGTTGACAGTGGTGAGATCTCAGCTAACTGCAACCTCTGCCTCCTGGTTTCAAGCAATTCTTCTGCTTCAGCCTTTCAAGTAGCTGGGGTTACAAGTTCCCACCATGATGCCCAGCTAATTTTTTGTATTTTTAGTAGAGAAGGGATCAGGTTGGTCTCAAACTCCTGATCTCAGTTGATCTGCCCCCCTTGGACTCCCAAATTGCTAGGATTACAGGCTTGAGCCACTGCACCTGGCCTTTGTTACATATTTTGGATATAGACTTATAAATGAGGAGCATTTGTAACTTTCTAAAATAATGGCTGCATCTTTGTTTTCCACCAACAATTAACATGGGTTTCACTTTTATTGCATCGTCAACAGATTTGATGTTTTTAAAAATATTTGTAGTGGTCCTCCTAATGGGTGTGAGGTGATTTTGTTTGTCAGTGGTTTTTTTTGTTTTTTTGTTTTTTTTTTCATTTCTTTACAAGTTAGTAATTTTTTGTGTCCTTTCAAATGCTTTTTCCCATTTGTGTACTTGTCTAATGAAAAATTTTTTGTCCATTTCTAAATCAAGTTATTCAATTTTATTGTTTAAAGAGTTGTTTATATATTTTGAATATTAACTTCTTTCACATGTGATTTGCAAATGTTTTCACCCGTTTTCTAAGGGATGTTGTTACTCTTGAATTGTTTTTTGGTATGCAGAAATTTTGAAGTCTAGTGTAGTTAAACTTTTCTGTTATTTCATTTGCTGCTCATGCATTTAATTTTGTAGCTAAGAAAATGATGCCAAGACCAATGTCATGTCTTTTTTCCGTAGTTTTTCTAAAAGATTTGTTAGTTTTTTTATGTCCAAGCATTTTATTTAAAATATATTTTAATTCAAGGAAATAATCCAACTTTTTTATCAGTTTTGATATTCAGTTTTCAACATCATTTTTTGAAGAGATTATTTTTCTCTGTTTTGTGCTCATGGCAACGTTGTGGAAGATCATTTGATCATATATAGAAGGGTTCATTTCTGAACTCTATTTTGTTCTTTCATCTGTTAATCTTTGTGTCAATATCACACTGTTTATGTTCTGTAGCTTTTAACTGTAGGTTGGATTGACATCTTTGAAAAATGACATTTTTTGACACAGAGCAAGAATATGTTGAAGAGTGTGTTTCATATTCACATAGTTTTGAATATGCCAGTTTGACTTTTGCTTTTAATTCCTAGTTTCATTCAGTTTTTGTTAGAAAACACGCAATGTATAATTTTAGTCTTCTTAACGTAATTTGTTGTTGTTTTGAGACAACATCTTGCATCCCAGGCTGCGGTGCAGTGGCATAATTTTGGCTCACTATAGCCTCAGCCTCCTGGGCTCAAGAGATCCTTTCACTTCAGTTTTCTGAGTAGTTAGGACTACAGACATGCACTACCATGTCTGGATAATTGTTTGCTTGTTTGTAGTTTTAGGATCTCACAATGTTGTCCAGGCTAGTCTCAAACATTTGGCACCAATGGATCCTCTTACCTTGGTATCACAAAGTGTTAGGATTATAGGCAAGAGCCACTGCACCCAGTTAGTATTTTTAAATTTAATAAAACTTGCTGTGTCCTAACAGAATGCATCAGGTGCAAATAGGAATATTGTGTATTATCTTGGTTTTCACTGGAGAGTTTTGTATGTGTCTGTGAAGCCTAGTTCGTTCATAATATTATTTGGACGTCCATGTTCTCCAAACTTCAAGCTGCAATGTAAATCCTCAATGTTGATTGTGGGACCTGGTGGGACATGTTTTTGTCACGGGGGGAAAATTTCTCATGAATGGCTTCGTACAACCTCTTGGTAACCAAAAAGTTTACACTCTATTAATTCAAATGAAAACTGGTTCACTAAAATAATCTGGCACCTTCACCTCACACTTGCTCTGTCTCTTATCATATAATATGTCCAGTTACTCTTTACCTTCCACCATGATTTTAAGCTTCCTGAAATCCTCACCAGAAGCAGATGCTGGCACACACTTATACAGTCTGCCAAACTGTGAGCCAAATAAACCTTTTTTCTTTATAAATTATGCACTCTCAAGTATTCCTCTATATGCAAAATAGTTAATATAGTCTATAATGTCTTAGTTTTCTGTTTCTTATTTTTACCTTAATTTTCTATTTATTACTGCAAATGGGGTCTTGATGTCTACAATTATTATGTTGTTATGTATGTCTTGCTTCACTTTTGTCAATATTTGCTTTATATATTTTAAAGCTCTGATGTTATATACACATATGCAGATAGATAAATAGTTATAGATTCCTGCTAAATCAACTCACTTTATCATAATATAATATCAGTCATTGTCTCATGGCAGTACTTGACTTAAAGCATATTATGTCTAATATAATTATGACCACCTCACTCAATTGTGGTACTATTTTCATGGAATATACTTTTTTTATTCTATTACTTTCAGCCTACTTGAATCAATGCTAAAATGAGTCTCTTGTAGGGAGCATATTGTTTGCTTTATAAAAAAACCAATCAGGCATTCTATTTTTTCTTCATATAATTGTATTTATTTATAAATTCTTTGCTTTTTTATTCCAGATGGAGTTTCGCTCGTTGCCCAGACTGGACAAGTGCAATGGTGCAATCTCAGCTCACTGCAACCTCTGCCTCCCAGGTTCAAGCGATTTTCCTGCCTCAGCCTCCCAAGTAGCTGGGATTACAGGAACCTGCCACCATGCTTGGCTAATTTTTTTCTATTTTTAGTAGAGACCAGGCGGCCTACCTCAGCATCTTAACGTGTTGGGATTACAGGCCTGAGCCACCACACCCAGCCTCGTGTATTTTGGAGATAGGGTCTCACTCTGTCAACCAGGTTGATTTGCTGGGTTCACTGCTGCCCGAACCTCCCAAACTCAGATGATCCTCTCATTTCAGCCTCTCAAGTAGCTGGATTACAAGTATGTGCCATCACACCCAGCTACCTTTTTTGTATTCTTTGCTGAGACAGAGTTTTGCCATACTGCCCATTCTGCTCTTGAACTCCTGGGATCAAGTGATCAGCCTACCTTGGCCTTACAAAGTCCTACGATTACATTTCATTTTATTAAATAGTTTAATTAATTTATATTTAAAATGATTGCTTAAAGAAATGAAGTTGTTATTGCCAGTTATATTGTTATTGTTTTATGTGTTTTTAGTAGTATATTTCCCTCATTTCCTTTTTTACTTTCTTAAATTTAATTTAATTAATTAATTAATTAATTATTATTATACTTTAAGTTTTAGGGTACATGTGCACAATGTGCAGGTTAGTTACATATCTATACATGTGACATGCTGGTGCGCAGCACCCACTAACTCGTCATCTAGCATTAGGTATATCTTCCAATGCTATCCCTCCCCCCTCCCCCCACCCCACAACAGTCCCCAGAGTGTGATGTTCCCCTTCCTGTGTCCATGTGTTCTCATTGTTCAATTCCCACCTATGAGTGAGAATATGTGGTGTTTGGTTTTTTTGTTCTTGCAATAGTTTACTGAGAATGATGATTTCCAATCTCATCCATGTCCCTACAAAGGACATGAACTCATCATTTTTTATAGCTGCATAATATTTCATGGTGTATATGTGCCACATTTTCTTAATCCAGTCTATCATTGTTGGACATTTGGCTTGGTTCCAAGTCTTTGCTATTGTGAATAATGCCACAATAAACATACGTGTGCATGTGTCTTTATAGCAGCATGATTTATAGTCCTTTGGGTATATACCCAGTAATGGGATGGCTGGGTCAAATGGTATTTCTAGTTCTAGATCCCTGAGGAATCGCCACACTGACTTCCACAATGGTTGAACTAGTTTACAGTCCCACCAACAGTGTGAAAGTGTTCCTGTTTCTCCACATCCTCTCCAGCACCTGTTGTTTCATGACTTTTTAATGATTGCCATTCTAACTGGTGTGAGATGGTATCTCATTGTGGTTTTGATTTGCATTTCTCTGATGGCCAGTGATGGTGAGAATTTTTTCATGTGTTTTTTGGCTGCATAAATGTCTTCTTTTGAGAAGTGTCTGTTCATGTCCTTCACCCACTTTTTGATGGGGTTGTTTGTTTTTTTCTTGTAAATTTGTTTGAGTTCATTGTAGATTCTGGATATTAGCCCTTTGTCAGATGAGTAGGTTGCGAAAATTTTCTCCCATTTTGTAGGTTGCCTGTTCACTCTGATGGTAGTTTCTTTTGCTGTGCAGAAGGTCTTTAGTTTAATTAGATCCCATTTGTCAATTTTGGCTTCTGTTGCCATTACTTTTGGTGTTTGAGACATGAGGTCCTTGCCCATGCCTATGTCCTGAGTGGTAATGCCTAGGTTTTCTTCTAGGGTTTTTATGGTTCTAGGTCTAACATTTAAGTCTTTAATCCATATTGAATTAATTTTTATATAAGGTGTAAGGAAGGGATCCAGTTTCAGCTTTCTGCATATGGCTAGACAGTTTTCCCAGCACCAGTTATTAAATAGGGAATCATTTCCCCATTTCTTGTTTTTGTCAGGTTTGCAAAAGATCAGATTCTTGTAGATATGGGGCATTATTTCTGAGGGCTCTGTTCTGTTCCGTTGGTCTATATCTCTGTTTTGGTACCAGTACCATGCTGTTTTGGTTACTGTAGCACTGTAGGATAGTTTGAAGTCAGGTAGTGTGATGCCTCCAGCTTTGTTCTTTTTGCTTAGGATTGACTTGGCAATGCAGGCTCTTTTTTGATTCCATATGAACTTTAAAGTAATTTTTTCCAATTCTGTGAAGAAAGTCATTGGTAGCTTGATGGGGATGGCATTGAATCTATAAATTACCTTGGGCAGCATGGCCATTTTCATGATATTGATTCTTCCTACCCATGAGTATGGAATGTTCTTCCATTTGTTTGTATCCTCTTTTATTTCGTTGAGCAGTGGTTTGTAGTTCTCCTTGAAGAGGTCCTTCACGTCCCTTGTAAGTTGGATTCCTAGGTATTTTATTCTCTTTGAAGCAATTGTGAATGGGAGTTCACTCATGACTTGGCTCTCTGTTTGTCTGTTATTTGTGTATAAGAATACTTGTGATTTTTGCACATTGATTTTGTATCCTGAGACTTTGCTGAAGTTGCCTATCAGCTTAAGGAGATTTTGGGCTGAGACAATGGGATTTTTCTAGATATACAATCATGTCATCTGCAAACAGGTACAATTTGACTTCCTCTTTTCCTAATTGAATACCCTTTATTTCCTTCTCCTGCCTGATTGCCCTGGCCAGAACTTCCAACACTATGTTGAATAGGAGTGGTGAGAGAGGGCAACCCTGTCTTGTGCCAGTTTTCAAAGGGAATGCTTCCAGTTTTTGCCCATTCAGTATGATATTGGTTGTGGCTTTGTCATAGATAGCTCTTATTATTTTGAGATATGTCCCATCAATACCTAATTTATTAAGAGTTTTCAGCATGAAGGTTGTTGAATTTTGTCAAAGGCCTTTTCTGCACCTATTGAGATAACATATGGTGTTTGTTACTGGTTCTGTTTATATGCTGGATTATGTTTATTGATTTGTGTATGTTGAACCAGCCTTGCATCCCAGGGATGAAGCCCACTTGATCATGGTGGATAAGCTTTTTGATGTGCTGCTGGATTCAGTTTGCCAGTATTTTATTGAGGATTTTTGCATCGATGTTCATCAGGGATATTGGTCTAAAATTCTCTCTTTTTGTTGTGTCTCTGCCAGGTTTTGGTATCATATTGATGCTGGCCTCATAAAATGAGTTAGGGAGGATTCCCTCTTTTTCTATTGATTGGAAGAGTTTCAGAAGGAATAGTACCAGCTCCTCCTTGTACCTCTGATAGAATTCAGCTGTGAATCCATCTGGTCCTGGACTTTTTTTGATTGGTAAGCTATTAATTATCACCTCAATCCCGAGGCTGTTACTGGTCTATTCAGAGATTCAACTTCTTCCCGGTTTAGTCTTGGGAGGGTGTATGTGTTGAGGAATTTATCCATTTCTTATATATTCTCTCGTTTATTTGCGTAGAGGTGTTTGTAGTATTCTCTGATGGTAGTTTATATTCCTGTGGGATTGGTGGTGATATCCCCTTTATCATTTTTTATTGCGTCTATTTGATTCTTCTGTTTTCTTCTTTATTAGTCTTGCTAGTGGTCTATCAATTTTGTTGGTCTTTTCAAAAAACCACCTCCTGGATTCATTGATTTTTTTGAAGTGTTTTTTGTGTCTCTATTTCCTTCAGTTCTGTTCTGATCTTAGTTATTTCTTGCCTTCTGCTAGCTTTTGAATGTGTTTGCTCTTGCTTCTCTAGTTCTTTTAATTGTGGTGTTAGCGTGTCAATTTTAGATCTTTCCTGCTTTCTCTTGTGGGCATTTAGTGCTATAAATTTCCCTCTACACACTGCTTTGAATGTGTCCCAGAGATTCTGGCATGTTCTGTCTTTGTTCTCATTGGTTTCAAAGAACATCTTTATTTCTGCCTTTGTTTTGTTATGTACCCAGTAGTCATTCAGGAGCAGGTTGTTCAGTTTCCATGTAGTTGAGCGGTTTTGAGTGAGTTTCTTAATCCTGAGTTCTAGTTTGATTGCACTGTGGTCTGAGAGACAGTTTGTTATAATTTCTGTTCTTTTACATTTGCTGAGGAGTGCTTTACTTCCAACTATGTGTTCAATTTTGGAATAACTGCAGTGTGGTGCTAAGAAGAATGTATATTCTGTTGATTTGGGGTGGAGAGTTCTGTAGATGTCTATTAGGTCTGCTTGGTGCAGAGCTGAGTTGAATTCCTGGATATCCTTGTTAACTTTCTGTCTCGTTGATCTGTCTAATGTTGACAGTGGGGTGTTAAAGTCTCCCATTATTATTGTGTGGGAGTCTAAGTCTCTTTGTAGGTCTCTAACGCTTGCTTTATGAATCTGGGTACTCCTGTATTGGGTGCATATATATTTAGGATAGTTAGCTCTTCTTGTTGAATTGATCCCTTTACTATTATGTAATGGCCTTCTTTGTCTCTTTTGATCTTTGTTGGTTTAAAGTCTGTTTTATCAGAGACTAGAATTGCAACCCCTGCCTTTTTTTTGTTTTCCATTTGCTTGGTAGATCTTCCTCCATCCCTTTATTTTGAGCCTGTATAATATCCTGCAGAGTGTTTTCCAGCTTGGTTCCATTCTCCCCATCACTTTCAAGTACATCAATCAGACGTAGATTTGGTTTTAGTAGAGATAAGGTTTCACCATGTTGGCCAGGCTATTCTTGAACTTCTGACCTCAGGTGATCCACCCACCTCAGCCTCTCAAAGTGCTGGGCTTACAGGTGTGAGCCACAGCATCCAACTGGAAGTTACTTTTTATCTCACTATTCACAACGTTTCATATCAATACAAAGATTGACACATCTACATATATACATAGGAAGACAAAAACCCACATAGAGAATTATATAAATATTTCTATCTAAATATTTATGTATACAAAACATATTCCCCAAGAGATATTTTTAACCTTTTAGCATGCTCTAAAGACGCTAATGTAGAATCAATTTTTCCTTCTTTAGCTAAATAACATTTCAGAATGGAACATATCAACAAAGCTCTATCTTCAAGGGCAAGTCCACAGAAATAAGCTGAAAATAAAGTCATGTAACACATCTGTCCAGGACAGTATTTCAGCGCCCTGCATTTGGTACATGTTCCGTTCACATGCACCATTTGGCGCCTGTCTTGACAAAGTCACAGTCACCATTTAGATAATTGGATGATTGGATCCACCTGGACTGAGCTCCTTGGCTGGTTGAAATCACCAAGGCTGTGCAAATTGGCTGATTGCAATCACCCGGTTTCTGCTCATTTACTTATTTAATTGATCTTGGCTTCAGGGGTAGCATATGGAGATGTCTTCTGACCTACTTTTTTTCTGTGGCTTTTTTTTGAGAGTCGTATGCAGAAATAAACATTACATAGACATAACCATGTGGCTCATTTTGTGTGTATATGTTTAACGAGCCACCTATTTTATATCTGTATGTAAAGAAAGAAGCCTATAAAATAAACTTGATCAGAGGTTATTTCCATTTTCTTTCCGAACAGGTTAGATAAATTCAATCAGCTACTGAGCTCAGTGAAGATTTATTCAAACCAAGCCATACACCACATTTTTTTAAATAAATGTAAAAATGTGTTTAATAATGTGGCTCCTGGGTGTTTTTAATTCTGGTCTCATTAAACCAGCCCGGTGAGCTTCTTTTCATCTTTCTGGAAACTGCCAGAAATGCTTGACACCAGTGGGCTGAGCCTTCCTCACAAAGATTTGACCTGGCAAATAGAGCCACCTGTGACACTTCAGCGAATGTTCACTATCACCCATTTGAAATGTGGCCAAGTACCATGTACCATTATATTTGCTTCCATGATCACCATCTGTCTTCTAAAAAGAGACCTAGACTAATATTTTCTTACCATAAATACCCAACTTCTGCCACAAAGACAAAAAGACAAGAGTGTGATTTTACATCACACACTCTTGGGAATACACACAGTTCTTGTCTTGATGAAAGTTCTAAAGAGAAAGAGTAAGTATTCTCATATTTAGGTTAGAACCTTTGGACTGGGGCTGGTTCATCTCTGACCTTACGTACAACAATAAAAGAAAAGTCAACCCTGATATGGCAGTAAATAACTCCAATGGCCTTAGAAAATTTGTATCATCCAGAAGTGCACAACAAAGTTCAGTGCTTCCTTTGAATATATTAAGTGCAGCAGGATGTATATCAGAGCATTCCTCTATTTCTGTACTATTCTAGAAATAGTATTCTACAGGGAAAATATTTTATGCATGTATGAAAGGTTTTGTATTACTGTTTGTAGCAATACCTATCAATACTTCCACAGTCAACATCTTTATTCTGTATGAATATAAATACAAAGATTGTTACAGCTTCAGATATTATATATATATTTATATATACTTAGGTATATATATGAATATATGTACACACCTGGTAGATACATAAACGCAAACTTATATGAATGTGTATATGTAAATAATGTATACATAAAATATTTTCCCACTTTTTAAAATATAGAGCATATACTAAGGATGCAGATGTAGAATTAATTGCCTTCTGTTTTTTTCAATAGCATAACAGAATAAAACATAGCCATACAATGTGGTTTATATAAACAAAAACCTTCAGCTTCAGGTTTCAGGTCTTGTAAATAAGCTGACAGTAAAGCTGTATGGTACATACTGTCCAGCTTAGCATATAGGGCCCTGCATTTCTTCTTGGTGTGCCTGGGCTATTTACATTTACCATTTTGGGCATGCCTTAATGAATTGGCAGCTGCTAGATAATTGGCTGATTGGGATCACCTGGACTGAGCTAATTAGCTAATTGAATTCACCTGGATTGATTAATTGGCTGATAGAAATCACCTGGGTTAAGCTGATTCACTGATTGAAATCACCTGGGCTGAGTGACGCGGTGGTTTAAAATCACCTGTGCTAAACTAATTGGCTTATAAGATTCACATCAGCTGAGATAACTGGCTGATTAATATCACCTGGAGTAAGTTAGCTGGCTCTTAAAAATTACCTGGGCTAATCAGCTGGGCTGAGCTAATTTGCTGATTGGATTCTCCTGGGATGTGCTAATGGGCTGCTTGGAATCCCCAGAGGTAAGCTAATTGGCTGACTTAAATTATCTGAGCTGAGATAATTTATTCAGAAAAGTTCAACACTTGACCCAGCCAGCAGCTCATGCCTGTAATCCCAGTACTTTGGGCGGCCAAGGCAGAGGGATTACTTGATGTCAGGAGTTCGAGACCAGCCTGGCCAACATGATGAAACCCCATCTATAGTAAAACTGTAAAAATTAGCCAGGTGTGGTGGTGGGCGCCTGTAAGCCCAGGTACTGGCAAGGCTGAGGCAGGAGAATCACTTGAACCCGGAAGGTGGAGGTTGCAGTGAGGCGAGATTGTGCCATTGCACTCCAGCCTGGGCAAGAGTGAAACTTTGTCTCAAAAAAAGAAAAAAATATATATAATATATTATATATTATATAAAAACATATATAATATATTATATATTATATAAAAATATATATTATATATAATATATATTTACATATACAAAATATATATTCATATATAAATATACATATATATTAAATATATATTTACATATATATGATATATATTATATATTATATATTTCTATATATTATATATAATATATAAATATATATCATATATGATATATAGTATATAATATATATCATATATGATATATATCTCATATATATGAGATATATCAAATATCTCATATATATGAGATATATCAAATATCTCATATATATGAGATATATCATAAATATCTCATATGTGAGATATATATCATATATCTCACATATATGAGATATATATCATATATGATATTATATATATTTATATATGATATATCATATATTTATGTAGTATATAAATATAATTATATTTTAAATATAATTTTATATTTAAATTATATATTTAAATATATAATTTAAATATAACTGTATATTTAAAATATAATTTAAACATAACTGTATATTTAAAATATAATTTAAACATAACTGTATATTTAAATATATAATTTAAACATAACTGTATATTTAAATATATAATTTAAACATAACTGTATATTTAAATATATAATTTAAACATAACTGTATATTTAAATATATAATTTAAACATAACTGTATATTTAAATATATAATTTAAACATAACTGTATATTTAAATATATAATTTAAACATAACTGTGTATTTAAATATATAATTTAAACATAACTGTATATTTAAACATATAATTTAAACATAATTGTATATTTAAACATATAATTTAAACATAATTATATATTTAAACATAATTTAAACATAATTATATATTTAAACATATAATTTAAATATAATTATATATTTAAATATATAATTTAAATATAATTATATATTTAAATATATAAACATATAAATATTACATATTATATATAATATATAATGTAAATATATATTTTATACATTACATATTATATATAATATATAATGTAAATATATATTTTATACATTATATATTATATATTATTTTTATATATTATATTTATTATATATTATATATATTTATATATTATATATATTTTATATATATATAGTGTCAGAAGATAACTTGAAGTATTTTAAAGATGTTCTCTAGGAATCTAAAACTATTTTTACTTTTAGTTTCTATAAATATTTCTTAAGCATTTTTAATTTCCAAAAAAAACTTTTACATAATGTCAGTTTCATTTTTCTGAAGAATTTAAATAGAGTAAAATTATACACATCAGAAAACCTACTTTTCTGGTAATGGATCAACTTAATTTTCAGAACATATATGTTAAACTTCACAAAATTTTATGCTGACCAGTTTGCTCAGTAGCCTCTTACATACAACTGGGAGAGATGACACAAAGACGTAGCGTTCATGTTGGGTGAGAGATTAAATGACTACCAGTAGCTAATTTCTGTTTTACTAACAAATGTTGATTTTCATTTCCATATTGTCTCAAGTTATCTTAATAATGAAGTAATAAACTTTATCCAGGAAATTTCAAAAAACTTATCTTTTAATCAGCCATAATAGTATGCAAAAACAGAGAAATGAAGGTTAACAGTCATAATTTATATATTAAAATTAAAATACTTCTAGAGATAAAGACGGGAAAGGAGAAAGAAATATACAAACAAATGAAAGGCAGCCTGGTGAACATGGTGAAAGCCTGCCTCTACTAAAATTACAAAAATTAGCCTGGTGTGGTGGCTTACACCTGTAACCTCAGCTACTCAGGAGGCTTAGGCATGAGTATCACTGAACCTGGGAGGCAGAGTTTGCAGTGAGCAGAGATCACGCCACTGCACTCCAGCATGGGCGACAGAATGAGACTCCATCTCAAACAAAGCAAAACAAAAACAAAATCAAAATAGAAGGAAGGAAGTGGATTACTCACAATAGCTAAGGTATGAAATCAACCTAAGTGTCCATCAATAGGTGAATGGAAAAAGAAAATATGGTATGTGTACACAATGAAATGCTATTCAGCCCTTAAAAATAAGGTCTTGTTATTTGCAACAACATTCATGAACCTGAAAGACATTATACTAAGTAAAATAAGTCAACACGGAAAAAAACAGAAAACATAATCCTTTTTTTTTTTTTTTTGAGGTGGAGTTTTGCTCTTGTCACCCAGGCTGGAGTGCAGTGGCACCATCTCCACTCACTGCAACATCTGCCTCCAGGTTCAAGAGATTCTCCTGCCTCAGCTTCCTCAGTACCTGGGATTACAGGCACTTGCCACCATACCCAGCAAATTTTTATATTTTCTGTAGAGACAGAGTTTTCCTATGTTGGCCAGGCTAGTTTCAAACTCCTGACCTCAAGTGATCCACCCACCTCGGCCTCTCAAAGTGTTGGGATTACAGGCATGAGCCACTGTGCCTGACTCATATAATCCTATTTCTATGTAAAGTGTAAAAAAAAATTTAAACTCATAGAAGCAGACAGTACAATAATGAAACAAAAAAAATCCCCTAAGAGGTTTTTTGTCTGATAAAGAGAGCTTCTTCATGATCTTTCAGGGATTTTTTTTTTTTAATTTTCTGCATTCTCCTGTTCTTCAGCCAATGGTTGAAAAAAGATACAGAGAAGACACATTTGCCTTTTATCCACTTCACTTCCTCTTACTATTAGTCAATGTTGGTACAGCCGAGAATAGCTATTTTCTGGGAGGACAGCCACTTCTCAGCAATATTTGAATGCTTTCTTCACTTTATATCAGTGAAAAACAGGCCAGCAAGTCCTAGGAAAGCACAAGGTGCTATTGCTACTTTAACAATGATCAGGCCGAGCATGGTGGTTCATGCCTGTATTCCCAGTACTTTGAGAGGCCGAGGTGGGTGGATCACAACGTCAGAAGTTTGAGACCAGCCTGGCCAATATGGTGAAACCCTGTCTCTTCTAAAAGTACAGAAATTGCTGAGCACAATGGCTCATGCCTGTAATCCCAGCAGTTTGGGAGGTGGAGGGCAGTGGATTGCTTGAGGTCAGCAGTTTGAGACCAGCCTGGGCAACATGGTGAAATCTGGTCTCTACTAAAAATATAAAAAATTAGCTGGGCGTGGTGGCAGGTGCCTGTAATCCCAGCTTCTTAAGAGGCTGAGGCAGGAGAATCGCTGGAACCTGGAGGCCAAGGTTGCAGTGAGCCATGATTGTGCCACTGCACTCCAGCCAAGATGACAGAGTGACTCCTCTTAAAAAAAAAATAAATTAGCTGGGCATGGTGGTGGGCACCTGTACTCCCAGCTACTAGGGAGGCTGAGGCAGGAGAATCATGTAAACCAGAAAGTTAGAGGTTGCAGGGAGCCAAGATCATGTCACGGCACTCCAACCTGGGTGACCTAGTGAGACTGTCTCAAAAAAAAAAAGTTATTATGAAATCATGAATAGCACTTGTTTGGTTGCTACTCCCATGTCAAACAATGTTATTTGGCTTAAGGTACTGGTTTTTATTTTATTTTATTTTTGAGACGGAGTCTTGCTCTTGTTGCCCAGGCTGGAGGGCAATGGCATGATCTTGGCTCACTGTAACCTCTGTCCCCGAGTTTCCCACAATTCTTCTACCTCAGCCTCCCCAGTAGCTGGGATTACAGGCACCTGCCACCATGCCCAGCTAATTTTTTGTATTTTTAGTAGAGATGGGGGTCTCACCATGTTAGTCAGGCTGGTCTCGAGCTCTAGACCATAGGTGATCCACCTGCCTCAGCCTCCCAAAGTGCTGAGATTACAGGCATGAGCCACCGCATTCAGCCTGGTTTTCTTTTTTTTCTAACTACCGGTAATATAAAATTCTTCACTAAGAAGACTTTATCTTATTCAAATGTTTTGAGATTTCATTGACATTTAACTGTCTGAATTATGTGGAATATTGAAATTTTCCATGAACTCAAATTGATTACCATAGATAATCTTTTAGTAAAAGCTTTTCTGAGGCAGAGTAAGATTTATAACATTTTATTATCATATGGAAGATGTGTATTAGCCATGTTTTCGGTAATCACTCTGAACACAGCACTCTCTGTTCCAAGTGCAAAAAGTAAAGTAGAGGTTCCTCTTCAAAGACTTTCCTCCCCATCTAATTAGGAATAAACAGTAACTTCTCTTAGAAGCAAAATTTATTCAAAGTCCTGTGCTAACATTCTTAAATATCTGCCAGCCATAATAAAAAAATCAATGTACTTTCTTCTTAGCTCCCACAATTTAGCCTAAATATTTGCCCTGGCATGCTTATACTAGTCCAAGCAAGCATTAGGTCATAGCCTGTTACTCTTCCTTATTTGGTGTTTTTACCTTTCTCAGCATTCCACAAGTTACTTCCTCCTTCCTTCATTCTCCTCTGCCTTTGCCTCTTTTAAAAAGTTCTAAGTCGCTAAACAATGGGGGGAAATACAGAATTTGAGGTCTTGTTTCAGCCAATGAAAACTAGACACAGCAGTAGAAAGGATGCGTCAGGTTATAAATGACCTTGTCTCCTTTGTTTGATGTACTTTGATGGCAAAACTGCTGAAGAGTGCACACTTTCCGCAAAAA
This sequence comes from Homo sapiens, assembly GCF_000001405.40. Classification (NCBI taxonomy): domain Eukaryota; kingdom Metazoa; phylum Chordata; class Mammalia; order Primates; family Hominidae; genus Homo; species Homo sapiens. The sequence goes on along the minus strand of NC_000019.10, from coordinate 20,819,266 downwards.
GTAAAAATGGCCTTGCTAAGAAAATTAATGTTCGAGTGCTATTTCCTTATGGCACCAGAGAACAAGCATTTCTAACCCAGTATGGACCCTGAGTAACTGAGGAAGAATTGGTATCTCTGTAAAAAGGTAGAAGAAAATGCTGAGTGGAGGTGCACCACACTGCACATCAATGCTTTCCACATGCACCTATTAGGGTCTTAATTTAATTGGGCTGTTATTTGCATAGCTAGATACTTACTAAATTTAGTCATACTATTTTTTAGCAGCTAATGGCATCTGTTACCCATTAATTTTATCCATTTGCTTTTTTGAAAAACAAATCTTTTGTTAATTCACTCTAAATTGAGACTACATTTACAATCTTCAATTTTTCAGTGTTGAAGTAAATCAGAGTAGAGCAATGTGTGTATATAATGTGCATTTTCCTGCCTATCAAAATTCTTCTGGCCGGGCACAGTGGCTCATACCTGCAGTCACAGCACTCTGAGGTCAGCTGTTCAAGATGAGCCTGGCTAACAAGGTGAAATCCCATCTCTACTAAAGATACAAAAATTATCCGGGCATAATGGTGGTTGCCTGTTATCCCAGCTACTCGGGAGGCTGAGGCAGGAGAATCGCTTGAACCAGGGAGGCAGAGTTTGCAGTGAAATGAGAACACACCATTGCACTGCAGCCTGGGTGACAGAGAGAGAATCCATCCTTCATTTACTTGGAAACCCTGGGAAGCCACCTATAAAATATTCCCTTTGAATAGTTTAGCCAGGATTTTAGATTTCAAAAGGTCAAAAACAATCATTGAGCAAAGCCAAAATCTTCCTGTTTCTCATTAGTCATCTGGCCATTTCCGTAAGTATGGCAATTACGCCAAGCCATTGAAAAGATGACAATATTCAAGGTGTTTAGTTTAGCCAAGCCATTGAAAAGATGTGGTTTTGGTTAATTTTATCCCATTTCAAATGTTTTCTCTAGTTGTTATTTTGTCCTGTGACTCTAAAAGAAACTGTCTACTAACTAATCATACATTCAAAAAATATTCATATTAAGGTGTTTACAGTTTAATCTTGTATTACAGTATAGTAGAATCCTCTATAGTTAGAAGTTAATTATAAATTCATTGCTTTTAAGGTTTTTGAAATGTGAAAACAATTAGGTACGCTTTTTGAAATAAGTACAATTCTAGGACATTACCCACTGGTCTTCATGGTATTTCTGTAATGAATACTATAAAACTGGGTCACCAGAATGGTGCAGACATGCTGATTAAAACAGAATGAGTTCAGCATTGTTGGTAAACTATCAGTATCCCAGAGGCTGATCATTCACTACAGCTTACTAAATATTGTTCTATGATGCCAGTGAACACTTTTACTCAGGGTACCCTTTTCCTACCATTAATGTGGTCCTGTTGTGGTCTCCTGTTTCTCTTAAGCTATCCCAGATGAGAGGTGATTATTTCTTGCATGAATGAAAGTCCCTTTTTTACCCTCTGCCATAAGATCCTCTTATTCTCCTTACTGAAATCAACATGCAGGAGGCAGGAATGATGACAATATACAAACATGTTTCCTGTTATGTGGCCACCATAAGCAGCTTACAACATGTTCCACCAAGAAGTCACTTACTTTCAGGCCAGCAGGGGTGTTTTTCTATGACGTGTCTCTTTCTCTCAAAACCACATCTGATTAAGTTTAGCACAAGCAGGATAATCTCCATTTTGATAAACACAAAGGCAACACGAGTAACCTAATTTCATGAGTGATTTCCTACCACAGTCACACGTTTCTACACTCAAGAAGAAAGTATTACACAGCTGGTGTGTAACAGACTGGGAATTCAGGGTATTATCTTAGAACGTTGTCTACCCACATAAATAAACTTTTAAAATAGTCTTTTGCCTGTCACAGTGGCTCATACCTGTAATATCAGCACTGTGGGAGGCTGAGGCAGGCAGATCATGAGGTCAGCTGTTTGAGACCAGTCTGGCCAACATGATGAAACCCTGTCTCTTCTAAAAATATGAAAATTAGTCGGGCGTGGTAGCACACACCTGTAATCCCAGCTACTAAAATGGCTGAGGCACAAGAATTGCTTGAACTCAGGAGGTGGAGGTTACAGTGGGCTATCACGCCACTGCACTCCAGCCTGGGTGACAGAGCAAGACTCCATCTTGAAAAAGAAAAAAAAAAGTCTTTCTGCTGCTTTTGTTATCTACATAAACAAAGATATCAACTGGATATAATAATTAACTACTTTCCAGTTTTATTCACTACAAATCTTAACTAACATTTTTTTCTGGCTCATTTTTCCTTTATGCACCATTTTATATGTTCACACACACATAGAACAATAAAAATATATTCAATTATTCAATTCTGGTTGAATGTTCATTAAAATAGGTGTTAAAATGATTTTTTTGTTTGTTTGAAGAGGGGTTTTATTGTTGTATTCAAGAGTGTTGGTTCTGGAGACAAAGTTGCCTGTGCTTTAATAAGCAGATTCCGGGGAGAATCCGAATCATAAGCCATAACATTTTACACTAATAAATTGAATACAAACCAGAAAGTATAGATTTGCTTTTAGCATTTTCAAGGTGTTTAGTTTTGTTAATCATCTAATTAAAATGATTTGTTTTGTTGCAATAATTGCTCTTTCCTTCTGAAAATATGTACAAACTCATACTCACAAAAACACTCGCTTCATAATTTTCATACACCTAAGGTTTATCTTCAGAGTAATATGAGTATATTTAACCCTATGTAAATTAAAACTAAAAGTCTATATGCTTGCAGGCAGAGAGACCACATGTTCAAAGACAGCTATGTAACAAATATTTATTAATAAACTTTCAGGACTCAGAAATGTATGGACTTTATTTCTATTTCTTTTTTTTTTGAAATGAAGTCTCACTCTGTCATCTATGCTGGAGTGTAGTGGTGCGACCTTGGCTCACTGCAACCTCCACCTCCCGGGTTCAAACAATTCTCCTGCCTCAGCCTCCAGGTGTGCACCAAGATGCCTGGTCAATTTTTGTATTTTTAGTAGAGAAGGGGTTTCACCATGTTGGCCAGGCTGGTCTTGAACCCCTAGCCTCAAGCATTCCACCTGCCTTGGCCTCCCAAAGTGCTGGAATTACAGGCGTGAGCCACTGCACCTGGACATATTTTATTTGTATTTTTGTATAATTATTATAACCATAAAAAAATCCTGTAGTCAATAACAATTTAATTGTACATTTTAAAATGAACAAAAGCATATAATTACACTTTTGGTAATACAAAGGATAAATGCTAGAGGTGACGGACACCTTATTTACCCTAATGTAATTACTGCATATTGTAGGCCTGAGTCAAAAGATGCCATATAAGGCATAAATACATACACATACTATATACGCACAAATACAAATAACAAATTCCAAGAAGAAAATAGAGTACAAATTTAATCTGTGGGAACAATATTCTTTAACTCATTTGCAGTTTAAAGCCACGGGCAAAGTGATTACTAGAAATGTTATTCCACTATATGCCAAATTGTGTATTGTTACCATCTTGTAGCTTCACCCTTGAGTAAGGTAGGATCGTTTAAAGTTAGTGGCATAATAATGCTTCATTAAATGCACAGTAGTCTTAACATGGTTAAAAAATAATAAAATTAAGTTCACACATAATCTAACTTTTTTGGGGGGGGTGGAGGCAGTTTTTTTCTTTTTGTCCAGGGTGGAGTGCAATGGCAAGATCTTGGCTCACCACAACCTCTGCCTCCCTTATTCAAGCAATTCTCCTGCCTCAGCCTCCTAAGTATTTTTTGTATTTTTTGTATTTTTAGTAGAGATGGGGTTTCTCCATGTTGGTCAGGCTGGTCTCGAACTCCTGACCTCAGGTGTTCCACCCACCTCGACCTCCCCAAGTGCTGGGATTACAGGCATGCGCCATTGAGCCCAGCCCTAGCAATTTTTAAATGTACTGTATTTCATTACATAAAAGTACAATTAGTAAAATAATATACTATTTTATTTTAATATACTTTTAACTATAATTATTTCCTTGTGACACTATAATGTAGAAAAGTATTGCTCTGAACATTTACCTTATACTTAATAGAGGTTTACTACAAAGAACCTCTCCACTTATATTTTCATTATGCATCTTACATTTTAATGTCCTTATTCTTTTATAGAAAAGGTCATAATATCCAAATAATTTTTAAAAATATCTAATATCTCTAATGCAGCAGCAATTGATCACATGCTTTCACATGTGAATAAAACAGGAATAAATTAACAGCATGAAGTAATTTGAAAGCTGTATTATATCATTATTCAGTTTTCAAAAAATTTTATTCAAGGAAACAAGTGTACTTTCAATGTAATTACAATGCTTCCAAAAATCTTTTTAAAGTTACATACAAATCATTTATCTAAAAACTGTAGTTGTGGATTAGTTTTTATACTCAACACTCTGATTTAGTGTAATGTCTTAAGTGTCAGTGCCTTAGTTATTCTACTGTAAATTCTGACATTTATATACATTCTATTTTGAATTGTTTTTATATTTACTGCATCTGCAAAATTATACTTTAGTATAAACTCTCTGGTGTTTTCTAAGCTGTTGTTTCTGAAAAAAAAAAAGTGTTTCTAAACTTATTACATTTGCAGGACTAATCTCCAACATAAATTCCCTGATGTTGAACAAAGCTTGAGCAATTGCTTCACTGTTTTCCTCTGGTACAAATGTGTGCAACAAGTAAATGCGCTATAACCCCCTTTATAGTTGTAATAGTTGTCTTCAAAATAAATACTTTTCTTCATTTTAAAGGCTTATAGATTCTGAAAGATTTTTTTGACAGTAATTGCACTTTTAATGCTTTTATTAAAAGGAACCTTTTTATGTTAAGATGTGAGTAGGAATTAATGGTTTTTCCATATTCCTTATATTTGTACAATTTTTCTCAAGGATAATAGCTTTCCTGTGAAATAAGGGGTAAGAACTGATTAAATGTTTTGCCACATTCTTCAAACTTGTAGGAGTTTTGCCAGTATGACAGTAGGAGTTTTGCAGTCTTACCTACAATCAAGTGTGGCAACCACATAAAGGCTATGTCACATTATATATAATTCTAGGGTTTCACACCACAATAATTATTGTTATACATAGAGAATTTGGAGGTGTTGGTAAAAGCACTGTCACATGTTTTTTAGGTTTGTAGAGTTCTTCTTCGGCAGGAATTATCACCAAATCTCTTAAGAATTAAGAAATGGTGGCCAGGCATCATGGTTCATGCCTGTAATTCCAGCACTTTAGGAGGCCAAAGCAGGTGGATCGCCTGAGGTCAGGAGTTTGAGACCACCCTGAAAAACATGATAAAATTGCATCTCTACTAAAAATATGAAAATTAGCTGGGCATGGTGGTAGGCACTTGTAATCTTTTTTAATTTTTTTATTTTATTATTATTGTACTTTAAGTTTTAGGGTACATGTGCACAATGTGCAGGTTTGTTACATATGTATACATGTGCCATGTTGGTGTACTGCACCCATTAACTCATCATTTAGCATTAGGTATATCTCCTAATGCTATCCCTTCCCCCTCCCCCCAACCCACAACAGTCCCCAGAGTGTGATGTTCCCCTTCCTGTGTCCATGTGTTCTCAATGTGCAATTTCCACCTATGAGTGAGAACATGCAGTGTTTGGTTTTCTGTCCTTGCGATAGTTTGCTGAGAATGATGATATCCAGTTTCATCCATGTCCCTACAAAGGACATGAACTCATCATTTTTATGGCTGCATAGTATTCCATGGTGTATATGTGCCACATTTTCTTAATCCAGTCTATCGTTGTTGGACATTTGGCTTGGTTCCAAGTCTTTGCTATTGTGAATAGTGCTGCAATAAACATACGTGTGCATGTGTCTTTATAGCAGCATGATTTATAGTCCTTTGGGTATATACCCAGTAATGGGATGGCTGGGTCAAATGGTATTTCTAGTTCTAGCTCCCTGAGGAATCGCCACACTGACTTCCACAATGGTTGAACTAGTTTACAGTCCCACCAACAGTGTAAAAGTGTTCCTATTTCTCCACATCCTCTCCAGCACCTGTTGTTTCATGACTTTTTAATGATTGCCATTCTAACTGGTGTGAGATGGTATCTCATTGTGGTTTTGATTTGCATTTCTCTGATGGCCAGTGATGGTGAGAATTTTTTCATGTGTTTTTTGGCTGCATAAATGTCTTCTTTTGAGAAGTGTCTGTTCATGTCCTTTGCCGACTTTTTGATGGGGTTGTTTGTTCCTGTAAATTTGTTTGAGTTCATTGTAGATTCTGGATATTAGCCCTTTGTCAGATGAGTAGGTTGCGAAAATTTTCTCCCATTTTGTAGGTTGCCTGTTGACTCTGATGGTAGTTTCTTTTGCTGTGCAGAAGGTCTTTAGTTTAATTAGATCCCATTTGTCAATTTTGGCTTTTGTTGCCATTGCTTTTGGTGTTTTAGACATGAAGTCCTTGCCCATGCCTATGTCCTGAATGGTATTGCCTAGGTTTTCTTCTAGGGTTTTTATGGTTTTAGGTCTAACATGTAAGTCTTTAATCCATCTTGAATTAATTTTTGTATAAGGTGTAAGGAAGGGATCCAGTTTCAGCTTTCTACTTATGGCTAGACAGTTTTCCCAGCACCATTTATTAAATAGGGAATCCTTTCCCCATTGCTTGTTTTTGTCAGGTTTGTCAAAGGTCAGATAGTTGTAGATATGTGGCATTATTTCTGAGGGCTCTGTTCTGTTCTATTGATCTATATCTCTGTTTTGGTACCAGTACCATGCTATTTTGGTTATGTAGCCTTGTAGCATAGTTTGAAGTCAGGTAGCGTGATGCCTCCGGCTTTATTCATTTGGCTTAGGATTGACTTGGCAATGTGGGCTCTTTTTTGGTTCCATATGAACTTTAAAGTAGTGTTTTTCAATTCTGTGAAGAAAGTCATTGGTAGCTTGATGGGGATGGCATTGAATCTATAAATTACCTTGGGCAGTATGGGCCATTTTCATGATATTGATTCTTCCTACCCATGAGCATGGAATGCTCTTCCATTTCTTTGCATCCTCTTTTATTTCGTTAAGCAGTGGTTTGTAGTTCTCCTTGAAGAGGTCCTTCATGTCCCTTGTAAGTTGGATTCCTAGGTATTTTATTCTCTTTGAAGCAATTGTGAATGGGAGTTCACTCATGACTTGGCTCTCTGTTTGTCTGTTGTTGGTGTATAAGAATGTTTGTGATTTTTGTACATTGATTTTGTATCCTGAGACTTTGCTGAAGTTGCCTATCAGCTTAAGGAGATTTTGGGCTGAGACAATGGGGTTTTCTAGATATACAATCATGTCATCTGCAAACAGGGACAATTTGACTTCCTCTTTTCCTAATTGAATACCCTTTATTTTCTTCTCCTGCCTCATTGCCCTGGCCAGAACTTCCAACAATATGTTGAATAGGAGTGGTGAGAGAGGGCATCCTGTCTTGTGCCAGTTTTCAAAGGGAATGCTTCCAGTTTTTGCCCATTCAGTATGATATTGGCTGTGGGCTTGTCATAGTTCTTATTATTTTGAGATACATTCCATCAATACCTAATTTATTGAGAGTTTTTAGCACGAAGTGTTGTTGAATTTTGTCAAAGGCCTTTTCTGCATCTATTGAGATAATCATGTGGTTTCTGTCTTTGGTTCTGTTTATATGCTGGATTACATTTATTGATTTGCGTATGTTGAACCAGCCTTGCATCCCAGGGATGAAGCCCACTTGATCATGGTGGATAAGCTTTTTGATGTGCTGCTGGATTCGGTTTGCCAGTATTTTATTGAGGATTTTCACATCAATGTTCATCAAGGATATTGGTCTAAAATTCTCTTTTTTGGTTTTGTCTCTGCCCAGCTTTGGTAACAGGAAGATGCTGGCCTCATAAAATGAGTTAGGGAGGATTCCCTCTTTTCCCATTGATTGGAATAGTTTCAGAAGGAATAGTACCAGCTCCTCCTTGTACCTCTGGTAGAATTCGGCTGTGAATCCATCTGGTCCTGGACTCTTTTTGGTTGGTAAGCTATTGATTATCACCTCAACCCCAGAGGCTGTTATTGGTCTATTCAGAGATTCAACTTCTTCCTGGTTTAGTCTTGGGAGGGTGTACGTGTTGAGGAATTTATCCATTTCTTCTAGATTTTCTAGTTTATTTGCATAGAGGTGTTTGTAGTATTCTCTGATGGTAGTTTGTATTTCTGTGGGATCAGTGATGATATTCCCTTTATCATTTTTTATTGCATCTATTTGATTCTTCTCTCTTTTCTTCATTAGTCTTGCTAGCGGTCTATCAATTTTGTTGATCCTTTCAAAAAACCAGCTCCTGGATACATTAATTTTTTGAAGGTTTTTTTGTGTCTCTATTTCCTTGAGTTCTGCTGATTTTAGTTATTTCTTGCCTTCTGCTAGTTTTTGACTGTGTTTGCTCTTGCAATTCTAGTTCTTTTAATTGTGATGTTAGGGTGTTAATTTTGGATCTTTCCTGCTTTCTCTTGTGGGCATTTAGTGCTATAAATTTCCCTCTACACACTGCTTTGAATGTGTCCCAGAGATTCTGGTATGTTGTGTCTTTGTTCTCATGGGTTTCAAAGAACATCTTTATTCCTGCCTTCATTTCGTTATGTACCCAGTAGTCATTCAGGAGCAGGTTGTTCAGTTTCCAAGTAGTTGAGCGGTTTTGAGTGAGTTTCTTAATCCTGAGTTCTAGTTTGATTGCACTGTGGTCTGAGAGACAGTTTGTTATAATTTTTGTTCCTTTACATTTGCTGAGGAGTGCTTTACTTCCAACTATGTGGTCAATTTTGGAATAGGTGTGGTGTGGTGCTGAAAAAAATGTATATTCTGTTAATTTGGGGTGGAGAGTTCTGTAGATGTCTATTAGGTCCGCTTGGTGCAGAGCTGTGTTCAATTCCTGGATATCCTTGTTAACTTTCTGTCTCATTGATCTAATGTTGACAGTGGGGTGTTTAAGTCTCCCATTATTATTGTGTGGGAGTGTAAGTCTCTTTGTAAGTCACTCAGGACTTGCTTTATGAATCTGGGTGCTCCTGTATTGGGTGCATATATATTTAGGATAGTTATCTCTTCTTGTTGAATTGATCCATTTACCATTATATAATGGCCTTGTCTCTTTTGATCTTTGTTGGTTTAAATTCTGTTTTATCAGAGACTAGGATTGCAACCCCTGCCTCTTTTTTTGTTTGTTTTCCATTTGCTTCGTAGATCTTCCTCCATCCTTTTATTTTGAGCCTATGTGTGTCTCTGCACGTGAGATGGGTTTCCTGAATACAGCACCCTGATGGGTCTTGACTATTTATCCAATTTGCCTGTCTGTGTCTTTTAATTGGAGCATTTAGCCCATTTACATTTAAAGCTAATATTGTTATGTGAGAATTTGATGCTGTCATTATGATGTTAGCTGGTTATTTTGCTCGTTAGTTCATGCAGTTTCTTCCTAGTCTCGATGGTCTTTACATTTTGGCATGATTTTGCAGCGGCTGGTATCAGTTGTTCCTTTCCATGTTTAGTGCTTCCTTCAGGAGCTCTTTTAGGGCAGGCCTGGTGGTGACAAAATCTCTCAGCATTTGCTTGTCTGTAAAGTATTTTATTTCTCCTTCACTTATGAAGCTTAGTTTGGCTGGATATGAAATTCTGGGTTGAAAATTCTTTTCTTTAAGAATGTTGAATATTGGCCCCCACTCTCTTCTGGCTTATAGAGTTTCTGCCAAGAGGTCAGCTGTGAGTCTGATGGGCTTCCCTTTGTGGGTAACCCGACCTTTCTCTCTGGCTGCCCTTAACATTTTTTCCTTCATTTCAACTTTGGTGAATCTGACAATTATGTGTCTTGGAGTTGCTCTTCTCAAGGAGTATCTTTGTGGCGTTCTCTGTATTTCCTGAATCTGAATGTTGGCCTGCCTTGCTAGATTGGGGAAGTTCTCCTGGATAATATCCTGCAGAGTGTTTTCCAAGTTGGTTCCATTCTCCCCCTCACTTTCAGGTACACCAATCAGAGGTAGATTTGGTCTTTTCACATAGTCCCATATTTCTTGGAGACTTTGTTTCTTTTTAATTTTTTTTCTCTAAACTTCCCTTCTCACTTCATTTCATTCATTTCATCTTCCATCACTGATACCCTTTCTTCCAGTTGATCGCATTGGCTCCTGAGGCTTCTGCATTCTTCACGTAGTTCTTGATCCTTGGCTTTCAGCTCCATCAGCTCCTTTAAGCATTTCTCTGCATTGGTTATTCTAGTTATACATTCGTCTAATTTTTTAACTTCTTTGCCTTTGGTTTGAATTTCCTCCTGTAGCTCGGAGTAGTTTGATCGTCTGAAGCCTTCTTCTCTCAACTCATCAAAGTCATTCTCCATCCAGCTTTGTTCTGTTGCTGGTGGGGAACTGTGTTCCTTTGGAGGAGGAGAGGTGCTCTGCTTTTTAGACTTTCCAGTTTTTCTGCTCTGTTTTTTCCCCATCTTTGTGGTTTTATCTACTTTTGGTCTTTGATGATGGTGATGTACAGATGGGTTTTTGGTGTGGATGTCCTTTCTGTTTGTTAGTTTTCCTTCTAACAGACAGGACCCTCAGCTGCAGGTCTGTTGGAGTTTGCTAGAGGTCCACTCCAGACGCTGTTTGCCTGGGTATCAGCATCAGTGGCTGTAGAACAGCGGATTTTCATGAACCACAAATGCTGCTGCCTGATCGGTCCTCTGGAAGTTTTATATGAGGAGTACCCAGCCGTGTGAAGTGTCAGTCTGCCCCTACTGGGGTGTGCCTCCCAGTTAGGCTGCTCGGGGGTCAGAGACCCACTTGAGGAGGCAGTCTGCCCGTTCTCAGATCTCCAGCTGCGTGCTGGGAGAACCACTACTCTCTTCAAAGCTGTCAGACAGGGACGTTTAAGTCTGCAGAGGTTACTGCTGTCTTTTTGTCTGTGCCCTGACCCCAGAGGTGGAGCCTACAGAGGCAGGCAGGCCTCCTTGAGCTGTGGTGGGCTCCACCCAGTTCTAGCTTCCCAGCTGCTTTACCTAAGCAAGCCTGGGCAATGGCAGGCGCTCCTCCCCCAGCCTCGCTGCTGCCTTGCAGTTTGATCTCAGACTGCTGTGCTAGCAATCAGTGAGACTCCATGGGCATAGGACCCTCTGAGCCAGCTGCAGGATATAATCTGGTGTGCCATTTTTTAAGCCCATTGGAATTGCGCAGTATTAGGGTGGGAGTAACCCAATTTTCCAGGTGCCATCTGTCACCCCTTTCTTTGACTAGGAAAGGGAACTCCCTGACTCCTTGCGCTTCGTGAGTGAGGCAATGCCTCGCCCTGCTTCAGCTCATGCACAGTGCACTGCACCCACTGTCCTGCAGCCACTGTCTGGCACTCCCTAGTGAGATGAACCTGGTACATCAGACGGAAATGCAGAAATCACCCATCTTCTGCGTCGCTCAGGCTGGGAGCTGTAGACAGGAGCTGTACCTATTCAGCCATCTTGGCTCCACCCCCCATAATCTCATCTACTAGACAAGCTGAGGCAGGAAAATGGCTTGAACCCGGGAGGCAGAGGTTTCAGTGATCCGAGATCATCACATTGTATTCCAGCTTGGGTGACAAGCATGAAACTTCATCTCAAAAAAAAAAAAAAAGAATTGATTGAAAATTGTTATAGGCTATGCCACATTCTTCACAGGTGTAGGGTTTCTATCCAGTATGAATTATGTGTAATAAGGGTTGAGAACTTCCTAAAAGCTTTGTCACATTCTTTATATTTGTAGTGTTTGTGTTCCATAAATTCTCATATTTAGTAAAAGTTGATAGCTGGTTAAAGTCTTTCCCACATTCATCAAACTCATAGGGTTTCTCTCCAGTATGAATTATCTTATGTCTAGTAAGGGTAGAGGAGTGTCTAAGGCTTTGCCACATTTTCACATTTGTAGGGATTCCCTCCCATATGAATTATCTCATGTCTACTAAGGTTTGAGGATGAAATAAAGGCTTTGCCACATTTATTGCACTTGTGTGGTTTCCCTCCAGTATGAATTTTCTTATGTCTAGTAAGGGTAGAGGAGTACTTAAAGTCTTTGCCACATTCTTCACATTTGTAGGGTTTATCTGCAGTATGAATTCTCTTATGTGTAGTAAGAATAGAGGAGCACTTAAAGGCCTTGCCACATTCTTCACATTTGTAAGGCTTCTCTCCAGTATGAATTTTCTTGTGTTTAGTAAGGTTAGAGGAGCGGTTAAAGGCTTTGCCACAGTCTTCACATTCGTAGGGTTTCTCTCCAGTGTGAATTATCTTATGTGTAGTAAGAATAGAGGACCGACTGAAGGCTTTGCCACATTCTTCACATTTGTAGGGTTTCTCTCCAGTATGAATTCTCTTATGTTTAGAAAGGGGAGAGGAGTGCTTAAACACTTTGCCACATTCTTCACATTTGTAAGGTTTCTTTCCAGTATGAATTATCTTATGTGCAGTAAGGGAACAGGAGTACTTAAAGGCTTCACCACATTCTTCACATTTGTAGGGTTTCTCTCCAGTATGGATTATTTTATGTTTAGTAAGGGTAGAGGAGTACTTAAAGCCTTTGCCACATTCTTCACATTTGTAGGGTTTCTCTCCAGTATGAATTCTCTTATGTGTAGTAAGGTGTGAGGACCAGTTGAAGGCTTTACCACATTCTTCACATTTGTAGGGTTTCTCTCCAGTATGAATTATCTTATGTGTAGAAAGGGAAGAAAGGTACTTAAAAACTTTGCCACATTCTTCACATTTGTAGGGTTTCTCTCCAGTATGAATTCTCTTATGTGTAGTAAGGATAGAGGAGCGCTTAAAGGCCTTGCCACATTCTTCACATTTGTAGGGTTTCTCTCCAGTATGAATTTTCTTATGTGTAGTAAGGTTAGAGGAGCGGTTAAAGGCTTTGCCACAGTCTTCACATTTGTACCGTTTCTCTCCAGTATGAATTATCTTATGTGTAGTAAGGTGTGAGGACCGGTTGAAGGCTTTGCCACATTCTATACATTTATAGGGTTTCTCTCCAGTATGAATTTTCTTATGTGTAGTAAAGGTTGAGGACCGGTTAAAAGCTTTGCCACATTCTGTAAATTTGCAAGGGTTTTTTCCAGTATGTCTTATCTTATGTCTGTTTGTATTTGAAAATTGATGAAAGACTTTCCCATGTTTATCACATTGAAACATTTTGCTTTGGGTAGTTGTCAAACATTGGTTAAGTCCATTATAACCTCTTTTGTGCACTTTACACTTATCCACACTTTCACAGCCTTTTTTTAACTGCAAATTATCATGTCCACATTTTTTATGCCTTCTCAGTATCAGTTTTTGGAAAGAATCTTTTATGCTCTGCTCTGGCCAAAGGTCTTGGTTAAAATGAGAACACAAAACTGAAAGAAACCATAAAAACACACTACTTCACTTGCTAGACTCAGATAAATATACTTTACAAATCTAACCTATAAAATTATACAAACTACATAAACAAGATGATGTAGCAAAATATCACAAGCTGTAATTTCTTCCTGGACATATAAATGTAAAAAAAACATACTGCCCAAAATACATTTGTAAAAAATTTATAAATGAGTTAAGTGTATGAAGGGCCCAAGGTGAGTACAATGCAAAGAGCCACATAGAAGAAAAAAAAAAAGTCTGTTACTTATACCCAACAGAGCTCTTCCTGCTCTCCAGTATAACATTGTGCCTTTAAAAGTAAATTGCTGGTCAGGTGTGATGGCTCACACCAGTAATCTCAGCACTTTGGGAGGCTGACATGGGTTGATCATGAGGTCAGGAGTTCAAAGGCAGCCTGGCCAAGATGGTGAGAACCCATCTCTACTAAAAACACAAAAAACTAGACAGGCATGGTGCAGGAACTTGTAATCTCAGCTACTCAGGAGGCTGAGGCAGAGAATTGCTTGAACCCAGGAGGCAGAGGTTGCAGTAAGCTGACATCATACCACTGCACTCCAGCCTGGGTGACAGAGTGAGACTCTGTAATGGCAGATATTGTAGTGACCAAGATCATGCCTCTGAACTACAGCATAGGTAACAGGGCGAGACTCTCTCTCTCTCTCTCTCTCTCTCACACACACACACACACACAAATGTAAATTGCCAAATCCTGGTTTCTTTTAAAAAGCAGGAAAAATATTGGCACATACATCTTAATTTTTGGCTTTTAGGGGCTTTTCTAGACACTGGTAAATGTCTCCCATGACATAAAATGCTGAAGGAAATGACGATATAAGTTGGATTAACAGTTTGAGTCTGCTGAGTCTAAACATAAATGTCACAGAAGCAGAGATACTGCCCTACCCCAAACAGGGAATAAGTCTAGCAAGTGATTACTGATTATTAAGAAGAAATATGAATAAGCCAATTTAACTAAACAATAAACACAAAATTTTAGACAAGACACATCCTAAAAACATGTTTGAGAAATTCCCAAAATCTCTAGCCATGACAACTGATTTCAGACTATGCCAGAATAAAGTTATATCTTAAAGATTCTAACAGGTAGCTTTTTGTTAATGTCCAAAGCTCAATCAAAGATTACAATGAATACAAAATATTAGAGCAACATGGCCCCATCAGTGAGTGAAGATTGTACCTCTGCACTACAGCCTGGACAACAGAGGAAGCCTGTCTCAAAAATATAATAAAATAGGGTGGGCAGGATGGCTCACACCTGTAATCCCAGCACTTTGAGAGGCCAAGGTGGATGGATCATTTGAGGTCAGAGGTTCAAGATTAGCCTGGCCAACATGGTGAAACCTTATCTCTACTAAAAATATAAAAAAATAGCCAAGTGTGGTTGTGAGCACCTATAATCCCAGTTACTGAGGAGGCTGAGGCAAGAGAATTGCTTGAACCTGGGAGATGGAGGTTGCAGTGAGCCTGCACCACTGCACTCCAGTTGAGGTGACAGAGACAGACTCTGTCTCAGAAAATAATAATAAAATAAATAAATAAAATAAAATAAATTGAATAATATTCAGTAAGTTAAATAGGAACACAGGCAACTACTGAAGATCAGAAAAATGAGAATAACAACCAGAAACATTTAAATAGCAAAAAACAAAAATCGTGGATATAAAAATACAAAACATAATTGGAAAATTTCTTTAAAAATGTACACACCAAGATATTTATAACAAACACACATAATAAGCAAAATTTCAAAAATCACAGATAAGAGAATTTTGGGAGCTGTAAGATAAAAATGATGTGTCATTTATAAGCATAGTCTCATGATATAACAAGTGAATTTATCAAAAAAATTTTTGCAAGTGAGAAGGAAACTGTGATATTGTTAAAGTTAAAATAATAATTTAAAAAAAGCTTTCAAGTGAGAATAATAGCATCACCACAATTTTACTACCAAATAGAAAGAAGCACTTCCAAAATAACCAAATCCTGAGAATGTATATTGCCACTGCATATGCCTGACATATCAAAGATGGTGAGTTTCCTCCACTGAAAATAACATGGTGAAAGAAAACAACCCATAATCATATGAAAATATGTAACTTTCTGGGAAAGATATGCACATACACAAAAATGGAATTTCTTAACATTATCATAATGGTGCAGAAAACATTTTTAATTGTTCTCTAAAATTTAAAAGATAAAAACTATAGAAATTATTATAAACATGTTAATGAATATACAAACATAAAAAATATAATTGGCAAACTCAATAACAAAATAGAAGGCAGATGTAATGATGAAAAATTTTTGTATGAAACTGAAGTTGATTTTTTACCACATTTAAATATATTGTTGGATCTTTTAGAGGTTTTATGTAATCCCAGAAGGTACCACTTAGAAAATGTCTGTACAGATACACAAAAGAAAATAAGAAACTGAAAGCATGTCAATACAAAGATAAAAAAAAAAGACAGAAAGAGAAAATGAGAGACAAAGACACAAGAATAAAATAAAACAATAAAATAAGTTTTTCTTTTGCAGAAAACTATTTAAATATATATAATTATCTCTCCAAATCAAGAGACATACTTTAAATAAAAAGGTTTATTAAAAAATTTTAAAAATCAAGATTCAACTTGCCTTTTTACAAGAGTCAGTTGAGATCTAATGATAAAAAAAGACTGAAAGTGGCAAGATGGAAGTAGAAATTTCATGTAAATATTAACCAAATTAGAGCAAAAGAGCTCAAAATAATATTACACAAGCTGCATCTTAAGTAAGAAAATGTCATATTTTATAAAATGTACTTTAAGTCAAAACTTCAAGAAGGCAAAGAAGGGCTTTAAACAATATATGTATTCTTTCACTGGGAATCTATGACAAATTTGTTTATACATGTATGTATTTGCATGTGTGTGTCTCAGATTAGAGTTTCAAATATATAAAGCAAATACAAAATTGAATACACACAGAGAGCAATATAATTATAGTAGGATATTTCAATACTTCATTTTCTGTAATAATAAAACAAGACAGAATATTAATAAGGGAACAGAGGACTAGAAGGCAGTAAAAAACAATTATTTCTAATGAAGGTATAGAGAACACTCCTCAACAACATCAGGATACACAGCCTTCTCAATAGCTCATACAGCATTCTCCTATATAGACCACAAGTTAGGCCAAAAATGAAGCCTTAACACATTTTTTAAAACTGAAATTTTATAGATTACTTTCTATGACAAAAATGGAATTAGAGTATAAAACAATAATATAAATAATTGATAAATTTACAAATATATGGAAATGAGAAAACACACTCTTGAGCATGCACTTGTTCAGAAAACTGGGCTGTGTGCAGTGACTCACACCTGTAATCCCAGCACTTTGGGAGGTCGAGGTGAGTGATTTTAACTCCACCTCAAAAACAAACTGAAAAAGAAATAATTAATATTGTGAAGATGTCTGTACTGCTCAATTTAATCTACAGATTTAATTCAATGTTTTTCAAATGTCTCATTGCATTTTTGAAGAAATAAAAACAGCAAATCCAAAAGTATATGGAATCTAAAGAGACAATAAAGTACCCAACAATCTACCAAAATGGAACAATGTTGGAGGCATTACCATTTCTGATTTCAAAACACATCAAAAAGCTACAGAATTAAAATAATTTGTTATGAGTATAAAGGTGAAAAAGTAAACCAATAAAACAGAAGGCAGCACATATATTAGCTTTTGCATAATTACTGCATTGTTACTAATTTTACTAATAGTAAAAGCAATGCAAATTTCTGTCACCACATCATTCAGTAGATACAAAAATACAGGACTCTCATTAAACTACTTAATGAAATGAAATGTAATCTTTGAAATGTAATCTTAGGACTTTGGATGGCCAAGGTGGGCCGATTACTTGATCCCAAAAGTTCAAGATCAGCCTGGGCAACATGGCAAAACTCTGTCTCTATGAAAAATACAAAAAAAGCTAGCTGGGTGTGAGGGCACATTCATGTAACCCAGCTACTTGAGAGGCTGAAATGAGAGGATCATCTGAGTTTGGGAGGTTCAAGCAGCCGTGAGCCATGCAAATCAGCCTGGTTGACAGAGTGAGACCCTATCTCAAAAATACATGAGGCCGGATGCAGTGGCTCACACCTGTAATCCCAATAGTTTGGGAGGCCAAGGTGGGCAGGTTACCTGAGGTCAGGAGTTCAAGATGAGCCTGGCCATCATGGGAAAACCCCATCTCTACTAAAAATGCAAAAAATTAGCCAGGTGTGGTGGCATGTGCCTGTAATCCCAGCTACTTGGAAGGCTGAGGCAGGAGAATCACTTGAACCCAGGAGGTGAAGATTGCAGTGAGCTGAGATTGCACCATTGCACTCCAGCCTGGGTAACAACAGTGAAACTCCATCTCAAAAAATAAAATAAAATAAAATGAATAATAAATGAATATATGCATAATGAAAATATTAAAAAAAGATATAGAATGCCTGAGTGGTTTTTTAAAAAGCATACACTATGCTCCCTACAAGAGACTCATTTTAGCATTGAGTCAAATAGGGTGAAAGTAACAGAATGAAAAAAAGTTATGTACCATGAAAATAGTAACCACAATTGAGTAAGGTGGTCATAATTATATTAGACAGAATATGCTTTAAGTCAAGTACGACCATGGGACAATGACTGATATTATATTATGGTAAAGTGAATTGATTTAGCAGGAATCTATAACTATAATATTTATCTATCTATATGTATATGTGTATATAACATCAGGGCTCCAAAATATATAAAGCAAATATTGACAAAAGTGAAGCAAGGCATACATAGCAACATAATAATTGTAGACAGCAAGAACCCATTTGCAATTAATAAATAGAAAATTCAGATAAAAACTAAGAAAGAGAAAACTGTGACAATATTATAGACCATATTAATTATTTTGCATATAGAGCAATACTTGAGAGTGCATAATTTATAAAGAAAAAAGGTTTATTTGGCTCACAGCTCAGCAGACTGTACAAGAAGTGTGTGTCAGCATGTGCTTCTAATGAGGATTTCAGGAAGCTTAAAATCATGGTGGAAGGTAAGGAATAACTGGATATATTATATGGTAAGAGACAGAGTAAGTGTGAGGTGAAGAAGCCATGTTCTTTTAATGAACCAGCTCTTATTTGAATTGATAGAGTCTAATCTTTTTGGTTGCCAAGAGTATGTACCAAGCCATTCATGAGAAATTCACCCTCATGACCCAAATATGTCCCACCAGGTCCCACACCCAACATTGAGGATTTATATTGCAGCATGAGGTTTGGACAACAAGGACATCCAAACCATATTATAGACCAAATAGGCTTCATAGATACATAAAATACTCTCCCATCAAAACCAAGATAATACACAATATTCTTATTTGCATCTGGTGTATTCTGTTAGGACACATACCCAAGCTTTATTAAATTTAAAAATACCTACTGGGTGCCATGGCTCCTGCCTATAATTCTAACACTTTGGGAGATCCACTGGGGCCAAAAGTTTGAGACCAGCCTGGGCAAAATAGTGAGATCCTAACACTATAAACTAGCAAACAATTAGCCAGACATGGTAGTGCATGTCTGTAGTCCTAGCTACTCAAAAAACTGAGGTGAAAGGATCACTTGAGCCCAGGAGGCTGAGGCTACAGTGAGCCACAATTATGCCACTGCATTGGAGCCTGGGTGACAGTAAGATCTTGTCTCAAAACAACAACCAATCACTTTAAAAACACTAAAATTATACACTGTGTGTTTTCTAACAAAAACTTTATGAAACTAGGAATTAAAAGCAAAAGTCAAACTGGCAGATTCACAAATATGTGAATATGAAACACACTCTTCAACATATTCTTGCTCAGGGGGCAACAAATTTTATTTTTCAAAGATGTCAATACAACCTACAGTTAAAAGCTATGGAATTTAAACAATGTGATACACAAAGACAAACAGATAAAAGAACAGAATAGAGAGCTCAGAAATAAACCGTTCTGTATATGATCAAATGATCTTCCACAGAGTTGCCATGCATACAAAATAGAGAGAAATAATCTCTTCAAAAAATGATGTTGAAAACTGAATGTCAACACTGATAAAATGAAGTTGGATTATTTCCTTGAATGATACAATAATATATTTTAAATAAAATACTTAGACATAAAAATAAACAAATGGGAAAAAGCATTTGAAAAAACACACAAAATTACTAATTTGTAGAGAAATGAAAACAAAAAACACAATACCAACAAAATCGCCTCACACTCATTAGGTGTAAAAATAAAATCCATGTTGATTGCTGGTGGAAAACAAAGACACAGCCATTATTTTAAAATGTTATAAATATTCCTCATTTATAAATCTATATCTAAAATATGTAACACAGGCCAGGTGCAGTAGCTCAAGCCTGTAATCCTAGCACTTTGGGAGGTTGAGGTGGGCAGATAACCTGAGGTCAGGAGTTTGAGACGAGCCTGGCCAACATGGTGAAATACCATTTCTACTAAAAACACAAAAATTACCTTGGCGATGTGACGTGCACCTGTAATCCCAGCTACTTGGGAGGCTGAGGTAGGGGAATCACTTGAACCCAGAAGGCAGAGCTTGCAGTGAGCTGAGATCGCACCACTGCACTTTAGCCTGGGCAACAGAGCAAGATTCCATCTCAAAAAAAAAAAAAAGAAAGAAAGAAAAAGAAAGAAAGAAAGAAAACAACAACAAAAAAACAAAATATGCAACACAGGACCTGGAAGACATAATTGAAAATACATGTATTTTGTACCAGTATTCACAAAAGCCAAAAGGCTAAACCAGCATATATCTCTTAATTTATAAACACATCAAAAAATATAACATACACATACAATGGAATATTATTCCACTTTAAAAAGAATAATCTTGTCACATTTTAAGATGAACATTGAAAATATTATGCCACCTGAATTAATCCAGTAACAAAATTATGGATACTGTATGATTCCACTTATATGAGATATCTTAAGTAGTCAAAATCATAAAATCAGAAAGTAGAAGGTTTGTCTGTCAAGGGCTGGAAAGAGTGTAAAATGAGCAGTTGTTACTTAATGGGCATTGAGTTTTAGTTTTACAAGATGTAAAGTTTCTAGAAGCCTTTTGCATGACAGTGTGAATATAATTAACATGCCTGAAATGAACAGCTCTTTTTTTGAGACGGGGTCTCACTGTGTCACCTAAGCTAAAGTGTAGTGGCACAATTTTGACTCCCCCTCAATCTCCCAAGTAGCTGGGACCACAGCTGCACACCACCATGCCTGGCTATTATTAATTTTTTTTATAGAGGAGAGTCTCCATATGCTGCCCAGGCTGGTCTCAAACTTTTGGGCTCCAGGTATCCTCCTGTCTTGGCCTCCCAAAATCCTGGGATTACAGATCAGAGCCACCACCACGCCTGGCCCTGAAATGTACACTTCAATAGATTTAAGATGGTAAATTTTACATTATGTGTTTTTAAAACAATTTTTTTAAAGAAAAACTGAAAAAAAAATTACATATTTTTTTGAAAATTACCTTCAAATCACAAAAATGTTTCTCTCATGAAAGGAAATACATATTAATTACTAAACACATGGTAAAATAAGACTATCCCCATGAGTACTTACTTAGACAAGATAAAACTACCATGGAAAATAAGCTAAGAAAGAGTATAAGATAAGCCATAACTAAAATTGGTGTCATATTTATAAACAGACATACATATGTAACCTGATTGTGACAGACATGCATAATTTATCTCTTAAACCTAAAATTGACTTAAAGTATACAAGCAGAATTGCAAATTGTCTAAAATTATAATACATAAGTAAAACCAAAACACCCAATAAACTAATGGTAAGAAACCTACACTGAGGCCAGGTGCAGTGGATCATAACTGTAATCCCAGTACTTTGGGAGGCTGAGGTGTGCAAATCACGAGGTCACCAGTTCCAGACCAGACTGGCCAATATGGTGAAACCCCATCTCTTCTAAAAATACAAAAATTAGCCAGGCATGGTGGCACACGCCAGTAGTCCCAGCTACTCAGGAGGTCAAGGCAGAAGAATCACTTGAGCCCTCGAGGAAGAGGTTACAGTGAGCCAAGATCACGCCAATGCACTCCAGCCTGGGTGACAGAGCAAGACTCCATCCCAAAAAAAAAAAACCTACACTGAAAAACACACTAATATAAAACTTCAAAACAATAATAAATGTTTACTCATAAAATCGGCCGGGCGCGGTGGCTCACGCCTGTAATCCCAGCACTTTGGGAGGCCGAGGCGGGCGGATCACGAGGTCAGGAGATCGAGACCATCCTGGCTAACACGGTGAAACCCCGTCTCTACTAAAAATACAAAAAATTAGCCGGGCGAGGTGGCGGGCGCCTGTAGTCCCAGCTACTCGGGAGGCTGAGGCAGGAGAATGGCGTGAACCCCAGGGGGCGGAGCCTGCAGTGAGCCGAGATTGCGCCACTGCACTCCAGCCTGGGCGACAGCGAGACTCCGTCTCAAAAAAAAAAAAAAAAAAAAAAAAAAAAAAAAAAAATCTAGCATGCAACATTGATGCATTATTAAAAAATTGTCAGGCCGGGTGTGGTGGCTCACAACTGTTATCTCAACACTTTGGAAGGCCAAGGCAAGCAGCTCACCTGAGGTCATAAGTTCAAGACCAGCCTGGCGAACTTGGTGAAGCCCTGTCTCTACTAAAAATACAAAAATTTGCCAGGGGTGGTGACACATGCCTGTAACCCCAGCTACTTGAGAGACTGAGGCATGAGAATTGCTTGAACCTGGAAGGTGGAAGTTGCAGTGAGCCACGATCACACCACTGCACCGCAGGCTGGGTGACAGAGTGTGACTCCATCTCAAAAAAAATAAAAATGTTTCTAGGTAACTGAAATATTTAACTGTTAGTGTGTACTCACTAAATGCAGGTATTTTGAATCATTGGCATGCCCTGTGTGGCAGTAAAATTTCAGAGAATATGCAGTATAATTATAAATAGAAGATTCTAATGAGAAACTTAAAAATTAGCATTTTAAGGAAACTAGTTACTTTTAATGTTTTAAATATATGGTATTTTTACACAAAATAAAACAGCTATAATCAAACTTTAGAAGCAAAGAGTAGCCTTACATTGTTAAATTTAAAATTATACAATTTGCAGAATAGGGTTAGACCCTCTGATATGTAAAACAAATATTGAGAAATAAACTATGTTATTATTTAGATATAGGCTAAAAAAAAGATGAAAATCCTTTAATTCCTTTTTGCCTGCAGCAAACTTAAATTCATAAGTAACTATTTTAGTAATATGGGTCCCTATGAGTTATCTAATTTACTTCAGGCATACCATGCAAATTCTAGCACATTGTCCTAAATATCTGAATCTAAATTTACAGACAAATCTGAAAGAGAAAATAGAAAGTAAAAATGTATAGGGAGAGTGACATCAGTAAGATGAAAAGATTAAAAGTCCCTATTTTCATACTCCCTTACAGCAAAAAAAAAAGTCAGCCATCTCTGACAAAAATGCCTTTATGAGAGAAATAGGCATTATGGCTCACACCTGTAATGACAGATACATGGTACATTAACGTTGGAGAACTGCTTCAGGCCAGGATTTTGAGACCAGCCTGGGTTATGTAGCAAGACCCCATCTCCAAAATACACGCCACTAAGAGAGATTTGAGATCCAGGGAGGGAGTTGTGAAATGCTGCTAAAGCTTAAGATTGAGAAGTGTTCTATTCAGAAGAGAACCTGCCCTTAGTCAGGTGGGAAACTGCAGGACCCCTACTCATGGCTACAGACCAGATAGGGTTCACCCAACTTGGTCCCACTGAGAATTCTGAACTTACTCTGTAACCAATCCAAACTCCTCCCAGTCAGAGTCTGGCAGAGGTCCTGACATTCAAGAGACCTGGAGGAAGGCACCCATTTACAACAATGTAGGCAGGCCTGCAGACTTTGGACTTTACTGGGATCCCTGAAGCGGTTCTATGACTCAGTTTCAGTTACCTGAGCCAAGTTTATGGTCAGTTCTGCCTACATAGAAACCCACACAATTGGGCAGGGTACAGTGCCTCACACCTGTAATTCCAGCAATTTGGGAGGCTGAGGCGGGCGGATCGCCTGAGGTCAGGAGTTCAAGACCAGCCTGACCAACATGGAGAAACACCTTCTCTACTAAAAATACAAAATTACCCAGGCATGGTGGCGCATGCCTGTATTTGCAGCTACTTGGGAGGCTGAGGCAGGAGAATCACTGGAACCCAAGAGGCGGAGGTTGTGGTGAGATGAGATCGCACCATTGCACTCCATCTTGGGCAACAGGAGCAAAACTCCATCTCAAAAAAAAAAAAGAAAAAGAAAAAAAGAAACCCACACAGTTCCCTAAGGAAATGCTTCTAAAATCAGTTTATGAAAACTTGAAGAGGTGTTTACTCCATCAAATTCAGACACCAATACAAAACTATATTGTGTCCATTGTCAATGCTTCTATTTGAATGTAGTGATGGAAGTATGTGGCAGAAGAATTATTCACAGAAATAAAAAAATCCAGCCAGGCATGGTGGCTCATGGCTGTAATCCCAACATTTTGGGAGGCAGAGGCGGGCAGATCATCTGAGGTCAGGAGTTTGAGACCAGCCTTGCCAACATGGTGAAACACCGTCTCTACCAAAAAAATACAAAAAAGTAGCTGGGTGTTGTGGTGAACACCTGTAATCCCAGCTACTCAGGAGGCTGAGGCAGGAGAGCCACTTGAGCCCAGGAGGCAAAGGTTGCAGTGAGTCAAAATCACACCATTGCACTTTAGCCTGGGCAAAAAGAGTGAAAGCCCCTCTCAAAAAAAAAAAAAAAAAAGTTGCTGGTTGTAAATCACACAATTTTATATTTAAAAAACCATAAACAGTACATTAAAACCTGTCTAAACTAATAAATACACTCAGTAAATTAGCAAAATATAAAATTAAACACACAAGTATATGTATGGTTTCTTACACTTAAAACAAACTATCTGATGAGGAAGAAAAAATCTTATTTAATATAGCATTAAATAAATTCCTGAGAAAAAAATTAACCAAGGAGGTAAAAAAAAGTTTACAATAACAAAATAAAAAAATTAGAAGATAAAAATTAATTTTAAAATATTTTATGTCAATGAATTAAAAGAATAAATATTATTAAAGAATCATATTATCCAAAGTGATTTACAGACTCAATAATCTTCCTATTAAAATTGCAGTGTTTTTTTTTACAATAATGGAAAATACAATTCTAAAATTTACATGAAACTAAAATAAACTTTGAATAGCCAAAGCAATCTTGAGGAAAAAGAAGAAAACAGAATATCGTACTTACAATTTCAAACTATATTTCAAGACTATATAGTAATAAAAATAGAATGGACTGTGCACAAAAATGAACAAAAAAAAATGCAACAGAAACTACTACTCTCACAAATTTCAGACCGGATACAAAAAGAAAACTAAAAAATAGTTTCAGTTTCTCAAAATTAGGAAGATATTTGTGTGTCCCCAAAACAATGAAAAAGCAGCTGGATTGTGCTGTCTCTTATATGTCATGAAGAGGACTTTGGCTCTCACTGTGAATGTGAAGGAAGCTCACTGAGAGAAAAGTAGAATTTTTAGAGAATTTAGAAGCATAAGACAATATGCCCCTTTGTGACAGCAAAATTTAAAACAA
Source organism: Homo sapiens (assembly GCF_000001405.40). Lineage (NCBI taxonomy): Eukaryota > Metazoa > Chordata > Mammalia > Primates > Hominidae > Homo > Homo sapiens. Next base: position 20,794,027 of record NC_000019.10, on the reverse strand, counting down.
CAAAAACAAAAACAAAAAACAAAAAAAACAGCTGCCCAGAAGTTCCTTTGGAACACAGCTTCCAGAATCACACCTTAAGGACTGGCTTTCTTTTTGACCTTGGACTTCTTACTGTGTTGTCTGTTGTATTCATTTTCACTCACACCTACCTGAGGGGTTGGCTACCATCTCATGTCTCTGCATAGTCGAAGGTTTTTTTCCTTGCTCCAGATGGGTGATGAGGTCTGGCTTTGAGACAACAATACCTGTTTTATCAAAAATAAATAACATGAATCTTGCTCACATTCTCCAATTACAAGCTAGTAATGTGCTCAGGAAAGATGATGTGATAAAATATTCTAGTAAATTAATAACAAAATACAAATTTGTAACAGAGATTTCTAAATATTTAGAAAATACTTCCAATTTGCCTGGTGCAGTGGCTCATGCCTGTAATCTCAGCACCTTGGGAGGCCGAGGCAGGCAGATCCTAAGGTCAGGAGTTTGAGACCAGCCTGGCCAGCATGGTGAAACCCCATCTCTACTGAAAATACAAAAATTAGCGGAGCATAGTGATGTGTGCCTGTAGTCCCACATACTCGGGAGGCTGAGGCAGGAGAAACTTGGGAGGTGGATGTTGCAGTAAGCCCAGATTGCACCACTGCACTCCAGCCTGGGGAACAGAGTGAGACTCTGTCTCAAAAAAAAAAAAAAAAGAAAAGAAAAGAAAAGAAAAGAAAAGAAAAGAAAATACTTTCAATTTGTAGGTTTCCTAATTTTACTACCTGGTACTACTGAATCAAAACTTGGTGGTGGCAAGTAGATTTTCAGGTGGAAGCTACAATATTTTAAGTCAGTAAATTTCTGGAATTACCACTAATTTAGAGTGAAGAATATAACTCACCTCAGAAATGTGGAAAGTTTGTATTAAGATGAAATATCTTGAAGAAATTTTTTTCTTTCTTTTTTTTTTTTCTTCCTTGAGACAGAATCTTGCTCTGTTGCCCAGGCTGCAGTGCAATGTCATGATCTCAACTCACTGCAACCTTCACCTCCTGAGTTCAAGTGATTCTCCTGCCTCACCCTCCTGAGTCCTGGGATTATAGGTGCATGCCACAGCCCGCAGCTAATTTTTTGTACTTTTATTAGAGTTGGGGTTTCAGCATTTTGGCCAGCTGGTCTCAAACTCCTGGCCTCAGGTAATCCCCCTGCCTCAGCCTCCCAAAGTGCTGGGATTACAGGCATGAGGCACCAAAGTAATTCTTTTCTAAATGAACAAATTCTGAAGATTTTCTTGAAAAACTGGATCTGAAACTCTTTTATAAAAAGAATAAATTACTAACATTCTACAAAAAAGAGAAATAAAACAATTTGTGTATATTATGAGTTATGTATTAAAGTTTTTCTCACCAAGAAAGACCAGGTTTCTGTAGTTCTCTAACATCACATCCCTATATAAATTCCGCTGTGCCATGTCCAGGCAATGCCACTCCTCCAGAGAGAATTCTATGGCCACATCTCTAAATTGCAATGGCCCCTGAAAAATATACACACACACATTTTCACCAAGTGGTTATGGGCGGAATTTTTAATTTGACTTAAGGTGAAATGAGAGAGTAAAGATAACTGGTTCTGACTTATAGGACTGACTAAAGTTATCCTATAAAATAATTTTCAACACAGAAATATTCTCTAAAGTATTCTCTAACTCTGAGAAAATAAAGGAACATAAGATCCACAACATCAGTTCATATATTTTTCTAGAAAATAAACTATAAAATTAAGGGCATGAACACAAACATGTACATTTTTGAGTGCTATATTTACATCATATGGAATGAGTTGTGAATATTTTTCAGATGAAAAAGGCATGTTTTAATATGTACAATAAGCTGAAGACCTTGTTATGCAGGGTTTTTTTCCAGAAGATCTGGAATAAAGTCTGATTTTTTGAATTTCTAGCAAGCTAACCAATAATGTCAATGTTTTTGGCCCAAGAAGAATATTTTGTCAAACATCCAGTAAGTGGAAGAGCCTGTGTTTTTTCCAGTTTTTCTGGCCTGTAAACAAAGATAAGAGCCTTAATTTTCCAAAGAAAAATATGTAGAAAAAAAGAAAAAAGAACAGCTGCCAGATTAAATGATTGTTTGTTCACATCAGCTGCATAATGAAACTTAATAATGAAGAGAAAAATAATTAGCTATATAGTAAAAAAAAGTCTGTCAGAGACCTATTTAAGCAAGTGAATCATTAACCATTAACTGCACTAGGACAAATTTTTATGATGTGTTAATGCATACAGAAGAATACAGCATCACTATTGAAATATTCCTTTTTAAAAAAAGCAAATAAAATCTGAATGTAATCAAAAAGAATCATCAGTTTTATGCAAACCTCAAAATACAGATACCTCCTATGTTCTGTAATTTTTAGTAGTAATATTAAGCAGGCTTCATTAACACCCTAGAAAGCAGGTATCTCCTAATAATTTTTTTCAGAATTTCTGGGTAATAAATGCCATCACATTTAAATGAGCAATTTTCTTTTTTTTTTTTTTTTTTTTGAGATTAAGTCTCACTCTTGTCCCCCAGGCTGGAGTGCAATGGCACGATCTCAGCTCACTGCAACCTCCGCCTCCTGGGTTCAAGTGGTTCTCCTCCCTCAGCCTCCCAAGTAGCTGGGATTACAGGTGCCTGCCATCACGCCAGGCTAATTGTTATATTTTTAGTAGGGACGGGGTTCCACCATGTTGGCCAGGTTGGTCTCGAATTCCTGACTTCAGGCGATCTGCCTGCCTTGACCTCCCAAAGTGCTGGGATTACAGGCATGAGCCACCACGCCCGACCTAAATAAGCAATTCCTTAATCCTGTTCAGCATACAGCTAATGGAACACATGAATGGAGCCTCAACATTATATTTTCTCCATCTTTACTAAGGACCACAGTTTTCCCCAATAGAAATCTTGAGTATCCACATCTTTCCATGTTCAACAGCCACAAACGGAACATTTTTAATATTGCAGATCATAAATTCCTGTTGATAAATCTGCATGGCGTATAAGAAGTTATGATGTAGAGAATGAAGAGAAGGCTCTGGGATACAGGGAAGAAATACTTTTCAGACACGTTTGACTATCATAAGAATTTTAAGAAGTACTTAAACCAAACTCCTTAGGGAGGAAAAACACAAGTAGAGAAGTAAAAGTTTTCAAGTACTAGATACATGGCATTCCAGGAGGCAGAGTGGACATAGCTTTTCAGCTGAGGCATGTTTACCTGAAGCCCTTTTTTTTTCTCTTTCTGATCTCCTCCTTCTCTGGAATTCCTTCTCAGATGAAGATTCTCTGGACAAATTACCCCTGCATCTTGAGAATATGCCTTTAAAGGTGTCAGTGCCACATGTTTACCAGCTAGCATGGCATCAATTGGCAGAAAAAGACAGAAAAATCCATCCATTTCTATCCTTTAAAACAGAAGAGATTCAGGAGCAATGAGCTGCTCCATGAAGATGAAAATATAAGTTTCTCCTTTCCTGTCCTCAGGTGCCCTCCCCTGCCACAGACACCAGCAATTTCTGCCACAGTAATGGAAATATGCACCACACTGACCTGTCCCTACCAAACCCAAATAGAATAGGCCCTGTGACCACCCTTTAGTGCAAAGGTGGAATTTAACTCTCATGAATGTATTTTGAAGCCTTCATACTTGATTCTGGCCTCACCTTAGAGTCACATGAGGCCCTTCATTAAAACAACGTGGATGCTTCCACCCAGAACAATAAACAGAACCTGTGGGGAGGGCACAAGAGATTTCTGCAAATTGGCCATGTGATCCTAATGAGAACCCTGGGCTGATAATCACTAAGCTAAGCATTGCCTCTCAAGCTTTAACAAGCTTATAAATCACTTGGTAATTTTGGCCCCACTTTATGTAATGTAATTCTGCAGATTTGAAAAGGGTCTATGCATGGGTGTTTTAAACAAGTCCCCTGTCAAAGCTGATGTTGCTCCCCCTTGGCGCATTATTTACATTAGTTAGAGAAGCAGGCACAGCACAGGATCCCTTACACTTAGCACTCTTGTCACAACCAAATACTTCTGGTACAAACAAGGAGAGGAAACAGAAGGCAGCAATGTCTGAATAAGTCTGTATTTTAAAAACAACATGTACACATGTACTAATGCAATGTTTATTAAACAGATACTGTGTGCTCAAGAGCATGATACAGAGCACTGTGCTGGGCATAACACATTATGTGATTTAATTCTCGTAACATCCTGGGAGCTGGTACTAAGGGTTTAATAATTTCCAGGATTTCAAAAAAGGGCCCAGAATCTCTATTTCTTCTTCTGTTCCTCTGTCATCAATTTTTTTTAAATTATAAGGAATAAAAGCTAAATATAGACAGATGAAAGAGATACAGAAAGAAAGAGGTTAATGTAGTTTAGACAAAATTTTATTCTCTTTATATTTACTTTTTTGTGACTTATGGAGCAACTACTGGATCTGCAGGAATAGAAAACAAGTGTCTAAATATAATGTCTCTGCAAACACTGGTTTTAATAGAACATTTAAAATCTAGGACCCTAAAATACATACGTTATTTATCCCATTTATCTGTTTTTGGGTTTCAAGAAATTGTGAACACCAGCTCTAGAAAGGCAACAGGATTCACCAGCCAAAACTCTGATCTCTTCTAATCAGTTCTCTGAGGAAAGACTCCAAGGTATAGTCAGACCAAAATAAGGCCTCCAAAAAGGGTGAATCTGAACAGGTCTGAGGCAGGGTGGGGACTCTATGTAGAATTCTTCCCTCTATGCCACTGCAGTACTACCAGTATTCTTTTTTCAAAGGTTACCTAAAAGAAAAACTTAAATCCCAGAATTTCTGTAATTTTAATATTTTCTAGCCACTGCCCTGTCAACTTTATGCTACATACTAATACGCAATTTAAACAAATCCTTTAAGGTTTTCTAGGGTAACTTTTTTTTTTTTAAATAGATGAAGTCTCACTCTATTGCACAGGCTGGAGTGCAGTGGTGCCATTTCAGCTCACTACAAGCTCTGCCTCCTGGGTTCAAGTGATTCTTCTACCTCAGCCTCCTGAGTAGCTGAAACTACAGATGTGTGCCACCACGCCCAGCTAATTTTTGTATTATTAGTAGAGACGGCGTTTCACCACATTGGTCAGGCTGGTCTCAAACTCCTGACCTTGTGATCCACCTGCCTTAGACCCCCAAAGTGCTGAGATTACAAGCATGAACAACCATGCCCAGCCTTTCTAGGGTAATTTTATTAGAAAATAAATATGTACACTTAGCAAGGTAAAAGAAATAGAAATTATATGGCCAGGCGTGGTGGCTCACACCTGTAATCCCAGCGCTTCAGGAGGATGACGCGGGTAGATCACAACATCAGGAGTTTGAGACCAGTCTGACCAAGATGGTGAAACCCTGTCTCTACTAAAAATGCAAAAATTGGCTGGGCATGGTGGCCAGCAACTGTAATGCCAGCTACTCAGGAGGCTGAAGCAGGAGAATCACTTGAACCAGGGTGGCAGAAGTTGCAGTGAGCCAAGATCACACCACTGTACTCCAGCCTGGGTGACACAGACTCCGTCTCAAAATAAAAATTATAATAATCCTTCTGTTCATAAATATGCCTTGAGATGTAGACATCAGAAGTCACAATATAAACAAAGTAGACTAAATAAAGCCCAAGATTTTGGACACGTGTTTATTGTACCAACCATATGATGCATAATTATTTATCCAGTTGCTAGTCTAGACTAAACATTTCTGGACTGTAGGAACCATGACTGCTTCATGGTTTTTTAATGGCTATATGAAATTGAAGCAACTAGTTTATCTGTTTGAGTCTCCAGATCTCCTCCTTCTTTATCATCCAAGTAACAGGAAACTGGAGAAACTCTCATCTGGGTAGCAACCAAAGATACCTCTTGTATGAGGGGATGAAAAAACACAGGATGACTCATTTCTCTTACACTGAGACAGAAGCAGAATTAACCACTCTTGTCAGTCTAACACAATTCTGCTCTGAACATCCTCAAATACCTCAAAGACACCTAGGTGATTTTGAGGGAATTCCCAGTGACCCTGGGCTGATGGCCCAATGATCAACCAGGCTGGAGAGACTCAGGCTGATTCTAAATAGAAAATGGAACTGCCCTGGTGGAACTCCAGAACCTGGAACACCCATTCTGATTTGCTAGCTCATGGGTAAAGGAAATAACAAAAATAACTCTTCTCCAGTATTCCACTTTACAGGTAATTATAATTGTGATCATGGCTCTGGATACTTTGTGGCCTTGATCTCTCATGCCTAAGATGCTTATTTACACTTACAAATTCTGCCATCAGATTCTATTTCCTCCTGGAGCCTCTCACATCACTGTAGCAGGTCAATGAACAAGATGTGAAAAATCTCAAAGAGCCACACTCCCAAAATGGGGCTGTAAGATGTTTAGGTTGACATCTCACAACGCAGAAAATGCCTTTTGTTAGTTTTCTGTACATTTTCTATCCAAAGTCCAGGCTTTTTTGTAAATCCCAGGCAGAGGCCAGACCTTAATTGCAGATTCTAGGTAGGATCAACCTGGCTCTGCATCCTTTGATGTTACAGCAAGTGGAATACAATCTAAGTAGAGATCCCCTCATGAAGGCTGCTCTAGCACATTCTAAATGATAAGTCTATATATATATTAAAAAAGGCTGACACAACATGAACATAAGTAGACAGTTTATTTGGGTCAAGTTTAAGGATCATAACCTGGGAGCAAAGATTCAAGTTGCCTGGAATCTACACTTTAATTAGCAGCAATTACAAGAGGATTTGTAAAGACAACAACAGAGGGACAGAGAGTGGGCTGACACAAAGTTGTTTTTCAGAAATTTTTATTTACAGAAATAGCATTGATTATTAATTAGATATATATCATAATGGTTTAGGGTATAAAATATAGTGTCCAGGCCAGGCTCAGTGGCTCAAGCCTGTAATCCCAGCACTTTGGGAGGCCGAGGTGGGCAGATCACTTGAGGTCAGAAGTTCAAGACCAGCCTGACCAACATGGAGAAATCCCATCTCTACTAAAAATACAAAATTAGCTGGTCATAGTGGCATATGTCTGTAATCCCAGCTACTGGGGAGGCTGAGACAGAAGAACTGCTTTAACCCAGGAGGCAGAGGTTGCAGGGAGCCAAGATTGTGCCATTGCACTCAGCCTGGGCAACAAGATTGAAACTCCATCTCAAAAACAAACAAACAAAAATATAGTGTCCAATGTGGCATTATTAGTGTCATTTATAGCTACTTGTGCCAATAGGGAACAGTTTCAAGAGATTAATACATAGTTAATAGGATAAAGATGTAACTGCACTTTTATTTTAATGTCTCTCTGAGTTTGATAACCAAAAGGACTTGCATTTTTCAGATAAAAGTTTTTTATTTCTCAAATCTCATGACCTGGATTCAAAATTTGAAGCTGCAGATTTATGGCCTGAATGGCTGGAGTAGCAGCAGGTATTACCTGTACGTTTGTGGGCATTTTGGCAAGAGGAGGAAGAAGAAAGTGGAGATTCTCATGTCTCTATGTCTACTCAATGCACACATGTTACTCTGATTGGGTTTCTGGGCTCCATATTCTCTGAATCAGTTTCAGTCTGAAGATACAAGAGTCAGTGAAAGAGGTAAAATGATTGATTGCTGCCCGTGAAGTTTGTAGAAATTTGATCTAGCCTCTCTAGAAGTGATTGTAGAGAACTCTAGATACCAAATAGGCAGAGACACAATTCTGCCTGCATATTTAGGGGACAGCGTGCACTTTGCTGCACAAGTATAAGTTGACTGGAAGCCTGAGAGGGAAAGTCCCCTCTAGAGTAAATTCTGGTTGGCACCTTATGTGTTTATATCACATCTGGTAATTCTAGACAGTGTTTGGAAACAATAATTAAAAGAAAAATTGGGCTGGGAGTAGTGACTCACACCTGTAATCCCAGGACTAGGACTCTGGGAGGCTGAGGTGGGCAGATCAACTGAGGTCAGGAGTTTGAGACCAGCTTAGCCAACACAGTGAAACCCCATCTTTACTAACAACATGAAAATGAGCCCAGCACAGTGGCAGGTGCCTGTAATCCCAGCTACTCAGGAGGCTGAGGCAGGAGAGTCACTTGAACCCGGGAGCTGTAGGTTGCAGTGAGCTGAGATCATGCCACTACACTCAGCCTTGGTGACAGAGTGAGACCTCTATCTCAAAAAACAAACAAACAAACAAACAAAAACAGAAAAAGAAGAAAAATTTTCTCCAGCCCCAGAGAAGCTCCAGCCCCAGAAAAAGAAAATGGTTTCTTCAGCCCCAGAGAAAGAAAATGGCTTTCTTATAAAATTAAACTTGAAAGTGACATACATCATGGTCAATATGTTTAACAGAATACAAAGATGGAAAGATGGTCACCATAATTAGTCCACAAGTAGAAGAATTTATAGCACCATGTCACACATAGTTCATCCTAAAATCACCTGGAGATGGAATAGGGCATCTGGGTATGCTAAATGCTTATATCCAATGACAAATAAACTTTCCACATCTTCAGAACAGGAGGTAGTTTAGCAGCTTGAAGCCCAGTGGCTGCTGAAGGTAGGCTTTCACTCTGCTACAAAAATGGTTGAATAGGATTCTCTCTTTGGCTATTTACATTTTAGAGCAGTGGCTCTGTACTCCCTGGCACTGGGCTACAGCACTCCTGCTTGCTTTCCCCTGGTTGCTGGTCTCCTCTCTTGACCTCTACTATCTGCCACTGAGGCACAGCCCAGAGCACAGCTCACATTTTATGTGAACTACATTTGCCACAGCAACACTCTAATGTCACAACAGAGAGTGAGGCCTGAGCTGCAGGAGGAGAGCCTGCAGGCCTCCTGGGTAGAATCATATCTTCACAATAATGAAACTGGGAGCAGTGTTTCAGCCTCACTTTCTACTTATAATGGTGACATGGAAAAAATATTGAATTTCCAACATGAGTCCAGATAGAGATAACATCAGAAGTTTTCACTGTGACAACCCACCTCATTCAGACACCACGGGATACTAGTAAGGCTTCTGAAACAGACAAAGCATTGGAGAGAAAAACAGATCTCCCTCTGAGCAAGATAATTTTGAGAGAAGGAAGTTAAAAAGATCTTAAGAAAAAGGTCAGATTAGATATAAGATTGTTAAGTCAGCCAGAAAATATTCTCCTAAAATAAATTTCTCTCGAAACACTCAAAGTGTATAGCTACTCTCACCATGAGAAACATGAGCATTAGGAGGGTGCAGATTTTCAGAAAGAATAATTTTATAAAGTTTCTTTTCCATCTCTGCTGCTGTCTCATCTTCTAGCCATTGAATGGGGGTTCTATATTGAAATACATCTGACAACTTCAAACAACACTTTTTGATGAAGAAATAGAATCTGATTGTGTTCGTATAGTGGAATATATTAGAACTTGCAACATAGCTAACTGAAGAGGTATTATGGTGTTGGGGTGGCCACATCACCTGTCTTTATCTGTCCTGTAATAGGAACATACCAATTTAGTGAAATAAAAGATACCTAAATTGTGTTTACTCATTGTTATTCCTATTGAATAAAGTAATAAATATGTCAGACAAATATCTACTGTAATAATTTGGTAGTAAATTTTCTCTGGCTATTAGATATAAATATCTAAGTATGAATAATTTTAATGAACGTCATAGTATATGTACCATTTTTAAAAACTGTAACTATACTTCAGTTAAAACACTTTATATTTCAAAAGTATAAATTACAATATTAAAATAACCATTTAAGTGATTCAAAGTAAGTATTGTGGCTTTATATTCATAATATTGTAGAAAATACTGCTTATGGCTCACCCCTGTAATCCCAGCAACTTGAGGCTGAGATGGGTAGATCACTTGAGGTCAGGAGTTCAAGATCAAGCTGGACAACATGGTGAGACCCTATCTTTACTAAAAATACAAAAACTTAGCCAGGCATGGTGGTGTGCACTTGTAATCCCAGCTACTCAGGAGGCTGAGGCAGGAGAATCACTTGAATCTGGGAGGCAGCAGTTGCAGTCAGCTGAGATCACGCCACTGCACTCCAGCCTGGGAAACAGAGTGAGAGTCTGTCTCAAAAAAGAGGAAACACTGTTTAATTTATATGAATGCAGTTTGTCTACAAACACTAAACATAACTATGCTAATTGTTCTGAAGTAATAAATAGAAAACAAGGTACAACTACAGATTCCACTGTTGAGTTCATGCATTGAACTGTTCTTGCATTTGCAGTATTAGTACTTCAGCCTGCAAATATTGGATAATTACCTTGGATAATCAGGTTTCTGTCAAAGAAACTTAGTATCTTTTAGTCTTTATCATTCTGTATTGCTAAATTTAATTTTATCTTTGTGCTATGCTTCTGTGTGCTCTTAAATGAGTTTTAACTAAACAAATCTGTGTCTACCTTAAAGGACTAAAAATGAAAAAAATAAACTTTTCAGAAGCAAAAACAAAGCAATAAATCTGAAGTACCAGATAAAGATAATCTGGAGTCATAAAAAATGAAAAAGGTTTATTTAGCTGTTAATATGATTTACATATATTTCAAAAAAGCAGAGAAAAATATCTACATATAATCTAAATCCCTTAAGAACAGACAGAATAGCAAAATTTGTTTTGGAACTTTTTAAATAGTTTTGAACTCTTGGACATCTGAATTTTTCACACTGTATGCACTTCAAAGAATGTTTATGGGGAAAAAGGAGAAGAGAGAAAGATGTTATAAAAAATCCACGAGTGCACAAGACCAATGCAACAGAATAGAGAGCCCAGAAATAATGCCACCCTCCTATAACCATCAGATTTTTGACAAAGCTGACAAGAGGAATGCAGCAAGAATTCTCTATTTAACAAATGGTGCTAAAATAACTACCTAGCACTATGTAGAAGACTGAAACTAGATCCCTTCATTACACCATATACAAAAATCAACTCAAGATAAATTAAACACTTAAATGTAAACTTAAAATTATAAGAAAATCTGCACGATAACCTAAGAAACACCATTCTAGACACAGAAACTGGCAAAGACTTCATGATGAAGCTACCAAAAGCAATTGCAACAAAAGCAAAAATTGACAAATGGAACTTCTTCACAGCAAAGGAAACTATCAACAGAGGAAAAAGACAACCTACAGAATGAAAGAAAATATTTGCAAACTTTGCCTCTGACAAAGGTCTAATATCCAGAATTTATTAAAAACTTATACAAGTTTAAAAGAAAAAACCAAACAACTTCATTAAATTGTAGGCAAAAACACAGATTCTTTTCAAAAGAAGATATACATGTGGCTAACAAGCATATGAAAAAAATGCTCATTACTAATCACTAGAGAAATTAAAAGAAAAACCACAATGAGATACCACCTCACACCAGTCAGAATGGCTATTTTTAAAAAGTCAAAAAATAACAGATGCTGGCAAGGTTGCAGAGAAAACAGAATGCTTATACTCTTCTGGTGGGAGTGTAAATTAGTTTAACAATTGTAAAAAGCAGTGTGGCGGTTCCTCACAGAACTAATAACAGAATTATCATTTGACCCAGAAATCTCAAAATTGGGTATATACCCAAGGAAATATAAATTATTATATTATAAAGACACATCCACATGCATGTTCACTGCAGCACTATTCACAATAGCAAAGACAAGGACAGGCCCTAAATGCCTATCAATGGTAGACTGGGTAAAGAAAATATGGTATGGTCAGAAGCGGTGGCCCATGCCTGTAATTCCAGCACTTTGGGAGGCCAAGGCAGGTGAACTGCCTGAACTTAGAAGTTTGAGAACAGCCTGGGCAACATGGCAAAATCCTGTCTCCACGGAAAATACAAAAAGAAAATTTGGCCAGGTGTGGTAACGCCCAGGTGTAGTCCTAGCTTCTTGGGAAGATGAGGTAGGAGAGAATTGCTTTAGCCTGGGAGGTTGAGGTTAAAGTAAGCCAATATCACGCCATGGCACTCTGGCCTGGGCAATAAGTGAGACTCTGTCTCCAACTATAAAATAAAATAAAAGATTTAGTCAAAACAAAATATGGTACGTAAACATCATGGAATACTCTGTGGCCATTAAAAAAAAATCACGTCCTTTGCAATAACATCAATGAAGCTGGACACTATTTTTCTTAGAAAACAAATGCAGAGGCCTGGCGCAGTGCTCACACCTGTAATCCCAGCGCTTTGGGAGGCCGAGGTGGGTTGATCACTTGAGGTTAGGAGTTGGAGACCAGCCTGCCCAACATGGAGAAACTCCATCTCTATTAAAAATACAAAATTAGCTGGGCATGGTGGAATGCACCTGTAATCCCAGCTACTCATGAGGCTGAGGCAGGAGAATCACTTGAACCGGGAGGTGGAAGTTGAGGTGAGCCTACATCACACCATTGCACTCCAGCCTGGGCAACAAGAGTAAAACTCCGTCTCCAAAAAAAAAAAAGATAAAATAATGCAGAAACAGAAAACCAAATGAATGTACTATCATTTATAAGTAAGAGCTAAATAATAAGAACACACGAACACAAAGAGGAGAACAACAGACACTGAGGCCTAGTTGAGGGTGGAGGGTGGGAGAACTCAGAGGATCAGAAAACATACCTGTTTGGTGCTATGCTTAGTACGTAAGTTAACAAAATAATCTGCACACAAAACCCCCATGACATAATTTTACCTGTAAAAGAAACCCACGTGTACCCCGAATCAAAAATAAAAGCTAAAATAAAAAATTAAATCCCTGGGCAGGAGAGAGTGCAATGCAGGTGAGAGGACTGATTTTTGCTGCAGATAGTGGTCCCAATGCAGCCATACTCTGATTTATTACTGTGTGCAGGCAGATGAGATTATGAACAGCTGATCCAAAATGGTAGGTTGGTGGAGAAAACTGGTTGCTGCTGCAGATTTAGCATCTGTGGATGGGGATATGCCAGGAGACTTGCAGAGACTTGTGGGTTCTTGGCAAGAAACACTAGGGTCAAAAATGCTGTGGTGAAGTTTCTGAGGGTGGTGCCTAGTCCTGGGAGGAGTGTGGACGTGTCAATGTCTAGTGTGTGTGTTTGTGAGTGGGTGGGAATCTTGTGGTGGCAGCTGTGGGAAAAGGGGGTCTGTAATCAGAGCTCCTGTCCTCTAAGTTTTCAGTCCTCTGTCACCCTGGGAGAAGACCTGAATCACAGGACAATGGGCAGTGTGACAGCCTGTGTATGGGAAAGCAGAGCTCCCATTCCCAAACACCTAGTTTTATTCCAGGCCAGGCCTCTGTGATATCTTTTTTCTGGCACCAAATCTGTAGAGTTAGCTGAACATTAAACAATTCTCCAACACCAACTTATTGTCTAACATTTGAATTCTGACACCACCCAGAGTCAACACAGACCCTGATTCAGGGCTTGGTCCTACAACACTGTCCTCACTGCAGATGCCAGTCAAAAACCCCATGGGCCCATCTATGCTTCTGAGCTACTGTTTAAAAACTTGTTAGTCCCATAACCTCTCTGAATTTTAATAATCTGGTAGAGCTACTCACAGAACTTAGCAAAACACTGTAGTTATGTTTACCAGTTTAATATGTGAGACGCAGCCCAGGAAAAGCCAAATGGGAGAAATGCATAGAACAAAGAAAAGAAATGGGGAAAGATGAAACACATAGATAATACTGGAAAATGTTTGTGATTAATAAAATTCTCCATTCTTTGTGTGCTCCAGGAACAATTTATGCAAACAAACACTCTTCCCATTATGACTAAGATAGTGCTCTCTTTTCTTACCTATCACACAGGCAGACACACGCTCTGCACATTTTCTCCTTTTTCTCATTAAAAAAACAGCTGAATTTGTCTTCAGTGCTCAAAATAATTTCTTCACTTTGTCACCCAGGCTGGAGTGCAGTGATGCGATCTTGGCTAACAGCAACCTCCACCTCCTGGGTTCAAGCAATTATCCTGCCTCAGCCTCCCAAGTAGCTGGGATTACAGGTGCCCATCACCACACCTGGCGAATTTTTGTTGTTTTGGTGTTTTTTTTTTTTTTTTGAGACAGAGTTTCACTCTCGTTGCCCAGGCTGGAGTGCACTGGTGCAATCTCAGCTCAGTACAACATTTACCTCCCGAGTTCAAGCGATTCTCCTGCCTCAGCCTCCCGAGTAGATGGGATTACAGGCATGCACCACCACACCTGTTGATTTTTTTTTTTTTTTTGTAGTGATGGGATTTCTCCATGTTGGTCAGGCTGGTCTTAAACTCCCAACCTCAGGTGATCCGCCCACCTCAGCCTTCCAGTAATTTTTGTATTTTTAGTAGAGACAGGATTTCATCATGTTGGCCAGGCTGGTCTCAAACACCTGTCCTCAGGTGATCCGACTGCCTCAGACTCCCAAAGTGTTGAGATCACAGGCATGAGCCACTGGGCCCGGACTAAAATAAAATATTTCTTAATCATACTTTTCTTAAGTTTATTTCCCTCCCTCAGGCTCCTGAACTTTGAGCTACCCTCAGTCTGAGTCAACATACAACCCCATTTTACATTCCTCCTAAGAACATGCTGATTTCAGGGTAAGACATCCTCTGATCTAAAATCTGACTTTTTCACTCTCCATTTGCCATTCACCTCCCACCTCCTTTCTTATCTTGTTTACCTCTCCCTAAAAAAGAAAGCCCTTTTCTGCCTACATCTTTGCAAGCCATAAAGATCTTATATTTAGTTGGTACTTTCTCCTGTTGCAATAATTTTTTGGAATTCATTTTTTTTTTACATAAATCTAATGTTTTTATTTTACAAAGTACAGAAAGTGCCACAAAACATAACGACTGCATCATCAGTAAGACCCTCTCAGTTTCCTTTCATCTTAACCTCAACTGCATCTGCCTGTGGGACCCCAGCTTTCCAGGGCTCTGTAGCTTCTCTCAGGATAAAGGCTCCTTCTATGGCTGGGGTGAGCAGGCTGGACACCTGCACGGGAGGCTCCCCAGAAAAAACTAACTGAGTCTTCAATATCCAGTTGCAGGCTTAATTATTAGCCTTAGCTTGGAGTCACTAGGTTCAAGCTTTAATTTCCATGTCAGAATTACTCACTTAGTTTTTGAAACTATGTGTTTGAAAAATCCAGGGAAATTACTCAAACGCAGTGTTTACATAAGGGAAGGAAATTTTAAGGTTCTTACTTTTTTTTTTTTTTTTTTGAGACGAAGTCTCACTCTGTGGCCCAGGCTGGAGTTCAGTGGCATGATCTCGGCTCACTGCAACCTCCACCTCCCGGGTTCAAGACATTCTTGTTCCTCAGCCTCCCAAGTAGCTGGGAATACAGGCATATGCCACCACACCTGGCTAACTTTTGTATTTTTAGTAGAGATGAGTTTCACCATGTTGGGCAGGCTGGTCTCAAATTCCTGACCTCAAGTAATCAACCTGTCTAGGCCTCCCAAAGTGCTGAAACTACAGGCATGAGCCACTGCACCTGGCTAAGATGCTTGCATTTTATACCCCTATAAGAAAAGCATATATATCTACTTCTTTCAGACAATGTATGTATTATTTTATTATTTATCTTAAAAATAATGCAGTAGGCCGGGCACTGTGGCTCACGCCTCTAATCCCAACACTTTGGAAGGCCAAGGTGGGTAGATCACGAGGTCAGAAGATTGAGAACATTTTGGCCAACATGGTGAAACCCTGTCTCTACTAAAAACACAAAAAAATTGGCTGGACGTGGTGACACACACCTGTAATCCCAGCTACTTGGGAGGCTGAGGCAGGAGAACTGCTTGAACCTGGGAGGCAGAGGTTGCGTGAGCCGAGATCACGCCACTGCACTCCAACCTGGTGACGGAGTGAGACTCTGTTTCAAAAAAATAAGTAAATAAATAAAATAATGTAGTAAAAAATTAGTCATATGGGAACACTTCTAGAAGGTACCATGTTTCATCACTTAAAATTTAGCATTTAACTCAGAAATCAAAATAAAAGGATATAGAAAAAATTTACCCTGCAAAAAGAGGAACTAATGTGTTGATGAATCCATGTAACTCCTCAATTATCTACCACATTTTCCTGTGGAAATATATTCATTGTCTACAGCCAAAATGGAAGAGAGATTTTCCCTATATTTTTCCTTGGTAACTAGCATTCCTGGCAAACATGGTGAAACCTCATCTCTACTAAAAATATGAAAACTAGCTGGGAGTGGTGGCGCTTGCCTGTAGTCCCAACTACTGGAGAGGCTGAAGCAGGAGAATCGCTTGAACCCATGAGGTGGAGGTTGCAGTGAGCCAAGATCTGACACTGCACTCTAGCCTGGCGACAGAGCAAGACTCCGTCTCAAAAAATAATAATAATAATAATAATTAATTGAGGAACATGGGGGACACTTGAGGCCCTGCTTGGGACACATGTGAAAAATGCCAGGGAAAGTCAGTCCCCTGTGGGATGTGAAAATAATTAAGTGGCAGGCAATTAGACTGAAGAGGCTCTAGTCCCCGGATTTCTATTTCTAAAAAAAAAAAAAAAAAAAAATCTAAGCTCAAGTGCATTTTTTGGCAAATTACTACATTAGGGGAAACAAAATTCAGGCTTCAGCAACTATAAACTGCCAATTAAGCTCTAATTACATAACCAGGAAATTTCCACCTTGATTGTACAAATTAAGAAACTACATTACTAAACCTAACAAATTATTGAATTTGGTTTTCCTCATCATGCATTTTATAAATGTCTTTTCTTCAAGCCTCTCCCATGGACCACAAACTACAAACTATAGCTGGGTGCTCTACAATTCTTGAATCACTCTTTGATTAAATTGTTTGATATTTTTGCAGTGACTCCCATAATTTTTTTTTTTTTTTTTTTTTTTTAGACAAGAGTCTTGCTCTGTCGCCCAGGCTGGAGTGCAGTGGCAGGATTTCAGCTCACTGCAACCTCCGCCTCCCGGGTTCAAGCGATTCTCTCACTTCTGCCTCCCGAGAAGCTGGGACTACAGACATTCGCCAACATATCCACCTAATTTTTGTATTTTTAGTAGACAAGGGGTTTCCCCATTTTGGTCAGTCTGGTCTTCAACTCCTGACCTCAAGTGATCCGCCCGCCTCGGCCTCCCAACGTGCGGGGATTACAGGCTTGAACGACCGCGCCCGGCCCCATACAATTTTAATAGCAGAAAAGAGAAACTGTGAACCCCACAGACCAAAGCTCTTCCCATTCATGAACCCGCACCGCGAGTCAGCATTCTCCCCTGAAGACCCTCCGGTGGTCCCTGCACAATCTGGGAGAGACACGGCACTGCGGGTGCAGAGCTGCCCACAGAGCGCTCCAGGCCAGGGGCACAGTCACTGCGCGGGGAAGCGACAGGACGCCCGGGGGCCAGGCTGTCAGCGTAGCCGCCATCTTATGGCTGAATGGGACTGAGGCAGAGCTGGGTAAGGAGAATTCGGGGTGCAGATTGTGGAGCTGACTGAGGGGAGGCCTGAGTCCCGCCACAGACACTTCACCTCTCTCGGGATGCTGGACCGGCACTCTCACCATTTCTAGGCTTCCAGGGGGTCCTGGCGTCTTAGCTGTGGATCTCCCAATACCTGCAGGACACAGGGCCACAGAGGCTGGGCCTCTAGGAGAAGAAGACAGAGAGCAGTGAACAGACGACCTGGAGCTCCAGCTGCAGGGAGAGACAAAGACCCCGCCAAATCCGGAAGCCGTCCTGTTCATTCCAGCTGCGTGCCTGATTGGACGGTTTCCAGCCCAGCGCCTCTGATTGGCTAATGCTTAAGGTCCCGCCCCCTCAGACACTGAGTGACAGAAGATGTGATCAGCTGCTGGGCGGAGTGAAGAAAAGAGTGACAGCCTAAGCTGCAGCCTTTTCAGGCAGGGCTTCCTCCCAGAGCTGAGCCTGGTCCATGCCAGAGCATGGGAACATTTTATCTCTTTTTTACTCTCTGTCTTGTTGAATGTATTCAAAGGTGAACAGAAGTATTTTGCTGTCATATTAATAATACATAAAATTTTTGTTCAAGAGAAAATCAGCTTTTACTTTGGTAATAGTGTATTAACGATTAAAGCTAATTTTAATAAAACCTTATAAATAAATCAAATTTGTCATTTTTGACCACTCCAGATTTACATATATATTTTGTAATCCCTGTAATTTTTTTATCTATTTATATTTTATTTTTATCCACATTCTTCTTATTTTTTCAACTTGAAACAACCTTTAAGTAATTTCAAACTGCTATAAGAGATAGAAATAATTTAGGGTCAGGCACAGGTAGCTCATGCCAGTAATCCCAACACTTTGGGAGGCCAAGGTGGGTGGATCACTTGAGGTCAGGAGTTCAAGACTAGCCTGGCCAACATGGTGAAACCCCATCTCTACTCACAATGTAAAAAATTAGCTGGGTATGGTGGTGCACATCTGTGGTCCCAGCTACTCCGGAGGCTGAGGCAGGAGAATCACTTGAACCCAGGAGGTGGAGGTTATGTAACAGCCCAAGGGGTTCATTTTGCCCTTTGCCTAGACAGAGCCAATTCATGAAGACAGGAGAATTTATGGAGGAAAAGTTAAATGTTAAATTTGAACTCAATTGAACGTGGACACAATGGTCACCAAGTCCCAGAACAGGTCCTGGTTGTGAGCCCCTGAGGTGTTCATCCAGAGCTGTATCAAAGAAATGTCTATTTCATTCTATTACTATACATTAGTTGTTGAAAAACAATAGACAATCACAAAAACAACTTGACCCTTTTGTGTTCCGTGAGGCAAGTCCCAAATGGCCCTCCTCACTGGGCCTTATGCCAAACAACTCGTTACAAAAGAGCTAGGGTCCCAGACCACCCTGAAGCTTCATGAGACTCCTTGTCTGTGCATGAATGGGTGGCCGACTCTGGAGCCTGGGCTGTTTCTTCCTACTCAGTTGGTAATCCTCCATAGTCTAGTGAGGGTAAATATATATATATATCTTTTCCCATCTCCTCTTCTTACTGCAATTTGCTTATTATATCAATCTGTGTATTATATTTATTTGCTTATTATATCATTTGCTTATTATATCATTAGTTTATTCTGTCTGCATTGATATTGATGTGGGTTAAAGCTTGTTTACCATTAAAGTTATTGTATGTATGTCTTTTCTTCTCCTCTCCCACGTTTCCCATACAGAACATTTTTGGCATCACAAACAGGATTTGAAAACAAAAGTGGGCCCCTTTTTGACCAGAAGGATAGGGCTGGAGGCTCAAGGATTTCCCATATCCTGAGATGGGATCACTCCCAGTTCTCCTTCTTTGTGATTGAATGGTTCAGGGGAACTGGCCTTTGTGGGAATTGGGAATCTAAATTAGTGCAATTTAAACCTTTGACTGTGCGTGAAGTGCTGCAGGGGATTCCAGTCACCAAAGGAGATGCTGAGGGAATCTCACAAAGTGGATAGTGTTTGATTGCTGCTTATAAGTTAATGTGTCAAGATAGGGGCTGGTTGCTACAAGAGAAATATAAGCTGGAAAAGGAAAATGCTAATCTGACTTCCGGACTGGCCCTGGCCCAATGCCAGTCAATGTCTTGACTGATCAGGCTCAAAGCTATCAGCCTATTGCTGAAAAAAGCAGCTGTCCAGGTGGCCCAATCAGGGTAAAACTGAAGAACTAGTCAGCCGGGGCTTAGAGCATGTAAAAACCCAGTTCCTATCTCAAAAATGGGAAATTAAGCCTAGTAAAATTAAGGATCCGCACAAAGTGTAAAATTCTTTGGCATCCTATGGAATGCAAAGAAACAGTCCACTTCACCAAAGGCTAAGGCTAAAATACTATAATTTGCAACCCCTACCACTAAGAAGGAGGCCCAGAAATGTATTGACTTGTTTGGATTCTGAACACATCATATTCCTTACTTGGGTAACATTTTACAACATCTGAATGCAGCCACTAGAAAAAGGTATGACTCTCACTGTGGAGAGAAAGACAGCATGGCTTTTGAACAAGCTAAACAAGCAGTGCAACTGGCCCTGGATCTATGGCCTATATGGGATGGGCCTGATGAACTGCGAGTAACTGTCGTAGATCAACATGCTAATTGGAGCCTTAGGCAGAAACAAGATGGAAAGAGGGTACTTTTCATGTTTTGGACCCAGAAACTGCCAGAGGCTGGAAAAGCTTATTCCTCTTTTGAGAAGCAATTGTTAGCTTGCTATTGAGCTTTGCTGGAAATGGAACACCTCTGCTTCAACCACGATGTCTTTATGAGGCCTGAAATTTCTATTATGACTTTGGTCATGAGTTCCCCCAAAACCCACCAGATAGGGCATGCCCAGAAAGTAGCATCATAAAATGGAAATGGGACATACAAAACCAGGCTAAGCCAAAATCATAGGGGCTATCACTTTTACATGAGGATGTGGAAAACCTGCGAGCTCAGGAAACAACCAAGCAAGTCCTGCAGATAGGGAAAGAAACACCCCCCACACACACACATCAAATGGGGCAAATCCTTTAAAGAACTAAGCCCAGAGGATCAGAAACATGCTTGGTTTACTGATGGATCCACCAAATACTTTGGTGGGACCCAATGCTGGAGGGCTGTGGCTTATAATCCTGTTAAAAACATAAGCATTTCTGATGAAGGAAGGGGTGGGAGCAGCCAGTTAGCTGAACTAGTAGTCGTTTCTCCGAGCTATTCAGGAGGAGGCCAGAGGGATTTGTTACTTTTATATCAACTCTTTGTCAGTAGCAAATGGTCTTACTACCTGGGTGCCCAAGTGGCAATGAAACAAATGGTTAATGCGGAATAAAGAGGTTTGGGGAAAACAATATTGGTAAGGTATCTGAATCCTGGTGCATACTCCCATCGTCACTGTGTTCCATGTTTTTTTGTTGTTGTTTTTTGTTTTTGAGATGGAATCCAGCCCTGTCACCAAATTGAAGTGCAGTGGTGCAATCTCAGCTCACTGCCACCTCCATCTCCACGGTTCAAGTGATTCTTCTGGCCTCTGCCTCCCAAGTAGCTTGGATTACAGGCACAGGCTGCCACGCCCAGCTAATTTTGTATTATTTTTTATTTATTCATTTTTTAGATGCAGTCTCACTCTTTCATTAGGCTGGAGTGCAGTGGCACAATCTGGGTTCACCACAACCTTCATGTCCCAGGTTCAAGCAATTCTCCTGCCTCAGCCTCCCGAGTAGCTGGGACTACAGGCACACACCACCATACCCAGCTAATTTTTGTATTTTTAGTAGAGATGAGGTTTCACCATGTTAAACAGGATGGTCTCCATCTCTTGACCTCCTGATCAGCAGGCCTTGGCCTCCCAAAGTGCTGGGATTAGAGGTATGAGCCACCATGCTCAGTTTATTTTTGTAATTTTAGAGACGGGGTTTTGCCATGTTGGCCAGGATGGTCCCAATCTCTTGACCTTGTGATCTGCCCACCTCAGCCTCCCAAAATGCTGGGATTACAGGTGTGAGTCACTGTGCCTGGCCCTGTTTTCCATGTTGATGCTAGTGTGTCTCTGCTTCCTCTTGACAGACTATTTAATCAGCAGGAAGATCAACAGGCAAAAATTTCCACCATAACTGTGATCTTGAATGTGGGTAAATGGATTACAACATGTTCAAGCCTTGCAATGAGAAGCATAATAATGTATGGTGGAATAATTGATAGTGATTACCGGGGAGAGTTAAAGGACATTTTATACAATACCTCTCCAGATTCTTTTGCTATAAAACCACAGATGCTGGTTGCTCAATTGTTAGTGGTACCTTGTCCACAATTAACCCCTGAGGAAATCTTTGCCCAACAGAGGCTACATACAGAACTTGGGGATTCAGATCCCCTGGTACAGGAAGCTTAAATCCTGGAGCCAAAATATGGGTACAGCGTCCATCAGATCCCAACCCTAAGGCTGGTGACCTTGTAGCTATGAAAGCAGAAAATGAAGGCATAGTACAATTTCCTAAAGATGAAAAACAATATGATGTTCCCCTCTGTTTTTGTTATTACAGGGAATAACCTATCTACTAATGGTCAGCACCTGTGTCTTTGTGTCTGAGGCCAAGAATAAATTCATCAACTTTTTAGCCACTGCTGCAACAGAAGCCAACTGCAATCAATGTTGGCTATACGTGGAGTTGCTAGAGGCCGCCAAAAATGGTCTACCTTGGAGAATCATCCCTGACAACATTTCTGAATGGCTATGTTGTTACCAATGGGGCTGCAACAACAGCACTTGCAATCCAACCTGGACTTCATTTGACCACACTAAAAAATCAATCTTTGCCAAGTCAGACAAAAGATGAACTCCACCCTCACCTTGCATTGAAAGCCTTGGTATTCTGCCCAATGTTCCTGGAATGGTATATACTACGAACCTTCTGTGCTGGTGGCTGGATTCCATATAGCCCCTGCTTTGTCTAGAGGCCTTAAATGGCTCCTCTAATGTTACTCTGGGGTTTCTCCACTCAATTGTCAACACATACTCCAAATCAACAACATTGCACCCAATGAACAACAATCTCTTTCCTATTTTAATAAGAGATTAGTACACTATGATTACAGTAGCTCCATTGCTGTCCCCTGGGGGGCCCTCTGGGTATGCAGATCCTATCGGTGGTGATACTGCCCCCACTTTGGATGGGGAGATGCACTTGGGGGTGACCATTAATTCTATTCACCATCCAGGATAATATTCCCCTCCCCAGTAATCTAGATGCTTACAAACATCGCTGGTTACAAATGTGCTGGACTCCCTGGTGGTGGTACCCTATCACAGTATTCTCCCCTGCCACTGGTACAATCTTGCTTCACCAACAAATTATAATATTTAGCTTACATGTAGAAAAAGCTCTTAATGATAGTAGCACTGGGCTTATGTTGTTATCAGATGAATTTGCTCAGCTGCGTATTGTTGTGTTGCAAAATCAAATGGCATTAGATATGCTTACCACAGCCCAAGGAGGGGTTTGCGCCTTACTGCATACTAAATGTTGTGTGTATATTCCTGGCAAGTCTCACAATATTACTCTGCTTGCAACGCCATGTGGGGTTTAATTTTTATTAATTGTGCCTTTAATTCTCCTGTGCTTACCCTGTATCTGTAATATATATCAACTATGCCTTCCCGATGTATCCGTAAGGGTATTTTAATACAATTGAATATCCAATTGAGGCCGAATGTACTGGAAAAGTTAAATATTAAATTTGAACTCAATTGAACGTGGACAAAAATAATGGTCACCAAGTCTCAGAGCAGGTTGTGTGAGCCCCTTTAGGCATTCATCCGGCGCTGTTTCAGAGAAATTTCTGTTTCAATCTATTCCTATACGTTAGTTACTGAAAAACAATAGCCAATCACAAAAACACGTTAACCTTTTTACAGGTGTGAGCCACCATGCCTGGCCTTGGATGAGGTTTTTGTGGGTACTTTTTTGTTGTTGATGCTGTTGTTCCTTTCTGTTTGTTTGTTTTTCTTTCAATGGTCAGGTACATCTTCTGTAGGGCTTCTGCAGTTTGAGGGGGGTTCACTTCAGGCCCTATTAATCTGGTTCACTCCCATGCCTGGAGATGTCACTCAAGGAGGTTGGAGAAAAGCAGAGTCTGCTCCTTCCTCTGTGATCTCTGATCTCAAGAGGCACCAACCTGATGCCATTAAGATGGCTCCTGTATAGGGTGTCTGACAACCCCTGTTGAAGTGTCACCAGTTGGGTGGCATGGGGAGCAGAACCCATTTAATGAAGCACTTTGACTGTTCCTTGGTGGAGGGGGGTGTTTTGCTGGGGGGAAACCCACTCATCTGGGCTGCTCAAATTCCTCAGAACTAGCAGGAGGAAAGGCTAAGTCTGCTGGTCCACAGAGACTGCAGCCACCCCTCCCCCTAGGGGCTCAGGCCCAGGGAGATCAGAGTTATGTCCCTGAGCCCCTGGCTGGAGATGTTGGAGTTCCTGCAGGGAGGCCCTGACCAGTGAGGAGAGATGGGTCAGCGTCAGGCCTGAAGAGACATTCTGGCCACAGTCTGCCACAGCCCATGTGTTGGGCTGTGGGGGACACCTCTTGAGACCAAGCTGTCCAGTTTTCCTGGATCTAGCAGAGGAAAAGTGAGGCCAGGAGCTATAGAGATGGCTGCTTCCCTTTCCCCATCCAGGGATCTTAGCCTGTTAGGCAGTTTCGAGTCCCAGTGCTGGCTGCTGTCCCTCCCTCAAGGAGCTCAAACAGCTTAGACAGCAGCCAACTGCAACGGTGGTGCTGGTCTCCCCCACCGTGGGAACTCGGCAGGCTTAAGCAGATTCTACCTGACAGGCTGTTCATAATCTGCTCAGCTCCAGGGTTGTGTCAGGCATAATAAGTTCCTCTTCAAAGGGTAACTTCCTTGTTGTTTGTTCTCAAAATCAACTTCCTTATACCTTCCCGCTCCTAGCTACCTGCTCTGTAAACATCTCTTCTCCCCAGTCGCAATCCGTAACCCACATCTCTTCCTTATTTGGAAGAAGTCCTCCTCACTCCTAGTTACCTGCTCTGTAAACAACCTTCCTGCCAGTCTCGATTTAAAATAGCCATCGAGTTAGCTTAGATTGTGTGGTCTGACTCCAGCCAATGGGGGCAGCACACAGAAGTAGGGACTGTGTTAGGGATAAAAACTCCTTCCCTCTCTTGTATGCTGTGCTCTCAAAACAGCCAGAGACATGACTGGCACCCTTCTGCAGAAGTAAATGTGCCTTGCCTTGCTGAGAAATTCCTTGTTTCAGTGCCCATGTTCTTTGCGACTCTGAGCTCTTGCTTCCAACAGTTGGGACCTTAGGTTCCAGTGGTGTGGGTTCATGAGTGGAATCTTCTAATCCGTGGGTTGCATAGTTCCATGGAAAAAGCAGTTTCCCAGGCTGGGTAGCATGCTCACTCACTGCATCCCTTGGCTGTGGGGTGGGGGCTCCCCAGGCCCATGTGGGTGTCAGGTGGGCTGCCACACCACACTGCTCTTCCTTCCTCTCCATGGATCACGCCAGCCACCTAGTCAGTTCTGATGAAAGAACATGGATACCTCAGGTTATGGTACAGCATTCACACACTGTTATGGTTCTTTTCTATGGGATGCCGCTTCTAATCAGCCATCTTGGCCCTGCCCCTGTAGCAGGATGAGCCACAGACAAAACTCCTCAGACACCAAATTAAAGAAGGAAGGGGTTTATTCGGCTGGGGACATCGGTAAGACTCCTGTCTCAAGAGCTGAGCTCCCCGAGTGAGCAATTCTAGTCCCTTTTAAGGGCTCACAACTCTAAGGGGGTCTGCGTGAGAGGGTCATGATCGATTGAGCAAGCAGGGGGTACATGACTGGGGGCTGCATACACTGGTAATTAGAATGGAACATAACAGGATAGGGATTTTCACAGTGCTTTTCTATACAATGTCTGTAATGTATGGATAACATAACCAATTAGGTCAGGGGTCGATCTTTAACTACCAGGCCCAGGGTGTGGCGCTGGGCTGTCTGCTTGTGGATTTCATTTCTGCCTTTTAGTTTTTACTTTTTCTTTCTTTGGAGGCAGAAATTGGGCATAAGACAATATGAGGGGTGGTCTCCTCCCTTACCCCCACCAATTTTTCTTTGAAAGGCTAGTAGAATTCAGCTGTGAATCCACCTGGTTCTGAACATTTTTTTTTTGGTTGGCAATTTTTTAAATTATTATTTCAATCTTGCTTCTTGTTATTAGTCTGTTCAGAGTTGTTTTTTTTTTAATCTAGGAGGATTGTACATTTGCAGGAATTTATTCATCTCCTTTACATTTTCTAATTTGTGCACATAAAGGTGTTCACAGTATCCCTAAATGATCTTTTGTATTTCTGTGGCAGCGGTTGCAATATCTTCTGTTTCATTTCTAATTGAGCTTATTTGGATCTTCTCTCTTCTTGGTTAATGCTGTTAATGGTCTATCAATTTTGTTTATCTTTTCTAAGAGCCAGCTTTTCATTTCATTTATCATTTGGATTTTCGTTGTTGTTGTTGTTTCAGTTTCATTTAGTTCTGCTCTGATCTTTGATATTTCTTTTCTACTGCTGGGTTTGGGCTTGGCTTGTTCTTGTGCCTCTAGTTCCTTGAGGTGTTATCTTACATTGTCAACCTATGCTCTTTCAGACTTTTTGATGGAAGAACTTGATGCTATGAACTTTCCTTTCAGCACCACTTCTGCTGTATCCCAGACGTTTTGATAGGTTGTGCCATTATTATTGTTCAGTTCAAAGAATTTTTAAATTTAAATCTTGATTTCATCCAAAGATCATTCAGAACCAGGTTGATCTTAAATTTAATTATTTATTTAATTTCCATGTATTTATTTAATTTCTACAATTTATTTAATTTCCATGTATTTGCATTGTTTTGATGGTTCATTTAGAGTTGATTTTGAATTTTATTCCACTGCAGTCTGAGAGAGTAGTTGATATAATTTTGATTGTCTTAAATTTATTGCGACTTGTTTTGTGACCTATCATGTGTCTATCTTGGAGAATGTTCCATGTGCTGATGAATAAAATGTATATTCTGCAGTTGTTGTGTGGAATGTTCTGTAAATATTTGTCAAGTCCATTTGTTCTAGGTTATAGTTTAAGTCCATTCCCTTTTTTGTTGTTATTGTTGACTTTGTCTTGATGACTTGTCTAGTGCTGTCAGTAGAGTATTGAAGTTCCCCATTATTATTGTGTTGCCATTTATCCCTTTTCTTAGATCTAGTAGTAATTGTTTCATGAATTTGGGAGCTCCAATGTTAGGTGCATATATATTTAGGATTATGATATTTTCCTATTGGACTAGTCCTTTTTTATCATTATATAATGTCCCTCTTTGTGTTTTTTATTTTTTACCTGTTTTTGCTTTAAAGCTTGTTTGTCTGATGTAAGAATGGCTACTACTGCTTGCTTTCAGGGTATCAGGGTACGTTTACATGGAATATCTTTTTCCAATCCTTTACCTTAAGTTTATGTTAGTCCTTATGTGTTGGGTGAGTCTCTGGAAGACAGCAGATATTTTATTGGTAAACTCTTATCTATTCTGCTATTGTGTATGTTTTAAGTGGAGCATTTAGGCCATTTACATTCAACATTAGTATTGAGGTGTGAAGGACTGTTCTATTCATTGTGCCAGTAGTTTCCTGAATACCTCTTATATTGTGTTATTGTTTTATAGGCCTTGTGAGATTTATGCCTTAAGGAGGTTCTATTTCAGTGTATTTTGAGGTTTTGTTTCAAGATTTAGAACACTTTTTAGCAGTTCTTACAGTGGTGGCTTGGTAGTGGTGAATTCTCTAAGCATTTGTTTGTCTGGAAAAGACCGTATCTTTCTTCATTTATGAAGCTTATTTTCACTGAATACAAAATTTGGGCTGATGCTTGTCTTGTTTAAGGAGGCTAAACATAGGACCCCAATCCCTTCTAGCTTGTAGGGATTCTGTTGAGAAATCTGCTGGTAATCTGATATGTTTTTCTTTATAGGTTACCTGATGCTTTTTTCTCACAGCTCTTAAAAATCTTTCCTGTATATTGACTTCAGATAACCTGATGACTGTGTGCCTAGGTGATGATCTTCTTGTGATGAATTTCCTTGGAGTTCTTTGAACTTCTTGTATTTGGATGTCTAGATCTCTAGTAAGGCCAGGAAAGTTTTTCTCAGTTATTTCCTCAAATAAGTTTTCCAAACTTTTAGATTTCACTTCTTCCCTGGGGACACCAATTATTCTTAGGTTTGGTTTTTTACATAATTCCAAGCTTCTTGGAGGTTTGGTTCATTTTTTAAATTCTTTTTTGTCTTCATTAGATTGGGTTAATTCAAAAGCCTTGTCTTTGAGCTCTGAAGTTCTTTCTTTTACTTGTTTGGATCTATTTTTGTAATTTTCTACTATGTTTTGCATTTCTCTAAGTGTGCCTTTCATTTCCAGAAGTTGTGATTTTTTTTTATTTATGCTATCTATTTCTCTGGTAATTTTTTTCACCCATATCCTGTATTTTAAAAAAAAAATTCTTTCAGTTAGTATTTATCTTTCTCCAGTGCCTCTTTAAGTGGCTTAATAATGGACCTTATGAATTCTTTTTTCTGCAATTCAGAGATTTCTTCTTGGTTTGCATCCATTGCTAGGGAGCTAGTGTGGTCTTTCCAAGGTGTTAAAAAATTTTTCCTTTGTTATGTTACCAAAATTGTTTTTTTGGTTCCTTCTCATTTGGGTTTTCTATGTCAGAGGAAAGAGCTGAGGCTCTAGGCTGCTGTTCAGATTATTTTGTTTCATGGGGTGATCCCTTGACATGATAGTCTCCCCTTTTCCCTTGGGATGGGGCTTCCTGAGAGCCAGGAATTGTTATTGATCTTCTGGGTTTAACCACCCAGTGGAGCTACTGGGCTCTGGGCTGGTACTGGGGAGTGTCTGCAAAGAGTCCTGTGATGTGATCTGTCTTCAGGTTTCTCAGCCATGGATTCTACCACCTGCTCTGGTAGAGGTAGCAGGGGAGTAAAGTGGACTCTGTGAGGGTGGTTGGTTGTAGTTCTGTTTAGTGCACTGGTTTTTTTTTTTCTTTTTTTGGATGCTGGTTGTTCTAGCAGTGAAGTTGTCACATGAAAGACTGAGGACTTCTGGTTAGCCAGGATGTTACAGGTGATGGAATTAGCTGTTGTTTTCTCCTTTATTGGAGTGAGGTTGTTCTTTTTTTTTTTTTTTTTTTTTGAGATGGAGTTATGCTCTTGTTGCCCAGGCTGGAGTGCAATCATGCGATCTTGGCTCCCCGCAATCTCTGCCTCCCAGGTTCAAGGGATTCTCCTGCCTCAGCCTCCCAGGTAGCTGGGATTACAGGCATGCACCACCAAGCCTGTCTAATTTTGTATTTTTAGTAGAAACTGGATGTGGTTTCTCTATGTTGGTCAGGGGGGTCTGGAACTCCTGACCTCAGGTGATCCACCCATCTCAGCCTCCCAAAATGCTGGGATTACAGGTGTGAGCCACACCACCTGGTTGGGGTTCTTTGATGAGTTGATGTAATGGCTTGAGTTGGTTGGCCTCCAACCTAGAGGTGGGATTTTCAATACGGCATCAGTTGTGGTAGTATAGGGTGTAGGCAAGCTTGCCATTGGGTCACCTGGATAAGTATTCAGGTTTCTCAGGCAATGGGTGGGAACATAGAGCTCCCAAGAGAGTATGTTTTTTGTCTTCAGCTACCAGCATGGGTAGAGTAAGGGCATCAGGCGAGGACAAGGTTAGACCTGTCTGAGCTCAGACCCTCCTTGGGTGGGGCTTGCTGCAGCTGCTGTGGGGTTGGGAGTATGGATCTCAGGCCAATGGAGTTATGTTCCCAGGGGGATTATGGCTGCCTCTGCTGTATCATACAGGTCAGGATGGAAGTGAAGGAAAGCCAGCAGTGACAGGCCTCACTCAGCTCCCATGAAGCCAGCAAGGCCAGTTTCATTCACACCCTACCCCACAAACAGCACCAAGTTTATATCCAGTCCGTGAGCAGTACTGAGATCTTGCCCCAGGCTATAAGCCTCCCCATTGAGAAAGCAACCTGGGCTTTCAGGCGCCACCCCTCACCACCTGCCATGGCTTTTGTGCCCGTATCTGTGCTTCTCATTCACTGTCCCCTCATCGATTCTGCCAAGGAACATTGACACTAGGTCAAAATTCTTACAGGGTTTAGCTGGAAGTTTTCTTCTCCCTGTAGCCCTTCCCCAATTCCACTGGCAGCCCTTCCCAAGGACCCCTGTGAGATAAAGTCAGAAATGGCTTCCCTGAGGATCAAGAGTGCCTATGGGGCTCTTCCCACTGCTTCTGCTTTTATATTTTGCTTGGCTCTCTAAATTCATTTCGGCCCTAGGTAAGGCTAAATCCTTCTCTGGTAATCTGGATTTTCAGGTTTTGAGTATGTGTGTTTAGAGGTGAATGTTCCTTCTCTTACACTTTTGGCACTTGCTGTTTTTCAGTTGTCTCGCAGAGGTTGCAGTGGCAAGCCACTTCTTTCAAAGAGTCTGTGCATTCTTTTGGTTTTCCTGGTATGTTCCTATGGTAGTTCTTGGAGTAAAAGTTCATGATGAGAGTCTCCACATGCTGTTCTGTCCATCCAAGCAGGAGATACAAATTAATCCTGTCTCCTGGCTACCTTTTTTTTTTTTTTTTGCCTTCTGAGAGAGAAATATTGATTGACCATCACAGATTTTAAAAAAAAGATCAGTAAGCATTCTCTCTCTTTCTTTATTGTTTCAAATAGAACTCTACTTTTTCTTCAGGCTACTGATTTAGTTTCTTATTATACATTTATTTATTTATTTATCTGTTTCTTATTGACTGTGCTCACCACTAGACCAACTGCAAATAATTCAACTGCAGAAATATAGGGTAAGTCTTTCATAAATGATTACTCATTAACTATAAATCCACAAAATTTTCATGTTAACATTCATCTGATCTGCCCTCATCTGGCCTGCTACAGAATGCTTGAAGTTAGATTAAAAATAATCTACCGATAAATATTCATTGATAGAACACTGAAAGGTGAAGCCTGCTGGTGAAAACATTGTTCCTTCATTACCAGAAATGAAGTAGATACATTTATTTCTTGACTTGGTATTATGCTTCATTTGTGTGTGTTTATTTTTATCCAGTACCATGCTATTTGCTTACTGTAGCTTTTTTTTGAGACAGGTTTCAGTCTGTTGCCCAGGGTGGAGTGCAGTTGCTTCATCGTGGCTCACTGCAGCCTCAACTTCACAGGATCTAGGAATCCTCTCACCTCCGCATCTCAAGTAGCTGAGACTATGGGTTTGTGCCATTAAACTCTGCTAATTTTTCTATTTTTTGTAGAGATGGTGTTTTGCTATGGTGCCAAGGCTGGTCTAGAACTCCTGGACTCAAGCAACCCACCTTGGCCTCCCAAAGTGCTGGGATCACAGGTGTGAGCCACTGCACCTGGCCTTACTGTAGCTTTGTAATATATTCAGAAACCAGGTAGTATGATGCCTCCAGCTTTGTTGTTTTTCCTCAATATTGCTTAGGCTATTCTGGGTCTTTCATGAATTGATAGAGATTTGATAATTACTTTTTAAATTCTGAGAAAAATATAATTGGAATTTTTATAAGGATTGCATTTAATCTGTAGATCACTTTGGGTAGTATGGACATTTTTACAATATTAATTCTTTCAATTCATAAGCATGGTGTATCTTTCAATTTTTTAGTTCCTTCAATTTATTTAATGTTTTAGAGTTTTTAGTGTATAGATCTTTTACCTCTTTCAATAAATTTATTTCTACGTATTTCATTCTTTTTTATGTTTTTGTAAATGAGATTATTAATCTCAATCCCTGTCTACACATCTATTCAACTTCAACAGATTTAGAGATTAAACCAAATACATGTGAAAATGCAGGAGAGGGAAGAAACTCAAAGTTTTCTAGTTTTGTAAAATACAGGTGCCCAGTTTAGCATCCTGTGTCATGCCTTGTGGTGCCAAGCATTGCATTAAGCTTAAACTTAAGCTCAAATTGACTTCTTATTTGGGATAACCCAAAGATAGAGAAATTCATCATCCTGATTTTACACAGATGGAGACGGCTGCTTAGAGAGAATAAATGAATATACAGAATCACATGGCTGGTACACAGTAAACTGGAACTTCTAGAAGAAACCATCTGACCTTGAACTTGAAATGAGCTGGGCAGCTTCTTACCATCTGTCTATGAAAAGGCCAGAGATACCAGAGGGTGGCCTTTGAGTCTTTGGTGAATAGGTGAAAACTTCAAATGTTGATACTCAGGAGAAAGGAGTTAGATTGACCCAACACTTGATGGAACACTTATTTTTAACTTAATGCAGCCATAAAAGTGTTTATAACATTTGGGGCTTTGAGTTCTTCAATTAAGGCAGAATTTCTATAGAGTATACTTTTCCCTATAAAATGTATTTAGCCATTGATAACTCTATGTAGCTCTGTGAAATATGTGCTTATTAGACAGATCAGGTGTTTTGGCTAAGAATAAGATGAATAATTGTGTTTGTAATAAAATATATTTATAAATAATTTTGATTCTGAATATTTAAAAACTATTAACTATTGTTTGAATATGTCTTTGTCCAAAACATATATATACATTTTATATAATATATAGAATATATGTATATATATAATACACACATAGATAATCATATGTAATATAGATGATAATATAACTGTACCTTCTGTGGCTATTATGAGCTTCATTGGTCACCAGCTCCAGGATATGGGGCATCAGGTACTCAAGAGTGGCAGCAAGAAACATAAGCATGGAAGAGTCCAGGCACTGGGCACAGCAGATCTCCCACAAGAGGTGTCCAAACATATCATGGAGAACTGCAGCTCTGCTCTTGCTAAGAAGGTGAATCTGCATTTTTTTTCTTTTTTTTTTTTTTTGAGAAGAAGTCTCTCTCTGTCACCCAGGCTGGAGTGCAGTGGCGCTATCTTGGCTCACTGCACGCTCCACCTGCCAGGTTCTACCAATTCTCCCGCCTAAGCCTCTCGAGCAGCTGGGACTACAGGCGTGCGCAGCCACGCCCAGCTAATGTTTTTGTATTTTCAGTATAGATGGGGTTTCACCATGTTGGCCAGGCTGGTCTTGATATCCTGACCTGGTGATCTGCCCGCCTCAGCCTCCCAAGTGTTTGGATTAGAGGCATGAGCCACCGCTCCTGGCCTCTTTTTTTTTTTTTTTTTTTTTTTTGAGACCGAGTTTTGCTCTTGTTGCCCAGGCTGGAGTGCAATTGCACGATCTCGGCTCACCACAACATCCGCCTCCCAGGTCCAAATGATTCTCCTGCCTCAGCCGCCTAAGTAGCTGGGTAGGCTGGTCTTGAACTCTGAACCTCAGGTAATCCACCGGCCTCGGCCTCACAAAGTGCTGACATTACAGGCATGAGCCACCGTGCCTGGCTATTTTTTTGCTTTGTTTGTTTGTTTTGTTTTTAGACAGAGTGTCACTCTGTCGCCCAGGCTGGAGTGACGTGGCATGAGTTCAGCTCAGTCCAACCTCTGCATCCTGACTTCAAGAGATTCTCCTGGCTCAGTCTCCTGAGTAGCTGGGATTACAGGCGTGAGTAGCTGGGATTACAGGCTCAGTCTCCTGAGTAGCTGGGATTACAGCCACCATGCTCAGCTAATTTTTGTAATTTTAGTAGAGACCAGGTTTCACCATATTGGTCAGGGTGGTCTTGAACTCCTGATCTCGTGATCTGCCCACTTGGGCCTCTGAAAGTTTTGTGATTACAGGTGTGAGCCTGGCCATTTGACTCTTTTTTGCACTGGTTATCATATCGGCTGATTCCTCAGATGTTAAATAAATATTTTAATATGTGTTCCTATCTTTATGAGTGTCACGAATTTATAATTTTTTAAAAAAACTACGTTTTAAGCACTTTTTATGTCACACTGATATGCCCAATGGATTTATCTACCAAAAGCACCCAGACTTCTATGACAGAGGGTTACACAGTTGAACCTGGGTGTTTTTATTTGAATATCTAGGTGACTAAAGCTTCAGTAGAACTTTGTGGACTCTGTTTTCATTTTAGTTTCAATTTTCCTTTCAGCTAACTTAGTGTTTCAGTGTTTTTCTGCTGCATTTAGAGCATATTATCTAGTCTTTATCATTGGCAACAGTGGCTTGAAGTTTGTTTATAAAATTATGTTTATCGAGATAAAATTCACATAACATCAAATTCAATATATTAATTATTTTCAGGTTTACACTTCAGTATCTTTTTGTGTATTTGCAATGCTTTACAATCATTACCACTGTGTAATTTTAGAACTGTATAATTAACAAAAAAAAATCTCCACACCCATCATTCAGCCACTTTCTATTTTCCCTAGCAGCCTCTGGCAACCATTAATCCACTTTCTGTTTCAAAGGATTTGCCTATTTTGGGAATTTTATACAAATGGATTCATAAAGTACATGACCCTTTTTGGATAGCTTTTTCCATCAAGCATAATGTCTTTAATATGTATCCATGTTGTGTCCCATATTGGCACATCATTCCTTTTTCTGGCGGAATACTATTGCCTTGTATACTACATCACATTTGTCTATCTAGTCCTCCATGGACTATTTGCACTGCTCTCACCTTTTGGCCATAACAAATAATGTTTCTATGGACACGCATATACATGTTTTTGTGTGGACCTATTTTGATTTCAGTTGAGTATATACTCAGAAGTGGAATTGCTAAGACATGTAGTAACTCTATGTTAACCTCAGGAAGAACTGCCAAAGTGTTTTCCAAAACTGCTGCCTAATTTTGCACTCTATGAGGGTTTCAATTTTTCCACATCTTCACCCACACTGATCTGTCTTCTGAAATATACCTGTACCCATAGGTATGAAGTGATATATCACTGTGGTTTTGACTTACATCTTTCTAGTGAATAAAGATGTTGTGCATCTTTTCATGTGCTCATTGGCCACTTGTACAGAATAAAAATCTTGGAGCCACTGGTCCAGATTATGAGTCTCAAACACATGTTACAAACAGATTTTCGGTGCTCCACAAGAAATAGCACTCAGCAAGGCAAATTTACTTCTATAAAAGGGTGCACCTCGTAAATTAAGCAATGGCAAGGGCACACAAAACAAAGGAAGTGCGAGTTTCTATTATCTCTAATGCAGCTTCTACTTCTGTGTCTTTCCTCTATCGGTTAGGGTTGGACCGCACAGTCTCAACTAGTCCCAACTGGCTAAATACTTCAAATTTTTTAGATAAGTTAGTCACATAAGGGAGTTAAGAGAGAGAGAATGGGGTCCATTATGTGGGAACTAGGAAAGCAACCTATTCTCTAAAAAGGAAAATAATGCAGACTGGGACTTGGGTTGCAACAATTTCATTCATGTCTAGGCATAGTTAGGTAAGTTGGTGCACAGTTGAGGTAAGGAATACTTGGAATTATAGAATAGAGAATGGGGAAACTGGATAAGCTATTTGAAGAGTGAACCTAACTGTATCTAACACACAAACACCATGCAATATGATAATGTTGTGCACAGTAAGCTGGTAATTCTGTTATTATCTAATGAAGAACAGTATCTTAAATCTTTTTTCTTTGAATTGTTTTTGCTGTTCGATTTGCCAATCACATGCATAGAAAAAATGGTATTTATCAGTGTATTTCCAATCCAGGACAAGATGTTGGGGGACCCAATATATTTGGGGGTTTGTAGTTTCAACTGTGCCCACCTGGAGTTCATGGGGCTGACAATGATGGCTGGAAGATACTCAAGAGGGAGGTGGTGGCAAAGCACACACCTCTGCCCACTCTGTGAACATAGAAAACATGTTTGCATGCAATATCACTGAGGAAATGCTTGAAATTAAAAGAAGTCATTGTCTGTGAAGCTGCTTTGGAGAATATGACCAAGATGTTGGCTATAGCCAGGTGCTTGAGAATCAAATCTGTGGACTTTAATATCCACCCGGTATAACAAAGTGGCAAAAAAAAAATTCCTCAATAATCCAACTGTTGTCTGAGAAAAGAAGATCATTCCTATTTCCAAATTCCTGGAGGCCTTTCATTATTTTCCAATTACTAATATTTTCATTCAGAGTGAGAATATCCTGCATTGACACATAAGGTCTGTTTTATTGTGGCAACTGAAATGGGCTATTGTTCACATACCATTGTTTCCAACTTAAAACTTTGTTTTTAAATTCCACTTTTCTTTCACTAAGATTTTTTCTATTCTCTCTCTATATATATATGTGTATATATACACACACACACACATAAACACACATATATATATTTATAAATTATTTGCATTAGGCTTGTGCTTTTCAAAATAAATTCCAGTGGTTGATATCTAGCTCACATGTTGTCAGGCATTTTCTATTTTAGTAATTTAATTTTCACCTATATTATTTCATTGAAATACACTTGAATCAAATATAAAACTTTAATATGAAAGATCTCACTGGCTTTTCTTGGAAAAACCTTTAATATGAAAATGCCATTGGCTTTTCTTTATTATTATAACTATATATAGTGTGATAACCTTATAGATATAGCATTATAAAACTACTATATTAATGTGTTATATTAATGTGTTACATACAATTTTTACAACAACTCTATGAAGTGGTTTATTATTCTGATTTTACCTATGAAGAGGGCTTAGATGAAAATAGGATAAATGACATTTCTAAAATCACCTCCTTGTAGGAGGCAGTTTCAGGAGTTGAAGATGCTTTTAACTATCATGCTGTCTCAACATCAGATATATTTTTTAAAAAATCCACATATTTTAAAAACATTTTTGTATCTCTTGTTAGTTGTTTAAAGAATGTTTGTACGTATTTATTTAATATTGCAATATGAAAATTTAAAATTTAAATAGGATTGCATAATTTATTGGCAAATATTATCTATAATGATTCAAAGATTCAAGGAGAATATAAACGTTCTGATTTAGCATCATCTTAAAATAAGTGGAATTTATCAAATGCAAAAATGGTTTCCTCTTGGAATTAAAACAGAAGCCTTTTTCAACTTAACCAAGAAGGAGCACATAATGGAATGCCTATTAAGAAAAGAGGCTTGAGGCCAGGCACCATGGCCTGTAATCCCAGCACTTTGGGAGGCTGAGGTAGGCAGATCACGGGGTCAAGAGATTGAGACAATTTTGGCCAACATGGTGAAACCCCGTCTCTACTAAAAATACAAAAATTAGCTGGGCATGGTGGTGCATGCCTGTAGTCCCAGCTACTCAGGAGGCTGAGGCAGGAGAATGGCACTCTAGCCTGGCACCAGGGCTAGACTCCATCTCAAAGAAAAAAAGAGAAAAGAAAAGGGAAACATGAGTAGAATGTAAAATTTGTAAAATATTGCATAGAGAAACTGAATTATCATAATTA
Source organism: Homo sapiens (assembly GCF_000001405.40). Classification (NCBI taxonomy): domain Eukaryota; kingdom Metazoa; phylum Chordata; class Mammalia; order Primates; family Hominidae; genus Homo; species Homo sapiens. The sequence continues at coordinate 20,757,094 of NC_000019.10, read as the reverse complement.
TATAGAGAAAATTAGTATTTGTGAATGCAAAATATCAAATAAAATTATGTCAGGGGGATGAAAGATCTCTGCAATTAGAATCACAAAACAATGCTGAAAGAAATCAGAGAAAGCACAAAGTAATGGAAAACATTCCATGCTCATGAATAAAAAGAATCAATATTGTTAAAAAGGCTATACTGTCCAAAATAATGTACAGATTCAAGGCTATTCCTATCAAACTACAAATAATATTATCCCCAGAATTCATTCTAAAATTTACATAAAATCAACAGAGTCTAAATAGCTGAAATAATCTTAAGCAGAAAGAACAAACCTGGAGGCATCACACTTCCCAACTTCAAACTACATTACAGGCTGCAATAATCTAAATAACGTGGTACGGGTAAGAAATCAGACACAGAGACCAATGGACCAGGTTAGAGAACCCAGATATAAAACCACCCATTTATAACTATCTGATCTTTGACAAAGTTGACAATAACAATCAATGGGGAAAGAACTTCTTATTCAATAAATGGTGCTGAGATAATGGACTAGCCATATGCAGAAGTTTGAAACTGGACCTCTCTCTCTCGCCATGTACAAAATCAACCTAACATTGATTGGAGACTTAAATATAAAATCTAAAACTGTAAAATCCCTTGAAGAAAACCTAGGAAATACCATTCCGCACATAGGTCTTGACAAAGATTTCATGATGATGACTCCCAAAGCAATTGCAACAAATACAGAAACTGACAAGCAGGACCTAATTAAACTTAAGAGCTTCTACACAGTGAAAGAAACTATCAATAAAGTAAACAGACAACCTGCAGAATGAGAGAAAATATTTGCAAACTATGCATCTGAAAAAGATCTAATATCCAGAATCTATAAAGAATCATAAATAAATCAACAAGCAAAATATAAACAATCCAATCAAAGAATGAGCAAAGACATAGACACTTCTCAGCCAGGCACAGTGGCTCATGCCTGTAATCCTAGCACTTTGGGAGGCCGAGGTAGGTGGATCATGAGGTCAGGAGTTTGAGACCAGCCTGGCCAACATGGTGAAACTCCATCTCTACTAAAAATACAAAAATTAGCCAGGCACAGTGGTGGGCGCCTGTAATCCAGCTACTTGGGAGACTGAGGCAGGAGAATTGCTTAAGCCCAGGAGGTAGAGGTTGCAGTAAGCTGAGATCCTGCCACTGCACGCTAGTTTGGGTGACAGAACAAGACTCCATCTCAAAACAAAAACAAAAACCAGACACTTCTCAAAAGAAGACATACACACAGCAAAAGAGCACATTAAAAAAATGTAAACGTTGCTAATTATTAGAGAAATGCAAATAAAAACCACAGTATTGTATTGGTGAGGATGCAGAGCAAAGGGAGTGTAAGTTAGTTCAGCCACTGTGGAAAGAGCAGTGTGAAGATTTCTCAAATAACTTTAAACTGTTTGACACAGCCATCGAAATATGGTATGAGGTCACCACTTCTCCTGTTGTCCTTCTCAGTTCCTCCCCAACCTCCCCTTTTCCCCAGTTTATAAGACAGGAGAAAAGGGAGAAAGCAAAAAGTTGAAAAGAAACAGAAGTAAGATAAATAGCTAGATGACCTTGGCACCACCACCTGGCCCTGGTGGCTAAAATATAATATTATTAACCCCTGACCAAAACTGTTGGTGTTATCTGTAAATTCCAGATATTGTATGAGAAAGTACTGTAAAACTTTTTATTCTGTTAGCTGATGTAGGTAGCCCCCAGTCATGTTTCTCACGCTTACTTGACCTATTATGACTTTTTCATGTAGACCCCTTAGAGTTGTAAGCCCTTAAAAGGGCTAGGAATTTCTTTTTTGGGGAGCTCGGCTCTTAAGATACGAGTCTGCCAATGCTCCCGGCCAAATAAAAAACCTCTTCCTTCTTTAATCTGGTGTCTGAGGAGTTTTGTCTGTGACTCGTCCTGCTACATTTCTTGGTTCCCTGGCCAGGAAGCAAGGTAATTGAAGGACAGTCGAGGCAGCCCCTTAGGTGGCTTAGGCCTGCCCTGTGGAGCATCCCTGCAGGGGACTCTGGCCAGCTTGAGTGACGCGGATCCTGAGAGCGCTCCCAGGTAGGCAATTACCCCGGTGGAAAGCCTCGTCAGAGCAGTGCGTGGCAGGCCCCTGTGGAGGATCAATGCAGTGGCTGAACACTGGGAAGGAACAGGCACTTGGAGTCCAGACATTTGAAACTTGGTAAGACTGGTCTTCGGAACTTGCCCACTCCATTTGAGTGGAAGCGTGGCCTGATCAACCACGGCATGCCTGTACTGGCACTTTGGTTTTTGTTTTTGACTTGACTTGAATTGCTTGATACTTTGGTTTTGGTTTGACCTGGCTTGGATTTCTGGATACTCTGATTTTGGTTTTGATTCTGGTTTGGTGAAAACTGAAAAAGTGTGTGTGTGCACTTTTTACCCATTCTTTGTTTTGTGGTGTGCATGTGGTGTGAGCTTGGTGTTTTGTCTTGAGGAAACATGGATCAGACACAAAATAAGCCTACTCCTCTAGGAACTATGTTGAAAAATTTTAAGAAGGGATTTAATGGAGACTATGGGGTTACTATGACACCAGGGAAACTTAGAACTTTGTGTGAAATAGATTGGCCAACATTAGAAGTGGGTTGGCCATCAGAAGGAAGCCTGGACAGGTCCCTTGTTTCTAAGGTATGGCACAAGGTAACTAGTAAGTCAGGACACTCAGACCAGTTTCCATACATAGACACTTGGTTACAGCTGGTGCTAGACCCCCCACAGTGGCTAAGAGGGCAGGCAGCAGCAGTGCTAGTAGCAAAGGGACAGATAGTCAAGGAAGGATTCTGCTCCACCCGCTGAGGGAAATCAACTCCTGAAGTTCTGTTCGACCAAACATCAGAAGATCCATTGCAGGAGATGGCACCAGTGATCCCAGTGTTGCCCTCCCCTTATCAGGGAGAGAGGCTCCCCACTTTTGAGTCCACAGTGCTTGCGCCTCTGCCAGACAAATGTATCCCTAGGCCACTCAGAGTAGACAAGAGAGGAGGTGAAGCCTCGGGAGAAACCCCTCCCTTGGCAGCTCATTTAAGACCCAAAACAGGGATACAAATGCCCCTGAGAGAGCAGCAGTATACTGGAATAGATGAGGATGGGCACATGGTGGAGAGTCGTGTTTTTGTGTACCAGCCCTTCACCTCTGCCGACCTTCTCAACTGGAAAAACAATACCCCGTCCTATACTGAAAAGCCGCAAGCTCTAATTGATTTGCTCCAAACTATTATCCAGACCCATAACCCCACTTGGGCTGATTGCCACCAGTTGCTCATGTTCCTCTTTAAAACAGATGAAAGGTGAAGGGTGCTTCAAGCAGCAACTAAGTGGCTAGAGGAACATGCACTGGCTGATTACCAAAACCCCCAAGAGTATGTAAGGACACAGTTACCAGGAACCGACCCCCAGTGGGACCCAAATTAAAGAGAGGATATGCAAAGGCTAAACCGATACAGGAAAGCTCTCTTAGAAGGATTAAAGAGGAGAGCCCAGAAGGCCACAAACATTAACAAGGTCTCTGAGGTCATTCAGGGAAAAGAAGAAAGTCCAGCAAAATTCTACGAGAGACTGTGTGAGGCTTATTGTATGTATACTCCCTTTGATCCCGATAGCCCTGAAAATCAACGCATGATTAACATGGCTTTAGTTAGTCAAAGCACAGAAGACATTAGAAGAAAACTGCAGAAAAAGGCTGGGTTTGCAGGGATGAACACATCACAGTTATTAGAAATAGCCAACCAGGTGTTTGTAAACAGGGATGCAGCAAGCCGTAAGGAAAACCACATAGAGAATGAACGTCAGGCCCGGCGAAACGCCGACCTGTTAGCTGCAGCAATTAGAGGGGTCCCCCCAAAGAGGCAAGGGAAAAGGGGGGCCCTGGGAAAGAAACTCAGCCTGGCTGTCAGAGCTTGCAGTGTAATCAGTGTGCTTATCGTAAAGAAATAGGATATTGGAAGAACAAATGCCCTCAGCTAAAAGGAAAACAAGGTGACTCGGAGCAGGAGGCTCCAGACAAGGAGGAAGGGGCCCTGCTCAACCTGGCAGAAGGGTTATTGGACTGAGGGGGACTGGGCTCAAGGACCTCCAAAGAGCCTATGGTCAGGATGACAGTTGGGGGTAAAGACATTGATTTTCTTGTAGATACCAGTGCTGAACATTCGGTAGTAACTGCCTCAGTCGCCCCCTTATCCAAAAAGACTATTGACATCATCGGAGCCATGGGAGTTTCAGCAAAACAAGCTTTCTGCTTGCCCCAGACTTGTACTATAGGAGGACATAAAGTGATTCATCAGTTTTTGTACATGCCTGATTGTCCCTTGCCCTTGTTGGGAAGAGACTTGCTTAGCAAACTGAGAGCCACTATCTCTTTTACAGAGCACGGCTCTTTGCTGCTAAAGTTACCCGGAACAGGAGTCATTATGACCCTTATGCTCCCCCGAGAGGAGGAATGGAGACTTTTCTTAACTGAGCCGGGCCAAGAGATAAGACCAGCTCTGGCTAAGCGGTGGCCAAGAGTGTGGGCGGAAGACAACCCTCCAGGGTTGGCAGTCAACCAAGCCCCCGTGCTTATAGAAGTTAAGCCTGGGGTCCAGCCGGTTAGGCAAAAACAGTACCCGGTCCTCAGAGAAGCTCTTGAAGGTATCCAGGTCCATCTCAAGTGCCTAAGAACCTTTAGAATTATAGTTCCTTGTCAGTCTCCATGGAACACTCCCCTCCTGCCTGTTCCCAAGCCTGGGACCAAGGACTACAGGCCGGTACAGGATTTGCGCTTGGTTAATCAGGCTACAGTGACTTTACATCCAACAGTACCTAACCTGTACACATTGCTGGGGTTGCTGCCAGCTGAGGACAGCTGGTTCACCTGCTTGGACCTGAAAGATGCTTTCTTTAGCATCAGATTAGCCCCTGAGAGACAGAAGCTGTTTGCCTTTCAGTGGGAAGATCCAGAGTCAGGTGTCACTACTCAATACACTTGGACCCAGCTTCCCCAAAGGTTCAAGAACTCCCCCACCATCTTTGGGGAGGCGTTGGCTCGAGACCTCCAGAAGTTTCCCACCAGAGACCTAGGCTGCGTGTTGCTCCAGTACGTTGATGACCTTTTGCTGGGACACCCCACGGCAGTCGGGTGCGCCAAGGGAACAGATGCTCTACTCCGGCACCTGGAGGACTGTGGGTATAAGGTGTCCAAGAAAAAAAGCTCAGATCTGCCGACAGCAGGTATGTTACTTGGGATTTACTATCCAACAGGGGGAGCACAGCCTGGGATCAGAAAGAAAGCAGGTCATTTGTAATCTACCGGAGCCTAAGACCAGAAGGCAGGTGAGAGAATTCTTAGGGGCTGTGGGTTTTTGCAGACTGTGGATCCCAAACTTTGCAGTATTAGCTAAGCCTTTGTATGAGGTCACAAAGGCGGGGGACCAGGAACCTTTTGAATGGGGATCCCAGCAACAGCAAGCCTTTCATGAGTTAAAGGAAAGACTTATGTCAGTCCCAGCCCTGGGGCTACCTGATCTGACAAAGCCTTTTACATTGTATGTGTCAGAGAGTGAAAAGATGGCAGTTGGAGTTTTAACCCAAACTGTGGGGCCCTGGCTGAGGCCGGTGGCCTACCTCTCTAAACAACTAGACGGGGTTTCTAAAGGATGGCCCCCGTGTTTGAGGGCCTTGGCAGCAACTGCCCTGCTAGTACAAGAAGCAGATAAGCTGATTCTTGGGCAAAACCTGAACATAAAGGACCCCCATGCTGTGGTGACTTTAATGAATACTAGAGGACATCATTGGCTAACGAATGCTAGACTTACTAAGTACCAAAGTTTGCTTTGTGAAAATCCCCATATAACCATTGAAGTTTGTAACACCCTGAACCCCGCTACCTTGCTCCCAGTATTAGAGATCCCTGTCGAGCATGACTGTGTAGAAGTGTTGGACTCAGTTTACTCTGGGCATCAGTAGACTGGGAACTATACGTGGATGGGAGCAGCTTTGTCAACCCACAAGAAGAGAGATGTGCAGGGTATGCGGTGGTAACTCTGGACACTGTTGCTGAAGCCAGATCGTTTCCCCAGGGCACTTCAACTCAGAAAGCTGAACTCATTGCTTTAATTCGGGCCTTAGAACTCAGTGAAGGTAAGACTGTAAACATTTACACTGACTCTTGATATGTCTTTTTAACCCTTCAAGTGCATGGAGCATTATGTAAAGAAAAGGGCCTATTGAACTCTGGGGGAAAAGACATAAAATATCAACAAGAAATCTTGCAATTATTAGAAGCAGTATGGAAACCCCACAAGGTGGCTGTTATACATTGCGGAGGACACCAGTGAGCTTCCACCTTGGTGGGTTTGGGGAATTCCTGCACTGACTTAGAGGCTCAAAAAGCAGCATCTGCCCCCTTCCGGGCATCAGTGACAGCCCCCCTGCTCCCTCAAGCACCTGATCTTGTACCTACTTATTCTAAAGAAGAAAAGGACTTTCTCCAGGCAGAGGGAGGACAAGTGATGGAGGAAGGATGGATTTGGTTACCAGATGGGAGAGTAGCTGTGCCACAGCTGCTAGGAGCTGCAGTTGTACTGGCTGTGCATAAAACCACCCATCTAGGTCAGGAATCACTTGAAAAGTTGTTAGGCTGGTATTTCTACATCTCGCATTTGTCAGCCCTTGCCAAAACAGTGACGCAGCGGTGTGTTACCTGCCGACAGCATAATGCGAGACAAGGTCCAGCTGTTCCCCCTGGCATACAAGCTTATGGAGCAGCCCCCTTTGAAGATCTCCAGGTGGACTTCACAGAGATGCCAAAGTGTGGAGGTAACAAGTATTTACTAGTTCTTGTGTGTACCTACTCTGGGCAGGTGGAGGCTTATCCAACACGAACTGAGAAAGCTCATGAAGTAACTCGTGTGCTTCTTCGAGATCTTATTCCTAGATTTGGACTGCCCTTACGGATTGGCTCAGATAATGGGCTGGTGTTTGTGGCTGACTTGGTACAGAAGACGGCAAAGGTATTGGGGATCACATGGAAACTGCATGCTGCCTACCAGCCTCAGAGTTCCGGAAAGGTAGAGCGGATGAATCGGACTATCAAAAATAGTTTAGGGAAAGTATGTCAAGAAACAGGATTAAAATGGATACAGGCTCTTCCTATGGTATTATTTAAAATTAGATGTACCCCTTCTAAAAGAACAGGATATTCCCCTTATGAAATATTATATCATAGGCCCCCTCCTATATTGCGGGGACTTCCAGGCACTCCCCGAGAGTTAGGTGAAATTGAGTTACAGCGATAGCTACAGGCTTCAGGAAAAATTACACAAACAATCTCGGCCTGGGTAAATGAGAGATGCCCTGTTAACTTATTCTCCCCAGTTCACCCTTTCTCCCCAGGTGATCTAGTGTGGATCAAGGACTGAAACGTAGCCTGTTTGTGTCCACGGTGGAAAGGACCCCAGACTGTCATCCTGAGCACTCCCACCGCTGTGAAGGTAGAGGGAATCCCAACCTGGATCCACCACAGCCGTGTAAAACCTGCAGTGCCTGAAACCTGGGAGGCAAGACCAAGCCCAGAAAACCCCTGCAGAGTGACCCCGAAGAAGACAACAAGCCCTGCTCCAGTCACACCCGGAAGCTGACTGGTCCACGCACGGCCGAAGCATGCAGAAGCTCATCATGGGATTCATTTTTCTTAAATTTTGGACTTATACAGTAAGGGCTTCAACTGATCTTACTCAAACTGGGGACTGTTCCCAGTGTATTCATCAGGTCACCGAGGTAGGACAGCAAATTAAAACAATGTTTCTGTTCTATAGTTATTATAAATGTATAGGAACATTAAAAGAAACTTGTTTGTATAATGCTACTCAGTACAATGTATGTAGCCCAGGAAATGACCGACCTGATGTGTGTTATAACCCATCTGAGCCTCCTGCAACCACCATTTTTGAAATAAGAATAAGAACTGGCCTTTTCCTAGGTGATACAAGTAAAATAATAACTAGAACAGAAGAAAAAGAAATCCCCAAACAAATAACTTTAAGATTTGATGCTTGTGCAGCCATTAATAGTAAAAAGCTAGGAATAGGATGTGATTCTCTTAACTGGGAAAGGAGCTACAGAATAAAAAATAAATATGTTTGTCATGAGTCAGGGGTTTGTGAAAATTGTGCCTATTGGCCATGTGTTATTTGGGCTACTTGGAAAAAGAACAAAAAGGACCCGGTTTATCTTCAGAAGGGGGAAGCCAACCCCTCCTGTGCTGCTGGTCACTGTAACCCACTAGAACTAATAATTACCAATCCCCTAGATCCCCATTGGAAAAAGGGAGAACGTGTAACCCTGGGGATTGATGGGACAGGGTTAAACCCCCAAGTTGCCATTTTAATTAGAGGGGAGGTCCACAAGTGCTCTCCCAAACCAGTATTTCAAACCTTTTATAAGGAGCTGAATCTGCCAGCACCAGAATTTCCAAAAAAGACAAAAAATTTGTTTCTCCAATTAGCAGAAAATGTAGCTCATTCCCTTAATGTTACTTCTTGTTATGTATGCGGGGGAACCACTATCGGAGACCGATGGCCTTGGGAAGCCCGAGAGTTGGTGCCTACTGATCCAGCTCCTGATATAATTCCAGTTCAGAAAACCCAAGCTAGCAACTTCTGGGTCCTAAAAACCTCAATTATTGGACAATACTGTATAGCTAGAGAAGGGAAAGACTTTATCATCCCTGTAGGAAAGCTTAATTGTATAGGACAGAAGTTGTATAACAGTACAACAAAGACAATTACTTGGTGGGGCATAAACCACACTGAAAAGAATCCATTTAGTAAATTTTCAAAATTAAAAACTGCTTGGGCTCATCCAGAATCTCATCAGGACTGGATGGCTCCCGCTGGACTATACTGGATATGTGGGCACAGAGCCTACATTCGGTTACCTAATAAATAGGCAGGCAGTTGTGTTATTGGCACTATTAAGTCGTCCTTTTTCTTATTACCCATAAAAACAGGTGAGACCCTAGGTTTCCCTGTCTATGCCTCCCGAGAAAAGAGAGGCATAGTTATAGGAAACTGGAAAGATAATGAGTGGCGCCCTGAAAGGATCATACAGTATTATGGGCCTGCCACATGGGCACAAGACGGCTCATGGGGATACCGAACCCCCATTTACATGCTCAATCGGATCATACGGTTGCAGGCCATCTTAGAAATAATTACTAATGAAACTGGCAGAGCTTTGACTGTTTTAGCTCGGCAGGAAACCCAAACGAGGAATGCTATCTATCAGAATAGACTGGCCTTGGACTACTTGCTAGCAGCTGAAGGAGGAGTTTGTGGAAAATTTAACTTAACCAATTACTGCCTACAAATAGATGATCAAGGACAGGTGGTTGAAAACATAGTCAGGGACATGACAAAGGTGGCACATGTGCCTGTACAGGTTTGGCACAAGTTTAATCCTGAGTCTTTATTTGGAAAATGGTTTCCAGCTATAGGAGGATTTAAAACCCTCATTGTAGGTGTATTGCTAGTGATAGGAACTTGCTTGCTGCTCCCCTGTGTATTACCCTTGCTTTTTCAAATGATAAAATATTTTGTTGTTACTTTAGTTCATCAGAAAACTTCAGCACATGTGTATTATACAAATCACTATCGCTCTATCTCACAAAGAGACTAAAAAAGTGAGGACGAGAGTAAGAACTCCCACTAAAAGTGAAAATTCTCAAAGGGGGGGAAATATGGTATGAGGTCGCCACTTCTCCTGTTGTCCTTCTCAGTTTCTCCCCAACCTCCCCTTTTCCCTAGTTTATAAGACAGGAGAAAAGGGAGAAAGCAAAAAGTTGAAAAGAAACAGAAGTAAGATAAATAGCTAGACGACCTTGGCACCACCACCTGGCCCTGGTGGCTAAAATAATAATAATATTATTAACCCCTGACCAAAACTATTGGTGTTATCTGTAAATTCCAGACACTGTATGAGAAAATACTGTAAAACTTTTTGTTCTGTTAGCTGATGTATGTAGCCCCCAGTCATGTTTCTCACGCTTACTTGATCTATTATGACTTTTTCATGTAGACCCCTTAGAGTTGTAAGCCCTTAAAAGGGCTAAGAATTTCTTTTTCGGGGAGCTCGGCTCTTAAGACACGAGTCTGCCAATGATCCCGGCCGAATAAAAAACCTCTTCCTTCTTTAATCTGGCGTCTGAGGAGTTTTGTCTGCGACTCATCCTGCTACACTATTACCAGATATATACCAAAGGGATATAAATCATTCTACTATAAAGACACATGCACACATATGTTCATTGTAGCACTTTTGACAATAGCAAAGATACGTAATCAATCTAGGTGCCCATCAACAGTGGACTGAATGAGAAAAATGAGGCACATGTACACCATGGAATACGAGTCAGCCATAAAACAGAATAAAATTACGTGCTTTGCAGCAACATGGATACAGCTGGAGGCCATTATTATAAGCAAATTAATGCAGGAACAGAAAACAAAATACTGCATGTTCTCACTTATAAATTGAAGCTAAACATTGAGTACACATGAATTCAAAGAGGAAAACAATAAACACCAGGGTCTACTTGAGAGTAGAGGGTGTGAGGAGGGTGAGGATAAAAAATCTACCTATCTGCCAGGCACGGCAGCTCACACCTGTAATCCCAGCACTTTGGGAAGCTGAGGCGGGTGGATCACCTGAGGTCAGGAGTTCAAGACCAGCCTTGCCACCATGCTAAACCCTTGTCTCTACTAAAAATACAAAAATTGGGCCAGGCACGGTGGCTCACTCCTGTAATCCCAGCACTTTGGGAGGCTGGGGTGGACGGATCATAAGGTCAGGAGGGCAAGACTATCCTGGTCAATATGGTGAAACCTGGTTTCTATTAAAAATACAAAAATTAGCCAGGCATGGTGGCATGCACCTGTAATCCCAGCTACTCAGGAGGCTATGGCAGGAGAATCACTTGAACCTGGAGGCGGAGGTTGTAATGAGCCAAGATCACGCAACTGCACCCAAGCCTGGGCAGCAAGAGCAAAACTCCCTCTAAAACAAACAAACAAACAAACAAACAAACAAACAACTTATCAAGTACCATGTTCACTATCTGGCTGGTGAAATAATGTGTACACCAAACCCCAGAGACATGCAATTTACCCATTTCACAAACCTGCACATGCACCCTTGAACCTAAAATAGAAGTTGGAAGAAAAAAGCACAAATAAAATAAGATTCAGAAATTAAGTAGATGAAACAACGATGATTTTAAAAACAGCTTTCTTGCTTTTCTAAAATATGGATGTTAATAGATGTTCTGGATCTTCAGCCCTCATCTTGGACCATGAAGAATGGAAAACAAATGTCAGGGGTGATGGAGCAGAGACATCCCTAAAGGCTTCCTGAAGCTGCCATACCACCCCAGGTATGCCTAACTCCTGACTTTTTATGTGAAAAAAAAATAATAACTTGTGTGTTTTAAGTCAGTATGGATAGATCGCAATTATTCATAGCTAAATAAAGTGAAATGAGCTGTTGCACTTGGAAAAAAAATAGCAATATTTTGAAAAATTCGCTCCAGTTACAACTTACCAACAGCAATTACAGCTCTTTGCCAGGTGTGGTGGCTCCTTCCTGTAATTTCAGCACTTTGGGAAGTTGAAGCAGGCGGATCACCTGAGGTCAGGAGTTTGAGACCAGCCTGGCCAAGATGGCAAAACACCGTCTCTACTGAAAACACAAAAATTAGTCAGGTGTGGTGGTGCGCGCCTGTAATCCCAGCTACTTGGGAGGCGGAGGCAGGAAAATAGCTTCGACCTGGGAGGTGGAGGTTGCAATGATCCAAAATCATGCCACTGAACTCCAGCCTAGGTGACAGAGTGGGACTCCTTCTCAAAACAGAAAAAAACAAACAAGAAAAATGATTACAGCTGTCTATTGTCCCCAGAGAAATGAAGGAATTTGGAACAGGCTTTTCTCATCTATGATTTCTGAAGAAAGAAAGAGGCTCACATGGAGGGAGAGGAAAATGCTGAGTGTGATATACGAAGAACAGACAGTGAAGTCAGCGTGTCTTTCTGGGTTCTGCGCTTCCTTTAGGTGTTCCTCTGCTAAAAAGCAAATTTTCTGTGAATCTTCAAATTCCTGAGCAAAACTATTCTTTTTTTTTTTTTTGAGACGGAGTCTCACTCTGTCGCCCAGGCTGGAGTGCAGTGGCGTGATCTCGGCTCACTGCAAGCTCCGCCTCCTGGGTTCACGCCATTCTCCTGCCTCAGTCTCCCAAGTAGCTGGGACTACAGGCGCCCACCACCACGCCAGGCTAATTTTGTATATTTTTAGTAGAGACAGGGTTTCACCGTGTTAGCCAGGATGGTCTCGATCTCCTGACCTCGTGATCCGCCCACCTCGGCCTCCCAAAGTGCTGGGATTACAGGCTTGAGCCACCGCGCCCGGCCCAAACTATTCTTTCATATTTAATCAGGAAATGTGAGCATATGAAAAGCTTGAGGCCGGGGGCGGTGGCTCACGCTTGTAATCCCAGCACTTTGGGAGGCATATGCGGGCGAAATCACCTGAGGTTGGGAGTTCGAGAACATCTTGACCAACATGGAGAAACCCTGTCTCTACTAAAAACACAAAAAATTAGCCGGGTGTGGCGGTGCATGCCTGTAATCCCAGTTACTTGGGAGGCTGAGGCAGGATAATCACTTGAACACGGGAGGCGGAGGTTGCAGTGAGCGGAGATCACGCCATTGCACTCCAGCCTGGGTAACAAGAGCGAAACTCCACCTCAAAGGAAAAAAAAAAAAAAAAACCTTGAGTAGAATATGTGAAAGGTTACAGTGCAAAAAAAAACCTTGAAATTAAATATTGATATAAACATAAATGGGGCAAATATGTGCAATTTAATGTAAACTAACATGCAAATGTTGATTTATTTTAGGAATAAATGTTATCAGCATTTATCCTCACAGAGTTAGAGATTGTAAAATGTTCAATATTTACAGAAGAAACAGAGACATATCTCAAAGGGTTATTCTCATATAGAAAAACACCAACATTATATACTTGAGAGAGAAATTCTACTTATTAAATAGTTGATAAACTGTTGCTATCTAGACTGTTCAAGAGTTTTAATGTAGGCAATCTTCCCACTACTTATGTGTAAGTGTTCATAAGAGGGATATGAGAACTTTGCTTAAACAAACACATATAGAATATTACAGTCATATAGAACATATAAATATAATGTAAAAATTTTAAATATTGGAAGCCATTGTGTCAGCATACTAAAACATATAATTATATTATGATCCAGGGTATTTTATGCTAGAAATGCAAGTCAGATTTAGCATTTGGAAATCCACTAACAAATTAGTTAAATAATTTAAACCAATAGAATGTCATGTTTCATGTTCATAGCTATAAATAAAGACATTACCAGAATTCTACAGAAAAATTTATATATATATTTGTACATATATATATATATATATATATTTTTTTTTTTTTTTTTTTTTTTTTTTAGATAGAGTCTCGCTCTGTTGCCCAGGCTGGAGTGCAGTGGTGCGATCTTGGCTCATTGAAACCTCTGCCTCCCAGGTTCAAGCAACAATTCTGCCTCAGCCTCCCGAGTAGCTGGGACTACAGGTTTGTGCCACCACACCCAGCTAATTTTTGTATTTTTGGTTGATATGGGGTTTCACCATATTGGCCAGGCTTGTCTCAAACTCCTGACCTCGTAATTCGCCTACCTCGGCCTCCTAAAGTGCTGGGATTATAGGTGTGAGCCACTGTGCCTGGCCTAGAACATTATATTTTTAAAAAATTAGTAAGGATTTAGCAGAAAGTATTTCTGAAAAACATGAATAACAGATCTGTACAAGTAAAAGTTAGTGGCAATACATGTTTGAAAAGGAAGATTCAACAGAATTGGGTCAATGATCTTTTAATCAGTTTAAAAATTGAGTTGAATCCAACAGAGACACCGTCTTATTGTGTTCTGAAAATAGAAATTTTACTGCAAAGAAGAATAAATGAATAAAGATATATGTAAAAAGTATAAAGGCTCACACCTGTAATTCCAGCACTTTGAGAAGCCGAGGTGGGTGGATCACCTAAGGTCTGGAGGTGGATACCAGCTGACCAACATGGTGAAATCCCACCTCTACTAAAAATACAAAACATTAGCTGGGCATGGTGGTGCATGCCTGTAATCCCAGCTACTTGCGAGGCAGAGGTAGGAGAATCACTTGAACCCGGGAGGTGGAGGTTGCAGTGAGCTGTGATCACGCCATTGCACTCCAGCCTGGACAAAAAGAGCAAAAACTCTGCCTCAAAAAAATAAAAATAAAAAAAGAAAGAAAGAAATATGAAGTGACATCTTCTGTCATGTGTTATAAGGAATTGAAAAGTTAAATAATGTAGTTTTAATTTATGAACTGATTTAGAGACAAATGGAATATAAAATTCAAAAATAGTATGAAATATATATGAAATGTAGTGTATGACAGATGCAGCAGTAGTGAAATTGATGTGCACTCAATGTGTCTCACTGGAGACTAAAGCCCACATATATGCAGTGAGGACCTTGTCTCCCAATGTTTTATTTTTGCACATCTGATGTTTTCACATGTGCAGGGAAGAGGTTTAATATTTGATTGTCTTTGGCTATGGTCTGATGGATGAGTTTCTCCTGACTCAATAAACATTGTAACCTGTTCTCAGAGTTCACAGTATGTCTCTTGGTAAACATAGATGCTACTACTGTCTGCAAAGGTTGACCATCTACAACAGACACTCTTGCTCTGTTTGGGAATAGGTATGTATTGTTTCAGTAGTTATTTTCAGTTGAATTTTCTGGGGGACGCCCCCATGCCCTTGTCCCACATGAGGTAATTGTCTTAAAGTAGTTCAGGAAGGACAACTTTGCGTAGACTCTGGAATGGGCTGCTTCAAAGTAGGATACTCCATATAACCTATATTCTAATATGCAACCAACAAAAGACAGTACATTTTTTGTGTGTGTGTGAAAAAAAGCTTTTAGAGAAAATAGGCAAGGCATGGTGGCTCATGCCAATAATTCCAGAACTTTGGGAGGCCATGATAGGAGTATCACTTGAGGCCAGGAGTTTGAGATTAGGCTGGGCAACATAGGGAGACCTAGTCTCTACAAAAAAAGGAAATTAATAGAGCATGTTGACACAACTGTACTCCCACCTACTCAGGAGCCCAAGGCAGGAAGATCACCTGAGTTTAGGAATTCCAGGCTACAGTGAGCTATAATCACACCACTGCATTCCAGCCTGAGTGACAAAGTAAGATCTTGTTTATAAAAAAAATTGAAACAAAGATTCTTTGTTATAAGAAATAAAACTAATCTTAAGTAGATGTGCTATAATGTAAATTAACAGATGTTTTATGCCTATATTGAAACTTTTGTTTGTTTGTTTGTTTGTTTGTTTTTGAGATAGAGTCTCACTCTGTTGCCCAGGCTGGAGTGCAGTGGTGTGATCTCGCCTCATTGCAACCTCCGCCTCCCAGGTTCAGCTGTAATCCCAGCCACTCAGGAGGCTGAAGAAGGAGAAATAACATGGTGAAAGTACCAATAAACATGGTGAAATACCATCTCTACTAAAAATACAAAAATTAGCCTGGCATGGTGGCACATGCCTGTAGTCCCAGCTACTTGGGAGGCTGAGGGAGAAGGATCACTTGAACCTGGGAAGTGTAGGTTGCAGTGAACCAAGATGGCATCACTGAACTCCAGCCTGGGGGATGGAGTGAGGCACTTGTCCTTAAAAAAAAAATACTTTTATCTAATGAAAGAAATCAGAAGGAGCAAAGAGTAGAAAGATATACCATGATCATGAATGCAAATACTCCATATTGTTAAGATGTCAGTTCCTCCTAGCTAGATCTGTGATGCACTACAGCCTTAAACAAAATTCCATGAACTTCTTTTGGGGCTACTGAAAAACTGATTCTGAAGTTTACATATAGAGGCAAAAACCTACATGCAGAGGCAAAAGACCTAGAGTAGCCAACACGATATTGTAGAAGAATAATAAAATTGGATGATTGAGACACTACTCAGCTTCAAGATTAAATATAAAGCTACAGTAATCAAGACAGTGTGATACTGGTAAAAGAACAGACAAATCAGTTGATGGAAAGAATGCAGAGCCCAGAGGTAAGCCCATATTAATACACTGAATGAATCTTTGACAAAAGACTAAAGGCAATACAATGCAGCCAAGAGAATCCTTTCAACAAATGATGCTAAAACAATTGGACATCCACATACAAAAGCATGAATCACAAACATTACAACCTCACAAAAACTAACACAAATGGATCACAGACCTAAATTTAAAATGCAACACTATAAAATTCCTAGAATGTAATTAGGAGAAAATCTAGATGACCCTGGATTTAGCAATTAGAATTTAGATAATATACCACTAGTTCATTTTCTGAAAGTAAAATATTGATGTCAAATTTACCAAAATTAAGCATTTTTGCTCTGTGAAAGACACTGTATAGAGAATGAAAAGAAAGACACAGTATGGAAGATAATATTTGCAAAAGATATATCTGATAAAGATTGTTATCCAAAATATAGAAATAATTTTCAGACAACAATAAAACAAACGACCTGACTAAAAAATAAAAATAAAGAGTGAGCCAAAGACCTCAATCAACACCACACCTGAGGGCAGCAGGAATGAAATAACCACAGGTAAACCACTGCTTACTACTGTTGCCCACCTTTCTTTCAGAGAACAGACAGTGAACAAAGGATGATGGGGCAACAAGAGAAGAAAACTCTATGTCTTGAGATCTCTACACTGTCTGGACCTTTAATATTTACTAGGAAGAAAATAGATTAAAGGCAAACTTATTTTGCTATTTGGCCTTGACACTAATGGTCAGGCTGGGGTTATCCGTTTTCTCCTGTGGTGTGGGAAACTGAGTGAATATAAGCGCCAATCACATGCATACATGTCCACATGTATTTCTGCATTTCTTTTCTTTTCTTTATTTTTTGAGACGGAGTTTTGCAGTTGTTGCCCAGGCTGGAGTGCAATGGCATGACCTCAGATCACAGCAACCTCCACCTCCTGGGTTCAAGTGATTCTCCTACCTCAGCCTCCTGATGAGTAGCTAGGATTACAGGTATGTGAAACGACGCCCAGCTAATCTTTTGTATTTTTAGTAGAGAGGGGGTCTCTCCATGTTAGTCAGGCTGGTTTCAAACTCCCAACCTCAGGTGATCTGCCCGCCTTGGCCTCCCAAAGTACTGGGATTACAAGCATGAGCCACCACACCCAGCAATATTTCTGCATTTCAAAAAAAAACATTTCTGCATTTCTCAACATTATCTTACAAGACATCTAACTTTAAATAGGGAAAAATATCAGTACTTTTATGCTGCTCAGCATTAGAAGGTAACTAGTAACCAACCTGTCATTAAATCTTGGCATTCTATCTGCACTGGGTGCACGTATTAGTTAGCTATGCAGCATAACAAACCATCCAAAACTGATTAGCTCATAATTGAACTGCTCAGCCATTTAGGCTGGACTCAGTGGGGCCATTCTTCTGTTCTCAGCTGAGCTTCTTTAGACATGTATCATGAGCTGCTCATTGACTAGGAAGGCAGCTGTGCTTCTAGGGGTGAGCTTCTGCTTCTGGGGCTGTCAACAGGGGCAACTTGCTTCTCCTCCCCATGGTATCTTATCCTCCAGCTGGCTAATATGGGCTTGTTTCATGAAGATGGCAGCATTCTGAAAGAAAAACAGAAGCAGGCCCAGCATGGTGGCTCACGCTTGTAATCCCAGAACTTTAGTAGGCCAAGGTGGTTGGATCACCTTAGGTCAGGAATTTGAGACCAGCCTGGCCAACATGGTGAAACCTTGTCTTTACTAAAAATACAAAAATTAGCTGGGTGTGGTGGCACATGCCTGTAGTCCCAGCTACTCAGGGGGCTGAGTCAGGAGAATTGCTTGAACCTGGGAGATGGGGGTTGCAGTCAGCCAAGATCACGCCACTGCACTCCAGCCTTGGTGACAGAGAAAGACTCCTTCTCAAAAAAAGAAAAAAAAAAAAAGAGAGAAAAGAAAAACAGAAGTAGCCAACACTATTTGAACCTAGGCCCCAAAATAAGACATTGTCATGTTCCCAGGTTTCTACTGCCCTAAGCAAAAAAGGCCAGCCAGATCAAGTGTTTGGAAAATAGATTCTGAATCTTGATGGGAATGGCTGTAAAAGCACCTGGCAATGGACATGAATACAGGAGGGATGAAAAATTGCTACCATATTTGTAATCAGTATCCTTCTGCTGTTGTTTGTCTCTTTGTTTGTTTGTTTGTTTGTTTGTTTTGAAAGGGAGTCTCACTGTTGCCAGGCTGCAGTGCAGTGATGCCATTTTGGCTCACTGCAACCTCCGCCTCCTGGGTTCAAGCTATTCTTGTGCCTCAGCCTCTTGAGTAGCTGGGATTACAGGCCCACACCACCACACCCAGCTAATTTTTGTATTATTAATAGAGACAGGGTTTCACCATGTTGGCCAGGATGGTCCCCATCTCCTGACCTCATGATCCACCCGCCTCGGCTTCCCAAAGTGCTGGGATTACAAGCATGAGCCACCACACCCAGCCCATTCTGCTTTTTCTGCATATGTGGTCTATAGAACTCTTCCATATCAAGAAATTGTCTGAATACCCACAGCTACTACGTGGCTGGGATGGGACTCAGGATCAACTCTGACTCCAAAGCCTATGTACCTCCATGGATCACACTATTCAAGTAGCTGTCCTAGACTCTTAAAATCCTGGAGAGTGACACTTCAAAAATAGAAACCAGATTGCTTTTAGATTTGTGCCCACATAGTACTGTTTATTGTTGGGAATAATCTCAAGAAATTACTGAAGCACATGGTGGCTCACATCTGTAATCCTAACACTTTGCGAGGCTGAGATGGGAGAATCACTGAAGCTCAGGAGTTCAAGTGCAGCCTGGGCAACATAGTAAGATCCTGTCTCAATACAAAACAAATTTAAAAAATTAACCAGGCATGATGATACTCAGGTGTCTAGGGTAGGAGGATTGTTTAAGCCTGGAAGGTGGAGGCTGCATTAAGCCATGATTGATTACACCACTGCACTCCAGCCTGGGTGACAGAGTGAGACTCTTTCTCAAACAAAACAAAACAAAAA
Organism: Homo sapiens; assembly: GCF_000001405.40. NCBI lineage: Eukaryota > Metazoa > Chordata > Mammalia > Primates > Hominidae > Homo > Homo sapiens. The sequence continues at coordinate 20,737,830 of NC_000019.10, read as the reverse complement.
CAAAAAAGAAATTGCAAAAGCATTTTGAAAGAACATAGAATAACTTGGAAAAAATAGCTGACATAGCTGATATGGAATAATTTGGAAAACATAACTTATTTTTGATAATCAAAGTCCAACAACACATAACTTATCTTTTTATCATACAAAACATTTGAAAACTTTTAAATGAAAAAAACTTCAGAGAAATTAAGTTTCACATAGTTTAATTGAGCAAAGAATAATTTGCAAATTTTAAGCAGCCTATGGGTCCCGAGTAGCCTCAGAGAGACTCCAGCACAGCCACGTGGAAAAAAAGATTTATATACAGAAGAAGCAAAGTGACATACAGAAAATAGAAATGAGGTACAGAAACAGCCAGATTTATTACAGCTTGGGATTTGCCTTATTGGAATATGGTTTGACCAGCTGATGTTCTTTTATTGGCAAAAACATAGTGGTTGGTACAAGAATAAGTTACAATCTATTTACATATTCAGCTAGCTTTTAGTTTACTGTGTACAGAAAATCCTATTAACAAAATTAAACATAAAAGCGATCAGCTTTAGGCTATAATTAATTTAACAATATCTCCCTTTTGGTTATCTCCTCAATTTCAAGAAATTAAACAAAACTTCAGGCGTTGATATTACTTTGTCACCATCAAAAATGTACTTATTTAGTCTCAAATTCCACTGTAAAATAGCAGAACTGTGGGTTTTATAAAGTGAAAACAAGTACTTCAGGTTATTATTTTTTAAAATGATTACAGTAGAGGAGACCTCCTTGTATCGAAATCTGCTTTTCACCAAAGAAAAACAAGACCTGGCCAGTTTTAGAATCCACCTATTTCTTTAAACTTTCAGTTTGACTATGTCGCATTCAACATGAATGACTCTATTTTTGTTTGGTTTGGTCTGTTTGAGCCTAGTGAACAAGCTCAGTCCAGAATGATGGCCTCCAATAATTTTGTTTAAAAAATGTCCCCCTTTTGATTAGGTTTTCACATAGGTCAGAGTGTGACCAAAACTCAGCATCTTAGTGTCACTCTCAGTTTCCATTATTTTTGATTTCCGTTCTTATCAGGTCATTCATAGGTTATGGTGTTCTCATGGTCAAATACATTTTCAAGTTTTCATCATTCCAGTTAAAGAGAGACCACTTGACATTCTAGAGATGACTGCATGCAAAGATTTATAACTTTTGAGAGAATAGAATGCAGTAGGGAGACTATATTTTGATTATCAGGAAAATAATATCAAGAGTTAGAAGTACGATTTTTTTTTTTTGAGACGAAGTCTCACTCTTGTCACCCAGGCTGGAGTGCAATGGTGCGACCTCAGCTCACTGCAACCTCTGCCTCCTGAGTTCAAGTGATTCTCCTGCCTCAGCCTCCCAGGTAGCTGGGGTTACAGGCATGTGTCACTACACCTGGCTAATTTTTGTATTGTTAGTTGAGACAGGGTTTCACCATGCTGGCCAGGCTGGTCTCGAATTTCTGACCTCAGGTGATCCACCTGCCTCGGCTTCCCAAAGTGTTGGGATTACAGGCGTGAGCCACCGCACCCGACCAGAAGTATGCTTTTTAACCAAGGTTCCCATGAACCAACCAACTAAGATTAAATAGATCAAACAGTTAGCTAGTTAAATGGTCTACTCATTTCAACCAAGCAGTCTGTTCATTAATTTCCTACAACTGAATCTCTGTAATACTCGATGTATTTCTCCATGTGCAACTACAAATACTACCAACTGCACAGATACTTCTCTGTTTATCCAGTAAGTAAACTAGATAAATTATTTTATTTAGCACAACTTTATTAAAAAAATATTAAATTCTATTGTGTAACCATAGCCTTTATGGTGGAATCTGCTATAGAGCCTGTTATGGAAGATAAATTTCTAATCATTGCCTTATTTACTCTAAGCCTTTGAAAAAAAGACCTAACAAATGATCACTCAGAAGACTAATGGCCTCCTGGCAATGCTCTTTATGCTATTCTGAATAAGTTTATCTTTAACTTAATATTGCTCCAAGAGCAGTTGATCAATATTCTGTTTCTGATATTATGAGGCAACAAATTTCCCATTACAATTTCTCACCCGCAGTGGCCCTTCATCTTTTACCTATTAAGACATAAGTTTTTTTAAATGTTGGCTGTAAAATTATTTACATATATAAGTATACCCCATGAGAGCACACAAGAGATCCCTTTTTTATTTCTGTTGTGTGTAGAGGCATAAAAAAAGAAACTGTGAACTAAGAGCGTCATGATATCAGAGAGGTCTTCATTTTTTATCTTGTGGAAACAGCTTTCTACCTCAAGGTTGTCATCTTCTTTTGAGGAGAAACTTCTCCGGTTAGCTTTACCTCAAGATCTCCAATTAAAATCTCCAATAAGATTACAAGAGTTTAGAGGGTCCCCTTTGAGTTGTAACGTTATGAACCCAAGGTTTAAAGTCCCGAAGTCTTGCTACATTGTAGATGGCAAGCAGATTCAGTCTCTTTGTTCTAAATTATAAAAGGTTTTCCTGTTCCCAGTCAGTAGACTATTAAAAGCTTTTCTGGACAGATGCAGTGGCTCATGCCTGTAATAGCAGCATTTTGGGAGGCCAAGGCAGGTGGATCACTTGAGGCCAGGAGTATGAGACCAGCCTAGCCTAAAAACAGAAAAATTAGTAGAGCGTGGTGATGCACACCTGTAATCCCAGCTACTCAGGAGGCTGAGGCATGAGAATCACTTGAACCCAGGAGGCAGAGGTTGCAGTTAGCTGAGATCACAAAACTGAACCCTGGGTGACAGTGAGACCATCAAAAAAAAAAAAAAAGCTTTCTTTACCTTGTGAAAATATGCTTTGCCATAATGCATTAGAGCCTTGCCACATTTAGTAATATTAGACTTCAGTAGCAGATTATACATGACGTTCTATTATTAGGTGCATAGGTCTTCCAATGACTCTTTATAAAAGTCAACACGTTTTTTCCACTCTAAGTGGATCTGAGTGTCATCAATTGCAATTACAAAAACAATCTAGTGAATTTAGTTAGCTTTGCTCAGTACTATTGTATCTGTAATATCTTATTTAACAGTTTTACAACTTTTCTAGTGAAATAAGTATCTTTGTAATTGGAGACCTTTTCAGCAAGTCTTCATGAGGAAAAGAAAGTCTTAGTATCCTTTTAGCTACCGCTATAATAACAACCTTCTTGCATCAGAAAGCTTTTATACTACCAGAAAACATGCATTAAAAATGACAATTGCCAGGCATGCAATTTTCTGTCTGGTGCTCACATCTGTAATCCCAGTACTTTGGGAGGCTGAGGCGTGAGGATCATCTGAGGGCAGGAGTTCAAGACCAGACTGACTAACATGGTAAAACCCCATCTCTACTAAAAACACAAAAATTACCTGGGAGTAGTGGTGGGTGCCTGTAATCCTAGCTACTCGGGAGGCTGCGGCAGGAGAATTGCTTGAATTCAGAAGGCAGAGGTTGCAGCGAGCCAAGATGGTGCCATTGCACTCCAGCCTGGGCAACAAGAGTGACACTCAGTCAAAAAAAAAAAAAAAAAAAAGCCGGACGAAGTGGCTCATGCCTGTAATCCCAGCACTTTGGGAGGCCAAGGCGGGCAGATCACGAGGTCAGGAGTTCAAGACCACCTTAGCCAATATGGTGAAACCCTGTCTCTACTAAAAATACAAAAATTAGCTGGGCATGGTGGTGTGTGCCTGTAGTCCCAGCTACTAGGGAGACTGAGGCAGAAGATTCGCTTGAACCCAGGAGGCCAAGGTTGTAGTAAGCTGAGATCGTGCCACGGCACTCCAGCCTGGGTGACAGAGTGAGACTCTGTCTCAAAAAAATAAAAGACAGTTTCTGTATAAATGTTTAAATCACACATGAGGTAGCAGAAACATACATAAACTTTTAATATTCTTCTAAGAATTATAAGTTTGAAAAAGGAATTGGTCTTAACCTAGTGTAGTAATTTAGAACAGTCATCACACACACACACACACACACAGACATACACACACAAACACACATTCAATTTATATTTAATGTACATTACTTTATCTTTTCTGTGATTAGTAGTGAAATGCGTAGCTTTAAATAATGGAAACTTCAAGAACTCAGGAATAGGGTCCGAATGTGGTGGCTCACGCCTGTAATTCCAGCAGTTTGGGAGGCTGAAGGGGGTTGATCACGAGGTCAGGAGTTTGAGACCAGCCTGGCCAACATGGTGAAACCCAATTTCTACTAAAATTACAAAAAATAGTCAGGCGTGGGGGTGACCACCTGTCATCCCAGCTACTTGGGAGGCTGAGGCAGGGGAATCGCTTGAACCTGGGAAGTGGAGGTTGCAGTGAGCCAAGATCATGCCATTGTACTTCAGCCTGGGTGACAACAGCAAAACTCCATCTCAAATAATAATAATAATAATTAATTAATTAATTTTTAAAAAAAGAACTCAGGAAATATCAAGTGGCTGCCTAGGTTCTCCATGAGTCCACACTGAACATTAAGTTTATGTCTTTTTAAACACTAGGTTACTTTCCCAAATTTAGGTGCGCAGCACTGATACCTGAGAGGTTATCATAGGTCATTTGACTTGGACCACAGAGTTGATTTACAAAGTATATCTAAAACATTTCCATACTGCCTGATATAACTTTAAAAATGTGGCACAGTATTTTTGTAATAGTCAATTAATTTTTGTCTTGTGTAGGCTTACAGGTGTTTTTGTTTGTTTGTTTTTGTTTTCATTTTGTTTTGTTTTGTTTTGTTTTGTTTTGAGATGGAGTTTCTCTCTTATTGCCTGGGCTGGAAATGGCACGAGTTTTGCTCACTGCAACCTCTGCCTCCCAGGTTCAAGTGATTCTCCTGCCTCAGTCTCAAGTAGCTGAGATTACAGGCATGCGCCACCACACCTTGTTAATTTTGAATTTTTAATACATACGAGGTTTCTCCATGTTGGTCAGGCTGGTCTTGAACTCCCGACCTCAGGGGATCTGTCTGCCCTGGCCTCCCAAAGTGCTGGGGTTATAGGCATGAGCCACCACACCCCAGCCTGGGCTCAAAGTTTTTTAGGAGTCTGTCTCTTCATTCAAATTCTCACAATCCTTAGCCAGTCCAAATATAATATGATCCTAAAATTATCAGAAGCCTGTACTTAACTTGTGTGGACCCTTTCCATCTTTTCGTACAACTCTTTAAAGACACAGTCCTCTAGGATGTTATGTGCTTTTGAAGTTTTTAGAAACTACATCAGAATTAAACCATTAACTGTGAAAATGACTTAAAATGGTTATGAAGAAATAAATGAAAAAATGATTATACCTGTAGTCTATAATAATTTATCATAAAAACCATAATTATTACTAGTAGCATATACTCAGATACATTGGATTTTTAGAGATTTCATATAATTTTGAAATGAATATCATAACATTTATTAAAATATGTTGATAAAGGTCAAATTTTTAATTTGACAATGCTTTCCATGTAATTTAACATATCAAAGAATTCTGTTTATCACTCTTTCAAATGCTGCATTGGACTTATGTAGCATTCAAATATTAGGGGTCAAATACACACAACTTTTAAGCTGAATTTTAATTTTGGGAAGCCTGCCAAATATGTCAAAGGGTTAAAATACTTGAACAAAATGGGATCACAGTCCACTATTAAATAATAATCATTCATTTAGCCAAAGCAATAATTAAAAGATTTATTTATTATTTTTATTTATGTATTTATTTATTTATTGAGATAGAGTCTCACTCTGCCACCCAGGCTGGAGTGCAGTGGTGTGATCTTGGCTCACTGCAACCTCTGCCTCCTGGGTTCAAGCAACTCTCCTGCCTCAGCCTCCCAAGTAGCTGAGACTACAGGCGGTCACCACCTTGCCTGGCTAATTTTTGTATTTTAGTAGAGACGGGCTTTTGGCATATTGGCCAGGCTGGTCTCGAACTCCTGACCTCAGGTGATCCGCCTGCCTCAGCCTCCCAAAGTACTGAGATTACAGGCATGAGTCACAGTGCCTGGCCTATTAGAAGACTTATAAAAACAAAACCTTTTACTGTTCGATGCAGGAAATTCAGTTTTCCAGTCAAATGACCCAAGAAAGACAGCATGAGAAAAACCCATCTCTACTCTCCCTCTTTTTAAATTAATTCAAAAGGTGAATAAAAATAGGTTATTGTGTTATAGTAATAATACACAAAATTTTTGTTCAAGAGAAAATCAACTTATACTTTTGTATTAGTGTGCTATCAATACTAAAGCTAATTTTGACCAGGCGCAGTGGCTCACGCCTGTAATCCCAACACTTTGGGAGGTCGAGGCAGGCAGATCACCTGAGGTAAGGAGTTTGAGACCAGCCTGGCTAACATGTGAAACCCCGTCCCTACTAAATTACAAAAATTAGCCTGGCATGGTGGCAGGTGCCTGTAGTCCCAGCTACTTGGGAGGCTCAAGCAGGGGAATCACTTGAACCCAGGAAGTGGAAGTTGCAATGGGCCAAGATTGCACCACTGCACTCCAACCTGGGTGACACAGCAAGACTCCATCTCAAAAAATAAAAATTAAAATTTTAAAATTTTAAAAAAATTAAAAGCTAATTTTCATAAAACTTTATAAATAAATCCATCAAATATATCATTTTGACCACTCTAGATTTCCATACATAGCTTATACTTTTTTTAATTACTTTTTTTTTTATTTGGAGTTTCACTTTTATTGCCCAGGCTGGAATGCAATGGTGCAATCTCGGCTCACTGCAACCTCTGCCTCCCGGGTTCAAGATATTCTCCTGCCTCAGCCTTCCAAGTAGCTGGGATTACAGGCAAGCGCCACCATGTCCGGCTAATTTTGTATTTTTAGTAGAGATTCGGTTTCTCCATGTTGGTCAGGCTGGTCTCCAACTCCCAACGTCAGGTGATCCACCTGCCTCGGCCTCCCGAAATGCTGGGTTTACAGGCATGAGCCACCACACCCGACCTTTTTTAAATTACTTTTAAAAGTTTCTGTATTTTATTTTTATCTACATTCTTTTTATTTTTTCAATTTGAGACAATTTAAGTAATTTCAAACTAGACAAAATATTTTTGGCTTTCTTCATTGAAAGTATATTTTTCTTATGTTTGCTCACTATGTGGAAGTATTTTTCTTAGATCCGGTAGTTTTAATTATATATATTAATTACATTAACTCTTAAAAACCTAATTTTTTTTGTGAAATCTTTAGGAAGTAATTTAGAACTGTTTGGTATCAGTATTTGTAGACAAAAACCATTTTACATTTTTAATAGGAGACGTTTTTTCAAATTCTCTGTTAACTAGCAGATCTAAATATGTTTAGCTTTTCTATATCATATAAAAATAAGATTCTGGTCAGGCACGATGGCTCACGTTTGTGATCCCAGCATTTTGAAAGGCCAAGGCACAAAGACTGCTTAAGCCCAGGAATTGGAAGCAAGCCTGGGCAACATGGCAAAACCCCATGTCTACAAAAAATACAAAATTAGCTCGGCATCATTACCTGCACCTGTAGTACCAGTTAACCAGGAGGCTGAGGTAGAATTGCCTGAGCCCAGGAGGCCGAGACTGCAGTGAGCCATGATCAAGCCACTTCACTCCTTCCTTGATGACAGAGACTCTTTTTTAAAAAATTAAATGCCAAAGCATATAAAATTAATTTTATGGGACTTTGGGGGCGGGGGGTTGTTTTTATTATTATCTCAACAGCTTTGTGGCTATGGGTGGTGTTTGATTACATGAAAAAGTTTTTTAGTGGTGATTTCTGAGATTTTAGTGCACCTATAGCCCAAGCAGTGTACACAGTACCCAATGTGTAGTCTTTTATCCCTTTCCCCCTTCCTGTTCTTTCCCCCAAGCCTCTAGAGTCCATTATATAATTCTTCTTCTTCTTCTTCTTCTTTTTTTTTTTTTTGAGTTTCACTCTTGTTGCCCAGGCTGGAGTGCAATGGCACGATCTTGCCTCACTGCAACCTCTGCCTTCCAGGTTCAAGCGCTATCTTGTCTCAGCCTCCCAAGCAGCTGGGATTACAGGCATGTGCCACCACGCCTGGCTAATTTTGTATTTTCAGTAGAGACGGGGTTTCTCCATGTTGGTCAGGCCAGTCTCGAACTCTCAACCTCAGGTGATCCACCCGCCTTGGCCTCCCAAAGTGCTGGGATTACAGGCGTGAGCCACCGCACCCTCCCCATTATATAATTCTTAAGCCTTTACATCCTTATAGCTTAGCTCCCACATATAAATGAGAATATATGGTGTTCAATTTTCTATTCCTGAGTTACTTCACTTACAATAATAATCTCCAACTCCACCAAGGTTGCTGTGAATGCCATTATTTTGTTCCTTTTTGTGGCTGAGTAGTATTCTATGGTATATATACACCACATTTTCTTTGTCCACTCATTGGTTGATGGGCATTTAGCCTGCTTCCCAACATTTGCAATTTTTCAATTGCAAATTCTGCTGCTATAAACATGCATGTGCAAGTGTCTTTTTCAAACAATGACTTATTTTTCTCTGTGTAGATACCCAGTAGTGGGATTGCTGGATCAAATGGAAGTTCTACTTTTAATTCATTTAGAAATCTCCAGACTGTTTTTGATAGTACTTGTACTAGTTTATATTCCCATCAGCAGTGTAAAAGTGTACCCTTTGAACTACATCAATACCAACATCTGTCATTTTTTGATTTTTTTGATTATGGCCATTCTTGCAGGAGTAAGGTGATATCACATTGTGGTTTGATTTTTAGTTCTCAGATCATTAGTGATGTTGAGCACTTTTTAAAATGTTTTTTAACCATTTGTATATCTTCTTTTGAGAATTGTTTACTCATGTGCTAAGCCCACTTTTTTATAGGATAGTTTGTGGGGTTTTTTGCTCATTTGTTTGAGTTTCTTGTAGAAACTTTGTCAGTTTTTTGTCAGATGCATAGTTTGTGAATATTTTCTCCCACTTTGTGTGTTGTTTGTTTACTCTTCTGATTATCATTATTATTATTTTGCTGAGCAGAAGCTTTTTAGTTTAATTAAGTCACATTTATTGATCTTTGTTTTTGTTGTATTTGTTTTTGGGTTTTTGGTCATGAAATCTCTGCCTAAGCCAATGTGTAGAAGAGTTTTTCCCAATGTTTTCTTGTAGAACTTTTGTAGTTTCAAGTTTTCCATTTAAGTCTTTGATCCATCTTGGGTTGATTTTTGCATAAAGTGAGCAATGAAGATCCAGTTTTATTCTTCTAGATGTGGCTTGCTAATTATCTCAGCAGCATTTGTTGAATAGGATGTCTTTTCCCTACTTCATGTTTTTGTTTAGTTTGTAGAAGATCAGTTGGCTGAAAGTATTTGGCTTTATTTCTTTATTCACTATTCTGTTCCATTGGTCTATTTGCCTATGTTTATACCAGTACCATGCTGCTTTGGTAACAATAGTCTCCTAGTATACTTTGACGTCAGATAATGTGATGTCTCAAGATTTGTTCTTTTTGCTTAGTCTTGTTTTGGCTATGCAGGCTTTTTTATTTTTCTATATGAATTTTAGGATTGTGTTTTCTAGTTCTGTGAGGAATGATGGTGGTATTTTGACAAGAATGGCATGAATTTGTAGATTGCTTCTGGCACTATGATCATTTTCACAATATTGACTCTACTCATCCATGAATATGGGATGTATTTCCACTCGTTTGTATCATCTTTGATTTCTTTCAGGAGTGTTTTGTAGTAGTCCTTGTAGAGGTCTTTCACCTCTTTGGTTAAGTATATTCCTAAGTATATTTTTTCTGCAGCTGATGTAAAGTGGTTGAGTTCTTGCCTTTATTCTCAGCTTGGTCACTGTTGGTGTATACCTGCAATATTGATTTGTGTACATTCATTTTGTATCCTGAAACTTTAGTAAATTTATTTCTCAAATCTAGGAGCTTTTTGAATGAGTCTTTAGGGTTTTCTAGGTATACAATTATATCATTGACAAGCAGTGACAGTTTGACTTCCTCTTTGCCAATTTGGATGCCCTTTATTTCTTTTTCTTTTTTGAGAAGGAGTCTCACTCTGTCACCAGGCTGGAGTGTAGTGGTGCAATCTGGGCTCACTGCAACCTCCACCTTCCAGGTTCAAGTGATTCTCCTGCCTCAGCCTCCCGAGTAGCTAAGACTACACGCATGCGCCACCATACCCAGCTGATTTTTGTGTTTTTAGTAGAGACGGAATTTCGCCATGTTGACCAGGTTGGTCTTGATCTTTTGACTTCATTATCTGCCCGCCTTGGCCTCCCAAAGTGCTGGGATTACAGGCATGAACCACTGCTCACTTATACTTTGCCTTGCTATATCTTTATTCTGTATGAATGTTAACAGAATTATAGATAGACCTGGCTATAGATATATGTAAGTACATAAACACACACATACAGGATTATATTAGTTTGTATATGTAAATATTTATGCATACAAAAGATGTTCATCAATAGACATTTCTAATTTTCCAGCCTAACCTGAGGACACAGATGAAGACTTACTTTTCACCTATATGCCTTTATACCATCTCAGATTGGAACACAGCCATAAAGTGTTATGTATAAACATGAAGAAACTTCATGTTTATGAGCATGGCCTGTGAAGTAATACATTCGTAGTGTGACGTAAGGCTTTATGTCTGGCTTAGCATTTTAGATCCTTACTTTTCTTCTCAGGGTATGCCTGTGTTATTCACAACCATCATTTTGAGCCTGCCTTGATGTCTACACTTTTCCAGTTTAGCTAATCAGTTGGTTATATTTACCTGATCTGACCTAATTGGCTTTTTGCAATCACACAGGCTGAGGTAATTTGCTTATTTAACTTATCTGGGATGCAGGGGTAGAAATGAAGATGACCTCTGTCCTATATGGGACATATGCACAAATAAACTTGACCTATACATACATATGTGACTCATTCTTTGTGTGTATGTTTGTCTATCAACCTATCTTATATCCATATTTACATTTACAGAAAAAAGGCACTGAAGTAAACTTGGTAAAAGGTAATTTCTATTTTCTTTACTTCCAGGCTACATAAATCCAATCAGATGGTTAGCTCAGTGAAGATTTATAAAATCCAAGCCAAAAGCCACACTTTTTTTTTCATAAATGTGAAAATGTCCTTGTTACCTGGCACCCAGGTCTTTTTATTTGTGAATCTCAATAAATCAGCCTAGTGGGTTTCTGTCCAGTTAAAAAAAAAAAAAAAAAAAAAGCAGGAATGCTTGACATCAGTAAGACTATCCTTACTCAGAAAGAAGTTTTGGCCTGGCCAATAAGGGCCACAATTGGCACTTCTGTGAATGTTCACTATGGTCTGGTTGAAATGTGTTCTGGTACCATGAACAATTAATTACATTTGCTTTCAGTATGATGGTCTATCTTCCAGAAAGAGTGCTAGACTCTATCCGTTACCATAATGACACTACTTCAGCCACAGAGATGAAGAGACCAAATTGTACTTTTACGTTACATACTCATAAAAATGAAGTTGATCCCATGTCTTAAAGAAAGCCCAGATGAGAAAAAATAAGCATTTCACAATTTAGGTGAGAACCTTAGGACTGGGGCTGGTTCACCTCTGGCCATATGTGCAACATGAAGGGAAGGGTCAACCTTGACATGGCAGTGAATGACTCCCATTGGTTAGTGCATGTTCATTTTCCAGGAGTGAGCAAAAAAGACCAGTGCTTCCTTCGTATATGTTAAATGCAGCAGGATGTATGCCACAACATTCTTCTATTCGTGTACTCTTCTAGATCTAGTTTACAGGGCAAATAGATTTATACATGTATAGAAGTTACTTTGTTGGAGATGGGGACAGAGTCTTGCTGTGTCACCCAGGCTAGAGTGCAGTGGCAGAATCTTGGCTCACTGCAACCTCTGCCTCCCGGGTTCAAGTGACTCTCCTACCTCAGCTTCTGGAGTAGCTGGGACTACAGGCAAGTGCCACCACACCAGGCTAATTTTTGTATTTTTAGTAGAGACAGAGTTTCACCATATTGGCCAGGCTGGTCTCGAACTCCTGACCTCATGATGCATGCACCTCAGCCTCGCAAAGTGCTGGGATTACAGGCATGAGTCACCATTCCTGGGCAGGTAAATAGATTTTTAAAACTTACATAAAGGATTATATGAGTATATTTATGTAAATATTTATGTATACAAGAAATGTTCCCCAATAGACCATTTTCAATCACTTGGCATATACTAATTATACAGACATATACTTACTTTCAATCTCTTTTGCTCAGTAGCATTTTAGAACCAAACATAGCCATATAATATTGTTTGTATAAACATAAAAAAAATTCACCTTCAGTAGCATAGGCCTCAGAAATAAGCTGACAGCAAAGTCACGTTATACAGGCTGTTAAGTTTGGCACTTCAGGGCCCTGCATTCCTTCTCAATGTAGGTATGTGCTTTTCACATCCAGTAGCTTGGGCCTGCTTTGATAAACCTGCAGTCACTATTCAGATAATTGGCTGATTGCATCTAACTAGGCTAAGAAAATTGGATGAATGGAATCACCTTGGGCTAATCTAATTGGCTAATTAGATTCACCTTTACAGATATAATTGGCTAACTGGTATCACTTGGGCTCATTTAATTGGCTGATTGGAATTTCATTGGGCTAACCTAATTGGCTAATTGGATTCACCTGTACTGATATAATTGACTAATTGGTATCACTTGGGCTCCTTTAATTGGCTGATTGGAATCACCTGGGCTGAGCTAACTGGCTGAGTAGAATCACATGGGCTGAGTTCATTGACTGCGTCTTGAGGAGAATGAGTAAGGTAATGACCTCTTACATATTTTTCTTTTGGGGGGCTTTTTTTCAAGACATACTCACAAATAGACATTAATTAGACATATGATATAAGCTTTTGTGTTTGTATCTGTTTTCCTATATACATGTCTTATATCTGTTTCTAAATCTACAGAAGAAAGTGTCCGGCTGGATGCGGTGGCTCATGCCTGTAATCCCAGCACTTTGGAAGGCCGATGTGGGTTGATCACTTCAGGTCAGGAGTTTGAGACCACCCTGACCCACATGGTGAAACCCCATCTCTACTAAAAATACAAAAATTAGCCAGGCACAGTGGCAGGCACCTGTAGTCCCAGCTACCTGGGAGGCTGAGGCAGGAGAATTGCTTGAACCTGGGAGGTGGAGGTTGCAGTGAGCCGAGATAATTGCACCACTGCACTCCAGCCTGGTGACAGAGTGAGAGTCTGACTCAAAAAAACAAAGACAAAACAAAACAAAAAACCAATGGTTACTTTGTATAAGTTAAATGCCAATGGATTTAGGTAAGAGCATACATCCATTTGAGGAGTATTCTAGGTATATTTCATAGAGCAGAAAATTTTATACCTCTATGGAATTATCTTTGTATATTACTAATGATATCAACAATCAACAGTTTCACCTTCTACATCATTATTTTTTGTGAATATAGATACAAACCTGGATACATCTGCATATAGTTAGACAGATAAATACACACATACAGAGTTATATAAGTACACTTATGTAAATGTCTATTAATATAGAAGATGCTCAGCAAATGACATTTTTAATACCTTAGTATATACTAAGAATTCAGATGTGGACTTACTAGTATACTTTATGGCACAATAGAAATCCAAAATGGAACATAACCATACAATGATGTTTACAGATACATAAACAAAGATACACATTCAAAGGCAAGGTCTTGGAAATAAGCTGATAATACAGCAATGTAATCCTTTATGACCAGATTAGCATGTCTGGGCTCTGCTTTTTTTCTCAGTGTAGAAAAGTGCTATTTACTTCCACCATTTTGACTTAATGAATCTATAGTCACTATTTAGATTGTTGTCTGATTTGATCCACCTGTACAGAACTATTTGCCTTATTGGAATCAACTAACCTGAGCTAATTGGTTAATTAGATACTTCTGAACTGAGCTAATTGAATGATTGGAGTCACAGTTTCAACTAACTGGCTGCTTGGATTCTCTAGAACATAGCTAATTTCCTGATTAAAAGCACATGAGCTAGCCAAGTGCTGGGGCTCACAACTGTAATCCCAGCACTTTGGGAGGCCGAGGTGGGTGGAACACCTGAGGTCAGGAGTTCAAGACCAGCCTGACCAAAATGGAGAAACCTTGTCTCTACTAAAAATACAAAATTAGCTGGGTGTGGTGGCGCATGCCTGTAATCCCAGCTACATGGGAGGCTGAGGCAAGAGAATCACTTGAACCCAGGAGGCAGAGGTTGCAGTGAGCTGAGATTGTACCATTGCACTCCAGCCTGGGCAACAAGAGCGAAACACTGTCTCAAAAAAAAAAGGAAAGAATAAGAATTATACAATGAACTCCAGAGGCTTGGGGAAAAGAAAGAGATGGGAGAAAGGGATAAAAGACTACACATTTGGTACAGTGTACACTGCTTGGGATATGGGTGCACTAAAATCTCAGAAATCACCACTGAAAAACTTTTATGTAATCAAACACCACCTGTAGCCACAAAGCTGTTGAGATAATAATAAAAACAAGCCCCAGCCCCCAAAGTCCAATAAGTTCTACTTTATCTGCTTTGGCATTTAATTTTTTAAAAAAGAGTCTCTGTCATTGAGGATGGAGTGAAGTGCCTTTATCATGGCTCACTGCACTCTCAATCTCCTGGGCTCAGGCAATTCTCCTACCTCAGCCTCCTGGGTAGCTGGTACTACCGGTGTAGGTAACCATGCTGAGCTAATTTTTGTATTTTTTGTAGACATGGGGTTTTTCCATGTTGCCCAGGCTTGCCTCGAATTCCTGGGCTTAAGCAATCTTTGTGTCTTGGCCTTTCAAAATGCTGGGATTACAAGCATGAGCCACCATGCCTGACCAGAATCTTATTTTTATATGATATAGAAAAGCTAATCATATTTAGATCTGCTAATTAACAGAGAATTTGGAAAAAAACTTCTATTAAAAATATAAAATGGTTTTTGTCTACAAATACTGATGCCAAACACTCCAAAATTACTTCCTAGGGATTTCACTAAAAATTAGGTTTTTAAGAGTTAATGTAATTAATATATATAATAAAAACTACTAGATCTAAGAAAAACAATTCTGCATAAAGAGTGTGTAAAAAAAGCAAAAATTTGCTTTTCATGAAGAAAGTTAAATATATTGGGGTCAAATGCCCCAATTAAAAGACACAGACTGGCAAATTGGATAAAGAGTAAAGACCCATTGGTGTGCTGTATTCAGGAGATGCATCTCATGTGCAAAGACACACATAGGCTCAAAATAAAGGGATGGAGGAAGATCTACCAAGCAAATGGAAAGCAAAAAAAAAAAGCAGGGGTTGCAATCCTGGTCTCTGATAAAACAGACTTTGAACCAACAAAGATCAAAAGAGACAAAGAAGGCCATTACATAATGGTAAAGAGATCAATTCAACAAGAAGAGCTAACTATCCTAAATATATATGCACCCAATACAGGAGCACCCAGATTCATAAAACAAGTCCTTAGAGACCTACAAAGAGACTTAGACTCCCACACAATAATAATGGGAGACTTTATCATCCCACTGTCAATATTAGACAGGTCAATGAGACAGAAAATTAACAAGGATATCCAGGACTTGAACTCAGCTCTGGGCCAAGCAGACCTCATAGACATCTACAGAACTCTCCACCCCAAATCAAGAGAATATACATTCTTCTCAGCACCGCATTGCATTTATTCTAAAATTGACCACGTAATTGGAAGTAAAACACTCCTCAGCAAATGTAAAAGAACAGAAATCACAACAAACTGTCTCTCAGACCACAGTGCAATCAAATTAGAACTCAGGATTAAGAAATTCACTCAAAACCACACAACTACATGGAAACTGAACAACTTGCTCCTGAATGACTACTGGGTAAATAACTAAATGAAGGCAGAAATAAAGTGTTCTTTGAAATCAGTGAGAACAAAGACACAATGTATCAGAATCTCTGGGACACATTTAAAGCAGTGTGTAGAGAGAAATTTATGGCATTAAATGCCCACAAAACAAAGCAGGAAAGATCTAAAATCGATACCCTAACATCACAATTAAAAGAATAGAGAAGCAAGAGCAAACAAATTCAAAAGCTAGCAGAAGACAAGAAATAACTAAGATCAGAGCAGAAATGAAGGAGATAGAGACAAAAAAAAAACCTTTAAAAAATCGATGAATCCTGGAGGTGGTTTTTTGAAATGATCAGCAAAATAAGACCACTAGCTAGACTAATAAAGAAGAAAAGAGAGAAGAACCAAATAGATGAAATAAAAAATGATAAAAGGGATATCACCACTGATCCCATAGAAATTCAAACTGTCATCAGAGAATGCTATAAACACCTCTACACAAATAAACTACAAAATTTAGAAGAAATGGATAAATTCCTGGACATTTACATTCTCCCAAGTCTAAACTAGGAAAGAGTTGGATCTCTGAATAGACCAATAACAGGTTCTGAAATTGAGGCAATAATTAATAGCCTACCCACCAAAAAAGTCCAGGACCAGACAGATTCACAGCTGAATTCTTCCAGAAGCACAAAGAGGAGCTGGTACCATTTCTTCTGAAACTATTTCCATCAATAGAAGAAGAGGGAATCTTCCCTAACTCATTTTATGATGTGAGCATCATCCTGATACAAAAGCCTGACAGAGACACAACAAAAAAAGAGAATTTTAGGTCAATATCCCTGATGAACATCGATGTGAAAATCCTCAGTAAAATACTGGCAAACCTAATCCAGCAGCACATCAAAAAGCTTATCCACCACAATCAAGTTGGCTTCATCTCTGGGATGCAAGGCTGGTTCAACATATGTAAATCAATAAAGGTAATCCATCACATTAACAGAACCAATGAAAAAAAACCACATGATTATCTCAGTAGATGCAGAAAAGTCCTTCAAAAATATTCAACAATGCTTCAAGCTAAAAACTCTCAATAAACTAGGTATTGATGGAACATATCTCAAAATAATAAGAACTATTTATGACAAACCTACAGTTTGTCATATCATACTGAATGGGCAAAAACTGGAAGCATTCCCTTTGAAAACAGGCAAAAGACAATGATTATTTCGCTCTCCACTCCTATTCAACATAGTATTGGAAGTCCTGGCCAGGGCAATTGGCAAGAGAAAGAAATAAAAGGTATTCAATTAGGAAAAGAGGAGGTCAAATTGTCTCTGTTTGCAGATGACACTGTATATTTAGAAAACCCCATCATCTCAGGCTAAAACCTGCTGAAGCTGATATGCAACTTCAGCAGTCTCAGGATACAAAATCAATGTGCAAAAATCACAAGCATTCCTATACACCAAAAACAGACAAACAGAGAGCCAAATCATGAGTGAACTCCCATTCACAATTACTACAAAGAGAATAAAATACCTAGGACTCCAGCTTTCAAAGGATGTGAAGAACCTCTTCAAGGAGAACTACAAACTGCTGCTCAATGAAATAACAGAGGACACAAACAAATGGAAGATCATTCCATGCTCATGGATAGGAAGAATCAATATCGTGAAAATGGCCATACTGCCTAAGGTAATTTATAGATTCAATGCTATCCCCATCAAGCTACCAATGACTTTCTTCACAGAATTGGAAAAACTACATTAAATTTCATATGGAACCAAAAAAGAGCTCGCATAGCCAAGACAATCCTAAGCAAAAAGAACAAAGCTGGAGACATCACACTACCTGACTTCAAACTATACTATAAAGCTACAGTAATCAAGATGACATGGTACTGGTACTAAAACAGAAATATAGACCAATGGAACAGAACAGAGACCTCAGAAATAGCACCACACATCTACAACCACCTGATCTTTATGAACCTGACAAAAACAAGCAATGGGGAAAGGATTCCCTATTTAATAAATGGTGCTGGGAAAACTGGCTAGCCATATGTAGAAAGCTGAAACTGGATCCCTTCCTTACACCTTACACAAAAATTAACTGAAGATGGAATAAAGACTTAAATGTAAGAGCTAACACTGTAAAAACTCTAGAAGAAAACCTAGGCAATACCATTCAGGACATAGGCATGGGCAAAGGCTTCGTAAATAAAACACCAAAAGCAATGGCAACAAAAGCAATAATAGACAAATGGGATCTAAGTAAACTAAAGAGCTTCTGCACAGTGAAAGAAACTATCATCAGAGTGAACAGGCAACCTACAGAATGGGAGAAAAATTTTGCAATCTACCCATCTGACAAACGGCTAATATCCCGAATCTACAAAGAACTTAAACAAATTTACAAGAAAAAAACAAACAACCTCATCAAAAAGTGGGCAAAGGATATGAACAGATGCTTCTCAAAAGAAGACATTTACGCAGCCAACAGATATATGAAAAAATGCTCATCATCACTGGTCATTACAGAAATGCAAATCAAAACCACAATGAGATACCATCTCATGCCAGTTAGAATGGTGATAATTAAAAAGTCAAGAAACAACAGATATTGGAGAGGATGGGGAGAAATAAGAATGCTTTTACACTGTAGGTGGGAGTGTAAATTAGTTCAACCACTCTGGAAGACAGTGTAGTGATTCCTCAAGGATTTAAGACTAGCCACACCATTTAACTCAGCAATCCCATTACTGGGTATATACCCAAAGGATTATAAATCATGCTACTATAAAGACACAGCACACGCATGTTTATTTTGGCACTATGCAATATACCAAAGACTTGGAACCAACCCAAATGTCCATCAATAATAGACTGGATAAAGAAAATGTGGCACATACACACCATGGAATACTACGCAGCCATAAAAAAGAATGAGTTCATGTCCTTTGCAGTGACATGGATAAAGCTGTAAACCATCACTCTAAGCAAACAATCACAAGGACAGAAAACCACACACCGCATGTTCTCACTCATAGGTGGGAGTTGAACTATGAGAACACATGGACACAGGGTGGGGAACATCAAACACTGGAGCCTGTCAGGGGGTTGGGGGCTGGGGGAGGGATAGCATTAGGAGAAATACCTAATGTAAATGACGAGTTGATGGGTGCAGCAAACCAACATGGCCCATGTATACCTATGTAACAAACCTAGAACTTAAGTACCCTAGAACTTAAAGTATTATAAAAAAGAGAAAAATGCATTGCAAAACCAAAAAAAGAGAAAAATACCAAGCCAAACACTCAATCTGGATGAATAGAGAATAAAAAAATATTTACAGAAACTAAGAAGTTTCTCCTCAAACTTTCTTAGGATGTTACTGGATGATTTTCTTAAGCAAAATGAGGAGGCTAAGAATGTGGAAGACATGGGATCCAAAGAAAGGTGGATCCAGGGTGACCGAGAGAAGGAGGAGTGCCAGGATGCAGCTTTGGAGCAGGCCTGGAAGCAGCACTCCAGACAGAAGGAAGAAAACAGAGGCTCCAACAAGGAGACATTTTGTAAAAAATGGTGTTTCATAGATTTCATATGATCCCTAGGAAGATAGAACTACTTAAAAACATATTAAAGACAATATGAAGAAGTAAGAAGAGAATTAGAAACTCCAGAAAAATCCAAATAGCTATACAAAACCCACAAAATTAATCCTAAACAAGGGCTTGGTTCTGCAGCAAATAGTACTTGGAAGAGGAATAACAAACAAAACATGATTCACTTCCTGCTTTCATAATAAACCATAGATAAAGGACAGAAGACAGGTATCATCTTGGAAAGGAATGCAAATATTATCAACCCTGACAGTTTGCAAGGTTGAGATTTAAAAAATATTATCTCTGCAAATAAGGTCAGGTGATCTTTGAAACATTAGTAAATTAGAGAATAAACTTTATCTCAACTAGAGAAGAGGTATTTCCTATAGTTGCTGTAAAAAGAAATATAATGGTGAACATTTATTTAAAGTTACAAAAGTAATTAATAGAAAAACAAAAAAAGTAGGCAAAGAATCATACTGGCAGGAGTATTAAGGGAAGGCTTGGGATGATATAAGGAAGTTAAATCTTTTGTCAGAATAGCGCGTCAGTAAATGCTATTTCAAATTAATCAAGGAATATAGTGCAATAACAGATTAAAGGTGGATGATAATCAGAAATATAAGTTTAGAAATCTTTTTTTTGTGTGTGGGAGTGGGGACAGAATCTTGCTCTATCCCCCAGGCTGGAGTGCCTTGGCATAATCTTGGCTTACTACAACTTCTGCCCCCCAGGCTCAAGCCTTTCTCTCACCTCAGCCTCCTGAGTAGCTGCAATTACAGGCATGCACCATCACACCCAGCTAATTTTCAAATTTTTTGTAGAGGTGGGGTTTCACCATGTTGACCAGGCTGGTCTCAAACTCCTGACCTCAAGTGACCTGCCTTCCAAAGTGCCGGGATTACAGGAACGAGCCACCATGCCCAGCCTAGAAATAGTTTTAAGAGTTAAATAGTGTTACTGATATAGTTTGGATATTTGTCCCTTCCAAATCTCATGTTGAAATGTAATCCCCAGTGTTGGCGGTGAGGCCTGGTGGGAGGTGTTTCACCTTCTGCCGAGTAAAGCTCCCTGAGGCCTCACCAGAAGCTGAGCAGATGCTGGCACCACATTTCTTGTGCAGGCTGCAGAACCAGGAGTCAATTAAACCTCTTTTCTTTATAAATTATCCAGCCTCAGATATTTCTCTGTAGCAATGCAGAAAAGGCCAAACACAGTTAGCCTGTACGAAAAGAGGTTAGAGACTGTTAGGCATGGGGCAGGAAGTTTATTTTTCATTTTAATCTCTCTATTCGATTTAATTTTCCAAAACATATGAATAGATACATTTGATCAAAAACTTAAATACAAGCACTTTCTAAGAGTTGGAGTTAAAATAACTGATACCCATTTGTTTCCGTGGCTGGTCTTGTGTAATGAAGACAGGGAGCATTTGCCAGCAGGATCGCAGAGAGACTTTACAGGCCTACCTGGGAATTAGGTAATCACCAGGCCATGTTTGACTCTGAGATAAGTTTTCTCCAAGATTTGTAAGCTCCAAAACCCACAATATCATTTCAGGCTATCCTCAAATTCTTTCACTGATACAAAAATTAGGTAATAATTCACATTTGTATGTAAAGGTAGGAGTGGGTGATGTAAAAGACTTACCAGAAATGAGTTTATTGCTAAAAAATTTTGCAGCAGTTGAGAAATTTCTGACCTCTTCTTATTGAATGGCCTTGTCTCATGCTTTGATATTTCTCATAGGCCATAGTTGGCATCTTTAATGCCCTAGGGCAAACTTCAAGAACTCTAGAGTTATTGTAAATTAGCTATTGCAAGCATACGACTGTTCTGGTCATTCAAAGTAATCCTGTCTTCAGTTAGAGCAAATAGGAGAAAAATGATGTTTTACTGAATGCTTAGCCTGTTTGTAATTATCACCAAACTTGTAAGACACAAGGTTATAATAGCCTTCTATTTTGTAAACAAAAGTGAGGACAAATAATTAGTCATAGGATAGAAATACAATCAATTTTCCATAACACTGAAGTTTGTGTACCTTCTAGTATCTTGCTCTTCACTCTCTACAAAGCTGCTTCACAACTGAATCAAACCAAACAAACAGGGCAGCTGGACTGGTTTTCTGGTGGTGGCAGTGGGTGGGGGTGAGTTCTCTGGCATGGAAGCTTTCAGGCATAAGCTCCAAGACCATTCTTTTTCAGGTTGTTTTAGAGAAGGTTCAAGGACAAGTGGGTTGGAATTGGGCTCTGGGACCTCTCCTAACAATGGGATTGTATTTATGATATCTCAAGAGTACGCTCAAAGAAAAATGCTTTGGATCCTCCAAGTAGGATGTGAGGTGATAAACTCAAAGTCATACTCCCATTTGATAAAAACAAACAAAACAAACAAAAAACAACTTAACTTGAACCCAAGTTTTGTAGGTCTCAGCCTTGAGTCTTCATATTGTGCTAATTTCCAGAGCAAATAAGTTGCTCCCAAGCACATTGGGGCTGGTAGTTCTGTTATAGGAAGAGGGACTTAGAAATTCTAATGAAAAGCAGTGCTGGGATCGAAAGAATCAACTCAGGAAATCTCAGAAATTATTTATCTCTTGATTTGTCATTGCCTAGGCTGTCTTTGCACATAGCTAACAGGAACCTGAAGAGGAGCCATCTCGCAAATGACAGCCAGAGGAGAGACTTGGAATTTGGCATGAGCTTTAATGGAGATATTCTGCAATTTATGGTTTTGGCAAGTGGAGACTGAAGGTAAAATAAATACGTTACAGCTTTTGAGAACAAATATTTTTTCATAAGTTTCCTCTGGCAGTTAATTTGTCTTTGACAGATTACTCTCAAAGTAATGGAGATGAATAGAAATGACTTTACCCAGAATGGCCTTATTATGATGCATAATCCTTTTAATGTCTCACTTTATAGGGCCTAGAATCTTTAGGATTTGGCAACAGAGACCTAATCAGGACTGTCTCTCCTTTTTTTGGAAAAAAAAAAAAAACAACCTAGTAAGTCTTTTTTTTAAAGTCAAAGTGCCATCAAACCTATGGTCTAATTATCTTCATAAGCAAAGAGACACCTGCTTGCATAGGGATGAGACTATTGCAAGAATTAATATGTTTTCCAATTTTTAAATAAAATGAACTAATGGAACCCAACATCTCATTAATGGTCAGAGTTAGGGCCATATATAAGATTAGATTCCACCAAATTCTGGCTCATATACGGTTACCTAAATGGCTATTTCTTTGTATTTTCCAAACTAGACAAGGTCATTGAGTTGTCATCTCAATAGACAATTAAATATCTAAGGTCAATGCTTCACTGTTTTTTTGGAAGATAGATTTTAGTTTGCCATAAAGTGTCAAAGAGAAACCAGCTGGATCTGAGTAATCTTAGATACATGTGGCCCATGCTGGATGTACTCTTAAAGCTTTCTTGAAGAGTAAGAAATTTTCCTAAGATTTTTATGGGCTTTTAAAATGTTTTAATGACATCCCCACCTCTTCAACAACCTTCTGTTTTACAAGTTACTTCCAGTATAACAGGCATTTCTATTTGGTGGTTTCCAGGTAGGAAAAATGATAGACTTAATTTCTCTTGCTCTTGGCAACTATTCTCTTTCCACAGAACTCTGGCCAGCTGGTTTACACCAACCTTCTTTTGTTTGCTGATATTTCCACCACCTGCTGGTTGCCCTTATATTCTCTGGTTGACACTATAGGTACTATTAGTTTGAAGATGTTAAGTGTTTGAAGCTTCTGATTTTACTTTATTTCTGTATATTATTTACCCTTAGGACTCATGATTCTACAAAGTGGAAAGGAATAATGATATTTTGATAGACTCCATGAATTCAAGCAGTGATCCCAAATCTCATAGCTTGTATCAGTGAGGCTTCTTACACACAAGTCAATTTTCTGACCTTTGTAGAATCAACTAGCTGCCTTTTAGCTTACACTCTTTAAGAATATGATTTTTAAAATCTTTTTTTATTATTATACTTTAAGTTCTAGGGTACATGTGCCCAATGTGCAGGTTTGTTACATAGGCATACATGTGCCAGGTTGGTTTGCTGCACTCATCAATTCATCATTTACATTATGTATTTCTCCTAATGCTATCCCTCCCCCAACCCCCCACCTCCCAACAGGCACCAGTGAGTGATGTTTCCCTCCCTGTTCCATGTGTTCTCATTGATTAACTCCCCTTATGAGTGAGAACATATGGTGTTTGGTTTTCAATCCTTGTGATAGTTTGCTGAGAATGATGGTTTCCAGCTTCATCCATATCCCTGCAAAGGACATGAACTCATGCTTTTTTATGGCTGCACAGTATTCCATGGCGTATATGTACCACATCTTCTTTATCCAGCCTATTATTGATGGACATTTGGGACGGTTCTAAGTATTTGCTATTTTGAATAGTGCCACAATAAACATACATGTGCATGTGTCTTTATAGTAGCATGATTTATAATCCTTTTGGTATATACCCAGTAATGGGATGGCTGGGTCAAATCATATTTCTAGTTCTAGATCCTCATGGATCTAGAACTTATATACATATATATAATTACTTTCAATCTCTTTTGCTCAGTAGCATTTCAGAATTGATATATAATTACAGATATATAATTACTTTCAATCTCTTTTGCTCAGTAGCATTTCAGAATTGAACATAGACATACAATATTATAAACATAAAAAATCCTTAATCTTCAGTAGCATAGGCCTCAGAAATAAGCTGACACTAAGTCAGGTTACTCATGCAGTTCAGGTTTGCACTTCAGGACCCTGCATTCCTTCTCAATGTTTGTATGTGCTTTTCACATCCACTAGTTTGGGCCTGTTTTGATAAACCTGTAGTCACTATTTAGATAATTGGCTCATTGGATCTAACTAGACTAAGAAAATTGGCTGAATGGAATTACCTTGTGTTAATCTAATTGGCTAATTAGATTCACCATTCTTGGGAGAAAAGCTGGGTGTTGGGAGAGAAGCTGAGGCAGGGCTTGCATGTCTGACATAATGTAAAAAGTCTTGGAACATGTCCATGGTCCAGGGTCTAAAACCCCTTGTGGTCTTTGGAACACCAAGCTCTGTGCTAAAGGATGGAAGGCTACCCTGACACACCATAATCTAAGCCCAGGGCATAAAATCCCTCGTGGCTTGGATAGAATCCAGAGGGCTAATGGCTCTGGAATGTGTCTAGACATGCTGGCTCCTGGCTCCTTGCTCTCCCAAGATTGATTGTATCTTGAGTTAAAAGAATCTCCTTTCCATTATCTCAAGTAGCAGAGCATATGCTAAACCATCACAGCTGTAGATCATGCACTTGCCCTTTCGAACCCCACATTCTCACCACCTGTTTCTTTGTTTGATCACCAATAAATAGTGTGGGCTCCCAGAGCTCTGGGCCTTCACAGCTTCCATACACTAGCGATGGCCCCTGGTCCCATCTTTCTCTCTCAAACTGTCTTTTTCTCAATCCTTTGACTCCACTGGACCTTGTCACCCCCACGACCTGGTGTTGGGTCTGATTACCCCAACATTCCTGGCTGCCCAATGTGGGGCAACAGAGACCCCGGTGAAGAAACCCTACAGTGTGTGAAAGTGGATGACGCATCCTCAAAGGACACCCAAGGACAACTAAAAGAAGCTCGGTAGGAAAGCGGAATGCTCGGAAGAACCAGGATAACAATGGCACAAAGTGAAAGCAAACATTCTGCTTACTTGAATTTCTTAAGGAATTTATTATGAAGAGGGTGAGGCATGCGGTAAGACCCAGTGGAATCTGAGGCTTGTTTATTCAGAGAGCACCTCAACAAACTGAGGCATATATGACACAGCCAGTGCCCTTACAAATGTACAACAATTGTTTCCTTGCACAGCAGGCAGTGCTGCCGTAGACCTCTGCAGCACAATTCCAGTCTCCTTACTTCCAGGGGAGCAACCAAAGAAGGTCCCTATGGGAGTTAGGGGACCCTTACCCTCAGGAACAGTTCATCTATTACTTGGAAGGTCTAGTCTAAATTTGAAAGGTGTCGCTGTGCATACAGGAATAATTGATTGTGATTATAGTGGAGAAATTCAATTAGTTATTAGTTCCTCAACTCCGTGGTCTGCTTCCCCAGGAGAAAGAATTGCTCAGTTGTGGCTCTTACCTTACATAAAACCAGGAAGCAGCACAGTGAAAAGAACAGGAGGCTTTGGTAGTACTAATTCAGCAAGAAAGGCTGTATATTGGGTTATTCAAGTGTTTGACAAAAGACCTATTTGCACAGTAACTATTCAGGGAAAGGATTTTGAAGGACTAGTGGATACTGGAGCTGGTGTCTCTATTATTGCTTTATATCAATGGCCCCAGCACTGGCCCAAACTAAAGGCTTCCATGGGTATCATTGGCATAGGAACAGCCTAGGAAGTTTTTCAGAGTTCCTTGATTTTACCATGTCAAGGGACACCTGGTCAGGAAGGGACAATTCAGCATATTATTACACCTCTTCCAGTCAATTTATGGGGTAGAGACTTATTGCAACAATGGGGTACCCACCAAATATCTGAAGATCTATCATGAGCCACAGCATCTAGTGGGCCCACCGGTACAGTGCAAATTGAAGGTTTGAGAAGCCTTGATTTGCTTTCTCTGTGCCTTCTGTTAGAAGGGGCCTGTTTCTCATTATCAGTGGAAAGTTTTACCTCACTGTAATTAACCAAAGAGGCAGAAGCTGAGTTAACAAATGCTTCAGCAATGGCATGCCTCCCAGTTACAACCACAAAACTTTTTGCTTCTGTTTCGCTAGGTTTACTAATGTGGGATCGAGGGTACGCTTGTGTTTTTGCAGGAGATGAATGAAACCATGTGGATGCAACCCCTATAACATGGGACAGAGCAAGAAAACAGCACAGGAAGCTGAGAAACTACTGGAATGCCAGGGTTTTACCTATGGATGCTTAACGGACCAATGCTTTCTGACTGAGCTCCTCTCTACCCTGAATACAAGAGTCCCTAATAGTTAGGCAGGATTATCGTCACTCCTATTCAGCATGAAGAAGTTACAGAAGATGGACCTTCATCCTTCTGCAACCCCTAGGATTAAGGGTCCTCTTGTAAAAGGGAAAAGGGAGATATGTGGGAAGAATTCAAACCAGAGCAACTCCATTTTGAATAAGAGCTAAGTAAGTAGAGCTAAGTAAGTAGAGCTAGAGATAAGTAGAGATAGAGATAGAGAGATAGAGATAAATAGAGAGATAGAGATAAACAGAGATAAATAGAGAGATAGAGATAAATAGAGATAGATGAAGACTAGCAATATAAGATCAGTGCCCTAAAGAGGTACAAAAGCAAAGACTAGCAATATAAGGTCAGTGCCCTAAAGAGGTACAAAAGTTGAGGCTAGCAAAGACTAGCAGAGATTTGCAGGGACAGACAGGAACATTCTGAATTATGGAAATTAGCTATGGCTCAAAGTCCAAGCAAAATCTGAGAGGGCAAATATACAAGGAATAGAGGGGAGGAAGGTAAGGATAAAAATGCTCTTTCTTTTCTCTCCAACAGGACCTTTTGGATTCAAAGTTGTGCTAGCAATAGGAAATGTTACTCTTGATATAAATATATGCCTTATTACTTGCCCCGAATGTCACTTGTTTACCTACATTAATTCAACCTTTGATAAAAATCAAACTATCTTGATAATTAAAGCCAGAGAAGGAGTTTGGATCCCTGTACCTCTAAATAGACCATGGAGACATCACCATCTATTTATATTGTAACTGAGACCCTTAAAAAACTATTATCCCATTCTAAAAGATTTATAGTTGAAGGCCATTGGAGGCTCTACATTTGTGGATTTTGTTCTGGTGGTTGTGTGCTTGTGCTGTCTTCTTTTAGTCTGCAGATGCGAAAGCTGCCTCTGAAGATGAAGCCACCTCTGAGAGAAAGCTGACTTCAAGAACAAGCAATGATAGCTGTGGCGGTTTTATGAAAAAGAAAAGGGGGGCATGTTGGGAGAAAAGCTGAGTGTTGGGAGAGAAGCTGAGGCAGGGCTTGCATGTCTGACATAATGTAAAAGAGTCTTGGAACATGTCTGGGGTCCAGGGTATAAAAACTTCTGTGGCCTTTGGAACACCAAGCTCTGTGCTAAAGGGTGGAAGGCTACACTGAAGCACCATAATCTAAGCCCAGGGCATAAAATCCCTCATGGCTTGAATAGAATCCAGGGCTCGTGGCCCTGGAATGTGTCTAGACTTGCTGGCTCCTTGCTCCTTGCTCTTCCAGGATTGACTGTATCTTGAGTTAAAAGAACCTGCTCTCCATTATCTCAAGTAGCAGAGCATATGCTAAACCATCACAGCTGTAGATCATGCACTTGCCCTTTCGACCCCACATTCTCACCATCTGTTTCTTTGTTGGATTACCAATAAATAGCATGGCATCCCAGAGCTCGGGGCCTTCGCAGCCTCCATACACTAGCAATGGCCCCCTGGTCCCACTTTTCTCTCTCAAACTTTTTCTCAATCCTTTGACTCCACTGGACTTTGTCACCCCCACAACCCGGTGTTGGGTCTGATCACACCAACACACCAATACTGATATAATTGGCTAATTGGTATCACCTGGGCTCATTTAATTGGCTGATTGGAATCACCTTGGGCTAATCTAATTGGCTAATTGTATTAACCTTTATGATATAATTGACTAATTGGTATCACATGGGCTCGTTTAATTGGCTGATTGTAATCACCTGGGCTGAGCTAACTGGCTGACTAGGGTCACATGGGCTGAGTTCATTGATTGTGTCTTGAGGAGAATGAGTAAGGTAATAACCTTTTACATACTTTTCTTTTGGGGCTTTTTGTCAAGACATACTCACAAATAGGCATTAATTAGACATATGTATATAAGCCTTTGTGTTTGTTTATGTTTTCCTATATACATGTCTTTTTTTTTTTTAAAATAGAGTTTCATTCTTGCTGCCCAGGCTGGAGTGCAATGGCATGATCTCAGCTCACTGCAACCTCTGCCTCCTGGGTTCAAGTGATTCTCCTGCCTCAGCCTCCTGAGTAACCAGGATTACAGGCATGTGCCACAATGCCCACCTAATTTTTTTGTACTTTTAGTAGAGACAAGGTTTCTCCATGTTGGCCAGGCTGGTCTTGAATTCCCTATCTCAAATGATCTGCCTGCCTCGGCCTCCCAAAGTGCTGGGATTACAGGTGTGAGCCACCATGCCCAGCCATATGTGTCTTATATCTGTTTCCAAATCTACAGAAGAAAGTGTCTGGCCAGGCGCGGTGGCTCACGCCTGTAATCCCAGTACTTTGGAAGGCTGAAGTGGGCTGATCACCAGAGGTCAGGAGTTTGAGACCAGATTGACCAACATGGTGAAACCTTGCCTCTAAGTAAAAATACAAAAATTAGCCAGACCTGTTGGCAGGCACCTGTAGTCGCAGCTACTCAGGAGGCTGAGGCAGTTGAATCACTGGAACCCAGGAGGCGGAGATTGCAGTGAACCAAGATCATAGCACCACTGCACTCCAGCCTGGTGACAGAGCAAGACTCCATTAAAAAAAAAAAACTATGCTTACTTTGTATAAGTTAAATGATGATAGATTTAGGTAATAGCATACATCCATTTGAGTAGCATTCTAGGTATATTTCATACGGCAGAAAATTTTATACCTCTATGGAATTATCTTTGTATATTACTATTGATATCAATTACGATCAACACTTTCACCTTCTACATCTTTATTTTTTGTGAATATAGGTACAAACCTGGATACATCTGGATGTAGGTAGATAAACACACACGTACAGAATTATATAATTATAATTACATAAATGTTTATTAATATACAAGATTTCAGCAAATGACATTTTTAATACCTTAGTATATACTAAGAATGCAGATGTGGACTTACTAGTCTACTTTATGGCACAATAGAAATCCATAATGGAACACAGACATACAATGATGTTTACATAAACAAAGCTTCACTGTCAAAGGCAAGGTCTTGGAAACAAGCTGACAATACAGCAATGTAATGCTTTATGACCAGATTAGAGTCTTTGGGCCCTGCTTTTCTTCTCAGTGTAGAAAAATGCTGTTTAAATCTGCCATTCTGATCTAATGAATCTACAGTCACTATTTAGATTATTGGCTGATTTGATCCACCTGTGCAGAACTATTTGTCTTATTGAAATCAACTAACCTGAGCTAATTGGTTAATTAGATACTTCTGAACTGAACTAATTGACTCATTGGAATCACAGTTCTAACTAACTGGCTGATTGGATTCTCTAGAATTTCTCTAGCTAATTTCCCGATTAAAATCACATGAGCTAGCCAGGTGCGGTGGCTCATGCCTGTAATCCCAGCACCTTGGGAGGCCGAGGCAGGTGGATCACCTGAGCTCGGGAGTGCAAGACCAGCCTGCACAACATGGAGAAACCTTGTCTCTACTAAAAATACAAAATTAGCTGGGTGTGGTGGCACATGCCTGTAATCCCAGCTACTTGGGAGGCTGAGGCAGGGGAATCCCTTGAACCCGGGAGGTGGAGGTTGCAGTGAGCCGAGATCATGCCATTGCATTCCAGCCTGGACGACAGAGTGAGAGACTCCGTCAAAAAAGTAAAATAAAATTACATGAGCTGAGCTTTCTGATTAGGATCACTGAGGCTGAGTTAATTGGCCAATTAGAGTCACCTGGGCTGATCTCATTGACTGATTGAAATTGTTAAGGCTGAGCTAATTGGCTGTTTAAAGTCACCTAGGCTGAGCGAATTACTGATTGGAATCACCTGGATTGAGTCAATTGGCGAAATGTAATCACCTGGGCTGAGCAAATTTACTGATTGTAATTGCCTAAGCTGACATAATTGGCCTAATGGAATCACTTGCGCTGAGCTAATTGGCTAATAGGAATCGCCTGGGCTCAGCTAATTGGCTGATTGAAAACAGCTGACTTGAGCTCATTGGCTTATTAAATTTGCCTCATGGAATCGCATTCATCTATCTTGAGGAGCATGAGTACGGACATAACCTCTGACTTACTTTACATTTGTGAGATGTTATAAAACATAGTCACAAATTCAGGTTACATATGTATGTCTCTATATGTTTCTATGACCCTGGGTCTTTGTATTTTTTTTTTTTTTCTTTTTGAGACAGAGTCTCATTTTGTCACCCAAGCCGGAGTGAAGTGGTGTGATCATGGTTCACTGAAACTTCCACCTCCCATGTTGAAGCAATTCTCATGCCTCAGCCTACCTAGTATCTGGGATTGCAGGTGTGTACTACCATGCTCAACTAAGTTTTGTATTTTTAGTGGAGACGGGATTTTGCCATGTTGGCTCAGCTGGTCTCACCATGCCCAGCTAATTTTTGTATTTTTAGTAGAGATGGGGTGTCGCTATGTTGGCTTGGCTGGTCTTGAACTCCTGGCTTCAAGTGAAGGACCTGCCTTGGCCTCCCAAAGTGCTGGAATTACAGGCATGAGCCACTGCACCTGGCTGTATATATTTCTCTAGCTACATATGTTATATCTGTATCTAAATCCAAAGAAAAAAGCATCTGAAAACACCCTGAAATTTGCTTTCAGTATAGCAGTCCATCTTAAAGTCAGAGACCTCTTGTTTAATTTTCTTACCCAAAATGTTACTACTTGAGCAAACACAACAATATGATAAGATTCTATTTCTGCCAGGCACTGTGGCTCACATCTGTAATCCCAGCAGTTTGGGAGGCTGAGGCAGGCAGATCACCTGAGGTCAGGAGTTGAAGACCAGGCTGACCCACATGGAGAAACCCCGTCTCTACTAAAAATACAAATTTAGCCAGGTGTGTTGTTGGGTGCCTGTAATCCCAGCTACTCGGGAGGCTGAGGCACGAGAATCACTTGAACCTGGGAGGTAGAGGTTTTAGTGAGTCAAGATGTTGCCATTGCACTCCAGCCTCCGCAACAAGAGTGAAACTCTGCAAAAAAAAAAAAAAAAAAAAAAAAAAAAAAGCCGGAAACAGTATCTCATGCCTGTAATCCTAGCACTTTGGGAGGCTGAAGTGGGCAGATCACAAGGTCAGAAATTGGAGACCAGCCTGACCAACATGGTGAAACCCCATCTCTGCTAAAAATACAAGAATTAGCCAGGCGCGGTGGCGTATGTGGTTTTAAACTCAGCTACCCAGGAGGCTGAGGCAGAAGAACTGCTTGAGCCTGGAAGGCGGAGGTTACAGTGAGCTGAGATCGTGCCACTGCACTCCAGCCTGGGTGACAGAGTGAGACTCTGTCTCAAAAAAAAAAGAAAAGAAAGAAAGAAAGAGAAGAAGATTCTATTTCTATGTCACATATTTGAAAATAAAAGCTCTAAAATTGAGGGAAGCTTTAAAGAGAATTATTTCTCATTTGCAAATTTGGATTAAGGCTTTCAAGCTAAGGCTAGTTTATCCATATTTTCCCATTCACCAGAATTAAAAAGGCCATGTTTGACTTGGCAATAAATGACTCGATGGCCTTAGTGCACTTTTGCTAACAGATTGTGAGCAACAAAAACCAATTCTTTCTTTGAAAACATCAAATGCAGCAAGATGCAGGTCAGAGTATACCTCCATTTGTGTACTCTTATGGATAAAATTTAAGGGGCAAATAAGATTTTGCAGTCATTGAAGTTTTTCTTTACATTGCTATAAGTACAAATACCTATTTATCCTTTTACCTCCTATATCTTTACTCTGTATTCATATGGAAAAAATGATAGCTAGATCTGTATATAGACATACATGGGTAGACAGATAAACACACACATATAGAATTATGTGGGTTTGCCTACGTAGATATTTATTTGTACAAAAGATATTAATAAACAAACTTTTTTTTTTTTTAGATGGAGTCTCCCTGTGTCGCCCACCCTGGAGGGCAGTGGTGTGATCTCGGCTCACTGCAAGCTCCGCCTCCCAGGTTCACGCCATTCTCCTGCCTCAGCCTCCCGAGTAGCTGGCACTACAGGCTCCCGCCACTACGCCCGGCTAATTTTTTTGTATTTTTAGTACAGACGGGGTTTCACTGTGTTAGCCAGGATGGTCTCGATCTCCTGACCTCGTGATCCGCCCACGTCGGCCTCCCAAAGTGCTGGGATTACAGGTGTGAGCCACCGCGCCCGGCCTTAACAAACATTTTAAGTTCCCCAGCCTACATTGAGGATGCAGATATAAACTTACTCTCACCTATACGGATCCATACCATCTCAGATTGGACCACAGCCATACAATGTTATGTTTAAACATGAACAAACCTTCACTTTTAGGTGCATGACCCGGGAAGTATGTTTTTGGTAAAGCCATATAAGACTCTAGTTCCAGCTTAGCATTTCAGGGCCCTGCTTCCTTTCTCACCGTATGCCAATGTGATTCATATTTGCCATTTGGGTCCTGCCTGGATGCCTTCACTTTCCCAATTTAGCTAATTGACTTATATCCATCTACGCTGATCTAAGTGGCTCATTAAATTCACGTGGTGTGAAGAAGTTGGGAAGAAAAATGGCGTCTGACCTACTTATTCTCAGGCTTCTCTGCAGGACATATGCAATAATGGAAATTACACTGACATACCTGTGTTACCCATTTTCTGTGTATATGTTTATCTAGCCACCTATCTTATATCTATCTATATATATATATATCTGTGTGCATAAAAAAGACCACAAAGAAGAATAGGTCAGAGGTGATTTTTATTTTATTTTCCATTCAGGCCGGGTAAATCCAATCAGCCATTACCTCAGTGAAGATTTATCAACTCCAAGCCACACATCAAATCACGTTTTGCTAAATGTGAAAATATCCTCATTACTGGCCACCAAGGTGTTTTAAATTCAGTGTCTATTCAAAATAGCCCATGGGGTTCTGTCCATCCAGCTAGGAACCTTCAGACATGCCAGTGGCCCTAACCTTTTTCACAAGGAGCTCTGGCCTGACCAATAAGAACCACCTTTGGTGCTTCAGTGTAGTGTCACTATCACTTGTTTGAAATGCAGCCAAGTAACGTACCATTATATTTGCTTTCAGTATGACAGTCTACTAATAAGAAACCTAGGCTTTTGGTGGGGCATGGTGGCTCATGCCTGTAATCCCAGCACTTTGAGAGGCTGAAGCAGGCAGATCACCTGAGTTCGAGAGTTAGAGATCAGCCTGACCACCATGGTGAAACCCCGTCTCTACTAAAAATACAAAAGTATCCGGGTGTGATGGTGCACGCCTGCAATCCCAGCTACTTGGGAGGCTGAGGCAGGAGAATCACTTGAACCTGGGAGGCGGAGGTTGCAGTGAGCTGAAATCGCGCCATTGCACTGCAGCCTGGGCAACATAAGCAAAACTCCATCTCAAAAAAAAAAAAAAACAAAGAAAAAAAAAAGAAACCTAGGCTTTCTGTCCATTACCATAAAGTCCCTATTTTAGCCACAAAGGCAAAAGGACAACAGTGTACTTTCACATTGCACACTCATGGAAATAAACAAGAGCCCCTGTCTTGATGAAAGTCTTAATGAAAAAGAATAAACATTCTCAAATTTTGGTGAGAAACTTTAGACTGAGGCTGGTTCAGCTTTTGCCCTGTGTGCAACAGAAAGAGAAGGGTAAACATTGATATGGCAATGAATGACTTCCATCACCTTAGTGCATTTTTATCTCCCAGAAGCAAGAAACAAACAAAAAAAAAGCTGCTGCTTTCATATATGTTAAATGAGGCACGATGTATGTTAGAGCATATTTTTATTTGTGTAATATTTGTGATATTGTTTATAGGGCAGATAAACTTATACATATATGGAAGTTACTTTTGTTTTTGTTTTGTTTTTGTTTTTCAGAGTCTTGCTCTGTCTGCCAGGCTGGAGTGCAGTGGCACAATCGTGGATCAATGCAACCTCTGCCTCCAAGATTCAAATGATTCTCTGACCTCAGCCTCCCAAGTAGCTGAGATTACAGGCACTCACCACCCCGCCCGGCTAATTTTTGTATTTTTAATAGAGACAGGGTTTCACCATGTTGGCCAGGTTGGTCTCGAACTCGTGAGCTGAGGTGATCCACCCACCTTGGCCTCCCAGTGTGCTGGAATTACAGGCACGAGCCACCGCACCCGGCTGGAAGTTACTCTTTATCTTACTATTTGTAGCAATGCATATCAATACGAAGATTGACATATCTAGATATAAATATACATAGGAAGACAAACACATAATTATATAAATATTTATATGTAAATACTTATGTATACAAAATACATTCCCCAAAAGACATTTTTAATCTTCTGGCATGCACTAAACATGCTGATGTAGAATTACTTCTTTTTTCTTTTGCTAAGTAACATGTCAGAATGGAACGTAGCCATACAATGTTGTTTATGTAAATATCAACAAAGCTTTAACTTCAAGGGCAAGTCTACAGAAATAAGCTGAAAATAAAACCATGTAACTTATCTGTCCAGGTTAGTATTTCAGTGCCCTGCATGTCTCCTCAGTGTGTGCATGTTCTGTTCACATCCACCATTTGGGGCCTGCCTTGATAAAGCCACAGTCTCTATTTAGATAATTGGATGATTGGATCCACCTCATCTGAGCTAATTTGCTGGTTGGAATCACCTGGGCTGTGCAAATTGGCTGATTACAACCACCTGGGTTCTGCTAATTTGCTTATTTAATTTACCTCGGCTTCAGGGGTAGAATACGGAGATGTCATCTGATCTGCTTTATTTCTGAGCCTTTTTGTTTGTGAGATCTATGCACAAATAAACATTACGTAGACATATCCATGTGACTCATTTTATGTGTATATGTTTATCTAGCCATCTATTTTATATGTACAGAAATAAGCCTGTAAAATAAACTTGGTCAGAGGTTATTTTCATTTCTTAACCTACAGTTAGGTAAATTCAATCAGCTACTTACCTCAGTGAAGATTTATTCAAACCAAGCCACACGCCACATCACATTTTTTTCCACAAGTGTAAAAATGTTCTTAATAACCTGGCACCTGGGTGTTTTTAATTCTGGTCTCATTAAAACAGCCCAGTGAGGTTTTGTTCATCTATCTAGGAACCACCAAAAATGCTTGACATTAGTGGGCTGAGCCTTCCTCACAAAGAAGATTTGATGTGGTAAATAAAAGCCACCTGTGGCACTTAGGTGAATGTTCATTATCACCCATTTGAAATGTGGCCAAGTACCATGCACCATTATATTTGCTTCCATCATCACCATCTTTCTTCTAAAAAGAGACCTAGACTTCTTTTGCATTACCATAAATACCCGACTTCAGCCACAAAGACAAAAAAGACAAGGGTGTGATTTTACATCACAAAGTGCTGGGATTACAAGTGTGAGCCACCGCACCCAGCAAAAGTATAATCTTTCATAAAACATTAATGGATTTTAATAAAAACAAGCATATGCATCAATAATGCTTGTGGTAAAATAAAGATTCATTTTGTTGATTTCTATTGAGCTCCCAAATATTTGATCAAAAGCTAGCAAATATACAGCAGAACAGGAATATTATTCTAAATAAGAATATTGTGAATGATTATTTTGTCAATATAAGTAAAAATATGACCTCACACTAATAGTCTCGCCTATAGTTGTACAACATCAAGTGCTATGTTTTATTTAAAATTGTATTTCATATAAGTATTCAATTTATATCACCCTCCTTTGCTATTTCAATGCCTTCTCCACTTTATATCAGTGGAAAACAGGCCAGCAGGTCCCAGGAAAGCACGTGGTGCTATTGCTGCTTTAACAATGATCGTGAAGAGCACTTGTTTGGGTGCTACTAACGTGTCAAATACTGTTATTTGGCTTAAAGTACTGGTTTTCTATTTTTTTATAAATGTACTAGTAATACAAATTTGTTAGCTAAGAAGACTTTATCTTATTCAAATATGTTTTATGGGATTTCATTGACATTTAAGTGTCTGAATTATCTGGAACATTGAAATTCTCCATAAACCCAAATTGAGTACTATAATCATTTACTAAAAGCTTTTCTGAGGCAGAGTAAGATTTATAACATTTTATTATCATATGGAAGAAGTGTGTTAACCATGTTTTCAGTAATCACTCTGAACACAGCATTCTCAGTTCCCAGTATGCACCCTGAGTCACTCAGGGGAAACTGGTTTCTCTGTGAAGAGGCAGAAGAAAATGCTGAGTGGAGGCACCACACTGCACAGCAATGCTTTCCATATGCACCTATGAGGGTCTTCATTTAATTGGACTGTTATTTGCATGGCTAGATACTTACTGAATTTAGTCATACTAGTTTTTAGCAGCTAATGGCTTCTGTTACCCATTAATTTTATACATTGGCTTTTTTGAAAAACAAGTCATTTGTTAATTTACTCTAAATTGAGACTACATTTACAACTTCAATTTTTCAGTGTTAAAGCAAATCAGAGAAGAGCAATGTGTGTATATAGTGTGCATTTTCCTGCCTATCAAAATTCTTCCTTCATTGCCTTGGAAACCCTGGGCAGCCACCAATAAAATACTCCCTTTGAATACTTTAGCAAGGATTTTAGATTTCAAAAGGTCAAAAACCATCATTGAGCAAAGCCAAAATCTTGTCTTTGTTTCTTGCTAATTATCTGGCCATTTCCAAAAGCATGGAAATTATGCCAAGCCATTGAAAAGATGTGGTTTTGATTAATTTTATCCCATGTCAAATGTTTTCTCTAATTGTTACTTTTGTCATGTTAATCTAAAACAAACCATCTACATAACTAATCATGCATTCAATATTCATGTTAAGGTGTTTACAGTTTAATATTATATTACAGTATAGTAGAATCCTCTATAATTAGAAGTTAATTATTTATAAATGTATTGTTTTTAAGGTTTTTCAAAAGTGAAAACAAATAATTAGGAATGCTTTTTGAAATAAGTTCAATTCTAGGACATTACCCACTGGTCTTCATGGTATTTCTGTAATGAATACTGTAAACCTGGGTCACCAGAATGGTGCAGACATGCTGATTGAATTAGAATGAGTTCAGCCTTGTTGGTAGACTATTGGTATCCCAGAGGCTGATCATTCACTACAGCTTACTAAATGTAGTTCCATAATGCCAGAGAGCACTTTTACCCAGGTTACCTTTTTCCTCCCATTAATTTGGTCCTGTTGTGGTCTCCTCTTTCTCTTAAGCTATCCCAGATGAGAGGTGATTATTTCTTGCATGAATGAATTTCCCTTTTCTTCCCCCTCTGCCATAGGATCCTCTTATTCTCCCTACTGGAAGCAACATCCAGGAGGCAGGAATGATGACAATATACAAACATGTTTCCTGCCATGTGACCACCATAAGCAGCTTACAACATGGCCCACCTAGAAGTCACTGACTTTAAAGCCAGCAGGGGTGATTTTCTGTGATGTGTCTCTTTCCCTTAAAAGCACCTATGATTAAGATTAGCACAATCAGGATAATCTCCATTTTGATAACACAAAGTCAACACATGAGTAACCTAATTTCATGAGTAATTTCCCACCACAGTCACACATCTTTTTACACTCAAGAGGAAAGTATTACACAGCAGGTGTGCAACAGACTGGGAATCCAGGGTATTATCTTAGAATGTTGCCTACCCAACTGAATAAGCTTTTAAAATATTCTTTCTGCTGTTTTTGTTATCTACATAAACAAAGCTGTCATCTGCAAATAATAATTAACTCCTTTCCAGTTTTATTCATCACAAATATTAACTAACATCTTCTTTCTGGCTTATTTTTCCTTTATGTACTATTTTATACATTCACACACACATAGAACAATAAAAATCTATCCACTTAGTCAATTTTAGTGAAATTTACATTAAAATAAATGTTAGAAATAATTGTTTTCTGTTTGAAGAGGGCTTTTATTGTT
This sequence comes from Homo sapiens, assembly GCF_000001405.40. Classification (NCBI taxonomy): domain Eukaryota; kingdom Metazoa; phylum Chordata; class Mammalia; order Primates; family Hominidae; genus Homo; species Homo sapiens. The sequence goes on along the minus strand of NC_000019.10, from coordinate 20,699,402 downwards.
GTACTCAAGAGTGTTATCTCTGGAGAGAAAGTTGCCTGTGCTTTAATAGGCAGATTCTGGGGAGAATCCGAACCATAAGTCATAAAATTTTACATTAATAAATTCAAGACAAAGCAGAAAGTATAGATTTGCTTTCAGCATTTTCATGGTGTTTAGTTTTCTATTAGTCACCTAATTAATTTGTTTTGTTCCAATAATTGCACTTTTCTTCTAAAAATATGTACAAACTCATACACAAACACACTCACTTTATAATTTTCTTACATCTAAGGTTTATCTTCAGAGTAATATGTGTATACTTAACTCTATGTAAATTAAAAGTCTATATGATTGCATGCAGAGAGACCACATGTTCAAAGAAAACTATATAACAAATATTTATTAATAATTTTTCAGGACTCAGAAATGTATGAATTTTATTTCTATTTCTGTTTATTTTATTTATTTATTTTTTGAGATGGAGTCTCTTCTGTCACTGAGGCTGGAGTGCAGTGGTGCAATCTCAGCTCATTGCAACCTCCATCTCCTGGGTTCAAGCGATTCTCCTGCCTCAACCTCCAGGCATGCGCTGCTAATTTTTATATTTTTATATTTTTAATAGAGATGGGTTTTCACCATGATGGCCAGCCTGGTCTTGAAATCCTGACCTTAGGCAATCCACCTGTCTTGGCCTCTTAATGTTCTGGGATTACAGGCATGAACCCCTGCTCCTGGCTGTATTCTATTTATATTTCTGTATAATTTTTATTATAACCATAAAAATAACCCTGTAGTCCATAAGAATTTAATTGTACATTTTACAATAAATAATAAAGTGTATAATTACACTGTTTGTAATAGAAAGAATAAATGCTAGAGATGATGGATGCTCTATTTACCCTAGTGTAATTACTACGTATTGTATGCTTGAATACAAATATGCCATATAAGGCATAAATATATACACATACTGTATACACACAAATACTAATAATAAATTTCAGTAAGAAAAAAGAGTAAAAATTTAACCTATAAGAACAGTATTCTTCAACTCATTTGCAGTTTAAAGCCACTGGCAAAGTGATTACTAGAGATGTTATTCCACTATGCACCAAATAGTATATTGCTACCATCTTTTACCTACACCCTTAAGTAATGTGGGATAGGCTAAATTTAGTTGCATAATAATGCTTCATTCAATGCACAGTAGTCTTAACATGGTAAAAAAAATAAGTTCACACATAATCTAACAATTTTTAAATGTACTGCATTTTATTACATAAAAGTACAACCAGTAAAATTACTAATTTATTTTAATATACTTTTAACTATAATTAATAATTTCTCTCACTATAATATAGAAAAGTATTACTCTGAACATCTACCATATGCATTACTTAATATAGGTTAACTACAAAGAACCTCTCCACTTATATTTTCATCAGGCATCTTTCATTTTAATGTCCTTACTCTTTTATAGAAAAGGTCATAAATATGCCCAATTAATAAAAAAGAATCTCTAATATCTCGATGCAGCAACAATTGATCACATGCTTTCACACGTGAATACGATAGGAATAAAATAACAGCACAAAGTAATTTGAAAGCTGTATTACATCATTATTCACTTTTCAAAAAATTTTTTTCAAGGAAACAAGTATACTTTCAATGTAATTACAATGCTTCAAAAAATCTACTCCTTTTATAGTTACATACAAATAATTTATCTAACAACTTTAGTCGTGGATTAGTTTTTATACTCAACACTCTAAGTGTAATGTCTGAAGTGTCAGTGCCTTAGTTATTCTAGTGTAAATTCTCTGATATTTACATAGAATCAATTTTGAATTAAGCATTTTTTCTTATTTACTGCAACGGCAAAAATATACTTTAGTATAAACTCTCTGGTGTTTTACAAGCTGTAGTTTTTGTAAAAAAAAAAATGTCTCTCCAAATTCATTACATTTGCAGGACTTTTCTCCAATATAAAATCCCTGATGTTGAACAAAGCTTGAGCAACTGCTTAGGGATTATCCTCTAGTACAAAATGATTGCAATAAGATCTGTGATACAAGTAAAGGTACCACAACCTCCTTTATATTTGTAATGGTTGTCTTCAGAATAAATTTTTTTTCACTTTAAAGGTTTATATTTTCTGAAAGATTTTTTGACAGTAATTGTACTTTTAATGCTTTTATTAATTATGAATCTTCTTATGTTGAGTAAGATGTGAGTAGGCATTAATGGTTTTTCCATATTCTTTATATTTGTACGATTTTTCTCAAAGATACTAGCTTTACTATGAAATAAGGTGTAAGCACTGATGAAAAGTTTTGCCACATTCTTCACACTTGTAGGAGTTTTGGCAGTATGAATTATCTTATGTACAATCAAGCGTGGCAACCATATAAAGGCTTTTTCACATTTTATGTATTTCTAGAGTTTCATACCAGTATAATTTTTTTTATGTATAGAAAAGTTGGAGGGGTTGCTAAAAGCACTTTCACATCTTTCAGGTTTGTAGAGCTCCTCTTCAGCATGAATTATCACCATGTCTCTTAAGAATTGAGAACTTGTGGCTGGGCATGGTGGCTCATGCCTGCAGTCCCAGCACTTTAGGAGGCTTAGGCGGGTGGATCACCTGAGGTCAGGAGTTTGAGACCAGCTTGGGAAATATGGTGAAACTCCATCTCTACTAAAAATACAAAAATTAGCTGGGTGTGGTGGTGGGCACCTGTAATCCCACTTACTTGGGAGGCTGAGGCAGGAGAATGGCTTGAACCCAGGAGGCGGAGGTTGCAGTGAGCCGAGATTGTGCCATTGCACTCCAGCCTGGGTGACAAGACTGAAACTCTGTCTCAAAAAAAAATAAAAATGAGAACTTGTTATAGGCTTTGCCACATTTTTCACACTTGTAGGTTTCTGTCCAGTATAAATTATGTGTAATGAGGGTTGAGAACTTCCTTAAAAAGCTTTGTCACATTCTTGGTTTCTGTCCAATATGAATTATCATATGTTTATTAATGTCTGAGGATCAGTTAAAAGCTTTGCCACATTCTTCACATTTGTACGGTTTCTCTGCAGTAGAAATTCTCTTATGTGTAGTAAGGTGTGAGGACCAGCTGAAAGCTTTGCCACATTCTTCACATTTGTACGGTTTCTCTGCAGTAGAAATTCTCTTATGTGTAGTAAGGTGTGAGGACCAGCTGAAGGCTTTGCCACATTCTTCACATTTGTAGGGTTTCTCTCCTGTATGAATTATCTCATGTTTACTAAGGGTTGGTGATTAAATAAAGGCTTTGCCACATTTATCACACTTGTGTGATTTCTCTCCAGTGTGAATTTTCCTATGTGAAAAAAGTGTTGTGGGATGGTTAAAAGCTTTGCCACATTCTCTACATCTGTAGGGTTTCTCTCCAGTATGAAGTATCTTATCTGTAGTAAGGGTAGAGGAGTACATAAAGGCTTTGCCACATTCTTCACATTTGTAGGGTTTCTCTCCTTTATGAATTATCTTATGTGTGGTAAGTTGAGAGGAGTTCTTAAAGACTTTGTCACATTCTTCATATTTGTAGGGTTGCTCCTTAGTATAAATTATCTTAGGTGTAGTAAGGGGTGAGGACCAATTGTAGGCTTTGCAACATTCTTCACATTTGTAGGGTTTCCCCTTAGTATGAATTATCTTATGTGTAGTAAGGTTAGAGGACTGCTTAAAGGTTTTGGCACATTCTTCACATTTGCAGAGTTTCTCTCCAGTATGAATTATCTTATGTGTAGTAAGGTGTGAGGACCAGTTGAACGCTTTGCCACATTCTTCACATTTGTAGGTTTCTCTCTAGTATAAATTTTCTTATATGTAGTAAGGGTTGAGGACTGGTTAAAAGCTTTGCCACATTCTATACATTTGAAAGGTTTTTTCCAGTATGTCTTCTTTTATGTCTGTTTGAATTTGAAAATTTATGAAAGACTTTCATATATTTATCACATTGAAATATTTTGCTCTGGGTATTTGTGAAACATTGGTTAAGTCCGTTACAACCTCTTTTGTGCACCTCACACTCATCCATATTTTCACAGCCTTTTTTTTTACTGTAAATTGTCATGTCCATTTTTTTCATATCTTCTCAGTATCACTTTTTGGAAAGATTCTTTTATTCTCTGCTCTGGCCAAAGGTCTTGGGCAAAATGAGACCACATAACCAAAAGAAACAATAAAAACACATTACTTCAATTGCTAGACTCAGATAAATATACTTTACAAATCTAACCTATAAAATTATACAAACTACATAAGCAAGATGACATAGGAAAATACCACAAGCTGTAATTTCTTCCTGGACATATAAATTTAACAAAAACATACTGACCAAAATACATTTGTAACAAATTTATAAATAAGTTACGTGTATGAACGGCCCCAGGTGAGCACAATGCAAACAGCCACATAGAAGAAAAAGTAAAGTCTGTTACTTATACCCAACACAGGTCCTCCTGCTCTCCAGTATAACATTGTGCTTTTAAAAGTAAAAAGCTGGCTGGACTTGGTGGCTCATGCCAGTAATCCCAGCTCTTTGATAGGCTGACATCGGTGGATCATGAGGTCAGGAGTTCAAGACCAGCCAAGATAGTGAAACCCCATCTCTGCTAAAAATACAAAAAATTAGCCGGTCATGGTATTGGGTGCTTGTAGTCCCAGCTACTCGAGAGACTGAGGGAGAGAGTTGCTTGAACCCAGGAGGCGGAGGTTGCAGTGAGCCAAAATTGTGCCACTGCACTCCAGCCTGGGCAACAGAAAGAGACTCCGTCTCAGAAAACAAAAAGAATAATAAATAAATCAAATCAAATCAAATCAAATCAAATCAAATATATTGAATAATATTCAGTAAGTGAAATAGGAACACAGACAACTTCTGAAGATTAGAAAAATGAGGATAACAACAAGAAATATTAAAAAGGAAAAAAAAGGCCAGGCACGGTGGCTCACGCCTGTAATCCCAGCACTTTGGGAGCCCAAGGCAGGTGGATTACCTGAGGTCTGGAGTTCAAGATCAGCCTGGCCAATGTGGTGAAACCCTGTCTCTACTAAAAATACAAAAACCAGCTGGATGTGGTGGTGGGCACCTGTAATCCCAGCTACTCGGGAAGCTGAGGCAGGGGAATTGCTTGAACCCAGGAGGCGGAGGTTGCAGTGAGCCGAGATCATGCCATTGCATTCCAGCCTGGGCAACAGGAGCAAAACTCTGCATCAAAAAAAAAAAAAAAAAGCAAAAAAAATCGTGAATATAAATAATACAAAAAAATAACTGAAAATTTCTTAAAACATGATATAAAGATGAAGAAGCTAAACAAACTAGGATACACCAAAGATATTCATAACAAATACACATATAAATAAAATTTCAAAAATCACAGATAAGAAGAAGAGAATTTTGGGAGGTGCAAGATAAAAATGATGTGTTATTTATAAGCATGGTTTCATGAGATAATCAGTGAATTTATTAAAAAATTTGCAGGTCAGAAGGAAGCTATGTGATATTGTTAAAGTTATAATTAAAAAAAAACTGTCAAGTGGGAATGAGAATATCAGGAAAATTGTACTCTCAAATAAAAAGAAGTCCTTCCAAAGTAACCAAATCCTGAGAAAGTATATTGGCACTGCATATGTCCTACATATCAAAGATGCTGAAAGGAGTTTCTTCCACTGAAAATAATATAATGCAAGAAAACAACACTTAATCATATGAAAATACATAAATTTCTGGAAAAAATATGTACATACACAAAAATAAAAGTTCTTACTTAACATTATCATAATGGTGCAGAAAACATTGTTAGTTATTTTCTAAAATTTAAAAGATAAAAGTATAGGAATTACTATAAACATCTGTTAATGAATATACAACATAAAAAATATAATTAGCAAAATCATAACAAAGTTGAAGGCTGATGTAATGATGAAGAATTTTTGTATGCAACTGAAGCTGATTCTTTATCACAAACAAATATATTGTTGGATCTTTTAGAGGTTTTATGTAATCCTTGAAAGTACCACTTAGAAAATATCTGTATAGATACATAAAAAAGAAATAAGACAAAAACAGAAAGCATGTTATTGCGGGATCTGGCCAGCAGCCCGCAATGCAATGGGGCTCTTTCTTTGTTCCCAGGTGGATCGGCAGGTCAAGAAATAAAAGACACACACAAGATAGTGAAAGTTGAGTCCAGGAGGGTCACCGCCTTCTGGTCCTGCCATGCTGCCAATGCACTGGATATACCAGCATTTATTATTAAGTTTAGTGAGGGTGGGGGTAGGTTAATGAGGGATTTAGAGTCGTTTGATTATGAGGTGAGATGGTCACATGGGAATGAAGTAATTCTTTAACATAACATCAATATGCAGAAGTACAGTATACAGAGATAAGAATTTACAATATAGTGTGTGCATCAGCAATTTTTAACAGAGCCTTAAAACGGAAACCCCGTCTCTCCATAATCTATGATTAATGATGAGCAAGATATTAATCAGTAGTAATAATTACAGCAAAAGCTGGTTGCAAACAATCAATAAAAGGAGGATGTAAAACTAGACAACCGATTAGACCACAAATTCTCAGAAGGGAGTATGTCTTAACCCTAAAGAGACCTAGAAGAGCCATGGCAAGATAAGGGCGTTTATAGCCCGATGTTATCCATATGAACAGGCACCCCTCATGCATCCATTTGTAGGCTCTCCACAAGGGTCGCATTCCATTCCCAGAGCTATGAATATCTGCTTTTCTGGGATAGGAATCTTGGTGATGTGAAACCTTCCTGACTGCACATCCGTTTATAGGCTCTCTGCAGGGCGAAGCACATCACGCACTGTTGGCTCATTCTGGCAGCCCAACCTGGCATTGTCTTTACACAATCCTGCATGTAATTTTGTATTTACAACTATCAGGAGCATTTCATCTTTCATTCCATAGCCATAGTTTCAGGGGGTCTCCCTACAGCATGTCAATATAAAAATAAAAATAAAAAAACACAAAAAAGAAAGAGAAAATGAGAGACAAAGATACAAAAATCAAATAACACAATTAATAAAATAACATTAGTAAGTTTTTCTCTCTCAAAAAACCATTTTAATATATATATAATTATCTTTCCAATCAACAGACATACTTTCAATATAAAGGTTTATTAAAAAATTTTTAAATCAAGATTCAACTTGCCTTTCTACAAGAGTTAGTTGAGATCTAATGAGAAAAAAAGACTGAAAGTGGAAAGATGGAAGTAGAAATTTCATGTAAATATTAACCAAATGAGAGCAGAAGAGCTCAGAATAATATTACACAAGCTACATCTTAAGTCAAAAACTGTCATATTTTATAAAATGTACTTTAAGTCAAATCTTCAAAATGACAAAGAAGCATGCAGCATGGTTAAACGCTTTGCCACATTCTTCACACTTGTAGAGATGCTCTCCAGTATGAATTATCTTATGTGTAGTGAGGTTCGAGGAGTACTTAAAGGCTTTGCCACATTCTTCACATTTGTAGGGTTTCTCTCTAGTATGAGTTATCTTATATGCAGTAAGGTATGAGGACCAGTTGAAGGCTTTGCCACATTCTTCACATTTGTAGAGTTTCTCTCCAGTATGAATTCTCTTATGTATAGTAAGGTATGAGGACCAGTTGAAGGCTTTGCCACATTCTTCACATTTGTAGGGTTTCTCTCTAGTATGAATTTTCTTATGTGTAGTAAGGGTTGAAAACTTGTTAAAAGCTTTGCCACATTCTATACATTTGAAAGGTCTTTTTTCCCGTATGTCTTCTCTTATGTCAGTTTGAATTTGAAAATTTATGAAAAACTTTCCTATATTTATCACATTGAAATATTTTTTTCTTGGTATTTGTGAAGCATTGGTTAAGTCCATTATAACCTTCTTTGTGCACCTTACACTCATCCACACTTTCACATTCTTTTTTTAACTGTAAATTGTCATGTCCACATTTTTCATAACTAACTTCTCAGTATCAGTTTTTGGAAAGAATCTTTTACGCTCTGCTCTGGCCAAAGGTCTTGGGCAAAATGAGAACACATAACTGAAAGAAACAATACAAATACATTACTTCAGTTGCTAGACTCAGATAAATATACTTTACAAATCTAACCTATAAAATTATACAAACTACATAAGCAAGATGACATAGCAAAATACCATAAGCTGTAATTTCTTCCTGGACATATAAATGTAACAAAAACATACTGACCAAAAAACGTTTGTAAAAAATGTATAAATGAGTTAAGTGTGTGAAGGGCCCCAAGTGAGCACAATGCAAAGAGCCACATAGAAGAAAAAGAGGTCTGTTACTTATACCCAACACAGCTCTTCCTGCTCTCCATATAAGATTGTGTCTTCAAAAGTAAATTGCCAAATGGATGTGGTGGCTTATACCTGTAATCCCAGCACTTTGGGAGGCTGATGTGGGTGGATGACTTGAGGTCAGGAGTTCAAGACCAGCCCGGCTGAGATGGTGAAACCCCATCTCTACTAAAAATACAAAAAATTAGCCAGGCATGGTGGTGGGTGCCTGCAATCACAGCTACTCGGGAAGCTGAGGCATGAGAATTGCTTGAACCTGGAAGGCGGAGGTTGCAGTGAGCAGAGATCGTGCCACTGCACTTCAGCCTGGGCAAAAGAGAGAGACTTCATCCCCTGCCCCTCCAAAAAAAAAGTAAATTGCTGACCAGGCATGATGGCTCAAGCCTGTAATCTCAGAACTTTGGGAGGGCAAGGCGGGAGGATTATCTGAGATCAGGAGGTTGAGACCAGCCTGACTAACATGGTGAAATCCCATCTCTACTAAAAATACAAAAAATTAGCCAGGCTTGGTAACAGATATGTGTAATCCTAGCTACTTGGGAGGCTGAGGCAGGAGAATTGCTTGAACTGTGGTGGCAGAGATTGTAGTGAGCCAAGATCATGCCACTGCACTCCAGCCTAGGTAACAGAGTGAGACTCTGTCTCACACATACACACACATGTAAATTGCCAACCCCTCGTTTTTAAAAACAAAACAAAAAAAAACTAGAAAAATATTGGCACATATATCTTTATTTCTGGCTTCTAGGGGCTTTCTTAGACATTAGTTAATGTTTCTCGTGACATAAAATGCTGAAAGAAATGGTGATACATGTTGGAATGACAGTTTGAGTCTGCTGAGTCTGAAGGTATATTACAGAGAAGCAGAGAAACTGCAGTACCCCAAACAGGGAATGGGTGTGGCAAGTGATTACAGATTATTAAGAAGAAATGTGAACAAGCTGATTTATCTAAACAATAAAAACAAAATTTTAGACAAGATACATCCTAAAAACATGTTTGAGGAATTCCCAGAATCTTTAGCCAAGACAATTGACTTCAGACTACGCAAACACAAAGCTATATTATAAAGATTGTAACAGGTAGCTTTTTGTTAATGTCCAAATCTCAATCAAAGATTATAATGTATACCAAATATTAGAACAATATGGCCCCATCAAAAACATAAAATTTTCTAAAGCAACCATAGAAAGTATAGAAAGTAATTTTAAAAATTCAAAATAGATTGAACAGGCCAGGGTTAGTGGCTCATTTCTGGAATCCCAACACACTGGGAGATCAAGGTGGGAAAATCACATGAAGTCAGGAGTTTGACACCACCCTGGCCAACATGATGAAACCCTGTATCTACTAAAAATACAAAGATTAGCTGGGCATGGTGGCATTTGCCTGTAATCACAGCTACTTGGGAGGCTGACACAGGAGAACTGCTTGAACCTGGGAGGGGAATGTTGCAGTGAGTGGAGATTGTACCACTGTACTGCAGCCTGAGCAACACTGTCTCAAAAATACAATGAAAAAGGCTGGGCTTTGTGGCTCGTGCCTGTAATCCCAGCACTTCAGGAGGCCAAAGTGGGTGGATCATTTGAGGTCAGGAGTTCAAGATCAGCCTGGCCAACATGGAGAAACCCCGTCTCTACTAAAAATACAAAAAATTCGTTGGGCGTGATGGCAGGCAGCTGTAATCCCAGCTACTCGGGAGGCTGAGGCAGGAGAATCGCTTGAACCTGGGAGGCAGAGTTTGCAGTTAGCCGACATCACGCCACTGCACTCCAGCCTCAGCGACAGAAAAAGACTCCGTATCAGAAAAAAATAGAAACACAGACAACTACCGAAGATCAGAAAAATAAAGATAAAAAAATTAAAATACCAAAAATTGTGGATATAAAATTACCAAAAAACTGAAAAATTTCTTAAAAGAAAATATGACGTAAACATGAAAAAGCTGAAAAAACAAATTTAGGTACACACAAAGATAATAACAGACACAAATATAAGCAAAATTTCAAAATGGCATATGAGAAAAGAATTTTGGGCACTACAATATAAAAATGTTTCATTTATAAGCATAGTCTCATGAGATAACCAGTGAATTTATCAAAAAAAAATTTGCAAGTCAGAAGGAAACTGTGTGATATTGTTAAAGTTATAATAATTTTTAAAAAGCTGTCAAGTGGGAATAATACCATCAGCAAAATTGTACTACCAAATACAAAGACGTCCTTCCAAAATAACCAAATCCTGAGAAAGTATATTGACATTGCATATGCTCTACATATCAAAGATGCTGAAAGGAGGTTCTTTCACTGAAAATAACATAATGCAATATGCACATACACAAAAATGAAATTTATTACTTAACATTATCATAATGATACAGAAAACATTTTTAATTATTCTCTAAAATTTAAAAGGTAAAAGTATAGACATGATTATAAACATCTGTTAATGAACATAAAACATAAAAAAATAAAATTAGCAAAATCAATAACAAAGTTGAAGGCAGACGTAATGATGAAGAATTTTTGTATGCAATTGAAGTTAGTTTTTTACCATATTCAAATATATTGTTGGATCTTTCAGAGGTTTTATGTAATCCCCCAAGGTATCTAAGAAAATATTTATATAGATACACAAAAGAAAGTAAGAAAAAAACTGAAAGCATATCAATACAGAAATAAAAAAACACAAAAAAAGACAGAAAGAGAAAATGAGAGAAAAAGATAGAATCAAATAAAATGATTAATAATATAACATTAGTAAGTTTTTCTCTTTCAGAAAACCATTTAAATATATATATAATTATCTTTCCAATCAAGAGACATACTTTCAATAAACAGGTTTATTAAAAAGTGTTTAAAATCAATGTTCAACTTGCCTTTCTACAGGACTCAGTTGAAATCTAATGACAAAAAAGACTGAAAGTGAAATAATGGAAGTAGAAATGTCACGTAAATATTAACCAAATGAGAGTAGAAGAGGTCAAAATAATATTATACAAGATACATGTTAAGTCAAAAACTGTCATATTTTATAGAATGTACTTTAAGTTCAAACTTCAGAAAGACAAAGGACATTAAATAATATATAGATTCATTCACTGAGAACCTATGACAAATTTATTTATCCATGTGTGTATTTGTGTGTGTGTGTCTCAAACTAGGGTTTCAAATATATAAAGCAAACACTAACAAAATTGGATAAACACAGAGAGAGCAATATAATTATAGTAGGATATTTCAATACCCCACTTTCTGTAATAATAATAAAACAAGACATAATATTAATAATGGAACAGAGGACTAGAAGGCAGTAAAAAACACTTATTTCTAATGAAGGTATAGAGAACACTCCTCAACAGCATCAAAATACACAGCCTTCTCAATAGCTCAAACAACATTCTCCTATATAGACCACCTGTTAGTCCAAAAACAAAATCTTAACACATATATATATATATTTGAGATGGAGTGTTTCACTCTTGTTACCCAGTATGGAGTGCAATGGTGCAGTCTCAGCTCACTGCAACCTCTGCCTCCCAGGTTCAAGTGATTCTCCTGCCTGAGGCTCCTGAGTAGCTGGGATTACAGGCATGCACCACCACGCCCAGCTAATTTTGTATTTTTAGTAGAGGCACGGTTTCTCCATGTTGGTCAGGCTGGTCTTGAACTCCTTACCTCAGGTGATCTGCCTGCGTTGGCCTCCCAAGTGCAGGGAGTACAGGTATGAGCCACCGCGCCCAGCCTCAACACATTTTCTAAAATGTAGATTTTATAGATTACTTTCTATGACAAAAAATGAAATTAGAATATAAAACAATAATATAAATATTTGATAAATTTACAAATATATAGAAATCATATGACACACTCTTGAGCATGCACTTGTTGAAATTACTGGGCTGGGTGCGGTGGCTCATGCCTGTAATCCCAGCACTTTGGGAGGCCGAGGTGGGTGAATTTAACTCCATCTCAAAAACAAACAACCAAAAAAGAAAGAATTAATACTGTGAAGATGTCTGTACTGCTCAATTTAATCTACAGATTTAACTCAATGTTTTTCAAATGTCTCATTGCATTTTTGAAGAAATAAAAACAACAAATCCAAAAGTATATGGAATCTAAAGAGACAAGAAAGTACCCAACAATCTTCAAAAAAAGGAACAACGTTGGAGGCTTTACCATTTCTGATTTCAAAACACATCAAAAAGCTACAGAATTAAAACAATTGGTATGAGTATAAAGGTGAAAAATTAGAAAAATAAAACAGAATGCAGTACATATATTAACTTTCACATAACTATTGCAGCATTGTGACTGAAAGCCAATAGGTAAAAGCAATGCAAATTTCTGTCACCAAATCATTCAGTAGGTACAAAAATACTGGAATATCACTCAGTGAGCCACTGCACCCGGCCTAGAAATATTTTATTGTAAATTTTGTTATGTTTTTGACACAAAATACATAAGTAAAAATAATACCTAAGAGAGATACAGAGTTATTATAGTTTTTAAATTATCTTCAAATCCAAAAGTGTTTCTTTCACACAAAACAATGTAGATTCACAAATAAATAGATGTTGAAATTAGGAGATTTTTTATGACTACTCATCTAGACAGGATTAAAAAACTGTTATAGGCTTGGTGCAGTAGCTCATGCCTGTAATCCCAGCACTTAGGGAGGCTGAGGTGGGTGGATCACCTGAGGTCGGGTGTTCGAGACCAGCCTGACCAATGTTTAAGCCCCATCTCTACTAAAAATACAAAATTAGCCTGGCATGGTGGTGCATGCCTGTAATCCCAGCTACTTGGGAAGCTGAGGCAGGAGAATTGCTAGAACCCAGGAGGCAGAGGTTGCAGTGAGCTAAGATCCCACCATTATATTCCAGCCTGGGCAACAAGAGCAAAACTCTCTCTCAAACAAACAAACAACAACAAAAAACTCCAAAAAACCTACTACAAGAAACACACAACAAATATACAAGTGACACAAAAATACCAGGATAAAATTTATACAGGCCAACAAACATAGAAATAATTATACTGGTAATAGACATACAGCTTATTCACATTTAATTTTGCTCCACACTGTCTTAAATTGTACAGAGTTAAATATTGTCATATACAATTATAATATAAACTAAAAAATCAAAACACAACTAACTGCTGTGATGTGGCATACCCAAAAATATATAACACAATAATATAAAATCACAAAACAAAATTAACACATGGAATGTAAAACTTATTGGATACCATCAAGCAGATCAATGTATTCATGAAAGGAATCTTAGAATATAGAGAAAAAGTAATACAGACATTACTTGAAGATTAAAAAAAAAAAAAAGCTGAGAACTTCCCAAATTTTAATGTAACAAAAAAAAATTTCTAACCAGTAAAACTCAATTCAAAATTACACTACTTCAATAAGAAGACAAAAATAAAGACTTTCCAAAATAAAAGGTGAGACTGTTCATCACCACTAACAGTTCTACAAAATATACTACATGGGGCTGGGCACACTGGCTCACGCCTGTAATCCCAGCAGTTTCAGAGGCCGAGGTGGGTGAATTGCCTGAGATCGGGAGTTCAAGACCAGCCTGAACAATACGGTGAAACTGCGTCCCTACTAAACATGCAAAAATTAGCTGGGCGTGGTGGTGCACACCTGTAGTCCCAGCTACTCAGGAGGCTGAGGCAGGAGAATCACTTGAACCCAAGAGGCGGAAGTTGCAGTGAGCCAAAATCATGCCATTGCACTCCAGCCTGGGCGACAGAGCAAGACTCCATCTCAAAAAAAAAAAAAAAAAGTGCCAGGTGAGATGGCTCAAGCCTGTAATCCCAGCACTTTGGGAGGCCAAGGCAGTTGGATCATCAAAGGTCAGAAGTTCGAGATAAGCCTGGCCAACATGTTGAAACCCCATGTCTACTAAAAATAATAATAATAATAAAAATTAGCCCAGCATGGTGGCATGCACCTGTAACCCCAGCTACTCGGGATGGAATCTGAGGCAGGAGATTTGCTTGCACCTGGGAGGCGGAGGTTGCAGTGAGCCAAGATCATGCCACTGCACCCCAGGCCTGGGTGACAGAGGGAGACTCGGTCTCAAAAAAAAAAAAGTAAAAAAAAAATACTGCACGGGGCTCAGGCACAGTGCTTCATGCCTGTAATTCTACAGCTTTGGGAGGCCAAAGCAATCACATCACTTGAGACCAGAAGTTCAAGACCAGCCTGAGCAACATAATGAGACCCTACATATAAAAACAGAGAAATGTTAAAATGTGTCCGTTATGTAGAAACATAAAATGGTGCTGGACAGCATCATAAAAACATATGTAAATATAAAGCTCTCCAATAAATGTAAATATATGGACACATATAGAATTCTTTACTATCAAAATGATGGTAAATCCCAGCCACACTGGGAATGGTGGCTCACATCTGTAATTTCAGCACTTTAAGAGGCTGAGGTGGGCTAATCACCTGAGGTCAGGAGTTCAAGACCAGCCTGGCCAACATGGTGAAACCCCATCTATACTACAAATACAAAAAATTAGCCAGGCTGGCCTGATGGCAGGCACCTGTAACCTCAGCTACTTGGGAGGCTGAGGCAGGAGAATCCCTTGAACCTGGGAGGCAGAGGTTGCAGTGAGCCAAGATTGCACCATTGCACTCCATCCTGGGCAGTAGAGTGAGACTCAGTCTCAAAAACAAATCAAAACAAACAACCAAAAAAAACAAAAATGATGGTAAATAAAACCTTTAAAGTGCTTTTATAGAATATAAAAACAATGTGTAAATCTGCGTGCATCTGTTAATAGATACACCATATAAAATAATTTATATATCAATAACAAACTGGAAAATATAGAGGCATAGTTTTTGTATTCAGTTGAAGTTTTTATGAAATTAAAACATATTGTTTTAACTTTAAGATGCATGCAATCTCCAGTTTTCAGATGATTAGAAAGAAAATATTTATAGAAAGTATGCAAAAGACAATAAAAAATAAAGCATGTGAGTACAAAATTAAATAAAAATTAAGAAAGTAAAATAGGAAATGAGAAAAATATAACTACTGGAAACACATAAAACCATAAATATAACTGGTAATAACAACTTCATTTCTTTAAGCAATCATTTTAAATATAAATTAATTAAACTACTTAATAAAATAAAATGTAATCTTAGGACTTTAGAAGACCAAGGTAGGCTGATCACTTGATCCCAGGAGTTCAAGACCAGCCTGGGCAACATGGGAAAACTCAGTCTCTACTAAAAATACAAAAAAGCTACCTGTGTGTGATGGCACATACTTGTAACCCAGCTACTTGAGAGGCTAAAATGAGAAGATCATCTGAGTTTGGGAGGTTCAGGCAGCAGTGAACCACGCAAATCAGCCTGGTTGACAGACTGAGATCATATCTCAAAAATAAATGAGGCCGGGCACAGTGGCTCACACCTGTAATCCCAGCACTTTGGGAGGCCAAGGTGGGCAGATTACCTGAAGTCGGGAGTTCAAGACAAGCCTAGCCATCATGGTAAAACCCCGTCTCTACTAAAACTGTTGGCAGAAGAGCTGAGGCAGGGCTTGCTTGTCTGACATAATGTAAAAGAGTCTTGGAACATGTCCTGGGTCCAGGGTCTAAAACCCCTCATGACCTTTGGAAAACCAAGCTCTGTGCCAAATGGTGGAAGCCTGCCCTGCCACACTACAGTCTAAGCCCAGAGCATAAAACTCCTTGTGGCTTGGAGAGAACCCAGGGCTCAGGGCATAAAACCCCTTGTAACCTCTGGAATGTGTCCAGACTCGCTGGCCCCTTGCTCCTTGCTCTCGGAAGATCATAAATGATTGGATCTTGAATTAGAAGAACCTGTTCTCCCTTATCTTAAGTAGCACAGCATATGCTAAACTGTCACAGCTACACTTGATGCACCACTACCTTTCTATCCTCACGTCCTCACCTGTCTACCCTCATATCCACACGTCCTCAGCACCTGCTTCATTGTTTGATTACCAATAAATAGTGTGGACTCCCAGAACTCAGGGCCTTCACAGCCTCCAAACTGGCTTTGGCCTCCTGGACCCACCCTATGTACTCTTAACTTGTCTTGTCCCATTCCTTTGACTCTGCCAGACTTCGTAGCCCCCACAACCTGGTGTTGGATCTGATCACCCCAACAAAAACTACAAAAATTAGCTGGGTGTGGTTGTGGGTGCCTGTAATTTCAGCTACTTGGGAGGCTGAGGCAGGAGAATAACTT
The DNA here is from genome assembly GCF_000001405.40 of Homo sapiens. Classification (NCBI taxonomy): domain Eukaryota; kingdom Metazoa; phylum Chordata; class Mammalia; order Primates; family Hominidae; genus Homo; species Homo sapiens. The sequence goes on along the minus strand of NC_000019.10, from coordinate 20,682,793 downwards.
GAACCCGGGAGGTGGAGATTGCAGTGAGCTGAGATTGCACCATTGCACTCCAGCCTGGGCAACAAGAGAGAAACTCCATCTTAAAATAAATAAATAAATAAATAATATAAAGAAAATGATATAGGATGCCTGAGTGGTTTTTTTTTTTTTCTTGAGACTGAATTTTGCTCTTGTTGCCCAGGCTGGAGTGCAATGGTGCGATCTTGGCTAACTGCAACCTCTGCCTCCTGGGTTCAAGCAATTCTCCCACCTCTGCCTCCTGAGTAGCTAGGATCACAGGTGCATGCCACCACACCTGGCTAATTTTTGTATTTGTAGTAGACATGGGGTTTCTCCATGTTGGACAGGCTGGTCTCAAACTACTGACCTCAGTTGACCCACCCACCTTGGCCTCCCAAAGTGCTGGGATTATAGGTGTGAACCACCATGCCCAGTGTGAGTGGTTTTTCTAAAAAGCATACAGTATGCTGCCTACAAGAGACTCATTTTAGCATTCAGTCAAATAGGCTGAAAGTAACCGAATGAAAAAGATGTATATTCCATGAAAATAGTAACCACAAGTGAGTGAAGTGATCATAATTATATTAGACATATTATGCTTTAAGTCAAGTACTACCATGAGACAAAAATTGATAATATATTATGGTAAAGTGAGCTGATTTACCAGGAATCTTTAACTATAATATTTATTTATCTATATGAATGTGTGTATATAACATCAGAGCTCCAAAATAAATAAAGCAAATATTGACAAAAGTGAAGCAAGACATACATAGTAACATAATAATTGTAGACATCAAGACTCCATTTGCAATAATAAATAGAAAATTCAAATAAAAAATAAGAAACAGAAAACCTGGGCAACATTATAGACTGTACTAATTATTTTGCATATACAGAAATTCTTGAGAGTGCATAATTTACAAAGAAAAAAAGTTTATTTGGCTCACAGTTTGGCAGACTGTATAAGAAGTGTGTGCCAGCATCTGCTTTTGGTGTGGGTCTCAGGAAACTTACCGTCATGGTGGAATGTAAACAGTAACTGGACATATTATATGATAAGAGACTGAGCAAGTGTGAGGTGAAGGAGCCAGGTTCATGTAATGAACCAGCTCTCATTTGAATTAATAGAGTGTAAACTTTTTGGTTACCAAGAGGATGTACCAAGCCATTCATGAGAAATATGCCCCCATACAAAAACATGTCCCACCACGTCCTTCATCCAACATTGAGGATTTATATTGCAGCATGAGCTTTGGATAACATGAACATCCAAACCATGTAATAGACCAACTAGGCTTCACAGACACATACAAAACTTTCCAGTCAAAACCAGGATAATGTACAATATTCTTATCTGCATCTGGTGTATGCTGTTAGGACACACACCAAATTTTATTAAATTTAAAAATACTGACTGAGTGCAGTGGCTGTTGCCTATAATCCTAACACTTTGGGAGATCAAGATAAGAGGATCCATTGGGGCCAAAATCCTGAGACCAGTCTGGGTAACACGATGAGAAACTTTTAATAAATAAGCATTTAAAATAAACCAACGTTATTTTTTATGTTTTAAATATATGCTATTCTTACACAAAATGAAACTGCTGTAATCTAACTTTAGAAGCAAAAAACAGCCTTACATTGTTAAATATAGAAAATATACACATATATATTTTGCAGAATAAAGTGAGACCCTCTGATATGTGAAACAAATATTAGGAAATAAACTATTTTATTATGTAGATGTAAGCTGAAGAAAGTAGATGAAAATACTATAATTCCTTTTTGCCTGTGGCAAACTTAAATTTACAAATAACTGAGTAAATATGGAGTGCTTACTAATTATCTAATTTACTTCAGGAATACCATCAAATTCTAGCATATTGTCCTAAATATCTGAATCTAAAATTACAGGCAAATCTGAAAGAGAAAATAGAAAGTAAAAATGTGTAGGGAGAGTGACATCAGTAAGATAAAAAGATTAAAAGTGCCCTATTTTCATATCCCCTCACAGCAAAAAAAAAAGTCAGCCATCCCTGACAAAAATGCCTTTATGAGAAACCAGGCATTATGGCTCACACCTGTAATGACAGCTACATGGTACATTAAGGTTGGAGAACTGCTTCAGGCCAGGATTTCAAGACCAGCCTGGGTTAAGCAGCAAGATGCCATCTCCAAAATAAGTGTCTCGAAGAGAGATTTGAGATCCCAGGAGGGAGTTGTGAAACACTACTAAAGCTTAAGATTGAGAAGTGTTCTATTAAGAAGGCAGGATGTCATTCAGGTGGGAAACTACAGGACCCCTGTTTTTGGCTACAGACCAGGATAGGGTTCACCCAACTTGATCCCACTGAGAATTCTGAACTTAACTCTGTAACCATCCCAAACTCCTCCCAGCCACAGTCTGGGAGAGGTCCTGCCATTCCAGAGACCTGAAGGAAGATACCCATTTACAGCCATGCAGGCAGACTTGTAGACCTTGGCCTTTGCTGTGGTCCCTGAAGTCGTTCAATGGCTCAGTTTCAGTACCTGAGCCACAGTTCATGGCCAGTTTTGCCTACATAGAAACCCAAACAGTTACATGAGGAAATGCTCTCTGGTACTCAGTGAAAGCCATACTCATCCATGTCCTGATATAAGGCCCACCATATGCAGACCCAACTGCAAAAACATGCCCTAGTGTCTGCCCCATGGAGCAAAGTCCTGAAAAATTTGCAGCGTGTCCAAAACAAAATGAGAATTATGACTACCCAAGCCCCTGTAACAAGCCAACTAAAGGTGGACCCTAGTGCAGACCCAGCGGCCTTGTGACCAAGCTACAACCCCTCTTCACTACAAATTCAGAGGGCATCTCATAACCCCAAGGGCCCAAAGAAAGATCCTTACCTTCTAAAATCAGTTCATGAAAACTTGAAGAGGTGTTTGCTCCATCAAATTCAGACACCAATACAAAACTATATTGTGTCCATTGTCAATACTTCTATTTTAATGTAGAACTGGAAGTATGTGGCAGAAGAATTACTCAAAGAAACAAAAAAATCCATTGAAATGAAAGAAAAATAAGTAAAAAGTTGCTGTTTGTAGATCATACAATCTTATATTTTAGAAAAACCATCACAGAACATTAAAAGCTACATAAACTAATAAATACACTCGTAAATTAGCAAAATATAAAATTAACATGCAAGTATATATATGGTTTCAGAAACTTCAACTACCAGATAAAATAGAAGATGAAACAAATCTTATTTACTATAGCATTAAATAATAAATTTGTGAGAAAAAATTAACCAAGGAGGTAAAAATCTTCACAATAAAAAAAAACAATGAAAAAATTAGAGAAGATCTAAATAAATTTTAAAATATTTTGTGTCTACAGATTGAAAGAATAAATATTATTAAAGTGCCATATTATCCAAAGTGATCTATAGATTCAATAAATTTCCTATCAAAATTGCAGTGGTATTTTTTTCACAGTAACGGAAAATACAATTCTAAAATTTACATGAAACTAAAATAAACTTTGAATAGCCAAAGCAATCTTGAGAAAAAAGAACAAAGCAGAAAAATATCATACTTATAATTTCAAACTATATTTCAAGGCTATATAGTAATAAAAACAGAATGGGCTGGGCAGAAAAATGAACAAAAATATTCAACAGAAACAACTACTCCCACACATTTCAAATCTGATGCAAAAAAAAACTTTAAAAACTTTTAGTTTCTCAAAATCATGCAGATAGTTGTGTGTCCCCAAAACAATAGAAAAGCAGCCAGATTGTGCAGTCTCTTATATGCCCTGAAGTGGACTTTGGCTCTCACTGTGAACTTGAAGGAAGCTCACGGAAAGAAAAGTGGAATTTGTAGAGAATTTAAAAGCACAAGACAGAAGATACCCCTTTGTGAGAATAAAATTTAAAAAACAAACAAACAAACAATAGAACAGATGCCCAGGAACTATTTCCTTTGGAACACAGCTTCCCAAATCACATTCTAAGGACTGGCTTTCTCTTTGACCTTGGGATCTCTAATCTGTGTCATCTGTTGTATTCATTTTCACTCACACCTACCTGGGGGTTTGGCAATTATCTCATGTCTCTTCATAGTCAAAGGTTTTTTTTCCTGCTCCAGACAGGTGATCAGGTCTGGTTCAGAGACACCAATACATGTTTTATTAAAAATAAATAACATGAATCTTGCTCATATTCTCCAATTACAAGCTAGTAATGTGTTCAGCAGAGAGGATGTGATAAAATATTCTAGTAAATTAGGCTAGGCGCAGGGGCTCACGACTGTAATCCCAGCACTTTGGGAGGCCGAAGTGGGTGAATCACAAGGTCAGGAGATTGAGACCATCCTGGCTAACACAGTGAAACCCCGTCTCTACTAAAAATACAAAAAATTAGCCAGGCATGGTGGCGGGTGCCTGTAGTCCCAGCTACTTGGGAGGCTGAGGCAGGAGAATGGCGTGAACCCGGGAGGCAGAGCTTGCAGTGAGCCAAGATTGCACCACGGCACTCCAGCCTGAGCAACAGAGCGAGACTCCATCTCAAAAAAAAAAAAAAAAAAAAAAAAAAAAAAAAAATATATATATATATATATATATATATGCATATATATTCCAGTTATCAGGGGAAATTCAGCCAGATGTTGGGTGAAATTCACTCCCAATATTTCATGTAGGTTCTTTTCTATTTTCCCTAAGTGTTGGCCAGTCTGAGAAATAAAGGGACAGAGTACAAAGAGAGAAATTTTAAAGCTTGGTGTCTGGGGGAGACATCACATGTCAGCAGGTTCCGGGAGGCCCCTGAGCCATAAAACCAGCAAGTTTTTATTAGTGATTTTCAAAAGGGGAGGGAGTGTACAAATAGGGTGTGGGTCACAGAGATCACATGCTTCACAAGGTAATAAGATATCACAAGGCAAATGGAGGCACGGTGAGATCACAGGACCACAGGACCAGGGTGAAATTAAAATTGCTAATGAAGTTTTGGGCATGCATTGTCATTGATAACAGCTTATCAGGAGACAGGGTTTGAGAGCAGACAACTGGTCTGACCAAAAATTTATTTGGTGGGAATTTCCTCATCCTAATAAGCCTGGGAGCGCTATGGGAGACTGGAGCTTATTTCATCCCTACAGCTTGACCATAAAAGATGGCCGCCCCCTGAAATGGCCATTTTAGAGGCCTACCCTCAGGGATGCATTCTCTTTCTCAGGGATGTTCCTTGCTGAGAAAAATAATTCAGTGATATTTCCCCCATTTGCTTTTGAAAGAAGAGAAATATGGCTCTGTTCCACCCGGCTCACTGGCGGTCAGAGTTTAAGGTTATCTCTCTTGTTCCCTGAACATTGCTGTTATCCTGTTCTTTTTTCCAAAGTGCCCAGATTTCATATTGTTCAAACACACATGCTCCACAAACAATTTGTGCAGTTAACGCAATCAACACAGGGTCCTGAGGTGACATACATCCTCCTCAGTTTATGAAGATGATGGGATTAAGAGATTAAAGACAGGCATAGGAAATCACAAGGGTATTGACTGGGGAAGTGATAAGTGTCCGTGAAATCTTCACAATTTATGTTCAGAGATTGCAGTAAAGACAGGCATAAGAAATTATAAAAGTATTAATTTGGGGAACTAAAAAATGTCCATGAAATCTTCACAATTTATGTTCTTCTGCCATGGCTTCAGCCAGTCCCTCCATTCGGGGTCCCTGACTTCCTGCAACACTAGTAAATTATTACCAAAATACTAAGTTATAACAGAAACTTCTAAATATATAGAAAATACTTTCAACTTGTAGGTTTCTTTTTGTTTTTTGTTTTTTTTTTGAGATGGAATTTCACTCTTGTTGCCCAGGCAGGAGTTTAATGGCGTGATCTCAGCTCACTGCAACCTCTGCCTCCTGGGTTCAAGAGATTCTACTGCCTCACCCTCCAGAGTAGCTGGAATTATGGACATGCACCATCATGCCCGGCTAATTTTGTATTTTTAGTAGAGACAGAGTTTCTCCATGTTGGTCAAGCTAGTCTCGAACTCCTGACCTTAGGCAATCCACATGCCTAAACCTCCCAAAGTGCTGGGATTACAGGAATGAGCCACCGCACCTGACCCTCCTTGTAGGTTTTTAAATTTTACTACCTGGTACTACTGAATCAAAAATTGGTGATGGCAATGAGATTTTCAGGTGGGGGTATCAGTATTTTATGCCACTAAACTGCTGGAATTACCACTAATTCAGGGTTAAGAATACAACTCATCTTAGGAATGTCAAAAGTTTGGATTAAGATAAAAATTCTTGAAGAAATTGTTTTCTAAATGAACAAATTCTGAACATTTTCTGGAGAAAGGCATCCAAAACTCTTCTATGCAAAGAATAAATTAGTAAAAAATATTCTAGAAAAAAAGAGAAATAAAACCTTTAGGGTATATTATGAATTATGTATTCAAGTTATACTCACCAAGGAAGACCACACGCACAAGAACACAGCATCACTGTTGAAATATTCCTCCCAAAAAAGTAAATAAAATCTGAATTTAACCATGAAGAAACATGTGTTATGTCAACTTCAAAGTACAGATTACTCCTATGTTCTGTAATTTTTAGTAGCAATTTTAAGTAGGCTTCATTTAGCACCCTAGAGAGCAGGTATCTCTTAATAAGTTTTTTCAGATCTTTCTGGGTAATAAATTCCATCTCATTTAAATAAGCATTTTCTTAATCCTGTTCTGCACAGAGCTAATGGAACACACAGATGGAGCCTCAACATTACATGTTCTCCATCTTTACTAAGGACCACAGTTTTTCCTAATAGGAATCTTGAGTATCTACTTCTTTCCATGTTCAACAGCCACAAAGGGAACATTTTTGATATTGCATGTTGGAAACAATTGCTCAGAGTCAAACAGAAAACAAGCACTCAAACAGAGAACGTCTCAGCAAGGCAAATTTACTTCTATAGAAGGCAGCATCTCGTGGATGGAACAATGGTGAGAGTACTTTTGGACAAGGGAGGAGAAGGGGGTCTTATCCCTAAGGCGGCTAGTCCCTACTTCTGTGTGTTTCCCCTATTGGGTAGGGTTGGACCACACAGTTTAAGCTAATTTTGATAGGCTATTTTAAAGGGACCAAGGGTACAAGCCAGAGTGGCATGGTGAGTAGTTTTGGCAGAAAGGAGAGTTACAAGGCAGGTGACTGGGGTGACTCAGGATACAGCAGGTGATGAGGGATGACTAAAAACTCTAAATATGTGAGTTAGAAGGGGGTTGTTTACTAAACTAGGAGCAAGGAACATAAAGATTGAGGAAGTTAAACTTTAAAATGGAGAATAAACAACAGGAAAGCAGAACATACTGACATATTGATTCTTTGAAGAGGACCTCAGAACTCATTGTACTTAATGATCTTCACCTTTTGGATTTTAAAGTTAACAAGCTAAAACCTTTGAAGATAAATTTACGTATCCTACATTGTGGATCATAAATTCTTGCTGAGAATTCTGCATGGCATATAAGAAGCTATGATGAAGAGAATGTAGAGAAGGCTCTGGAATATAGGAAAGAAATATTTTTCAGAAACCCTTGACTATCATAAGAATTTAAAGAAGTAGTTAAACCAAACTCATTAGGGAGGAAAAACACAAGTAGAGAAGTAAAGGTTTGTGAGTATTAAACGCATGGCAGTCCAAGAGGAAAAGTTGACACAGCTCTTCATCTGACACATGTTTACCTGAAGGAAAGCCACTTTTTTTCTTTCTCCTCCTTCTCTGGAATTTATTCTCAGTTGAGATTCTCTGGACAAATTACACCTGCATCTTGAGAATATGCCTTTAAAGATGTCAGTACCACATGTTTACCTGCTATCATAACATCAACTGGAAGAAAAACAAAGACAGAAAATGTCCACTCATTTCTGTCCTTTAAAACAGAAGAGATTCAGGAAAAATGAGCTGCTCCATGAAGATAAAAATATAAGTTTCTCCTTTCCTGTTCTCAGGTGCCCTCCTGTGCCACAGACTCTAGCAATTTCTCAGGGGCCATATCACCTGTCTTTATTTGCCCTGTAACAGTAGCATACAAATTTAGTGAAATAAAAGATACTTAAATTGTGTTTACTTATAATTATCCCTATTGAATAAAGTTATAAACATTTCAGACGAATATCTACTTACTGTAACAATTTCATAGTAATTTTCTTTGGATATTTGATATCTAAGTATGAATAATTTTAATGAACTAGTCATAATGTATGTAGCATTTTTAAAAATTACAAATATATTTCAGTTAAAACACTTTATATTTCAAAAGTATAAAAAAATACTAAAATAACCATTTAAATGATTCATTCAAAGTAAGTATTTCAGCTTTATCTTCATACGATTGTAGACAATGCTGTTTATGTCTCACACCTGTAATTCCAACATTTTGGAAGAGTGAGGCGGGTGGGTCACCTGCGGTCAGGAGTTCAAGATCAAGCTGGCTAACATGGTGAGACCCCATCTCTACTAAAAATGCAAAAACTTAGCCTGGCATGGTGGCTTGCACCTGTAATCCCAGCTACTTGGGAGGCTAAGGCAGGAGAATTGCTTGAACCTGGGAAGCAGTGGTTGCACTGAAATGAGATCACACCACTGCACCCCAGCCTGGGTGGCACAGTGAGACTCTGTCTCAAAAGAAAGAAAGTACTGTTTAATGTATATGAATGCAGGTTGTCTACAAACACTACACATAACTATGCTAATTGTTCTGAAGTAATCAATAGAAAGCAAGGTACAACTACAGACTCCACTGTTTAGTTTATACACTGAACTGTTCTTGCTTTCGCAGTATAAGTCCTTCAGCCTGCAAATACTGCATAATTGCTTTGGATCATCAGGTTTCTGTCAAAGATACTTAGTGTCTTTTAGTCTTTATCATTCTGTATTGCTAAATTTATTCCTATTTTTGTGTTAAGTTTCTGTGTGCTCTTAAAATTAGCTCTTATCCAAACAAATCTGTGTCTACTTTAGAGGACTAAAAATGAAAAAAAATAAATTTTCGAGAAGCAAAAACAAAGCAATAAATCTGAAGTACTAGAGAAAGATAATCTGGAGTCAGATTATCTGACAAAAGCTTTATTCAGCTGTTAATATGATTTACCTGTATTTCAAAAAAGCAGAGAAAAACATCTACAAATAATCTAATTCCCTTAAGAAAAGAGGGAATAGCAAAATATTTTTTGGAACTTTTTAAAGAGTTTTTGAACTCTTGAACATCTGAATTTTGCACACTAGATGCGCTTGAAAGAATGTTTATGGGAGAAAAAGCAGAAGAGAGAAAGATGTTATAAAAAATCCATGAGTGCCCAAGACCAACGCAACAGAATAGAGAGCCCAGAAATAATATCACCCTCCTACACCCATCAGATTTTTGACGAAACTGACAAGAAGAATGTGGGAAAAATTCTCTCTTTAATAAATGATGCTGGAATAACTACCTAGCACTATGTAGAAGACAGAAACTGGACCCCTTCATTACACCATATAAAAAAATCAACTCAAGATAAAGACTGAAAAGAAAAACTTAAAATTATAATAAACCCTGCAAGATAACCTGGGAAATACCATTCTAGATATAGAAACTGGCAAAGACTTCATGATGAAGCTACCGAAAGTAATTGCCACAAAAGCAAAAATTGACAAATGGGACCTATTTAAACTAAAGAGCTTCTTCACAGCAAAAGAAACTATCAACAGAGTAAACAGACAACCTAGAGAATAAAAGAAAATATTTGCAAACTTTGCCTGACAAAGGTCTAATAATCAAAATTTCTTAAGAACTTAAACAAGTTTACAAGAAAAAACCAAACAATCTCATTAAAAAGAGGGAAAAAATATGAACAGATGCTGTTCAAAAGAAGACATACATGTGGCTAACAAGCAAATGAAAAAAAATGCTCATCGCTAATCATTAGAGAAATTAAAAGAGAAACCACAATGAGATGCCACATCACACTGGTCAGAACACTACAAACCCATCAGGATGGCTATTTTTTAAAAGTCAAAAAGTAACAGATGCTGGCAAATTTGCAGAGAAAAGGGAATGCTTATACTCTGCTGGTGGGAGTGTAAATTAGTTCAACAACTATAAAAAGCAGTGTGGTGATTCCTCACATAACTAAAAACAGAATTATCAATTGACCCAGGAACCTCATAATTGGGTATATATCCAAAGAAATATAAATTATTATATTATCAAGACACATCCACATGCATGTTCACTGCAGAACTATTCACAATAGCAAAGACAAGGACAGGCCCTAAATGCCTATCAATGGTAGACAAGATAAAGAAAATATGGTATGGTCAGATGCGGTGGCTCATGCTTGTAATCCCAGCACTTTGGGAGGCTGAGGCAGCTGGATTGCCTGAGTTTAGAAGTTTGAGACCAGCCTGGTCAACATGGCAAAATCCTGTCTCCACGGAAAACAAAATGAAAAATCGGCCAGGTGTGGTAACGCACACGTGTAGTCCCAGTTACTTAGAAGGATGAGGGCTACAGAATTGCTTGAGCCTGGGAGGTTGAGACTGAAGTAAGCAAATATCATGCCATAGCACTCTAGCCTGGGCAATAAGCCTGTCTCCAAAAATAAAATAAAATAAAAGATTTAGTAAAAACAAAATATGGTACATAAGCATCATGGAATACTCTGTGGCCATTTAAAAAATGATCATGTCCTTTGCAATAACATTGATGAAGCTGGAGACCATTATGCTTAGAAAACTAATGCAGAGGCCGGGCACTGTGGCTCACACCTGTAATCCCAGCAATTTGGGAGGCCAAGGCGGGTGGATCACCTGAGGTTGGGAGTTTGAGACCAGCCTGATCAACATGGAGAAACCCCATCTCTACTAAAAATACAAAATTAGCCACACATGGTGTTGCCCGCCTGTAATCCCAGCTACTTGGGAGGCTGAGGCAATGGACTAGCCTGAATCCAGAAAACGAAGGTTGCGGTGAACCGAGATCATACCATTGCACGCCAGCCTGGGCAAAAAGAGCAAAACTCCTACTCAAGACAAAACAAAACAAAAAACAACAAAAAAAGAAAACTACTGCAGAAACAGAAAACCAAATTCATGTTACTATTTGTAAGTAAGAGCTAAGTAATAAGAACACATGAATACAAAGAGGAGAAAAACAAGACACTGGAGCCTAGTTAAGGGCGGAGGGTGGGAGGACTCAGAGGATCAGAAAATATACGTGTTTGGTGCTATGCTTAGTACCTCAGTGACAAAATAATCTGCACACCAAACCCCTGTGACATAATTTTAGCTGTTTAACAAACCCACGTGTGTACCTCAAACAAAAAATAAAAGCTAAAAGAAAAAAAATGTCCCTGGGTGGGACAGAGTGTAATGTAGGTGAAAGGAATAATTTTTTGCTACAGATAGTGGCCCAGGTGGGGCTGTATTCTGATTCATTTCTGTGTGCATGCAGGCAGATGAGATTATGAACAGGAGGTCCAGAACCCTAGGCTGGTGGAAAAAACAGGTTGCTGCTGCAGATTCATTGTTCAGGGATGGGGATATGCAAGGAGACTTGCAGACACTTGTGGCTTTTTGGCAAGAAACACTTTGATCAAAAATGCCATGGTGAAGTTTCTGAGGATGGTGCCTAGTCCTGGGAGGAGTGTGGACATGTCACGTCTAGTGTGTGTGTTTGGGAGTAGGTGGGAATCCTGTGGTGGTAGCTGCAAGAAAAGGGGGTCTGTCATCAGAGCTCTTTCCTCTAAGTTTTCAGTCTTCTGTCACCTTGGGAGGAATCACAAGACAATGGGCAGTGTGACAGCCTGTGTACAGGAGAGCAAAGCCTCCCATTCCCAAATACCCAGAGTTTTATTACAGGCCAGGCCTCCATGATATCTTTTTTCTGGCACCAAATCTGTAGAGTTTTCTGAACATCAAACAATTCTCCAACACCAACTCATTGTCAAACGTTTGAATTCTGACACTACCCAAAGTCAGCACAGACAGCGATTCAGTCCCACAACATTGTTCTTACTGCAGATGCCAGTCACAAACCCCATGGGCCCATTTATGCTTCTGAGCTACTGTTTAAAAAGTGGGTACTTTCATAACCTCCCTGAAGTTCAATAATTTGGTAAAGCTACTCACAGAACTCAGAAAAACACTGTAATAATGTTTACCAGTTTCATATATAAGAGGCAGCCCAGGAAAAGCCAAATGGAAGAAATGTGTAGAACAAAGAGATGGGGAAAGATGAAACACATAGATAATCTTGGAAAATATTTGTGATTAATAAAATTCTCCATCTGTTGTGTACTCCAAGAACAGTTTATGGAAATAAACACTCTTCCTGTTATGACTTTTTCTTACATATCACACAGCCAGACACACACTCTGCACAGTTTCTCCTTTTTCTCATTAAGAATATCAATTGAATTTGTCTTCACTGGTCAATATATATATATATTTTTTGAGATGGAGTCTCGTTCTGTCGCTCAGACTGGAGTGTAGTGGCACAGTCTTGGCTCACTGCAACATCCTTCTCCCAGGTTGAAGCAATTCTCCTGCCTCAAGTCTCCCGAGTAGCTGGGATTACAGGTGCCCACCAGGATGCCTGACTCATTTTTGTATTTTTAGTAGACACAGGGTTTCACCATGTTGGCCAGGCTGGTCTCAAACTCCTGACCTCAGGTGATCCGCCTGCCTCGGCCTCCCAAAGTGCTGGGATTACAGGTGTCAACCACCGTGCCCAGCTTAAAATAAAATATTTTTTAATCAAACTTTACTTAGGGTTATCTCACTCCCTCAGGCTCCTGAACTTTGAGCTACCCTCAGCCTGAGTCAACATACAACCTTATTTTACATCCCTCCTAAGAACATGCTGATTTCAGGGTAAGACATTCTCTGATCCAAAATCTGACTTTTTCATCCTCCATTTGCCATTTCCCTCCCACCTCCTTTCTAAACTTGTTTGCTCCTCCCTAGGGAAGAAAGTCCTTTTATGCCTACATTTTTGCAAGCCATAAAGATCTTATAGTTGGTTATTGCTTTCTCCTGTTGCAATAATTTTTTGGAATTCTTTTTTTTACATAAATCTAACATTTTTATTTTACAAAATCTGGAAAGTGCCTCAAAACAATAACAACTTCATGATCAGTAAGACCCTCCCAGTTTCCCTTCATCTTAGCCTCAACTGCATCTGCCTGTGCGACCCCAGCTTTCCAGGGCGCTGTAGCTTCTCTCAGAACAACGGCTCCTTCAATGGCTGGGGTGAGCAGGCTGACACATCTGCAGGGAAGTCTTTCCAGAAAAAAGTAACTGGGCCTTTGGCCAGACGCAGTGGCTCACGCCTGTAATCCCAACAGTTTGGGAGGCTGAGGCGGGTGGATCACGTGGTCAGGCATTCGAGACCAGCTTGGCCAACATAGTGAAACCCTGTCTCTACTAAAAATACTAAAAAATTAGCCAGGTATGGTGGCGGGCACATGTAATCCCAGCTACTCAAAAGGCTGGGGCAGGATAATCTCTTGAACCCAGGAGGCAGAGGTTGCAGTAAGCCGAGATCCTGGCACTGCACTCCAGCCGAGGCGACAGTGTGAGACTCTGTCTCAAAAAAAAAAAAAAAAAAAAATCTAACTCTGCCTCTAATAACCTTCTGTTGCAGGCTTAATATTAGCCTTAGATTCAAGCCACTAGGTTAAAGCTTTAATTTCCATGTCAGAGTTATTCACTTGATTTTGAAACTAACTGCTTGAAAAATCCAGTGAAATTACTCTAAGTGTTTACATAAGGGAAGGAAATTTTAAGGTGCTTACTTTTTTTTTTTTTTTTTTGAGATGGAGTCTCGCTCTGTCACCCAGGCTGGAGTGCAATGGCACAATCTCAGCTCACTGCAACCTCTGCCTCCCAGGTTCTAGCCATTCTCCTGCCTTAGCCTCCCAAGTAGCTGGGACTACAGGCATGTGCCACAGCACCCGGCTAATTTTTGTATTTCTAGTAGAGACGGGGTTTCGCCATGTTGGGCAGGCTGGTCTCGAAACCCTGACCTCAAGTGATCAACCTGCCTCGGCCTCCCAAAGTGCTGGGATTGCAGGTGTGAACCACTGAAAATGGCTAAGGTGCCTGCATTTTGTATCTCCATAAGAAAAGCAAATATGTCTACTTCTTTCAGAAAATACATGTATTATTTTATTATTTCTATTAAAAATAGTGTTGTAAAAAATTAGTCATATGGGGACACTTGTAGAAGGTACATAAGTTTTATCATATATAATTTAGCATTAAACTAAGAAATCAAGGCAACATGATATAGAACTAAGATATTCACTGTCACAAATTTACCCTGCAAAAAGAGGAACTGGTGTTTTGACGAATCTATGTAATCCATAAATTATCTACCACATTTTCCTGTGGAAATATATTCATTGTCCACAGTCAAAATGAAAGAAAGATTTGCTCTAATTTTTTTTTTTTTTTTGAGATGGGGATGGAGTCTCACTCTGTCACCCAGGCTGGAGTGCAGTGGCGTGATCTCGGCTCACTGCAACCCCTGCCTCCCAGGTTCAAGCAATTATCTGCCTCAAGCTCCAGGGTAGCTGGGATTAGAGGCGCCCACCACCATGCCTGGCTAATTTTCATATTTTTAGTAGAGATGGTGTTTCACCATCTTGGACAGGCTGGTCTTGAACTGCCGGCCTCGTGATATGCTTGCCTCATCCTCCCAAAGTGCTGGGATTACAGGCATGAGACACCGCGCTTAGCTGGTAGCTAGCATTCTTAAAGCTAAGGCTTGGAATTTTGTTTGAAATAACTCAGCCATAAAAAACACATCTGAAAAAATTCCTAAGCTTACTCTGGGAAAGAAAAAGGTAAATGAGAATTATTAATAAATGGAATATATTATTAAATACCAATTTTTTGAAACTCATCTCTTTTCTGTCCTTTGTAAATATTTTCTTACCTTTTAAGCCCTATGAATAAAATGCAAATTACAGTAAAAAAAACCGATGCAGCTGGGTACAGTGGCTAATGCCTGTAATCCCAGCACTTTGGGTGGCCGAGGCAGGTGGATCACTTAAGACCATAAGTTTGGGATCAGCCTGGTCCATCTCTACTAAAAATACAAAAACTAGCAAGGCGCAGTGTTGCACACCTATAGACCTAGCTACTTGGGAGGCCGAGGCATGAGAATCACTTGAACCCAGGAGGTGGAGGTTGCAGTGATCTGAGATCGAGCCATTGAATTACAGCCTGTGCAACAGAGGGAGACTGTCTCATAAATAAATAAATAAATAAATAAATAAATAAATAAATAAATACCTGAGGTCAAAATAAGTGAACAAATCTTTTCAAGGTACACATCCAATTACCTATCCCATCCTGTTCACTTACATGCTCAATAACCACCCTCCCAGGAGATAGTGCGCTATGCCCCAGTGAGTGCCCCAGGTACATTTTACTTCATAAGTTTTTATGCCATCACACTGGGGTCAGTTTTTTTTGTCTGTTGGAGTTTTTTTTTTTTTTTTTCCAAATTTTTCACTATTTTTTGTCACTATTTTTCTGCCCCACTCAAGAGAATCCAGGGGGCAGAAATTATCTGTTTTCCCCTCAATATCAGCATCTGATTGGCTGCCCAGCAATGTGTCTCCAAGAAATGGAAGCTAGGTTGGTTGAAGACAATCTTCATGTCTCAAGGAGTTAGTTTTTCAAAAAAAAAAAAAAAAAAAAAAAAGTGCACCAGGAGATGCCTTTCAGCCCCAGGGCTGCCACCTGCTCCCTTGAGAGGCTACACTCCATACTTCACGTGGTCCTATGGGAGAAAATGACCCAAGAGCTAATAGTCACTAGACACTCCAGCAGACATAGCCATGGTGGGTATCTTGGTTTATCCCCAGAAAGTACTAAAACCCAGGCCCAGAAAAAAAACTGAAGGATAGCTGAGGACACATCACCCTATAAAGTTTCCGAAGGGTAATCTTGACCTAAAAACATTCCGGTAAGTTCTCTGGAAAAATAGAAGAAAAAGAGGCACAAATATTTTTACAATACAGTGTCAGGGGATTATTCTTTTCTTTCTTCTCAGGGGAGATATTTACAAACAGAAAACAAATTTATTTAATAGTGTTAAAAATGATTAATTGAGGAACATGGGGTACACTTGAGGCCCCACTTGGGACACATGTGAAAAATGCCAGAGAAAATCAGTCCCCTGTGGGGTGTGAAAATAATTAAGTGGCAGGCAATTAGACTTTAGGAGTCTGAGAGACTGAAGAGGCTCTATTCCCTGGATTGCTACTTCTAAGAAAAAAATATAAACTCGAGTGCATTTTTTGGTAAATCGCTACATTAGGGGAAACACAATTCAAGCTTAAACAACTATAAAATGCCAATTAAGCTCTGATTACATAATCAGGAAATTTCCACCTTGATTGTACAAATTAAGAAACTACCTAACTATATCTAACCAATTATTGAATTTAGTGTTCTTCATCATGCACCTTATAAATGTCTTTTCTTCAAGCCTCTCCCATGGACCACAAACTACAAACTGTAGCTGGGTGCTCTACAATTCTTGAATCACTCTTTAAATTACTTGTTATTTTTGCGGTGACTTCCTTTTTTTTTTTTTTTTTTTTTGACAGAGTCTTGCTCTGTCGCCCAGACTGGAGTGCAGTGGCGCGATCTCACCTCACTGCCACCTCTGCCTCCCGGGTTCAAGCGATTCTCTCTCCTCTGACCCCCGAGTAGCTGGGACTACAGGCATTCACCATCACATCCAGCTAATTTTTGTATTTTTAATAATGATGGGGTTTCCCCATTTTGGCTAGGCTGGTCTTCAACTCCTGACAAGTGATCCGCCCGCCTCGGCCTCCCGAAGTGCTGGGATTACAGGCGTGAGCGACAGCACCTGGCCCCATACATTTTTAATAGGAGAAAAGAAAAACTGTGAACCCCACGGGCCAAAGCTCTTTCCATTCGTGAACCCGCAGCCCAGTCAGGAATCTCCCCTGCCTACCCTGCCCTGGTCCCTGCACAATCTGGGAGAGACGCCGCGCTGCGGGTGCAGAGCTGCCCAGAGAGGGCTCCAGGCCAGGGCGCAGTCACTGCGCAGGGAAGAGAAACATGTTATGGCTGAAGGGAACAGAGGCCGAGCTGGGCGAGAAAAACTCCGGGAGCAGATTTTGGAGCTGAGTGCGGCAGGCCTGAGTCCTGCCACAGCCATCTCCCAGCCAAGGGAGGCGGTGACTGAGCAGGCTACCCAGCCTAGGAAACCGTGCTTTTTCCATGAAACTGTGCAATCCACAGATCAGAAGATTCCGCTCGTGAACCCACGGCACTGGAGCCTCAGATTCCAACCCCGGAGTTGAACGGATTAACAGCCTCTCAGCTAGAGTCTGCTTAAGCCTGCTGAGGTCCCGAGGGAGGGGCGACCAGCACCATGGCTGTGGCTGCCTGCAGTCTCAGCATTTTGAGCTCCTTGGAGGAGGGACAGCAGCCAGCACTGAGACTCCCAGTTGCCTAATAGGCTAAGCTCCCTCGGCACGGGAAGGGCAGCAGCCATTTCTAGAGCTCCTGGCTGCATTTTTCCCCTGCTAGAGCCAGGGAGGTTGGACAGCTTGGTCTCAAGAGGTGTCCCCCACAGCCCAACACACTGGCTGTGGCAGACAGCGGCCAAAGTGTCTCTTCAGGCCTGACCCTGACTCATCCCTCCACACTGGGCTGGGCCTCCCTGCAGGAACTCCAACAGCTCCAGTCAGGAACTCAGGGACAGAATTCTGATGTCCCTGGACCTGAGCCCCTAGGGGAAGGGGTGGCTGTGAGAGAAGAGAGACAGACCCTCTCATATTGTTTTATATTGTTTTGTACTCAGAAAAGAAAAGAAAAGAAAAGCGAAACAAAACCAGACACAAAACCAGGGAACCAGACCTGAAACCAGGCCTGAGCCTGCCTGACCTAAGCCTGGTAGTTAAAGATCAACCCCTGACCTAACCGGTTATGTTATCTATAGATTCCAGATATTGTATAGAAAAGACATTGTGAAACTTCCCGGTCTGTTCTGTTTCACTCTGACCACCGGTGCATGCAGCACCTGTCACGTACCCCCTGCTTGCTCAATCCATCACAACCCTCTCACGTGGACCCCCTTAGAGTTGTGAGCCCTTAAAAGGGACAGGAATTGCTCACTCGGGGAGCTCGGCTCTTGAGACAGGAGTCTTGCCAGATGCTCCCGGTCGAATAAACCACTTCCTTCTTTAACTCAGTGTCTGAGGAGTTTTGTCTGTGGCTCGTCCTGCTACAGTTGCAGTCTCTGTGGACCAGCAGACTTAGCCTTTCCTCCTGCTAGTTCTGAAAAATGTGGGCAGCCCACATGAGTGGGTTTCCCCCCAGCAAAACACTCCCCTCCACCAAGGAACAAAGTGCTTCATTAAATGGGTTCTCCTCTCCATGCCACCCAACTGGGTGAGACCCTTCAACAGGGGTTGTCAGACACCCTATACAGGAGCGATCCTACTGGCATCAGGTTGGTGCCTCTTGAGGTCAGAGATCCCAGAGGAAGGAGCGGACACTCTTCTTTGCTATTCTCCAACCTCCTTGATTGACATCTCCAGGAACAGGAGTGAACCAGATGAATAGAGCCTGAAGTGAACCCCCAGCAAACTGCAGCAGCCCTACAGAAGAGGGACCTGACCACTGAAAGAAAAACAAACAAACAGAAAACAACAACATCAACAACAAAAAAGTACCGACAAAAACCCCATCCAAGGCCGGGCATGGTGGCTCACACCAGTAATCTCAGTACTTTGGGAGGCTGAGACAGGCAGATCACTTGAGGTCAGGAGTTCAAAACTAGCCTGGCCAACATGGCAAAACCCCATCTCTACTAAAAAATACAAAAATTAGCCAGGCGTTGTGTTGCATGCCTGTAATCCCAGCTACTCGGGAATCTGAGACACGAGAATCACTTGAACCTGGGATGCGAAGGTTGCATTGAGCCGAGATTGTGCCACTGCCCTCCAGCCTGGGTGACAGAGTGAGACTCTGTCTCAAAACAAAACAAAACAAAACAGAAACAACCATTCAGTTGTCAACAGCCTCAAAGATCAAAACTAGACAAGTTCATGAAGATGAGAAAGAATCAACAAAAGAACTCTGAAAGGCCAGAGTGCGGCTTTTCCTCCAAGTTATCAAAATGTCTCTTCAGCAAGGGTGCAGAACTGGACAGAGGATGAGATGGATGAATTGACAAAAGTAGGCTTCAGAAGATGGGTAATAAACTCTGCTGAGCTAAAGGAACATGTTCTAAACCAATTGAAAGAAGCTAAGAACCTTGATAAAAGGTTAGAGGAACTGCTAACTAGAATAACTGGTTTAGACAGGAACATAAATGATCTGATGGAGCTAAAACACACAGCATGAGAACCTCCTGAAGCATACAAAAGTATTTGTAGCTGCATTGACCAAGCAGAAGAAAGAACATCAGAGTTTGAAGACCACCTTGCCAAAATAAGGCATGCAGACAAGATTAAACAAAAATGAATAAAAAGGAACAAATGAAGCCTTTGAGAAATATGTTCTGTGCAGGAAACACATGAGGGGAGAAGAAAAGACACGCACACAATACCTTTAAGGGTAAACAAGCTTTATCCCAGGTAAATGGCAATGCATATATAATAAGCAAATTGATATAATAAGAGCATTGCAATGGGAAGGGGAGAAGAGAAAAAATATATATCTTTACACTCACCAGACTATGGAGGATTCATCAGCAGACCAGGAAGCAACAGCCTGGGCTCCAGAGTCGGCCACCCATCCCTGTACAGACAAGGAGAGGTCTTTGGAGCTTTGGTGCAGTCTGGGATCCTAGCTCTTTTTGTAACAAGTTGTTTGGCATGAGGCCCAGTTGCAACTGGGCTCTTTGCAACTGGGCTCAAGGAACACAAAAAAGTCAACTTGTTTTTTTTGCGATTGGCTATTGTTTTTCAATAACTAACGTATAGGAATAGATTAAAATAGAGATTTCTCCAAAACAATCTGTGCCCAGTTCTCTTTGCCCAGCTTGGCCTCAGTCCCATTCAGCCAGAAGATGGCAGCTGCGCTGACAGCCAGGCCCCCAGAAGTCCTGCCTCTTCACTGCGCTGTGACTGTGCCCTGGCCTGGAGCCCACTTTGGGCAGCTCTGCACCTGCAGCATGGCGTCTCTCCCAGATTGTGCAGGGACCAGGGGAAGGTCGGCAGGTGAATGCCTCAAGGGGCTCACATAACCTGTTCCAGGACTTGGTGACCATTGTTTGTGTCCATGTTCAACTGAGTTCAAATTTAATATTTAACTTTTCCTCCACAAATTCCCCTGTCTTGATGAATCATCTCTGTCTAGGCAAGATGAAGCCCTTAGGCCGTTACACAACCTCCGCCTCCTGGGTTCAAGCGATTCCCCTGCTTCAGCCGCCGTAGCACCTGGGACTACAGGTGTGTACCACCACACCTGGCTAATTTTTTGTGTTTTTACTAGAGATGAGATTCAACATGTTGGCCAGGCTGGTCTTGAACTCCTGACCTGAAGTGATCCACCCACTTTGGCCTCCCAAAGTGCTTGGATTACAAGCGTGCACCAGCGGACTGGCCCTAAATGATTTCTTTGTCTCTTGTAACAGTTTGAAATTACTTAAAGGTTGTTTCAAATTGAAAAAATAAAAAGAATGTAGATAAAAATAAAATATAAAAAGTTAAAAAATTACATTAGATTACAAAATATGTATGTAAATCTCGAGAGGTCAAAAATGACAAATTTGATTTTTTATAAGGTTTTATCAAAATTACCTTTAGTATTGATAATACATTATTGCCAAAGTAAAAGTTGATTTTCTCTTGAACAAAAATTTTATGTATTATTAATATGAGAGCAAAATACTTCTGTTCACCTTTTGAATACATTCAAAAAGAGAGAGAGTAAAGAAAAGATAGAATTCTCCCATGCTCTGGGGTGGGCCTGGCTCAGCTCAGGAAGGAAGCCCTGCCTGAAAAGGCTGCAGCTTAGGCTGTCACTCTTTCTTCACTCAGCTCAGCGTCTGATCACATCTACTGTCACTCAGGGCCTCAGGGGGCGGGGCCTTAAGCATTATCCAATCAGGGATGGTGGGCTGGAAACCATCCAATCAGGAACGCAGCTGGAGCGAAGAGGACGGTTTCCGGGTTTGGTGCGGCCTTTGTCTCTCGCTGCAGTCAGAGCTCCAGGTCTGGTTCTTCTCCTAAAGGCCCAGGCTGTGTGGCCCCGTGTCCTGCAGGTATTGGGAGATCCACAGCTAAGACACCGGGACCTCCTGGAAGCCAAAAATGGTGAGAGTGAGGGTCCGACATCCCGAGAGAGGAGAGGGACTGGTTGGAACCGGTGAAAAGTGGCTGTGGCGGGACTCAGGCCTCCCCGCAGTCAGCTCCACAGTCTGCTCCCCCAGTTCTCCTTGCTCAGCTCGGCCTCAGTCCTGTTCAGCCATAAAATGGCAGCTGCGCTGACAGCCGGCACCCGGGCGTCTTGTCTCTTCACTGCGCGGTGACTACCCTGGCCTGGAGCCCTCTCTGGGCAGCTCTGCACCCGCAGCGTGGCGTCTCTCCCAGATTGTGCAGGGACCAGGGGAGGGTGGGCAGGGGAGAATCCTGACTCGGGGTGCGGGTTCATGAATGGGAAGAGCTTTGTTCCTTTGGGTTTACAGTTTCTCTTTTCTCCTATTAAAAATGTATGGGGCCGGACGCTGTGGCTCACGCCTGTAATCCCAACGTTTTGGGAGGCCGAGGCGGGCGGATCACTTGAGGTAAAGAGGTGTTAGGACAACTAAGTTCCTTTTAAATGACTCAACTTTCTGGTCATAAGTTGTAAAAGTTGTAAATCAACCCTACCTCTTCTTCTACCCCCTTTTCCTTTTCTCGCAAATCGCGCATTTACTTTATTTGGAAAAAGTTTGGGTCTAAGCTTACCAGGATCAGCTTAGATTGTGCGGTCTGATCCCAGCCAATAGGGGATGGAAACAAAAACAGGAACTGCATTAGGGTTCAAAACCCCTTTCTTGCTGGGCGCGGTGGCTCAAGCCTGTAATCCCAGCACTTCGGAGGCCGAGGCAGGTGGATCACGTGGTCAGGAGTTCTAGACCAGCCTGGCCAACGTGGTGAAACCCGTCTCTACTAAAAATACGAAAACTATCGGCGTGTTGGCACGTGCCTGTAGTACCAGCCACTTGGGAGGCTGAGGCACGAGAATTGCTTGAACCCGGGAGGCGGAAGTTGCAGTGAGCTGAGATCCAATCATCGCGCTCCAGCCTGCGTGACAAAGCGAGACTCCGGCTCAAAAAAAAGAAAAAAAAAGTAAGCATCTTAAAAATTCCTTTATGTAAACATTGTGAGTAATTTCACTGGAGTTTCTAACACTTAGTTTCAAAAACCAAGTGAATAACTGATGTGGACATTAAAGCTTGAACCTAGTGACTCCAAGCTAAGGCTAATATTAAGCCTGCAACAGGGTATTTTTTTTTTTTTTTTTTTTTTTTTAGACACAGTGTCGCTTGTGGTGCCCAGGCTGGAATGTAATGGCGTGATCTCGGCTTACTGGGTTCAAGCGATTCTCCTACCTCAGCCCCACCAGTAGCTGGGATTACAGGCATGCACCATCACGCCCGGCTAATTTTGGTGTTTAGTAGAGACGGGTTTTCTCCATGTTTGTCAGGCTGGTCTTGAACTCTCTGCCTCAGACCCGCTTCGGCCTCCCAAAGTGCTGGCATTATCGGTGTGAGCCACCGCACCCGGCCAACAGGAGGTTATTAAAGGCCCTGTTATTTTTTTCTGGGGAGTCTCCCTTGCGGATATCTCAAGACTGCTCACCCCAGCCACGGAAGGAGCCTTCATTCTGAAAGAAGCTACAAAGCCTTGGAAAGCTGGGGCCCCACAGGCAGATGCAGTCAAGATTAAGATGAAAGGAAACTGGGAGGGTCTTACTGGTAATGAAGTTGTTATGGTTTTGAGGCACTTTTTACGCTTTCTAAAATAAGAATATTAGATTTATGTAAAAAAAAAATGAATTCCTAAGAAGTATTGCAACAGGAAGAAGTACCAGCTAACTAAAAAATCTTCATGGGTTGCAAAAATGTAGGCAGAAAAGGGCTTTTCTCCTACATTGGAGATGGCTTATCTCCATCCCTCACTAGCCTGAGGGATGGAGATAAACTTAAGTAAAGTTTGATTAAGAAATATTTTAGGCTGAGCGCCATGGCTCAGGCATGTAATCCCAGCAGTTTGGGAGGCCTAGGCGGACGGATCACCGCAAGTCAGGAGCTTGAGACCAGCCTGGTCAACATGGTGATAACCCTGTGTCTACTAAAAATACAAAAATTAGCTGGTAGTTGTGGTGGCCACCTGTAATGCCAGCTACTTGGGAGGCTGAGGCAGGAGAATTGCTTGAACCATGGAGACAGAGGTTGCAGTGAGCTGAGACGGTGCCAAGGCACTCCAGCCTGGGTGGCCGAGCGAGACTCCATCTCAAAAAAAAAAAATTATTTTGACCACTGAAGACAAATTCAGCTGAATTTCTTAATGAGAAAAAGGAGAAAATGTACAGAGTGTGTGTCTGGCTGTGTGATAGGTAAGAAAAGAGAGCACCATCTAAGTCATAATGAGAAAGGCGTTTCTTTCCGTATACTGTTCCTGGAGCACACAAAAGGTGGAGAATTTTATTAATCACAAATATTTTCCAGGATTTTCTATGTGTTTCATCTTTCCCCATCTCTTTGTTCTATGCATTTCTTCCATTTGGCTTTTCCTGGGCTGCATCTTTTATATGAAACCGGTAAACATAACTACAATGTTTTGCTGAGTTCTGTAAGTAGCTGTACCAAATTATTGAACTTCAGGGAGGTTTTGGGAGTCCTCAGTTTTCAAACAGTAGCTCAGAAGCATAGATGGGCCTATGGGGTTTTTGATTGGCCTCTGCAGTGAGGACAATGTTGTGGGACCCAGCCCTGGATCAGGGTCTGTGCTGTCTCTAGGTGGTGTCAGAATTCAATTATTAGGCAATGAGTTGGTGTTGGAGAATTGTTTGATATTCAGCAAACTCTATAGATTTGGTGCCAGAAAAAAGATATCACTGGGGCCAGACCTGGAACAAAGCTCTGGGTATTTGAAAATGGGAGGCTCTGCTCTCCTGTACACAGGCTGTCACACTGCCTGTTGTCCTGTGATTTAAGGTCTTCTTCCAGGGTGACAGAAGACTGAAAACTTAGAGGAAAGAGTTCTGATGACAGACCCTGTTTTCTTGTAGCTGCCACCACAGGATTCCCACCCACTCCTAAACACACACAGTAGACATTGACATGTCCTCACTCCTCCCAGTACTGGGCACCACCCTCAGGAACTTCACCATGGCATTTTTGATCCTAGCGTTTCTTGCCAAGAACCCAAAAGTCTCTACAGGTCTCCTGGCATATCCCCACCCCTAGATACAGAATCTGCCGCACCAACCTGTTTTTTCCACCAACCTAAGGTTCTGGACCTCCCGGTTATAATCTCATCTGTCTGCATGCAAACAAAGATAAATCAGAAAACAGCCCCACCTGGGCCACTATCTGTAATGAAAATCAGTCCATTCACCTACATTGCACTCTCTCCCACGCAGGGATTTTTTTTTTTTCTTTTTTTAGCTTTGATTTTTGGTTGGGTGTACACATGTGGGTTTGTTATACAACTAAAATTACGTCATGGGGGTTTGAAGTGCAGATTATTTTGTCACTGAGGTACTAAGCATACCACCGAACAGGTATGTTTTCTGATCCTCTTACTGCTCCCACCCTCCCCCCTCAACTAGGCCTCAGTGTCTGTTCTGTTTGTGTTCATGTGTTCTTATTACTTAGCTCTTACTTATAAATAATAACATGCATTTGGTTTTCTGTTTCTGCATTAATTTTCTTTTTTTTGTTTGTTTTTTGTTTTGTTTTTTTGAGATGGATTTTTGTTCTTGTTGCCCAGGCTGGAGTGCAATTGTGCCACCTCGGCTCACCGCAACCTTCGCCTCCTGGATTCAAGCAATTCTCCTGCCTCAGCCTCCTATGTAGCTGGGATTAGAGTCGCATGCCACCACACCTAGCTAATTTTGTATTTTTAGTAGAGAGGGGTTTCTCCATGTTGGTCAGGCTGGTCTTAAACTCCTGAACTCAGGTGATTATCCCACCTCGGCCTCCCAAAGTACTGGGATTACAGGCGTGAGCCACCATGCCTGGACTCCGCATTAGTTTTCTAAGAATAATTGTCTCCAGCTTCATCAGTGTTATTGCAAAGGACATGGTCATTTTTTTTTAATGGCCACAGAGTATTCCATGATGTTTATGTACCATATTTTGTATTTACTAAATCTTTTATTTTATTTTATTTTTGGAGATAGGCTTATTGCCCAGGCTAGAGTGCCATAGCATGATTTTGGCGTACTTTAGCTTCCATCTTTCAGGCTCAAGCAGTTCTCTCCTACCTCATCCTCCCAAGTAGCTGGGACTACACACGTATGCATTACCATGCCTGGCCAATTTTTCATTTTGTATTTTCTGTGGAGACAGGATTTTGCCATGTTGACCAGGCTGGTCTCAAACTTCTAAGCTCAGGCAATCCACCTGCCTCGGCCTCCCAAAATGCTGGGATTACAGACATGAGCCACCGCATCTGACCATACCATATTTTCTTTATCTTGTCTACCAGTGATAGGCATTCAGGGCCTGTCTACGTCTTTGCTATTGTGAATAGTGCTGCAATGAACATGCATGTGAATATGTCTTTATAATATAATAATTTATATTTCTTTGGCTATATACCCAATTATGAGATTCCTGGGTCAAATTGATAATTCTGTTTTTAGTTCTGTGAGGAATCACCACACTGCTTTTTACTGTTGTTGAACTAATTTACACTCCCACCAGAAGAGTATAAGCATTCCCTTTTCTCTGCAACCTTGCCAGCATCTGTTATTTTTTGACTTATGAAAAACAGCCATTCTGATGGGTGTGAGGTGGTATCTCATTGTGGTTTTTCTTTTAATTTCTCTAATGACTAGCGATGACCTTTTTTTTTTTTTTAATAATGCTTGTTAGCCACATGTATGTCTTCTTTTGACAAGCATCTGTTCGTGTTATTTGCCTACTTTTTAATGAGATGTTTGCCTTTTTCTTGTAAACTTGTTTAAATTCTTAATAAATTCTGTATGTTAGACCTTTGTCATAGACAACGTTTGCAAATATTTTCTTTTATTCTGTAGGTTGTTTGTTTGAGCTATTTATAGTTTCCTTTGCTGTGAAGAAGCTCTTTAGTTTAAATAGGTCCAATTTGTCAGTTTTTGCTTTTGTTGCAATTGCTTTTGGTAGCTTCATCATGAAGTCTTTGCCAGTGTCTATATCTAGAATGTTATTCTCTATGTTATCTTGCAGAGTTTCTTATAATTTTAAGTTTTTCATTTAAGTCTTTAATTTATCTTGAGTTGATTTTTGTATATGGTGTAATGAAGGGGTCCAGTTTCAGTCTTCTACATAGTGCTAGGTAGTTATTCCTGCACCATTTATTAAAGAGAGAATTCTTCCCATATTCCTCTTGTCAGCTTTGTCAAAAATCTGATGAGTGTAGGAGGGTGACATTATTTCTGGGCTCTCTATTCTGTTGTGTTGGTCTTGTGCACTTACGGATTTCATATATCTTTCTCTCTTCTGGTTTTTCCCCTGTAAACATTATTTCAAGTGCATACAGTGTGCTAATTTCAGATGTCCAAGAGTTCAAACTCTTCAAAAAGTTCCAAAAAAAAATTTTGCTATTCCCTCTTTTCTTTTTTTTTTTTGAGGCAAAGTCTCGCTCTGCCACCCAGGCTGGAGTGCAGTGGCGCGATCTCGGCTCACTGCAACCTCTGCCTCCTGGGTTCACGCCAATCTCCTGCCTCAGCCTCCCAAGTAGCTGGGACTACAGGCACCCGCCACCATGCCCAGCTAATTTTTTTGTTCTTTTTTTTGTATTTTTAGTAGAGACGGGGTTTCACGATGTTTGCCAGGATGGTCTTGATCTCCTGACCTTGTGATCCACCTGCCTTGGCTTCCCAAAGTGTTGGGATTGCAGGCATGAGCCACCGTGCCTGGCCGCTATTCCCTCTTTTCTTAAGGGATTTAGAATATATGTAGATATTTTTCTCTGCTTGTTTGAAATATATGTAAATCATGTCAACAGCTAAATAAAAGTTTTGTCATTTTTTCTGACTCCAGATTATTATAAGTACTTAAGATGTATTGCTTTGTTTTTGGTTCCGAAAAGTTTATTTTTTTGATTTTTATTCCTTTAAGGTAGACACAGATTTGTTTAGATACAAGCTCATTTTAAGAGCACACAGAAGCTTAGCACAAAGATAGGAGTAAAGGTAGCAATACAGAATAATAAAGACTAAATGATACTCAGTTTCTTTGACAGAAACCTGATAATCCAAGGTAACTATCCAATATTTGCAGGCTGAAGTACTTATACTGCGAAAGCAAGAACAGTTCAGGGTATAAACTGAACAGTTGAGTCTGTAGTTGTACCTTGCTTTCTGTTTATTATTTCAGAGCAATTAGCAGTTATCTTTGTAGATAATCTGCATTCATATAAATTAAACCATATTTTCATTTTTTTTTTTTTTGAGACAGTCTCACTCTGTTGCCGAGGCTGGAGTGCAGTTGTGTGATCTCTGCTCCCTACAACTGCTGCCTCCCAGGTTGAAGTGATTCTCCTACCTCAGTACCCTGAGTAGCTGGGTTTACAGGCATGCATCACCATGCCTGGCTGAATTTTTGTATTTATAGTAGAGATGGGGTATTACCATGTTTGCCAGCTTGAACTTGAACTGCTGACCTCAGGTGATCCACCCACCACAGCCTCCCAAAGTGCTGGGATTACAGGCGTGAGCCATAAACAGTATTTTCTAAAATAGTATGAATACAAAGCCACAATATTTACTTTGAATTAATCACTTAAATGGTTATTTTAATACTGTTATTTATGCTTTTGAAATATAAAATGTTTTAACTGAAGTATGGATTTTTTTTTTTCCGGAGTCTCACTCTGTCGTCCGGGCTGGAGTGTCACCATCTTGGCTCACTGCAAGCTCCGCCTCCCGGGTTCATGCCATTCTCCTGCCTCAGCCTCCCGAGTAGCTGGGACTACAGGCGCCTGCCACCACGCCCAGCTAATTTTTTTGTATTTTTAGTAGATACGGGGTTTCACCGTGTTAGCCAGGATGGTCTCAATCTCCTGACCTCATGATCCGCCCACCTCAGCCTCCCAAAGTGCTGGGATTACAGTGTAAGCCACCGCGCCTGGCCTCTGTTGCCCAGGCTGGAGTGCAGTGGTGCGATCTTGGCTCACTGCAACCTCCGCCTCCGAGGTTCAAGCAATTCTCCTGCCTCAGCCTCCCAAGTAGCTGGTAGTACAGTTGTGAGCCACCAGGTCCGGCTAATTTTTTTATATGGTTTTTGTAGAGACAGGGTTTCACTATATTGGCCAGGCTGGTTTTGAACTCCTGACCTCGTGATTCACCTGCCTCGGCCTCCCAAAGTGCTGGGATTACAGGCTTGAGCCACTGCGCCCAGCCTAACTGATGTATGGTTTTAATTTTTTTAATGCTACATACATTATGACTAGTTCATTAAAATTGTTCATACTTAGATATTTATATCTAATATCCAAAGAATATTTACAACCAAATTGTTACAGTTAGTAGATATTAGTCAGACATGTTTATTACTTTATTCATTCAGGATAATTATGAGGAAACACAATTTTAGTATCTTTTATTTCACTAAATTTGTATGCTGCTGTTACAGGACAAATAAAGACAGGTGATGTGGCCACCCAAAAACTATAGTAGCTCTTCAATTAGCTATGTTGCAAGTTCTAATATATTCCAGTATATGAACACAGTCAGATTCTATTTTTTCATCAAAATGTGTTGTTGGAAGTTGTAAGATGTATTTCAATATAGACCCCCATTCAATGGCTAGGAGAGGAGAGAACAGCAGAGATGGAAATGAAACTTTATAAAATTCTTCTGAAAATATGTCCCTGTTCTTTTCCTTTCTTTTTCTTTTTTTCTTTTTCTTTTTTTTTTTGCTGGGAGGGCAGGGGACAGAGTCTCACTCTGTCCCCCAGGCTGGAGTGCAGTGGTGCTATCTGGGCTCACTGCAACCTCTGCTTCCCAGGTTCAAGCGATTATCCTGCTAAACTACCACCTGTTATAAAGAGGTGAAAAGTTTATTTGTCATTGAATATAAGTAATTAGCATACACAGATGTCCTCTTCAATCTCCAGGTGAATTTAGGATGAACTATGTATGACATGGTGCTGGAAATTCTTCTACTTGTGAACTAATTATGGTGACCATCTTTCTATCTTTGCAGTCTCTTAAGCAGATTGACTGATGCATGTCACATTCAAGTTTAATTGTGTAATAAAACCATTTTCTTTCTGTTCTGTTATTGTGGAGTTTCTCTGGGGCTGGAGAAAATTTTTCTTTTAATTATTGTTTCCAAACAGTCTAGAATTACCAGACATGATATAAACACATAAGGGCCAACCAGAATTTACTCGAGGGGACATTCCCTCTCAGGCTTCCAGTAAATTCACACTTGTGCAGAAAAGTGCATGCCATACCCTAAATGTGCAGGCCGAATTGTGTTTCTGCCTATTTCTTATCTATAGTCCTCTACAGTCACTTCTAGAGAGTCTAGATCAGATTTCTATAAATTTCACAGGGCAGCAATCAATCATTTTACCTCTTTCAGTGACTCTTTTATCTTCAAACCTGAAACTGATTCAGAGACCATGGGGCCAACAAACCCAAGTAGAGTAACGTGTGTAGTGAGTAGACATGTAGACAAGAAAATCTCCATTTCTTTCTTCCTTCTCTTGCTAAAAAGCTCACAAATGTGCAGGTAACATGCGTGCTACTCCAGCCACTCAAGCCCTAAATCTGCAGCTCCATATTTTGAATCCAGGTCTTGAGATTTGGGAATTAAAAAACTTTTATCTGAAAAATGCAAGTCCTTTTAGTTATCAAACTCAGAGACGTTAAAATAAAAGTGCAATTATGTCTTTCTCCTCCCTTTGAATTCTGTATTCATCTTTTGAGACTGTTCACTATTGCCACATGTAGCTATAAATTAAACTAATAATGCTACATTGGACACTATATCCCATACCCTAAACTATAATGATATGTATCTAATCAATAATCAATGTTATTTTTGTAAATAAATAGAAATTTCTGACAAACAATTTTGCCCACTCTGTGTTTCTCTTATTGTCTTTACAAATCTTCTTGTAAATGCTGCTACTCAAAGTGTAGATTCCAGGCAACTTTAATCTTTGCTCGCAGGTTATATATAATCTGTAAACTTTACCCAAATAAACTGTCTACTTATATTCATGTTGTGTCAGCTTTTTTTTTTTTTTCATGTAGACTTATCATTTAGAATGTGCTAGAGCAGCCTCTATGGGGGGGATCTCTCCTTCGTTTGTACTCCACTTGCTGTAACACCAAAGGATGCAGAGCCAGGTGGATCCTACCTAGAATCTGCAGATAACATCTGGCCTCTGCCTGGGATTTACAAAAAAGGACCGGACTTTGGATAGAGAATGTACAGAAAACTAAGAAAAGGCATTTTCTGCATTGTGAGATGTCAACCTAGACAGCTTACAGCTCCCATTTGGGAGTGTGGTTCTGTGAGATTTTTCACATCTTGTTCATTGACCTGCTACAGTGATGTGAGAACCTCCAGAAGGAAATAGAATCTGATGACAGAATATGTGTAAGTGTAAAAAAAAAGCATCTTAAGAGTGAGAGAACAAGGCCACAAAATATCCAGTTATGACCACAACTATATTTACCTGTAAAATGTGATACTGGAGTAGAGTATTTGTGTTCTTTCTCTTACACAAGAGCTAGCAAATCAGGACAGGTGATCCAGGTTCTGTAGCTCCACCAAGGCAGTTCTATTTCCTATTTAGAATCAGCCTGAGTCTCTAGCCTGGCTTATCATTGGGCCACCAGCCCCAGGTCACTGGGAATTCTCTCACAATCATCTAGTGGTCTTTGAGACATTTGAGGATGTCCAGAGCAGAATTGTGTCAGGCTGACAAGAGTGGTTAATTCTGCTTCTTTCTCAGTGTAAGAGAAATGAATCATCCTGTTTGTTCATCCCCTCATACAAGAGGTGTCTTAGGTTGGTACCCAGATGAGAGTTTCTCCAGTTTCCTGGTACTGGGATGATAAACAAGGAGGAGATCTGGAGACCCAAACAGATAAACTAGTAGCTTCCATTTCATATGACCGTTAAAATAAAACATGAAGCAGCCATGGTTCCTACAATCCAGAAACTTAGTCTAGACTAGCAACTAGATAAATACTTGAATTATGCATCATATGGTTGGTATAACAAATAGATATGTCCAAAATATTGGACATTATTTGCCACTTTATATTGTTGTGACTTCTGATGTCTGTACTTGAAAGGATATTTATGAACAGAAGAATTGTTGTTATAATTTCTTTTTTTTTTTTTTTTTGATATGGAGTCTCCCTCTGTCACCCAGGCTGGAGTTCAGTGGCACAATCTCGACTCACCACAAACTCTGACATTTGGGTTCAAGTGATTCTCCTGCCTCAGCCTCCCAAGTAGCTGGGATTACAGGTGCCTGCCACCACACCCAGCTAATTTTTGTAATTTTAGTAGAGACGGGGTTTCAAAATCTTGGTTAGTCTGGTCTTGAACTCCTGACCTCGTGATCCACCTACCTCAGCTTCCCAAAGTGTTGAGATTACAGGCATGAGCCACCAGGCCCAGCCGTATTTCTATTTCTTTCATCCTGTTAAGTGAACATATTTGTTTCCTAATAAACTTACCCTTGAAAACCTTAAGGGATTTGTTTAAATTGCATATTAGCATATAATATAAAGTTGACAGGGCAGTGGCTGGAAAAGATTAAAATTACACAGACTCTGGGATTTAAGTTTATTTTAGGTAAGTTTAGAAAAAACAAAACTGGAAATACCCCAGTGACATAGAGAACAGAATTCTACATAGGGTCCACTTCCTGACCCAGTTCTGTTGAGATTCACCCTTTTTGGAGGCCTTATTTACGTCTGACCCTACCCTGGAGTCTTGTCTCACAGGTAGAAGAGGTCAGAGTTTTGGCTGGTGAATCCTGTTGTCTTTCTAGAGCTGGTGCTTAGAATTTCCTGAAATCCAAAAGCAGATAAATGGGAAAAATAAATTATGTGTTATAGGGTCTTAGTTTTTAAATTTTATATTAAAACCAGTGTTTGCAGAGACATTCTATTTAGGGACTTGTTTTCCATTCTTGCATATCCAGTAATTGCTCCACAAGTCACAAAAATGTAAATATAAACAGAATAAAATTTTCTCTGAACTACATTAAACTCTTGCCTTCCATATTTCTTTCATCTGTCTATATTTAGTTTTAATTTTTTATGGTTTTTTTTTTTAACAAATTTGATGGCAGAGAAACAGAAGAAGCAATAAAAATCCTGGGCCCTTTACCTAAATCCTGAAAATTATCATACACTTAGTACCGGCTCCCAGGGTGTTATGAGAATTAAATCACGTAATATGTTACGCCCAGCACAGTGCTCTGTATCATACTCTTGAGCACATAGTACCTGCTTAATAAACATTGCATTAGTACGTGTGTACATGTTGTTTTTTAAATCCAGACTTCTTCAGACATTGCTGCCTTCTGTTTTTTCTGTAAACTTTAAAGAACCAGCAAAGGATATAAAACTTTTGGATGGAGATGGGTTGTCCTTATTTGTACGAGAAGTATTTGGTTGTGACAAGAGTGCTAAGTAATAAGAGACCTTGTGCTGTACCTGCTTTCTCTAACTAATGCTAATGCGCCAAGGGGCGGGGGGAGCAACATCAGCATTGAAAGGGAACTTGTTTAAAACACCCATTCATGGACCCTTTTCAAACCTCCAGAGTCACATTACATAAATTGGGGCCAAAATTACCAAGTGATTTATAAGCTCATTAAAGCTTGAGAGAAAATGCTTAGCTCCGTGGTTATCAACCCAGGCTTCTCATTAGAATCACATGGCCAATTTGCAGAAATTCCTTGTGTCCTCCGCACAGCTTCTGTTTATTGTTCTGGGTGGAAGCATCCATGGAGTCCCTTATGTGACTCTAAGGTGAGACCAGAACCAAGTATGAGGGGTTCAAAATACATTCATGAGAGTTAAGTTCCACCTTTGCCCTAAAGGGTGGTCACAGGGCCTGTTCTGTTTGCGTTTGGTAGGGACAAGTCAGTGTGGCGCTTATTTCCATTACTGTAGCAGAAATGGCTGGTGTCCGTGGCAGGGGAGAGCATCTGAGGACAGCAAAGAGAAATTTATATTTTTATCTTCATGGAGCAGCTCATTGTTCCTGAATGTCTTCTGTTGTAAAGGACAGAAATGGGTGGACTTTTTCTGTCTTTATTTTTCTGCCAGTTGATGTTATGCTAGCAGGTAAACATGTGGTACTGACACCTTTAAAGACATAGTCTCAAGATAACAGGTGTAACTTGTCTAGAGAATCTCATCTGAGAAGGAATCCAGAGAAGGAGGAGAAAGAAAAAAAAGTGGCTTTTCTTCAGGTAAACATGTGTCAGATGAAGAGCTATGTCGACTCTGCCTCCTGGACTGCCATGCGTTTAGTACTCACAAACCTTTACTTGTCTACTTGTGTTTTTCCTCCCTAATGAGTTTGGCTTAATTACTTCTTTAAATTCTTACGATAGTCAAGAGTCTGAAAAATATTTCTTTCCTATATTTCAGAGCCTTCTCCTTATTCTCCGCATCATAGCTTCTTATATGCCATGCAGAATTCTCAGCAAGAATTTATGATCTGCAATATTAAAAATGTTCCCTTTGTGGCTGTTGAACATGGAAAGATGTGGATACTCAAGATTTCTATTGGGGAAAACTGTGGTCCTTAGTAAAGATGGAGAACATGTAATGTTGAGGCTCCAGCTGTGTGTTCCATTAGCTCTATGCAGAAGAGGATTAAGAAAATGCTGATTTAGGCCAGGTGCCGTGGCTCACACCTATAATCCCAGCACTTTGGGAGGCTGAGGCAGGTGGATCATGCAGGAGATCAAGACCATCCTGGTCAACATGGTGAAACTCTGTCTCTACTAAAATACAAAAAATTTGCTGGGCTTGGTGGCAGGCGCCTGTAGTCCCAGCTACTTGGTAGGCTGATGCAGGAGAATGGCGTGAACCTGGGAGGCAGAGCTTGCAGTGAGCCGAGATTGCGCCACTGCACTCCAGCCTGGGCAACAGAGCCAGACTCCATCTCAGAAAAAAAAAAAAGAAGAAGAAGAAGAAGAAGAAAATGCTTATTTAAATGGGATGGCATTTATTACCCAGAAAGTTCTGAAAAAAATTATTAGGAGATACCTGCTCTTTAGGATGCTAAATGAAGCCTACTTAAAATTACTACTAAAAGTTACTGAACATAGAGTTTTCTGTATTTTAAAGTTTGTATACAACTGATGATTCTTTTTTTTTTTTTTTTGACACGGAGTCTGGCTTTGTCACTGAGGCTGGAGCACAGTGGCATGATCTCGGCTCACCACAACCTTCACCTCCCAGGTTCAAGCAATTCTGCCTTAGCATGCTGAGTAGCCAGGATTACAGGTGCTTGCCACAACACCCGGCTAATTTTTGTATTTTTAATAGAGATGGGGTTATACCATGTTAGTCATGCTGGTCTCGAACTCCTGACCTTGTGATCCTCCCGCCGCAGCCTCCCAAATTGCTATCACAGGCATGAGCCACCATGCCTGGCCTAAAACTGATGTTTATGGTTACATTCGGACTATAATTTACTTTTTTTGGGAGGAATATTACAACAGTGATGCTGTGTTCTTCTGTGTGCATTAGCACATCATAAAAATTTGTCCTAGGCCGGGCGCAGTGGCTCACACCTGTAATCCCAGCACTTTGGGAGGCCGAGGTGGGTGGATCACGAGGTCAGGAGATCGAGACCATCCCGGCTAACACGGTGAAACCCTGTCTCTACTAAAAATACAAAAAATTAGCCAGGCATGGTGGCGGGTGCCTGTAGTCCCAGCTACTCGGGAGGCTGAGGCAGGAGAATGGCGTGAACCTGGGAGGTGGAGCTTGCAGTGAGCCGAGACTGCGCCACTGCACTCCAGCCTGGGCGACAGAGCAAGACTCCGTCTCAAAAAAAAAAAAAAAAAAAACCATTGTCCTAGTGCAGTTAACAGTTAATGCATTAACCATTAATTAATTGGTTAAAGATCTCTGGGACATATTTTTTTCACTATAGAGTTAATTATTTTTCCTCTTTATTATTACGTATCTTTATGCAGCTGATGTGCATAAACCATCACATTTAATCTGGCAACTGTCCTTATTTTTTTTTCTACACATGTTTCTTTGGTAAATGAGGGCTGTTTGTTTACAGGCTAGAAAAAGTGGGAAAAACACAGGCTGTTCCACTTACTAAATGTTTGACAAAATATCCTTCTTGGGCCAAAGACATTGGCATTACTGTTGAGCTTATTAGAAATTCACCACATTGGCCAGGTGTGGTTTCTCCACCTGTAATCCCAACACTTTAGGAGGCCAAAGTGGGCAGATCACCTGAGGTAGGGAGTTCAAGACCAGCCTGACCAACATAAACACCATCTCTACTAAAACTACGAAAAAAATTACCGGGTGCGGTGATGCATGTCTGTAATCCCAGCTACTCAGGAGGCAGAGGCAGGAGAATTGCTTGAACCCGGGAGGCGGAGGTGGCGGTGAGCTGAGATGGCACCATTTCACTCCAGCTTGGGCAACAAGAGCGAAACTCCATCTCTAAATAAATAAATAAATAAATAAATCAGACTTTATTCCAGATCTTCTGGGGGAAAAAAAACCTGCATAACGATGTCTTCAGCTTATTGTACATATTAAAACTTTAGAGATGCCTTCTAACTAAACATGTCTTTTCCATCTGAAAAATATTCACAACTCATTCTGTATAATGTAACTATAGCACTGAAAAATTTACATGTTCCTGTTCTTGCCCTTAATTTTATACTTTATTATCTAGAAACATACATGAATTGATGTTGTGGATCTTATGCTGCTCTTTCTTCTCAGAGTTAGAGAATACATTAGAGAATATTTCTGTTTTGAAATCATTTTATTGGATAATTTTAGTCAGTCCTATAAGTCAGAACCAGTTCTCTTTACTCTCTTATTTCACCTTAAGTCAAATTAAAAATTCCGCCCATGGCCACTTGGTAAAAATGTGTGTGTGTGTGTTTTTCAGGGACCATTGCAATTTAGAGATGTGGCCATAGAATTCTCTCTGGAGGAGTGGCATTGCCTGGACACTGCACAGCGGAATTTATATAGGAATGTGATGTTAGAGAACTACAGTAACCTGGTCTTCCTTGGTGAGGATAACTTGAGTACATAATATACCCTATAGATTTTATTTATTTATTTTTTGTAGAATGTTTTTTAGTAATTTATTCTTTGCATAAAAGAGTTTCAGATCCCCATTTTCCAGAAAATCTTCAGAATTTGTTCGTTTAGAAAAGAATTTCTTCAACATGTTTTATCTTAATCCAAACTTTCCACTTTCCTGAGTTGAGCTGTATTTTTCACTCTAAATTAGTGGTAATTCCAGAAATTTAGTGGCATAAAATATTGTTGCTCCACCTGAAAATCTAATTGCCACCACCAATTTTTGATTCAGTAGCACCAGGTAGTAAAATTAAGAAACCTACAAATTGAAAGTATTTTCTAATTATTTAAAAATTTCTGTTACAACTTAGTATTTTTGTATTAATTTACTAGAATATTTTATCACATCCTCTGTGCTGAGCACATTACTAGCTTGTAATTGGAGAACATAAGCAAGATTTATGTTATTTATTTTTAATAAAACAGGTATTACTGTTTCTAAGCCAGACCTGATCACCTGTCTGGAGCAAGGAAGAAAACCTTTGACCATGAAGAGAAATGAGATGATAGCCAAACCCTCAGGTAGGTGTGAGTGAAAATGAATACAACAGATGACACAGATAAGGGGTCCCAAGGTCAAAGAGAAAGCCAGTCCTTAAAGTGTGATTTGGGGAGCTGTGTTCCAAAGGAAATAGTTCTTGGGCAGCTATTTTTTGTTTGTTTGTTTGTTTGGTTTTTTCTTTTTTAATTTTGCTTACAAAGGGGCATCTTCTGTCTTATGCTTTTAAATTCTCTAAGGATTTTCCTTTTCTTTCAGTGAGCTTCCTTCAAGTTCACAGTGAGAGCCAAAGTCCTCTTCATGACATATAAGAGACTGCACAGTGTGGCTGCTTTTCCATAATTTTTGGGACGCACAAATGTCTGCATGATTTTGAGAAACTAAAATTACTCTCAAAGTTCTCTTTGCATCAGATCTGAAATGTCTGAGAGTAATAGTTTCTGTTGAATTTTTTTTTGTTCATTTTTCTGCACAGTCCATTCTGTTTTTATTACTATCTAGGCTTGAAATATATAGTTTGAAATTATGACATCCTTCCTCTTTGTTATTTTCCTCATGATTGCTTTGGCTATTCAAAGTTTATTTTAGTTTCATGTAAATTTTTGAATTGTATTTTCCATTATTGTGAAAATAGTACCACTGCAATTTTAATAGGAAGTTTATTGAATCTATAGATTACTTTGGATAATATGGCACTTCAATAATATTCATGTTTTCAATTCATAGACAAAATATTTTAAAATTTATTTGTATCTTTTCTAACTTTTCCTTTTTTTATTGTAAAGATTTACCTCCTTGGTTAATATTTTCCTCAGAAATTTATTATTTAAGGTATAGTCAATAAAATTTTCTTCCTCTATTTTGTCAGATAGTTTAAGTGTATGAAACCATAGATATACTTGTATGTTAATTTTATATTTTGCTAATTTACTGAGTGTATTTATTAGTTTAGAGAGGTTTTAATGTACTGTTTATGGTTTTTTAAATATAAGATTACTTATTTTTTAATTTCAATGGATTTATTTATTTCTTTGACTAATTCTTCTGCCCATACTTCCAGTGCTACATTAAAATAGAAGCATTGAAAATGGGCACAATATAGTTTTGTATTGGTGTTTGAATTTGATGGAGCAGACACCTCTTCAAGTTTTCATAAACTGATTTTAGATTGTAAAGATTTTCTTTTATTGGGCCCTTAGGGTGATGAGATGCCCTCTGAATTTGTAGTGAAGAGGGGTTGTAGCTTGGTCACAAGGCTGCTGGGTCTCCATTAGGTTTCATCTTCAGTTGGCTTGTTACAGGGGCTTGGGTAGTTGTAATTTCCATTTTATTTTTGGACAGACTGCATATCCTTCGGGACTTTGCTCTGTAGGGCAGACACTAGGGCATGTTTTTGCAGTCAGGTCTGCAGATGCTGGGCCTTAAATCAGGATGTGGATGAGTGTGGCTTTCAGTGAGTACCAGAGAGCATTTCCTCAGGTAACTGTGTGGGTTTCTATATAGGCAGGACTGACCATGAACTGTGGCTCGTGTAACGGAAACTGAGTCAGTGAACTGTTTCAGGGACCATGGTAAAGGCCAAGGTATGCAGGCCTGCCTACATGGCTGTAAATAGATGCCTTCCTCCAGGTCTCTGGAATAGCAGGACCTCTGCCAGACTCTGGCTTGGGAGGAGTTTGTGGTGGCTACAGAGTAAGTTCAGAATTCTCAGTGGGACCAAGTTGGGTGAACCCTATCCTGGTCTGTAGCCAAGAACAGGGGTCCTGTAATTTCCCACCTGAATGAGGGCCTGCCTTCTGAATAGAACACGTCTCGAACTTCAGCTTTAATAGGGTTTCACAACTGCATCCCTGGATCTCACATCTCTCTTAGAGGCACTTATTTTGGAGATGACGTCTTGCTACATAACCAAGGCTGGTCTCAAAATCCTGGCCTGAAGCATTTCTCTCCAACAGTAATGTACCATGTAGCTGTCATTACAGATGTGAACCATAATGCCTGGTTGTCTCATAAAGTCATTTTTGGTCAGGGATGGCTGACTTTTTTTGCTATAAGGGGATATGAAAATAGAGCACTTTTATTATTTTCATCTTACTGATGTCACTCTCCTTATACCTTTTTTCTTTCTATATTCTATTTCAAATTTGTAATTTTAGATTCAGTTATTTAGGATAATATGCTAGAATTTGCATGGTATGCTGAAAGTAAATTAGATAATTAGTAAGCACTCCATATTTATGAAAATAGTTACTAAATATAAACATAGTTACTAGTTATAAGTAGTTATAAAATTATGGAATTTTCATCTACTTTCTTCACCCTGTATATAAATAATGAGTTTATTTCCTAATATTTGTTTTACATATCAGAGGGTCTAACCCTATTCTCCAAAATATATATATATTTTTTTCTGTGTTTAACAATGTAAGGCTATTCTTTGCTTCTAAAGTTAGAATACAGCAGTTTCGTTTTGTGTAAGAATAGCATATATTTAAAACATAAAAAGAAACTCCAGTTTCTTTTAAATGCTAATTTATTAAGTTTCTCATTAGAATCTATTTATAATTATACTGCATATTCTCAAAATTTTACTGCTACACAGTGCATGCCAATGATTCAAAATACCTGTATATGATGAGTACATAATACTAGTTAAAGATTGCAGTTACTTCAACAAATTTTTTTTTTTTTTTTTTGAGAAGGAGTTACCCTCTCTCATCCAGACTGGAGTGCAGTGGTGCGATCTTGGCTCACTGCAACCTTCACCTTCCGGGTTCAAGCAGTTCTCATGCCTCATCCTCCCAAGTAGCTGGGATTACAGGCATGTGCCACTATGCCTGGTAATTTTTGTATTTTTAGTAGAGATGGGGTTTCATCATGTTGACAGACTGGTTGACCTGACCTCAGGTGATCCGCCCGCCTCAGCCTCCCAAAGTGCGAGACTACAGGCATGAGCCACCGCGCCTGGCCTGACAAATTTTCGTAATGATACTTCCATGTGTTACACCAGATTTTATGAGTAAACATTTGTCTTATTGTTTGAAGTTCTGTATTAGCATGTTTCTTCAGTGTAGTTTTTTTGTTTGTTGTTGCTGCTGTTGTTGTTGTTTTGAGAGGAAGTTTCGCCATGTTGCTCAGGCTAAAGTGCACTGGCGCGATCTCAGCTCACTGCAACCTCCGCCTTCCAAGTTCAAGCCATTCTTCTGCCTCAGCCTCCGGAATAGCTGGGACTACAGGCACGCCACCACCCCCGGCCAATTCTTGCATTATTATTCGAGATGGTGTTTCACCATATTGTTCAGGCTAATCTCAAACTTCTGACCTTGTGATCTGCCCACCTTGGCCTTCCAAAGTGCTGCAATTATAGTCATGAGCCACTGCGCCTGGTCTCAGTGTAGGTTTCTTAACATCAGTTTATTGTGCCTATTGGTTTTACTTATGTATTATAATTTTAGAGAATTTGCAATTCTGTTTGTACACTTTAAGTCCATTTGAGGCTTAAGAGATAAATTGCACGTGTCTATCACAATCAGATTACATATGTATGTGTGTGTTTATCTATAAATATGACCCCAGTTTTAGTTATGGCTTATCTTATATTCTTAGCTGATTTTTGATGGTAGTTTTATCTTGTCTAAGTGAGTAGTCATGAAGATAGTCTTATTTTCAACATGGGTTTAATGATGAATATATATTTCCTTTTGTGAGAGAAACAGTTTTGTGATTTGAAGGTAATTTTCAAAAAGATTAATAATTCTGGATTTTTTTCAGTTTTTTTTTTTAAACATTGTTTTAAAAACACGTAACATAACATTTACCATCTTAAATTTATTGAAGTGTATATTTCAGGGCCAGGCATGGTTGTGGCTCTCTTCTGTAATCCCAGGATTTTGGGAGGCCAAGACAGGAGGATTCCTGGAGCCCAGAAGTTTGAGACCAGCCTGGGGAACATATGGAGACCCCTTTCTATAAAAAAAAAAATTAATAAGAGTCAGGCATCGTGGTGTGCAGCTGTGGTCCCAGCTACATGGGAGATTGAGCTGGAGTCAAAATTGTGCCACTACACACCAGCTTGGGTGACAGAGTGAGACCCTGTCTCAAAATAAACAAGCTGTTCATTTCAGGCATGTTAAGTATATTCACATTGTTATGCAAAAGACTCCTAGAAATTTTACATCTTGCAAAACTAAAACTCAATACCCATGAAATAACAACTGCTAATTTTACCCTCTCTCCAGCCCTTGACAGACAAAATTTCCACTTTCTATTTTTATGATTTTGACTACTTAAGGTATCTCATATAAGTGGAATCGTACAGTATCCATAATTTTGTTACTGGATTATTCAAGTGACATAATATTCTCAATGTTTATCTTAAAATGTGACAAGATTGTTTTATTTAAGGTGGAATAATATTCCATTTTATGTATATGTTATATTTTTTGACGTATTTTTAAATCAAGAGACATCTGGGTTGCTTCAGCCTTTTGGCTTTTTTGAATACTGGTATAATAAAGATAGATTTTCAAATATGTCTTCCAGGTCCTGTGTTGCTTTTTTTTTTTTTTTTTGAGATGGAGTCTCACTCTGTCACCCACGCTAGAG
The DNA here is from genome assembly GCF_000001405.40 of Homo sapiens. NCBI lineage: Eukaryota > Metazoa > Chordata > Mammalia > Primates > Hominidae > Homo > Homo sapiens. The sequence continues at coordinate 20,641,101 of NC_000019.10, read as the reverse complement.
TGCAGTGGTGTGGTCTCGTCTAACTGCAATCTCTGCCTTCTGGGTTCAAGCGATTCTCCTGCTTCAGCCTCCCAAGTAACTGGGATTTTAGGCGCCCACGACCATGCCCAGCTAGTTTTTTGTATTTTTAGTAGAGACAGGGACAGCCTGGTCTCAAACTCCTGGCCTCAGGTGATCTGCCCCTACCTTGGCCTCCCAAATTGCTAGGATTACGGGCTTGAGCCACTGTGCCTGGCTTTTTTTACGTATTTTGGATATAGATTTATAAATGAGAAACATTTATAACTTTTTAAAATAATGACTGCACCTTTGTTATCCACCAACATTCAACTTAGGTTTCATTTTTATTGCATCATCAACAGATTTGGTGTTTTTAAAAAAATTTATAGTGGCCATTCTAATGTGTGTGAGGTGATTTTGTTTGTCATTGTGTTTTTTTTTTTCATTTCTCTATAAACTAGTAATTTTCTGTGTCCTTTCAAATGCTTTTTCTCATTTGTGTACTTTTCTAATAAAAATTTCATTTGTCCATTTCTAAATTAAGTTATTCATCATTGTTTAGTTTTAAGGGTTGTTTATATATTTTGAATATTAATTTCTGTCACATGTAATATGCAAATGTTTTACCCATTTTCTAAGGGATGTTGTTACTCTTGAATTGTTTCTAATATGCAGAAATTTTGAAGTCTAGTGTAAACTTTTCTGTTTCATTTGTTGCTCAGGCATTTAATTTTGTATCTAAGAAAATTGTGCCAAACCAGTGTCATGTCTTTTTCCCGTATTTTTTCCTAAAAGATTTGTTAGTTATTTTATTAAACTATTTTTAATAATTAAATTAATAATTTTAATAATTAAAATTAATAATTTAATTATTTAAATAATTGAATTTAATATTAAAAAATTAAAATATTTTAAATAATATTTTATTAAAAATATATTTTTGTAACATTCAAGGAAATAATCCAACTTTATTTTATCGGTGTTGATATTCACTTTTCAACATCATTTTTTGAAGAGATTATTTTTCTCCATTTTTTACTCATGGCAACTTTGTGGAAGATCATTTCATCATATACAGAAGGGTTCATTTCTGAGCTCTCCATTCTGTTCTTTCATCAGTTTATCTTTGTGTCAGTATCACATTGTTTATGTTCTGTAGCTTTTAACTCTAGATTTTATTGACATTTTGTGAAAAATGAAATTTTTTGACCCCTGAGCAAGAATATGTTGAAGAGTGTGTTTCATATACACAGTTTTGAATTTGCCAGTTTGACTTTTGCTTTTAATTCCTAGTTTCATTCAGTTTTTATTAGAAAACACACAGTGTGTAATTTTAGTCTTTTTTAAATGATTGTTTTTGTTGTTTTGAGGCAAGATTTTACTGTCACCTCGTGTGAAGTGCAGTGGCATAATTTTGGCTCTCTGTAGCCTCAGCCTCCTGGGCTCAAGTGATCCTTTTACCTCAGTTTTCTGAGTAGCTAGGACTACAGATACGCACTAGATGTCTGTTTAATGGTTGGTTTGTTTGTAGTGTTCGGATCTGACTACGTTGCCCAGGCTGGTCTTAAACTTTTGGCACCAATGGATCCTCTTACCTTGATCTCCCAAAGTGTTAGGATTGTAGGCAACAGCCATTTCACCCAATCAGTATTTTTGAATTTAATAAAACTTGGTATGTGTCCTAACAGAATACACCAGATGCAAATAAGAATATTTTGTATTATCTTGGTTTTGACTGGAAAGTTTTGTATGCATCTGTGAAGCCTAGTTGGTCTATAATATGGTTTGGATATCCATGTTCTCCAAACCTCATGCTGCAGTATAAATCCTTAATGTTGGATGTAGGACCTGGTGGGACATGTTTGGGTCACAGGGGCAAATTTCTCATGAATGGCTGGTACATTTTCTTGGTAACCAAAAAGTTTATGCTCTATTGATTCAAATGAGAGTAGGTTCCTTAAAAGAACCTGGCTCCTTCACCTCACACTTGCTCTGTCTCTTACCATATAATACATCCAGTTACTCTTTATTTTTCACCATGATTGTAAGTTTCCTGAGATCTTCACCAGAAGCAGTTGTTGACACACACTTCTTATACAGTCTGCCAAACTGTGAGCCAAATATACCCCTTTTTGTTATAAATAACGTACTCTCAATTATTCCTCTATTTGCAAAATAAATAACATAGTCTATAATGTTTTCTAAGTTTCCTGTTTCTTATTTTTTTTCTGAATTTTCCATTTACTGCAAATGGGGTCTTGATGTCTACAATGATTATGTTGCTATGTATGTCTTCCTTCACTTTTGTCAATATTTGCTTTATGTATTTTGGAGCCCTGATGTTATATACACATATACATATAGAAAGATAAATATTATAGTTATAGATTTCTGCTACATCAACTAACTTTGTCATAATATAATATCAGTCTTTGTCTCATAGTAGTACATGACTTAAAGCATGTTATGTCTAATTATGACTACCCCACTCAATTGTGGTTACTATTTTCATGGAATATACGTTTTTCCATTCTGTTACTTCAGCCTATTTGACTGAATGCTAAAATGAGTCTCTTATAGGCAGCATACTGATTGCTTTTTAAAAAAACCACTCAGGCTTTCTATTTCTTTTTCTCTATATAATTTTATTTATTTATTTATTTATTTATTTATTTAGACATGCAGTTTTGCTCTTGTTGCCCAGGCTGCAGTGCAGTGGTGCAATCTCAGTTCACTGCAGCCTCCACCTCCTGGGTTTAAGCAATTCTCCTGCCTCAGCCTCCAGAGTAGCTGGGATTACAGGTGCCCGCCACCATGCCCAGCTAATTTTTTTATATTTTTAGTAGAGACAGGGTTTCACCGTGTTGGCCAGGCTGGTCTTGAACTCCTGACTTCAGATGATCTGCCCATTTCGGCCTCCCAAAGTGCTGGGATTACAGGCATGAGCCACCACGCCTGGCCTCATTTATTTTTGAAATAGGGCCTCACTCTGTCAACCAGGCTGATTTGCATGTCTCACTGCTATCCAGACCTCCCAAACTCAGATTATCCTCTCATTTTAGCCTCTCAAGTAGCTGGGTTACTAGTATGTGCCATCACACCCAAATAGCTTTTTTGTATTTTTTGTAGAGACAGAGTTTTGCCATGTTGCCCAGGCTGGTCTTGAACTCCTGGGATCAAGTGATCAGCCTACGTTGGCCTTCCAAAGTCCTAAGATTACATTTTATTTTATTAAGTAGTTTAATTAATTTATATTTAAAATGATTGCTTAAAGAAATGAAGTTGTTATTTCCAGTTACGTTATTATTGTTTTGTGTGTTTCTAGTAGTTTTATTTTTCTCATTTCCTGTTTTACTTTCTTAATTTTTATTTAATTTTGTACTGGCATGCATTATTTTTTATTTTCTTTTGCACACTTTCTATAAATATTATCTTTGTAATCATCTTGAAAGCTGGAGATTACATACATCTTAAAGTTAAAACAATATGTTTTAATTTTATAACAACTTCAATTTAATACAAAAACTATGTCTCTACATTTTCCAGTTTTTTATTGATATTAAAATTATTTTATATGGTATATTAACAAATTTAGGCAGAATTTTTTTTTTTTTTTTGAGACAGAGTGTCACTCTGTTGTCCAGGCAGGAATGCAATGGCACAATCTTGGCTCACTGCAGCCTCCATCTCCCAGGTACAAGTGATTCTCCTGCCTCAGCCTCCCGTGTAGCTGGGATTACAGGTGTGCACCACTATGCCCGGCTAATTTTTGTATTTTTAGTAGAGACAGGGTTTCACCATGTTGGCCAGGCTGGTCTCGAAGTCCTGGCCTTGTGATTCCCCCCTTGGCCTTCCAAAGCACTGGGCTTACAGGCATGAGCCACTGCGCCCAGCCGATTTATGCACATTTACATATTGTTTTTTATATTCTATAAAAGAACTTTAAAGGTTTTATGAATAATCATTTCGATTTTGTTTTTTGTTTTGTTTTGTTTTGTTTTTTGAGATTGAGTCTCACTCTATGGCCCAGGATGGAGTGTGGTGGGCACCATTGCACTGGGCCTTTTTTTTTTTTTTTTTTTTGAGATGGAGTCTTTCTCTGTCACAGGCTGGAGTACCGTGGCATGATTTTGGCTCATTACAGTCGCCACCTCCTTGATTCAAGAAATTCTCCTGCCTTGTCCTCCTCAGTAGCTGGGACAACAGGAATGTGCCACCATGCCCAAATAATTTTTGCACTTTTAGTACAAACGGTGTTTCACCATGTTATTCAGGCTGGTCTTGGACTCCTGACCTCAGACAATCCACCCACCTTGGCCTCCCAAAGTGTTGGGATTACAGGCGTGAGCCAGGGAGCACAACCCTGTATATTATATCTTGTAGGACTGTGCCAATGGTGATGAACAGTCTCAACTTTTATTTTGGAAAGTCTTTATTTTTATATTCTTTTTGAAGTAAAATAATTTTGAATCGAGTATTACTGGTTAGAAGTTTTTGTTGTTGTTACATCAAAATTTGGGAAGTTCTCAGCTTTTTTTTTTTAAATCTTCAAGTAACCTCTGTATTACTTTACCTTATATTTTAAGAGTCCTTTCATGAATACATTGATCTACTTGTTTTACATCCCATGTTTTAATTTTTTTGTAATTTAATATTTTGTGTTATATATTTTTGGGAATGTCACATCACATCATTTAATTATGTGTTGATTTTTTAGTTTATATTATAATTGTATATAACAATATATTTTTTAGTTTATAATTGTATGTAACAATATTTAACTGTACAATTTAAGACAGTGAAGAGCAAAATTAAATATGAAAAAGCCATGTATCTATTGCCAATATAATTGTTTCTGTGTTTCTTTGCCTGTATAAATATTATCCCTGTAGCTTTGTGTCACTTGTATATTTGTTTTGTAGGTATGGTGTAACAGGTTTTTGGTTTTGGTTTTGGTTTTGGTTTTTTTGAGAGGGAATTTCACTCTTGTTATGCAGGCTGCAGTACAATGGTGGGATCTCAGCTCACTGAAACCTCCAACTTCTAGGTTCATGCCATTCTCCTACCTCAGCCTCCTGAGTAGCTGGGATTACAGGAATGTGCCACCACACCCGGCTAATTTTGTACTTTTAGTAGAGACAGGGTTTCACCATTTTGGTCAGGTTGGTCTCAAACTCCTGACCTCAGGTGGTCTGCCTGCCTCGGCCTCCCAAAGTGCTGGGATTACAGGCATGAGCCACTTCGCCTGGCCTGTAACAGTTTTTTTAATCCTGTCTAGGTGAGTAGTCATAAAATCTCTCCCAATTTCAGCGTCTATTTATTTTTGAATCTATATTAATTTTGTGCCAGAGAAACATTTTTGGATTTGAAGATAATTTAAAAACAATAATTACTCTGTATCTCTTTTAGGTATTATTGTTTATTTTTACTTATGCGTTATGTGTCAAAAACACATAACAAAATTAACAATAAAATTTTCTAGGCTGGGCGCGGTGGCTTATGCCTGTAATCCCGTCACTTTCAAAGGCCGAGGTGGGTGGATCACGGTGTCAGAAGATTGAGACCATCCTGGCCAACATGGTGAAACCCTGTCTCTACTAAAATACAAAAAATTAGCCAGGCGTGGTGGTGATCACCTGTAATTCCAGCTACTGAGAAGGCTGAGGCAGAGGAATCACTTAAACCCAGGAGGCGGAGGTTGCAGTGAGCTGAGATAATGCCACTGCAGTTTTGCCTGAGAGTTAGAGTGACAAGTATATATTTCTAAATATTCAGTTTGGTCATATTAATTATATAGACATTGTTATGCAACATCACTAGAATGTTTTTATCTTGCAAAGCTAAATCTCACTACACATTAAACAACTACCAATTCATCCAATTTCGTGGCACTTTTCAAACACCACTCTGTTTTCTGTTTCTAGGAGTATAACTGCTTTACATATCTCATATAATCTCTGTCTTTTTCTGGCTGGCTTATTTTATTTTGCATAATGTCATCAATATTTATCTTAATAGTTAGACTATTTTCTGCTATTTGAAAACTGAATGAGATTCCAGTATTTTTCTACCTACTGAATGATTTGATGACAGAAATTTGTATTGTTTTAACCTGTTGGCTTTCAGTAACAATGCTGCAATAATTATGTGAAAGCTAACATATGTGCTGCATTCTGTTTTATTGTTCTACTTTTTCACTTTTATACTCATACCAAATTGTTTTAATTCTGTAGCTTTTTGATGTGTTTAGAAATCAGAAATTGTAATGCCTCCAACATTATTCCTTGAAGATTATTGAGTACTTTATTAACTCTTTAGATTCCATATACTTTTGGATTTGCTGTTTTTATTCAAAAGTGCAATGAGAAATTTGAAAAATGGTGCATTAATTCTGTAGATTAAATTGAACAGTATAGACATCTTCACAATATTACTCCTTTTTCGATTGTTTGTTTTTGAGATGGAGTTAAATTCACCCACCTCAGCCTCCCAAAGTGCTGGGATTACAGGCCTGAGCCACCGCACCCAGCCAGTTATTTCAACAAGTGCATGCTTAATACTGTGTTGTATCATTTCTAAATATTTTTAAATTTATCAATTATTTATATTATTGTTTTATACTCTAATTCCATTTTTGTCATAGAAAGTGATCTATAAAATTTCAGTTTTAAAAAATGTGTTAAGGCTTTGTTTTTGGCCTAACAGGTGGTCTATAAAGAAGAAAGTTGTATGAGGTAATGAGAAGGCTGTGTATCCTGATGTTGTCGAGGAGTGTTCTCTATACCTTCATTAGAAATAATTGTTTTTTTACTGCCTTCTAGTCTTCTGTTTCCTTACTAATATTCTCTCTTGTTTTATTACAGAAAGTGGAGTATTGAAATATCCTACTATAATTGTATTGCTCTCTTTGTGTTTATTCAGTTTTGTTAGTATTTGCTTTATATAGCTGAAACCCCAATATGAGACACACACACATAAATACACACATGTATATACAAATTTGTAATAGGTTCCCAGTGAATGAATCTAATGTCCTTCTTTGTCTTTTTGAAGTTTTGACTTAAATACACTTTATAAAGTATGACAGTTTTTAACTTAACTTGTAGCTTGTGTAACATTATTTTGACCCCTTCTCCTCTTGTTTTGATAATATTTACATGAGGGGGGAGGAGCCAAGATGGCCGAATAGGAACAGCTCTGGTCAACAGCTCCCAACGTGAGCGATATAGAAGATGGGTGATTTGTGCATTTCCAACTGGGGTACTGGGTTCATCTCACTGGGGAGTGCCAGACAGTAGGCGCAGGATGGTGGGTGCAGCGCACTGTGCACGAGCCAAAGCAGGGCGAGGCATCGCCTCACCCAGGAAGTGCAAGGGGTCAGGGAATTCCCTTTCCTAGTCAAAGAAAAGGGTGACAGATGGCAACTGGAAAATTTGGTCACTCCCACCCTAATACTGCGCTTTTCCAACGGGCTTAAAAAACGGCACACCAGGATATTATATCCCTCACCCAGCTCAGAGGGTCCTACGCCAATGGAGTCTCACTCATTGCTAGCACAGCAGCCCGAGATCAAACTGCAAGGCAGCAGCGAGGCTGGGCGAGGGGCGCCCACCATTGCCGAGTTAGTTGTTTGATTAGGTAAACAAAGCAGCCGGGAAGCTCAAACTGGGTGGAGCCCACCACAGCTCAAGGAGGCCTGCCTGCCTCTTAGGCTCCACCTCTGGGGGCAGGGCACAGACAAACAAAAAGACAGCAGTAACCTCTGCAGACTTAAATGTCCCTCTCTGACAGCTTTGAAGAGAGTAGTGGTTCTCCCAGCATGCAGCTTGAGATCTGAGAATGGGCAGACTGCCTTCTCAAGTGGGTCCCTGACCCCCAAGTAGCCTAACTGGGAGGCACCCCCCAGTAGGGGTGGACTGACACCTGACACGGCCGGGTACTCCTCTGAGACAAAACTTCCAGAGGAACGATCAGGCAGCAGTATCTGCGGTTCAGCAAAATCCGCTGTTCTGCAGCCACCGCTGCTGATACCCAGGCAAACAGTGTCTGGAGTGGACCTCCAGCAAACTTCAACAGACCTGCAGCTGAGGGTCCTGTCTGTTAGAAGGAAAACTAACAAAGAGAAAGGACATCCACACCAAAAACCCATCTGTACATCACCATCATCAAAGACCAAAGGTAGATAAAACCACAAAGATGGGAAAAAAACAGAGCAGAAAAACTGGAAACTCTAAAAATCCGAGCGCCTCTCTTCCTCCAAAGGAACGCAGCTCCTCACCAGGAACAGAACAAAGCTGGACAGAGAATGACTTTGACGAGTTGAGAGAAGGCTTCAGATGATCAAACTATTCCAAGCTACAGGAGGAAATTCGAACTAATGGCAAAGAAGTTAAAGGCTTTGAAAAAAAATTAGACGAATAGATAACTAGAATAACCAATGCAGAGAAGTTCTTAAAGGACCTGATGGAGCTGAAAACCAAGGCACGAGAGCTATGTGACGAATGCAGAAGCCTCTGTAGCCGATGCGATCAACTGGAAGAAAGGGTATCAGCGATGGAAAATGAAATGAATGAAATGAAGCGAGAAGAGAAGTTTAGAGAAAAAAGAATAAAAAGAAACGAACAAAGCCTCCAAGAAATATGGGACTATGTGAAAAGACCAAATCTACATCTGATTGGTGTATCTAAAAGTGACGGGGAGAATGGAACCAAGTTGGAAAGCATTCTGCAGGATATTATCCAGGAGAACTTCCCCAATCTAGCAAGGCAGACCAACATTCAAATCAGGAAATACAGAGAACGCCACAAAGATACTCCTCGAGAAGAGGAATTCCAAGACACATAATTGTCAGATTCACCAAAGTTGAAATGAAGGAAAAAATGTTAAGAGCAGCCAGAGAGAAAGCTCGGGTTATCCACAAAGGGAAGCCCAGCAGACTAACAGCTGATCTCTTGGCAGAAACTCTACAAGCCAGAAGAGAGTGAGGATCAATATTCAACATTTTTAAAGAAAAGAATTTTCAACCCGGAATTTCATATCCAGCCAAACTAAGCTGCATAAGTGAAGGAGAAATAAAATACTTTACAGACAAGCAAATGCTGAGAGATTTTGTCACCACCAAGTCTGCCCTAAAGGAGCTCCTGAAGGAAGCACTAAACATGGAAAGGAGCAACCGGTACCAGCCGCTGCAAAATCATGCCAAAATGTAAAGACCATTGAGACTAGGAAGAAACTGCATGAACTAACGAGCAAAATAACCAGCTAACATCATAATGACAGGATCAAATTCACACATAACAATATTAACTTTAAATGTAAATGGGCTAAATGCTCCAATTAAAAGACACAGACTGGCAAATTGGATAAAGAGTCAAGACCCATCAGTGTGCTGTATTCAGGAAACCCATCTCACGTGCAGGGACACACATAGGCTCAAAATAAAGGGATGGATGAAGATCTACCAAGCAAATGGAAAACAAAAAAAAAGGCAGGGGTTGCAATCCTAGTCTCTGATAAAACAGACTTTAAACCAACAAAGATCAAAAGAGACAAAGAAGGCCATTACATAATGGTAAAGGGATCAATTCAACAAGAAGAGCTAACTATCCTAAATATATATGCACCCAATACAGGAGCACCCAGATTCATAAAGCAAGTTCTTAGTGACCTACAAAGAGACTTAGACTCCCACACAATAATAATGGGAGACTTTAACACTGCACTGTCAACGTTAGACAGAAAGTTAGACAGATCAACGAGACAGAAAGTTAACAAGGATACCCAGGAATTGAACTCAGCTCTGCACCAAGAGGACCTAATAGACATTTATAGAACTCTCCACCCCAAATCAACAGAATATACATTATTTTCAGCACCACACCACACCTACTTCAAAATTGACCACATAGTTGGAAGTAAAGCACTCCTCAGCAAATGTAAAAGAACAGAAATTATAACAAACTGTCTCTCAGACCACAGTGCAGTCAAACTAGAACTCAGGATTAAGAAACTCACTCAAAACCACTCAACTACATGGAAACTGAACAACCTGCTCCTGAATGACTACTGGGTAAATAATGAAATGAAGGCAGAAATAAAGATGTTCTTTGAAACCAACGAGAACAAAGACACAACATACCAGAATCTCTGGGACACATTCAAAGCAGTGTGTAGAGGGAAATTTATAGCACTAAATGCCCACAAGAGAAAGCAGGAAAGATCTAAAATTGACACCCTAACACCACAATTAACTAGAGAGGCAAGAGCAAACATTCAAAAGCTAGCAGAAGACAAGAAATAACTAAGATCAGAGCAGAACTGAAGGAAATAGAGACACAAAAAACCCTTCAAAAAAATCAATGAATCCAGAAGCTGGTTTTTCGAAAAGATCAACAAAATTGATAGACCACTAGCAAGACTAATAAAGAAGAAAAGAGAGAAGAATCAAATAGACACAATAAAAAATGATAAAGGGGATATCACCACCGATCCCACAGAAATACAAACTACCATCAGAGAATACTATAAACACCTCTATGCAAATAAACTAGAAAATCTAGAAGAAATGGATAAATTCCTCGACACATACATCCTCCCAAGACTAAACCAGGAAGAAGCTGAATCTCTGAATAGACCAATAATAGGAGCTGAAATTGAGGCAATAATCAATAGCTTACCAATCAAAAAAAGTTCAGGACCAGATGGATTCACAGCCGAATTCTACCAGAGGTACAAAGAGGAGCTGGTACCATTCCTTCTGAAACTATTCCAACCAATAGAAAAAGAGGGAATCCTCCCTAACTCATTTTGTGAGGCCAGCATCATCCTGATACCAAAGCCTGGCAGAGACCCAACCAAAAAAGAGAATTTTCGACCAATATCCTTGATGAACATCGATGCAAAAATCCTCAATAAAATACTGGCAAACCGAATCCAGCAGCACATAAAAAAGCTTATCCACCATGATCAAATGGGCTTCATCCCTGGGATGCAAGGCTGGTTCGACATACGCAAATCAATAAACATACTCCAGCATATAAACAGAACCAAAGACAAAAACCACATGATTATCTCAATAGATACAGAAAAGGCCTTTCACAAAATTCAACAACACTTCATACTAAAAACTCTCAATAAATTAGGTATTGATGGGTCTTATCTCAAAATAATAAGAGCTATCTATGACAAACCCACAGCCAATATCATACTGAACGGGCAAAAACTGGAAGCATGTCCTTTGAAAACTGGCACAAGACAGGGATGCCCTCTCTCACCACTCCTATTCAACATAGTGTTGGAAGTTCTGGCCAGGGCAATCAGGCAGGAGAAGGAAATAAAGTGTATTCAATTAGGAAAAGAGGAAGTCAAATTGTCCCTGTTTGCAGATGACATGATTGTATATCTAGAAAACCCCATTGTCTCAGCCCAAAATCTCCTTAAGCTGATAAGCAACTTCAGCAAAGTCTCAGGATACAAAATCAATGTACAAAAATCACAAGCATTCTTATATACCAATAACAGACAGAGAGCCAAATCATGAGTAAACTCCCATTCACAATTGCATCAAAGAGAATAAAATACCTAGGAATCCACCTTACAAGGGATGTGAAGGACCTCTTCAAGGAGGACTACAAACCACTGCTCAGTGAAATAAAAGAGGATACAAACAAATGGAAGAACATTCCATGCTCATGAATAGGAAGAATCAATATCGTGAAAATAGCCATACAGCCCAGGGTAATTTATAGATTCAATGCCATCCCCATCAAGCTACCGATGACTTTCTTCACAGAATTGGAAAAAACTACTTTAAAGTTCATATGAAACCAAAAAGAGCCCGCATCCCCAAGTCAATCCTAAGCCAAAAGAATAAAGCTGGAGGCATCACACTACCTGACTTCAAACTATACTACAAGGCTACAGTAACCAAAACAGCATGGTACTGGTACCAAACCAGAGATATAGACCAATGGAACAGAACAGAGCCCTCAGAAATAATGCCGCTTACCTACAACTATCTGACCTTTGACAAACCTGACAAAAACAAGCAATGGGGAAAGGATTCCCTATTTAATAAATGGTGCTGGGAAAACTGGCTAGCCATATGTAGAAAGGTGAAACTGGATCCGTTCCTTACACCTTATACAAAAATTAATTCAAGATGGATTAAAGACTTAAATGTTAGACCTAAAACCATAAAAACCCTAGAAGAAAACCTAGGCAGTACCATTCAGGACATAGGCATGGGCAAGGGCTTCATGTCTAAAACACCAAAAGCAATGGCAACGAAAGCCAAAATTGACAAATGGGATCTAATTAAACTAAAGAGGTTCTGCACAGCAAAAGAAACCACCATCAGAGTGAACAGGCAACCTACAGAATGGGAGAAAATTTTTGCAACCTGCTCATCTGACAAAGGGCAAATATCCAGAATCTACAATGAACTCAGACAAGTTTACAAGAAAAAAACAAACAGCCCCATCTTTTTGATGGGCGAAGGATATGAACAGACACTTCTCAAAAGAAGACATTTATGCAGCCAAAAAAACAGATGAAAAAATGCTGATAATTACTGGCCATCAGAGAAATGCAAATCAAAACCACAATGAGATACCATCTCACACCAGTTAGAATGGCAATCATTAAAAAGTCAGGAAACAACAGGTGCTGGAGAGGATGTGGAGAAATAGGAACACTTTTACACTGTTGGTGGGACTGTAAACTAGTTCAACCATTGTGGAAGTCAGTGTGGTGATTCCTCAGGGATCTAGAACTAGAAATACCATTTGATCCAGCCATCCCATTACTGGGTATATACCCAAAGGATTATAAATCATGCTGCTATAAAGACACATGGACATGTATGTTTATTGCAGCACTATTCACAATAGCAAAGACTTGGAACCAACCTAAATGTCCAACAACGATAGACTGGATTAGGAAAATGTGGCACATACACACCATGGAATACTATGCAGCCATAAAAAATGATGAGTTCATGTCCTTTGTAGGGACATGGATGAAACTGGAAACCATCATTCTCAGCAAACTATCGCAAGGACAAAAAACCAAACACCGCATGTTCTCACTAATAGGTGGGAATTGAACAATGAGAATACATGGACACAGGAAGGGAAACATCACACACCGGGGACTGTTGTGGCGTCAGGGGCAGGGGGAGGGATAGCATTGGGAGATACACCTAATGCTAAATGACGAGTTAATGGGTGCAACACACCAACATGGCACAAGTATACATATGTAACAAACCTGCACGTTGTGCACATGTACCCTAAAACTTAAAGTGTAATAATAATAAAATTTAAAAATATATTTACATGAAATTCTACTTCTGTCTTGCCACTTTCAGTCTTTTTTTGTCAGTAGATCTCAACTGACTCCTGTAGAAAGGCAAGTTGACTCTTGATTTTTAAAATTTTTTAATAAACCTGTTTATTGAAAGTATATCTCTTGATTGGAAAGATAATTATATATATATTTAAATGGTTTTCTGAAAGAGAAAAACTTACTAATGTTATTTTATTATTTGTTTTATTTGATTCTTATATCTTTGTCTTTCCTTTTCTTTCTGTGGTTTTCGTGGTTTTTTGCTTTTTGTATTGGTATTTTTCCAGGATTTTTTAAATTTTCTTTTGTGTATCCATACAAATATTTTCTTAGTGGTACTTTGGGAGATTACATAAAACCTCTAAAAGATCCAACAATATATTTGAATGTGGTAAAAAATAAACTTCAGTTGAATACAAAAATTCTTCATCATTACATCTGCCTACATTACAGCTCCTAAAATTCTCTTCTTATCTATGATTTTTGAAGGTTTGCTTGTATGTGTGTTTGTTACAAATATCTTTGTGTGTATCCTAGTTTGTTTCTTCAGCTTTTTCATGTTTACATCATTTTTCCTTTTAAGAAATTTTTCAATTGTTTTTTGCATTTTTTATATCCACAATTTTTGTTTTTTTGCTATTTCAATATTTCTTATTATTATCCTCATTTTTATCTTCAGTACTTGTTTGTTTCACTTACCTAATGTTATTCAAATTTATTTATTTAGTTAGTTTTTCTGAGATGGAGTCTTTTTCTGTCACCCAGGCTCTGGAGTGCAGTGGCGCCATCTCAGCTCATAGCTACCTCTGCCTCCCGAGTTCAAGCAATTCTCCGGCCTCTGTCTCCCAAGTAGCTGGGGTTACAGGTGGCTGCCAGCATTCCAGCTAATTTTTTGTATTTTTAGCAGAGATGGGTTTTTACCATGTTGGCCAGGCTAATTTTGGACTCCTGACCTCAAATTAGGAGGCCAAGGTGGCCTCCTAAGTTGCTGCGATTACAGGCATGAGCCATTGCGCCCAGCCTATTTTATTTTTGAGACAGTCTTGCTCTGTCATCCAGTCTGAAGTGCAGTGGTACAATATTCACTCACTGCAACTGTCCCCTCCCAGGTTCAAGCAATTCTTGTGTTGTGTGTCAGCCTCCCAAGTAGCTGGGATTACAGGCACATGCCACCATGCCCAGCTAGTTTTTGTATTTTTAGTAGATACAGGGTTTCACCATGTTGGCCAGGCTGGTCTCAAATTCTCACCTAATGTGGTTTTCCCACCTTGGCCCCCTAGTGTGTTGGGATTCCAGGAATGAGCCACTAAGCTTGACCTGTACAACTTATTGGGAATTTTTTAAATTACCTCATATACATTTTATGGTTGCTTTAAAAATTTTATAACTTTTTGATGGGATCACGTTGCTCTACTATTTTGTATTTATTGTAATCTTTGAGATTTTTACATTAACAAAATGCTACCTGTTACAATCTTTATAATGTAGCTGTGTCCTGGCATAGTCTGAAATCAATTGTCTTAACTAGAGATTCTGGGAATCTCAGCTCACTGTAACCTCCACCTCCCAGGTTCAAGCAGTTCTCTGCCTCAGCCTTCTGAGTAGCTGGGATTACAGGTGCCCCATCGCCACACCCAGCTAATTTTTTGTAATTTTAGTACAGATTGAATTTCATCATCTTTGCCAAGATGGTCTTGAACTCCTGACCTTCTGATCCACCCACGTCAGCCTCCCAACATGCTGGGACTACAGGCGTGTGTCACCCCAGCCAGTCAACAATTTACTTTTAAAGGCACAATGTTATACTGGAGAGCAAAACCAGCTGTGTTGTGTATAAGTAACAGACTTTTCTATTTCTTCTATTTGGCCGTTTGCATTGTGCTCACCTGGGGCCCTTCACAACTTATTATAAGTTTTTTACAAATGTATTTTGATCAGTATGTTTTTGTTAAATTCATATGTCCAGGAAGAAATTACAGCTTGTGGTATTTTCCTGTGTCATCTTGCTTATGTAGTTTGTATAAAACTATACAAACTGCATATATATATTTATATTTATCTGAGTCTACCAATTGAAGTAATGTGTTTTTATTGTTTCTTTCAGTAATGTGTTCTCATTTTGCCCAAGACCTTTGGCCAGAGCAGAGCATGAAAGATTCTTTCCAAAAAGTGGTACTGAGAAGATATGAAAAATGTGAACATGACAATTTACAGTTAAAAAAAGGATGTATAAGTGTGGATGAGTGTAAGGTGCACAAAGAAGGTTATAATGAACTTAACCAATGTTTGACAACTACCCCAAGAAAAATATGTCAATGTGATAAATATGTGAAAGTCCTTCATCAATTTCCAAATTCAAACGGACAAAAGAGAGGACATACTGGGAAAAAACCTTTCAAATATATAGAATGTGGCAAAGCTTTTAAGCAGTTCTCAACTCTTACTACACATAAGAAAATTCATACTGGAGGGAAACCCTACAAATGTGAAGAATGTGGCAAAGCCTTTAACCACTCTTGTAGCCTTACTAGACATAAGAAAATTCATACTGGAGAGAAACCCTACAAATGTGAAGAATGTGGCAAAGCCTTTAAGCACTCCTCCACTCTTACTACACATAAGAGAAATCATACTGGAGAGAAACCCTACAAGTGTGATAAATGTGGCAAAGCCTTTATGTCATCCTCAACCCTTAGTAAACATGAGATAATTCATACGGAAAAGAAACCCTACAAATGTGAAGAATGTGGCAAAGCCTTCAACCGGTCCTCAACCCTTACTACACATAAGATAATTCATACTGGAGAAAAACCCTACAAATGTGAAGAATGTGACAAAGCCTTTAAGTACTCCTATACCCTTACTACACATAAAAGAATTCATACTGAAGACAAACCCTACAAATGTGAAGAATGTGGCAAAGCCTTTAAGTACTCCTCTACCCTTACTACACATAAGAGAATTCATACTGGAGAGAAACCCTACAAATGTGAAGAATGTGGCAAAGCCTTCAAGCGGTCTTCAGACCTTACTACGCATAAGATAATTCATACTGGAGAGAAACCCTACAAATGTGAAGAATGTGGCAAAGCTTTTAAGTACTCCTCTAACCTTACTACACATAAGAAAATTCATACTGGAGAGAGACCCTACAAATGTGAAGAATGTGGCAAAGCCTTCAACCAGTCCTCAATCCTTACTACACATAGGAGAATTCATACTGGAGAGAAATTCTACAAATGTGAAGAATGTGGCAAAGCTTTTAAGTGCTCCTCTAACCTTACTACACATAAGAAAATTCATACTGGAGAGAGACCCTACAAATGTGAAGAATGTGGCAAAGCCTTCAACCAGTCCTCAATCCTTACTACACATGAGAGAATCATACTGGAGAGAAATTCTACAAATGTGAAGAATGTGGCAAAGCCTTCAAGCGGTCCTCACACCTTACTACACATAAGATAATTCATACTGGAGAGAAATTCTACAAATGTGAAGAATGTGACAAAGCTTTTAAGCATTTCTCTAACCTTACTACACATAAGAAAATTCATACTGGAAAAAAACCCTACAGATGTGAAGAATGTGGCAAAGCCTTTAAGCACTCCTCTAAACTTACTACACATAAGAGATTTCATACTGGAGAGAAACCCTACAGATGTGAATAATGTGGTAAAGCTTTTCACCTATCCTCACACCTTACTGCACATAAGATAATTCATACTGGAGAGAAACCATGTGAATGTGATGAATGGGGAAAATCTTTTAACCAGCCCTCAATTTCTAACTAAGAATTGATATGAAATATAAACTCTACAAATATAAAGAATGTGACAGATTTTTTAAGGAACTTCTCAACCTTTATTACACATAATTCATACTGGAAAGAAACCCTACAAGTGTGAAGAATGTGGCAAAGCATATAACAAGTTCTGTCTTTTTTTTTTTTTTTTTGAGATGGAGTTTCAACTCTTGTCACCCAGTCTGGTGTGCAATAGCACAGTCTCGGCTCACTGCAACCTCCGCCTTCTGGGTTCAATCCATTCTCCTGCCTCAACCTCCCAAGTAAGGGGGATTACAGGTGCCCACCCCCATGCCCAGCTAACTTTTGTATTTTTAGTAGAGACAAGGTTACACCATGTTTGTCAGGCTGGTATCCAACCCCTGACCTCACATGATCCACCCACCTCAGCCTCCTAAAGTGTTGCAATTACAGGCATGAGCCACCATGCCTGGCCACAAGTTCTTACTATTAAGAGACATGGTGATAATTCATTCTGAAGAGGAACTCTACAAACCTGAAAGATGTGACAGTGCTTTTTTCAACACTTCCATCCTTTCTATACATAAAAAATTTATACTAGTGTGAAACCCTAGAAATATATAAAATGTGAAACAGCCTTTATATGGTTGCCACATTTGATAGTAAGATAATTCATACTGGCAAAATTCCTACAAGCATGAAGAATGTGGCAAAACCTTTAATCAATGTGTACATCTTATTTTGCAGGAAAGCTATTATCCTTGAGAAAAATTGTACAAATATAAAGAATATGGAAAACCCATTAATGCCTACTCACATCTTACTCAACATAAGAAGGTTCATAGTTAATGAAAGCATTAAAAGTGCAATTACTGTCAAAAAATCTTTCAGAAAATATAAGCCTTTAAAGTGAAGAAGAGTATTTATTCTGAAGACAACCATTACAAATATACAGGAGGTTTATTACACACATTTTGTACTAGAGGAAAATCCTGAAGCAGTTGCTCAAGCTTTGCTCAACATCAGAGAACTTATATTGGAGAAGGGTCCTGCAAATGTAATGAATTTGGAAACACTTTAAAAAAAAAAAACTACAGCTTAGAAAACAGCAGAGTTTATACTAAAATATATTTTTGCAGATGCAGTAAACATGAAAAAATATTTAATTCAAAATTAATTGTATGTAAATATCAGAATTTACAGAATAACTAAGGCACTGACACTTCAGACATTACATTAAATAAGAGTGTTGAGTATATAAATGAATTCACAACTAAAGTTGTTAAATTTGTATATAAGTTTGTATAAATTAGTATATAACTTTAAAAGGAGATTTTTTGAAGCTTTGTATTTACATTGAAAGTATATTTGTTTCCTTGAAAACAATTTTTTTGAAAAGTGAATGATGTAATACAGCTTTCAAATTATGCTGTTACTTTATTATATTCACGTGAAAGTATGTGATCAATTGTTGCTGCATCAGAGATATTAGAGATTCTTTATGAGTTGGGCATTCTTTATGACCTTTTCTATAAAACAGTAAGGACATTAAAATGTAAGATGCATGACGAAAATATAAGTGGAGAGGCTCATTGTAGTTAACCTATATTAAGTAATGTTTAAGGTAGGTGTTCAGAGTAATACTTTTCTACATTATACTGAGAGAAAGAAATTATAAATTAAAGTATATCAATTATTTTACTAATTTTACTGTTACGTAATAAAATGCAATATATTTAAAAATTGTTAGATGATGTGTGAACTTAACTTATATTTTATTTACTTACTTAACTTTTCTTTTGAGATGGAGTCTTGCTCTGTCACCCAGGCTGGAGGGCAGCAGTGCAGTCTCAGCACAATGACTGCAACCTCCACCTCCCAAGTTCAAGAAATTCTCCTGCCTCAGCCTCCCGAGTAGTGGGGACTACAGGTGCGTGACACCACGCCTGGCTAATTTTTATATTTTTAATAGACATGGGGTTTCCCCATATTGGTCAGGCTAGTCTCAAACTCCTGAGCTCAAGCGATCCACCCACCTCAGGCTCTCAAAGTGTTGGGATTATAGGTGTGAGCCAATATGTCCAGCCTAATTTTATTTTATTTTTTACCATCTTAAAACTATTGTGCATTTAATGAAGCATTATTATGCCACTAACTTTAACCTATCCGGCCTTACTCAAATGGTGTAAGCAAAAGATGGAAGAAGTATACTATTTGGTATGTAGTGGAATGTCATCACTAGTAATCACTTTGCCAGTAAACTGCAAATGAAGAATATTGTTCCCGTTAGTTAAATTTTTAATCTTTTTTCTTAATTTATTATTACTATCTGTGAGTATATAGTATGTGTATATATGTCTTATAGAGAATATTTTGATTCAGGCATACAATATGTAGTAATTACATTAGGGTAAATAAGGTATCTGTCACCTCTAGCATTTATCCTTTCTAATCCAAACAGTGTAATTATACACTTTTAGTTACTTTTAAATGTCCAATTAAATTGTAATTGACTACAGGGTGATTTTTATGGTCATAATAAAAATTATACAGAAATATAAATAGAATATGGGCTGGACGCAGTGGCTCATGCCTGTAATCCCAGCACTTTGGTAGGCGACGTCGGGCAGATCATGAGGTCAGGAGTTCAAGACCAGCCTGACCAACATTGTGAAACTCTCTACTAAAACAACAAAAATTAGTTGGGCATGGTGGTGCACCCGTATTCCTAGCTACTCGGGAAGCTGAGGCAGGAGAATGGCTTGAACCTGGGAGGTGGAGGTTTCAGTGAGCTGAGATAGCACCACTGCACTCCAGCCTGGGTGACAGACGGACACTCCATCTCAAAAAGAAAGAAAAAAGCCAGGACAGTGGCTTACACCTGTAATCCCAGCACTTTGGGAGGCCCAGGCAGGTGGATCATGAGGTCAGGAGATCAAGACCATCCTGGCTAACACGTTGAAACCCTGTCTCTACTAAAAATAAATTAGCTGGGCGTGGTGGTGGGCGCCTGTAGTCCCAGCTACTCCAGAGGCTGAGGCGGGAGAATGGTGTAACCCAGGAGGCAGAGGTTGCAGTGAGCCGAGATCGTGCCACTGCACTCCAGCCTGGGCAACAGAGCAAGACTCCGTCACAAAAAAAAAAAGAAAAAATACGGCCATGTGCAGTGCCTCATGCCTATTATCCCAGCAATTTCGGAGGCTGAGGCAGGTGTGTTGCTTGAGCTCAGGAGTTCAAGACCAGCCTCGCCAATGTGGTGAAACCCTGTCTCTACTAAAAATAGAAAAATTAGCCAGTCATGGTGGCGCACACCTGGAGGCTGAGGTAGGAGAATCACTTGAACTTGGGAGGTGGAGATTGCAGTGAGCCAAGATTGTGCTGCTGCACTCCAGCCTGGGTGACAGAGTGATGAGACTCCTCAAAGGAAAAAAAATTACATTTCTGAGTCCTGAAAAATTATTAATAAATATTTGTTATATAGTTTCTTTGAACATGTGGTCACTCTGCCTGCAAACGTAAAGACTTTTAATTTTCATAGAGTGAAATATACACATATTCCTCTGAAGATAAACCTTAGGTGTAAGAAAATTATGAAATGAGTGTTTGGTAAATATGCATTTGTACATATTTTCAGAAGAAAACGCAATTATTGGAACAAAATAAGTTTTTAGGTGATTAATGGAAAACTAAACACCTTGAATATGCTGAAAGCAAATGTATACTTTCTGCTTTGTATGGAATTTATTAATATAAAATTTTATGGCTTATGGCTCGGATTCTCCCCAGAATCCGTGTATTAAAGCACAGGCAACTTTGTCTCCAGAAATAACACTCTTGAGTACAACAATAAAAGCCCTCTTCAAACACACTCAAAAAATTATTTTTAACGCTTATTTTAATAAAAATTTAACCAAAATTGAATAATTGGATACATTTTTATTGTTCTATGTGTGTGTGAATGTATAAAATGACACATAAAGGAATAATAATTTAAGCCAGAAAAAAAGATGTTAGTTAATATTTGTAATGAATAAAACTGGAAAGTAGTTATTATTTGCAGATGACATTTTTGTTTATGTAGATAACAAAAGCAGTAGAAAGACTATTTTAAAAGTTTATTCAGGTGGGTAGGCAACATTTTAAGATAATACCCTGGATTCCCAGTCTGTTGCGCACCTGCTGTGTAATACTCTCGAGTGTAAAAAAGTGTGTGACTGTGGTGGGACATCACTCATGAAATTACGTTACTCATCTGTTGACTTCGTGTTTACCAAAATGGAGATTATCCTGATTGTGCTAAACTTAATCAGAAGTGCTTTTAAGAGAAAGAGACACATCATAGAAAACACCCCTGCTGGCCTGAAAGTAAGTGACTTCTAGGTGAGCCATGTTGTAAGCTGCTTATGGTGGCCACATGGCAGGAAACGTATTTGTTTATTGTCATCATTCCTGCCTTCTGCATGTTGCTTCCAGTAGGGAGAATAAGAGGATCCTATGGCAGAGGGGAAAAAAAGGGAATCTCATTCATGCAAGAAATAATCACCTCTCACCTGGGATAGCTTAAGAAAAACAGGAGACCACAACAGGTCCACATTAATGAAAGGAAAAAGGTAACCTGGGTAAAAGTGCTCACTGGCATTATGGAACTACATTTAGTAAGCTGTAGTGAATGATCAGCCTCTGGGATACCAATAGTCTACCAACAAGGCTGAACTCATTCTAATTCAATCAGCATGTCTGCACCATTCTGGCGACCTAGTTTTATACTATTCATTACAGAAATACCATGAAGACCAGTGGGTAATGTCCTAGAGTTGAACTTACATCAAATCATACCTAACTGTTTTCATATTTGAAAAACCTTAAAAACAATGAATTCATAATTCTATTGTAAATGATTTTACTATACTGTAGTAAATGATTAAACTGTAAACAATATGAATAATTCTTGAAAGCATAATTATGTAGACAGTTTCTTTTAGATTAACATGATAAAACAATTAAAGAAAACATTCCAAATGGGATAAAATTAATCAAAACTGCATATTTTCAATGACTTGGCTTAATTATCATGCTTTTGGAAATGGCCAGATGACTAACAAGAAATAAAAACAAGATTTTGACTTTGCTCATTGTTTTTGACCTTTTGAAGTCTAAAATCCTGGCTAAAGTATTCAAAGGGAGTATTTTATAGTTGGCTTCCTGGGGTTTCCAATGCAATAAAGAATTTTGATAGGAAAATGCACACTATATACACATTGCTCTTCTCTGATTTGCTTTAACGCTGAAAAATTGAACATTTTAAATGTAGTCTCAACTTAGAGTAAATTAACAAAAGATTTGTTTTTCAAAAAAAGCAAATGTATAAAATTAATAGGTAACAGACACCATTAGCTGCTCAAAAATAGTATGACTAAATTCAGTAAGTAGCTATGCAAATATCAGCCCAATTAAATGAAGACCCTAATAGGTGCATGTGGAAAGCATTGCTGTGCAGTGTGGTGCCTCCACTCAGCATTTTCTTCTGCCTCTTTACAGAGAAACCAGTTTCCCCTGAGTGACTCAGGGTGCATACTGGGAACTGAGAATGCTGTGTTCAGAGTGATTACTGAAAACATGGTTAATACACTTCTTTCATATGATAATAAAATGTTACAAATCTTATTCTGCCTCAGAAAAGCTTTTAGTTAAAGATTATCTGTAGTACTCAATTTAGCTTAATGGAAAATGTAAGTACTCCAGATAATTCAGACACTTAATGAAATCCCATAAAACATATTTGAATAAGATAAAGTCTTCTTGGCTAACAATTTTATATTACAGGTAAATTTAGAAAAAAGTAGAAAAACAGTACTTTTATTGCAGTAAACTGAGGAATTAAGAGACCAATACGGAGTACAGGAGGATTTTTTATTTTAGTTGTGCACCGGCTCAGAGGATTCACATCCAAAAGCTGAGCATTGAACACAGAGTGGGGTTTTTATAAGCGGCCTTTCAGAAGCAAAACAAAAGCAGTTAATCATACAATGACAGGTCATGTAATCTATAGTATAACATTACTTGTGACCTAGCCAGTGGCCTTGTAGCTGCATTAGAAGGAAAACAAGAACTGGCGAAATACAGACATTTGTAAAACATAATCCTGCTTAAGAAGCCTGGGAAAAGAGTAACAGTAAAATAACTTGTCTTTCTCTTTTTTTTTTTTTCCTTCCTTCAACCTTGCTCTGGAAGGGAGGGGGGTGCCTGGAGTCCATTCCTTTGGCCTTGGCTGTACAGACAGCGTTATCTTCTAACTGTTCTTGAAGTGAGCTGCTAGGCAGAGGAAAACGTGTTCTTTTCTTTTTAATCCTTGTCTTGCCACATTCTGGGCCTTAGCTTTTACTTTTCTTGGAGTGAATAATTGTAATACTTATTATTTTTAAATGCTTGCCTCAGTTTCCCCTTTCTGATGCCTTTTATGAAAGAAGTTTAATAGAAGTCATCACTATTACTTAGTTCTGCCTGAAGAGACAAGTTTTCTTCTTTAGACAAAGCTTGATATTTACACAGAGTCATGAGCTGTGTGGTAGTTTGCCTAGCTACTATTTCCTCTATAGTTGATTGAATGCTTCTAACAAGCAGATGTAAGACACAAGGGAGTATTAGGCAGTTCCTAGTATGGCCAGAACCACCCTTATTAAAATCTTGAACCCTGTGAAAAATGAAAACCAGCCTCCAAAGAGAGAATCTGGGGACCACCCTTTCCAAGTTTGAACTGGAATATGGGCTAATTTTCTCATTCTTGCAGTTATTTCCATAATTGCTTTTCCATTGTCATCAATTTCCAGGCAACAATTAGTTAGATTGAACTTTCCTCATACTCCTCCTTCCTGGGCTAGGAGGTAATCTAAAGCTAATCTGTTCTGATAGTTAGCATTTCTCATTTTTGTGGTTTGCTGGGCCAGTAAATCTAATGCATTTGCTCTTTCATTCATGATGATTTCAAGTACTGCCTGCAACCTTATGATGTGGTTAAGCATGTAAATAGGAGTGCAGTATCCCCGTGACCCATCTTGTGCCCAGGTAGCTGGCCCATAGTGTTGAATTATTCTTTCAGGGGACTTCCCTATGTCTTCCCAATCTCCTATTTTTTATATATTTTTTATGGCTGCATCTCTTTTGTTTCTTCTTCTAACTTCATCATAGACAGGATACCCTAAAGTTTTCCCCTGTTGCAGTGGGAGCAGGAAGAAAGATGGTCTAATTGTTCCAAGCACACAGCCCCCTGTCCATTTAGCTGGCAACTGTCAATATGCTTGAGGCCCACAGATCCAGTAAAGACCGGGGGTGCTTGCCAAGTATTTGGAGCTGCAAGTTGATACCAAGTGTAATTTAGAGAAGAGAAATGGGAGAACGAATTTGGATGATGTGCTTTGTAGTCATCTCTGTCCCACCACAAAGTTTTCCTTAATGGTTCATTATAATATTGCTGTCCTAAGCAGGTTTGTTCTTCTACTGGGTCTGTAAAATCCTTTCCCCAGCAAGCAACACAGTATCTCCCAATAATAGAAGTTTTTAAGAGCCAGACGCTTGAACCTGTGGGCATCTGTTTGGGAAAAGAGTCAGTCAGAGTAAAGTTATCTTGAGGCATTAACTCTTTTACTTCCCAAGGCCATTGGTCTCCCATGTTAGTCCCTTCACAAACATAACATGAGGAAACGCCTAGGCTGCTGGCAGTGTTTTCAGCCAGCTGAGCAAATAGGTTTTTGCCTAAAGGAGGAGGCTCTGGTAACTTCTGGTTTATATGCTCAAAGAATGACTTAAAGACTCAGAATTGCTGCTGGGCTGACTGCTTGGTTTGAGTCCTCTTTAGAATATACAAAGTTATTTTAGTTTTTTGACCATAGCTTTGTAATGCAATGGAGTAACCTGTAGTCCATATAGGTAGATCTGGCTTTAAGATAGTAAGACTTACAGGATTGCAAGTGCTTGTCTTACAATCCAGTTTTGCTGGTACTTTGATGAGCAAGATTGGCTTTGACCTCGGTGATGATCAGTCAGTGAACTGCATTGTACAGTTCCAGCAAGCTATTGCTAGGGCCTTGGAAGGACAAACAGAGGGTGCACACACAATTTTGTACTGGCAGTTTGTATAGTACTCTGTAGGACCAGAGATTGTGAGATAGTTTGGGTTCATAGATGTTAACTGACAAATATCAAAGTATATGCATATAGCTCCAGGAAGAGAGGCTTGGGTTTGACCTATAAAACTTCTTTCCTTTGACTCAGTATGAATCTCCAACCGAGTCCCAGGTAAAGACTCAGGGTCACAGCATATATAAGGCTGACCATTTCTTGGGTCACAAATTGAATAGGTGGTCTGATTATAAGTACAAGTTCCTAATCGAGTCCCTGTACACTCATAAGTATAGTACAATAGGGTTCTAGTTATACTGTTCCCTAATCAAGTAGTATGTGTACAGTGGAGACACCCTTCTATAGGTGTTTATTCTAGAATGGTTAAGAGGAGTAACAACAACAAAACAATGTACAGCATATTCATATCCAGCAAGGGCAAAAGAGGTCCTCACCTGGGAAAAAGGTTGAGCACAGGGACAGAACAACAGTCAAACAGTTAGTATACAGTAAAACTACTAGTCCTAAGATTTCTAACTGCATTTACTTGCTTGATGAGTCCTCAAGCTTTGGCCGTGCATAGACTAGTCAGCTTCTGGTGTGTGACTAGAGCAGGGCTTGTTGTTTCCTCAAGCTTCAGCCATGCATAGACTGGTCAGCCTCTGGAGTGACCAGAGCAGGGCTGTTGTCCTCAGCAGCAGCTTGGTCTCGCCTCAGGATCAGCCAGGTTGGATGATCTGGGTCCTGCTGGCTGGTTCACTTGTCCTGAGCTGCCGGTTTTAGCCGACTGTGGTGGATCCAAGACACAGCACCTGAAACTTTAACAGCAGTGGGAGTGGACAAGATTACAGTAGAGGGCTCATCCTATTTGAGTCCTAGAGAAATTAGATTCTACTTTTTAACCTAAACAGTCACCAGATTTAAAGGGGTGTCAGGCTTATAGGCATTTTCATGTACCTAATTCTAAACACTTTGTATGGCTATTCCTAAAGCCTGCATCTCTTTCTTAAGGTTAATTCCCCTACTTACTGGAGGGCACCTTTAATTTGACTTTTGATTTGGGGGTGCCTGACTGAACAAAATCTTACTGGGCAAATACCCAATTTGTTTGGTGGGGGTGCACCTGACTTGGAGGAGGATCATATGCAAACACCTGATTCTATCTCAAATGAATTTCCTGGCAATATTTCTTCAGTAGCTATTTGAGTGTCTGGTTCATGCATTCCACCTTTTCCTGAAATTTGCAGCTAATAGGCTGTATGTAACTTCCATTTTATTTTTAACAGTCTTGTTAAATCTTGCACTATTTCAGCTAGAAATGCCAGTCCATTGTCTGACTTTAAAGTTAGAGACAGTCCAAACCTGAGGATAATGCCTTTAACTTCTAATGTGACCATGGGCTCCTGGAAGCCTAGTGAGAAGGTGCCCGATCTGTCTTAGTCTTTACATCCTTCAGCTCCTGGCAGCCCAATCAGATCAGTATTTGGTTCCTCAAAGGTGCGGCAGCCCTTGACCGATGGCCTCTTTGTCTCGCTGCCTTAGCCATTTCCGTCATTGCCTTCTGAACATTCATCTTTCCAGGGTCCTTTCTTTTTGCTTCTCATACATTAATCTCTTTCCAGCCTTGTCCGGCTCTTGAATTTCTGCCTAACTTGACTTCTTCCATGTCTGCGTCCACGTCCAAGTCCTCTCACATTGCTAATCTCTCTTTCCATAAGAGCTGTTGCCAACAGACTGGCCTTTTTCTTAAACTTTCAATTTACTTTCCTTTTTCCTTCCTGAGTTCTCCTGCTTCTGCAGCCAGCGGTGGGTCTGGGCAAGAGTACGGACCCTACTGACACGCTTGCTGTCTGTCTCTCCTGTTTCTTTCTGATTTCCGTTTTACTTTCTTCTTTCCCTTCTCACACTCTTTCTCCTTACCTTCTCCTTCGCTCTTCTCCCAGTGCCAGTCTCCACCCTCGTCTCGTTCCAAATAGAGCCGGGCTGGGGAGAGGGAGTTAACCCTTGGAATGCCTAGCTGCCACACTTGTTGCTTTTGCATATTGTTCCCTGGTCACAGTTAACATACACCTTGGCCACTTTTATAGACTGGGTGGTATTCATGCCTGCAGCTTCCCCTTGATGTCACCCTGGGCTTGGCTTACAAATGCTGTATTCACCACAGGCTGATTTTCAGCAACCTCAGTGTTAAATGAGGTATAAAGGCAGAATACTTCACAGAGTCTCTTATAAAACTAACTTGGGCTCTTGTCAGCTCCCTGAAGCATTTCTGAAATCTTCCTTATATTAATTGCTTTCCTTCCACCAGCTCTTAGGCCCTGCAGAAGTGCCTCTCGGTGC
This sequence comes from Homo sapiens, assembly GCF_000001405.40. NCBI lineage: Eukaryota > Metazoa > Chordata > Mammalia > Primates > Hominidae > Homo > Homo sapiens. Next base: position 20,613,536 of record NC_000019.10, on the reverse strand, counting down.
CTCTGCAAACGCTGAAGCTGAGTTGCATCCTCCGGGTCCCAGTTGGGGTCTTGGTCTGGGAACTGACCCTGAGCGTATGCCTGAGCATTCACTATGTCTGTTGGTGCATGGGCTTCTAGCCAGCGGAGAGCCACCTGTGTCATCCTCTGGCACTCTTTAATGTTAAACAACATTAGGAAAAGCTGCCTGCAATCTGGCCAGGTCGTATTGTGTGTCAGAAAGAGGAATTGCATCAGATCTATAAGAACTTGAGGCTTCTCCATGTTGGACAGTGTATGGTGTTTTCAGTTTAGTAGATCAGTAATTGAAAAGGGCTGATAGATATAAGTCCATTGCCCCCCTCTGGATGTGGCCCTGGTCATCATAATAGATAGGTCCTATCTTCTCCCTGAGAGGCATTTGCACAGCTTGAGCATGGCCAGATCTGAAATGGCCCACTTGACTGTCTTGACTTCCTTCCCTAGCCTCTCAAGGGCCTGATCCTCCCCTTCGAGGAAAGACCTGGGGCGTGTTAGCTCCTGAATCTTGTTCCTGGGGGGGCTGTTGGCCTCGGTAAAGGGGGGTAGGCTGGGACATATGGAGGAAGAACTTCTGTTTCCTCTGGCAGCTCCTGCAAAACTGGCTTCTCTTGCTTTCTCTGGGACTCCCCGTTTAACTCTGTATCTGCCAGTGAAGCTGCTCTTACTTTCACTTTTGGCTTTTTTTGCAATAAGCCATTAAACAGGGCTGGATCTATGCTGGTTTTGTCTATATTATATTTAACCACGAGTCAATATAAAGGAATTTCATCTGGGTACACTGGCAGTCCTCCACCCCCTGTCACCACCCTAAATACATGGCCAATTTTTCCGTCTATAGTTCGTTTGCTCCGCCATCCAACACCAAAAGAGGGCCATTCTAATTCACAGAAAGTTCTCAACCTCTGAGGGGGTTAACTTAACTCTATAATCTATAATCTTAACTCTATAATCTTAATCTTAACTCTATAACCCCTGCAAAACCTTTCTTAAGGTTCTGTAACATGCACGCCAAGTTTTGATGTTTTGATGACTTTCCTCGCACTCCTCCCTTTACGACGCAGCACATTCACTCTTGCACACTCACTCTTCCTCTCATTTTAGCCGACTACACTGTCTCTTACTACAGGAGTTTTCAGATGCTGCTTGGCTTTGGAGAAGTCCTTATTCCCGCTACAACTCTGAGCTGTAGGGCAGTTTCTATTAGCTGTATGTAGATTGCCACTAGTCTTAGTCGACCCCACACTTTCTTGGAGCACACAGTCCACGCTGAGAGATCTGTGACTCCCCACTTCCCAGCTGATGAGCCTAATTAGTCCCCTCCATTCACATACTTTCACACATTTTCAGTTCCCATGTTCATAACTGGGGTGGTGAGCCACTCCCGCCCCCTCTAGTTTCACAGTTGGTGTGGCGAGCCACTCTTGCCCCCTCTAGTTCCCAGTTGGGGTGGTGAGCCTCTGTCACCACCTCCAGTTTCCTAGGCAACTTAGTGAACCACTTTCATGTCCTGTGTCAGCAGGTTGTGAGTTTCATCCGAATCGATGAGCCACTCCCATTGCCCTGAGCCCCTCTGGGTCCGATTATTTGGCATACCCCAGGAGGTGATCAGGCTCCCCTTCTGTCCAAGGGACAGGTCCTGCCTTGGGCCCCCAAAACCTTACCGTGCTTCCTGAAGCACGCTGTTTCTGAAATTGTCCTGTAGCTCCTCTTTAGGTTCTATTGCACTGCTGGGTAGGGGGCACTGGGTGAAAAGACAGCTGATCTCCCCTCCGGGCTGAAGTTCTCCCAGTGGCACCTGGGGCCACAGGTTTCCCGAGGCTCACGCTCCAGTCCCCAGAGGCAAAGGAGACAGTAAGCCTGCCCTCTCTGGTCCCTTCGTGGTCACCAAAAATGTTGTGGTAAATTGAGGAATGAAGAAACCAATACGGAGTACCGAAGGGCTTGTTTATTTTAGTTATGCACCGGCTCAGAGGATTCACATCCAAAAGCTGAGCATTGAACAAAGACAGAGTGGGGTTTTTAGAAGCAGCATTCCAGAAGCAAAAGAATAGCAGTTAATCATACAGTGACAGGTCACGTAATCTATAGCGTAATATAACTTGTGACCTAGCCGGTGGCCTTGTAGCTGCATTAGAAGAAAAACAAGAACTGGCTAAATACAGACATTTGTAAAACATAATCATGCTTAAGAAGCCTGGGAAAAGAGTAATAGTAAAAGAACCTATCTTTCTCTTTGTTTTTTCCTTCAACCTTGCTCTGAAAGGGAGGTGGATGTCTGGAGCCCATTCCTTTGGCCTTGGCTATTCAGACAGTATTATCTTCTAACTGTCCTTGAAGTGAGCTGCTAGGCAGAGGCAAACTTGTTCTTTTCTTTTTAACTCTTGCCTTACCACATTGTGGGCCTTAGCTTTTACTTTTCTTGGGGTGAACAAATGCAGTACCTATTATTTTTAAACTTCTGCCTCACTTTAAGCCAAATAACAGTGTTTGACACGTGAGTCGCACCCAAACAAGTGCTCTTCATGATCATTGTTAAAGCAGCAATAGCAACATGTGCTTTCCTGGGACCTGCTGGCCTGTTTTCCACTGATATAAAGTGGAGAAGGGATTGAAATAGCAAAGGAGGGTGATATAAATTGAATACCTATATGAAATACAATTTTAAATGAAAAACAGCATTTGATGTTGTACAACTCTAAGTGAGACTGTTAGTGCGAGATCATATTTTTACTTGTATTGACAAAATAACCATTCACAATATTCTTATTTAGAATAATATTCCATTTCTCTTGTATATTTGCTAGCTTTTGATCAAATATTTTGGGAACTCAATAGAAATTAACAAAATGAATCTTTATTTTACCCCAAGAATTACTGATGCATATGCTTGTTTTTCTTAAAATTCATTAGCTTTTTATGAAAGATTTATACTTTATTTTCAGTGTGTTGTTTATTGCTTAGAAGTGGCTGTCCTGCCAGAAAACTGCTATTCTCAGCTATACCCACATTGACTAATAGTGAGTGGAAATGAAGTGGGTAAAAAGCAAATTGTCTTCTCTGTATCTTTTTTCACCCTTTGACTGGAGAACAGAGGGATGCAGAAAATGAAAGCATATATAATCCCTGAAAGATCATGAAGAAGCTCTCTTAACCAGACCAAAACCCAGTAGGGGGATTTTTTTTTTTTCTCATTATTGTATTCTCTGCTTCTATGAGTTAAATTTTTTTTTTTTTTTTTTTTTTGAGATGGAGTCTCACTCTGTTGACCAGGCTGGAGTGCAGTGGCCTGATCTCGGCTTACTGCTACCTCCACCTCCCAGATTCAAGCAATTCTCTTGCCTCAGCCTCCTGAGTAGCTGGGATTACAGGTGCATACCACCACACCTGGCTAATTTTTGTATTTTTAGTAGAGACAGGGTTTCACCATGTTGGTCAGGCTGGTCTCAAATGCCTGACCTTGTGATTTGCCCACTTTGGCCTCCCAAAGTGCTGAAATTACATGCGTGAGCCACTGTGCCTGGCGAGTTTAAATTTTTTTCACACTTTACATAGATGTTGGATTATGTGGGCTGGGCACAGTGGCTCATGCCTGTAATCCCACCACTTTGGGGGGCCGAGGTGGGTGGACCACTTGAGGTCAGGAGTTTGAGACCAGCCTGGCCAATATGGCAAAACCCTGTCTCTACTAAAAATATAAAAATTAACCAGACATGGTGGTGGGCACCTGTAATCGCAGGTACTGGGGAGGCTGAGGCAGGAAAATCGCTTGAACCCAGGAGACGGAGGTTGCAGTGAGCCAAGATGGTGCCTCTGCACCACTGCCTGCCTGGGCAACAAGAGGGAAACTCCATCTCTTTTCTGTGCTGGCTTATTTTACTTAGCATATCATTCAGGTTCATGAATGTTGTTGCAAATAACAAGACTTCCTTATTTTTAAGGGCTGAATAAAATTGCATTGTGTACATATACCACACTTTCTTTCTCCATTTACCTGCTGATGCACATTTAGGTTGATTCCATACCTTAGCTATTGTGAGTAATCCACTTCCTTCCCTTTTGTTTATTTTTTTGTTTTGTTTGAGAAGGAGTCTCATTCTGTCACTCAAGCTGGAGTGCAGTGCAGCAATCTTGGCGCACTGCAACATCCACCTCCTGGGTTCAAGTGATTCTAGTGCCTCAGCCTCCCAAGTAGCTGAGATTACAGGTGTGCACCACCACACTTGACTAATTTTTGTATTTTTAGTAGAGGCAGGCTTTCACCATGTTGACCAGGCTGTCTTTCATTTGTTTGTATATTTCTTTCTTCCTTTCCTTTTTTATTTCTAGAAGCATTTTAATTTTAAAATATAAATTATGAAAGTTAAACACCTCCATTTCTCTGTCTTTGATTACTATTATGGCTGATGAAAAAATAAGTTTTTTTGAAATTCCCTGGATAAACGTTATTACTTCATTATTAACATAATGAGATAATATAGAAATGAAAATGAACATTTGTTAGTAAAACAGCAATTATCTAGCTCCTGGTAGTCATTTAATCTCTCACCCGCTCTTTAGAACTTCTATCAAGACAAGAACTCTATTTTTTTCCAAGAGTGTGTGATGTAAAATCACAGTCTTATCTTTTTGTCTTTGTGGCAGGAGTCAGGTATTTATGGTAATAAAAAAGAAGTCTAGATCTTTTTAGTAGACAGATGGTGATGATGGAAGCAAATATAATGGTACATGGTACTTGGCTACATTTCAAATGGGTGATAGTGAACATTCACTGAAGTGTCACAGGTGGCTCTTATATTCCAGATCAAATCTTTGTGAGGAAGGCTCAGCCCACTTGTGTCAAGCATTTCTGGCAGTTCCTAGATACATGGAAAAAACTCACTGCGCTTGTTTAATGAGACCAGAATTAAAAACACCCAGGTGCCAGGTTATTAAAAACATTTTTACCCTTATGGAAAAAAATGTGATGTGGCATGTGGCTTGGTTTGAATAAATCTTCACTGAGCTAAGTAGCTGATTGGATTTACCTAACCTGTAGGAAAAGAAAATGGAAATCACCTCTGAACAAGTTTATTTTATAGGCTTCTTTCTGTACATAGAGATATAAAATACGTGGCTAGATAAACATATACACACAAATTGAGTCACATGGGTATGTCTACGTAATGTTAATTTGTGCATAGGTCCCTCAAAAAAAAGCCTCAGAAATAAAGTAGGTCAGATGACATCTCCACATTCTACCCCTGAAGCTGAGGTAACTTAAATAAGCAAATTAGCAGAGCCTGGGTGATTCCAATCAGCCAATTTGCATAGCCCAGGTGATTCCAACCAGCCAAGTAGCTCAGCCCAGGGCAAACCAATCATACAAATATTTGAATAGTGATTGTGGCTTTATTAAGGCAGGCCCCAAATGGTGGATGTGAACAGAACACACACACTCTGAGGAGACATGCAGGGTGCTGGAATACTAACCTGGACAGATGAGTTACATGGCTTTATTCTCAGTTTATTTCTGCGGCTTTGCCCTTGAAGATAAAGCTTTGTTGATATTTACATAAACAACATTGTATGGTTATGTTCTATTTAGCATGTTATTTACATTATTTAGCAAGAGAAAAAAAATGATTCTACATCAGCATCTTTAGTGCATGTTAGAAGATTAAAAATGTCTTTTGGGGAACGTGTTTTGTATACATAAATATTTAGATAGAAATATTTATAGAATTCTCTATGTGTTTGTCTTCTTATGTATATTTATATCTAGATGTATCAATCTTTGTATTGATATGCATTACTATGAATATAGTAAGATAAAAAGTAACTTCCCCCCAGGCGCGGTGGTTCACGCCTATAATCCCAGCATTTTGGGAGGTGGAGGAGGGCAGATCACCTGCGGTCAGGAGTTCGAGACCAGCCTGGCCAACATGGTGAAACCTCGTCTCTACTAAAAATACAAAAATTAGCCAGGCAGGGTGGTGGGTGAAGGAACCCCAGTTACTTGGAGGGCTGAGGTGAGAGAATCGCTTGTACCCGGGAGGCAGAGGTTGCAGTGAGCTGAGATTGCGCCACTGCACTCCAGCCTGGGTGACACAGTGCAACTCCATCTCAAGAAACAAAAACAAAAACAAAACGAAAAAAAGTAACTTCCATACATGTATAAGTTTATCTGCCCTATAAACAATATCACAAATATTACACAAATAAAAATATGTTCTAACATACATCCTGCCACATTTAACATATATGAAAAAAGCATTTTTTGTTGTTTCTTGCTTCTGGGAGATAATGCACTAAGGGGCCAGGTGCGATGGCTTGCGTCTGTAATCCCAGCACTTTGGGAAGCTAAGGCGGGTGGATCACCTGAAATCAAGAGTTAGAGACCAGCCTGATCACCATGGCGAAACCCCATCTCTGTTAAAAATAGAAAATTAGCCAGGCATGGTGGTGCATGCCTGTAATCCCAGCTACTCAGGAGGCTGAGACAGGAGAATCGCTTGAACCCGGGAGGCGGAGGTTGTGGTGAGCCAAGATCATGCGATTACACTCCAGCCTGGGCCAAACGAGGGAAACTCCATCTCAAAAAAAAAAAAAAAATTGCACTAAGGCAATGGAAGTCGTTCATTGCCATGTCAATGTTGATCCTTCTGTTTCTGTTACACATGGGGCCAAAGTTGAACTAGACTCAGTCCAAAGTTTCTCACCAAAATTTGAGAATGTTTATTTCTTCTCATTAAGACTTTCATCAAGACAGGGGTTCTCATTTATTTCCACGAGTGTGCAATGTGAAAGTACACTCTTGCCCTTTTGTCTTTATGGCTAAAGTAGGGTCTTTATCATAATGGAAAGCCTAGGTTTCTTATTAGAAGATTATGATACTGAAAGCAAATATAATGGTACATGTTACCTGGCTGCATTTGATAATGACACTGCACTGAAGCACCAAAGGTTGTTCTTATTGGTCAGGCCAGAGCTTGTGAAAAAAAATTAGGCCTACTGGCATGTCTGAAGATTCCTAGCTGGATGGACAGAACCACATGGGCTATTTTGATTAGACTCTGAATTTAAAACACTTTGGTGCCCAGTAATGAGGACATTTTCACATTTAGCACAACGTGATTTGGTGGTGGATTGGATTTGATAAAACTTCACTGAGCTAATGGCTGATTGGATTTACCCGGCCTGAATGGACAATAAAGTAAAAATCACCTCTAACCTACTCTTCTTTGGCAGTCTTTTTTATACATATAGATATATATATAAGATAGGCAGCTAGATAAACATATACATGGAAAATGGGTAACATAGGTATACCAATGTAATTTCTATTATTGCTTATGTCCTGTAGAGAAGCCACAGAATAAGTAGGTCAGAGGTCGTTTTTCTTCCCAACTTCTGCAGCCCAGATGAGTTTAATGAGCCGCTTAGATGAATATAAGTCAATTAACTAACTTGGGAAAGTGAAGACATCCAGGCAGGACCCAAATGGCAAATGTATCACATGAGCATACAGTGAGAAAGGAAGCAGGGCCCTGAAAATGCTAAGCTGGAACTAAAGTCTTAAATGGCTTTACCAAAAACTTACTTCCCAGGCCATGCACCTAAACGTGAAGCTTTATTGATGTTTAAACATAACATTGTATGGCTGTGTTCCAGTCTGAGACGCTATGGATCCATATAGTTGAGAGTAAGTTTATATCTGCCTCCTCAGTGTAGGCTGGGGAATTTAAAATGTTCATTGATTAATATGTTTTGTATACGTAAATATCTACATAGGCAAACTCATATAATTCTATATGTGTGTGTTTATCTGTCTACCCATGTATATCTACATACAGATCTAACTATCACTTTTTCCATATGCATACAGAATAAAGGTATAAGAGGTCAAAGGATAAATGGGTGTTTGTACTTATAGCAATGTAAAGAAAAACTTCAATAAATGCAAAATCTTATTTGCCCTTTGAATTTTATCCGTAAGAGCACACAAGTGGAGGTATGCTCTGACCTGCATCTTGCTGCATTTAATGCTTTCAAAGAAAGAATTGGTTTTTGTTGCTCACATCTGTTAGCAAAAATGTACTAAGGCCATGAGAGTCATTTATTGCCAAGTCAAAAATGGCCTTTTTAATTCTGGTGAACGTGAAAACATGGATAAACTAGCCTCAGCTTGAAGGCCTTAACACAAATTTGCAAATGAGAAATAATTCTTTTTAAAGCTTCCCTCAAATTTAGGGCTTTTGTTTTCAAATACATGACATAGAAATAGAATCTTTTTTTTTTTTTCCCAGATGAAGCTGGGTGTGGTGGTGGGTGCCTGTAATCCCAGATACTGGGGAGGCTGAGGCAGGAGAATCACTTGACCCTGGGAGGCGGAGGTTGCGGTGAGCAGGGATGGAGCCATTGCACTCCAACCTGGGCGACAGAGTGAGACTCCGTCAAAAAAGCAAAACAAAACAAAAAAACTCACAAATGAAAAGTAAATCAGAGGTTATGTCCCTACTCATGCTCCTCAAGATAGATGAATACAATTTCATCAGGCAAATTTAATAAGCCAATGAGCTCAAGCTAGGTGTTTTCAAATAGCCAATTAGCTGAGCCCAGGTGATTCCATTAGCCAAATAGCTCAGCCCAAGTGATTCCATTTACCCAATTAGCTCAGCCTAGGCAATTCCAATCAGTAAATTTGCTCAGCCCAGGTGATTACATTTTGCCAATCGACTCAACCCAGGTGATTCCAATCAGTAAATTAGCTCAGCCCAGGTGATTTCAAACAGCCAATTAGTTCAGCCTTAACAATTCCAATCAGTCAATGAGATCAGCCCTGGTGAATCTAATTTGCCAATTAACTCAGCCTCGGCGATTCTAAACAGAAAGCTCAGCTCATGTGATTTTAATCAGGAAATCAGCTAGGTTCTAGAGAATCCAATCAGCCAGTTAGTTGAACCTTGTGATTCCAATCAGTCAATTAGCTCAGTTCAGAAGTATCTAATTAACCAATTAGCTCATGTTAGTTGATTCCAATAAGGCAATTAGTTCTGCCCAGGTGGATCAAATCAGCCAATAATCTAGTGACTGTAGATTCATTAAGTCAGAATGGTGGATGTAAAAAGCACTTTTCTACACTGAGAAGAAAAGCAGTGCCCAGACATACTAATCTGGTCATAAAGCATTACATTGCTGTATTGTCAGCTTATTTCAAAGACCTTGCCTTTGAAAGTGAAGTATTGTTTATGTTTCTATAAACATCATTGTATATGGCTATGTTCCATTTGGGGTTCCTACTGTGCCATAAAGTAGACTAGTAAGTCTACATCTGCATTCTTAGTATATACTAAGGTATTAAAAATATAATTTGTGGAACATCTTGTATATTCATAAACATTTACATAATTGTACTTATATAATTCTGTACGTGCATGTTTATCTGTCTACCTATGTCCAGATGTATCCATCTTTGTATCTATATTCATAAAAAGTGAAGATGTAGAAGGTGAAAATGTTGATCATTATTGATATCAATATTAATATATAAAGATAATTCCATAGATGTATAAAATTTTCTGCACTATGAAATATACCTAGAATACTACCCAAATGGATGTATACTATTACCTAAATCCATCGGCATTTAACTTATATAAAGTAAGCATTGTTATTTTGGTTTTTTGATTATTTTTTAAAACGGAGTCTCACCCTGTCGCCAGGCTGGAGTGCAGTGGCACGAGGATCTCGGCTCATTGCAACCTCCACCTCCCAAGTTCAAGCGACTCTCCTGCCTCAGCCTCCCGAGTAGCTGGGACTACAGGCGCCTGCCACTACGCCCGGCTAATTTTTGTACTTTTAGTAGAGATGGGGTATTACGACGTTGGCCACGCTGGTCTGGAACCCCTGACCTCGGGTCATCAGCCCACCTCGGCCTTCCAAAGTGCTGGGGTTACAAGCGTGAGCCACCGCGCCTGGCCGGAAACTTTCTTCTGTAGATTTAGAAACAGATATGAGACATATATGTAGGAAAACACATATAAAAACTAAGGCTTATATACATAAGTCTAATTAATGTCTATTTGTGAGTATGTCTTGAAAAAAAGCCCCAAAAGAAAAGTATGTAAGAGGTCATTACCTTACTCATTCTCCTCAAGACGCAGTCAATGAACTCAGCCCATGTGATTCTAGTAGGCCAGTTAGCTCAGCCCAGGTGATTCCAATCAGCCAATTAAATGAGCCCAAGTGATACCAATTAGTCAATTATATCAGTAAAGGTGAATCCAATTAGCTAATTAGATTAGCCCAAGGTGATTCCAATTCACCAGTTAAATGAGCCCAAGTGATACCAGTTAGCCAATTTTATCAGTAAAGATGAATCTAATTAGCCAATTAGATTAGCGCAAGGTGATTCCAATCAGCCAATTTTCTTAGCCTAGGTAGATCCAATCAAACAATTATCTAAATAGTGACTATAGGTTTATCAAAGCAGGCCCAAACTAGTGGGTGTGAAGGGCACATACATACATTGAGAAGAAATGCAGGGCCCTGAAGTGCCAACCTGAACAGCATGAATAACATGGCTTTGCTGTCAGCTTATTTCTGAGGCCTGTGCTACTGAAGGTGAAGGGTTTTGTTCATGTTTATAAAAACAATATTGTATGGCTATGCTCCATTCTGAAATGCTACTGAGCAAAAGAGATTGAAAGTAATTATATGTCTGTATAATTTGTATATGCCAAGTGATTAAAAATGGTCTATTGGGGAACTTTTTTGTATACATAAATATTTACCTAGACATACTCATATAGTCCTGTATGTAAGTTTTAAAAATCTGTTTACCTGGCCAGCTGCAGTGGCTCATGCCTGTAATCCCAGCACTTTGGGAGGCTGAGGTGGATGGATCACGAGGTCAGGAGTTCGAGACCAGCCTGACCAATATGGTGAAACCCCGTCTCTACTAAAAATACAAAAATTAGCTGGGCATAGTGGTGCATCCCTGTAGTCCCAGCAGGAGAATCGCTTGAACCCAGGAGGCAGAGGTTGTGGTGAACTGAGATTGCACCACTGCACTCCAGTGTGGGCAACAGAGCGAGACTCCATCCCCCTCCCCCCAAGAAAAGTAACTTCTATACATGTATAAATATATTTGCCCTGTAAACTAGATCTACAAGGGTACACTATAGAGGTATGCACTGACATACATCCTGCTGCATTTAACATATACGAAGGAAGCATTGGTCTTTATTGCTCACTTTTGGAAAATGAACATGCACTAACCAATGGAAGTCATTCACTGCCATGTCAAGTTTAATCCATCCCTTCATGTTGGACATATGGCCGGAGATCAACCAGCCCCAGTCCTAAGGTTCTCATCTAAATTGTAAAATGTTTATTTTTTTTCTCATCAGGGCTTTCTTTAAGACATGTGATCTAGTTTATTTTTATGAGTATGTAATGTAAAAGTACAACTGGTATTTTCGTCTTTGTGACTGAAGTAGTGTCTTTATGGTAATGGGAAGAAAGTCTAGCACTCTTTCTCGAAGACAGGCAATCATACTGAAAGTAAATGTGATTGTACATGGTAGCAGGCTGCATTTCAACCAGATCATAGTGAACATTCACAAAAGTGCCAATGGTGGCTTTTATTGGCCAGTTCAAAACTTCTTCCTGAGTAAGGATAGTCTTACTGATGTCAGGCATTCCTGCTTTTTCAACTGGTTGAACAGAAGCCCACTAGGCTGATTTATTGAGATTCAGAAATAAAAAGACCTGGGGGCCAGGTAAGAAGGACATTTTCACATTTATGAAAGAAAAAAGTGCGGCAAAGTTTTGGCTTGGATTTTATAAATCTTCACTGTGCTAATCGGCTGATTGGATTTATGTAGCCTGGAAGTAAAGAAAATAGAAATTACCTTTTACCAAGTTTACTTCAATGCCTTTTTTTCTGTAAATATAAATATGGATATAAGATAGGTTGATAGATAAACATGTACACAAAGAATGAGTCACATATGTATGTATAGGTAAAGGTTATTTTTGCATATGTCCCATTTAGGACAAAGGTCATCTTCATTTCTACCCCTGCATCCCAGATAAATTAAATAAGCAAATTAGCTCAGCCTGTGTGATTGCAAAAATCCAATTAGGTCAGCTCAGGTAAATATAATCAACTGATTAGCTAAACTGGAAAAGTGTAGACATCAAGGCAGGCTCAAAATAATGGATGTGAATAATACAGGCATACTCTGAGAAGAAAAGTAAGGACCTAAAATGCTAAGCTGGACATAAAGCCTTACATCCCACTACCAAAATATTTATTCACAGGCCATGATCATAAACATGAAGTTTGTTCATGTTTATATATAACACTTTATGGCTGTGTTCCAGTCTGAGATGGTATAAAGCCATATAGGTGAAAAGTAAGTCTTCATCTATGTCCTTAGGTTAGGGTGGAAAATTAGAAATGTCTATTGATGAACATCTTTTGTATGCATAAATATTTACATATACAAACTAATATAATCCTGTATGTGTGTGTTTATGTACTTACATATATCTATATCCAGATCTATCTATAATTCTGTTAATATTCATACAGAATAAAGATGTAGCAAGTCAAAGTATAAGTGAGCAGTGGCTCATGCCAGTAATCCCAGTGCTTTGGGAGGCCAAGGCAGGTGGATGGTGAGGTCAAAAGATCGAGACCATCCTGGCCAACATGATGAAATTTTGTCTCTACTGAAAACAAAAATCAGCTGGGCATGGTGGTGCATGCCTGTAGTCTTAGCTACTCGGGAGGCTGAGGCAGGAGAATCGCTTGAACCCGGAAGGTGGAGGTTGCAGTGAGCCCAGATTGAGCCACTGCACTCCAGACTGGTGACAGAGCAAGACTCCATCGAAAAAAAAAAACAAAAAAAGGAATAAAGGGCATACAAATTGGTAAAGAGGAAGTCAAACTGTCACTGCTTGTTGATGATATAACTGTATACCTAGAATACCCTAAAGACTTATTCAAAAAGCTCCTAGATTTGAGAAATAAATTTAGTAAAGTTTCAGGATACAAAATCAATGTACACAAATCAATATCACTGCTATACACCAAGTGACTGAGCTGAGAATCAAGTCAAGAACTCAAACCCTTTATACCAGCTGCAGAAAAAATATACTTAGGAATATACTTAACCAAAGAGGTGAAAGACCTCTACAAGGAGTACTACAAAACAATGCTGAAAGAAATCAAAGATGATACAAACAAATGGAAACACATCCCATGCTCATGGATGAGTAGAGTCAATATTGTGAAAATGATCATAGTGCCAGAAGCAATCTACAAATTTATGCCGTTCTCATCAAAATACCACCATCATTCCTCACAGAATTAGAAAAAACAATCCTAAAATTCATACAGAAAAATAAAAGATCCTGCATAGCCAAAACAAGACTAAGCAAAAAGAACAAATCTGGAGACATCACATTATCTGATTTCAAACTATACTAGAAGACTATAGTTACCAAAGCAGCATGGTACTGGTATAAAAATAGGCAAATAGACCAATGGAACAGAATAGTGAATAAAGAAATAAAGCCAAATACTTTCAGCCAACTGATCTGCTACAAACTAAACAAAAACATGAAGTAGGGAAAAGACACCCTATTCAACAAATGCTGCTGAGATAATTAGCGAGCCACATCTAGAAGAATAAAACTGGATCTTCATTGCTCTCTTTATACAAAAATCAACCCAAAGTGGATCAAAGACTTAAATGGAAAACTTGAAACTATACAAGATAATATAGCAAAAACTCTTCTAGACATTTGCTTAGGCAGAGATTTCATGACGAAAACCCCAAAACCAAATGCAACAAAAACAAAGATCAATAAATGTGACTTAATTAAACTAAAAAGCTTCTGCTCAGAAAAAAATAGTAATAATCAGAAGAGTAAACAAACAACACACAAAGTGGGAGAAAATATTCGCAAACTATGTATCTGACAAAGGACTGACAAAGTTTCTACAAGAAACTCAAACAAACCAGCAAGAAAAAAACAAACTATCCTATAAAGAAGTGGGCTTAGCACATGAGTAAACAGTTCTCAAAAGAAGACATACAAATGGTTAAAAAACGTTTTAAAAAAATACTCAACATCACTAATGATCAGAGAACTGAAAAACAAACCACAATGTGGTATCATCTTACTCCTGCAAGAACGGCCATAATGAAAAAATCAAAAAATAACAGACGTTGGTATTGATGTAGTACAACGGGATCACTTTTACACTGATGGTGGGAACATAAACTAGTACAACTACTATCAAAAACAGTCTGGAGATTTCTAAATGAATTAAAGATAGAACTTCCATTTGATCCAGCAATCCCCCTACTGGGTATCTACACAGAGAAAAATAAGTCATTGTATGAAAAAGACACTTGCACATGCATGTTTATAGCAGCAGAATTTGCCATTGCAAAATTGCTATGAGGATGTATGCTAAGCTATGAAGATGTAAAGGCTTAAGAATTATATAATGGGTGGGGTGGGGTGGCTCACGCCTATAATCCCACCACTTTGGGAGGCCGAGGCATGTGGATCACCGAGGTGGGGAGTTCAAGACTAGCCTGACCAACATGGAGAAACCCCGTCTCTACTAAAAATACAAAGTTAGCCAGGCATGGTGGCACATGCCTGTAATCCCAGCTGCTTGGGAGGCTGAGGCAAGATAATCGCTTGAACCCGGGAAGTGGAGGTTGCAGTGAGGCAAGATCGCACCATTGCACTCCAGCCTAGGCAGCAGGAGCAAAACTGAGTCTCAAAAAAAAAAAAAAAATTATATAATGGACTCTAGAGACTTGGGAAACAACGGTACGGGGAAAAGGGATAAAAGACTACACATTGGTGCCAGGCCCTGTGGCTCACGCCTGTAATCCCAGCACTTTGGGAGGCCGAGGCGGGCAGATCATGAGGTCAGGAGATCGAGACCATCCTTGCTAACAAGGTGAAACCCCACCTCTACTAAAAATACAAAAAAAAAAAAATTAGCCAGGCGTGGTGGCGGGCACCTGTAGTCCCAGCTATTCAGGAGGCTGAGGCAGGAGAATGGCGTGAACCCGGGAGGCGGAGCTTGCAGTGAGCCGAGACCGCCCACTGCACTCCAGCCTGGGAGACAGAGCGAGACTCTGTCTCAAAAAACAAAAATTAAAAAAAAGACTACACACTGGGTACTGTGTACACTGCTTGGGATATGGGTGCCCTAAAATCTCTGCAATCACCCGTAAAAAACTTTTTCATGCAGTCAGACACCACCTGTAGCCACAAAGCTGTTGAGAGAATAATAAAAACAAACCCCCACCCCCGAAGTCCCATAAGATTAAGTTTATATGCTTTGGCATTTAATTTTTTAAAAAACGGTCTCTGTCATCCAGGATGGAGTGAAGTGACTTCATCACGGCTCATTGCACTCTCGATCTCCTGGGCTCAGGCAATTCTCCTACCTCAGCCTCCTGGGTAGCTGGTACTACAGGTGCAGGTAACGATGCTGAGCTAATTTTGTATTTTTTGTAGACATGGGGTTTTGCCATGTTGCCCAGGCTTGCCTCCAATTCCTGGGCTTAAGCAGTCTTTGTGTCTTGGCCTTTCAAAATGCTGGGATTACAAGCGTCAGCCACTACCCCCAACAAGAATCTTATTTTTATATGATAGAGAAAAGCTAAACATATTTAGATCTGCTAGTTAACAGAGAATTTGAAAAAACATCTTCTATTAAAAATATAAAATGGTTGTCTACAAATACTGATATCAAACAGTTCAAGATTACTTACTAGAGATTTCACTAAAAATTAGGTTTTAAAGAGTTCATGTAATTAATATATATAATTAAAACTACTGGATCTAAGAAAAACAATTTTGCATAGAGATTGTGCAAGCAAAAGCAAAAATATGCTTTCAATGAAGAAAGTTAAAAATATTTTGTCTAGTTTGATATTACTTAAAGGTTGTCTCAAATTGAGAAAATAAAAAGAACGTAGAAAAAAATAAAGTAGAGAAAATTTAAAAAGTAATTAAAAGAAGGCCGGGCGCGGTGGCTCACGCCTATAATCCCAGCATTTTGGGAGGCCGAGGCGGGTGGATCACCTGAGGTCGGGATTTTGAGACCAGCCTGACTAACATGGAGAAAACCCATCTCTACTAAAAATACAAAATTAGCGGGACATAGTGGCACATTCCTGTAATCCCAGCTACTCCGGAGGCTGAGGCAGGAGAATATCTTGAACCCGGGAGGCAGAGGTTGCAGTGAGCCGAGATTGCGCCATTGCACTCCAGCCTGGGCAACAAGAGTGAAACTCCCTATCAAAAAAAGTAATTAAAAGAGATTATAAACTATGTATGGAAATCTAGAGTGGTCAAAATGATATATTTGTTGGATTTATTTATAAAGTTTTGTGAAAATTAGCTTTTAATTTCTTTTATTTTTAAATTTTTGTTTTTATTTTTTGAGATGGAGTCTTGCTGTGTCACCCAGGCTGGAGTGCAGTGGCGCAATCTCGCTTGAACCCGTGAGGTGGAGGTTGCAGTGAGCCGAGATCACAACATTTCCAGCCCAGGCAACAAGACAGAAACTCCATCTCAAAAAGAAAACAAAACAAAACAAAACAAAAAACAAAAACAAACACAAACAAACAAAAAAACCTGCGAGCCCAGACAAGACAAAAATTAATTGACTATTACAAAAGTACTCTGCCACATTTTCAGTTACATCAGCCAGTACGGAAATGTTTTAGATATGCTTTTTAAATCAACTCTGTGGTCCAAGTCAAATGACCTATGATAACCTCTCAGGTATCAGTGCTGTGCACCTAAATTGGGGAAAGTAACCTAGTGTTTAAGAAGACATAAACTTAATGTTCAGTGTGGACTCATGGAGAATATAGGCAGCCACTTGATATTTCCTGAGTTATTTTTTTTTTAATTAAAGTAATTTTTTTTTTTTTTTGAGACGGAGTTTCACTCTTGTCACCCAGGCTGGAGTGCAATGGCATGATCTCGGCTCACTCCAACCTTCACCTCCCAGGTTCAAGCCATTCCCCTGCATCAGCCTCCCAAGTAGCTGGGATGACAGGTGGCCACGACCATGCCAGACTAATTTTTGTAATTTTAGTAGAAATGGGTTTCACCATGTTGGCCAAGCTGGTCTCGAACTCCTGACCTCATGATCCACCTTCTTCAGTCTCCCAAAGTGCTGGGATTACAGGCGTGGGCCACCGCATATGGTTCCTATTCCTGAGTTCTTGAAGTTTCCATTATTAAAAACTCTGCATTTCACTACTCATCACAGAAAAGATAAGTAATCTGTATTAATCTATAATAAATATAAATTGAATGTGTATGTGCATGTGTGTGTGTGTGTGTGTAGTGACTTCTAAATTACTATACTAGTTTAAGACTGATTTTTTTTTTGTCGAACTTATAATTATCAGAAGATAATTAAAAGTTTATGTAAGTTTCTGCTACCTCAGGGCCATCATTTAAACATTTACACACAAATTGTCTTTTTTTTTTTTTTTTTTTGAGACAGAGTCTCACTCTGTGGCCCAGGCTGGAGTGCAGTGGCAAGATCTCGGCTTACTGCAACCTTGGCCTCCCAGGTTCAAGCGTTTCTTCTAACTCAGCCTCCCGAGTAGCTGGGACTACAGCACGTGCCATCATGCCCAGCTAATTTTTGTATTTTCAGTAGAGACGGGGTTTCACCATATTGGCCAGGCTGGTCTCGAACTCCTGACCTTGTGATCCATCTGCCTCGGCCTCCCAAAGTACTGGGATTACAGGTGTGCTTTTTTTTTTTTTTTTTCTGAGACTGAGTTTCACTCTTGTTGCCCAGGCTGGAGTGCAATGGCGCGATCTTGGCTCACTGCAACGTCTGCCTTCCAGGTTCAAGCAACTCCTGCTGCAGCCTCCCATGTAGCTAGGATTACAGTCGGCTGCCACTATGCCCAGGTAAATTTTGTGTTTTTAGTAGAGACTTGGTTTTACCATGTTAGTCAGTCTGGTCTCGAACTCCTGCCCTCAGGTGATCCTCATGCCTCAGCCTCCCAAAGTACTGGGATTACAGACGTGAGCACTGGACAGAAAATTGCACACCTGGCAATTGTCATTTTTAATGCATGTTTTCTGGTAGTATAAAAGCTTTCTGATGCAAGAAGGTTGATGTTATAACGGTAGCTAAAAGGATACTAAGACTTTTTTTTCTTCATGAAAGCTTTTTGAAAAGGTCTCCAATTACAAAGATACTTATTTCACTAGAAAAATTGTAAAACTGTTAAATAAGGCATTACGGATACAATAGTACTGAGCAAAGCTAACTAAATTCACTAGATTACTTTTGTAATTGCAACTGATGATAGATGCACTTAGAGTGGAAAAAATGTGTTGACCTTTATAAAAAGTCATTGGAAGACTTTTTTTTTTTTTACTAAAGTTGTGTTAAATAAAAGAATTTATCTAGTTTACTTACTGGATAAACAGAGAAGTATCTGTGCAGTTGCTAGTATTTGTAGTTGCACATGGAGAAATACATCGAGTATTACAGAGATTCAGTTGTAGGAAATTAATGAACAGACTGGTTGAAATGAGTAGACCATTTAACTAGCTAATTATTTGATCTATTGGTTGGTTCATGGGGTCCTTGGTTAAAAAGCATACTTCAGGCCTGGCATGGTGTCTCACACCTGTAATGCCAGCACTTTGGGAAGCCGAGGCAGGTGGATCACTTGAGGTCAGAAATTTGAGACCAGCCTGGCCAACATGGTGAAACCTCATCTCTACTAAAAATACAAAAATTAGCCAGGTGTGGTGACACATGCCTATAATCCCAGCTACTTCGGTGGCTGAGGCAGGAGAATCACCTGAACCCAGGAGGCAGAGGTTGCAGTGAGCCAAGATTGTGCCATTGCACTCCAGCCTCGGTGACAAGACAGACTTCGTCTCAAAAAAAAAAAGCATACTTCTAACTCTTGATATTATTTTCCTGATAGTCAAAATAATAGTCTCCCTACTGCACTCTATTCTCTCAAAAGTTATAAATCTTTGCATGCAGTCATCTCTAGAATGTCAAGTGGTCTCTCTTTAACTGGAATGATGAAAACTAGAAAATGTATTTGACCATGAGAACACCATAACCCATGAATGACCTGATAAGAACGGAAACCAAAAATAATGGAAACTGAGAGTGACACTAAGACCCTGAGTTTTGGTCACACTCTGACCTATGTGAAAACTTAATCAAAAGGGGGAAATTTTTTAAACAAAATTATTGGAGGCCATCATTCTGGACTGAGCTTGTTCACTAGGCCCAAACAGACCAAACCAAACCAAAATGGAGTCATTCATGCTAAATGTGACATAGTCAAACTGAAAATTTAAAGAACTAGGTAGATGCTAAAACTGGCCAGGTCTTGTTTTTCTTTGGTAAACAGCAGATTTCAAACAAGGAGGTCTTCCCTACTGTAATCCTTTTAAAAAGTAATAACCTGAAGTACTTGTTTTCACTTTACAAAACCCACAGTTCTGCTATTTTATAGCAGAATTTGAGACTAAATAAGTACATTTGTAATGGTGACAAAGTAATATCAATGTCTAAAGTTTTGGTTTATTTCTTGAAAATGAGGAGATAACCAAAAGGGAGATATTGTTAAATTAATTAAAGCCTAAAGCTGACCCCTTTTGTTTAATTTTGGTTAATAGGATTTTCTGTACATAGTAAACTAAAACATAGCTGAATATGTAAATAGATTGTAACTTATTCTTGTACCAACCACTACCTTTTTGCTAATAAAAGAACATCAACTGGTCAAACCATATTCAAATAAGGCAAATCCCAAGCTGTAATAAATCCGGCTGTTTCTGTACCTCACTTCTATTTTCTGAATGTCACTTTGCTTCTTCTGTACATAAATCTTTTTTTCCATGTGGCTGTGCTGGAGTCTCTCTGAGGCTATTTGGGACCACAGGCTGCTTAATTTCCAAATTATTCTTTGCTCAATTAAACTATGTTAAACTTAATTTCTCTGAAGTTTTTTTCTTTTAAAAGTTTTCAAATGTTTTGTATGATAAAAAAATAAGTGATGTGTTGTTGGGCTTTGATTATCTAAAATAAGTTATGTTTTCCAAGTTATTCAATATCAGCTATGTCAGCTATTTTTTCCAAGTTATTCTATGTTCTTTCAAAATGCTTTTGCAATTCCTTTTTTGTTTTTGTTTTGTTTTGCTTGAGACAGAGTCTCACTCTGTCACCCAGGCTGGAGTGCAGTGGTGTAATCAATCATGGCTCAATGCAACCTCCACCTTCCAGGCTTAAACAATCCTCCTACCCTAGACACCCGAGCATCATCATGCCTGGTTAACTTTTTAAATTTGTTTTATATTGAGACAGGATTTTACTATGTTGCCCAGGCTGCACTTGAACTCCTGAGCTTCAGTGATTCTCCCATCTCAGCCTCGCAAAGTGTTAGGATTACAGATGTGAGCCACCATGTGCTTCAGTAATTTCTTGAGATTATTCCCAACAATAAACAGTACTATGTGGGCACAAATCTAAAAGCAATCTGGTTTCTATTTTTGAAGTGTCACTCTCCAGGATTTTAAGAGTCTAGGACAGCTACTTGAATACTGTGATCCATGGAGGTACATAGGCTTTGGAGTCAGACAGAGTTGATCCTGAGTCCCAGCCCAGCCATTTAGTAGCTGTGGGTGTTTGGAAAATTTCTTGATGTGGAAGAGTTCTGTGGGCCACACATGCAGAAAAAGCAGAATGGGCTGGGTGCAGTGGCTCACGCCTGTAACCCCAGAACTTTGGGAAGCTGAGGCGGGTGGATCACGAGCTCAGGAGATAGAGACCACCCTGGCCAACATGGTGAAACCCCATCTCTACTAATAATACAAAAATTCGCTGGGTGTGGTGGTGTGGGCCTGTAATCCCAGCTACTCAAGAAGCTGAGGCACAAGAATAGCTTGAACCTGGGAGGCAGAGGTTGCAGTGAGCCAAAATAGCCCCACTGCACTCCAGCCTGGCAACACAGCAAGACTCCCTCTCAAAACAAACAAACAAACAACAGCAGAAGGATACTGACTGCAAATATGGTAGCAATTTTTCATCCCTCCTGTATTCACGTCCATTGTCAGGTGCTTTTACAGCCATTCCCATCAAGATCCAGAATCTATTTTCCTAACGCTTGCTCTGGCAGTTCTTACTTGCTCAGGGCAGTAGAAACCTGGGAACATGACAATGTGTTAGTTTGGGGCCAAGATTCAAACCGTTTTGACTACTTCTGTTTTTCTTTTCTTTTCTCTCTCTCTTTTTTCTCTTTTTTTGAGAAGGAGTCTTTCTCTGTCACCAAGGCTGGAGTGTAGTGGCGTGATCTTGGCTCACTGCAACCTCCATCTCCCAGGTTCAAGCAATTCTCCTGACTCAGCCTCCCGAGTAGCTGAGACTACAGGCATGTGTCACCACACCCAGCTAATTTTTGTATTTTTAGTAGAGACAGAGTTTCACCATGTTGGCCAGGCTGGTCTCAAATTCCTGACCTAAGGTGATCCATCTGCCTTGGCCTACTAAAGTTCTGGGATTACAGGTGTGAGCCACCATGCTGGGGCTGCTTCCGTTTTTCTTTCAGAATGCTGCCATCTTCATGAAACAAGCTTATATTAGCCAGCTGGAGGATAAGATACCATGGGGAGGAGAAGCAAGGTGCCCCTGTTGACAGCCCCAGAAGCAGAAGCTCACCCCTAGAAGCACAGCTGCCTTCCTAGTCAATGAGCAGCTCGTGACACATGTCTGAAGGAGCTCAGCTGAGAACAGAAGAATGGCCCCACTGAGTCCAGCGTAAATGGCTGAGCAGTTCAATTATGAGCTAATCAGTTTTGGATGGTTTGTTATGCTGCATAGCTAACTGATACATGCACCCAGTGCAGATAGAATGCCAAGATTTAATGACAGGTTGATTACCAGTTACCTTCTAACGCTGAGCACCGTAAAAGTACTGATATTTTTCCCTATTTAAAGTTAGATGTCTTGTAAGATAATGTTGAGAAATGCAGAAGTATTGCTGAGTGTGGTCGCTCCTGCCTGTAATCCCAGCACTTTGGGAGGCCAAGGTGGGGTGGATCACCTGAGATCCGGAGTTTGAGACCAGCCTGACCAACATGGAGAAACCTTATCTCTACTAAAAATACAAAAAATTATCCGGGCCTGGTTTCACATATCTGTAATCCCAGCTACTCCTCAGGAGGCTAAGGTAGGAGAATCTCTTGATCCCGGGAGGCGGAGGTTGCTGTGAGCTGAGATCATGCCATTGCACTCCAGCCTGACCAACAAGAGCAAAACTCCGTCTCAAAAAGTAAGTAAGTAAATAAATAAATAAATAAATAAATAAATAAATAAATAAAATAAATGCAGAAATACATGTGGACATGTGGACATGTACGCATGTGATTGGTGCTTATATTCACTCAGTTTCCCACACCACAGGAGAAAACAGATAACCACAGCCTGGCCTTTAAGGTCAAGGCCAAATAGCAAAATAAGTTTGCCTTTATTTTCTTCCTATGTAAATATTAAAGGTCCAGACTGTGAACAGATCTGAAGACATAGAGTTTACTTCTTCTGTGGCCCCATCATCCTTTGTTCACTGTCTGTTCTCTGAAAGAAAGGTGGGCAACACTAGCAAGCAGTGGTTTACCTGTGGTTATTTCATTCCTGCTGCCCTCAGGTGTGGTGTTGATTGAGGTCTTCGGCTCACTCTTTATTTTGATTTTTTAGTCAGGTCGTTTGTTTTATTGTTGTTTGAAAATTATTTCTATATTTTGGATAACAATCCTTATCAGATATATCTTTTGCAAATATTTTCTTCCATACTGTGTCTTTCTTTTCATTCTCTATACAGTGTCTTTCACAGAGCAAAAATGCTTAATTTTGGTAAATTTGACATCGATATTTTACTTTCAGAAAATGAACTGGTGGTATTTTATCTAAATTATAATTGCTAAATCCAGGGTCATCTAGATTTTCTCCTAATTACATTCTAGGAATTTTATAGTTTTGCATTTTAAATTTACGTCTGTGTTCCATTTGTGTCAGTTTTTGTGAGGATGTAATGTTTGTGATTCATGCTTTTGTATGTGGATGTCCAGTTGTTTTAGCATCATTTGTTGAAAGGATTCTCTTGGCTGCATTGTATTGCCTTTAGTCTTTTGTCAAAGATTCATTCAGTATATTAATATGGGCTTACCTCTGGGCTCTGCATTCGTTCCATCAACTGATTTGTCTATTCTTTTACCAATATCACACTGTCTTGATTACTGTAGCTTTATATTTAATCTTGAAGCTGAGTAGTGTCTCAATCATCCAATTTTATTATTCTCCTACAATATTGTGTTGGCTATTCTAGGTCTTTTGCCTCTACATGTAGGTTTTTGCCTCTATATATAAACCTCAGAATCAGTTTTTCAGTAGCCCCAAAAGAAGTTCATGGAATTTTGTTTAAGGCTGTAGTGCATCACAGATCAAGCTAGGAGGAACTGACATCTTAACAATATGGAGTATTTGCATCATGATCATGGTGTATCTTTCTACTTTTTGCTCCTTCTGATTTCTTTCATTAAAGTATTTTTTTTTTTTTTTTAAGGACAAGAGCCTCACTCCATCCCCCAGGCTGGAGTTCAGTAATGCAATCTTGGATCACTGCAACCTACACCTCCCGGGTTCAAGTGATCCCTCTGCCTCAGCCTCCCAAGAAGCTGGGACTTCAGGCATATGCCACCATGCCAGGCTAATTTTTGTATTTTTAGTAGAGGTGGTATTTCACCATGTTTATTGGTACTTTCACCATGTTATTTCTCCTGCCTCAGCCTCCTGAGTGGCTGGGATTACAGCTGAACCTGGGAGGCAGAGGTTGCAGTGAGGTGAGATCACACCACTGCACTCCAGCCTAGGTGACAGAGTGAGATTCTGTCTTAAAAACAAACAAACAAAAGTTTCAGTATAGGCACAAAACATCTGTTAATATACATTATAGCACATCCTCTTAAGATTAGTTTTATTTGTTATAACAAAGAATCTTTATTTGTTTCAAGTTTTTTTTTTATAAACAAGATCTTTGTCACTCAGGCTGGAGTGCAGTGGTGTGATTATAGCTCACTGTAGCCTCACTTCAGATCTGTTCACAGTCTGGACCTTTAATATTTACATAGGAAGAACTCAGGTGATCTTCCTGCCTTGGACTCCTGAGTAGGAGGGACTATAGTTGCATGTCAACATGCCCTATTAATTTCTTTTTTTTTTTTTTTATAGAGACAAAGTCTCCCTATGTTGCCCAGCCTAATCTCAAACTCCTGGCCTCAAGTGATACTCTTGTCATGGCCTCCCAAAGTCCTGGGATTATTGGCATGAGTCACCATGCCTTGCCTATCTTCTCCAAAAGTTTTTTTTAAAAAAAAAGAAAAAGGAAAAGTGTACTGTCTTCTGTTGGTTGCATATTAGAATATAGGTTATGTGGAGTATCCTACTTTGAAGCAGCCCATTCCAGAGTCTACGCAAAGTTGTTCTTCCTGAACTGCTTTAAGAGAATTACCTCATGTGGGACAAGGGCATGGGGGAGTCCCCCAGAAAATTTACCAACTGAAAATAACTACTGAAACAATAAGTACCTATTCCCAAACAGAGCAAGAGTGTCTGTTGTAGATGGTCAACCTTTGCAGACAGTAGTAACACCTACGTTCACCAAGAGACATACTGTGAACTCTGAGAACAGGTTACAGTGTGTATTGAGTCAGGAGAGACTGATCCATCAGACCATAGCCAAAGACAATCAAATATTAAACCTCTTCCCTGCACATGTGAAAACATCAGATGTGCAAAAATAAAACATTGGGAGACAAGGTCCTCACTGCATATATGTGGGCTTTAGTCTCCAGGGAGACACATTGACCTCACATCAATTTCACTACTGCTGCATCTGTTATACACTACATTTCATATATATTTCATGCTATTTTTGAATTTTATATTCCATTGGTCTCTAAATCTGTTCATAAATTAAAACTACATTATTTAACTTTTCAATTCCTTATAACACATCATAGAAGATGTCACTTCACTTTTCTTTTTTATTTTTACTTTTTTTTGAGACACACTTTTTGCTCTTTTTGGCCAGGCTGGAGTGCAATGGTGAGATCTCGGCTTACTGCAAACTCCACCTCCCGGGTTCAAGCAATTCTCCTACCTCAGCCTCGAAAGTAGCTGGGATTACAGGCATGCACCACCACACCCGGCTAATGTTTTGTATTTTTAGTAGAGGTGGGATTTCACCATGTTGGTCAGCTGGTATCCAACTCCAGACCATTGGTGATCCACCCACCTCAGCCTCTCAAAGTGCTGGAATTACAGGTGTGAGCCACTGCACCCAGCCCACTTTTTTTTTATGCTTTTTATGAATATCTTTATTCATTTATTCTTCTTTGCAGCAAAATTTCTATTTTCAGAACACAATAAGATGATGTCTCTGTTGCATTCAAACTCAATTTTTAAACTGATTAAAAGATCATTGATCCAATACTGTTGAATCATCCTTTTCAAACATATATTGCCACTACTTTTACTTGTACAAATCTGTTATTCATATTTTTCAGAAATACTTTATGCTAAATCCTTACTAATTTTTTAAAAATATGATTTTCTAGGCCTGGCACAGTTGCTTATGCCTGTAATCCCAGCACTTTAGGAGGCTGAGGTGGGCAGATCACCAGGTCAGGAGTTCGAGACAAACCTGGCCAATATGGTGAAACCCTGTCTCTACTAAAAATACAAAAATTAGCTGGGTGTGGTGGCACACATCTGTAGTCCCAGCTATACAGGAGGCTGAGGCAGAATAATTGCTTGAACCTGGGAGGCAAAGGTTGCAGTGAGCCAAGATCACACCACTGCACTCCAGCCTGGGCAACAGAGTGAGACTCCATCTCAAAAAAAAAAAAAAAATATATATATATATATATCTTAAGTATATATATAAATATATATAAACTTTTCTGTAGAATTCTGGTAATGTCTTTATTTATATCTATGAACATGAAACATGACATTCTATTGGTTTCAATTATTTGACTAATTTGTTAGTGGATTTCCAAATGGTAAATCTCACTTCCATTTCTGGCATAAAGTACACTGGATCATAATATAATTATATGTTTTAGTACGCTGACACAATGGCTACTAATATTTAAAATTTTTACATTATACTTATATGTTCTATATGTCTGTAATATTCTATATGTGTCTCATATATGAGAACTCTTAAGCAAAGTTCTCATATCCCTCTTATGAACACTTACACATTAGCGGGAAGATTGACTACATTAAAACTCTCGAACAGTCTAGATAGCATCAGTTTATCAACTATTTAATAAGTAGAATTTATCTCTCAAGTATATAAAGTTGGTGTTTTTCTGTGTGAGAATAACTCTTTGAGATACATCTCTGTAAATTGCACATATTTGCCCCATTTATGTTTATATGTTTATGTTTATATCAATATTTAAATTCAAAGTTATTTATTTGCACTGTAACCTTTCACATATTCTACTCAAGCTTTTTTTGTTTGTGTTTGTTTTTGTTTTTTGTTGAGATGGAGTTTCGCTCTTGTTGCCGAGGCTGGAATGCAATGGCGTGATCTCCGCTCACTGCATCCGCCTCCTGGGTTCAAGCAAGTCTCCTGCCTCAGCCTCCCAAGTAACTGGGATTACAGGCATCCACCACCATGCTCAGCTAATTGTTTGTGTTTTTAGTAGAGACGGGGTTTCTCCATGTTGGTCAGGCTGTTCTCGAACTCCTGACCTCAGGTGATTCGTCTGCCTCGGCCTCCCAAAGTGCTAGGATTACAAGTGTGAACCACCGTGCCTGGCCTCCAGCTTTTTATATAATCACATTTCCTGATTAAATATTAAAGAATAGTTTTGCTCAGGAATTTGAAGATTCACAAAAAGTTTGCTTTTTAGCAGAGGATCATCTTAAGGAAGCGCAGAACCCAGAAAGACACACTGACTTCACTGTCTGTTCTTCGTATATAAGACTCAGCATTTTCTGCTCTCTCCATGTGAGCCTCTTTCTTTCTTCAGAAATCATAGATGAGAAAAGCCTGTTCCAAACTCCTTCATTTCTCTGGGAACACTAGAGAGCTGTAACAGTTTTTCTTGTTTGTTTGTTTCTGTTTTGAGATGGAGTCCCACTCTGTCACCCAGGCTGGAGTGCAGTGGCATGATCTCGGCTCATTGCAATCTCCACCTTTCAGGTTCAAGCTATGCTCCTGCCTCTGCCTCCCAAGTAGCTGAGATTACGGGCATGCACCATCACACCTGACTAATTTTTGTGTTTTCAGTAGAGACGGTGTTTTGCCATGTTGGCCAGGTTGGTCTCAAACTCCTGACCTCAGGTGATCTGCCCGCTTCGGTTTCCCAAAGTGTTGAAATTACAGGAGGGAGCCACCACACCTGGCAAAGAGCTGTAATTGTTATTGGTAAATTGTAACTGGAGCAAATTTTTCAAAATATCGCTTTTTTTTTTCATATTCAACAGCTCATTTTCCTTTATTCAGCTATTAATAATTGAGATCTATTCATACTGACTTAAAACACGTAAATTATTTTTTTTTCACATAAAAACTGGGGAGTTAGGCATACCTGGGCCAGCATGGCAGCTTCAGGAAGCCTTTAGGGATGTCTCTGCTCCATCACCCCTGACATTCGTTTTCCATTCTTCATGGTCCAAGATGAGGGCTGAAGATCCAGATCATCTATTAACATCCATATTTTAGAAAAGCAAGAAAGCTGTTTTTAAAATCGTTGTTGTTTTATATACTCAATTTCTGAATCTTATTTTATTTGTGCTGTTTTCTTCCAATTTCTATTTTAGGATCAAGGGTCCATGTGCAGGTTTGTGAAATGGGTAAATTGCATGTCACTGGGGTTTGGTGTACACATTATTTCATCAGGCAAGTAGTGAGCATGGTACTTGATAGGTAGATATATATAGATATAGATATAGATAGATATATGTAGATATATATAAATATATATAGATATAGATATATAAATATATATAGATATAGATGTATAAATATATAGATATAGATATATAAATATATATAGATATATATATAAATATACATAGATATAGATATATAAATATATAGATATAGATATATGCATATATAGATATAGATATATAAATATACAGCTATAGATACATATAAATATATAGATATACGTATATAAACATATATAGATATAGATATATAAATATATAGATATAGATATAAATATAGATATAGATAGATATAAATATAGATATAGATAGATATAAATATATAGATATAGATAGATATAAATATATATAGAGAGAGATATATTATTTTCTTAGACGGAGTTTTGCTCTTGTTGCCCAGGCTGAGGTGCAGCGGCCTGATCTTGGCTCACTGCAACCTCTGCATCCCAGCTTCCAGCAATTTTCCTGCCATAGCCTCCGGAGTACCTGGGATTATAAGTGCATGCCACCATGCCCGGCTAATTGTTGTATTTTTAATAGAGACCAGGTTTCACCATACTAACCAGGATGGTCTCGAACTCCTGACCTTGTGATCTGCCTGCCTCGGGCTCCCAAAGTACTGGGAATACAGGCGTGAGCCACCACACCTGGCCCAATTTTTGTATTTTTAGTAGAGACAAGGTTTTTGCCTGGTGGCCAGGCTGGTCTTGAACTCCTGACCTCAGGTGATCCACCCACCTCAGCCTCCCAAAGTTCTGGGATTACAGGTGTGAGCCACAGTGCCCAGCCTCAAGCTCCTTTTCTTAATAGCCATTCCATTATGTCTCCTTCTTGGTTAAGTTGAAAAAATCTTCTGTTTTAATTCCAAGAGGAAATAATTTTTGCATTCGATAAATTCCACTTAAGATGATGCTAAATCAGAACATTAATATTCTACTTGAATCTTTGAATCATTATAGATATTTGCCAATAAATTATGCAATCATATTTAAATTTTAATATTTCATATTGCAATTTTAAATAAATATGTACAAACATTCTTTAAAAAACTAACAAGAGATACAGAAATGTTTTTAAAATACGTGGATTTTTTAAAAAAATATATCTGATATTGAGACAGCATAATAGTTAAAAGCATCTTCAACTCCTGAAACTGCCTCCTACAAGAAGGTAATTTTGGAAATGTCATTTTTTCTATTTTTGTCTAAGCTCTCTTCACCTGTAAAATCAGAATAATAAACCACTTAATAGAGTTGTTGTAAAAATTATATGTAACACACAAATATAGTAGTTTTATAATGCTATATATATATAAAGTTATCACACTATATATAGTTATAATAATAAAGCAAAGCCAATGGCATCTTTCATATTAAAGGTTTTTGCAAGAAAAGCCAATGGAATCTTTCATATTAAAGTTTCATATTTGATTCAAGTGTATTTCAATGAAATAATATAGATGAAAATTAAATTACTAAAATGGAAAATGCCTGACAACATGTGAGCTAGATGTCAACCACTGGAATTTATTTTAAAAAGCACAGGCTAAATGCAAATAATTTATATATACATATATGTGTGTGTGTTTATGAATTTATGTGTGTGTGTATATATATGTATATATAGAGATAATAGAAAAACATCTTAGTGAAAGAAAAGTAGAATTTAAAAACAAAATTATAAGTTGAAAACAGTGGTATGTGAACAATAATCCTTTTTAGTTGCCACAATAAAACAGACCTTATGTGCCTATGCAGAATATTCTCACTCCGAATAAAAATATTAGTAATTGGAAAATAATGAATGGCCTCCAGGAATTTGGAAATAGGAATAATCTTCTTTTCTCAGACAACAGTTGGATTATTGGGGAATTTATTTTTTTGCCACTTTGTTATACCAGGTGGATATTAAAGTCCACAGATTTGATTCTCAAGCACCTGGCTATAGCCAACATCTTGGTCATATTCTCCAAAGCAGCTTCACAGACAATGACTTCTTTTAATTTCAAGCATTTCCTCAGTGATAGTGCATGCAAACATGTTTTCTATGTTCACAGAGTGGGCAGAGGTGTGTACATTACCACCATCTGCCTCTTGAGTGTCTTCCAGCCATCATTATCAGCCCCATGAACTCCAGGTGGGCACAGTTGAGACTACAAGCTCCCAAATACATTGGGTCCTCCAACATCTTGTCCTGGATAGGAAATACACTGACAAATACCATTTTTTCTATGCATGTGATTGGCAAATTGGACAGCAAAAACAATACAAAGAAAAAAGATTTAAGATACTGTTCTTCATTGGATAATAACAGAATTACCAGATTACTATGTACAACATTATCGTCATTCCATGGTGTTTGTGTTTGACACAGTTATGTTCCCTCTTCAAATAGCTTATCCAGTTTCCCCATTCTCTATTCTATAATTCCAACTATTCCTTACCTCAACTGTGCCCCAACTTACCTAACTATGCCTAGACATGCATGAACTTGCTACAATCTAAGTCCCAATCTGCATTATTTTCCTTATTAGGGAACAGGTTGCTTTCCTAGTTCCCCCCCAATGGACCTCCATTCTCTCTTACCTCCCTTACATGATTACCATATCTAAAAAGTTTGAAGTATTTAACCAATCAGGACTAGTTTAGACTGTGTGGTCCAAACCTAAGCAATAGGGGAAAGACACAGGTAGAAGCTGCACCGGAGATAATAAAAACTCCTGCTTCCTTTGTTCTATGCGCCCTTGTCATTGCTTAATTTACTAGGTGAACCCTTCTATAGAAGTAAATTTGCCTTGCTGAGTGCTATTTCTTGTGCAGCATCAAAAATCTGTTTGTAACATGTGTTTGAGACTCATAATCTGGACCAGTGGCTCCAAGATTTTTATTCTGTACAAGTGGCCAATGAGCACATGAAAAGATGCACAACATCTTTATTCACTAGAAAGATGCAAGTCAAAACCACAGTGATATATCACCTCACACCTGCTGGTACAGGTATATTTCAGAAGACAGATCAGTGTGGGTGAAGATGTGGGGAAATTGAAACCTTCATACAGTGCTGGTGCAGTGGCAAAATTAGGCAGCAGTTTTGGAAAACATTTTGGCAGTTCCTCCTGAGGTTAGCATAGAGTTACCACATGGCTTAGCAATTCCACTTCTGAGTATATACTCAACGGAAATCAAAATAGGTCCACACAAAAACAAGTATATGCGTGTCCGTAGAAATATTATTTGTTATGGCCAAAAGGTGAGAGCAGTGCAAATGCCTATCCATGGAGGACTAGATAGACAAATGTGATGTAGTATACAAGGCAATAGTATTCCGCCAGAAAAAGGAATGATGTGCCAATATGGCACACAACATGGATACATATTAAAGACATTACGCTTGATGGAAAAAGCTATACAAAAAGGGTCATGTATTTTTTGAATCCATTTGTATAAAATTCCCAAAACAGGCAAATCCTTTGAAACAGAAAGTGGATTAATGTTTGCCAGAGGCCAGTGGGGAAAATTGAAAGTGGCTGCTTGATGGGTGTGGGGTTTCTTTTTTGGGTAATTACACTGTTCTAAAATTACCTATTGCTAATGATTGTAAAGCATTGTGAATACACAAAAAGATACTGAAGTGTAAACCTGAAAATAATTAATATATTGAATTTGATATTATGTGAATTTTATCTCGATAAACATAATTTTATAAACAAACTTCAAGCCACTGTTGCCAATGGTAAAGACTAGGTAATATGCTCTAAATGCAGCAGAAAAACACAGAAACACTAAGTTAGCTGAAAGGAAAATTGAAACTAAAATGAAAACAGAGTCCACAAAGTTCTACTGAAGCTTTAGTCACCTAGATATTCAAATAAAAACACCCAGGTTCAACTGTGTAACCCTCTGTCATAGAAGTTTGGATGCTTTTGGTAGATAAATCCATTGGGCATATCAGTGTGACATAAAAAGTGCTTAAAACATAATTTTAAAAAAATTATAAATTCGTGACACTCATAAAGATGGGAACACATATTAAAATATTTATTTAACATCTGAGGAATCAGCCGATATGAGAGCCAGTACAAAAAAGAGTCAAATGGCCAGGCGCGGTGGCTCACGCCTGTAATCCCAAAACTTTGGGAGGCCAAGGCAGGCAGATCACGAGGTCAGGAGTTCGAGACCACCCTGACCAATATGGTGAAACCTGGTCTCTACTAAAAATACAAAAATTAGCCAGGCGTGGTGGTGGGCACCTGTTGTCCCAGCTACTCAGGAGGCTGAGGCAGAAGAATCACTTGAACCCAGGAGATGGAGGTTGCAGTGAGCTGAGATCGTGCCACTGTACTCCAACCAGGGTAACAAGGAGAGACTCCATCTCAAAAAAAAAAAAAAAAATCAAATGTACAGCAAAAGCAATATAAATTGGAAATAATTAAATAAATATGTTAATGGAGGGAGACTCATATTATTGTACTGTAAGAGAAGAAACAATTGACACTCTACTGGACAAGACATTGTGAATGTCTTTCAGTGACCTAAAACTTACAAAAAGTTGTAAAAGCACTCAAAGAGTACTGGCTAGAGTCTGATAATCTGTAGCGGTGTCCTCTAGACAGGGCAAAATATTCTATTGATGACACATTTTTGTCTACAACAAAAAGTCAACTGAATAGCTACAGTTTCTTTAAAAAGAGGGTTCAGTCATTAGAGTGACCAGATTTTAATCATGGGCATTTCTAGGCCCAGGCTTTATCATGGCCAAGTTGACACCAGTGGCATTTAAAGGTCTTGGTGAGCCGGGTGCGGTGGCTCATGCCTGTATTCCCAGCACTTTGGGAGGCAGGCGAATCACCTGAGGTTGAGAGTCCTAGACCAGCCTGACCAACATGGTGAAAACTCGTCTCAACTAAAAATACAAAAATTAGCTGAGTGTGGTGGCGCACGCCTGTAATCCCAGCTACCCAGCTACTCAGGAGACTGAGCCAGGAGAATCACTTGAACCCAGGAGGCAGAGGTTGGAGTGAGCTGAGCTGGTGCCACATCACTCCAGCCTGGGCGACAGAGTGAGATTCTGTCTAAAAAAAAAAAAAAAAAAAAGCAGGGCGCGGTGGCTTACACCTGTAATCTCCGCAGGTTGGGAGGCCGAGGCCGGCAGATCACCTGAGGTTGGGAGTTCAAGACCAGCCTACCCAGCTACTTGGGCGGCTGAGGCAGGAGAATCGCTTGAACCTGGGAGGCGGATGTTGAGGTGAGCCAAGATCGCACCATTGCATTCCAGCCTGGGCAACAAGAGCGAAACTCGGTCACAAAAAAAAAAAAAGAGGCCAGGTGCAGTGGCTCATGCCTGTAATCCAAACACTTTGGGAGCCCGAGGCAGGCAGATCACCAGGTCAGGATATCGAGACCAGCCTGGCCAACATGGTGAAACCCCGTCTATACTAAAAATACAAAAAAATTAGCTGAGAGTGGCGGCACACACCTGTAGTCCGAGCTACTCGGGAGGCTTAGGCAGGAGAATCGCTAGAACCCAGGAGGTGAAGCTTGCAGTGAGCCAAGATAGCACCACTGCACTCCCACCTGGGCGACAGAGCAAGACTTCGTCTAAAAATAAATAAATAAATAAAAGTAGACTCACCTTCTTAGCAAGAGCAGAGCTGCAATTCTCCATGATATGTTTGGACACCTCTTGTGGGAGATCTGCTGTGCCCAGTGCCTGGACTCTTCCATGCTTACGTTTCTTGCTGCCACTCTTGAGTACCTGATGCCCCATATCCTAGAGCTGGTGACCAGTGAAGCTCATAATAGCCACAGAAGGTACAGTTATATTACCATCTATATTACATATGATTATCTATGTTTGTATTTTATATATATACATATATTCTATATATTTTATAAAATGTATATATATATATGTTTTGGACAAAGACTTATTCAAACAGTAGTTAATAGTTTTTAAATATTCAGAATCAAAATTATTTATAAATATATTTTATTTCAAACACAATTATTCATCTTATTCATAGCCAAAACACCTGATCTGTCTAATAAGCACATATTTCACAGAGCTACATAGAGTTATCAATGGCTAAATACATTTTATAGGGAAAAGTATACTCTATAGAAATTCTTCCTTAATTGAAGAACTCAAAGCCCCAAGTGTTATAAACACTTTTATGGCTGCATTAAGTTAAAAATAAGTGTTCCATCAAGTGTTGGGTCAATCTAACTCCTTCCTCCTGAGTATCAACATTTGAAGTTTTCACCTATTCACCAAAGGCTCAAAGGGCACCCTCTGGTATCTCTGGACTATTCATAGACAGATGGTAAGAAGCTGCCCAGCTCATTTCAAGTTCAGGCTCAGATGGTTTGTTCTAGAAGTTCCAGGTTACCATGTACCAGCCATGTGATTCTGTATATTCATTTATTCTAAGCAGCAGTCTCCACCTGTGTAAAATCAGGATGATGAGTTTCTCTATCTTTGGGTTATCCCAAATAAGAAGTCAATTTGAGCTTAAGTTTAAGCTTAATGCGATGCTTGTCACCACAGGGCATGACACAGGATGCTAAATTGGGCACCTGTATTTTACAAAACTATAAAACTTTGAATTTCTTTCCTCTCCTGCATTTTCACATGTATTTGGTTTCATCTCTAAATCTGTTGAATTTGAATAGATGTGTAGACAGGCATTGAGATTAGTAATCTCATTTACAAAAGCATCAAAAAGAATAAAATACACAGAAATAAATTTATTCAAAGAGGCAAAAGATCTGTTCACTAAAAACTCTTAAAACATTAATTAAATAAATTGAAGGCACTAAAAAATTGAAAAATACACCATGCTCATGAATTGAAAGAATTAATATTGTGAAAATGTCCATACTACCCAAAGTGATCTATAGATTTAATGCAATCCTTATAAAAATTCCAATTATATTTTTCTCAGAATTTAAAAAGTAATTATCAAATCTTTATCAATTCATGAAAGACCAAGAATAACCTAAGCAATAGTGAGGAAAAACAACAAAGCTATAGGCATTACACTACCTAGTCTCTGAATATATTACAAAGCTACAGTAAGGCCAGGTGCAGTGGCTCACACCTGTGATCCTGGCACTATGGGAGGCCAAGTTGGGTTGCTTGAGCCCAGGAGTTCTAGACCAGCCTGAGCAACATAACAAAACACCATCTCTACAAAAAATACAAAAATTAGCAGAGTGTAATGGCACAAACCCATAGTTTCTGCTACTTGAGATGCTGAGGTGGGAGGATCCCTAGATCCTGTGAGGTTGAGGCTGCAGTGAGCCACAATAAAGCCACTGCACTCCACCCTGGGCAACAGAGTGAAATCTGTCTCAAAAAACAGCTACAGAAAGCAAATAGCATGGTACTGAATAAAAATAAACACACACTAATGAAGCATAATAGTAAGTCAAGAAATAAATGTATCTACTTCATTTCTGGTAATGAAGGAACAATGTTTTCACCAGTAGACTTCACCTTTCAGTGTTCTATCAATAAATATTTATCAGTAGATTATTTTTAATCAAACTTCAAACATTCTGTAGAAGGCCAAATGAGGCCAGTCAGATGAATGTGAACATGAAATTTTTGTGGATTTATAGTTAATGAGAATCATTTATGAAATACTTACCTTATATTTCTGTAGTTGAATTTTTTGCAGCTGGTCTAGTGGTGAGCACAGGCAGTAAGAAACAGATAAATAAATAAATAAATGTATAATGAGAAATTAAATCAGTAGCCCGAAGAAAAAGTAGATTGCTGTTTAAAACAATAAAGAAAGAATGCTCACTGATCTTTTTTTTTTTTTTTTGTATCTGTGATGAAGAGTCAATCAATATTTCTATCTCAGAAGGCAAAAGAAAAACAAATGGTGGCTAGGAGACAGAACTACCTTCTATCTCCCACTTGGATGGACTGAACAGCATGTGGAGACTTTCATCATGAACTTTTGCTCCAAGAACTACCATAGGAACATACCAGGAAAACCAAAAGAATGCACAGACTCTTTGAAAGAAGTGGCTTGCCACTGCAACCTCTGCGAGATGACTGAAAAATAGCAAGTGCCAAAAGTGTAAGAGATGGAACATTCACCTCTAAACACACATACTCAAAACCTGAAAATCCAGATTACCAGAGAAGGATTTAGCCTCACCTAGGGCTGAAATGAACTTAGAGAGCCAAGCAAAATATGAAAGCAGAAGAAGCAGTGGGAATAGCCCAATAGGCACTCTTGGTCCTCAGGGAAGCCGTTTCTGACTTTATCTCACAGTGGTCCTTGGGACAGGCTGCCAGTGGAATTGGGGAAGGGCCACAGGGAGAAGGAAACTTCCAGCTAAATTCTGTAAGAATTTTGACCTAGTGTCAATGTTCCTTGGCAAAATTGGCACGGGGACAGTGAATGGGAAGCACAGATATGGGCACAGAAGCCATGGCAGGTGGTGAGGGGTGGGGCCTGAAAGCCCAGGTTGCTTTCTCAATGGGGAGGCTTATAGCCTGGGGCAAGATCTCAGTACTGCTCACGGACTGGTTATAAACTTGGTGCTGTTGGTGGGTAGGGTGTGAGTGAAACTGGCCTTGCTGGCTTCATGGGAGCTGAGTGAGGCCTGTCACTGCTGGCTTTCCTTCACTTCCATCCTGACCTGTATGATACAGCAGAGGCAGCCATAATCCCCCTGGAAACATAACTCCATTGGCCTGAGAACCATACTCCCAACCCCACAGCAGCTGCAGCAAGCCCCACCCAAGGAGAGTCTGAGCTCAGACATGTCTAACCCTGCCCTCACCTGATGGTCTTACTCTACCCACCCTGGTAGCTGAAGACAAAAGACATACTCTCTTGGGAGCTCTATGTTCCCACCCATTGCCTGAGAAACCTGAATACTTATCCAGGTGACCTGATGGCAAGCTTGCATCCCCCCCATACTACGACAGCTGATGCTCTATTGAAAATCCCACCTCCAGGTTGGAGGTCAACCAACTCAAGCCATTGCAGCAACTCATCAAAGAACAACCCCATCCAGGTGGTGTGGCTCACACCTGTAATCCCAGCATTTTGGGAGGCTGAGGCAGGCGGATCACGTGAGGTCAGGAGTTCCAGACCCCCCTGACCAACATAGAGAAACTGCATCCAGTTTCTACTAAAAATACAAAATTGGACAGGCCTGGTCTTGCATGCCTGTAATCTCAGCTTCTTAAGAGGCTGAGGCACGAGAATCCGTTGAACCTGGGAGGCAGAGATTGTGGTGAGCCGAGATCACACCATTGCACTCCAGCCTGGGCAACAAGAGCAAAACTCTGTCTCAAAAAACAAACAAACAAACAAACAAACAAAAAATCCCCACTCCAATAAAGGAGAAAACAACAGCTAATTCCATCACCTGTAACATCCTGGCTAACCAGAAGTCCTCCTCAGTCTTTCCACGTGACAACTTCACTGCTAGAACAACTAGCATTCAAAAGAAAAAAAAAAAAAAACCAGTGCACTAAACAGAACTACAACCAACGACCCTCACAAAGTCCACTTTACTCCCCTGCTGCTTCTACCAGAGCAGGTGGTAGAATCCATGGCTGAGAAACCTGAAGACAGATCACATCACAGGACTCTTTGCAGACACTCCCCAGTACCAGCCCAGAGACCAGTAGCTCCACTGGGTGGTTAAACCCAGAAGAGCAATAACAATCCCTGCACTCTGGCTCTCAAGAAGCCCCATCCCAAGGGAAAAGGGGAGACCATCACATCAAGGGAATACCCCATGAAACAAAAGAATCTGAACAGCACCCCTTGAGCCTCAGATCTTTCCTCTGACATAGAAAACCCAAATGAGAAGGAACCAAAAAAACAATCTGGTAACAACAAAGCAAGGATTTTTTAACACCTTTGAAAGACCATACTAGCTCCCTAGCAATGGATGCAAACCAAGAAGAAATCTCTGAATTGCCAGAAAAAGAATTCACAAGGTCCATTATTAAGCCACTTAAAGAGGCACCAGAGAAAGATAAATACTAACTGAAAGAATTTTTTTTAAATACAGGATATGGACGAAAACAATTACCAGAGAAATAGATAGCATAAATAAAAAAAAAATCACAACTTCTGGAAATGAAAGGCACACTTAGAGAAATGCAAAACATAGTAGAAAATTACAAAAATAGATCCAAACAAGTAAAAGAAAGAACTTCAGAGCTCAAAGACAAGGCTTTTGAATTAACCCAATCTAACGAAGACAAAAAAGAATTTAAAAAATGAACCAAACCTCCAAGAAGCTTGGAATTATGGAAACAACCTAACCTAAGAATAATTGGTGTTCCCAGGGAAGAAGTGAAACCTAAATGTTTGGAAAACTTATTTGAGGAAGTAATTGAGGAAAACTGTCCTGGACTTGCTAGAGATCTAGACATCCAAATACAAGAAGTTCAAAGAACACCAAGGAAATTCATCACAAGAAGATCATCACCTAGGCACACAGTCATCAGGTTATCTGAAGTCAATATAAAGGAAAGATTTTTAAGAGCTGTGAGACAAAAGCCTCAAGTAACCTATAAAGAAAAACATATCAGATTATCAGCAGATTTCTCAACAGAATCCCTACAAGCTAGAAGGGATTGGGGTCCTATGTTTAGCCTCCTTAAACAAGACAAGTATCAGCCCAAATTTTGTATTCAGTGAAACTAAGCTTCATAAATGAAGGAAAGATACAGTCTTTTCCAGACAAACAAATACTGAGAGAATTCACTACTAACAAGCCGCCACTATAAGAACTGATAAAAAGGGTTCTATGTCTTGAAACAAAACCTCAAAATACACTGAAATAGAACCTCCTTAAGGCATAAATCTCACAAGGCCTATAAAACAATAACACAATATAAAAGGTATTCAGGAAACTACTGGCACAATGAATAGAATAGTCCTTCTCACCTCAATACTAACATTGAATGTAAATGGCCTAAATGGTCCACTTAAAACATACAGAATGGCAGAATAGATAAGAGTTTACCCACAAAATATCTGCTGTCTTCAAGAGACTCAACCGACACATAAGGACTCACATAAACTTAAGGTAAAGGTTTGGAAAAAGATAGTCCATGCAAATGTACCCCAAAAGCAAGCAGTAGTAGCCATTCTTACATCAGACAAAACAGGCTTTAAAGCAAAAACAGGTAAAAAATAAAAAACACAAAGAGGGACATTATATAATGATAAAAGTACTAGTCAACAGGAAAATGTAACAATCCTAAATATATATGCACCTAACACTGGAGCTCCCAAATTCATAAAGCAATTACTGCAAGACCTAGGAAACGAGATAAATGGCAACACAATAATAATGGGGAACTTCAATACTCTACTGACAGCACTAGACAAGTCATCAAGACAAAGTCAACAATAAAAACAAAAAAACACGGTGGCCTTAAACTATACTCTAGAACAAATGGACTTGACAAATATTTACAGAACATTCTACCCAACACCTGCAGAATATACAATTTATTCATCAGCACATGGAACATTCTCCAAGATAGACACATGATAGGCCACAAAACAAGTCACAATAAATTTAAGACAATGCAAATTATATCAACTACTCTCAGACTGCAGTGGAATAAAATTGAAAATCAACTCTAAATGAACTATCAAAACCATGCAAATATATGAAAATTAAATACATTTTAGAAATTAAATAAATACAAGGAAATTAAACAAAAAATTAAATTTATGATCAATCTGTTTCTGAATGATCATTGGATGAAATCAAGATTAAAATTTAAAAATTCTTTGAACTGAACATTAATAATGGCACAACCGATCAAAATGTCTGGGATACAGTAGAAGTGGTGCTGAAAGGAAAGTTCATAGCATCAAATTCCTCTGTGAAAAAGTCTGAAAGAGCATAAGCTGACAATGTAAGATAACACCTCAAGGAACTAGAGAAACAAGAAAACCCAAACCCAGCAGAAGAAAAGAAATAACAAAGATCAGAGCAGAGCTAAATGAAACTGAAACAACAACAACAACAAAAAATCCAAATGATAAATGCAATGAAAAGCTGGCTCTTAGAAAAGATACACAAAATTGATAGACCATTAACAGCATTAACCAAGAAGAGATAAGATCCAAATAAGCTCAATTAGAAATGAAACAGAAGATATTGCAACCAATGCCAGAGAAATACAAAAGATCATTCAGGGCTACTGTGAACACCTTTATGTGCACAAATTAGAAAACCTAAAGGAGATGAATAAATTCCTGGAAATGTACAACCCTCCTAGGTTAAAAAACAACAACTCTGAACAGACTAATAACAAGAAGTGAGATTGAAATAATTTCAAAAAATTGCCAACCAAAAAAAATGTTCAGAACCAGGTGGATTCACAGCTGAATTCTATTAGCCTTTCAAAGAAAAATTGGTGGTGGCAGGGCCAAGATGGCTGACTAGAAGCAGCATCCCATAGAAAAGAACCATAATAGTATGTGAATCCTGCACCATAACCTGAGGTATCCAGGTCCTCTCATCAGAACTGACTAGGTGGATGGCGTGATCCATGGAGAGGAAGAGCAGTGTGGTGTGGCAGCCCACCTGACACCCACATGGGCCTGGGGAGCCCTTGCCCAATAGCCAAGGGAGGCGGTGAGTGAGCCTGCTACCCATCCTGGGAAACTGTGCTTTTTCCATGGAACTATGCAACCCACAGATTAGAAGATTCCACTCATGAACCCACGCCACTGGAGCCTAAGGTCCCAACTGTTGGAAACAAGAGCTCAGAGTCGCAAAGAAAACAAGGAATTTCTCAGCAAGGCAAGGCAAGGCAAATTTACTTCTGCAGAAGGGTGCCAGTCATGTCTCTGGCTGTTGTGAGAGCACAGCATACAAGGGAGGGAAGGAGTTTTTATCCCTAACACAGTCCCTACTTCTGCGTGCTGCCCCCATTGGCTGGAGCTAACTCGACGGCTATTTTAAATCGAGACTGGCAGGAAGGTTGTTTACAGAGCAGGTAACTAGGAGTGAGGAGGACTTCTTCCAAATAAGGAAGAGATGTGGATTACGGATTGCGACTGGGGAGAAGAGATGTTTACATAGCAGGTAGCTAGGAGCGGGAAGGTATAAGGAAGTTGATTTTGAGAACAAACAACAAGGAAGTTACCCTTTGAAGAGGAACTTATTATGCCTGACACAGCCCTGGAGCTGAGCAGATTATGAACAGCCTGTCAGGTAGAATCTGCTTAAGCCTGCCGAGTTCCCACGGTGGGGGAGACCAGCACCACCGTTGCAGTTGGCTGCTGTCTAAGCTGTTTGAGCTCCTTGAGGGAGGGACAGCAGCCAGCACTGGGACTCGAAACTGCCTAACAGGCTAAGGTCCCTGGATGGGGAAAGGGAAGCAGCCATCTCTATAGCTCCTGGCCTCACTTTTCCTCTGCTAGATCCAGGAAAACTGGACAGCTTGGTCTCAAGAGGTGTCCCCCACAGCCCAACACATGGGCTGTGGCAGACTGTGGCCAGAATGTCTCTTCAGGCCTGACCCTGACCCATCTCTCCTCACTGGTCAGGGCCTCCCTGCAGGAACTCCAACATCTCCAGCCAGGGGCTCAGGGACATAACTCTGATCTCCCTGGGCCTGAGCCCCTAGGGGGAGGGGAGGCTGCAGTCTCTGTGGACCAGCAGACTTAGCCTTTCCTCCTGCTAGTTCTGAGGAATTCGAGCAGCCCAGATGAGTGGGTTTCCCCCCAGCAAAACACCCCCCTCCACCAAGGAACAGTCAAAGTGCTTCATTAAATGGGTTCTGCTCCCCATGCCACCCAACTGGTGACACTTCAACAGGGGTTGTCAGACACCCTATACAGGAGTGATCCTACTGGCATCAGGTTGGTGCCTCTTGAGGTCAGAGATCACAGAGGAAGGAGCAGACTCTTCTTTGCTGTTCTCCAACCTCCTTGAGTGACATCTCCAGGCACGGGAGTGAACCGGATGAATAGGGCCTGAAGTGAACCCCCAGCAAACTGCAGCAGCCCTACAGAAGACAGACCTGACCATTGAAAGAAAAACAAACAGAAAGGAACAACAGCATCAACAACAAAAAAGTAACCACAAAAACCCCATCCAAGGCCAGGCATGGTGGCTCACACCTGTAAAAAGGTTAACCTGTTTTTGTGATTGGCTATTGTTTTTCAATAACTAATGTATAGGAATAGATTGAAGTAGAAATTTCTCTGAAACAGCGCCGGATGAATGCCTAAAGGGGCTCACATAATCTGTTCTGAGACTTGGTGACCATTGTTTGTGTCCACATTCAATTGAGTTCAAATTTAATATTTAACTTTTCCACTACATTCGGCCTCAATTGGATACTCAATTGTATTAAAATACCCTCACAGATACATCGGGAAGGTATAGTTGATATAGATTACAGATACAGGGTAAGCACAGGAGAATTAGAAGCACAATTAATAAAAATTAGACCCAACATGGCATTGCAAACAGAGTAATATTGTGAGACTTGCCAGGAATATACACACAACATCCAGTATGCAGTAAGGCGCAAACCCCTCCTTGGGCTGTGGTAAGCATATCTAATGCCATTTGATTTTGCAACACAACAGTATGCAGCTGAGCAAATTCATCTGGTAACAACATAAGTCGAGTGCTACTAGCATTAAGAGCATTTTCTACAGGTAAGCTAAGTATTATAATTTGTTGGTGAAGCAAGATTGTACCAGTGGCAGGGGAGAATACTGTGATAGGGTACCACCACCAGGGAGTCCAGCACATTTGTAACTAGCAATGTTTCTAAGCATCTAGATTACTGGAGAGGGGAGTATTTTCCCGGATAGTGAATGGAATTAATGTCCACCCCCAAGTGCATCTCCCCATCCAAAGTAGGGGCACGTATCGCCACCCATAGGATCTGCATACCCAGAGGGCCCCCCAGGGGACAGCAATGGAGCTACTGTAATCATAG
Organism: Homo sapiens; assembly: GCF_000001405.40. NCBI lineage: Eukaryota > Metazoa > Chordata > Mammalia > Primates > Hominidae > Homo > Homo sapiens. The sequence continues at coordinate 20,570,477 of NC_000019.10, read as the reverse complement.
TGTACTAATCTCTTATTAACATAGGAAAGAGATTGTGTTTCATTGGGCATAATGTTGTTGATTTGGAGTATGTGTTGACACGTGACTGGAGAAACCCCAGAGTAACATTAGAGGATCCATTTAAGGCCTCCAGACAAAGCAGAGGTTGTATGGAATCCAGCCACCAGCACAGCAGGTTTGTAGTATATACCATTCCAGGAATATTGGGCAGAATACCAAGGCTTTTGATGCAAGGTGAGGGAGGAGTTCGCCTTTTGTCTGACTTGGCAAAGATAGATCGCTTAGTGTGGTCAAAGGAAGCCCAGGTTGGATTGCAAGTGTTGTTGTTGTGGCCCATTGGTAACAATATAGCCATTCAGAAATGTTGTCAGGGATGATTCTCCAAGGTAGCCATTTTTGGCATCCTCCTGCAACTCGACGTATAGCCAACATTGATTGTGGTTGGCTTCTGTTGCAGCGGTGGCTAAAAAGTTGATGAATTTATTCTTGGCCTCAGACACAAAGACACAGGTGCTGACCATTAGTAGATAGGTTATTCCCTGTAATAACAAAAACAGAGGGGAAATGATATTGTTTTTCATCTTTAGGAAATTGTACTATGCCTTCCTTTTCTGCTTTCATAGCTACAAGGTCACTAGCCTTAGGGTTGGGATCTGAGGGACGCCGTACCCATATTTTGACTCCAGGATTTAAGCTACCTGTACCAGGGGATCTGAATCCCCCAGTTCTGTATGTAGACTCTGTTGGACAAAGATTTCCTCAGGGGTTAATTGTTCACAAGGTACCACTAACAATTGAGCAACAAGCATCTGTGGTTTTATAGCAAAAGAATCTGGAGTGTTATTGTATAAAATGACCTTTAACTCTCCCTGGTAATCCCTATCAGTTATACCACCATACACTATAATGCCTCTCATTGCAAGGCTTGAACATGTTGTAATCCATTTACCCACATTCAAGATCGCAGTTATGGTGGAAATTTTTGCCTGTTGATCTTCCTGCTGATTAAATAGTCTGTCAAGAGAAAGCAGAGATGCATGAACATCAACATGGAAAACAGGGCCGGGCACAGTGGTTCATGCCTGTAATCCCAGCACTTTGGGAGGCAGAGGTGGGTGGATCATGAGGTCAAGAGATTGAGACCATCCTGGCCAACATGATGAACCCCGTCTTTACTAAAAATACAAAAATTAGCTGGGCATGGTGGTGCGCACCTGTATTCCCAGCTACTCGGGAGGCTGAGTCAGGAGAATCACTTGAACGTGGGACGTGGATGTTGCGGTGAGCCCAGATCACGCCACTGCACTCCATTCTAGCGACAGAGTGAGACTGAGTCTAAAAAAAAAAAAAAATTAGCTGGGCGTGGCAGCCCGTGCCTGTAATCCCAGCTACTTGGTAGGCTGAGGCAGGAGAATGGCATGAACTCGGGCGGTAGAGGTTGTAGTGAGCTGAGATTGCACCACTGCACTTCAGTTTGGTGACAGGGCTAGGAAAAAACCAACAACAACAACAAACAATATGGAACACAGTGGTATGTGTTGTGCACCAGGATTCAGATACCTTACCAGCATTGTTCTCGCCAAACCTCTTTATTCCCAATTAGCCATTTGTTTCATTGCCACTGGGGCATCCATGTGGTAAGACCATTTGCTACTGAGCAAGAGTTCGTATACAAGTGACAAATCCCTCTGGTCTCCTCCTGAATAGCTCAGAGGATGGCTGCCAGTTCAGCTAACTGAATGCTCCCACTCCTTCCTTCATCAGAAATGCTTATGTATTTAAGAGGATTATAAGCCACAGCCTTCCAGCATTGGGTCCCACCAATGTATTTGGTGGGTCCATCAGTAAACCAAGTATGTTTCTGATCCCATTTGATGGGCGGTTGGGGAGGGGGGTGTTTACCTCTCTATCTGCAGGACTCGTTCAGTGTTTCCTGAGCTGGCAAGTTTTGTCCATCCTCATGTGAAAGTGATACCCTCTTTGGTTTTGGCTTAGGCTGGTTTTGTATGTGCCATTTCCATTATATGATGCTACTTTCTTGGGTGTGCCCTATCTGGTGGGTTTTGGGGGAACTCATGTCTCAAGTCATAATAGGAATTTCAGGTCTCATAAAAACATCATGGTTGAAGCATAGGTGTTCTATTTCCAGCAAAGCTCAATAGCAAGCTAACAGTTGCTTCTTGAAAGAGGTATAAGCTTTTCCTCCCTCTGGTGGTTTCTGGGTCCAAATCCCGAAAAGTACCCTCTTCCCATCTTGTTTCTGCCCAAGGCTCCAATTAGCATATTGATCTAGGACAGTTACTTGCAGTTCTACTGGCCCATCCCGTATGGGCCATAGATCCAGGGCCAGTTGCACTGCTTGTTTAGCTTGTTCAAAGGCCATGCTCTCTTTCTCTCCCCAGTGAAAGTCATAGCGTTTTCTAGTGGCTGCATGCAGAGGTTGTAAAATGTTACCCAAGTGGGGAATATGATGTCTCCAGAAACCAAACAAGCCAGTACATTAGTGGTAGGGGTTGCAAAATCTAGTATTTTAGCCTTAGCCTTTGGTAAAATGGACTATTTATTTGCATTCCATAAAATGCCAAGGAATTTTATACTTTGTGCAGGTCCTTGAATTTTACTAGGGTTAATTTCCCATTTTTGAAATAGGAACTGGGTTTTTACCTGCTCGAAGCCCCGGCTGACTAGTTCTTCAGTTTTATCCTGACTGGGCCACCTGGACAGCTGCTTTTTTCAGCGATAGGCTGATAGCTTTGAGCTTTATCAGTCAAGACATTGACTGGCATTGGGCCAGTCTGGAAGTCAGATTAGCATTTTCCTTTTCCGCTTACATTTATCTTGTAGCAACCAGCCCCTATCACGATACATTAACTTATAAGCAGTAAGCAAACACCATCCACTCCGGGAGATCCCTCAGCATCTCCTTTGCTGACTGGAATCCCCCGCAGCACTTCCCGCACAGTCAAAGGTTTAAACTGCACTAATTTAGATTCCCAATTCCCACAAAAACCAGTTCCCCTTGACCATTTAATCACCAAGAGGGAGAACTGGGGGAGTTCCCATCCCAGGATATGGGAAGTCCCTGAGCCCTCCAGCCCTGTCCTTCTAGTCAAAAAGGGGTACACTTTTGTTTTCAAATCCTATTTGTGATGCCAAAAATGTTCTGTGAGGCAAATGTGAGAGGGGAGAAACAAAGACACACACACAATACCATTAAGGGTAAACAACTTTTATCCCACGTAAATGGCAATGCAGACATAATAAAGTAATAATATAATAAGCAAATGATATAATAAGCAAATAAATATAATAAGCAGATTGATGTAATAAGCCAATCTTAATAAGACGAGGAAATGGGAAAAGATATATATATATATATATATATATATATATATATATTTTCCCTCACCAGACTATGGGGGATTCACCACCAGAGAGGGAGGCAACAGCCACAGCTCTAGAGTCAGCCACCCGTCCATCGTACACAGACAAGGAGAGGTCTTATGAAGCTTCAGGGCGGTCTGGGACCTTAGCTCTTTTGTAACGAGTTGTTTGGCATAAGGCCCAGTGATGAGAGCCCTTCACGACTTGCCTCAAGGAACACAAAAAGGTCAACCTTTTTTTGTGATTGTCTATTGTTTTTCAACAACTAATATATAGGAATAGATTGAAATAGAGATTTCTTCAATACAGCGCTGGATGAACACCTCAGGGGCTCACACAACCTGTTCTGGGACTTGGTGACAATTGTTTGTGTCCACATTCAATTGAGTTCAGATTTAATATGTGACTTTTCCTCCACAAATTCCCCTGTCTTGATGAATCGGCTCTGTCTAGGCAAAGGGTAAAATAAACCCCTTGGGCTGTTACACAACCTCCGCCTCCTGGCTTCAAGTGATTCTCCTGCCTCAGCCTCCGGTGTAGCTGGGACTACAGATGTGCACCCCCACACCCAGGTAACTTTTTATATTATTAGTTATTATTATTATTTATTAGTTATTATTAGAGATGGGGTTTCACCATGTTGGCTAGGCTTGTCTTGAACTCCTGACCTCAAGTGATCTGCTCACCTTGGCCTCCCAAAGTGTTGGAATTACCAGCGTGAACTATCCGTGCCTGCCTCTAAATGATTTCTATCTCCTATAGCTGTTGGAAATTAAAGATTGTTTCAAATTGAAAAAATAAAAAGAATGTGGACAAAAATAAAATATAAATAGTTTTTTAAAATTACGAGATATTACAAAATATATATGTAAATCTGGAGTGCTCAAAAATGACAAATTTGATTTATTTATAAGGTTTTATTAAAATTAGCTTTAATAGATTTTACCATTACCAAAGTAAAAGTTGATTTTCTGTTGAACAAAAATTTTATGTATTATTAATGACAGCAAAATACTTCTGTTCACCTTTTTAATACATTCAACAAGAAAGAGAGTAAACAAGAGATAAAATATTCCCATGCTCTGGGGTGGGCCTGGCTCAGCTCAGGGAGGAAGCACTGTTTGAAAAGCCAGCTGCTTAGGCTGGCACTCTTTGTTCACTTAACCCAGCATCTGATCATATCTTCTGTCACTCAGGGCCTGAGGGGGCGGGGATTTAAGCATTATCCAATCAGGGACGCTGGGCTGGAAGCCGTCCAATCAGGCACGCAGCCAGAGTGAAGCGGAAGGCTTCCGGGTTTTGCGGGGCCTTTGTCTCTGCAGCCGGAGCTCCAGGTCTTGTCTTCACTGCTGTGTGTCCTCTGCTCCTAGAGGCCCAGCCTCTGTGGCCCTGTGTCCTGCAGGTATTGGGAGATCCACAGCTAAGACGCCCGGGAGCCCCTGGAAGCCTAGAAATGGTGAGAGTGCCGGTCCGACATCCCGAGAGAGGGGGATAGGCTGGTTGGAACCGGTGGGAAGTGGCTGTGGCGGGACTCAGGCCTCTGCGCAGTCAGCTCCACAATCTGCACCCTGAGTTCTCCTTGCCCAGCTCGGCCTCAGTCCCGTTCAGCCATAATTTGGCGGCTACGCTGACAGCCGGGCCCCCTGGCGTCCTGTGTCTTCCCTGCGTAGTGACTGCTCTGGCCTGGAGCGCTCCGTGGGCAGCTCTGCAACCGCAGCCTCCCGTCTCTCCCAGAATGTGCAGGGACCACCAGAGGGTCGTCAGGGGAGAATCCTGACTCGGGGTGCAGGTTCATGAATGGGAAGAGCTTTGGTCCGTGGAGTTCACAGTTTCTGTTTTCTGCTATTCAAAATTTATGGGGCCGGGCGCAGTCGTTCACGCCTGTAATCCCAGCACTTTGGGAGGCCGAGGCAGGCGGATAACTTGAGGTCAGGACTTCAAGATAAGCCTGGCCCAAATGGGGAAACCCCATGTCTACTAAAAATGCAAAAATTAGCTGGGTGTGATGACAGATGTCTGTAATCACAGCTTCTCGGGAGGCAGAAGTGAGAGAATCGCTTGAACTCCGGAGGTGGATGTTGCAGTGAGCTGAGATCTTGCCACTGCACTCCAGCCTGCGCGACAGTGAGACTCCGTCTCAAAAAAAAAAAAAAAATTCCTGGTTATGTAATTACAGTTTAATTGGCAGTTTATAGTTGCTTAAGCCTGAATTTTGTTTCCCCTAATGTAGTAATTTCCCAAAAAATGCACATGAGCTTAGATTTTTTTTTTTTTGAGGTAGAAATCCAGGGACTAGAGCTTCTTCAGTCTAATTGCCTGCCACTTAATTATTTTCACACGCCACAGCGGACTGATTTTCCCTGGCATTTTCCACATGTGTCTCAAGCAAGGCCTCAAGTGTACCCCATGTTCCTCAATTTATTATTTTTATTTTTTTTTTTTTGAGACGGAGTCTCGCTCTGTCGCCAGAGCTGGAGTGCAGTGTCAGATCTCGGCTCACTGCAACCTCCGCCTCTCAGGTTCAAGCATTCTTCTGCTTCAGCCTCTGGAGTAGTTGGGGCTATGGGCACGCGACACCACGCCCAGCTAATTTTTGTATTTTTAGTAGAGATGGAGTTTCAGTATGTTAGCCAGGAATGCTAGTTACCAAGGAAAAAAATAGGGAAAATCTCTCTTCCATTTTGGCTGTAGACAATGAATATATTTCCACAGGAAAATGTGGTAGATAATTGATGAGTTACATAGATTCGTCAACACATTAGTTCCTCTTTTTGCAGGGGAAATTTGTGACAGTGAATATCTCAGTTCTATATCCTGTTGAGTTCTGAGTTAAATGCTAAATTATATGTGATGAAACATGGTACCTTCTAGAAGTGTTCCCATATGACTAATTTTTTACTACATTATTTTATTTATTTACTTTTTTTTTGAAACAGAGTCTCGCTCTGTCAACAGGTTGGAGTGCAGTGGCGTGATCTCGGCTTACTGCAGCCTCCACCTCCTGGGTTCAAGCAATTCTCCTGCCTCAGCCTCCTGAGTAGCTGGGATTACAGGCACGTGCCACCACACCCAGCTAATTCTTTTGTATTTTAAGTAGAGAGGGGGTTTCAACATGTTGGCCAAAATGGTCGTGATCTTCTGACATCGTGATCTACCTGCCTCGGCCCTCCAAAGTGCTGGGATTACAAGCATGATTTGCCGCACCAGGCCTACTTATTTTTAAGATAAATAATAAAATAATACATATATTTTCTGAAAGAAGTAGATATATTTACTTTTCTTATGGAGGTATCACATGCAAGCACCTTAGCCAGGTGCAGTGGCTCACGCCTGTCATCTCAGCACTTTGGGAGGCCGAGGTGAGTGGATCACTTGAGGTCAGGAGTTTGAGACCAGCCTGCCCAACATGATGAAACCCCATCTCTACTAAAAATACAAAAATTAGCCGGGTGTGGTGGCATACGCCTGTATTCCCAACAACATGGGAGGCTGAGGCACAAGAAGGTCTTGAACCGGGGAGGCAGAGGTTGCAGTGAGCCAAGATCATGCCATTGAACTCCAGCCTGGGCCACAGGGTGACTCCGTCTCAAAAAAAAAAAAAAAAAAAGTAAGCACTTCCTTCTTATGTAAACACTGTGTTTGAGTAATTTCCCTGGATTTTTCTAACACTTAGTTTCAAAAACCAAGTGAATAACTCTGACATGGAAATCAAAGCTTGAACCTAGTGACTCCAAGCTAAGGCTGATATTAAGCCTGCAACAGGATGTTACTAAAGACTCAGTTTTTTTCTGGGGAGCCTCCCCTGCACATGTCCCAGCCTGCTCACCCCAGCCATAGAAGGAGGCTTTATCCTGAGAGAAGCTACAGAGCCCTGGAAAGCTGGGGCCCCACAGGCAGATGCAGCTGAGGTTAAGATGAAAGGAAACTTAGAGGGTCTTATTGATGATGAAGTTGTTATGTTTTGTGGCACTTTCTACACTTTGTAAAATAAAAAATATTAATTTATGTTAAAAAAATGAATTCCAAAAAAAATTGCAACAGCAGAAAATACCAACTAATTTAAGATCTTTATGGCTTGCAAAGATGTAAGCAGAAAAGGGCTTTCTTTTTTAGGGAGGAGCAAACAAGATTAGAAAGGAGGTGGGAGGTGAATGGCAAACGGAGAGTGAAAAAGTCATATTTTAGATCAGAGGATGTCTTACCCTGAAATCAGCATGTTCTTAGGAGGGACATAAAATGGGGTTGTATGCTGACTCAGACTGAGGGTAGCTCAAAGTTCAGGAGCCTGAGGGAGGGAGATAAGCTTAAGAAGAGTTCGATTAAGGGATATTTTATTTTAGGCTAAGTGTGGTGGCTCATGCCTGTAAACCCAGCACTTTGGGAGGCTGAGACAGGCGGATCACCTGAGGTCAGGTGTTCAAGACCAGCCTGGCCAACATGGTGAAATCCTGTCTCTACTAAAATACAAAAATTATTGGGAGGCTGAGGTGGGCAGATCACCTGAGGTCGGGAGTTCGAGACCAGCCTGACCAACATGGAGAAACCCCATCTCTACTACAGAAAAAAAAAAAGAAAAAGAAAAATCAGGTATTGTGGTGCATGCCTGTAATCCCAGCTACTCATGAGGCTGAGGCAGGAGAATGGCTTGATCCTGGGAAATGGCTTGAAAGTTTGTGGTGAGCCGAGATCACACCAGTGCACTCTAGCCTGGGCAACAAGAGTGAAATTCCATTTCAAAAAAAAAAAAAAAAAATTAGCCAGGTGTGTTGGTGGGTGCCTATAATCCCAGCTACTTGGGAGGGTGAGGCAGGAGAATTGCTTGAACCTGGAAGGCAGAGGTTGCAGTGAGCTGAGATTGCTCCACTGCACTCCAGCCTGGGTGACAAAGTGAAGAAATATTTTGAGCGCTGAAGACAAATTCAGCTGATTTTTTTAATGAGAAAAAGGAGAAAATGTGCAGTGTGTGTGTGTGCCTGTGTGATAGATAAGAAAAGAGAGCACTAAGTCATAATGGGAACAGTGTTTCTTTCCATAAACTGTTCCTGGAGCACACAAAAGATGGAGAATTTTATTAATCACAAATATTTTCCAGGATTATCTGTGTGTTTCATCTTTCCCCATCTCTTTTATTCGTTCTGTGCATTTCTTCCATTTGGCTTTTCCTGGGCTGCATCTTATATATTAAACTGTTAAACATCACTGCAGTGGTTTGCTGAGTTCTGTGAGTAGCTCTACCAAATTATTGAACTTCAGGGAGGTTATGGGACTCCCCAGTTTTTAAACAGTAGCTCAGAAGCATAGATAAGCCCATGGGGTTTGTGATTGGCATCTGCAGTGAGGACAGTGTTGTGGGACTGAGCCCTGAATCAGGGTCTGTGTTGACTCTCGGTGGTGTCAGAATTCAAATGTTAGACAATGAGTTGGTGTTGGAGAATTGTTTAATGTTCAGCAAACTCTACAGATTTGGTGCCAGGAAAAAGATATCACAGAAGTCTGGCCTGGAATAAAACTCTAGGTGTTTGGGAATGGGAGCTCTGCTGTCTGGTCACAGGCTGTCACACTGCCCATTGTCCTGTGATTCCAGGTCTTCTCCCAGGGTGACAGAGGACTGAAAACTTAGAAGAAAGGAGCTCTGATGACAGACCCCCTTTTCCCACAGCTGCCACCACAGGATTCCCACCCACTCACAAACACACACACTAGACATTGACATGTCCACCCTCCTCCCAGGAGTAGGCACCACCCTCAGGACCTTCACCACGGCGTTTTTGATCCTAGTGTTTCTTGCCAAGAACCCACAAGTCTCTACAAGTCTCCTGGCGTATCCCCACCCCCAGACACTAAATCTGCAGCAGCAATCTGTTTTCTCCACCAACCTAGCATTTTGAATCAGCTGTTCATAATCTCATATGTCTGCGTGCACACAGTAATAAATCAGAGTACAGCTGCACCAGGACAACTATCTGTAGCAAAAATCAGTCCTCTCACCTACATTGCAATCTCTCCCACCCAGGGATTTAATTTTTTCTTTTAGCTTTTATTTTTGTTTTGGGGTACACATGAGTTTGTTTTGGTGCATGGGGGTTTTGCGTGCAGATTATTTTGTCACTGAGGTATTAAGCATAGCACCAAACAGGTATGTTTTCTGATTCTCTTAGTCTTCCACCCTCCACCCTCAACTAGGCCGCAGCGTCTGTTGTTCTCCTCTTTGTGTTTGTGTGTTCTTATTATTTAGCTGTTACTTATAAATAAAAACATGCATTTGGTTTTCTGTTTCTACAGTATTTTCTTTTTCTTTCTTTCTTTTTTTTTGGAGACGGAGTTTCACTTTTGTTGCCCAGGCTGGAGTGCAATGGTGTGATCTCGGCTCACCACAACCTCCGTCTCCCAGTTTCAAGTGATTCTCCTGCCTCAGCCTCCTGAGTAGCTGGGATTACAGGCACATGGCACCACACCCAGCTAATTCTGTATTTTTAGTAGAGATGGCTTTTCTCCATGTTGGGCAGGCTGGTCTCGAACTCCTGACCTCAAGTGATCAACCTACATTGGCCTCCCAAAGTGGTGGGATTACAGGCATGAGCCACTGCGCCAGGCCTCTGCATTTGTTTTCTAAGAATGATGGTCTCCAGCTTCATTGACGTTATTGCAAAGGACATGATTTTTTTTTTTAATGGCCACAGAGTATTCCATGAGGTTTATATACCATATTTTATTTTGACTAAATCTTTTATTTCATTTTATTTTTGGAGACAGAGTCTCCCTTATTGCCCAGGCTAGAGTGCCATGGCATGATATTGGTTTACTTTAGCCTCAACCTCCCTGGCTCAAGCAATTTTCTCCTACCTCATGTTCCCAAGTAGCTTGGACTACACGCGGGCATTACCACACCTGGCCAATTTTTTTTTTTTTTTTTTTTTTTTTGAGACGGAGTCTCGCTCTGTCGCCCAGGCCGGACTGCGGACTGCAGTGGCGCAATCTCGGCTCACTGCAAGCTCCGCTTCCCGGGTTCACGCCATTCTCCTGCCTCAGCCTCCCGAGTAGCTGGGACTACAGGCGCCCGCCACCGCGCCCGGCTAATTTTTTGTATTTTTAGTAGAGACGGGGTTTCACCTTGTTAGCCAGGATGGTCTCGATCTCCTGACCTCATGATCCACCCGCCTCGGCCTCCCAAAGTGCTGGGATTACAGGCGTGAACCACTGCATCTGACCATACCATATTTTCTTTACCCAGTCTACCACTGATAGGTATTTAGGGCCTGTCCTTATCTTTGCTATTGTGAATAGTGCTGCAGTGAACATGCATGTGGATGTGTCTTTATAATATAATAATTTATGTTTCTTTGGGTATATACCCAATTATGAGATCCCTGGGTCAAATGATAATTCTGTTGTTAGTTCTGTGAGGAACCGCCACACTGCTTTTTACAGTTGTTAAACTATTTACACTCCCACCAGCAGAGTATAAGCATTCCGTTTTCTCTGCAACCTTGCCAGCATCTATTATTTTTTGACTTTTTGAAAATAGCCATTCTGACTGGTGTGAAGTGATATCTCGTTGTTGTTTTTCTTTTAATTTCTCTAGTGATTAGTGATGAGCATTTTTTTCAAGTACTTCTTAGCCACATGTGGTTTTTCTTTTAATTTCTCCCGTGATTAGCGATGAGCATTTTTTTCAGGTACTTAGCCACATGTATATTTTCTTTTGAAAAGCAGTGTTCATCTTTTTTGCCTACTTTTTAATGAGGTCGTTTGGTTTTGTCTTTTAAACTTGTTTAAGTTTCTAATAAATTCTGGATATTAGACCTTTGTCAGAGGCAAAGTTTGCAAAAATTTTCTTTTATTCTGTAGGTTGTCTTTTTCCTCTGTTGATAGTTTCCTTTGCTGTGAAGAAGCGCTTTAGTTTAAATAGGTCCCATTTGTCAATTTTTGCTTCTGTTGCAGTTGCTTTTGGTAGCTTCCTCATGAATTCTTTGCCAGTTTCTGTGTCTAGAATGGTATTTCCTAGGTTTTCATGCAGTGTTTCTTATAATTTTAAGCTTACATTTAAGTGTTTATCTTCAGTTGATTTTTGTATATGCTGTAATGAAGTGAGCTAGTTTCAGTCTTCTACATAGTGCTAGGTAGTTATTCCAGCACCATTTATTAAAGAGAGAATTCTTCCCACATTTCCCTTGTCAGCTTTGTCAAAAATCTGATGGTTATAGGAGGGTGGCATTATTTCTGGGCTCTCTATTCTGTTGCATTGGTCTTCAGCCTGAGTCTCTCTAGCCTGGCTTATCATTGGGCCATCAGCCCAGGGTCACTGGAAATTCCCTCACAATCACCTGGGTGTCTTTGAGGCATTTGAGGATGTTCAGAGCAGAATTGTGTTAGGCTGATAAGAGTGGTTAATTCTGCTTCTGTCTCAGTGTAAGGGAAATGAGTCATCCTGTGTTTTTTCATCCCCTCATACAAGAGGTGTCTTTGGTTGGTACCCAGATGAGAGTTTCTCCAGTTTCCTAGTACTTGGATGGTAAAGAAGGAAAAGATCTGGAGACCCAAATGGATAAACTAGTTGCTTCCATTTTATATGGCCATTAAAAAAAAACTATGCAGCAGTCTTTTTTCCTACAATCCAGAAGCTTTTAGTCTAGACTAGCAACTGGATAAATAATTGAATTGTGCATCATATGGTTGGTGCAATACATAGATGTGTCCAACACCTTGGGCTTTATTTAGGCCACTTTCTTTATATTTTTGAGACTTCTGATGTCTACATCTGAAGGCATATTTATGAACAGAAGAATTGTTATTATAGGTTCTTTTTTTTTTTTGAGACGGAGTCTCTGTCACCCAGGCTGGAGTGCAGTTGTGTGATCTTGGCTCACTGCTGCCCTCTGCTGCCCTGGTTCAAGCGATTCTCCTGCTTCAGGCTCCTGAGTAGCTGGGATTACAGGTGCCAGCCACCATGCCCAGCTAATTTATATATATCTTTTTTTTAATCTTTGTATATTTAGTAGAGATGGGGTTTCACCATCTGGTCAAGCTGGTCTCGAAATCCTGAGGTCGTGATCCACCCACATCATCCTCCCAAAGTGCTGGGATTATGGGCATCAGCCACCACTCCTGGCCATATAATTTCTATTTCTTTTACCTTGCTACATGTACATATTTATTTTCTAATAAAATTACCCTAGAAAAGCTGGGCATGGTTGCTCATGCCTGTAATCCCAGCACTTTGTGGGGCCGAGGCAGGTGGATCACAAGGTCAGGAGTTTGGGACCAGCCTGGCTAATATGGTGAAATGCTGTCTCTACTAATAATACAAAAATTAGCTGGGCGTGGTGGCATGCACCTGTAGTTCCAGCTACTCAGGAGGCTGAGAGAGAAGAATCACTTGAACCCTGGAGGCAGAGGCTGTAGTGAGCAGAGATGGCACCACTGCACACCAGCCTGTGTGACAGAGGGAGACTGCATCTCAAAAAAAAAAAAAAAATTACCCTAGAAAACCTTAAAGGATTTGTTTAAATTGCGTATTAGAATGTAGTACAAAGTTGACAGGGCAGTGGCTAGAAAATACTAAAATTACAGAAACTCTGGGATTTAAGTTTTCTTTTTTTTTTTTTTTAGGTAAGCTTAGAAAAAACAAAACTGGTAGTACTGCAGTGACATAGAGAGCAGAATTTTACATAGGGTCCTCACCCTGAGCCAGACCCAGACCTGTTCAGATTCACCCTTTTTGGAGGCCTTATTTAGGTCTGACCCTATCTTGTAGTCTTGCTTCAGATAACTGATTAGAAGAGATCAAAGTTTTGGCTGGTGAATCCTGCTGCCTTTCTAGAGCTGGTGCTCACAATTTCCTGAAACCACAAACAGATAAATGGGATAAATAAAGTATGTATTTTAGGGTCCTAGTTTTTTAATCTTCTATTAAAACCAGTGCTTGCGGAGACATTTATTTAGAAACTTGTTTTCTATTCCTGCAGATCCAGTAGTTGCTCCATAAGTCACAAAAAAGTAAATATAAACAGAATAAAATTGTCTAAACTACATTAACCTCTTTCTTTCTATCTCTTTCATCTGGCTATATTTAGCTTTTATTCTGTACAATTTTAAAAAATTGATGAGAGAGAAACAGAAGAAGAAATAAAAATGCTGGGCCCTTTAACTAAATCTTGAAAACTATTAAACCCTTAGTACCAGCTCCCCGGGTGTTATGAGAATTAAATCACCTAATGTGTTATACCCAGCACAGTGCTCTGTATCATACTATTGTGCACATAGTACCTGTTTAACAAACAGTGCATTAGTACATGTGTACATGTTGTTTTTTAAAAACAGACTTATTCAGACATTGCTGCCTTGTTTCCTCTGTAAACTTTAAAGAGCCATCAAATAATATAAAACTTTAGGATGGAGATGGGTTGTCCTTGTTTGTATGAGAAGTATTTGGTTGTGACAAGAGTGCTAAGTATAAGGGACTATGTGCTGTGACTGCTTCTCTGACTAATGGTAATAATGAGCCAATGGGGAGCAACATCAGCATTGACAGGGAACTTGTTTTTGAAACACCCATTCATGGACCCTTTTCAAACCTGCAGAATCACATTACATAAAGTGGAGCTAAAATTACCAAGTGAATTATAAGCTCGTTAAAGCTTGAGAGGCAATGCTTAGCTTAGCTCGTTAAAGCTTGAGAGGCAATGCTTAGCTTAGTGGTTATCAGCCCAGGCCTCTCATTAGGATCACATGGCCAATTTGCAGAAATCTCTTGTGCCCTCCCCACAGCTTCTGTTTATTGTTCTGGGTGGAAGCATCCATGTTGTTTTAACGAAGGGCCTTATGTGACTGTAAGGTGAGGCCAGAATCAGGTATGAAGGCTGCAAAATACATTCATGAGCGTTAAGTTCCACCTTTGCACTAAAGGGTGGCCACAGGGTCTGTTCTGTTTGGGTTTGGTAGGGACAGGTCAGTGGCACATATTTCCATTACTGTAGCAGAAATGGATGGTGTCTGTGGTAGGGGAGGGCCCCTGAGGACAGGAAAGGAGAAACTTATATTTTCATCTTTATGGAGCAGCTCATTTTTCCTGAACCTCTTCTGTTTTAAAGGACAGAAATGGGTGGATTTTTCTGTCTTTTTCTGCCAGTTGATGTCATGCTAGCAGGTATACTTGTGGTACTGACACCTTTAAAGGCATATTCTCAAGATTCAGGTGTAATTTGTCCAAAGAATCTCATCTGAGAAGGAATTCCAGTGAAGGAGGAGATAGGAGAACAAAAAAAAAAGGCTTTTCTTTAGGTAAACGTGCCTCAGCTGAAAAGCTGTGTCCACTCTGCCTTCTGGACTGCCATGCGTTTAGTACTCACAAACCTTTACTTCTCTACTTGTGTTTCTCCTCCCTAAGGAGTTTGGTTTAAGTACTTCTTAAAATTCTTACGATAGTCAAAGGTGTCTGAAAAATGTTTCTTTGCTGTATCCCAGAGCCTTTTCTTCATTCTCTACATCATAACTTCTCATGTTCTATTGGGGAAAACTGTGGTCCTTAGTAAAGATGGAGAACATGTAATGTTGAGGCTCCATTAGTGTGTTCCATTAGCTGTATGCCGAACAGGATTAAGAAATTGCTTATTGGCCGGGTGCAGTGGCTCATGCCTGTAATCCCAGCACTTTGGGAGGCTGAAGCGGGCAGATCCCGAGGTCAGGAGATTGAGACCATCCTGGCTAACACAGTGAAACCCCGTCTCTATTAAAAATGCAAAAAATTAGCCAGGCATGGCAGTGGGTGCCTGCAATCCCAGCTCCTCAGGAGGCTGAGGCAGCAGAATAGCTTGAACCTGGGAAGCAGAGGTTGCAGTGAGCCAAGGTTGCGCCACTGCACTCCAGCCTGGGCAACAGAGTGATTTTCCATATCAAAAAAAAGAAAAGAAAAGAAAAGAAATTCCTTATTTAGATTGGGCGCAATGGCTCATGCCTGTAATTCCAGCACCTTGGAAGGTCGAGGTGGGCAGATCACCTGAGGTCAGGAGATCGAGACCAGCCTGGCCAACGTGGTGGAACTCTGTCTCTACTAAAAATACAAAAACTAGCCGGGCGTGGTGGCAGGCACCTGTAATCCCAGCTACTCGGGAAGCTGAGGCAGGAGACCCACTTGAACACAGGAGGCGGAGGTTGCAGTGAGCCAAGATCATGCCATTGCACTCCAGCCTGGGGGACAAGAGTGAGACTTTGCCTCAAAAAAAAAAAAAAAAAGAAATGCTTATTTAAATGGGATGCCATTTATTACCCAGAAAGTTCTGAAAAAACTTATTAGGACATACCTGCTCTTTAGGGTGCTAAATGAAGTCTATTTAAAATTACTACTAAAAATTACAGAACACAGGAGTTATCTGTATTTTGAGGTTTGCATAAAACTGATGGTTCTTTATGATTGAATCAGATTTTATTTACTTTTTTAAAAGAGGAATATTTCAACAGTGATGCTGTGTTCTTCTATGTGCATTAGCACAACATAAAAATTTCTTCTAGTGAAGTTAATGGTTAATGATTCACTTGCTTAAATAGCTCTGTGACAGATATTTTTCACTATGTAGCTGATTATTTTTCTCTTCATTATTAAGTATCTTTATGCAGCTGATGTGAATAAACCACCACATTTAATCTGGCAGTTGTCCTTTTTTCTTAATTTTTTCTACATATTTTTCTTTGGAAAATGAAGACTCTTATCTTTGTTTACAGGCCAGAAAAACTGGGAAAAACAGGCTCTTCCACTTACTGGATGTTTGACAAAATATCCTTCTTGGGCCAAAAACATTGACATCATTGGTGAGCTTGTTAGAAATTCAAAAAATCAAACTTTATTCCAGATCTTCTGGAAAAAAACCCTGCATAACAAGGTCTTCAACTTATTGTATATATTTAAATTTTAGAGGTGCCTTCTAAACTCAACATGTCTTTGTCATCTGAAAAATATTCACAGCTCATTCCATATGATGTAAACATAGCACTCAAAAATGTACATGTTCGTGTTCATACCCTTAATTTTACACTTTACTATCTAGAAAAATACATGAACTGATGTTGTGGATCTTATGCTGTTCTTTTTTCTCAGAGAATACTTTAGAGAATATTTCTGTGTTGAAAGTTATTTTATTGGATAATTTTAGTCAGTCCTATAAGTCAGAACCATTTGTCTTTACTCTCTCATTTGAACTTAAGTCAAATTAAAAATTCCACCCTTGGCTACTTGGTAAAAACGTATGTTGTGTGTGTGTTTCAGGGGCCATTGCAATTTAGAGACGTGGCCATAGAATTCTCTCTGGAGGAGTGGCATTGCCTGGACACTGCACAGCGGAATTTATATAGGAATGTGATGTTAGAGAACTACAGAAACCTGGTCTTCCTTGGTGAGAAAAACTTTAATACATAATTCATAATATACACAAAAGACTTTATTTCTCTCTCTTGTAGAATTTTTTTAGTAATTTATTCTTTTATAAAAGAGTTTCAGATCCACTTTTTCAAGAAAATCTTCAGAATTTGTTCATTTAGAAAATAATTTCTTTGGTGCCTCATGCCTGTAATCCCAGCACTTTGGGAGGCTGAGGTGGGGGTATTACCTGAGGCTAGGAGTTCAAGATCAGCCTGGCCAACATGGTGAAACCCCATTTCTACTAAAAGTACAAGAAATTAGCCGGGCATGGTGGCACATGCCTGTAATCCCAGCTAATTGGGAAGGTGAGGCAGGAGAATACCTTGAACCCAGGAGGCGGAGGTTGCAGTGAGTCGAAATAATGCCATTGCACTCCAGCCCAGGCAACAGAGCAAGATTTTGTCTCAAGGGGAAAAAAAAAGAAAAGAAAAAAATTTCTTCAAGATGTTTCATCTTAATCCAAATTTTCCATATTTGTGAGGTGAGCTGTAATCTTCACTCCAAATTAGTGGTAATTCCAGAAATTTACTGACATAAACTATTGTAGCTTCCACCTGAAAATCTAAATGCCACCACCAATTTTTGATTCAGTAGTACCAGGAAGGAAAATTAAGAAACCTACAAATTGAAAGTATTTTCTTTCTTTTTCTTTTTTTTTTTTTTTTTTTTCGGGGACAGAGTCTCACTCTGTCACCCAGGCTGGAGTGCAGTGGTGTGATCTCAGCTTACTGAAACATCCACCTCCCAGGTTGAAGCAATTCTTCTGCCTCAGCCTCATGAGTATCTGGGACTACAGGGGCAAGTCACCGTGTTTGGCTAATGTTTGTATTTTTAGTAGAGATGGGGTTTCACCATGCTGGCCAGGCTGGTCTCTAACTCATGACCTCGTGATTCACCCACCTTGGCCTCCCAAAGTGCTGGGATTACAGGCGTGAGTAACTGCACCTGGCAAATTTAAAGTATTTTCTAAATATTTAGAAATTTCTGTTATAAATTTGTATTTTGGTATTAATTTACTATAATATTTTATTACATTGTCTTTGCGAGCACATTACTAGCTTGTAATTGGAGAATATGAGCAAGATTCATGTTATTTATTTTTAATAAAACAGGTATTGTTGTCTCTAAGCCAGACCTCATCACCTGTCTGGAGCAAGGAAAAAAACCTTTGACCATGAAGAAACATGAGATGGTAGCCAACCCCTCAGGTAGGTGCAAGTGAAAATGAATATAGCAGACGACACAGATAAGAGGTCCCAAAGTCAAAGAGAAAGCCAGTCCTTAAAGTGTGATTTGGGAAGCTGTGCTCCAAAGAAAATAGTTCCTGGGAGCTGTTTTTTTTTTTTTTTTCTTTTTTAAATTTTGCTCTTATAAAGGGGCATCTTCTGCTTATGCTTTTAAATTCTGTAAAAATTCTACTTTTCTTTCGGTGAGCTCCCTTCAAGTTCACAGTGAGAGCCAGAGTCCTCTTCATGGCATATAAAATACTGCACAGTCTGGCTGCTTTTTCATTGTTTTGGGGACACACAAATATCTGCATGATTTTGAGAATTATTTCTCTTTTTGCATCAGGTCTGATGTGTGAGAGTAGTAGTTTCTGTCCAATTTTTTTGTTTATTTTTCTATGTAGTCCTTTCTATTTTTATTACTATTATAGTCTTGAAATATAGTTTGAAATTATACGTATGATATCCTTCTGCTTTGTTCTTTTTTTTTTTCAAGATTGCTTTGGCTATTCAGAGTTTATTTTCATGTAAATTTTAGAATTGTATTTTCCATTTCTGTAAAAAAAAAACACTGCAATTTTGACAGGACGTTTATGCAATCTATAGATCACTTTGGATAATATGAAACTTTAATAATATTTATTCTTTCAATCCCTAGACATAAAATATTTTAAAATTTGTTTGGATCTTCTAATTTTTTCATTTTTTTATTGTAAACATTTTCTTACCTTCTTGGTTAATTTTTTTCTCAGAAATTTATTATTTAATGCTATATTAAATAAGATTTTTTCTTCCTCTATTTTATCAGATAGTTTGTTTTAAGCGTATGAAACAATACATGTACTTGTGTGTTAATTTTATATTTTGCTAATTTACTCAGTGTATTCATTAGTTTAGACAGGTTTTAATGTACTGTTTATGGTTTTTAAAATGTAAGATGTATGATCCACAAACAGCAACTTTTACTTATTTTTCTTCAATTGCAATGGATTTCTTTCTTTCTTTCTTTTTTTTTTTTTTTTTTTTTGAGATGGGGTTTCACTCATGTTGCCCAGGCTAAAGTGCAATGGCGTGATTTCGGCTCACTGCAACCTTCGCCTCCTGGGTTCAAGCAGTTCTCTTGCCTCAGCCTGCTGGGTAGCTGGGATTACTGGTGCTCACCACAACACCTAGCTAATTTTTTGTATTTTTTTGGTAGAGACTGGGTTTCACCATGTTGGCAAGGGTGGTCTCAAACTCCTGACCTCAGATGATCTGCCTGCCTCGGCCTCCCAAAGTACTGGAATTACAGGCATGAGGCACCCCGCCCGGCCCAATTGTGTGGGCTTCTATGTAGGCAGAACTGACCATAAACTGTGGCTCAGGTAACCGAAACTGAGTCATTGAACCTCTTCAGGGACCCCAGTAAAGGCCAAAGTCTGCAAGCCTGCCTACATTGCTGTAAATGGGTGCCTTCATCCAGGTCTCTGGAATGGCAGGACCTCTGCCAGACTGTGGCTGGGAGTTTGAGCTGGTTACAGAGTAAGTTCAGAATTCTCTGTGGGACCAACTTGGGTAAACCCTATCCTGGTCTGTAGCCATGAACAGGGGTACTGTAGTTTCCCACGTGAATGAGAGCCTGCCTTCTGAATAGAACACTTCTCAACCTTACGCTTTAACAGCATTTCACAACTCCCACCCTAGCTCTCAAATCTCCCTTAGAGGCACTTATTTTGGAAATGGCATCTTGCTACATCTTTGATCTGGTCTTTGAGACCCAGGCTGGTCTCAAAATCCTGGCCTGAAGCAATTTTCCAACCTTAATGTTCCATGGAGCTGTCATTACAGGTGTGAGTCATAATCCTGGTTCTCTCATAAAGGTATTTTTGTCAGCGATGGCTGACTTGTTTTGCTGTAAGGGAATATGAAAATAGGGCACTTTTAATCTTTTCATTTTACTGATGTCACTCTCCCTATATATTTTTACTTTCTATGTTCTCTTTCAGATTTGTCTGTAATTTTAGATTCAAATATTGAAGACAATATGCTAGAATTTGCATGATATGCCTGAAGTAAATTACATAATTAGTAGGCACCCATAGTTACTAAAATAGTTATTTATAAATTTAAATTTGCTGCAGGTAAAAAGGAATTATAGGATGTTCATCTACTTTTTTCAGCCTATATCTCCATAATAAAATAGTTTATTTCCTAATATTTGTTTTACATATCAGAGGGTCTAACCCCATTCTACAAAATATATATTTCTTATTTAACAATGTAAGGGTACTCTTTGCTTCCAATGTTTGATTACAGCAGTTTCATTTTGTGTAAGAATACCATATATTTAAGACATTAAAAGGAACTAGTTTCTTTTAAATGCTAATTTATTTTCTCATTAGAATCTTCTATTTATAATTATACTGCATAATCTCTGAAATTTTACTGCCACACAGTGCATGCTAATGATTCAGAATACTTGCATTTTGTGAGTACACACCAACAGTTAAATATTGCAGTTATCTAGAATTTTTTTTTTTTTTTTTTTGAGATGGAGTCACACTCTGTCACCCAGGCTGGAGTGTAGTGGTATGATCTTGGCTCACTGCAACCTCCACTTCCTGGGTTCAAGCTATTCTCATACCTCAGTCTCCCAAGTAGCTGGGATTACAGGCGTGTGTCACCGTCCCCAGCTAATTTTTGTATTTTTAGTAGAGATGGGGCTTCACCACTTCGGCCAGGCTGGTCTTGAACTCCTGACCTCAGGTGATCTGCTCATCTTGGCCTCCCAAAGTGTTGAGATAACAGTTTTGAGCCACTGTGCCCGGCCTGACAATTTTTTTTTAATTATACTTCAATGTTGCATACAAGATTTTATGAGTAAACATTTCTCTTATTGTTGTTTTGAAGTTTTGAACCCCTCCGAGGTTCAAGTGATTCTTCTGCCTTGACCTCCTGGGTAGCTGGGACTACAGGCATGAGCCACCATGCTCAGCTAATTTTTGTATTTTTAGCAGAGATGGGGTTTCACTATATTGGCCAATGTGGTCTGGAACTGCTGGCCTCAGGATTTGCACACTTTGGTCTCCCAAAGTGCTGGGATTACAGATGTGACCTACTGCCTCTGGCCTCAGTGTAGGTTTCTTAAGATTAGTTTATTGGGTGTTTTGGTTTTACTTATGTATTATAATTTTAGACAATTTGCAGTTCTTTTTGTACACTTTAAGTCAATTTAAGGTTTAATTAAGAGATAAATTATGCATATCTATCATAATCAGATTACATTTGTATGTGTATTTATCTATAAATATGACCCCAATTTTAGTTATGGCTTATATTCTTTCTTAGCTGATTTTTGATGGTAGTTTTATCTTGTCTAAGTGAGTACTTATGGAGATAGTCTTATTATCACCATGTGTTTAACAATGAATATATATTTGCTTTTGTGAGAGACACTTCTATGATTTGAAAGTAAATTTCAAAAAGATACATAATTGTTTTTTTTTTTTTTTTTTCAGTTTTTCTTTAAAAAAAATTGCTTAAAAACACGTAATATAAAATTTACCACCTTAAATCTATTGAAGTGTGCATTTCAGGGCCAGGCTTGGTGGAGGCTCTTATTTGTAATCCCAGGATTTTGAGAGGCCAAGACTGGAGGATCCATGGAGCCCAACAGTTTGAGACCAGCCAGGGCAACATATGGTGACACCTCTCTATAAAAAATAATAATAATAATAGCCAGCCATAGTGATGTGCAGCTGTGGCCCCAGCTACTTGGGAGATTTAAGGGAAGTCAAAATTGTACAACTACACTCCAGCTTGGGTGACAGAGTGAGACCGTGTCTCAAAAAAAAAAGCTGTTCATTTCAGTCATGTTAAGTATATTCACATTGTTAAGCAAAAGACTTTTAGAAAGTTTTCATCTTGTAAAACTAAAAGCCATTGACCATTAAGTAACAACTGCTCATTTTACCCTCTCTCCAGCCTTTGACAGACAAACCTTCCACTTTCTGATTTTATGATTTTGACTACTTAAGATATATCATATATGTGGAATCATACAGTATCCAAAATTTTGTCACTGGATTAGTTCAGGTGACATAATATTCTCAAAGTTCATCTTAAAATTGACAAGATTGTTTTTTCTAAGGTGGAATAATACTTCATCATATGTATATGTTACATTTTTTGATATGTTTATAAATCAAGAGGCATCTGGGTTGCTTCAGCCTTTTGGCTTTTGTGAATACTGGTACAATACACATGGATTTTCAATTATATCTTCCAGGTCCTGTGTTGCATATTTTTGTTGTTGCTGTTGTTTTCCTTTTTTTTTTAGATGGAGTCTCACTCTGTTGCCCAGGCTAAAGTACAGTGGCACGATTTCGGCTCACTGCAACCTCTGCCTTCTGGGTTTAAGCAATTCTCCTGTCTCAGCCTCCCAAGTAGCTGGGATTACAGGTGCACGTCACATCGCCAAGCTAATCTTTTATTTTTAGTAGAAATGGTGTGTTGGCCAGGCTGGTCACAAACACCTGACCTCAGGTTATCTGCCCACCTCAGCCTCCCAAACTGCTAGGATTACAGGCTTGAGCCACTGCACCTGGCCTGTGTTACATATTTTGGATAGAGATTTATAAATGAGGAACATTTACAACATTTTAAAATAATGGCTGTGTCTTTGTTTTCCACCAGCAATCAACATGGGTTTTATTTTTATTGCACCTAATGGGTGTAAGTTGATCTTGTCATTGTGTGTTTTTTTAATTTCTGTATAAATTAATGATTTTGTATGTTCTTTCAAATGCTTTTCCTCACTTGTGTATTTTTATGTTTAAGCATTTTATTTAAAATGTATTATTGTGTCATTCAAGGAAATAAACAACTTTATCAGTGTTGATATTCAGTTTTCAACTTCATTTTTTGAAGAGATTATTTCTATTTTGTATGCATGGCAACTTTGTGGAAGATCATCTGATCATATACAGAAGGGTTCATTTCTGAGTTCTCTATTCTGTTCTTTCATTTGTTTATCTTTGTGTCAGTGTCACATTGTTTATGTTACTGTAGGTG
Source organism: Homo sapiens (assembly GCF_000001405.40). NCBI lineage: Eukaryota > Metazoa > Chordata > Mammalia > Primates > Hominidae > Homo > Homo sapiens. The sequence goes on along the minus strand of NC_000019.10, from coordinate 20,547,404 downwards.
GTGTTTTTTTTTTTTTTTTTTTTTGAGACGGAGTCTCGCTGTGTCACCCTGGCTGGAGTGCAGTGACGCAATCTCAGCTTACTGCAAGCTCCGCCTCCCAGGTTCATGCCATTCTCCTGCCTCAGCCTCTGAAGTAGCTGGGACTACAGGCGCCTGCTACCATGCCCGGCTAATTTTTTGTATTTTTAGTAGAGATGGGGTTTCACTATATTAGCCAGGATGGTCTCAATCTCCTGACCTCGTGATCCACCTGCCTCGGCCTCCAAAAGTGCTGGGATTACAGGCATGAGCCACCATGCCTGGCCATGTTACTGTAGGTTTTAACTGTAGGTTGTATTGACAACTTTGAAAAATAAAATTTTTTGCCCCCTGAGCAAGAATATGTTGTAGAGTGTATTTCATATTCACTTATTTTAGAATTTGCCAGTTTGACTTTTGCTTTTAATTCCTAGTTTCATTCAGTTTTTGTTAGAAAACACACAGTGTGTAATTTTAGTGTTTTAAAAATGATTGGTTGTTGTTGTTTTGAGACAAGATCTTACTGTCACCCAGGCTGCAGTGCAGTGGCATAATTGTGGCTCATTGTAACCTCAGCCTCCTGGACTCAAGTGATCCTTTCTCCTCAGTTTTTTGAGTATCTAGGACTGTAGATATGCACTACCATGTCTGGATAATTGTTTGCTTGTTTGTAGTATTAGGATCTCACTATGTTGCCCAGGCTGGTCTCAAACTTTTGGCCCCAGTGGATCTCCCAAAGTGTTAGGATTATAGCCAAGAGCTACAGCACATAGTATTTTTAATTTAATAAAACTTCATATGTGTCCTAACAGAATACACCAGATGCAAATAGGAATACTGTGTATTATCTTGGTTTTGACTGGAGAGTTTTGTGTGTGGCTGTGAATCCTAGGTGGTCTATAATATGGTTTGGATGTCTATGTTCTTCAAACCTCATGCTGCAATATAAATTCTCACTGTTAGATGTGGGACCTGGTGGGATATGTTTGGGTCATGGGGGCGAATTTCTCATGATCCACCCATGTGTCACCTTCCCAGAGTTCTGAGATTACAGGCATGAGCGACTGCATCCGACTGGAAATTTACTTTTAAAGGCACAATATTATACTGGAGAGCAGGAAGAGCTCTGTTGGGTATAAGTAACAGAATTTTCTTTTTATTCTATGTGGCTCTTTGCATTGTGCTCACCTGGGGCCCTTCATACACTTAACTCACTTATAAATTTTTTACAAATGTATTTTGGGCAGTCCACTTTTGTTACATTTATGTATCCAGGAAGAAATTACAGTTTGTGGTATTTTGCTGTGTCATCTTGCTTATGTAGTTTGTATAATTATATAGGTTAGATCTGTAAAGTATATTTATCTGAGTCTACCAATTGAAGTAATGTGCTTTTATTGTTTCTTTCAGTTACGTGTTCTCATTTTGCCCGAGATCTTTGGCCAGAGCAGAGCATAAAAGATTCTTTCCAAAAAGTGACACTGAGAAGATATGAAAACTATGGACATGACAATTTACAGTTTAAAAAGGGCTGTGAAAGTGTAGATGAGTGTAAGGTGCACAAAAGAGGTTATAATGGACTTAACCAATATTTGACAACTACTCAAAGCAAAATATTTCAGTGTGATAAATATGTGAAAGTCATTCATAAATTTTCAAATTCAAACAGACATAAGATAAGACATACTGGAAAAAAACCTTTCAAATGTATAGAATGTGGCAAAGCTTTTAACCAGTCTTCAACCCTTACTACACATAAGAAAATTCATACTGGGGAGAAACCCTTCAAATGTGAAGAATGTGGCAAAGCCTTCAACTGGTCCTCACACCTTACTACACATAAGAGAATTCATACTGGAGAGAAACGGTACAAATGTGAAGACTGTGGCAAAGCCTTTAGCCGGTTTTCATACCTTACTGCACATAAGATAATTCATAGTGGAGAGAAACCCTACAAATGTGAAGAATGTGGCAAGGCCTTTAAGCGCTCCTCTAACCTTACTACACATAAGATAATTCATACTGGAGAGAAACCCTACAAATGTGAAGAATGTGGCAAGGCCTTTAAGCGCTCCTCTATCCTTACTGCGCATAAGATAATTCATAGCGGAGAGAAACCCTACAAATGTGAAGAATGTGGCAAAGCCTTTAAGCACCCCTCTGTCCTTACTACACATAAAAGAATTCATACTGGAGAGAAACCCTACAAATGTGAAGAATGTGGCAGAGCCTTTAAGTACTTCTCATCCCTTACTACACACAAGATAATTCATAGTGGAGAGAAACCCTACAAATGTGAAGAATGTGGCAAAGCCTTCAACTGGTCCTCACACCTTACTACACATAAGAGAATTCATACTGGAGAGAAACCCTACAAATGTGAAGAATGTGGCGAAGCCTTTAAGTACTCCTCTTCCCTTACTACACATAAGATAATCCATACTGGACAGCAACCCTTCAAGTGTGAAGAATGTGGCAAGGCCTTTAAGTGCTTCTCTATCCTTACTACACATAAGAGAATTCATACTGGAGAGAAACCCTACAAATGTGAAGAATGTGGCAAAGCCTTCAACTCGTCCTCACACCTTACTGCACATAAGAGAATTCATACTGGAGAGAAACCCTACAAATGTGAACGATGTGGCAAGGCTTTTAAGCGCTCCTTTATCCTTACTAGACATAAGAGAATTCATACTGGAGAGAAACCCTACAAATGTGAAGAATGTGGCAAAGGCTTTAAGTGCCCCTCTACCCTTACTACACATAAGGTAATTCATACTGGAGAGAAACTATAAATGTGAGGAATGTGGCAAAGCTTTAAGCTATCCCACTATGCTTTTTTCACATAAGAAAATTCATATTGGAGGGAAACTGTACAAGTGTGATAAATGTGGCAAAGCCTTTATTTCATCCTCAAACCTTAGTAGACATTAGATAATTCATGCGGGAAAGAAACCCAACAAATAAGAAAATGCAGCAAAGCCTTTAAGGACACCTCTGCCCTTACTAGACATAAGATAATTCGTACTGGAGAGAAACCCTGTGAGTTTGATGAATGTCGGAAAGCCTTTAACCAGCTATCAACTTTTACTAAATATGAGAATTTATATGGAACATAAACCCTACAAATATAAAGAATGTGACAACGCTTTTAGGAAGTTCTGAACCCTTCTTACACATAATTCATGCTGGACAAAAATCCTACAAGTTTGAGGAATGTGGCAAATCCTATAACAAGTTTTCAATATTTTTTTTTTTGAGATGAAGTTTCATGCTTGTCATCCAAGCTGGAGTACAGTGCCATGATCTCGGCTCACTGCAACCTCTGCCTCCTGGGTTTAAGCCATTCTCCTACCTCAGCTTCCTGAGTAGCTGGGATTACAGGTGTCCTCCAACATGCCCAGCTAATTTTTTTATTTTTAGTAGAGATGCGACTTCGCCATGTTTGCCAGGCTGGTCTCGAACTCCTGACCTCAGGTGATCCACCCACCTTGGCCTCCTAAAGTGCTGGGATTACAGGCGTGAGCCACGACGCCCAGCCACAAGTTCTCAATTCTTAAGAGGCATGGCAATAATTCATGTTGAAGAGGAAATCCGCAAAGCTAAAAAATGTGACATTGCTTTTACGAACACCTCCAACTTCTCTACACATAACAATAATTATACTAGTGTGAAACCCTAGAAATATATAAAATGTGACAAAGCCTTTATATGGTTGCCACTCTTGATTGTAGGTTGGATAATTCATACTGGCAAAACTCCTACAAGTGTGAAGAATGTGGCAAAACTTTTAATCAGTTCTTACACCTTATCTCACAGAAAAGCTAGTATCCTTGAGAAAAATTGTACAAATAGAAGGAATATGGAAAACCTATTAATTCCTACTCACATCTAACTCAACATAAAAATCTTCCTTTTAATAAAAGCATTAAAATGGCAATTACTGTCAAAACTTTCAGCAAGTATAAGCCTTTAAAGTGAAGAAGAGTATTTATTGTGAAGACAAGCATTACAAATATAAAGGGAGTTACATAGTACATTTACTAGTATCACAGATCTTATTGCACACATTTTGTACTGGAGGAAAATCCTAAAGCAGTTGCTCAAGTTTGTTCAACATCAGGGAATTTATATTGGAGATGAGTCCTACAAATGTATTAAGTTTAGAAACACTTTTTTTTCCCCAGAAACTACAGCTTAGAAAACAACAGAGAGTTTATGCTAAAATATAATTTTGCAGATGCAGTAAATATTAAAAAATATTTAATTCAAAATAGATTGTATATAAATATCAAGAGAGTTTACAGTAGAATAACTAAGGCCCCGACACTTCAGACATTACACTAAATCAGAGCATTGAATATAAAAACTAATCCACAACTGCAGTTTTTAGGTAAATGATTTCTATTTAACTTTAAAAGGAGTAGATTTTTGGAAGCATTGTAATTACGTTGAAAGTATACTTGTTTCCTTGAATAAAATTTTTTGAAAGCTGAATAATGATGTAATACAGCTTTCAAATTATGCTGTTATTTTATTTCTATTCACATGTGAGAAAGCATGTGATCAGTGGCTTCTGCATCAGAGATATTCGATTTTTTTACATTATTTGGACATTATGACTTTTTCTATAAAATAGTAAGAACATTAAAATGTAAGACGCATAATGAAAATACAAGTGGAGAAGCTGTTTGTAGTAAAATTCTATTAAGTAATGTATAACGTAAATGTTCAGAGCAATACTTTATTATAGTGACACAAAGAAATAATTAAAAGTATATTAAAATAAATGAGTATATTACTTTACTACTTGTACTTTTATGTAATAAAATGCAGTGCATTTTAAAACTGTTAGGGCCGGGCTTGATGGCTCATGCCTGTAATTTCAGCACTTTGGGAGGCCAAGGTGGGCAGATCACCTGAGGTCAGGAGTTCGAGACCAGCCTGACCAACATGGAGAAACCCAGTCTCTACTAAAAATACAAAAAAAATTAGCCAGGCATGGTGGTGCATGCCTGTAATCTCAGCTACTCAGGAGGCTGAGGCAGGAGAAACACTTGAACCTGGGAGGCAGAGGTTGCAGTGGGGCAAGATTGTGCGATTGCACTCCAGTCTGGGCAACAAGAGCAAAACTCTGTCTCAAAAAAAAAAAAGTTTGTTAGATTATTTGTGAACTTAATTTTATTTTATTTTTACCATGGTAAGACTACCGTGCGTTTAATGAACCATTATTGTGCCACTAACTGTATCCCACTTTACTCAAGGGTGTAGGTACAATATTGTAGGAATATACTATTTCATACATTGTAAAATAACATCTTTAGTAATCACTGTCAGTGGCTTTAAACTGCAAATGAGTTAAATATTGTTCCCATAGATTAAATTTTGACTCTTTATTATTTAAATTTTTTATTTGTATTCGTGGGTATATAATATGTGTATATATTTATGCCTTATATGGCATCTTTTGACTCAGGCCTACAATATGTAGTAATTACATTATGGTAAATAAGGTATCCATCACCTCTAGCATTTATCTTTTGTATTACCAATAGTGTAATTATATGCTTTTATTCATTTTAAAATGTACAATTAAATTGTTATTGACTACAGAATTATTTCTATGATCATAATAATTATACAAAAATGTAAATAAAATACGGCCAGGCACAGTGGCTCACATCTGTAATTCCAGCACTTTGGGAGGCCGAGACAGGTGGAATGCTTGAGGTTAGGAGTTCAAGGCCAGCCTGGCCAACGTGGTGAAACCTTGTCTCTACTAAAAACACAAAAATTAGGCATGGTGGCACATGCCAGGAGGCTGAGGCAGGAGAATCGTTTGAGCCCAGGAGGCAGAGGTTGCAGTGAGCTGAGATCATGCCACTGCACTCCAGCCTGGCTGACAGAGTGAGTCTCCATCTCAAAAAATAAAATAAAAATAAAATCCATACATTTCTGAGTCCTGAAAAATTATAAATACTTGTAATATAGTTTTCCTTGAACATGTGGTCTCTGCCTGCAAACACATAGACTTTTAGTTTTAATTTACATAGAGTTAAATATACACATATTACTCTGAAGATAAACCTGAGGTGTAAGAAAATTATGAATTGAGTGTTTTTGTGTGAGTATAGGTTTGTACATATTTTCAGAATAAAAGCAATTACTGCAACAAAACAAATTATGTTATTTAGGTGATTAACAAAACTAAACACTTTTAAAATGGTGAAAGCAAATCTATACTTTCTGCTTTGTATTGAATTTATTAATATAAAATGTTCTGGCCTGTGATTCGGATTCTCCCCAGAGTCTGCCTATTAAAGCACAGGCAACTTTGTCTCCAGAAACAACTCTCTTGAGTACAATAATAAAAGCCCTCTTAAAACAGGAAAAAAAAATCATTTTTAACACTTATTTGAATGAACATTCAACCAAAATTGAATAATTGGATATATTTTTATTGTTCTATGTGTGTGTGAATGTATAAATGGTGCATAAAAAATAATTTAAGCCAGAAAAATAGTTATTTGTAATGAATAAAACTAAAAAGTAGTTAATTATTATATCCAGTTGATATCTTTGTTTATGTAGATAACAAAAGCAGCAGAAAGACTCTTTTTTTTTTTCCATGATGGAGTGTTGCTCTGTCTTCCAGGCTGGAGAGCAGTGGCGTGATCTCAGCTCATGGCAACCTCCACCTCCTGGGTTCAAGCAATTCTCCTGCCTCAGCCTCCTAAGTAGCTGGGATTACAGGCATGCACCACCACGTCTGACTAATTTTTGTATTTTTAGTAGAGACAGGGTTTCATCATGTTGGCCAGGCTGGTCCCAAACTCCTGGCCTCATGATCTGCCTGCTTCAGCCTCCCACGGTGCTGGTATTAGAATCATGAGCCACCGTGCCCAGCAAAAGATGATTTTAAACATTTATTTAGGTGGGTAGGCAACATTCTAAGATAATACCCTGGATTACCAGTCTGTTGCACACGTGCTGTGTCATACTTTCCTCTTGAGTGTAAAAAAAATGTGTGACTGTGGTGGGAAATCACTTATGAAATTAGGTTACTCATCCGTAGACTTTGTGTTTATCAAAATGGAGATTATCCTGATTGTGCTAAACTTAATCAGAGGTGCTTTTAAGAGAAAGAGACACATCACAGAAAAACACCCCTGCTGGCCTGAAAGTAAGTGACTTCTAGGTAGAACATGTTGTAAGCTGCTTATGGTGGCCACATGGCGGGAAAAATGTTTGTATCTTGCCATCATTTCTGCCTCCTCCATGTTGCTTCCAGTAAGGAACATAAGAGGATTCTATGGCAGAGGGAAAAAAAAGGGAATCTCATTCATTCAAGAAATAATCACCTCTCATCTGGGATAGCTTAAGAGAAACAGGAGACCACAACAGGTCCACATTAATGGGAGGAAAAAGGTAACCTGGGTAAAAGTGCTCACTGGCATTATGGAACAGTATTTAGTAAGCTGTAGTGAATGATCAGCCTCTGGGATACCAATAGTCTACCAACAAGGCTGAACTCATTCTAATTCAATCAGCATGTCTGCACCATTCTGGTGACACAGGTTTACACTATTTATTACAGAAATGCCATGAAGACCAGTGGGTAATGTCCTAAAATTGAACTTACTTCAAAAAGTATACCTAATTGTCTGTTTTCATATTTGAAAAACCTTAAAAACAATGAATTTATAAATAATTAACTTCTAATTATAGAGGATTCTACTATACTGTAATACAAGATTAAACTGTAAACACATTAATATGAATATTTTTTGAATCCATGATTAGTTATGTAGATAGTTTCTTTTAGATTCACATGACCAAGGTAACATTAGAGAAAACATTTGAAATGGAATAAAATTTACCAAGACCACATTTTTTCAATGGCTTCGCATAATTGCCGTACTTACAGAAATGGCCAGATGACTAACAAGAAACAAAGGCAAGATTTAAGCTTTGCTCAATGATTGTTTTTGACCTTTTGAAATCTGAAATCCTGGCTAAAGTATTCAAAGGGAGTATTTTATAGGGGCTTCCCAGGGTTTCCAAGTAATTGAAGAAAGAATTTCTTTTTTTTTTTTTTAGAAGGATTCTCACTCTGTCACTCACGCTGCACTGCAATGGTACGTGCTCAGCTCACTGCAACCTCCACCTCCCTGGTTCAAGTGATTCTTCCGCCTCAGCCTCCTGAGTAGCTGGGATAACAGGCACCCGCCATTATGCCCGGATAATTTTTGTAGTAGAGATGGGATTTCATCATGTTAGCCAGGCTTGTCTTGAACTCCTGACCTCAGGTGATCCATCCACCTCAGCCTCCCAGAGTGCTGGGATTACAGGCATGAGCCACTTTTCCCAGCCAGAATAATTTTGGTAGGCAGGAAAATGCACATTATGTACACACATTGCTCTTCTCTGATTTGCTTTAACACTGAAAAACTGAAGATTGTAAATGTAGTCTCAATTTAGAGTGAATTAACAAAAGATTTGTTTTTCAAAAAAGCAAATGTATAAAATTAATGGGTAACAGATGCCATTAGTTGCTAAAAAATAGTATGACTAAAGTTGGTAATTATCTAGCTATGCAAATAACAGCCCAATTAAATTAAGACTCTATTGGGTGCATGTGGAAAGCATTGATGTGCAGTGTGGTGCCTCCACTCAGCATTTCCTTACTGTCTCTTTACAGAGATACCAATTCCCCCTGAATTACTCAGGGTCCATAATGGTTTTAGAAATGTTTGTTCTCTGGAGCTGTAAAGAAATAGCACTTGAAAATAAATTTAATTTTTCTTAGCAAGGCCATTTTTACTTTTTGCAGAAAGCAGTTTTGCCACGAGTACACTGAACAGAGGAGACAGAGTCATTTATAACTTGACGTGTCCACCCTACTGCTGTGTCTGGTTTTCATTGGCTGGAATGGGACCTCACATTCTGTATGTCCCAATTGTTTAGCAACTTAGAACTTTTTAAAAGAGACAAAGGCAGAGGAGAACAAAGGAAGGAGGAAGTAACTTGTGGAATGCTGAGAAAGGTAAAAATACCTTCAAATAAGGAGGAGGAACAGGCTATGACCTAATGCTTGCTTGGATTAGTATAAGCATGCCAGGGCAAATATTTAGGCTAAATTGTGGGAGCTAAGAACATAAAGTACATTGATTTTTTAATTGTGCTTAGCAGATATTTAAGAATGTTAGCACAGGTCTTTGAATAAACTTTGCTTCTAAGAGAAGTTACTATTCATAATTAGGTAGAAAAGTCTTTGAAGAGGAACCTCTACTTCACTTTTTACACTGTGAACTGAGAATGCTGTGTTCAGAGTGATTACTGAAAACATGGTTAATACACTTCTTCCATATGATAATAAAATGTTATAAATCTTACTCTGCCTCAGAAAAGCTTTTACTAAAAGATTATGTATAGTACTTGATTTGAGTTCATGAAAAATTTTAATATTCCAGATAATTCAGACATCAATGAAATCTCATAAAACATTTGAATAAGATCATGTCTTCTTAGCGAAGAATTTTATATTACCAGTAAATTTAGAAAAAAAATAGGGCTGGGTGCGGTGGCTCATGCCTGTAATCCCAGCACTTTGGGAGGCCGAGGTGGGTGGATCAAGAGGTCAGGAGTTCGAGACCAGCCTGGCCAACATGGTGAAACCCCATCTCTACTAAAAATACAAAAATTAGCCGGGCATAGTGGCATGCACCTGTAGTCCCAGCTACTTGGGAGGCTGAGGCAGAAGAATCACTTGAACCCAGGAGGAAGAGACTGCAGTGAGCCGAGATCATGCCATTGCACTCCAGCCTGGGCGACAGATGAGACTCTGTCTCAAAAAAAAAAAAAAAAAAAAAAAATAGAAAACCAGGCTGAATGTGGTGGCTCGCGCCTGTAATGTCAGCATTTTGGGAGGCCGAGGCGGGTGGATCACCTGAGGTCTGGAGTTCGAGACCAGCCTGACCAACATGGTGAAACCCCATCTCTACTAAAAATACAAGAAATTAGCCAGGTGTGGTTGCAGGTGCCTGTAATCCCAGCTACTGGGGAGGCTGAGGCAGAAGAGTTGTGTGAACCTTGTGGGCAGAGGCTGCAGTGAGATGAGATTGTGCCATTGTACTCCAGCCTGGGCAACAAGAGCAAAACTCCATCTCAAAAAAGAAAAAGAAAAAAAAAAAAACCAGTACCTTAAGCCAAATAACAGTGTTTGACACGTGTGTAGCAACCAAAAAAGTGCTATTCATGATCAGTTTTTGTTTTTTGTTTTTTGAGACAGAGTCTCGCTATGTCACCCAGGCTGGAGTGCAGTGTTATGATCTCAGATCACTGCAACCTCTGGCTTTCGGGTTTAAGCGATTCTCCTGCCTCAGCCTCCCTAGTAGCTGGGACTACAGGCACCCGCCACCACGCCCAGCTGATTTTATTGTTTTGAGAGGAGTCTTACTTTGTTGCCTAGGGTCTAGTACAGTGGCATGATCCTGGCTCACTGCAACCTTGGCCTCACAGGTTCAAGAGATTCTCCTGCCTCAACCTCCTGCGTAGCTGGGATTACAGGCACCCACCACCATGCACAGCTAATTTTTTGTGTTTTTAGTAGAGAAGAGGTTTAGCCATGTTGCCCAGGCTGGTCTTGAACTGATGACCTCAAGCAATCCACCAGCCTCAGCCTCCCAAAGTGCTGGGATTACAGGCGTGAGCCACCACACCTGGGAATTTTTGTATTTTTAGTAGAGACGGTGTTTCACCATATTGGCCAGGCTGGTCTCGAGCTCCTGACCCTGTGATCTACCCACCTCGGCCTCTCAAAGTGCTGGATTACAGGCATGAGCCACCATGCTTGACCTGTTTATTGTTAAAGTAGCAATAGCACGACGTGCTTTCCTAGGACCTGCTGGCCTGTTTTTCACTGATATAAAGTGAAGGAGGCATTGAAATAGCAGAGGCAGGTGATATAAATTGAATACTTATATGAAATAAAATTTTAAATAAAAATTAGCATTTGATGTTGTACAACTATAGGTGAGACTATTAGTGTGAGGTCATATTTTTACTTATATTGACAAAATAACCATTCACAATATTCTTATTTAGAACAATTTTCCTTTTCTACTGTGCTTTTGCTAGCTTTTGATCAAATATTACAGGAACTCAATAGAAATCAACAAAATTAATCTTTATTTTACTAGAAGGGTTACTGATGCATATGCTAATTTTTTTTCAGTTTTTTGTTTATTGCAGAGAAGTGGCTGTCCTACTAGAAAACTGCTACTCTCATCTGTATCCACATTGAATAATAGTGAATGGAAGTGAAGCGGATAAAAGGTAAATGTGTCTTCTCTGTATCTTTTTTCATCCATTGGCTGAAGAACAGGAAAATGTGGAAAATAAAAGAAAATATAACCCCTGAAAAATCCTGAAGAAGCTCTCTTAACCAGACAAAAAACCTTATAGGGGATTTTTTGTTTGTTTTATTATTGTACCATCTGCTTCTATGAGTTTAATTTTTTTTTTTTTTTTACACTTTACATAGAAATAGGATTATGTGGGCTGGGCACAGGGACTGACGCCTGTAATCCCAACACTTGGAGGGGCTGAGGTGGGTGGATCAGTTGAGGTCAGGAGTTTGAGACTAGCCTGGCCAACATGGGGGAAATCCTATCTCTACTAAAAATATAAAAATTTGCTGGGTGTGGTGGCACATGCCTGTAATCCCAGGTCCTGAGGAGGCTGAGGCAGGAGAATCTCTTGAACCTGGGAGCTGGAGGTTGCAGTGAGTGGAGATGGTGCCACTGCACTCCAGCTTGGGTGACAAAAGCAAAATTCCATCTCAAAAAAAAAAAAAACGAGGATTTTGTTTTTTTTCTGTGCTGACTTATTTTACTTAACATAATATCTTTCAGGTTCATGAATGTTGTTGCAAATAGCAAGACTTTCTTATTTTTAAGGGCTGAATAGCATTTCATTGTGTATATATACCATATTTTCTTTCTCCATTCACCTATTGGTGAACACTTAGGTTGATTTCAAACCTTAGCTATTGTGAGTAATCAACTTCCTTCCTTCTCTTTTATTTTGTTGTTGTTTTGTTTTGTTTGAGATGGAGTCTCATTCTGTCACCCAAGCTGGAGTGCAGTGGTACAATCTCAGCTCACTGCAAACTCTGCCTACCAGGTTCAAGTGATTCTCATGCCTAAGCCTCCTGAGTAGCTGAGATTACAAGTGTATGCCACCACACCAGGCTAATTTTTGTATTTTTAGTAGAGGCAGGCTTTCACCATGTTGACCAGGCTGCTTTTCATTTGTTTGTATATTTCTTTCTTCCTTTCCTTCTTTATTTCTAGAAGTATTTTAATTTTAATATATAAATTATGACTGGTAAAAACCTTCATTTCTCTGTCTTTGCTTACTGTTATGGCTGATTAAAAAATAAGTTTTCAAAATTTCCTGGATAAAGGTTATTACTTTATTGTTAACATAACTTGAGACAATATAGAAATGAAAATAAACATTTATTAGTAAAACAGAAATTATCTAGCTACTGGTAGTCATTTAGTCTCTCACCCAACATGAATGCTACATCTTGGTGTCATCTCTCCCAGTTGTATGAAAGAGGCTACTGATCAAATTGGTCAGCATAAAATCTCGTGAAGTTTAACACATTTGTTCTGAAAATTAAGCTGATCTACTACCAGAAAAGTAGATTTTTTGATATGTATAATTTGACTCTATTTAAATTCTTCAGAAAAATTAAACTGACAACATTATTTACAAGTTTTTTGGAAATTAAAAATGCTTAAGAAACATTTATAAAAACTAAAAGTAAAAATAATTTCAGATTCTTAACATCTCTAAAATACTTCAAGTTATCATCCTCTGACAGTAGATAGATAGATAGATAGATAGATAGATAGATAGATATTTTTTCTTTTTTTGAGACAGAGTTTCACTCTTGCTCAGGCTGGAGTGCAATGGCACAATCTTGGCTCACTGCAACCTCCACATCCCTGGTTAAAGCGATTCTGCTGCTTCAGCCTCCCCAGTACCTGGTATTACAGGCACCCACAACCAAGCCTGGCTAATTTATGTATTTTTAGTAGAGATAGGGTTTCACTGTATTGGCCAGACTGGTCTCAAATTCCTGACATCAAATGATCTGCCTGACTCGGCCTCCCAAATTGCTGGGATTACAGACATGAGCCACCGGCCCAGCTCAGTGTTCAACTTTTCTGAATCAATTAACTCAGCTTAGATAATTTAAATCAGCCAATTAGGGGATTCCAAGCAGCCCATTAGCACATCCCAGGAGAATCCAATCAGCAAATTAGCTCAGCCCGGCTGATTAGCCCAGGTGATTTCTAACAGCCAACTATCTTATTCTAGGTGATACCAATCAGCCAGTTAGCTCAACTGATGAGCCCATTAGTTTAGCACAGGTGATTTTGAACCACCATTCACTCAGTCCAGGTGATTTCAATCAGTGAATTAGCTCAGCCCAAGTGATTCCAATCAACCAACTGATCAGTCCAGGTGAATTCAATTAGCCAATTAGCTCAGCCCAGGTGATCCCGATCAGCTAATTATCTAACTAGTGGCTACAGATTCATTCAGGTATGCCCAAAATGGTAAATGTAAATAGCCCATGCACACCAAAAAGAAATGCAGGGCCTTATTTGCTCACCTGGACAGTATATACCACACAGCTTTACAAGGCCTGAAACCTGAAGCTGAACCTTTATGTTTCTATAAACAACATTGTATGGCTATGTTTTATTCTGACATGCTACTGAGCAAAACAGAAGGCAATTAATTCTACACCTGCATCCTTAGTATACGCTCTATAATTTAAAAAGTGGGAGAATATTATATGTATACATTAATATTTACAAAGACACATTCATATGTTTGTGTTTATGTATCTACCATGTATGTATATTCATATACATACCTAATATGTATAAGTATATATATATGAAGCTGGAACAATCTTTATATATATTCATACAGAATAAAGACATTGAATGTGGAAGTATTGATAGCTATTGCTACAAACAGTAATACAAAAACCTTTCATACATGTATAAAAATCTTTTCCCTATAGAATACTATATCTAGAATAGTACAGAAATAGAGGAATGCTCTGATATACATCCTGCTGCACTTAATATATTCAAAGGAAGCACTGGGCTTTGTTGTGCGCTTCTGGAAGATGAATACTTACTAAGGCCTTTGGAGTTATTTACTGCCATGTCAGGATTGACTTTTCTTTTATTGTTGTATGTAGGGTCAGAGATGAACCAGCCCCAGTCCAAAGGTCCTAACCTAAATATGAGAATACTTATTCTTTCTCTTTAGAACTTTCATCAAGACAAGAACTGTATTTATTTCCAAGAGTGTGTGATGTAAAATCACACTCTTGTCTTTTTGTCTTTGAGGCAGAAGTCAGGTATTTATGGTAATGAAAAAGAAGTCTAGGTCTCTTTTTAGAAGATAGATGATGATGATGATGGAAGCAAATATAATGGTACATGGTACTTGGCCACATTTCAAATGGGTGATAGTGAACATTCACTGAAGTGCCACAGGTGGCTCTTATTTGCCAGGTCAAATCTGCTTTGTGAGGAAGGCTCAGCCCACTGATGTCAAGCATTTCTGGCAGTTCCTAGATAGACGAACAGAACCTCATGGGGCTGGTTTAATGGGATGAGAATTAAAAACACCCAGGTTCCAGGTTATTAAAGATATTTTTACATTTATGAAAAAATGTAATATGGTGTGTGGCTTGGTTTGAATAAATCTTCACTGAGCTCAGTAGCTGACTGATTTACCTAACCTGTAGGTAAAGAAAATGGAAATAGCCTCAGATCAAGTTTATTTTATAGGCTTCTTTCTGTACATATAGATACAAAATAGGTGGCTCGATAAACATATACACACAAAATGAGTCACATGGGTATGTCTATGAAATGTTTATTTCTGCATATGACCCTTAAAAAAAACCTCAGAAATAAAGTAGGTCAGATGACATCTCCGTATTCTACCCCTGAAGCTGAGATAAATTAAGCAAATTAGCAGAAACCAGGTGATTGCAATCAGCCAGTTTGCACAGCCCAGGTGATCCCAACCAGCCAAGTAGCTCAGCCCAGGTGTATACAATTATCAAATTATCTAAATGGTGACTGTGGCTTTGTCGAGACAGGCCCCAAATGGTAGGTGTGAACACAACATGCACAGAATGAGGAGACATGCAGAGTGCTGAAATACTGTCCTGGACAGATGTGTTACATGACTTTCTTTTCAGCTTATTTCTGTGGCCTGCCTTTGAAGATAGAGCTTTGTTGATATTTACATAAACAAAATTGTATAACTATGTTCCATTCTGACATGTTATTTAGCAAAAGAAAAAAGAAGTAATTCTACATCAGCATCTTCAGTGCATGCTAAAAGATTAAAAATGTCTTTTGGGGAACATGTTTTGTATACATAAATGTTTAGATAGAAATATTTATAGAATTCTCTATGTGAGTATTTATCTCCCTATGTATATTTATATCTAGATGTGTCAATCTTTGTATTGATATGAAATGCTATGAATAGTGAGATAAAAAGTAATTTCCAGCTGGGTGCTGTGGCTCACACCTGTAAGCCCAGCACTTTGAGAGGCTGAGGCAGGTGGATCACCTGAGGTCAGCAGTTCAAGACCAGCCTGTCCAACATAGTGAAAGCCTATCTTTACTAAAAAATACAAGAAATTAGCCAGGCTTGGTGGCAGGCATCTGTAATCCCAGCTACTAGGGAGGCAGAGGCAGGATAATTGTTGAACCTGGGAGGCCGAGGTTTCAGTGAGCTAAGATCACATCTATACACTCCGTCCTAAGCAATAGGGCAAGACTCGATTCAAAACAAAACAAAACAAACTAACAAAATGATGGTACACAAAACCTTTAAAGTACTTTTATAGAATATAAAAATATGGAAATCCGCATAAATGTTAATAGATACACCATATAGAATAATTTTAAAATCAACAACAGAAATTCTCCTTTACTTAGTCATAGTGTTGGAGGCGTTCGAACAAGAGTGACTCCGGCTCCCCTCCCCTCTCCCCTCCCCTCTCCCCTCTCCCGTCTCCCCTCTCCCCTCTCTCCTCCCCTTTCCACGGTCTCCCTCTCATGCCAAGCCAAAGCTGGACTGTGCTGCTGCCATCTCGGCTCACTGCAACCTCCCTGCCTGATTCTCCTGCCTCAGCCTGCCGAGTGCCTGCGATTGCAGGCGCGCGCCGCCACGCCTGACTGGTTTTCGTATTTTTTTGGTGGAGACGGGGTTTTGCTGTGTTGGCCGGGCTAGTCTCCAGCTCCTAACCGCGAGTGATCCGCCAGCCTCAGCATCCTGAGGTGCCAGGATTGCAGACGGAGTCTCGTTAACTCAGTGCTCAATGGTGCCCAGGCTGGAGTGCAGTGGTGTGATCTCGGCTCGCTACAACCTCCACCTCCCAGCCGCCTGCCTTGGCCCCCCAAAGTGCAGAGATTGCAGCCTCTGCCCGGCCGCCACCCCGTCTGGGAAGTGAGGAGCATCTCTGCCTGGCCGCCCATCATCTGGGATGTGAGGAGCCCCTCTGCCTGGCTGCCCAGTCTGGAAAGTGAGGAGGGTCTCTGCCCGGCCGCCATCCCATCTAGGAAGTGAGGAGCATCTCTGCCCGGCTGCCCATCGTCTGAGATGTGGGGAGCGCCTCTGCCCCGCCGCCCCGTCTGGGATGTGAGGAGCACCTCGGCCCGGCCACGACCCCGTCTGGGAGGTGAGGAGCGTCTCTGCCCGGCCGCCCCATCTGAGAAGTGAGGAGACCCTCCGCCTGGCAACCGCCCCATCTGAGAAGTGAGGAGCCCCTCCACCCGGCTGCCACCCCATCTGGGAAGTGAGGAGCGTCTCCGCCCGGCAGCCACCCCGCCCAGGAGGGAGGTGGGGGGTCAGCCCCCGTCAGGCCAGTCGCCCCGTCCGGGAGGGAGGTGGGGGGTCAGCCCCCCGCCCGGCCAGCTGCCCCGTCCGGGAGGGAGGTGGGGGGTCAGCCCCCCGCCCGGCCAGCTGCCCCATCCGGGAGGGAGGTGGGGGGCTCAGCCCCCCGCCCGGCCAGCCGCCCCGTCCAGGAGGTGAGGGGCGCCTCTGCCCGGCTGCCCCTACTGGGAAGTGAGGAGCCCCTCTGCCCGGCCAGCCGCCCCGTCCGGGAGGGAGGTGGGGGGGTCAGCCCCCCGCCCGGCCAGCCGCCACGTCCGGGAGGGAGGTGGGGGGGTCAGCCCCCCGCCCGGCCAGCCGCCCCGTCCGGGAGGGAGGTGGGGGGGTCAGCCCCCTGCCCGGCCAGCCGCCCTGTCTGGGAGGGAGGTGGGGGGGTCAGCCCCCCGCCCGGTCAGCTGCCCCATCCGGGAGGTGAGGGGTGCCTCTGCCCGGCCGCCCCTACTGGGAAGTGAGGAGCCCCTCTGCCCGGCCAGCCGCCCCGTCCGGGAGGGAGGTGGGGGGGGTCAGCCCCCCGCCCGGCCAGCCGCCCCGTCTGGGAGGGAGGTGGGGGGGCTCAGCCCTCCCGCCCGGCCAGCCGCCCCATCCGGGAGGGAGGTGGGGGGCTCAGCCCCCGGCCCGGCCAGCCGCCCCGTCCGGGAGGGAGGTGGGGGGCTCAGCCCCCCGCCTGGCCAGCTGCCCTGTCCAGGAGGTGAGGGGCGCCTCTGCCCAGCCGCCCCTACTGGGAAGTGAGGAGCCCCTCTGCCCGGCCACCACCCCGTCTGGGAGGAGGTACCCAACAGCTCATTGAGAACGGGCCATGATGACAACGGCGGTTTTGTGGAATAGAAAAGGGGGCAAGGTGGGGAAAAGATTGAGAAATCGGATGGTTGCTGTGTCTGTGTAGAAAGTAGTAGACATGGGAGACATTTCATTTTGTTCTGTACTAAGAAAAGTTCTTCTGCCTTGGGATCCTGTTGATCTATGACCTTAACCCCAACCCTGTGCTCTCTGAAACATGTGCTGTGTCCACTCAGGGTTAAATGGATTAAGGGCGGTGCAAGATGTGCTTTGTTAAACAGATGCTTGAAGGCAGCATGCTCGTTGAGAGTCATCACCACTCCCCAATCTCAAGTACCCAGGGACACAAACACTCTGCCTAGGAAAACCAGAGACCTTTGTTCACTTGTTTGTTTGCTGACCTTCCCTCCGCTGTTGTCCTATGACCCTGCCAAATCCCCCTCTGCGAGAAACACCCAAGAATGATCAATAAAAAATAAATAAATAAAAATAAAAGAATGATGCACATTTTAATAAAAAAAAATCAACAACAAACTGGAAAATATAGAGGCACAGTTTTTGTATTCAATTGAAGTTGTCATGAGATTAAAATATATTGCTTTAACTGTAAGATGTATGTAATCTACAGTTTTCAAGATGATTGCAAAGATTCTGTTTAAAGAAAGTATCTAAAATAAAACAAAAAATAATCAAAGCATGCCAGTACAAAATTAAAGAGAGTAAAAAAGGAAATGAGAAAAATATACTACTAGAAACACATGAAACAATAACAATATATCTGGAAATAACAACTTCATTTCTTTAAGGAATCATTTTAAATTTAAACGTATTAAACTACTTAATAAAATGAAATATAATCTCAGGACTTTGGAAGGCCAAGATAGGCTGATCACTTGATCCCAGGAGTTCAAGACCAGAATCGGCAACATGGCAATAATCTGTCTCGACAAAGAATACAAAAAAAAAAGTTGGCTGGGTGTGATGTTACATACTTGTAATGCAGCTACTTGAGAGGCTGATATGAGAGGATCATCTGAGTTTGGGAGATTCAGGCAGCAGTGAACCGAGCAAATCAGCCTGGTTGACAGAGTGAGACACTATCTCCAAAATACACAAGGCTGGATGTGGTGGCTCATGCCTGTAATACCAGCACTTTGTGATGCCGAGGCAGGTAGACCACCTGAGATCAGGAATTCAAGACCAGCCTGGCCATCATGGTCAAACCCCATTTCTACTTAAAATAGAAAAAATTACCTGGGTGTGGTTGCAGGCGCCTGTACTCCCACCTACTTGGGAGGCTGAGGCAGGAAAATTGCTTGAACCTGAGAGGCAGAGGTTGCAGTGAACTGGGGTCACACCATTGCACTCCAGTCTAAGCAACAAGAGTGAAACTCCATCTGGAAAAAAATATACATACACACACACATATATATATATACATACACTTGTGTATATATATATATGTGTGTGTGTGTATATATATATATATAAAATTATATAAAGAAAAAGATATAGAATGCCTGAGTGGTTTTTTATAAAGCATACAGTATGCTGCCTACAAGAGACTAATTTAATCATTGAGTCAAATAGGCTGAAAGTAACAGAATAAAAAAATGTATATTCCATGAATATAGTAACCACAAGTGAGTGAGGTGGTCATAATTATATTGGGCAGAATATGCTTTAAGTACTACCATGAGACAATGATTGATATTATATTATGGTAAAGTGAGTTGATTTAGCAGGAATTTATAGTATTTATCTATCTATATGTATATGTGTAAATAACATAAGGGCTTTAAAATATATAAAGCAAATATTGACAAAAGTGAAGCAAGACATACATAGCGACATAATAATTGCAGACATCAAGGCCCCATTTGAAGAAATAAATAGAGAATTCAGATAAAAAATAAGAAACAGAAAACTGAGACAACATTATAGACTATATTAGTTATTTTGCATATAGAGGAACACATGGGAGTGCATAATTTATAAAGGAAAATGTTTATTTGGCTCACAGTTTGGCAGACTGTATAAGAAGTGTGTGTCAGCATCTGCTTCTGGTGAGGATATCAAGAAGCTTAAAATCATGGTAGAAGGTAAAAAGTAACTGGACATATTATATGGTAAGAGACAGAGCAAGTGTGAGGTGAAGAAGCCAGGTTCTTTTAATGAACCAGCTCTCATTTGAATTAATGGAGTGTAAACTTTTTGTTTACCAAGAGGATGTACCAAGCCATTCATGAGAAATATGCCCTCATACAAAAACATGTCCCACCAGGTCTCACAACCAACATTGAGGATTTATTTTGCAGCATGAGGTTTGGAGAACATGGACATCCAAACCATATTATAGACCAACTAGGCTTCACAGACACACACAAAACTCTCCAGTCAAAACCAAGATAATATGCAATATTTCTATTTGCATCTGGTGTATTCCGTTAGGACACATAGCAAGTTTTATTAAATTTTAAAATACTGACTGGGTGCAGTGGCTCTTGCCTATAATCCTAACACTTTGAGAGACCAAGGTAAGAGGATCCATTGGTGCCAGAAGTATGAGACCAGCCTGGGCAACATAGTGAGATCCTAACACTACAAAGAAGCAAACAATTAGCCAGACATGGTAGTGCATGACTGTAGTCCTAGCCACTCAGAAAAGTGAGGTGAAAGCATCATTCAAGCCCAGGAGACTGAGGCTACAGTGAGCCAAAGTTATGCCACAGCATTGCAGCCTGGTGACAGTAAGATCTTGTCTCAAAACAACAACAACAAATCACTTTAAAAACACTAAAATTATACACTGTGTGTTTTCCAACAAAAGCTGAATGAAACTAGGAATTAAAAGCAAAAGTCAAACTGGCAAATTCAAAACCTTGTGAATATGAAACACACTCTTCATCAACATATTCTTGCTCAGGGGTCAAAAAATGTTATTTTTCAAAGATGTCAATACAACCTACAGTTAAAAGCTAAAGAATATAAACAATGTGATACAGAAACAAAGATGAACAGATGAAAGAACAGAATAGAGAGCTCAGAAATGAATCCTTCTGTATATGATCAAATGATCTTCCACGAAGTTGCCATGAGCACAAAATAGAAATAATCTCTTCAAAAAAATGATGTTGAAAACTGAATATCAGCACTGATAAAATTAAGTTGGATTATTTCCTAGAATGATACAAAAATATATTTTAAATAAAATGCTGAGACATAAAAAAACTAACAAATCTTTTAGAAAAACTACAGGAAAAAGACATGACATTGGCCTTGGCACCATTTTCTTAGATACAAAATTAAATACATGAGCAGCAAATGAAATAACAGAAAAGTTTTAACTACAATAGGCTTCAAAATTTCTTCATACCAAAAAACAATTCAAGAGTAATGACATCCCTTAGAAAATAGGTGAAAACATTTGCAAATTAAACATGAAAGAAGTTAATATTCAAAATATATAAACAACTCTTAAAACTAAAAAATAAGGTTGAATAACTTGATTTAGAAACGGACAAACAACATTTTCATTAGAAAAGTACACAAATGAGAAAAAGCATTTGAAAGGACACATAAAATTACTAATTTGTAAAGAAATGAAAAAAAAACCACAATGACAAACAAAATCACCTCATACCCATTAATATGGCCATGATAAATTTTTTTAAAACACCAAATCTGTTGATGATACAATAAAAATGAAATCCATATTGAATGTTGGTGGAAAACAAAGATGCAGCCATTATTTTAAAAATTATAAATGTTCCTCATTTATAAATCTATATCCAAAATATGTAACGAAGGCCAGGCACAGTGGCTCAAGCCTATAATCCTAGTAATTTAGGAGGCTGAGGGGGCAGATCACCTGAGGTCAGGAGTTTGAGACCAGCCTGGCCCCATCTCTACTAAAAGTACAAAAAATTAGCTGGGTGTGGTGGTGGGTATCTATAATCCCAGCTACTCGAAAGGCTGAAGCAGGAGAATCGATTGAACCCAGGAGGCAGAAGTTGCAGTTAACCAAGATCACACCACTGCACTCCAGCCTAGGCGACAAAGCAATACTCCGTCTGCGGGAAAAAAAAAAAAAAAAAAAATGCAACACTGGACCTGGGAGGCATATTTGAAAATTCATCTTTATTATACCAGTATTCACAAAAGCCAAAAGTCTGAAGCAACCTAGATGTTCCTTGATTTATAAACGTATCAAAAAATGTAACATATACATGCGATGGAATATTATTCCACCTTAAAAAGAACAATCTTGTCACATTTTAAGATGAACATTGAGAATATTATGTCAGTTGAATTAATCCAGTAACAAAATTATGGATACCGTATGATTCCACTTATATGAGATATCTTAAGTAGTCAAAATCATAAAAACAAAAAGTGGAAGTTTTGTCTGCCAAAAGCTGGAGAGAGGGTAAAATGAGATGTTGTTACTTAATGGTTACTGAGTTTTAGTTTTGCAATATGTAAAGTTTCTAGAAATCTTTTGCACAACAATGTGAATATACTTAACATGCCTGAAGTGAACAGCATTTTTTTTTTTTTTTTTTTGAGACAGGGTCTCACTCTGTCACCCAAGCTGGAGTGTAGAGGCACAATTTTGACTCCTCCTCAATCTCCCATGTAGCTGGGACCACAGCTGCACACCACCATACCTGGCTACTATTAAGTTTTTTTTTATGGAGAGGGGTCTCCATGTATTCCCCAGGCTGGTCTCAAACTTTTCAGCTCCAGATATCCTCCTGTCTTGACCTCCCAAAATTCTGGGATTACAGATGAGAGCCACAACCACAGCTGGCTGTGAAATATACACTTCAATAAATTTAAGATGGTAAATTTTATGTTATGTGTTTTTAAAACAACGTTTTCAAGGAAAAACTGACAAAAATACAGAATGGTAAATCTTTTTAAAAATTAACTTCAAATCACAAAAGTGTTTCTCTCACAAAAAGAAAATATATATTCATCATTAAACACATCGTGATAATGACTATCTCCACGACTACTCACTTAGACAAGATAAAACTACCATCGAAAATCAGCTAACAAAGAATATGAGATAAGCCATAAGTAAAATTGGCATCGTATTTATAGATAAACACGCATGTCAGGCCTCTGAGCCCAAGCTAAGCGATCATATCCACTGTGACTTGCATGTATACATCCAGATGGCCTGAAGTAACTGAAGAATCACAAAAGAAGTGAAAATGGCCTGTTCCTGCCTTAACTGATGACATTACCTTGTGAAATTCCTTCTGGCTCAGAAGCTCCCCCACTGAGCATCTTGTGACCCCCGCCCCTGCCCACCAGAGAACAACCCCCTTTGACGGTAATTTTCCATTACCTACCCAAATCTTATAAAATGGCCCCACCCCTATTTCCCTTCGCTCTCTTTTTGGACTCAGCCTGCCTGCACCCAGGTAATTAAAAAGCTTTATTGTTCACACGAAGCCTGTTTGGTGGGCTCTTCACATGGACACGCATGACATTTGGTGCCAAAAACCCAGGACAGAGGTAATCCTTCGGGAGGCCTGTCCCCGCCCTCACTCCGTGAGGAAATCTACCTATGACCTCGGGTCCTCAGACCAACCAGTCCAAGGAACATCTCACCAATTTCAAATCGGGTAAGCGGTCTTTTCACTCTCTTCTCCAGCCTCTCTTGCTACCCTTCAATCTCCCTGTCCTTCCAACTCCAGTTCTTTTTCCTCTCTAGTACAGACAAAGGAGACACATTTTATCCGTGGACCCAAAACTCCGGTGCCAGTCTTAGACTCAGGAAGACAGTTTTCCCTTGGTGTTTAATCACTGTGGGGATGCCTGCCTGATTATTCACCCACATTTCATTGGCGTCTGATCACCGTGGGGACATCTGCCTTGGTCATTCACCCACATTCCCTTGGTGGCAAGTTAATTGCGGGGACACCTGCTTTGGATGCTCACCCATATTGCAGCCCAGGGCTGCTCACCACCCTCTTCTCCATGTCTCTACCTTTCTCCTTAAACTTACATCCTTCACTATGGGCAACATTCTGACCTCCATTCCTGCATCTTCTCCCTTAGCCTGTGTTCTTAAAAACTTAAAACCTCTTCAACTCTCACCTGACCTAAAACCTAAGCATCTTATTTTCTTCTGCAACACCACTTGGCCCCAATACAAACTCTATAATGGTTCTAAATAGCCAGAAAATGGCACTTTTGATTCCTCCATTTTACAAGACCTGGATGATTTTTGTCAAAAAAGACAAATGGTGTGAGATGCCTGATGTCCAGGCATTCTTTTACACATTGGTCCCTCCCTAATCTCTGTTCCCAATGCGACTCATCACAAATCCTCCTTCTTTCCCTCCCACCTGTCCCTTCAGTCCCAACCCCAAGCATCACTGAGTCTTTTCAATCTTCCTTTTCTACAGACCCACCTGTCCTCTCCTCCCCAAGCTGCTCCTCGCCAGGCCAAGCCAGGTCCCAGTTCTTCATCAGCCTCCGTTCCCCCACCCTATAATCCTTTTATCACCTCCCCTCCTCACACCCGGTCTGGCTTACAGTTTCATTCCATGACTAGCCCTCTCCCACTTGCCCAACAATTTCCTCTTAAAAAGGTGGCTGGAGCTGAAGCCATAGCCAAGGTTAACACTCCTTTTTCTTTATCTGACCTTTCCCAAATCAGTTAGCATTTAGGCTCTTTTTCATCAAATATAGAAACTCAACCCAGTTCATGGCCCATTTGGCAACAACTTTAGATGGTTTACCGCCCTAGACCCAGAAAGGGCAGAAGGCCGTCTTATTCTCAATATGTATTTTATTACCCAACCCACTCCCAACATTAGAAAAGCTCCAAAAATTAGATTCTTGCCCTCAAACCCCACAATAGGACTTAATTAACCTTGCCTTCAAGGTGTACAATAATAGAGAAGAGTAAAAATTACTTGCCTCTGCTATGAGACAAAACCCAGCCACACCTCCAGCACACAAGAACTTCAAAATGCCTAAGCCACAGTGGTCAGGCATTCCTACAGGACCGCCTCCCTCAGGATCTTGCTTCAAGTGCCAGAAATCTGGCCACTGGGCCAAGGAATGCCTGCAGCCCAGGATTCCTCCTAAGCCATGTCCCATCTGTGCGGGACCCCACTGGGAATCAGACTGTCCAGCTCGCCTGGCAGCCACTCCTAGAGCCCCTGGAACTCTAGCCCAAGGCTCTCTGACTGACTCCTTCCCAGATATTCTTGGCTTAGCGGCTGAAGACTGACACTGCCTAATCACCTCAGAAGCCTCCTGGACCATCACAGATGCTTTAGGTAACTCTTACAGTGGAAAGTGAGTCCATACCCTTCTTAATCAATACGGAGGCTACCCACCCCACATTACCTTCTTTTCAAGGGCGTGTTTCTCTTGCCTCCATAACTGTTGTGGATATTGACAGCCAGGCTTCTAAACCTCTTAAAACTCCCCAACTCTGATGCCAGCTTGGACCACATTCTTTTACGCACTCCTTTTTAGTTATCCCCACCTGCCCAGCTCCCTTATTAGGTCAAGACATTTTAACTAAATTATCTGCTTCCCTGACTATTCCTAGGCTACAGCCACACCTCATTGCCATCCTTTTCCCCAGTTCAAAGCCTCCTTCACATCCTCCCCTTGTATCTCCCCATTTTAATCCACAAGTATAGGACACCTCTACTCCCTCCTTGGTGACAATTCATGCACCTCTTACCATCCCATTAAAACCTAATCACCCTTACCCCAAAGGATTAAAGCCCGTTATCACCTGCCTGTTACAGCATGGCCTTTTAAAGCCTATAAACTCTCCTTACAATTCCCCCATTTTACCTGTCCAAAACCCAGACAAGACTTACAGGTTATTTCAGGATCTGTACCTTATCAACCAATTGTCTTGCCTATCCACCCATTGGTGTCAAAACCATATACTTTCCTATCCTCAATACCTCCCTCCACAACCCCTCCATAACCCATTAGTCTGTTCTGAATCTCAAACATGCTTTCTTTACTATTTCTTCGCACCCTTCATCCCAGCCTCTCTTCTCTTTCACTTGGACTGATGCTGACACCCATTAGGCTCAGCAAATTACCTGGGCTGTACTGCTGCAAGGCTTCACAGACAGCTCCCATTACCTCAGTCAAGCCCAAATTTCTTTCTCATCCATTACCTATCTCGGCATAATTCTTCATGAAAACACATGTGCTCTCCCTACCGATTGTGTCCAGCTAATCTCCCAAACCCCAACCCCTTCTAGAAAACAACAACTCCTTTCCCTCCTAGTCATGGTTAGGTACTTCTGCCTTTGGATATCTAGTTTTACCATCCTGACTAAACCATTGTATAAACTCAAAAAGCAAACCTAGCTGACCCCACAGATCCTAAATCCTTTCACCACTCCTCTTTCCATTCCTTAAAAGCAGCCCTAGAAGCTACTCCCACACTAGCTCTCCTTAACTCATCGCAACCCTTTTCATTACATGCAGCCGAAGTACAGGGCTGTGTGGTCAAAATTCTTACACAAGAGCTGGGACTGCACTGTGTAGCCTTTCTGTCCAAACAACTTGACCTTACTGTTTTAGGCTGGCCCCCACATTATTCCTGATACCACAACTGGCCCACATGACTGTATCGCTCTGATCCACCTGACATTCACTCCATTTCCTCATATTTCCTTCTTTCCTGTTCCTAACCCTGATCACACTTGGTTTATTGATGGCAGTTCCACCAGGCCTAATTGCCACTCACCAGCAAAGGCAGGCTATGCTATAGTATCTTCCATGTCTATCATTGAGGCTACCGCTCTGCCCCTCTGTGCTACCTCTCAGCAAGCCAAACTTGTTGCCTTAACTCAGGCCCTCAATCTTGCAAAGGGACTATGCATCAATATTTATACTGACTCTAAACATGCTTTCCATATCCTGCACCCCCATGCTGTTATATAGGCTGAAAAATGTTTTCTCACTATACAAGTGTCCTCCATTATTAATGCCTCTTTAATAAAAACTCTTGTCAAGGCGGCTTTACTTCCAAAGGAAGATGGAGTCATTCACTGCAAAGGCCACCAAAAGGCATCAGACCCCATCGCTTAAGACAATGCTTATGCTGATAAGGTAGCTAAAAAACCAGCCATCAAAAGGCATCAGATCCCATCACTTAGGACAATGCTTATGCTGATAAGGTAGCTAAAAAGCAGCTAGCATTCCAACTTCTATCCCTCATGGCAGTTTTTCTCCTTCTTATCTGGTCACTCCCACCTACTCCCCCACTGAAACTTTCACCTATCAATCTCTTCCCACACAAGGCAAATGATTCTTGGACCAAGGAAAATATCTCATTCCAGCCTCACAGACCCATTCCATTCTGTAGTCATTTCATAACTTCTTCCATGTAGGTTACAAGCCACTAGACTGCCTCTTAGAACCTCTCATTTCCTTTCCATCATGGAAATCTATCCCCAAGGAAATCACTTCTCAGTGTTCCATCTACTATTCTACTACTCCTCAGGGATTATTCAAGCCCACTCCCTTCCCTACACATCAAGCTCGGGGATTTACCCCTGCCCAGGACTGGCAAAGTGACTTTACTCACATGCCCCGAGTCAGGAAATGAAAACACTCCTTGGTATGGGTGGACACTTTCACTGGATGGGTAGAGGCCTTCCCGACAGGGTCTGAGAAGGCCACCATTGTTATTTCTTCCCTTCTGTCAGACATAATTCCTCAGTTTGGCCTTCCCACCTCTATACAGTCTAATAATGGACTAGCCTTTACTAGTCAAATCACCCAAGCAGTTTCTCAGGCTCTTGGTATTCATTGAAACCTCATACCCCTTACTGTCCTCAATCTTCAGGAAAGGTAGAATGGATTAATGGTCTTTTCAGAACATACCTCAGCAAGCTCAGCCTCCAACTTAACAAAAAGGACTCTGTCAAGAATAGAGCCCCAAAACTCACCAACCAAACAAGTAATTACTCTGAACCCCCTTGGACCCTCTCTAATTGGATGTCCTGGGTCCTCCCAATTCTTAGTCCTTTAATACCTGTTTTGCTCCTTCTCTTATTCAGACCTTGTGTCTTTGGTTTAGTTTCTCAATTCATACAAAACTGCATCCAGGCCATCACCAATCATTCTATATGACAAATGCTCTTTTTAATAGCCCCACAATATTGCCCTTACTACAAAATCTTCTTTCAGCTTAATATCTCCCACTCTAGGTTCCCACGCCACCCCTAATCCTGCTTGAAGCGGCCCTGAGAAACATCCCCCATTATCTCTCCATACCACCCCACCAAAATTTTCACTGCCCCAACACTTCAACACTATTTTATGTTATTTTTCTTATTAATATAAGAAGACAAGAATCTCAGGCCTCTGAGCTGAAGCTAAGCGATCATATACCCTGTGACCTGCACATATACACCCAGATGGCCTGAAGTAACTGAAGAATCACAAAAGAAGTGAAAATGGCCTGTTTCTGCCTTAACTAATGAGATTACCTTGTGAAATTCCTTCTCCTGGCTCAGCAGCTCCCCCACTGAGCACCTTGTGACCCCCACCCCTGCCCACCAGAGAACAACCCCCTTTGACTGTAATTTTCCATTACCTACCCAAATCCTACAAAATGGCCCCACCCCTATCTCCCTTTGCTGACTCTCTTTTCGGACTCAGCCAGCCTGCACCCAGGTGATTAAAAAGCTTTATTGCTCACACAAAGCCTGTATGGTGGTCTCTTCACATGGACATGTGTGACAATGCATACACATGTAATCTGATTGGGATACACATGCATTATTTATTTTTCAGTTGAAACTCAAGTTGACTTAAAGAGTACAAGCAGAATTGAAAATTGTCTAAATTTATAATACGTAAGTAAACCCAATAAACACAATAAACTGATGTTAAGAAACCTACACTGAGGCTGGGCTCGGTGGCTTAAGACTGTGCTCCCAGCACTTTAGGAGGCCAAGGCAGGCAGATCACCGAGGACAGGAGTTCAAGACCAGCCTGGCCAATATGGTGAAATGTGGTCTCTAATAATAAGGGAGGAGACCACCCCTCATATTATCTTATGCCCAATTTCTGCTTCCAAAGAAAGAAGAAGTAAAAACTAAAAGGCAGAAATGAAATCCACAAGCAGACAGCCTGGCACCAAAACCTGGGCCTGGTAGTTAAAGATCGACCCCTGACCTAATTGGTTATTTGTATAAGAAAAGCACTGTGAAGATCCCTGTCTTGTTCTGTTCTGTTCTAATTACCAGTGCATGCAGCCCCCAGTCATGTACCCCCTGCTTGTTCAATTGATCATGACCCTCTCATGCAGACCCCCTTAGAGTTGTGACCCCTTAAAAGGGACAGGAATTGCTCACTTGGGGAGCTTGGTTGTTGGAGATGTGAGTCTTGCCAAAGCTCCCGGCCTAATAAAGCCCTTCCTTCTTTAACTTGGTGTCTGAGGGGTTTTGTCTGCAGCTTGTCCTGCTACATTTCTTGGTTCCCTGACTGGGAAGCAGGTGATTAAAGGACCATTGAGACAGCCACTTAGGCAGCTTAGGCCTGCCCTGTGAAGCATCCCTGCAGGGGACTCTGGCCAGCTTGAGCAACGCGGATCCTGAGAGTGCTCCCGGGTAGGCAACTGCGCCAGTGGAATGCCTCACCAGAGCAGTGTGTGGCAGGCCCCCATGGAGGATCACTGCAGTGGCTGAACATCAGGAAGGAACTGGCACTTGGAATCCAGACATCTGAAACTTGGTAAGACTAGTCTTTGGAACTTGCCTACTCCATTTGAGTGGAAGCGTGGCCTGATCACCCATGACGTGCCCATACCAGCACTTAGGTTTTTTGTTTTTGAGTTGAGTTGAATTGCTTGATACTTAGGTTTTGGTTTTGACCTGGCTTGGATTTCTTGATACTCTGATTTTGGTTCTGATTCTGGTTTGGTGTAAACTGAAAAAGTGTGTGTGTGCCCTTTTTACCTGTTTTTGTTTTGTGGTGTGCATGTGGTGTAAGCGCAGTGTTTTGTCTCGAGGAAACATGGGTCAGGCACAAAGTAGGCCCACCCCACTAGGAGCTATGTTGAAAAATTTCAAAAAGGGATTTAAGGGAGACTATGGAGTTACTATGACACCAAGAAAACTTAGAACTTTGTGTGAGTTAGACTGGCCAGCATTAAAGGTGGGTTGGCCATCAGAAGGAAGCCTGAACAGGTCCCTTGTATTGAAGGTATGGCACAGTGTAACCTACAAGCCAGGGCACCCCGATCAGTTCCTGTATAAAGATTCTCGGTTAGAGCTAGTTTTGGACCCCCCACAGTAGTTAAGAGGACAGGCAGCAGCAGTACTAGTAGCAAAGGGACAGTTAGTTAAGGAAGGTTCTCACTCCACCTGCTGAGGGAAGCCGGCACCAAAAGCCCTGTCTGACCCAATACCAGAAGAATCATGGTCAGAATTGCAAGAGGAAGGGCTTCCCACTCCTGAGCCCACAGCACCCACACCTCCACCAGATAGCCACACTCCTAGACCACCCAGAGTAGACAAAAGAGGAAGTGAAGCCACGGGAGAAACTCCTCCCTTGGCAGCTCACTTACGGCCCAAGACTGGAATCCAAATGCCCCTGAGACAGCAGTGATATACTGGGGTAGATGAGGATGGACACATGGTGGAAAGGCGTGACTTTGTGTATCAACCTTTCACCTCTGCTGACCTCATCAATTGGAAAAATAATACTGCTGCTTACACTGAAAAGCCTCAAGCTTTAATTGACTTGCTCCAAACTATTATACACACTCATAATCCTACTTGGGCTGATTGCCACCAGCTGTTCATGTACCTCTTTGATGAAAGGCTAAGGGTGCTCCGGGTGGCAACTAAGTGGCCAGAGGAGCACATCCCAGTGGATTACCAAAATCCCCAAGAATATATAAGAATTCAGCTGCCAGGAACAGACCCCCAATGGGACCTGAACTAGTGACCAGACATGGAGAGGCTAAGACAGTACCATGATGCATGAATAGAAGGTCTAAAGAAAGGGGCTTAAAAGGCTACAAGTGTAAATAAGATCTCTGAGGTCATCCAAGAAAAAGAGGAGAGTCCAGCGCAATTCTATGAAAGACGGTGTGAGGCTTACAGTATGTACACTCATTTTGATCCAGATAGCCCTGAAAATCAGCACATGATCAACATGGCCTTAGTTAGTCAAAGCGTGGAAGATATCAGGAGAAAACTGCAGAAACAGGCTGGGCTTAAGTGTATGAATATCTCACAGTTACTGGAAATAGCCAATCAAGTGTTTGAATAGAGATGCAACAAGCCACAGAGAAAGCCGTAAGGAAGGTGAAAGCCAGGCCAGGCGAAACGCCAACTTACTGGCTGTGGCCATCAGGGGAATTCCCCCAAAAGGAGAGGGAAAGGGGGGTTCTGGGAATAATACCCTGTCTAATCACCCACGCTTGCAATGTAACCAATGCGCCTATTGTAAGAAAATGGGACATTGGAAAAATAAGTGTCCCCAACTGAAGGAAAAGCAACATGATTCAGAACAAAAGACCTCAGATAAAGATGAGGGAGCTTTATTCAATCTGGCTGAAGGGCTATTGGACTGAAGGGGACTGGGCTCAATCACCCCCAAGGAGCCCACGGTCAGGATTACAATTGGGGGCAAAGATATTAAGTTTTTGGTTGATACAGGTGTTGAACATTTGGTATTGACCACCCCGGTCACCCCCTTGTCCAAGAAAACCATTGATATAATCCGAGCAACAGGAGTTTCTACTAAGTAGACTTACTGTCTGCCACGGACCTACTCGGTGGCAAGACATGAAGTAGTTCACCAGTTCTTGTACATGCCTGGCTGTTCCTTGCCCTTGCTGGGAAGAGACTTGCTTAGCAAGCTGACAGCCACCATCTCCTTTACAAAACACGGCTCTTTACAGCTAAAGTTACTGGGAACAGGAGTTATCATTGTCCTTACAGTCCCCTGGGAAGAAGAATGGGAAGAGATACAACCAGCTCTAGCTGAGCGTTGGTCTTGAGAATGGACAGAGGATAATCCTCCAGGACTGGCGGCCAACCAAGCCCCCATACTCATAGAAGTTAAGCCTGGGCCCAACTGATTAGATGAAAGCAGTATCCCTTCCCAGGGAAGCTCTCGAAGGAATCCGGGTTCATCTCAGGTGCTTCAAAGCCTATGGAATTATAGTTCTTTGCCAGTGTCCATGGAACACCCCCCTCCTGCCAGTCCCTAAGCCAGGGACCAAGGACTACCAACCAGTACAGGACTTGCGCTTGGTCAACCAAGCTACAGTGACTCTGCACCCAACAGTTCCTAACCCTTACACGTTGTTAGGGCTGCTGCCGGCTGAGGACATCTGGTTTACCCATCTGGACTTAAAAGATGCCATCTGTAGCATCAGAATAGCTCCTGAGAGCCAGAAGCTGTTTGCGTTTCGGTGGGAAGATCTACAGTCAGGTGTCACTACTCAGTACACTTGGAACTGGCTTCCCCAAGGGTTCAAGAACTCCCTTACTATCTTCGGGGAGGCTCTGACTTGAGACTTGCAAAAGTTTCCTGCTAAAGACCTAAGCTATGTCTTGCTCCTGTACGTGGATGACCTTCTGCTGGGACACTCCATGGCAGTTGGGTGCTCAAAAGGGTTGATGCCCTGTTTCAGCACCTGGAGGACTGTGGGTATAAGGTGCCCAAGAAGAAATCTCAGATCTGCAGACAGCAGGTACGCTACCTGGGATTCACTATTTGGAAAGGGGAGCACAGCCTGTGGTCAGAAAGAAAGCAGGTCATCTGCAGCCTACCGGAACCTAAAACCAGAAGGCAAGTAAGGGAATTCCTGGGAGCTGTGGGGTTTTGCACATTATGGATTCCAAACTTTGCAGTGCTAGCCAAACCTTTGTACGGCATTACAAAGGGGGGCAACTGGGAGCCTTTTGAATGGGGGCCTCTACAACAGCAAGCCTTTTGTAAGTTAAAGGAAAAACTTACATTGGTCCCAGCCCTGGGACTACCAGATTTGACAAAGCCTTTTGCACTCTATGTGTCAGAAAGAGAAACAATGGCAGTTGGAGTTTTAACCCAGACTGTGGGGTCCTGGCCAAGGCCAGTGGCCTATCTCTCAAAACAACTAGATGGGGTCTCCAAAGGCTGGCCACCATGTGTAAGGGCCCTGGCAGCAACAGCCCTGTTAGCACAAGAAGCAGATAAACTAACCCTTGGGCCAAATCTGAATATAAAAGCCCCCATGCTGTGGTAACTTTGATGAACACCAAAGGACACCATTGGCTAACAAATGCTAGATTAACCAAGTACCAAAGCTTGCTATGTGAAAATCCCCACATAAACATTGAAGTCTGTAACACCCTAAATCCCACCACCCTGCTCCCAGTATCAGAGAGCCCAGTCGAGCATAACTGTGTAGAGGTGTTGGACTCAGTTTATTCTAGCAGACCTGACCTTAGGGACCAGCCATGGGCATCAGTAGACTTGGAGTTATATTTGGACGGGAGTAGCTTCATCAACCCACAAGGAGAAAGATGTGCAGAATATGCGGTGGTAACTTTGGATGCTGTCATTGAAACCAAACCATTGCCACAGGGCACTTCAGCCCAGAAGGCTGAGCTCACTGCTTTAACTCGAGCTCTAGAACTCAGTGAAGGTAAGACTGTAAATATCTACATTGACTCTAGACATGCCTTTCTAACCCTCCAAGTGCATGGAGCATTATATAAGGAAAAGGGCCTGTTAAACTCTGGGGGAAAGGACATAAAATATCAACAAGAAATTCTACAATTATTGGAGGCAGTGTGGAAACCTCAGAAGGTGGCAGTCATGCACTGCAGGGAATACCAGTGAGGCTCCACCTCAGTGGCCTTAGGAAACTCCCGAGCTGACTCAGAAGCTCGAAAAGCAGCATCTACCCCATACTAGGCATCAGTAGCAGCCCCCTTACTCCCTCAAATACCTGACCTGGTACCTACCTAAGAAAGAAAAAGACTTCTTCCACACAGAAGGGGGCAAGTAATAAAAGGAGGATGGATCAGACTGCCAGATGGGAGAGTAGCTGTGCTGCAGTTGCTGGGAGCCACAATTGTATTGGCCATGCATGAAACCACTCATCTAGGTCAAGAGTCATTTGAAAAATTGTTAGGCTGGTACTTCTACATCTCACGCTTCCCAGCCCTTGCCAAAGCAGTACCAAACAGTGCGTTACTTGCCGACAGCACAATATGAGGCAATGTCTCACTGTTCTGCCTGGCATACAAGCTTATGTAGCAGCTCCTTTTCAGGATCCTCAGGTGGATTTCACAGAAATGTGCAGGTAACAAGTATTTGCTGGTTCCTGTGTGTACTTACTCTGGGTGGGTGGAGGCTTATCCAAAAAGAACTGAAAAGGCCCCCAAGGTAACCTGTGTGCTTCTCTGAGATCTTATTCCTAGGTTTGGACTGCCCTTATGAATCGGCTCAGATAATGGGCCAGTGTTTGTGGCTGACTTGGTACAGAAGACAGCAAAGGCATTAGGAATCACTTGGAAGCTACATGCCACCTACCGACCTCAGAGTTCCGGAAAGGTCGAGCCAATGATTCGGACTATTAAAAATAGTTTAGGGAAAGTATGTCAGGAAGCAGGATTAAAGTGGATACAGGCCCTTCCTATGGTATTGTTTAAAATTAGATGCACTCCTTCTAAGAAAACAGGATACTCCCCTTATGAAATACTGTATCATAGACCTCCTCCTATACTATGGGGGCTTCCAGGCATTCCCTGAGAGTTAGGTGAAATTGAATTACAGTGACAGCTACAGGCTTTAGGAAAAATTACACAAACAATCTCAACTTGGGTAAATGAGAGATGTCCCATCAGCTTATTCTCCCCAGTTCACCTTTTCTCTCCAGGTGATTGCATTTGGATCAAAGACTGCAACATAGCCCCTTTGAGGCCACGGTGGAAAGGACCTCAGACCGTCATCCTGACCACCCCCACAGCTGTAAAGGTAGAAGGAATCCCAGCCTGGATCCACCACAGCTGTGTGAAACCTGCAGCCGCTGAAACCTGGGAGGCAAAACCGAGCCCGGACACCCCCTACAAAGTGACTCTGAGGAGGACGACAAGCCCTGCTCCAGTCACACCCAGAAGCTGACTGGTCTATGCACGGCCAAAGCATGAGGAGGATCATCGTGGGACTCATCTTCCTTATAATTTGGGCTTGTATAGTAAAAACTTCCACTGATTTTCCCCACATGGAGGACTGCTCTCAGTGTATACATCAGGTTACCGAGGTAGGGCAACAAGTTAAAACAATCTTTCTGTTCTATAGTTACTATGAATGTCTAGGGACTTTAAAAGGAACATGCTTATATAATGGCACTCAGTACAAGGTATGTAGCCCAGGAAAAGACTGGCCAGATGTGTGTTATGACCGTTCTGAGCCTCCCATGTCCACAGTTTTTTAACAAAGATTAAGGACTGAAGTCTGGTGGGGACTCATAAATGATACAAGTAAAGTATTGACCACAACAGAATAAAAAGGGGTGCCCAAACGCATAATCTTGAGATTTGATGCCAGTGCTGTCATTAATAGCAATAAGTTAGGAAGGCAAGGTCGCTCTTTTAGTTGGGAAAAAGGCTATATGACTGAAAAAAAGTACATTTGTCATGAATTAGGATTGTGTGGCAATGAATGTGGATATTGGTCTTGTGTCACTTGGGCAACTTGGATAAAAAATGAAAAGGATCCAGTCCACTTTCAGGAAGGAAAAAATAGCCTTTCCTGTATTAAGGGAAAATGTAACCCCACAGAGCTAGTAATAACAAATCCCCTTGATCCTCACTGGAAAAAAGAGGAGTGTGTGACCTTAGGAATTGACGGGTCTGGATGGGATCCTCAAGTAAATATCTTAGTTTGAGGAGAAGTTTACAAACGCTCTCCTGAGACAGTGTTTCAAACTTCCTATGATGAACTAAATGTACCAGTACCAAAAATTCCCAGAAAAACAAGAAATTTGTTTTTGCAATTATCTGAGCACATAGCCCAGTCTCTCAATAACACTTCATGTTATGTGTGTGGAGGAACTGTAATGGGAGATCATTGGCCATGGGAAGCCCAAGGATTAGTACCTATAGACCCAGTTCCTGTTGAATTCCTGGCTCAAAAGAATCACCCTGATAATTTCTGGGCCCTAAAAGCCTCAATTATTGGACAATATTGCATAGCTAGAGAAGGAAAATAATTCACTCATCCCATAGGACAACTTATTTGTCTGGGACATAAATTGTATAATGGTACCACAAAAACAGTCACTTGGTACAGTTCAAATCACACAGAAAGGAATCCATTTAGTAAATTCCCAAAGTTGCAAACCGTGTAGACCCACCCAGAGTCCCACCAGGACTGGACAGCCCCCACTGGATTATACTGGATATGTGGGCATAGAGCTTATGCCAAATTACCCAACCAGTGGGCAGGTAGTTGTGTTATTGGCACTATTAAACAATCTTTCTTCCTATTGCCCATAAAGACAGGTGAACTCCTGGCTTCCCTGTCTATGCTTCTCATGAAAAGAGAAGCATAGCCATAGGGAATTGGCAAGATGATGAATGGCTCCCTGAGAGAATCACACAATATTATGGGCCTGCTACTTGGGCACAATACGGCTCGTGGGGATACTACAACCCCATTTACATGCTCAACCAAATGATATGGTTACAAGCTGTCTTAGAAATAACCACTAATAAAACTGGCAGAGCCTTGACTATTCTGGCCTGGCAAGAAACTCAGATGAGAAATCCTACCTATCAAGATAGATTGGCTCTCGACTACTTACTAGCAGCTGAAGGAGGGGTCTGTGGGAAATTTAACCTTACTAATTGAGGTCTACACATAGATGACCAAGGGCAAGTAATTGAAGACATAGTTAGAGATATGACAAAACTGGCACATGTGCCTGTGCAAATGTGGCATGGATTTGATCCTGGTGCCAAGTTTAGAAAATGGTTTCCAGTGCTAGGAGCATTTAAAACTGTTATAATAAGAGTTATAATAGTAATAGGAACCTGCTTACTGCTCCCTTGTTTGCTACCTGTACTTTTTCAAATGATAAAAAGCTTCACTGCTACCTTAGTTCACCAAAATGTTTCAGCACAAGTGTACTATTTGAATCACTATCGATCTGCCTTGTAAGAAGACACGGGTAGCCAGAATGAAAGTGAGAACTCCCACTACTGAGATTCTCAAAGGGGGGGAATAGGGAGGAGACCACCCCTCATATTGTCTTATGCCCAATTTCTGCCTCCAAAGAAAGCAGTAAAAACTAAAAAGCAGAAATGAAATCCATAAGCAGACAACCCTGACCTAATCAGTTATTTGTACAAGAAAAGCACTGTGAAGATCCCTGTCCTATTCTGTTCCATTCTAATCACCAGTGCATGCAGCCTCCAGTCACATACCCCTGCTTGCTCAATTGATCACAGCCCTCTCACATGGACCCCATTAGAGTTGCAAGCCCTTAAAAGGGACAGGAATTCCTCACTTGGGGAGCTCAGTTGTTGGAGACGTGAGTCTTGCCAAAGCTCCTGGCCGAATAAAGCCCTTTCTTCTCTAACTTGGTGTCTGAAGGGTTTTGTCTGCAGCTTGTCCTGCTACAATAATAATGCACAAATTAGCTGGGCTTGCATGCATCTGTATTCTCAGCTACTTTGGAGGCTGAGGCAGAAGAATGGGTTGAACTCGGAAGGCAGAGGTTGCAGTGATTTGAGATTGTGCCAGTAAACTTTAGCCTGGGTGACAGAGCGAGACTTTATCTCAAAACAAAAAAAAAAGTAACCTACCCTGAAAAAACTCACTAACATAGCGTTGGGGGAAGTCAGGGACCCCAAATGGAGGGACCGGCTGGAGTTGCAGCACAGGAACATAAACTGTGAAGATTTCATTTTAATATGGACATTTATCACTTCCCAAATAATACCTCCATAATTTCTTATGCCTAGCTTTATTTTAATCTCTTAATCCTGTTATCTTCATTAGCTGAGGCTGTACATCACCCCAGGACCAGTATGATAATTGTGTTAACAGTACAAATTGATTGTAAAACATGTGTGTTTGAACAATATGCAATCAGTGCACCTTGAAAAAGAACAGAATAACGTGGTTTTTAGGGAACAAGGAAAGACAACCATAAGGTCTGACTGCCTGTGGGGTTGGGCAAAAAGAGCCATATTTTTCTTCTTGCAGAGAGCCTATAAACGGATGTGCAAGTAGGGAAGATATCACTAAATTCTTTTCCTAGCAAGGAATACTGATATTAATACTCTGGGAAAGGAATTCATTCCTGGGGGGAGGTCTATAAATGGCCTCTTTGGGAATGTCTGTCCTATGCAGTTGAGATAAGGACTGAGATATGCTCTGATCTCCCACAGTACCCTCAGGATTACTAGGATTGGGAAACTACACCCTGGTAAATTTTTGGTCAGACCGGTTCTCTGCTCTCAAATCCTGTTTTCTGTTAAGATGTTTATCAAGAAAATACATGCACTACAGAACATAGACCCTTATCAGGAGTTCTGATTTTGCCCTTGTCCTGTTCCCTTAGAAACATGTGATCTTTGTTCTGCTTTTTGCCCCTTGAAGCATGCGACCTACTCCCTGTTCATACACCCCCTCTCCTTTTAAAATCCTTAATAAAAACTTGCTGGTTTTAAGGCTCAGGTGGGCATCACGGTCCTACTGATATATGATGTCACCCCTGGTGTCCCAGCTGTAAAATTCCTCTCTTTGTACTCTTTCTCTTTATTTCTCAGCCGGCCGACACTTATGGAAAATAGAAAGAACATATGTTGAAGTATTGGGGGTGGTTTTCCCCAATAACTGGTGTGCCAATGTTGTTTTCTTTTTCCTAAGTGCATGTGGGAACCTGATTCCCTTTGGTAGGTGTGGAGGAATGTTCATTGGTCCAGTCCACAGAAATGCTTGTTTGACTCCCTGACGATTGGTGAGTTGTCTGTGTATTGTCTGCGGTAACTATGGGTCACATGGAGTCTAAACATTTTGCTTATCTCTGCTATATTAAACTCCTGTTAAAACTTGGTGGAGTTCTGGTGCCCAAGGAAAATATGGTCACCCTATTCAGGGCAGTGGAAGAATACTGTCCTTGGTTTCCTGAAAAGGGAACGTTAGATGTGGAACTATGGGATCATGTTGGTGCAAAATTCTGGGAACTGGTCCTGACAGGAAATTATGTTGCCATCACTGTTTGGGGTGATTGGGACTTGGTACCTGGTGTCCTAATGACATACCAATCCCGTGTCCCCTGCAGTTACCACAATTTTCTAAATCTGGCAACCCTCTACCTCTTCCTCAGCTTTCCTCTCCCACTCGGCCTTCATTATCTGCTCAGCCTCTCCCTTTGCCTACTCCTCCCTGACCTGACAATGTTGAGAATTCAATATCTAACTCCAGTGACTTTGGCTTAACATCTCCCCTGATGATCTTATTTCTTTTCATGAAGAGCCGGTACTTGTAGCTCCCGTGGCCCCAACTTGGACAGCCAGGACCATATCTATGCTAACTCTTCCCTCTTCAAACGTTTGCAGGCTTTGCCTCCGGAGACCCCTAATGGCTCCAGGACCAAACTATAATTTACCTGTAATTCTGTAGGCCCTCCCCCATCCACCACAGCTCCTCACCCTCCTGTCATTTTGGTCCCTCAATCAGTCACTTTGCCATCCACTCAGCCTGCTTCTCTATACGCTTCTTCATGCAAGGACACTCCTGCCACTCTAGTTGCACAGGACTGGGACAATAATCACCAGTATGCTTCTGCCTCTTGTGCTCCCCCAATGCCCCTTTCTCACACTCTCATACCAGTCTGACCTCCTCAACCTCAGTTTCTCTTATCTGCACATACTTTTCCTGTCACTTCTATGCCAACTCCGTCTCATGTGCCTGTTCTTGAAACTTTAATGCAACACTTATTACACCAGAACAAAGAAACAAGTGGATTAGAGATGTAGGCTTATCCGGTCATGCTGGAACCTCCTGATGCTCAAGGGGTACAAGTGCTTTGGTATGCACTGCTCAATCTTACCTTTTTAAAAGAATTCAAGGATCTCTTTATTCAGTATGGTCCTAGTTCTCCATATGTTAAAATGGTATTACAGACTCTTTGTACTGAGGTCATTTTGCTTCTTTTAGACTGGGACTTTTTGGCAAAAGCTGTTCTAACTGCATCTCAGCATTTACAATTCTGTACCTGGTGGTCAGAGGAGGCCCGTCTGCAGGCTCAACTAAATTGGGCTGATGGCATTCTAATTACTCAGGCTCAGCTCACAGGCTCTGATAATTACTCTGACACTAGCGTTCAATTAGGCTTTGATGCTCTCACCATGGAACAAGTAACGAAGTTGTGTATGAGAGTTTGGGATAAATTACACACCCCAGGCCAAGCTCCTGTTTCATTTACTAGTGTTAAACAAGGTCAGAATTATACCCTCATTTTTTTGGCTAAATTACAAGATGCTGTTGAAAAATCTGTCTCTCATGAGCATGCTCAAGGTATTCTCCTTCATATGTTAGCTTTTGAGAATGTGAACCATGAATGTAAAATTGCCATGTGTTCCATCCAAAGACAAAATTTTCCTGATCATGAGGTGTTGCCTGCATATATTAAAGCTTGGGAAGGCATTGGATCAGAGACCCACAAAGCTATTCTGTGGGCACAGGCCATGAAGGATGGCAGTCAAACTGTCTCAACTTATTCTTTTCTTGGAGCCTGTTAAAAACTTAAAAGCAGCCAAGCTGGCTCAACAAACACAGTCAAATTCTCCTACTACTGTTTGCCCATGTTGTCTAAAGATAAACACTGGGCAAGTACTTGCCCCTCTAAGTCTGATATAGATGCAAATCCCTTGCCACAGAACCAGGGAAATGGGAAGTGGGGCCAGTCCCAGACCCCAATATCAAATGGGACACCTCAGACTCAGACCAATGTTGCATTTCCACTTCAAGTGGTCCCAACGTAGCCCCCAGCACAAACAAATTTACCTACAGCCAACCCAGATGGGTCCCATCCTCTTCTTCTATCTCAGTACAGTGCTTGTCTACCTCCACAGTAGGGGTCAGGGGGGTCGATCTCTGTATTACCATTCCTCTAAATTTACTACCTAATTCTTTGCCTTTAATTGTCCCCAGAGGGGTCACTGGCCCTTTATCTCAAGGTTCGGTGGGCCTGGTGTTATGTAGGATGTAGGGTATCCACCTCTGCTAAAGGTATCATAGTTCATACTTGTCTCATTAATTCTGATTCCTCTGATGAGATTAAACTTATGGTGTCTGCCAAGGTTCCTGTTTCCATTCCGGCCAGTGAGTCAATTGCTCAATTACTTTCACTACCTAATATTGTTTAAACAAAGGAGATAAGACACGGGGCCCTGGGATGGGCTCTGGTGGTGAAAAAGCCACTTATTTGATTAACGTAATTTCTAAACAATGGCCCACCTGCACCATACGCCTTCAAGGAAAAAAGTTTGAGGGCCTAGTAGATACTGGGGCTGACATTTCTAATATTTCCTCTAATTTATGGCCTTCCTCTTGACTTAAACATCCCACTAACATGGGACTAGTAGGTGTTGGAAAAGCTGATGAAGTTCACCAGAGCACATTTATCTTGCCTTGCATTGGCCCTGATGGTCAAAAGGGTGCAATTCAGCCTTATATCATGCCAATCCCCATTAATCTTTGGGGTAGAGATTTGTTGGCACAAGGGGGAGCTGAAATTAATATTCAGCATAACTCTTATAGTGCTCCCAGTCAACATATAATGGAAAACATGGGGTTTGTTCCCAGACTCGGTTTCAGTCCAAAACATGAAGGAATTGCTAAACCTCTTCAAGTTACTGTAAAAGAAGACAGCGCTGGTTTAGGTTCTCCTTTTTAATGGCGGCCACTGCCATGCCTCCTAATCCTATTCCTTTACAATGAAAATCTAAAACACCTGTTTGGATTGATCAGTGGCCACTCTCTAAAAAAAACTGGAGGCTTCAACTCAATTGGTTTCTGAACAGTTACAACTTGGAAATGTGGAATCTTCTCTTTCCCCCTGGAGTTCTCCTGTGTTTCTAGTAAAAAAGAAATCAGGCAAGTGGTGGATGGTAACTGATTTAAGGTCCATTAATGCTGTAATTAAACCTATGGGAGCCATCCAACCTGGCATGCCTGCCCCTGCTTTAATACCTAAGAATTTCCTCTCATAGTTATTGATCTTAAAGTATTTTTATTGCTTTACATAAATTGGATTGTGAAAAATTTGCCTTTACTGTACCATCTATCAATAATCAGGAGCCTGTAGCTCATTATCAATGGAGAGTACTTCCTCAGGGAATGCTGAATAGCCCTACCATCTGCCAGCTTTATGTTGGATGGGTGCTTTCACCAGTGTGAGCTCAATTTCCCCAGGCCTATATTCTTCATTATATTGATGATATATTAATTGCTGCCCCCACTGATAAAGAATTAATTGACTGTTATCAATTTTTGAGCCACCATGTCACTGAGGCTGGATTACACATCACTCAAGATAAAATTCAAAAGACCACTCCTGCTCAATATTTAGGAATGGTGGTCAATAAAGAATATATTCAACCTCAAAAAGTTCAGATTAAGAGAGATTCTTTGAAAACCTTAAATGATTTCCAAAAACTTTTGGGTAACATTAATTATTTAAGATCTACCTTAGGCATTCCAAAATATGCACTGTCTAACTTGTTTTCTATACTGTGTGGAGATTCCAATCTCCACAGTCTCAGGACTTTGACCCCTGAGGCTTCACTGGAACGGTAATTCATGGAAGAAAGAATCCAAACTGCCCTGTTGTCTAGGGTACAGCCATCTCAGCCTTTTCAGCTTCTGGTTTTTGCTTCATTGCACTCCCCTACTGGGCTAATTGTTCAACATAATGATTTAGTGGAGTGGTGTTTTCTTCCTCATTCTGTGTCAAAAACTTTGTCTGTTTATCTGGACCAAATAGCCAATCTAATTGGACAAGCTTGGTGTAGATCACTTAAAATTTCTGGATTTGATCCAAATCTATTGTGGTTCCTTTAAATCGGCTTAAAGTTCAGGCTGCTTTTCAACATTCCATACTGTGGCAAATTCACTTGACTGATTTTATCTGTGTTATTGTCAATCATTATCAAAAAAATTGTTTGATTTTATAAAAATGACTTATTGGGTGGTCCCTCAATAGACCAAAGATCAGCCCATTCCTGAGGCTGTTACAGTGTTCACTGATGGCTCCAGTAACGGAAATGCTGGTTATCTGTGTCCTGCAGACAAGCTTATTTCTACGCCTCACACATCTGCTCAAAAGGCAGAGTTAATTGCTGTAATTATTGCCTTACAGGATTTCCCCAAACTGTTAAATATTGTCTCTGATTCTGTTTATGTTGTACATGCCACTAAAAATATAGAAATCGCTACTATCAAACATATTGATAATTCTGAATTGGCTTTTTTTATTTTCAAGTTTACAACAGGTGGTTCGCCAGTGTAGACACCCTTTCTATACTACACATATCAGATCTCATACCACTTTACTGGGACCCATGCCTGCTGGTAATCAAAAGGTTGACCGGTCTCTTTTGCAAACCAAGAAGCTCAGAGTTCCATAATCTCACTCATGTCAATGCTACTGGATTAAAATATAAATTTGCTCTCACCTGGAAAGAGGCTAAGCTTATTATCCACTGCTGCCCTCAGTGCCAAGTTTTTGTACTTCCAAATCAGGAATCTGGCATTAATCCCAGAGGCCTAACTCCTAATGACTTATGGCAAATGCATGTGACTCATGTTAGCTCCTTTGGCAGACTTTCATATATGCATGTTTCTGTAGACATCTTTTCAGGCTTTATCTGGGCTACTTGCCAAACAGGGGAAGGCACTGCCCATGTTAAAAGACATAAGTATTCTTGCTTTGTAGTTATGGGGCTTCCATGTCAGATAAAAACAGACAACACCCCTGGATATGTAAGTCTTTTGATTTATTTATGCAACAAGGGGAATTTCCCATACTACCGGAATCCCTTACAATCCTCAGGGACAGACTGTGGTGGAACAGGCCAATTGCACTTTAAAAACTCAATTGTCCAAACAGTCTGAGCAACAAAAGCATAATTTAACCACTCCCCACTCCCAATTACATTTAGCA
This sequence comes from Homo sapiens, assembly GCF_000001405.40. Lineage (NCBI taxonomy): Eukaryota > Metazoa > Chordata > Mammalia > Primates > Hominidae > Homo > Homo sapiens. The sequence goes on along the minus strand of NC_000019.10, from coordinate 20,503,381 downwards.
TTGTTTACTTTAAACTTTCTAAATGTTCCTAAAGACAACTCTGACTGCAGCTGAATGCCATTATACAGGCAAAAAATTCTCCCTAAATGAAGGCAAGCCAGTGTTACGGAAAAACTCCCAAACCAATACCTGGGAACCTGGAACAATTATAACATGGGGAAGAGGGTATGCTTGTGTTTCACCAGGAGATCAATCCCCTGTCTGGGTGCCCACTGAGAGACTCAAACTTCGTGTGAATAGTGACAAAGAAAGCCACAGGGAAAAGACATCCAAGTCAGAGACCGCCTTCATACCTGGTGAGATCTCTGCCGACTTCTCAAAAACTGGCATGCCAAATCAAAATGGGTCTGGTTCAATCCTCCCTAATGGCAACGGAGACCCCTCTAATTAATGCCACTTCTAAACCTAAAAATCTCACCATTTCTATTAGCCTGAAAATAACATCCCTCTGTTCTTCTCTTCCTCCTTCAGCACAGGATCTTGCTTACAATAGGTTTTATTTAATAATTCTTCTTAAACTTTCTGTCTCATCAGTTTCCCCTCAAAATGATTTACCTGCTACACAAAATTATTCTTATTGGGCTTATGTGCCTTTTCTTCCACTTATTCGACCTCTCACCTGGATGAATGCTCCTGCAGAAATCTATACTAATGATAGTGTGTGGATACATGGAGCTACAGATGACCATTGCCCCACTCAACCAGGAGAAGAAAGCACTGAATTTAATGTTACCATGGGTTATAAATACCCTCCTCTGTGCCTTGGACATGCACATGTAGATGGTTGTATTCATCTACAAGCTCAAATCTGGGCTGCTTATCTTCCGGAGAGATTAGCTACAAGAGAACAGGGACATTTGATCTCCAGCCTCTCTCTTTCTCCTTTAAGACAAATGAAAGGGGGAGTAATAGGAGATACCCCAAACTTTCAATATAAACCTGTAGGAAAACCATGTCCTAAAAATTTTGAGGGCCCATCTAAAATTTTAATTTGGGAAGACTGTGTTAACTCACATGTAGTAGTACTAAAAAATGACGCATATGGTTTAGTAATAGGATGGGCACCAAAGGGCTATTTAAAAAACAATTGCTCCTCTGGTGGAAGGGAATGCCTGGAGGCTACTTATTTTATTTCTTATTGGGAGGACGAGGATCATCGTTCTACTTTACATAGGAAGTTCAGCTCATTCTTTCCCTTAAAATGGGAAGATAAGGGCATTACCCCTCCGAGGCCTCATATGATATTCCCCATTCTGAGCCTGGAACACTCAGAACTTTGGAAATTGGCTATTGCCATGTCTGGACTGTGAGTATGGGAAGGGTAAACTTTTCTGTCTGTTATCCCCACTACTGCCCCTTGCATCCATGACTCTGAACCCCATGATAAATCCCCTTTGAACCCTTTTCCTCTTTTTGATGCTGATCCTCCTTTATGGGACTCCAATTGGCATTATGATAATTCTTCTTGACCCAGGTATGCCCCTCTACTTCCTCAGCATCCCTGGGCACCTCGGATTGCTTCTTTATGGCAGACAACATTGGGCGTTGCCACCACCTCTACTCTCCCTCAGTATCAATGTTCTGCTTTGTTTACCTCCAGCCTGACTATTCCTATACAAAGTTGTGTTAAGCCTCCTTACGTGCTGTTAGTGGGAAATATCAAAATTTGGACACACAAACTGTCCAATGCATTAATTGTCATTTATACACTTGTGTTAACTCCCATTTTGACTCCAGGAGAAGTGTAATGTGGCTTCGAGCTCGAGAAGGAATCTGGATTCGGTAACTTTACCCAGACACTGGGAATCTTCCCTCTCAGTACATTTAATGAATGAAGTGTTACAAAGAATTCTCAAAAAATCTAAGAGATTTGTTTTCACTTTAATCACTGTGATCATGGGCCTATTTATAGTCACTGCACTGGCCACTACTGCCGGAGTGGCATTACACCAATCTATTCAAACGGCCCATTTTGTTAATCTTTGGCAAGCAAATTCCAACCAAATGTGGAATTCTCAACAAGGCATTGATCAAAAATTATCTAATCAAATTAATGATTTAAGACAATCTATACTTTGGCTTGGAGATCAGCTAGTGACTCTTGAACATTGCATGCGATGTTGGTACATTTATATAAAAAGAAAGGGAGAGATATTGTGGGAAGTCAGGGATGCCAAACAGAGGGACCAGCTGGAGTCGCAGCAGAGGAACATAAATTGTGAAGATTTCATTTTAATATGGACATCTATCACTTCCCAAATAATATGTTCATAATTTCTTATGCCTGTCTTTATTTTAATCTCTTAATCCTGTTATCTTCATTAGCTGAGGATGTACATCACCTCAGGACCAGTATGATAATTGTGTTAACTGTACAAATTGATTGTAAAACATGTATGTTTGAACAATATGCAATCAGTGCACCTTGAAAACAGAATAACAGCGATTTTTAGGGAACAAGGGAAGACAACCATAAGGTCTGACTGCCTGTGGGGTTGGGCAAAAAGAGCCATATTTTTCTTCTTGCAGAGAGCCTATAAATGGGTGTGCAAGTAGGGAAGATATCACTAAATTCTTTTCCTAGCAAGGAATACTGATATTAATACTCTGGGAAAGGAATTCATTCCTGGGGGGAGGTCTATGAATGGCCACTCTGGGAATGTCTGTCCTATGTGGTTGAGATAATGACTGAGATATGCCCTGGTCTCCCGCAGTACCCTCAGGATTACTAGGATTGGGAAACTACACCCTGGTAAATTTTTGGTCAGACCAGTTCTCTGCTCTCGAACCCTTTTTTTCTGTTAAGATGTTTATTAAGACAATACGTGCACTGCTGAACATAGACCCTTATCAGGAGTTCTGATTTTGCTCTGGTCCTGTTTTAGAAGCATGTGATCTTTGTTCTGCTTTTTGCCCCTTGAAGCACGTGACCTACTCCCTGTTCATACACTCCCTCCCCTTTTAAAATCCTTAATAAAAACTTGCTGGTTTTAAGGTTCAGGTGGGCATCGTGGTCCTACCGATATGTGATATCACCCCTGGTGGCCCAGCTGTAAAATTCCTCTCTTTGTACTCTTTCTCTTTATTTTTCAACCAGCTGACACTTATGGAAAATAGAAAGAACATACATTGAAATATTGGGGGCGGGACCCCTGATACACAGAACTTCAAAACAATAATAAGAGAAATATTTACTCACAAAATCTGGTATGCCACATTGATGTATCATCAAAAAAAAATTGTCAGGCAGGTGCAGTGGCTCATGCCTGTAATCTCAGCACTTTGGGAGGCAGAGGGGGGCAGATTACCTGAGGTGAGGAGTTTAAAAGCAGCCTAGCCAATGTGGTGAAACCCAAAATCTACTAAAAATACAAAAATTAGCCAGGCATAGTGGCACATCCCTGTAATCCCAGCTACTTGGGAGGCTGAGGCATGAGAATTGCTTGAACCCAGGAGATGAAGGTTGCAGTGAGCCAAGATCACACTATTGCACTCCAGCCTGGGTAAGAGAGGTAACTCTTTCTCAAAAAAAAAAAAAAAAAAAAAAAAATTGTGTAGGTAACTGTGATATTCAACTGCTACTATGTAATCATCATATACCTGTATTTTGAATCATTGGCATGCACTGTGTGGCACTAAAATTTCAGAAAATATGCAGTATAATTATAAATAGAAGACTCCAATGACAAACTTTTAATAAATTAGCATTTAAAAGAAACTAGAGTTGCTTTTTGTTTTAAATATATGCTATTCTTACACAAAATGAAACTGCTGTATTCCAACTTTAAAAGCAAATAATAACCTTCCATTGTTAAATATAGAAAAATATATATATATTTTGTAGAATAGGGTTAGATCCTCTGATATGTAAAACAAATATTAGGAAATGAACTATGTTATTATTTAGATATAGGCTGAAAATAGTAGACGAAAATCCTATAATTCCTTTTTGCCCGGAGCAAACATAAATTTATAAGTAACTATTTTAGTAAATATGGGGTGCCTACTAATATCTCATTTACTTCAGGTATACCATGCAAATTCTAGCATATGTGCTAAATGACTGAATCCAAAATTATAGACAAATTTGAAATAGAAAATAAAAAGTAAAAATGTAAAAGGACAGTGACATCAGTAAGATGAAAAGATTAAAAGTGCCCTATTTTCATATTCCCTTATGGCATAAAAAGTCAGCCACCCCTGACAAAAATGCCTTTATGAGAGAACCAGGATTATGGCTTACACCTGTAATGACAGCTACATGGTACGTTAAGGTTGGAGAACTAGTTCAGGCCAGGATTTTGAGACCAGCCTGGGTTATGTAGCAAGACACCATCTCCAAAATAAGTACCTCTAAGAGAGATTTGACATCCAGGGATGCAGTTGTGAAATGCTGTTAAAGCTTATGTTTGAGAAGTGTTCTATTCAGAAGGCAGGCCCTCACTCACGTGGGATACTACAGGACCCCTGTTTTAGCTACAGACCAGGATAGGGTTCACCCAACTTGGTTCCATTGAGAATTCTAAACTTACTCTGTAACCATCCCAAACTCCTCCCAGCCACAGTCTGACAGAGGTCCTGCTATTCCAGAGACTTGGAGGAAGGTGCCCATTTACAGTCATGCATCCAGGCATGCAGACCTTGGCCTTTACTGGGGTCACTGAGGCAGTTCCATGACTCAGTTTCAGTTACCTGAGCCACAGTTTATGGTCAGTTCTGCCTATATAGTAACCCACACGGTTACCTGAGGAAATGCTCTCTGGTACTCACTGAAAGCCACACCCATCCACATCCTGATACAAGGCCCACCATATGCAGAGCCAATTGCAAAAACATGCCCTAGTGTCTGCCTTATGGAGCAAAGCTCTGAAGGATATTCAGTCTGTCCAAAAATAAAATGGGAATTATAACAACCCAAGCCCCTGTAACAAGCCAACTAAAGGTGGACCCTAATGCAGACCCAGCAGCCTGGTGACCAAGCTACAACCCTTCTTCACTACAAATTCAGAGGGCATCTCATCACCCTAAGGGTCCAACAGAAGAAGATATTTACCTTCTGAAATCAGTTTATGAAAACTTGAATAGGTCTTTGCTCCATCAAATTCAGACACCAATGCAAAACTATATTGTGCCCATTGTGAATGCTTCTATTTTAGTGTAACACTGGAAGTATGTGGCAGAAGATTTACTCAAAGAAATAAAAAAAAATCCATTAAAATTTAAGAAAACTAAAAAGTTTTTGCTTGTAGATCATACAATATTATATTTAAAAACTAATAAACAGTACATTAAATCCTATCTAAACTAATAAATACACTCAGTAAATTACAAAATATGAAACTAACATACAAGTATATGTACGGTTTTATACACTTAAATCAAACTATCTGATAAAAATAGGACAAAAAAATCTTATTTGTTATAGCATTAAATAATTTCTGAGAAAAAAATTAACCAATGAAATGAAAAACCTTTACCAAAAAAAATCAGTGAAAGAAATTAGAGAAGTTCCAAATAAATTATAAAGTATTTTATGTCTATGGATTGAAAGAATAAATATTATTAGAGTTCCATATTATCTAAAGTGATCTATAGATTCAATAAACTTCCTATTAAAATTGCAGTGGTGTCTTTTTCAGTAATGAAAAATACAATTCTAAAATTTACATGAAACTAAAATAAACTGATTAGCCAAAGCAATCTTGATGAAAAGAACAGAGCAGAAGGATATCATACTTATACTTTCCAACTATATTTCAACACTATATAGTAATAAAAACAGAATGGAAATGTGCAGAATAATGAAAAAAATTCAACAGAAACTACTACTCTCGCACATTTCAAAATGCAAAAAGAGAACTTTGAGAATAGTTTTAGTTTCTTAAAATCATGCAGATAATTTTGTGTCATCAAAACAATGTAAAAGCAGCAAGATTGTGCAGTGTCTTATATGCCATGAAGAAGACTTTGGCTTTCACTGTGAACTTGAAGGAAGCTCACTGAAAGAAAAGTAGAATCCTTAGAGAATTTGAAAGCATAAGACAGCAGATGTCCCTTTGTGAGAGAAAAATTATAAAACAACCGCCCAGGAACTATTTCCTTTGGAACACAGCTTCCCAAATCACATTTTAAGTACTGGCTTTCTCTTTCACCTTGGGATCTCTTACCTGTGTCGTCTGTTGTATTCACTTTCACTTGCACCCACCTGGGTGTTTGGCAATCATCTCATGTCTCCTCATACTCAAAGGATTTTTCCTTGCTCCAGACAGATGATCAGGTCTGGCTTGGAGACAACAATACCTGTTTTATTAAAAATAAATAACATGAGACCGGGTGTGGTGGCTCACGCCTCTAATCCCAGCACTTTGGGAGGCCAAGGTGGGTGGATCACAAGGTCAGAAGATTGAGACCATCCTGGCTAACATAGTGAAACCCTGTACCTACTAAAAAATACAAAAAATCAGCCACACATGGTGGCAGGCACCTGTAGTCCCAGCTACTCGGGAGGCTGAGGCAGGAGAATGGCATGAATCTGGGAGGTGGAGCTTACAGTGAGCCCAGATCGCACCACTGCACTCTAGCCTGGGTGACAAAGTGACACTCTGTCTCAAAAAAATAAAAATAAATAAATAAATAATATGAATCTTGCTCATATTCTCCAATTACAAGCTAGTAATGTGCTCAGCTGAGAGGGTGTGATAAAATATTCTAGTAAATTAATACAAAAATACTAAGTTAAAACAGAAATTTCTAAATATTTAGAAAACACTTTTATTGTTATTATTATTATACTATAAGTTTTAGGGTACATGTACACAACTTGCAAGTTTGTTACATATGTATACATTTGCCATGTTGGTGTGCCGCACCCATTAGCTTGTCATTTAGCATTAGGTATATCTCCTAATGCTATCCCTCCTCCCTTCCCCCACCCCACAACAGTCCCCAGTGTGTGATGTTCCCCTTCCTATGTCCATGTGTCCTCATTGTTCAATTCCCACCTATGAGTGAGAACATGCAGTGTTTGGTTTTCGGTCCTTGTGATAGTTTGCTGAGAATGATAGTTTCCAGCTTCATCCGTGTCCCTACAAAGCACATGAACTCATAATTTTTTATGGCTGCATAGTATTCTATGGTGTATATGTGCCACATTTTCTTAATCCAGTCCATCATTGATGGACATTTCAGTTGGTTCCAAGTCCTTGCTATTGTGAATAGTGCCACAATAAACATACGTGTGCCTGTGTCTTTATAGCAGCATGATTTATAATCCTTTGGGTATATACCCAGTAATGGGATTGCTGGGTCAAATGGTATTTCTAGTTCTAGATCCCTGAGGAATTGTCACACTGACTTCCACAATGGTTGAACTAGTTTACCGTCCAACCAACAGTGTAAAAGTGTTCCTATTTCTCCACATCCTCTCCAGCACCTGTTGTTTCCTTTTTAATGATTGCCATTCTAACTGGCGTGAGATGGTATCTCACTGTGGTTTTGATTTACATTTCTCTGATGGCCAGTGATGATGAGCATTTTTTCATGTATTTTTTGGCTGCATAAATGTCTTCCTTTGAGAAGTGTCTGTTCATATCCTTTGCCCACTTGTTGATGGGGTTTGTTTTCTTCTTGTGAATTTGTTTGAGTTCATTGTAGATTCTGGATATTAGCCCTTTGTCAGATGAGTAGGTTGCAAAAAATTTCTCCCATTCTTTAGGTTGCCTGTCCACTCTGATGGTGGTTTCTTTTGTTGTGCAGAAGCTCTTTAGTTTAATTAGATCCCATTTGTCAATTTTGGCTTTTGTTGCCATTGCTTTTGGTGTTTTAGACATGAAATCCTTGTCCATGCCTATGTCATGAATGGTATTGCCTAGGTTTTCTTCTAGGGTTTTTATGGTTTTAGGTCTAACGTGGAAGTCTTTAATCCACCTTGAATTAATTTTTGTATAAGGTGTAAGGAAAGGATCCAGTTTCAGCTTTCTACATATGGCTAGCCAGTTTTTCCAGCACCATTTATTAAATAGGGAATCCTTTCCCTATTGCTTGTTTTTGTCAGGTTTGTCAAAGATCAGATAGTTGTAGATATGCAGCATTATTTCTGAGGGCTCTGTTCTGTTCCAATGGTCTATATCTCTGTTTTGATACCAGTACCATGCTGTTTTGGTTACTGTAGCCTTGTAGTATAGTTGGAAGTCAGGTAGCATAATGTCTCCAGCTTTGTTCTTTTGGCTTAGGATTGAATTGGCAATGTGGGCTCTTTTTTGGTTCCATATGAACTTTAAAGTAGTTTTTTCCAATTCTGTGAAGAAAGTCAGTGGTAGCTTGATGGGGATGGCATTGAATCTATAAATTACCTTGGGCAGTATGGCTATTTTCATGATATTGATTCTTCCTACCCATGAGCATGGAATATTCTTCCATTTGTTTGTATCCTCTTTTTATTTCATTGAGCAGTGGTTTGTAGTGCTCCTTGAAGAGGTCCTTCACATCCCTTGTAAGGTGGATTCCTAGGTATTTTATTCTCTTTGAAGCAATTGTGAATGGGAATTCACTCATGATTTGGCTCTCTGTTTGACTGTTATTGGTGTATAAGAATGCTTGTGATTTTTGCACATTGATTTTGTATCCTGAGACTTTGCTGAAGTTGCTTATCAGTTTAAGGAGATTTTGGGGTGAGACTATGGGGTTTTCTAAATATACAGTCATGTCATCTGCAAACAAGGACAATTTGACTTCCTCTTTTCCTAATTGAATGCCCTTTATTTCCTTCTCCTGCCTGAGTGCCCTGGCCAGAACTTCCAACACTATGTTGAATAGGAGTGGTGACAGAGGGCATCCTTGTCTTGTGCAAGTTTTCAAAGGGAATGCTTCCAGTTTTTGTCCATCCAGTATGATGTTGGCTTTGGGTTTGTCATAAATACCTCTTATTATTTTGAGATACGTCCCATCAATACCTAATTTATTGAGAGTTTTTAGCATGAGGCATTGTTGAATTTTGTCAAAGGCCTTTTCTGTATCTATTGAGATAATCATGTGGTTTTTGTCTTTGGTTCTGTTTATATGCTGGATTACGTTTGTTGATTTTCATATGTTGAACCAGCCTTGCATCCCAGGGATGAAGCCCACTTGATCATGGAGGATAAGCTTTTTGATGTGCTGCTGGATTCAGTTTGCCAGTATTTTATTGAGGATTTTTGCATCAATGTTCAAGAATACTGGTCTAAAATTCTCTTTTTTTGTTGTGTCTCTGCCAGGATTTTGTAACAGGATGATGCTGGCCTCATAAAATGAGTTTGGGAGGATTCCCTCTTTTTCTATTGATTGGAATAGTTTCAGAAGGAATGGTACCAGTTCCTCCTTGTACCTCTGGTAGAATTCAGCTGTGAATCCATCTGGTTCTGGACTTTTTTTGGTTGGTAAGCTATTGATTATTGCCTTAATTTCAGAGCCTGTTATTGGTCTATTCAGAGATTCAACTTCTTCCTGATTTAGTCTTGGGAGAGAGTATGTGTCCAGGAATTTATCCATTTCTTCTAGATTTTCTAGTTTATTTGCATAGAGGTGTTTATAGTATTCTCTGATGATAGTTTGTATTTCTGTGGGATCAGTGGTGATATCCCCTTTGTCATTTTTTATTGCGTCTATTTGATTCTTCTCTCTTTTCTTCTTTATTAGTCTTGCTAGCGGTCAATCAATTTTGTTGATCTTTTCAAAAAACCAGCTCTGGGATTCATTGATTTTTTTGAAGGATTTTTTTGTGTCTCTATCTCCTTCGGTTCTGCTCTGATCTTAGTTATTTCTTGCGTTCTGCTAGCTTTTGAATGTGTTTGCTCTTGCTTCTCTAGTTCTTTTAATTGTGATGTTAGGGTGTCAATTTTAGATCTTTCCTGCTTTCTCTTGTGGGCATTTAGTGCTATAAATTTCCCTCTACACACTGCTTTGAATGTGTCCCAGAGATTCTGGTATGTTGTGTCTTTGTTCTCGTTGGTTTCAAAGAACATCTTTATTTCTGCCTTCATTTCGTTATGTAGCCAGTAGTCATTCAGGAGCAGGTTGTTCAGTTTCCATGTAGTTGAGCGGTTTTGAGTGAGTTTCTTAATCCTGAGCTCTAGTTTGATTGCACCGTGGTCTGAGAGACAGTTTGTTATAATTTCTGTTCTTTTACATTTGCTGAGGAGTGCTTTACTTCCATAGAACTATGTGGTCAATTTTGGAATAGGTGTGGTGTGGTGCTGAAAAGAATGTATATTCTGTTGATGTGGGGTGGAGAGTTCTGTAGATGTCTATTAGGTCTGCCTGGTGCAGAGCTGTGTTCAATTCCTGGATATCCTTGTTAACTTTCTGTCTCGTTGATCTGTCTAATGTTGACAGTGGGGTGTTAAAGTCTCCCATTATTATTGTGTGGGAGTCTAAGTCACTTTGCAGGTCACTAAGGACTTGCTTTATGAATCTGGGTGCTCCTATATTGGGTGCACATATATTTAGGACAGTTAGTTCTTCTTGTTGAATTGATCCCTTTACCATTATGTAATGGCCTTCTTTGTCTCTTTTGATCTTTGTTGGTTTAAAGCCTGTTTTATCAGAGACTAGGATTGCAACCCCTTCCTTTTTTTGTTTTCCATTTGCTTGGCAGATCTTCCTCCATCCCTTTATTTTAAGCCCATGTGTGTCTCTGCACATGAGATGGGTTTCCTCAATACAGCACACTGATGGGTCTTGACTCTTTATCCAATTTGTCAGTCTGTGCCTTTTAATTGGAGCATTTAGCCCATTTGCATTTAAGATTAGTATTGTTATGTGTGAATTTGATCCTGTCATTATGATGTTAGCTGGTTATTTTGCTCATTAGTTGATGCAGTTTCTTCCTAGTCTTGATGATCTTTATAATTCGGCATGTTTTTGCAGTGGCTGGTACTGGTTGTTCCTTTCCATGTTTAGTGCTTCCTTCAGGAGCTCTTTTAGGGCAGGCCTGGTGGTGACAAAATCTCTCAGCATTTGCTTGTCTGTAAAGTATTTTATTTCTCCTTCACTTATGAAACTTAGTTTGGCTGGATATGAAATTCTGGGTTGAAAATTCTTTTCTTTAAGAATGTTGAATATTGGCCCCCACTCTCTTCTGGCTTGCAGAGTTTCTGCAGAGAGATCAGCTGTTAGTCTGATGGGCTTCTTTTTGTGGGTAACCCACCTTTCTCTTGGGATGCCCTTAACATTTTTTCCATCATTTCAACTTTGGTGAATCTGACAATTATGTGTCTTGGAATTGCTCTTCTCAAGGAGTATCTTTGTGGCGTTCTCTGTATTTCCTGAATTTGAATGTTGGCCTGCCTTGCTAGATTGGGGAAGTTCTCCTGTATAATATCCTGCAGAGTGTTTTCCAACTTGGTTCCATTCTCCCCGTCACTTTCAGGTACACCAATTAGACATAGATTTGGTCTTTCCACATAGTCCCATATTTCTTAGGGGCTTTGTTCATTTCCTTTTATTCTTTTTTCTCTAAACTTCTCTTCATGCTTCATTTCATTCATTTCGTCTTCCATCACTGACACCCTTTCTTCCAGTTGATCGCATCGGTTACTGAGGCTTGTGCATTCATCACGTAGTTCTCGTGCCATGGTTTTCAGATCCATCAGGTCCTTTAAGGACTTCTCTTCATGCTTCATTTCATTCATTTCGTCTTCCATCACTGACACCCTTTCTTCCAGTTGATCGCATCGGTTACTGAGGCTTGTGCATTCATCACGTAGTTCTCATGCCATGGTTTTCAGATCCATCAGGTCCTTTAAGGACTTCTCTGCATGGGTTATTCTAGTTATCCATTAGTCTAATTCTTTTTTCAAATTTTTTAACTTCTTTGCCATTGGTTCGAACTTCCTCCTTTAGCTTGGAGTAGTTTGATCTTCTGAAGCCTTGATCTCTCAACTCGTCAAAGTCATTCTCCGCTCAGCTTTGTTCCATTGCTGATGAGGAGCTGCGTTCCTTTGGAGGAGGAGAGGCACTCTGATTTTTAGAGTTTCCAGTTTTTCTGCTCTGTTTTTTCCCCATCTTTGTGATTTTATCTACCTTTGGTCTTTGATGATGGTGACGTACAGATGGGTTTTTGGTGTGGATGTCCTTTCTGTTTGTTAGTTTTCCTTCTAACAGTCAGGACCCTCAGCTGCAGGTCTGTTGGAGTTTACTGGACGTCCACTCCAGACCCTGTTTGCCTGGGTATCAGCAGCAGTGGTTGCAGAACAGTGGATATTGGTGAACCACAAATGCTTCTGCCTGATTGTTCCTCTGGAAGTTTTGTCTCAGAGGAGTACCCGGCCATGTGAGGTGTCAGTCCACCCCTACTGGGAGATGCCTCCCAGTTAGGCTACTCAGGGGTCAGGGACCCACTTCAGGAGGCAGTCTGCCCATTCTCAGATCTCAAGCGGCGTGCTGGGAGAACCACTACTCTCTTTAAAGCTGTCAGACAAAGACATTTAAGTCTGCAGAGGTTACTGCGGTCTTTTGTCTGTGCCCTGCCCCCAGAGGTGGAGCCTACAGAGGCAGGCAGGCCTCCTTGAGCTGAGGTGGGCTCCACCCAGTTCAAGCTTCTGGCAGCTTTGTTTACCTACTCAAGCCTGAGCAATGGTGGGCGTACCTCCCCCAGCCTCTCTGCTGCCTTGCAGTTTGATCTCAGACTGCTGTGCCAGCAATGAGCAAGGCTCCATGGGCGTAGGACCCTCTGAGCCATGTGTGGGATATAATCTCCTGGTGTGCCGTTTGTTAAGCTCATTGGAAAAGCACAGTATTAGGGTGGGAGTGACCCGATTTTCCAGGTGCTGTCTGTCACCCCTTTCTTTGACTAGGAAAGGAAATTCCCTGACCCCTTGCACTTCCTGGGTGAGGGGATGCCTTACCCTGCTTTGGCTCACACACGGTGCAGTGCACCCAGTATCCTGCACCCACTCTCTGGCACTCCCCAGTGAGATGAACCTGGTACCTCAGTTGGAAATGCAGAAATCACCCGTGTTCTGTGTCACTCATGCTGAGAGCTGTAGACTGGAGCTGTTCCTATTTGGCCATCTTGGCTCCCAGAAAACACTTTGAATTCATCAGTTTTTCTTTTCTTTTCTTTTCTTTTTGAGACAGAGTTTCCCCCTTATTGCCCAGGTTGAAGTGCAATGGCACGATCTTGGCTCAGTGAAACCTCTGCCTTCTGGGTTCAACCAATTCTCCTGCCTCAGTCTCCAGGGTAGCTGGGATTTCATTCATGTGCCACCATGCCCGGCTAATTGTGTATTTTTATTAGAAATGGAATTTCTCCATGTTGGTCAGACTGGTCTCGAATTCCTGATCTCATGATCTTCCTGCCTCAGCCTCCTGAAGTGCTGGGATTATAGGCATAAGCCACCGCGCCCAGCCTACTTGTAGGTTTTTTAATTTTACTACCTGGTACTACAGAATCAAAACTTGTTGCTGATAATTAGATTTTCAGGTGGGGACAACAATATTTTATGCCACCAAATTTCTGGAATTATCACTAATTTAGAGTGAAGAATATAGCTCAACTCAGGAATGTGTAAAGTTTTGATTAACACAAAACATCTTGAACAAATTCTTTTCTAAATGAAAAATTTCTAAAGATTTTCTGGAAAATGGGTTCTGAAACTCTTTGATCAATGAATACATTACTAAAAAACATTCCACAAAAAAGAGAAAGAAAACCTTTAGAGTATATTATGAATTATGTATTAAAGTTATCCTCACCAAGAAAGACCAGGTTTATGTTGTTCTCTAACACCACATCGCTATGTAAATTTTGCTGTAAAGTATCCAGGCAATGCCACTCCTCCAGAGATAATTCTGTAAGCACATCTCTAAATTGCAATGGCCCCTGAAACAAACACACACTCACACACACACATTTTTACCAAGTGGCCATGGGCAGAGTTTTTATTTTGACTGAAGGTGAAATTGGAAAGTAAAAGGAACTGGTTCTTACTTATAGAATTAAATTATCCAAGAAAATAATCTCCAACAAAGAAATATTCTCTAATGTATTTTTTAACTCTGAGAAAAAAAGAACAGCATAAGATCCACATCAGTTCATATATGATGTTATTGTAGCTAACAAAGTATAAAATTAAGAGCATGAACATCAACATACACACTTTTCAGTGCTATATTTACATCATACTGAATGAGTTGTGCATATTTTTCAGATGGAAAAAGACATATTGAGCTACAAGACACCTCTGAAATTTTGATATGTACAATAAGTTCAAGACCTTGTTATACAGGTTTTTTTCTTTTTTTTTTTTTCCAGAAGATCCGACATAAAGTCTGATTTTTTTAATTTCTAACAAGCTCAGCAATACTGTCTATGTTTTTGGCCCAAGAAGGATATTTTGTAACACATCCAGTAAGTGGAAAAGCCTGGGTTTTCCAAGTTTTTCTCACCTGTAAACAAAGATAAAAGCCTTCATTTTCCAAAGAAAAATATGAAGAAAAAATAAGAAAAAAGGGCAGCTGCCAGATTAAGTATAGCGTTTTATACACATCAGCTGCATAAAGATACTTAATAATGAAGAGAAAAATAATTAACTGAAGAGTGAAAAAATCTGTCAGAGAGCTATTTAAGCAAGTGAATCATTAACCATTAACTGCACTGGACAAATTTTTATGATGTGCTAATGCACACAGAAGAACACAGCATCACTGTTGAAATATTCCTCCAACACAAAGTAAATAAAATCTGAATTTAACCTTAAAGAAACATGTTTTATGCAAACTTCAATGTACAGATAACTCCTATGTTCCATAATTTTTAGTAGTACTTTTTTTTATTTTTTATTATTATACTTTAAGTTCTAGGGTACATGTGCACAATGTGCAGGTTTGTTACATAGGTATACATGTGCCATGTTGGTTTGCTGCACCCATTAACTCATCATTTACATTAGGTATTTCTCCTAATGCTATCCCTCCCCCTGCACCCCACCCCATGACAGACCCCAGGGTGTGATGTTCCCCACCCTGTGTCTAACTGTTCTCATTGTTCAATTCCCACCTATGAGTGAGAACATGTGGTGTTTGGTTTTCTGTTCTTGTGACAGTTTGCTCAGAATGATGGTTTCCAGCTGCATCTATGTCCCTGCAGAGGACATGAACTCATTTTTTATGGCTGCATAGTATTCCATGGTGTATATGTGCCACATTTTCTTAATCCAGTCTATCATTGATGGATATTTGAGTTGGTTCCAAGTCTTTGCTATTGTGAATAGTGCTGCAATAAACATACATGTGCACGTGTCTTTATAGTAGCATGATTTATAATCCTTTGGGTATATACCCAGTAATGGGATCACTGGGTCAAATGGTATTTCTTGTTCTAGATCCTTGAGGAATCACCACATTGTCTTCCACAATGGTTGAACTAGTTTACACTTCCACCAACAGTCTAAAATCATTCCTATTTCTCCACAACCTCTCCAGCATCTGTTGTCTCCTGACTTTTTAATGATCGCCATTCTAACTGTTGTGAGATGGTATCTCACTGTGGTTTTGATTTGCATTTATCTAATGACCGGTAATGATGACCATTTTTTTCATATGTCTGTTGGCTGCATGAATGTCTTCTTTTGAGAAGTGTCTGTTCATATTATTTGCCCAATTTTAATGAGGTTTTTTTTCTTCTAAATATGTTTAAGTTCTTTGTAGATTCTGGATACTAGCTCTTTGTCAGATGGGTACATTGCAAAAATTTTTTTTCATTCTGAAAGTTGCCTCTTCACTCTGATGGTAGTTCTTTTGCTGTGCAGAAGATCTTTAGTTAATTAGATCCCATTTCTCTATTTTTGCCTTTGTTGCCATTGCTTTGGTGTTTTAGTCATGAAGTCCTTGCACATGCCTATGTCCTGAATGGTACTGCCTAGGTTTCCTTCTAGGGTTTTTATGGTTTTAGGTCTAACATTTAAGTCGTTAATCCATCTTGAGTTAGTTTTTGTGTAAGGTGTAAGGAAGGGATCCAGTTTCAACTTTCTACATATGGCTAGCCAGTTTTCCCAACACTATTTATTAAATAAGGAATTTTTTCCCCATATCTTGTTTTTGTCAGCTTTGTCAAAGATCAGATAGTTGTAGATGTGTGGTGTTATTTCTGAGGCCTCTGTTCTGTTCCAATGGTCTATATATCTGTTTTGTCACCAGTACCATGGTGTTTTGGTTACTCTAGCCTTGTAGTATAGTATAAAGTCAGGTAGCATAATGCCTCCATGTTTGTTCTTTTTGCTTAGGATTATCTTGGCAATGTGGGGTCTTTTTTGGTTCCATATATACTTTAAAGTAGTTTTTTTCCAATTCTGTGAAGAAAATGATTGGTAGCTTGATAAGGATGGCATTGAATCTATAAATTACCTTGGGCAGTCTGGCCATTTTCATGATATTGATTCTTCCTATCAATGAGCATGGAATGATCTTCCATTTGTTTATGTCCTCTTTTATTTCATTGAGCAGTGGTTTGTAGATCTCCTTGAAGAGGTCCTTCACATCCCTTTTAAGTTGGATTCCTAAGTATTTGATTCTCTCTAGCAATTGTGAATGGGAGTTCACTCATGATTTGGCTCTCTGATTGTCTGTTATTGGTGTATAGGAATGCTTGTGATTTTTGCACATTGATTTTGTATCCTGAGACTTTGCTGAAGCTGATTATCAGCTTAAGGAGATTTTGGGCTGAGACGATGGCATTTTCTAAATATACAATTTTGTCATCTGCAAATAGGGACAGTTTAACTTCCTCTTTTCCTAATTGAATACCTTTATTTCTTTCTCTTGCCTGATTGCCCTGGCCAGAACTTCCAACACTATGTTGAATAGAAGTGGTGACAGTGGGCATCCCTGTCTTGTGCAAGTTTTCAGAGGGAATGCTTCCACTTTTTTCCCATTCAGTATGATATTGGCTGTGGGTTTGTCATAAATACCTCTTTTTATTTTGAGATATGTTACATCAATACCTAGTTTATTGAGAGTTTTTAGCATGAAGGTTGTTGAATTTTGTCAAAGGCCTTTTCTGCATCTATTGAGATAATCATGTGGTTTTTTTGTCTTTGGTTCTGTGTATGTGATGGATTATGTTTATTGATTTGTGTATGTTGAACCAGCCCTGCATTCCAGGGATGAAACCAACATGATTGTGGTGGATAAGCTTTTTGATGTGCTGCTGGATTCAGTTTGCCAGTATTTTATTGAGGTTTTTTGCACTGATGTTCATCAGTGATATTGGTCTAAAATTCTCCTTTTTTTGTTGTGTCTCTGCCAGGCTTTGGTATCAGGATGCTGTTGGCCTCATAAAATGAGTTAGGGAGGATTCCTTTTTTTTCTATTGATTGGAATAGTTTCAGAAGGAATGGTACCAGCTCCTCCTCATAGAAACCAGCTGTGAATCTGTCTGGTCCTGGACTTTTTTTAGATGGTAAGCTATTAATTATTGCCTTAATTTCAGAGCCTGTTATTGGTCTATCCAGAGATTCATCTTCTTCCTTGTTTAATCTTAGGAGGGTGTATGTGTCCAGGAATTTACTCATTTCTTCTAGATTTTCAAGTTTGTTTGCATAGAGGTGTTTATAGTATTCTCTGATGGTAGTTTGTATTTCTGCAGGATTGGTGGTGATATCCCCTTCATCATTTTTTATTGCACCTATTTGATTATTCTCTCTTTTCTTCTTTATTAGTCTTGCTAGTGGTCTATCCATCTTGTTGATCTTTTCAAAAAACCAGCTCCTGGATTCATTGATTTTTTAAAGGGTTTTTTGTGTCTCTATCTCCTTCAGTTCTGCTCTGATCTTAGTTATTTCTTGCCTTCTGCTAGCTTTTGAATGCGTATTGCTCTTGCTTCTCTAGTTCTATTGTGATGTTAGGGTGTTGATTTTAGATATTTGCTGCTTCCTCTTGTTGGCATTTAGTGCTATAAATTTCCCTCTACACAGTGCTTTAAATGTGTCCCAGAGATTTTGGTACATTGTGTCTTTGTTCTCATTGGTTTCAAAGAACATCTTTATTTCTGCCTTCATTTCGTTATTTACCCAGTAGTCATTCAGGAGCAGGTTGTTCAGTTTCCATGTAGTTGTGCAGTTTTGAGTAAGTTTCTTAATCCTGAGTTCTAATTTGATTTCAGTGTGGTCTGCAAGACTGTTTGTTGTGATTTCTGTTCTTTTACATTTGCTGAGGAGTGCTTTACTTCCAACTATATGGTCAATTTTAGAATAAGTGTGATGGGGTGCTGAGAAGAATGTATATTCTGTTGATTTGTGGTGGAGAGTTCTGTAGATGTCTGTGAGGTCTGCTTGGTGCAGAGCTGAGTTTAAGTCCTGGATATCCTTGTTAACCTTCTGTCTCATTGATCTGTCTAAAAAGTCTCCCATTTTTATTGTGTGGGAGTCTAAATCTCTTTGTACTTCTCTAAAGACTGGCTTTATGAATCTGGGTGCTCCTGTATTGGGTGCATATATATTTAGGATAGTTAGCTCTTCTTACTGAATTGATCCCTTTACCATTAGGTAATGGCCTTCTTTGTCTCTTTTGATCTTTGTTGGTTTAAAGTCTGCTTTATCAGAGACCAGGATTGCAACCACTGTTTTTTTTTTTTCCTTTCCATTTGCTTGGTAGATCTTCCTCCATCCCTTTGTTTTGAACCTATGTGTGTCCCTGCACATGAGATGAGTCTCCTGAATACAGCACACAGATGGGTCTTGACTCTTTATCCAATTTGCCAGTCTGTGTCTTTTAACTGGGGCATTTAGCTCATTTACATTTAAGGTTAATATTGTTATGTGTGAATTTGATCCTGTCATTATGATGTTAGCTGGTTATTTTGCTTGTTAGTTGATGGGCTTTCTTCCTAGCATCAATGGTCTTTACAATTTAGCATGTTTTTGTGGTGGCTGGAACTGGTGGTTCCTTTCCATGTTTAGTGCTTCCTTCAGGAGCTCTTGTAAGGCAGGCCTGGTGGAGACAAAATCTCTCAGCATTTGCTTGTCTGTAAAGGATTTTATTTCTCCTTCACTTATGAATCTTAGTTTGGCTGGATATGAATTCTGGGTTGAAAATTATTTTCTTTAAGAATGTTGAATATTGGCCCCCACTCTCTTCTGACTTGTCGCATTTCTGCCAAGAGATCTGCTGTTAGTCTGTTGGGCTTCAGTCTGTGGGTAACCGGACCTTTCTCTCTGGCTGCCCTTAGCATTTTTTCCTTCATTTCAATTTTGGTGAACCTGACAATTTTGTGTCTTGGGGTTGCTCTTCTTGAGGAGTATCTTTGTGGTGTTCTCTGTATTTCCTGAATTTGAATATTGGCCTGCCTTGATAGGTTGGGGAAGTTCTCCTGGTTAATATCCTGGAGAGTGTTTTCTACCTCGTTCCATTCTCCCCGTCACTTTCAGGTACATGAATCAAACGTAGAATTGGTCTTTTCACGTAGTCCCATATTTCTGGGAGGCTTTGTTCATTTCTTTTTACTCTTTTTTCTCTAAACTTCTCTTCTCACTTTATTTAATTAATTTGATCTTCAATCACTGATACCCATTCTTCCACTTGATTGAATCAGCTATTGAAGCTTGTGCATGTGTCATGTAGTTCTTGTGCCATGGTTTTCAGCTCCATCAGGTCACTTAAGCTCCTTCCTACACTGTTTATTCTAGATAGCCATTTGTCTAATCTTTTTTCAAGGTATTGAGCTTCCTTGTGATAGGTTCAAACATCCTCCTTTAGCTCAGAGAAGTTTGTTACTACCAATATTCTGAAGCCTACTTCTGTCAGCTCTTCAAAGTCATTCTCTATCCAGCTTTGTTCCATTGCTGGCGAGGAGCTGCGATCCTTTGGAGGAGAAGAGGCACTCTGGTTTTTAGAATTTTCAGCTTTTCTGATCTGGTTTCTCCCCATCTTTTTGGCTTAATCTACTTTTGGTGTTTGATGTTGGTGACCTACATATGGGATTTGGTGTGGATGTCCTTTTTGTTAACGTTGATGCTATTTCTTTCTGTTTGTTAGTTTTCCTTCTAACAGTCAGCTCCCTCAGCTGCAGGTCTACTGGAGTTTGCTGGAGGTCCACTCCAGACCCTGTTTGCCTGGGTATCACCAGTGGAGGCTGCAGAACAGCAAATATTGCAGAACAGCAAATGTTGCTGCCTGATCCTTCCTCTGGAAGCTTCATCCCAGAGGGGTACCTGGCTGTATGAGCTGTCAGTCAGCCCCTACTGGGAGATGTCTCCCAGTTAAGCTACACGGGGGTTAGTGACCCACTTGAGGAGGCAGTCTGTATGTTCTCCAAGCTCAAACACTGTGCTGGGAGAACCACTGCTCTCCTTAGAGCTGTCAGACAGGGATGTTTAAGTCTGCAGAAGTTTTTGCTGCCTTTGGTTTAGCTATGCCCTGCCCCCAGAGATGGAGTCTACAGAGACAGAGGCCTTGCTGAGCTGTGGTGGACTCCGCCCAGTTCAAGCTTCCTGACTGCTTTGTTTACCTACTCAAGCCTCAGCAGTGGCAGACGCCCCTCCCCCTGCCAGGCTGCTGCCTTGCAGGTTGATCTCAGACTGCTGCACTAGCAGTGAACAAGGGTCTGTGGGCATGGGACCCACCAAGAAAGTCATGGGATATAATCTCTTTGTGTGCCATTTGCTAGGACCATTGGAAAAGCACAGTATTTGGGTGGAAGTTTCCTATTTTTTCAGGCACTGTCTTTGGTGAAAGTATGGCTTTCCTTGGCTAGGAAAGGGAAATCACCTGACCCCTTGTGCTTCTGGGTGAGGCAATGCCCCACTCTGCTTTGGCTCTGCCTCCATGGGCTGCACCCACTGTCCAACCAGTCCCAATGAGATGAACCAGGTACCTCAGTTAGAAATGCAGAAATCACCCATCTTCTGTGTCAATCACACTGGGAGCTGTAGACCAGAGCTGTCCCTATTTGGCCATCTTGGAACGGAATCACCTTAGTAGTAATTTTAAGTAGACTTCATTCAGCACCGTAGAGAGCTGGTATCTCCTAATAATTTTTTTCAGAACTTTCTGGTTAATAAATGCCATCCCACTTAAATAAGCATTTTCTTTTCTTTTCTTTTCTTTTTTTTTTGAGATGGAGTCTCGCTGTGTCACCCAGGCAGGAGTGCAGTGGCTCAACCTCGGCTCACTTCAACTTCTGCCTTCTGGGTTCAAGCAATTCTCCTTCCTCAGCCTCCCAAGTAGCTGGCATTACAGATGACTGCAATGACACCCAGCTAATTTTTGTATTTTTGGTAGACACAGGGTTTCACCATGTTAGCCAGGTCTTGAACTCCTGACTTCAGGTGATCCACCTGCCTCTGCCTCTCAAAGTGCTAGGATTACAGGCGTGAGCCATTGAGCTCAGCCTAAAATAAAATATTTCTTAATCAAACTTTACTTAAGTTTATCTTTCTCCCTCAGGCTCCTGAACTTTGAGCTACTCTCAGTCTGTGTCAACATACAACCCCATTTTATGTCCCTACTAAGAACATGCTGATTTCAGGGTATGACATTCTCTGATCTAAAATCTGACTTTTTCACCCTCCATTTGCCATTCCCCTCCCACCTCCTTTCCAATATTGTTTGCTCCTCCCTAGGAAAGAAAGCCCTTTTCTGCCTACATTTTTGCAAGCCATAAAGGCCTTATAGTTAGTTGATACTTCCTCCTGTTGCAATACATTTTGGAATTCGTTTTTTTTTTTTAACATAAATCTGACGTTGTTATTTTACAAAGTCTAAAAAATGCCTCAAAACAATAACTTCATTATCAGTTAGAACCTCCCAGTTTCCTTTCGTCTTCATCTTAACTGCATCAAGCTGTGGGGCCCCAGCTTTCCAGGACTCTGTAGCTTCTCTCAGGATAAAGGCTCCTTCCATTGCTAGGATGCGCAGGCTGGGACATCTGCAGGGGAGGCTCCCCAGAAAAAAACAGTAGGCCTTTAATAACTTACTGTTAGCCAGGCGCGGTGGCTCAGGCCTGTAATCCCAGCACTTTGGGAGGCTGAGGCAGGCAAATTACCTGAGGTTGTGAGTTGGACACCAGCCTGACTAACATGGAGAAACCCCGTCTGTACTAAACATACCAAATTAGCTGGGTGTGATGGCACATGCCTGTAATCCCAGTTACTCTTGAGGCTGAGGTAGGAGAATCACTTGAACCGGAAGGTGCAGTGAGCCAAGATCGTGCCATTGTACTCCAGCCTGGGCAACAAGAGCGAATCTCTGTCTCAAAAACAACAATAACAACAACAAAAAC
The DNA here is from genome assembly GCF_000001405.40 of Homo sapiens. Classification (NCBI taxonomy): domain Eukaryota; kingdom Metazoa; phylum Chordata; class Mammalia; order Primates; family Hominidae; genus Homo; species Homo sapiens. Next base: position 20,481,129 of record NC_000019.10, on the reverse strand, counting down.
CTCCTGTTGTAGGCTTAGTATTAGTCTTAGCTTGGAATCACTAGGTTCAAGCTTTAATTTCCATGTCAGAGTTATTCACTTCGTGTTTGAAACTAAGTGTTTGAAAAATCCAGTGAAATTACTCACAGTGTTTAAATAAACAAAGGAAATTTTAAGATGCTTACCTTTTTTTTTTCTTTTTTCTTTTTTTTTTTTTTTTGAGAATGAGTCTGGCTCTTTCACATAGGCTGGAGTGTGATGGCAGGATCTCAGCTCACTGCAACCTCCACCTCCCGGGTTCAAGGAATTCTTGTGCCTCAGCCTCTTAAGTAGCTGGGATTAGAGGCTCTTGCCACCACGCCCCACTAATGTTTGTATTTTTAGTAGAGACGGGTTTCACCATGTTGTCCAGGCTGGTCTAGAACTCTTGACTGATAGATTCTCCCCGGGGCCTGAAAGCTTGAAGGGATGAGTAACTCCCTTCTCAGGCCCAGTCCCAAGGTACAAGGCTACTTGCATCAGCAGTGTGCACCAGCAAGATAGCAGTAGTAGAAAGAGAGATGGCCAGAAGACACCCACCCTGGCCAGAAGACACGTACTCCTGAAGATCAAGAAAGAGGCCGTCCAGGTACTATATAGCAGCCATGTCAGACTGGGCCACTTCTGATTTACAGGAGACCATGAAATCCCTGACCCATCCTTATTTGGTGCTGGGGCCATTTTAGGCCTCAGCCCGCCTGCAACCAGGCACTCATTAAAACACCATGTGTCTCCACACTGCCTCATGTTGTCTGTTAGTGTGCTCTCAGGGTTCAAACCAATACAAGAACCTTACATTTTGGTGCCAAAACCCAGGAGAGCTGATGTCTGCATCCCCATGGACCTACCCCTCTGCCCTGGAGAGCAGGCCACAGCAGCTGGACAAAAGAAGCTCCTCAGCCTCCAGTTGCCTCTCTGTACATGCACATCAGTCAGTGATCTCACCTACTGGTAGCTTTCTGTGGGAGCCCGCTTAACAGGGAAAAATCTGTATGGCCTCTCTTGGTTCTTGTGTCCAAAAATCCAATGTTGGTCCAAGAAGGCTCTGGCATGTGTCAGGCACTAGCTGATCATCTGGCCTTAGGGGAACCCCTCTAAGCCATCTGATCCCGTTCCAGGAATGAAAAAGGCAGTGATGACAACTGCTCCTTTTATTGTCTCCATCCGGCTATCCAGGACGGTCTCCTTTTCTCTGTTCTCTAGTGCCTACCCTCCATTATAGAAAATTCCCAGTTTTCCATTCTGAAGGACAGCCTTCTAGGCTGCCTTGTAAAAAACCTGCAAACCTTAGGCCTCAGGCAAGATATCTGCCCTAAGCACCTTGTCTTTTTTTGCAATTCAGTCTGGCCACATTATGAATTGGATAATGGGTCCAAATGGCCCACAAATGGAACATTCGACTTTACAATTTTAACTGATTAAAGCAATTATTGCTGACTGCTGGAAAAATGGGCAGAAATGCCTTATGTCCAGGCCTTTTTGCACTCAGATCACAACAAGACCTCTGCAATTCTTGCTCACTTGTTCAAATACTTCTCCATTCTCACCGACCTGATCACCTTTCTCCTCCCAACCCTACGTCTTTTTTCTTACTGGATCCAGCAGACTGCTGTCCACCCCTCACAGCCCCTACCTCTCCCTCTCAACTGTCTTCTATAACCCCCCAAGCCTCCTCTTTATATTCTCAGCTGCCATCTTCCCAGTCAGCAGTATCCACTTCTTTTCCTACATCGTCCCCTCCTCAGGACAATTCTAGTATTGCCTGTACCCAGTCTCCTCCCCCACCGCCCTCTCTTGAGGCCTGTAAACCCATCCAACCACCTTACACCCCTATCTATCCTCCACTGCCTATCAACTCAACCCCCCTTCTCCCTTCAAATGGTCAGTAGGAACCACTTCCGACTTCTTCCTTCTCTCCCATCCATACTCACTCAGGTGCCATCTTTGGCCCATGCCCCACCCTTACTTCAGTGTCGGTGCTAGAGTGCCCCCTTTGGGAAGTAGCAGGAGCTGAAGGTATTGTGAGAGTTCATGCTCCCTTCTCCCTCACTGATCTCTCTCAAATTAACAAAAGATTTGGTTCATTTCCAAAAGACCCTACCTCTTATTTTAGGGAATTTCAGTACCTTACCCAGTCTTATGAACTAACTTGGCATGACCTCTACATTATCCTCTCTTCAACTCTCACCCCAGAAGACTGAGACTATCTGGACCCTAGCTCAGGCACATGCTAATACAATTAATCACCAGGCTCTTGCCCAGCTACTGGTACAGAGGCAGTCCCCAACCAGGACCCCCACTAGGATTATCAAGACAGGGACCCTGGATGCCACTATCAAGACCACATGATTGTGTGTCTCCTTGCAGGACTCAAAAGGTGCCCATAAAGCAGTCAACTATGAAAAACTTTCAGAAATCACCCAATGTCCTGATGAAAACCCAGCCCTTTTTCTCCCTCTTGTTTACCTGAAGCCATGAGAAAATATAACAACGTAGACTCAACCAGCTCAGAAGGAACCACTATTTTAAACCTTCAGTTCATTTCCCAATCCACCCCTGATATTCAGCACAAGCTTCAGAAGCCAGAAGCTTGGTAACAGCCCACAAACCCCACAAAAAGATCTTAATTTAGCCTTCAAAGTCTTTAACAATCATGATGAGGAAAGTAAAAGGCAAAAACAGGCAGAGTTTCAAATGCTTGCCTCCGCCATCAGGGGCCCTGCAGGCCCATGGGGCCACAGCTCCACATGGAAGCCCCTAGGAATCCACCTGCACCTGCACATTTCAAGTGTGGCAATGAAGGCCACTGGTCCAGACAATGCCCAAACCCAGGTAAGCCCACCAGTTCGTGCCCCCTCTATGGAGGACTCCACTGGAAGTCAGACTGTGAGCGTCCCCCAGAAGCACTGCCCTCATCCCTTCCTGAGCCAGCCAAAACCTCCTACTTGGATCTCACCAGCCTTGCTGCTGAAGACTGATGGTGCCCTGGAAAGGGCATCCCAGCAACTACCATATCTTCATCTGAGCCAAGGGTAACACTGATGGTGGCAGGTAGGCCAGTATGTTTTTTAAAATTAATACTGGGGCAACCTACTCTGCTTTACCTAATTTCCCAGTCCTCCCAGTCTGTTGTAGGAATTGATGGACAAGTGTCCAAACCATGAGCCACTCCTCCACTTTTCTGGTCCCTGCACACCTTTTCCTTACTCACTCTTTCTTAGTCCTGCCCTCATGCCCAACTCCCCTCCAAAGTAGAGACATCCTCTCAAAACTCCACACTACTCTCCACCTCCACATTCCCCATAGTACCCAACGCATCTACCCAGACCCCTCGGGGGCTTCTAATTTTCTTCTTCTCCTCCAACCTCCCACCTTAAAACATGCAGCCTTTCCTTATTCCCCATCCATAGTTAACCTCACTGTTTAGGATACTTCCACACCCTCAGTGACAGAACACCACGCCCCCGTTCACATTACCCTTAAAAACCCCACCCAGTTCCTATCACAGAAGCAGTATCCAACCCCCAAGCAGCTCTTGTAGGCCTAAACCCTATCATTTCTCGCCTCCTCGCCAATCACCTACTCTGCCCAACAAACTCCCCTTTTCACACTGATTCTACCTGTTAAAAAGCTACATGGAACTTATCACTTAGTCCAGGCCCTAGGCTTATTAACCAAGCTGTACTCCCAGTATGTCCAGTAGTTTCTAACCCATACACTTTACTTTCCGTGGTTCCCTACAATATCACCCATTTTTCTGTCCTAAACTAAATAATGCTTTTTTTCACAATTCCTTCACACCCTGATTCTCAGGACCTCTTTGCCTTTACGTAGGAAAACCCCGACACCCACCTTTCACCTGGTGCATACCCAGATAAGCCCACCAGGCCATGCCCCCTCAGGTAAGCCCACCAGGCTGTGCCCACCTACCCTTGAAGTAGTAACCTCAGGGTTTCAGAGACAGTCCCCACCTTTTTGGGCAGGCCCTGGCTTGCAACCTCTGTACCTTATTCCTAACACCATCCACTCCCCTTCAATATGCTAATGATCTGCTCTTGTGTAGCCCCTCTCAAAGAGACTGCAACGCCCATACTATCTTTCTTTTAAACTTCTTGGCAGAATGGGGGTATCAGGTCTCCCCTAAAACTCAAATATGCACCCCCTCAGTCACCTATCTAGGCCTAGCTCTTACCCCACGAAACCGAAGGCTCACAACCAACCACATATCCCTCCTCCAGTCCCTCCCGCCTCCACAAACTAGCAAGAAATTCTCTTTTCTAGGACTAGCGGGATATTTTAGTCTCTAGGTTTCCTCCTTCGCTCTACTTGCCAATCCGTTATACCAAGCCACTAAAGGCCCTCTCCATGAGCCTTTAAACCCTGCACAGCCTATTACCCAACCTTTCTGTCTACTCCAAAAGGCTCTCAACTCAGCCCCTATCCTCGTTCTCCCAGACGCAGACCTTACCAAACCTTTCTCCCTCTATACCGACGAACAGCGTAGAGTTGCACTAGGTGTTCTAACCCAGTATAAGGGACCCACCCTCCAGGATGTTGCCTAACTCTCTAAACAGCTTGAAGCCACAGTTCTTGGATGACCTGCCTGTCTCTGAGCCTTGACGGCAGCTGCTGTTCTCACCCTTGAAAGCCTAAAACTATCTCTCCATGCCAACCTAACAGTTTATTCAACCCATAACATCAAAGACATGCTAGCTCACCCCAGTGTACTAAGTCTCATCTCTGCCCCACTGCTCCTCCAACTGTATGCTCTATTCATAGAAACTCCCCACATCACTGTGCTAACAGCTCGCATCTAAACCCAGCCATGCTCTGTCCCTGTCCTCATTCCCTCCTTTTCACTCCTCCAAAGAAAAAGAGGACTTCCAGGCCAAAAACCTTCAAAAGCAAGGACCATGGTATGTCAAGGAAGGGTGCTTCATCCTTCCTCAATCTCAAACAATCCCTATCCTCCAAAGTCTCCACAACTCTTTCCATGTCAGTTACAAACTTCTCCCTCAATTTCTCCACCCTATTCTCACTTGTCCTCATCTTTCCTGCTGTGTTCAAGGAATCACCCTGTCCTGCTCTATATGCCACTTAGTGTCACCCCAAGGCTTACCCTGGCCACCACCTTTTCCTACCCACCAAGCCCAGGGCAAGGTACCCAGGCAAGATTGGCAAGTAAACTTCACTCACATGCTGCCCGATAAACGGCTCCGCTATCTTCCAGTCTTTGTCTGTACTTTCTCCGGGTAGGTAGAAGCATTCCCAACAACTTCAGAAGGTGCAAATGTCATCACACAAACTCTCATCATGCATATAATTCCCCGTTTCGGACTCCCAACATCCATCCAGTATGATAACAGGCTCACCTTTATCAGCCAAATTACCCAAGGTGTCTCTACATCCTTAAGAATCAAATAGGTTCCCCATACACCCTACAGGCCTCAATCTTCAGGCAAAGTTTAAAAAGTCAACTCTGTCCTTAAAACCCAACTCACCAAGCTAGCTCTAGAAACCTGTCAGTTGTGGACAAGAAATCTCCCTTTCACCCTCATGAGACTCCACACAACACCAAAAGCACCCTCTTTTTATACTCCCTTCAAAATCATACATAGCCATACTTTTGTCTTAAGGCCTCCATCCTTACCAGACTCCGAGCCACTCAGGAATTACCTCCCCTACTTAATCCAACACAGTCTTTCATTCGTGAAGCAGCAAATGAGGCCATGCCTCTCCCTGTCAGCACCTCCTTGTCCTCTCAACATAACTGCCTTGCAGGCATAGACATGTTTATCTGCCAACCCAGCCCTCACCAAAAGGTACAACCAAAGTGGACAGGCCCTTACACTGTCATACTCAGCATGCCAACTGTAGTGAGAGTCCAAGAACTCCCCCACTGGATCCATCACACCAGGGTCAAGCTCATCTCCAAGGCTACTCCTTCCTCCAAAACATTAACAGCAGGTGACACCCTTGGAGTCCCTGTGCAAGAAGACGAGTGGCCTCTGCAATGGATCATCGAATATTATGGCCCTGCCATTTAGGCAGAGGATGGTTCATGAGGTTATCGCACTCCCATATATATGCTAAATAGAATAATTACAGGCTGTTCTAAAGATAATCACTAACCAAACGGTCTCAGCCTTGGAAATGTTCACACAACAACAAAATCAAATGCGCACAGCAATTTATCAAAACAGGCCAGCACTAGGCTACTTATTAGCAGGAAAGGGTGGAATCTGTGGTAAGTTTAATATCCTAATTGCTGTCTTAACATAGATGATAACAGAAAAGTTGTTCTAGAAATCACTTCAAACATGAGAAAAGTAGCCCATGTACCAGTCTAAACCTGGAAGGGATGTGGCCCAACAAACCTCCTAGGAGGGTGGTTCTTTCATTTAGGAGGATTTAAAAGGCTGGTAGGGACAGTTACCTTTATCATTAGGTTCCTCCTGTTTCTCGCCTGTGTTATCCCACTAATAATAAAAGCCATTAAAACTCTCGTTGAAACTACAGTTAACTGCCAGACAATCCAGATGATGCTTCTGCTTCAACAACACGATGGACACCAACCCGTCTCTCAAGAATACCCCAAAAATTAACCAGCTCCCATCTAAACCCAGCCACGCACCTTTTTCCAAGGTTCCAATGCCACCCCCTATGTCACACCTGAAGTAGTTATTGAGAAAGTCACCCCTTTTCCCTTTCTTTCTATAACCAAAAAGAGAGGAAAGAAAGAATCTCCCCGGGGTCTGAAAGCTTGAAGGGATGAGTAACTCCTCCCTTCCCAGGCCCAGTCCCAAGGCGCAAGCCTACCTGCATCAGCAGTGTGTGCCAGCAAGATAGCAGAAGCAGGAAGAGAACCGTCTGGAAGACATCAACTCTGGCCAGAAGACATGTAACCCTGAAGTTTGAGAAAGAGGCTGTCTGGGTACTACGTAGCAGCCCCATCAGACTGGGAGACTTCCTGTTTACTGGAGACAATAAAACTCCTGCCTCGTCCTCATTTGGTGCTGACGCCATTGTAGGCCTCAGCCGGCCTGCACCCTGGCACTCACTAAAACAGCATGTTGCTCCACACTGCCTGGTGTTGTCTGTTGGCACGCTCTCACGGTTCAAACCAATACAAGAGCCTTACATTGACCACGTGATCAGCCCGCTTCAGCCTCCCAAATTGCTGGGATTACAGGCATGAGCCACCGCACCCAGCCAGGAAGGGGTTATTAACCCTAACACAGTTCCTGTTTTTGTGTCCTTCCTCTATTGGCTTGGGTCAGACCCAATAATCTAAGCTGATCCCGGTTGGCTTAGACCCCAGCTTTTTCCAAATAGGGTAAACGAGCAATTTGCAACAAAAGGAGAAGGGGAAAGCAGGGATAAATTTGATTTACAACTTATGACAAAGAAGTTGAGTCTTTGAAGAGGAACTTACTTGTTCTAATAACTCTTTACCTCAAGTGATCCGCCCGCCTCGGCCTCCCAAAGTGCTGGGATTACAGGCATGAACCACCACTCCTGGCCCCATACATTTTTAATAGGAGAAAAGAGAAACTGTGAACCCCACGGACCAAAGCTCTTCCCATTCATGAACCTGAACCCCAAGTCAGGATTCTCCCTTGACGACCCTCTCATGATCCCTGTACAATCTGGGAGAGACACAGCGCTGCAGATGCAGAGCTGCCCACAGAGGGCTCCAGGCCAGGACACAGTCATTGCGCACGGAAGAGAGGACGCCCAGGGGGCCAGGCTTCTGTGTAGCCGCCATCTTATGGCTGAACAGGACTGAGGCCGAGCTGGGTAAGGAGAACTCGGGGCACAAATTGTGGAGCTGACTGACTGGAGCTGAGTCTTGCCAAAGACATTTCCTTCCGGTTCCAACCAGCCCCTCCCCCTCTCTCGGGATGTCGGACCGGCATTCTTACCATTTCCGGGCTTCCGGGATCCCGGCGTCCTAGCTGTGGATCTCCTAATACCTACAGGACACAGGGCCACAGAGGCTGGGCCTCTAGGGGCAGAGGACACAGAGCAGTGAAGAAGAGACCTGGAGCTCAGGCTGCAGAGAGACACAAAGGCCCCGCCAAACCCGGAAGCCGTGCTGTTCGCTACAGCTGTGTGCCTGATTGGACGGTTTCCAGCACAGTGTCCCTGATTGGATAATTCTTACATCCCAGAGCATGGGAAAATTCTATTTCTTTTTTACTCTCTCCTGTTGAATGTATTCAAAAGGTGAACAGAAGTATTTTGCTGTCATATTAATAATACAACAAATTTTTGTTCAAGAGAAAATCAACTTTTACTTTGGTAATAGTGTAGTATCCATTAAAGCTAATTTTAATAAAACCTTATATATAAATCAAATTTGTCATTTTTGACAACTCCAGATTTACATACGTATTTTGTAATGTCTTGTAATTTTTTAAACTATTTATATTTTATGCACATTATTTTTATTTGTTCAATTTGAAACAACTTTTAAGTAATTTCAAACTGCTATAGGACATAGAAAGAAATCGAGGCGATCCTGGCTAACATGGTGAAACCACGTCTCTACTGAAAATACAAAAAAATTAGCCAGGCCTCCTGGCATGCACCTGTGGTCCCAGCTACTCCAGAGGCTGAGGCAGGAGAATTGCTTGAACCAGGGAGGTGGAGGTTGCGGTGATCCAAGATCACACCACTGCACTCCAGCATGTGCAACACAGTGAGACTCCATCTCAAAAAAAATTAAATAAATAAATAAACAAAACGCTGTAAATAAACAAAATTTCTCATTTTTGACCCCTCGAGATATGCATATATATTTTGTAATCTCTTCTAATTTTTATGACTTCTTGTATTTTATTTTTATGTACATTCTTTTTATTATTTTCAGTTTGAAACATCCATTAAGTGATTTCACAGTTATAGGAGATAGAAAGAAATCATTCAGGGACAGGCATGGTGGCTCACGCCTTTAATCCCAGCACTTTGGGAGGCCAAGGTGGGCAGATCACTTGGGGTCAGAAGTTCAAGACCAGCCTGGCCAACATGGTGAAACACCATCTCTACTAAAAATACAAAGAATTAGCAGGGTGTGGTGGTGCACTCCTATAGTCCCAGCTACTTCGGAGGCAGAGGCAGGAAAATCGCTTGAATCGAGGAGGTAAAGGTTGTGTAAGGCCCAAGTGGTTCGCTTTGCCCTTTGCCTAGACAGAGCCGATTCATCAAGACAGAGGAATTTGTGGAGGTAAAGTTAAATATTAAATTTGAAGTCAATTGAACGTGGACAGAAGCAATGGTCACCAAGTCCCAGAATAGGTTTTGTGAGCCCCTAGAGGCATTCATCCAGTGCTGTTTTGGAGAAATCTCTATTTCAATCTATTCATATACATTCATTTTTGAAAAACAATAGACAATCGCAAAAACAAGTTAATCTTTTTGTGTTCCTTAAGCCCAGTTGCAAAGGGCCCTCATGACCGGGCCTCATGCCAAACAACTTGTTACAAATGAGCTAAGGTCCCAGACTGCACTGAAGCTTCATGAGACCTCTCCTCATCTGTGCACAAATGGGTGGCCGACTCTGGAGCCCAGGTTGTTGCTTCCCACTCTGGTGGTGAATCTTCCATAGTCTGGTGAGCGTAAACTTCACAAACTTTTCCCTTCTCCTCTTCCCATTGCAACTTGCTTATTATATCAACCTGCTTATTATATTTTTTTTGCTTATTATATCATTTGCTTAATATATCTGCATTGCCATTTACATGGGATGAAGCTTGTTTACCCTTAAAGGTATTGTGTGTCTGTCTTTTCTTATCCCCTTGCCTCTTTCCCGCACAGAACAGTTTCGGCGTCACGAACAGGATTCAAAACAAAAGTGTGCCACTTTTTGGCCAGAAGGACAGGGCTGGAGGCTCGGTGACTCCTCATATCCCGCGATGGGAACTCCTCCAGTTCTCCCTTTTGAATGGTCCAGGGGAACTGCTCTTTGTGGGAATTGGGAATCTAAATTAGTGCAATTTAAACCTTTGACTGTGCGGGAAGTGCTGCAGGAGATTCCAGTCAGCAAAGGAGAAGCTGAGGGATCTGCCAGAGTGGATGGTGTTTGCTTACTGCTTATAAGTTAATGTGTCAAGATAAGGGCTAGTTGCTACAAGAGAAATGTAAGCTGGAAAAGGAAAATGCTAATTTTACTTCCAGACTGGCCCTGGCCCAATGCCAGGCCTATGACTTGACTGATCAGGCTCAAAGCTATCAGCCTATTGCTGAAAAAAGCAGCTGTCTAAATGGCCTGGTCAGGGTGAAACTGAGGAACTAGTTAGCTGGGGCTTGGAGCGGGTAAGAGCCCAACTCTTATCTCAAGGATGGGAAATTAACCTTAGTAAAATTCAAAGGACCTGCACAAACTGTAAAATTCCTTGGTGTTGGCAGAAGAGCTGAGGCAGGGCTTGCTTGTCTGACATAATATAAAAGAGTCTTGGAACATGTCCTGGTTCCAGGGTCTAAAACCCCTTGTGGCCTGTGGAACACCAAGCTCTGTGCCAAAGGGTGGAAGGCTGCCCTGCCACACTACAGTCTAAGCCCAGGGCATAAAACCCCTTGTGGCTTGGACAGAACCCAGGCTCAGGGCATAAAACCCCTTGTAGCCTCTGGAATGTATCCAGACTCGTTGGCCCATTGCTTCTTGCTCTCCTGAGACCATAAATTGATTGTGTCTTGAATTAGAAGAACCTGTTCTCCTTTATCTCAAGTAGCAGAGCATATGCTCAACCATCACAGCTACGCTTGATTCACCACTACCTTTCTATCCGCACATCCTCACCTGTCTACCCCCATGTCCACATGTCCTCACCAACTGCTTTTTTGTTTGATTACCAATAAGTTATAAGTTATAAATAGCATGGGCTCCCAGAGCTTGGGGTCTTCACAGCCACCATGCTTGGAGTTGGCCCCCTGGACCCACCCTATGAACTTTTAACTTGTCTTGTCTCATTCTTTGACTCTATCAGACTTCATAGCCCCTATGACCTGGTGTTGGGTCTGATCACCCCAACACCTTGGCATCCTATGGAATACAGAGAAATAGTCCATTTTACCAAAGGCTAAAGCTAAAATACTACAATTTGCAACCTCTACCACTAAGAAGGAGGTCCAGAAATGTATTGTCTTGTTTGGATTCTGGAAACATCATTTTCCCCACTTGGGTAACATTTTACAACCTCCGCATGCAGCAACTAGAAAATGCTATGACTTTCTTTGGGGAGAGGAAGACAGCATGGCTTTTGAACAAGCTAAACAAGTGGTGAAGCTGGCCCTGGATCTATGGCCTATAGGGGATGGGCCAGTAGAACTGCAAGTAACTGTCCTAGATCAACATGCTAATTGGAGCCTTAGGCAGGAACAACATGGGAAGAGGGTACTTTTGGATTTCGGACCTACAAACTGCCAGAGGCCAGCAAAGATTATATCCCTTCAAGAAGCAATTTTTAGCTTGCTATTGAACTTTGCTGGAAATGGAACACCTCTGCTTCAACCATGATGTCTTTATGTGGCCTGAAATTCCTATTGTGACTTGGGACATGAGTTCCCCCAAAACCTACCAGATAGGGCATGCCCAAGAAAGTAGCAGCATAAAATGGAAATGGTACATACATGACCAGGCTAAGCCAAAACCAAAGGGGGTATCAGTTTTACATGAGGATGTACAAAACTTGCCAGCTCAAAAAAACCACTGAGCAAGTCCTGTAGATATGGAAGGAAACCACCCTTCCCACCCCGACCAATGGCGCAAATCGTTTAAAAAACTAATCCCAGAAGATCAGAAACATGCTTGGTTTACAAATGGATCCACCAAATACATTGGTGGGACCCGATGCTGGAAGGCTGTGGCTTATAATCCTGTTAAAAACATAAGCATTTCAAAAATAGAATTCTTGTCTTGATAGAAGTTCCAAAGAGTGGGTGAGAGATTAAATGACTACCAGGAGCTACATAATTGCTGTTTTACTATCAAATATTCACTTTCATTTCTATGCTGTCTCAAGTTATGTTAATAATGAAGTAATAACCTTTATCCAGGGAATTTCAAAAAAACTTATTTTTAAATCAGTTGTAATAGTAATCAAAGACAGAGAATGAAGGTTTTTAACATTCATAATTTATATTTTAAAATTAACATGCTTCTAGAAATAGAAAAGGAAGAAAAATATATACAAACAAATGAAAGTTACTCTGGTCAACATGGTGAAAGCCTGCCTCTACTAAAAATACAAAAATTAGCCAAGCATGGTGGTGCACACCTGTAACCTCAGCTACTCAGGAGGCTGAAGCACTAGAATCACTTGAACCTGGGAGGCATAGGTTGCGGTGAGCTGAGATCGTGCCACTGCACTTTAGCGTGGGCAACAGAATGAGACTCCATCTCAAACAAAACAAAACAGAGGGAAGGAAGTGGATTACTCACAATAGCTAAGGTATGGAATCATCCTAAGTGTCCATCAATAGTTGAATAGAAAAAGAAAATGTGGTATATGTACACAATGAAATACTTCTCTGCACTTAAAAATAAGAAAGTCTTGTTATTTGCAACAATATTCATGAACCTGAAAAATATTATGCCAAGTAAAGTAAGCCAGCACAGAAAAACACACAAAACAATCAGGCCAGCAGGTTGTTTTTCTATGTGTCTCTTTCTCTTAGAAGCACCTGTGATTAAGTTTAACACAATCAGAATAATCTCCATTTTGATAAACACAAAGTCAACAGTTGAGTAACCTAATTTCATGAGTGATTTCCCACCACAGTCATACATTTTTTTTTCACTCAAGAGGAAAGTATGACACAGCAGGTGTGCAACAGACTGGTAATCCAGGGTATTATCTTAAAATGTTGCCTACCCACCTAAATAAACTTTTAAAATAGTCTTTCTGCTCCTTTTGTTATCTACATAAACAAATATATTATCTGCAAATAATAATTAACTACTCTCCAGTTTCATTCATTACAAATATTAACTTACATCTTTTTTCTGGCTTGAATTATTTTTCCTGTATGTACCATTTTATACATTCACACACACATAAAACAATAAAAATATATCCAATTACTCAATGTTGGTTAAATTTTCATTAAAATAAGTGTTAAAAATGATTATTTTTTTCTGTTTGAAGAGGGTTTTTATTGTTCTACTCAAGAGTGTCATTTCTGAAGACAAAGATGCCTGTGCTTTAATAGGCAGATTCTAGGGAGAATCCAAACCATAAGCCATAACATTTTACATTAATAAATTCAAGACACACTGAATGTGGCAGTTCACACATGTAATCCCAGCACTTTGGGAGGCCTAGGTGGATGGATCATTTGAGATCAGGAATGAAAGACCAGCCTGGCCAACATGGTAAAACCCAGTCTCCACTAAAAATACAAAAAAAAAAATTAACTGGGCATGGTGGCATGTGCCTGTAGTCCCAGCTACTGGGAGGCTGAGGCAGGAGAATCACTTGAACCCAAAAGGTGGAGGTTGCAGTGAGCCGAGATCGTGCCATTGCACTCCAGCCTGGGCAACAGGAGTGAAACTCTGTCTCAAAAAAATAAAATAAAATAAAATGAATAAAGGAATTCAAGACAAAGCAAAAAGTATAGATTTGCTTTCAGCATTTTTGAGGTGTTTAGTTTTCTATTAGTCACCTTATTTATTCATTTTGTTGCAATTATTGCTCTTTTCTCCTGAAAATATGTACAAACTCATACTCACACAAACACTCACTTAATACTTTTCTTACACCTAAGATTTATCTTCAGAGTAATATGTGTATATTTAACTCTATGTAAATTTGAAGGGCTGGGTTGCCCCTCCACACCTGTGGGTGTTTCTCGTTAGGTGGAATGAGAGACTTGGAAAAGAAAGAGACACAGAGAAAAAGTATAGAGAAAAAAAAATCAGCCCAGGGGACCAGCGTTCAGCATAAGGGGGAACCGCGCCTGCCTGCCGTGGCCTCTGAGTTCCCTTAGTATTTATTGATCATTATCGGGCATTTCCCAGAGAGGGGGATGTGGCAAGACAATAGGGTAATAGTGGAGAGAAGGTCAGTAAGAAAACGCGTGAACAAAGGTCTCTGCATCATAAACAAGGTAAAGAAAAAAGTGCTGTGCTTTTGATGTGCATATACATAAACATCTCAATGCATTAAAGAGCAGTACTGCTGCCAGCATGTCTCACCTCCAGCCCTAAGGCAGTTTTCCCCTATCTCAGTAGATGGAATATACAATTGGACTTTACACTGAGACATTCCATTGCCCATGGATGAGCAGGAGACAGAGGCCTTCCTCTTATCTCAACTGCAAAGAGGTCTTCCTCTTTCACTAATCTTCCCCAGCACAGACCCTTTATGGGTGTTGGGCTGGGGGATGGTCAGGTCTTTCCCTTCCCATGAGGCCATATCTCAGGTTATCACATGGGGAGAAACCTTGGACAATACCTGGCTTTCCTAGGCAGAGGTCCCTGCGGTCTTCCACAGTGTTTTGCATCTCTGGGTACTTGAGATTAGGGAGTGGTGATGACTCTTAAGGAGCATGCTGCCTTCAAGCATCTGTTTAACAAAGCACATCTTGCACAACCCTTAATCCATTTAACCCTGAGTTGACACAGCACACGTCTCAGGGAGCACAGGGTTGGGGGTAGGGTTACAGATTAACAGCATCTCAAGGCAGAAGAATTTTTCTTAGTACAGAACAAAATGGAGTCTCATGTCTACTTTCTACACAGACACAGTAACAATCTGATTTCTCTCACTTTTCCCCACATAAATTAAAACTAAAAGTCTATATGTTCGCAGGCAGAGAGACCAAATGTTAAAAGAAAACTATATAACAAATATTTAATAATTTTTCAGGACTCAGAAATGTAAGGATTTTATTTATATTTCTTTCTCTTTTTTTGAGATGAAGTCTCGCTCTGTCAACCAGGCTGGAGTGCAATGGCATGATCTTGCCTTACTGCAACCTCCACCTCTGGAGTTAAAAGTGATTTTCCTGACTCAGCCTCTAGGCGTGTGCCACCATGCTCAACTAAATTTTTTATGTTTAGTACAGATGGGATTTCACCATGTTGGGCAAAATGGTCTTGAAATCCTGACACCAGGCAATCCTTCTCACTAAATTATACACTAAAAATGTATAATTACAGTTTGTAATAAAAGGATAAATGCTACAAGTGATGGATACCTTTTTTTTTTAACAGAGTCTCACTCTGTCACCAGGCTGAAGTGCAGTGGTGCATTCTGAGCTCACTGCAATTTCCACCTCCCAGGTTCAAGTGATTCTCCTGCCTTAGCTTCCCAAGTAGCTGGGATTCCAGGTTACAGATGCGCACCACCGTGCCCAACTAATATTTTTATTTTAAATAGAGATGGGGTTTCACCATGTTGGCCAGGATGGTCTTAATCTCGTGACCTCATGATTCACGCACCTCGGCCTCCCAAAGTGCTGGGATTACAGGCATGAGCCACCACACCCAGCTGATGGCTATCTTATTTACCCTAAAGTAATTACTATATATTATATGCCTAACTCAAAATATGCCATATAAGGCATAAATATATACACATACTACATACTCATAAATACTAATAATACATTTCAATAAGAATAAAGAATAAAAATTTGACCTATGGGAACAATATTCTTCAATACATTTACAGTTTAAAGCCATTGGCAAAGTGATTACTAGAGATGTTATTCCACTATATACCAAATAGTATATTGCTACCATCTTTTATTTACACGCTTGGGTAAGGAGAAATAGTTTAAAGTTAGTGGCATAATAATGCTTCATTAAAAAAAATGCTTCATTAAATGCACAATAGGCTTAACATGGTAAAAAAATTAAGTTCACACATAATCTAACAATTTTTAAATGTAATACATTTTATTACTTAAAAGTACAATTAGTAAAATACTAATTTATTTTATTTTATTTTTATTTATTTATTTATTTATTTACTTATTGAGGCTGAGTCATGCTCTGTCCCCCAGGCTGTAGTGCAGTGGCACGATCTCGGCTCACTGCAACCTCCACCTCCCGGGTTCACACCATTCTCCTGCCTCAGCCTCCCGAGTAGCTGGGACTACAGGCGCCTGCCACCTCACCCGGCTAATTTTTTGTATATTTAGTAGAGACAGGGTTTCAATGTGTTGCCAGGATGGTCTCGATCTCCTGACCTCGTGATCCGTCCACCTCAGCCTCCCAAAGTGCTGGGATTACAGGCATGAGCCACGGCGCCCAGCCTGCAATACTAATTTATTTTAATACTTTTGACTATAATTAATAATTTATTTCTCTCACTATAATGTAGAAAAGTATTACTCTGAACCCTCAGCTTATTGTTTACCTTTGTTTATTGATAAAGTAATTCTTTATGATTTTTGAAAAAAAGGTTTAAAATGTTCTGCGTATATGTTAATGTAGGTTAGGCCATCCAAAAGACAAAGCAAAGTGTCAACATTAAGTCATAGGCTAGGATTACACAAATGAGAACACAAACCACCACCTTATACATTACTTAATAGAGGTTTACTACAAAGAGCCTCTCCACTTACATTTTCATCATGCATCTTACATTTTAATGTTCTTACTCTTTTATAGAAAAGGTAATAAATAATGCCCAACTAATAAAAAACAATGTCTAGTATCTCTGATGCATCAACAATTGATCACATGCTTTCATGTGTGAATAATATAGGAATAAAATAACAGCATAAAGTAACTTGAAACCTGTATTACATCATTATTCACTTTTCAAAAAATTTTTTTCAAGCGAATAAGTATACTTTCTTTTTTTTTTTTTTGAGACAGAGTCTTGCTGTGTCGCCCAGGCTGGAGTGCAGTGGTGTGATCTCGGCTCACTGTAAGCTCCACCTCCAGGGTTCACACCATTCTCCTGCCTAAGCCTCCTGAGTAGCTGGGACTACAGGTGTGTGCAACCACATCCAGCTAATTTTTTTGTATTTTTAGTAGAGACAAGGTTTCACCATGTTAGCCAGGATGGTCTTGATCTCCTGACCTCGTGATCTGCCCACCTCTGCCTCCCAAAGTGCTGGGATTACAGGCATGAGCCACTGCTCAAGGCCGCAAATAAGTATACTTTCAATAGAATTACCATGCTTCAAAAATCTACTCCTTTTAAAGTTATATACAAGCAATTTATCTAACAGCTGTAGCTGTAGATTAGTTTTTATACTCAACACTGATTTGCTGTAATGTCTGAAATGTCAGTGCCTTAGTTATTCTACCGTAAATTCTCTGATATTTACATAAAATCAATTTTAAATTAATTTTTTTTATATTTACTGCATCTGCAAAAATATATTTTAGTATAAACTCTCTGGTGTTTTCTAAGCTGTAGTTTTTGAAATATAAGTGTTTTTAAATTCATTATATTTCAGGACTCTTCTCCAATATAAATTCCAATGTTGAACAAAGCTTGAGCAACTGCTTCAGGGTTTTCCTCTAGTACAAAATGTGTGCAATAAGATCTATGATGCAAGTAAAGGCACTACAACCCCCTTTATATTTCTAATGGCTGTCTTTAGAAGAAATATTCTTCACTTCTTCCTGCTCTCCAGTATAACATTGTGCCTTTAAATGTACATTCCTGGCCAGGCAGGATGGCTCAAGTCTGTAATCCCAGCACTTTGGGAAGCTGAGGTCGGTGAATCACAAGGGTAAGTAAGTGTTCAAGACCAGCCTGGCCAAGATGGTAAAAACCCGTCTCTACTAAAAATAAAAAGCATTAGCCAGGCATGGTAACAGGTACCTGTAATCCAGCTACTTGGGAGGCTGAGGCAGGAGAATTGCTTGAACTCTGGAGGCAGAGACTGTTGTTAGCCAAGATAATGTCACTGCACTCCAGCCTAAGTAACAGAGTGAGACTCTGTCTCACACACACACAAATGTAAATTGCCAACTCCTGGTTTCTTTTTAAAAAAACAAGAAAAATATTGGCACATACATCTTTATTTCTGGCTTCTAGGGACTTTTTAAGGCACTGGTTAAGGTCTCCCACAACATAAAATGCTGAAAGAAATGGTGATATATGTTGGAATGACAGTTTGAGTCTGCCAAGGCTTAAGGTAAATGTTACAAAAGCAGAGAAACTGCAGTACCCCAAACAGGAAATGGGTGTAGCAAGTGATTACTGATTATTAAGAAGAAATATTAATAAACTGATTTAACTAAACAATAAACACAAAATTTTAGACAAGACACCTCCTAAAAACAGGTTTGAGAAATTCCCAGAATCTCTAGCCAAGACAATTGATTTCAGACTATGCCAGGACAGAGCTATATTATAAAGATTGTAACAGGTGGCTTTT
Organism: Homo sapiens; assembly: GCF_000001405.40. Classification (NCBI taxonomy): domain Eukaryota; kingdom Metazoa; phylum Chordata; class Mammalia; order Primates; family Hominidae; genus Homo; species Homo sapiens. The sequence goes on along the minus strand of NC_000019.10, from coordinate 20,462,760 downwards.
TGTTAATGTTCAAATATCGATCAAAGATTACAATGTATACAAAATATTAAGGCAACATTGCCCCATCAAAAAAATTATAAAATTTTCAAAAGCAATCATTAAAAATGTATAAAGTAATTTTAAAAATTCAAAATAGATTGAACAGACCATATTTGGAGGCTCATTCCTGTAATCCCAACACAATGGGAGGCCAAGGTGGTAGAATCACAGGTCAGGAGTTGGAGACCAGCCTGGCCAACATGGTGAAACCCTGTATGTACTAAAAATACAAACATTAGTGGGCCTGGTGGTATCTGACTGTAATCCTAGCTACGTGGGATGCTGACACAGGAGAATTGCTTGAATCCAGGAAGGGAAGTTTGCGGTGAGTGGAGATGTGCCACTGCACTAAAGCTTGGGCAACAGAGCAAGACTCTGTCTCAAAAATAAAATAAAATAGGCCAAGCATGGTGGCTCACACCTGTAATCCCAACACATTGAGAGGCTGAGATGGGCAGTTCATTTGAAATCAGGAATTCAAGATCAGCCTAGCCAACATGGGGAAAACCCACCTCATTTAAAAACACAAAAAATTAGCCAGGCATACTGGCAGGTGCCTGTAATCCCAGTTCCTCAGGAGGCTGAGGCAGGAGAATTGCATGAATCCAGGAGGCAGAGGTTGCAGTGAGCCGAGATCACACAACTGCACTCCAGCTTGGGTGAAAGGGTGAGACCCCATCTCAGAAAAAAAAAAAAAAAAAGAATAATAAATAAATAAAATAAATTGAATAATATCCAGGAAGTTATATAGAAACACAGACAACTACTGAAGATCGGAAAAATGAGATTAACCACAAAAAATATTAAAATAGCAGAAAATGAAAATAGTGGATGTAAAAAAAACTGAAAAATTTCTTAAAAGTAAGAAAAAATGGGGTAAACATGAAAAAGCTGAACAAACTAGGATACACTCAAACATATATTTATAACAAACACATATATAAGCAAAATTTCAAAAATCACAGATAAGAATTTTGCAAGCTGCAAGATAAATATAATAATAATCTATAAGCATAGTCTCATCAGATAACCAGTGAATTTATCAAAAAAATTTTTGCAGATCAGAAGGAAACTGTGATATTTTTAAAATTATAATTTCAAAATAAGTTGTCAAATGGGAGTATTACCATAAGAGCAAAATTGTACTACCAAATAGAAAGAAGTTCTTCCAAAATAACCAAATCTTGAGAATTATATTGGCACTGCATATGTCCTACATATCAAGAACGCTGAAAGGAGTTTCTTCTACAGAAAATAACGTAATGCAAGAAAACAACACATAATCATATGAAAATACATAAATTTCTGGGAAAGATATGTACACACATAAAAATAGAATTTCTTACTTAACATTATCATAATGGTACAGAAAACTTTTTTAATTATTCTTTAAAATTTAAAAGATAAATGTATAGAAATTATAAGCATCTGTTCATGAATATACAACATAAAAAATGTAATTAGTAAAGTCAGTAACAAAGTTTAAGGCAGATGTAATAAGAATTTTTGTATGCAACTGAAGCTAATTTCTTACTACATTAAAATATATTGTTGAATCTTTTAGAGGTTTTAGGTAATTCCCTAAGATACCACTAAAAAAAATCCATATGGATACACAAAAAACAATAAGAGAAAACTGAAAGCATGTCAATATAAAAATCAAAACAACACAAAAAGACAGAGAAAATGACACACAAGGATACAATAATCAAATAAAACAATTAAAATAACTAAGTTTTTCTCTTTCAGAAAACTATTTAAATATATACAATTATCTTTCCATTCAAGAGACATAATTTCAATAAAAAGGTTCATTAAAAAGTTTTAAAAATCAGACTCAACTTACCTTTTTAAAGAGTCAGTTGAGATCTAATGACAAGAAAAGACTGAAAGTTGCAAGACAAAAGTAGAATTTTTATATAAATATTAACCAAATTACAGCAGAAGAGGTCAAAATAATATTACACAAGCTACATCTTAAGTAAAAAAACTGTCATATTTTATAAAATGTACTTTAAGTCAAAACTTCAAAAAGACAAAGAAGGGCGTTAAACAATATATAGATTCATTCACTGGGAACCTATGACAAATTTGTTTATACACGTGTGTGTATTTTTCTGTGTGTGTCTCAAATTAGGGTTTCAATTATATCAAGCAAATACTAACAAAATTGAATACAGAGAGAGCAATATGATTATAGTAGGATATTTCAATACCCCACTTTCTGTAATAATAATAAAACAAGACATAATATTAGTAATGGAACAGAGGACTAGAAGGCAGTAAAAAACAATTATTTCTAATGAAGGTATAGAGAACACTCCTCAACAACATCAGGATACACAGCCTTCTCGATAGCTCATACAATATTCTTCTTTATAGACCACCTGTTAGGCCAAAAACAAAGTCTTAACACATTATTTACAACTGAAATTTCATAGATTATTTTCTATGACAAAAATAGAATTAGAGTACAAAACAATAATATAAATAAATGATAAATTTACATCTATATAGAAATGATACAACACACTCTTGAGCATGCACTTGTTGAAATAACTGGGCTGGGTGCAGTGGTTCATGCCTGTAATCCTAGCATTTTGGGAGGCTGAGGTGGGTGAATTTAACCCCATCTCAAAAACAAACAATGAAAAAAGAAATAATTAATATTGTGAAGATGTCTATACTGCTCAATTTAATCTACAGATTTAATACAATCTTTCTCAAATTTCTCATTGCATTTTTGAAGAAACAAAAACACCAACTCCAAAAGTATATGGAATCTAAAGAGATAATAAAGTACCCAACAATCTTGAGAAAAAGGAACAATGTTGGAGGCATTACAATTTCTGATTTCAAACACATCAAAAACGTATAGAATTACAACAATTCGGTATGATTATAAAGGTGAAAATGTAGACTAATAAAACAGAATGCAGCACATATATTAACTTTCACATAACTATTGTAACATTGTTACTGGAAGCCAATAGGTAAAAGCAATGCAAATTTCTGTCTCCAAATCATTCAGTAGATATAAAAATACTGGAATATCACTCAGATTTCAAAAAGCAGAAAATATTCTAACAACTATTAAGATAAATATTGATGACATTATGCAAAATAAAATAAGCCATCCACAAAGAGACAGAGATTGTATGAGATATACAAAGCAATTATACTCTTAGAAACAGAAAACAGAGTGGTGTTTGAAAAGTACCACAAAATGAGAAGAATTGGTAGTTGTTTCTTTCTTTCTTTATTATTATTATTTTTTTTTTGAAACCGAGTTAGGACCTTGTTGCCCAGGCTGGAGTGCAGTGGTGCGATCTTGGCTCACCGCAACCTCCACCTCCCGCGTTCAAGCGATTCTCCTGCCTCAGGCTCCCAAGTAGCTGAGATTACAGGCATGCGCCACCATGCCCGGCTAATTTTGTTGTATTTTTAGTAGAGACGGGGTTTCTGCACATTGGTCAGGTTGGTCTTGAACTCCTGACCTCAGATGATTCGCCTGCTTCGGCCTCCCAAAGTAATGGGATTACAGGCGTGAGCTACCGCGCCCGGCCCTAGAATTGGTAGTTGTTTAATGACTATTGAGAATTAGCTTTGCAAGATAAAAATATTCTAGTGATATGTTGCATAACAATGTCAACAGAATTAATATGACCAAACTGAATATTTAGAAGCATATATATATTTATATACATATATATATACTTATTTTTCTTTTAAAATGGAGTCTCACCCTTCCTCCCAGGCTGGAGTGCAGCGGCACAACTTCGGCTCAGTGCAACCTCCACCTCCTGTGTTCAAGCGATTCCCCTGCCTCGCCCTCCTGAGTAGCTGGGATTACAGGCACCCGCCACCTAAGCCCAGCTAATTTTTTGCATTTTTGTAGAGACGGGGTTGCACCATGTTGGCCAGGATGGTCTCAATCTCCTGACCTCGTGATCCACCCGCCTCGGCCTCCCAAAGTTCTGGGATTACAGGTGTGAGCCACTGTGCCCAGCCTAGAAATATTTTATTGTAAATTTTGTTATGTGTTTTTGACACATAACACATTTCTTTAGGTGTTTCTCCCCCACCGAAAAAATATAGATTCACACATAAATAAATGCTGAAATCAGGAGAATTTTTATGACTACTCACCTAGACAGGATTAAAAAACTGTTACAGACTGGGAATGGTGGCTCACACCTATAATCACAGCACATTGGGAGGCTGAGGCAGGCAGATCACCTGAGGTCAGGAGTTCAAGACCAGCCTGACCAACATGGAGAAACCCCGTCTCTACTAAAAATACAAAATTCGCTGGGCATGGTGGTGCATGCCTGTAATCTCAGCTACTCAGGAGGCTGAGGCAGGAGAATCACTTGAACCCAGGAGGCGGAGGTTGCAGTGAGCTGAGGTCACACCATTGTACTCCAGCATGAGCAACAAGAGCAAACCTCTCTTCCAAAAAAAAAAAAAAAACTGTTACAGCAAACCTACACAATAAATATACAAGTGACAAAAAATACAAAGATAATATTTATCCAGGCAAACAAACATATAAATAATTATATTGGCAATAGACATATGGCTTATTCATATTTAATTTTGCTCCATACTGTCTTAAATTGTACAGAGTTAAAAATTGTCATATACAATTATAATATAAACTAAAAAATTAAAATACAATTAACTGGTGTGATGTGGCATACCCAAAATATATATAACACAAAAATATAAAATTGTGGAACAAAAGTAAAACATAGAATATAAAACTTATTGGATACCATGAAGTAGATCAATGTATTCATGAAACAAATCTTAGAATATAGGGAAAAAGTAATATAGAGGTTACACGAAGATTAAAAAAACTGAAAACTTCCCCAATTTTGATGTAACAAAAAAAATTTCTAACAATACTCGATTCAAAATTACTTTACTTCAAAAAGAAGATAAAAATAAAGACTTTCCAAAATAAAAGGTGAGAGTATTCATCACAACTATCACTGTCTCTCATAATATAATACATGGGCCTGGGTGCACTGGCTCATGCCTGTAATCCCAGCACTTTGGGAGGTCAAGGTGGGTGGGTTGCCTGAGGTGAGGAGTTCGAGATCAGCCTGACCAACATGGTGAAACCCCATTTCTACTAAAAATGCAAAGATTACCCAGGCATGGTGGCACACACCTGTAGTCCCAGCTACTCAGGAGGCTGAGGCAGAATTGCTTGAACCCAGGAGGTGGGAGTTGCAGTGAGTCAAAATCATGCCATTGCACTCCAGCCTGGGAGACAGAGTGAGACTCACTCTTAAAAAAATTTAAAAAAATAAAAGCCGGGCACGGTTTCTCAAGCCTGTAATCCCAGCACTTTGAAAGGCCAAGGCGGGTAGATCACCCGAGGTCAGGAGTTTGAGAGCAGCATGGCCAACATGGTGAATCTCCATCTCTACTAAAACTACAAAAAAAAAAAAATTAGCTGCGCATTGTGGCATGCTCCTGTAACCCCAGCTCCTCGGGAGGGAGGCTTAGGCAAGAGAATCGCATGAGCCTGGGAGGCGAAAACTGCAGTGAGCCAAGATCGTGCCACTGCACTTTAGCCTGAGCTAGGAGAGAAAGACTCCGTCTCAAAAAAAAAAAAAAGTAAAAAAAAATACTACAAGAGGCTCAGGCACAATTGTTCATGTCTGTAATCCTACATCTTTCAGAGGCCAAAGCAGTCATATCACTGGAGACCAAAAGTTCAACATCAACCTGAACAACATAATGAGATTCTATATCTAAAAATACAGAAATGTTAGAATGTGTCCATTATGTTGAAACACAAATTGACCCTGGACAGCATCATAAAAACATATATAAATATAAAGCTATACACTAATGTAAATAAATGGACACATATGGAATTCTTTACTATCAAAATGATGGTACAGGCTGGAAGTGGTGGCTCACACCTGTAATCCCAGCACTTTGGGAAGCTGAGGCGGGCAGATAACTTGAAGTCAGGAGTTCCAGACCAGCCTGGCCAACATGGTGAAACTCCATCTATACTAAAAATACAAACAATTAGCAGGGCATGGTGGTAGGCACCTGTAATCCCAGCCTCTCAGGAGGCTGAGGAAGAAGAATTGCTTGAAGCCGAGAGGTGGAGGTTGCAGTGAGCCAAGATCGCACCACTGCACTCCATCCTGGGAAATGGAGCAAGACTCAGTCTGAAAAAAATAATCCCACACCAAACAAAACAAAACAAAAAAACCAAAATGATGGTACATAAAACCTTTAAAGTGCTTTTATGGAATATAAAAAACAATATGTAAATCCGCATAAATCTGTGAATAGATACACCATATAAACTAGGTGAGGCATTCAACACTAGACTGGTCAAGATGGTGAAACCCCATCTCTACTAAAACAAACAAAAATAGCTGGGCGTGGTGGCAGGAGCTTAAAATCCCAGCTACTCAGGAGGCTGAGGCAGAGAATCCCTTGAACCAGGGCGACGGAGGTTGTAGTGAGCCAAGATCGTGCCACTGCACTACAGCCTGGGCGACAGAGGGAGACTCCATCTCAAAAAATAATAATAATAATTTTAATATTAACAACAAACTGGAAAATACAGAAGCATAGTTTTTGTATTCAATGGAGGCCGTTATAAGATTAAAATATATTGTTTTTTAACTTTAAGGTGTATGTAATCTTCAGTTTTCAAGCTGATTACAAAGATAATATTTATAGAAAGTATGCAAAAGAAAACAAAATATAATCAAAGCATGCTAGTACAAGATTAAGTGAAAATTAAGAAAGTAAAACAGAAAATGAGAAAAATATAACTACTAGAAACACATAAAACAATAACAGTATAACTGGTAATAACAACTTCATTTTTTAAGCAATTATTTTAAATATAAATTAATTAAACTACTTAATAAAATGAAATGTAATCTTAGGACTTTGGAAGGCCAAGGTGGGCTGATCACTTGATCTCAGTAGTTCAACAGGAGCCTGGGCAAATGGCAAAACTCTGTCTCTACAAAAAATACAAAAAAGCAAGCTGGGTGTGACGGCAAAAATGTGTAACCCAGCTATTTGAGAAGCTGAAGTGAGAGGAACATCTGAGTTTGGGAGGTTCGGGCAGCAGTGAGCCCTGCAAATCAGCCTGGTTAACCAAGTGAGACCCTATTTGAAATATAAATGAGGCTTGGCACGGGGGTTCACGCCTGTAATCCCAGCACTTTGAGAGGCGGAGGCAGATGAATCACAAGGTCAGGAGTTCGAGACAAGCCTGGCCAATACGGTTAAACCCTGTCTCGATGAAAAATACAAAAATCTGCCAGATGTTGTGGCACAAGCCTGTAGTCCCAGCAATTTGGGAGGCTGTGGCAGAAGAATTGCTTGAACCTGGGAGGCAGAGGTTGCAGTGAGCTGAGATCATGCCACTGCACTCCAGCCTGGGCAGCAGAGTGAGACTCTGTCCCCCCCAAAAAAACAGAAACCTTCATTAAAGAAACACACTAATGTGAAACTTCAAAACAATAATAAGAGAAGAGTTTACTCATAAAACCTGGTATGCAACATTGATGTATCATTAAAAAGAATTTGTCAGGCTGGGTGCATTGGCTCACATCTGTAATCTCAGCACTATGGGAGGCTGAGGCGGGCAGATCACCTGAGGTCAGGAATTTAAGACCAACCTTGCCAACGTGATGAAACCTCATCTCACATAAAAATACAAAAATTAGCCAGGTGTGGTGGCACATACCTGTAATTCCAGCTACTTGGGAGGCTGAGGCATGAAAACTGCTTGAACCCAGGATGTGGAGTTTCCAGTGAGCCAAGATTGCAGCACTGCACTCCAGCCTGGGTGACAGGCTGTGAGTCCATCTCAAAAAAATAATTTAAAAAAATTTGTCTGGGTAACTGCAATATTTAGCTGTTACTGTGTACTCATTAAATGCAGGTATTTTGAATCATTGGCATGCACTGTGTGGCAGTAAAATTTCAGAAAATATGCAGTATAATCATAAATAGAAGATTCTAATGAGAAACTTTTAATAAATAAGCATTTAAAAAAACTAGAGTTAGTTTTATGTTTTGAATATGTTATTCTTACACAAAATGAAACTGCTGTATTCTAACTTTAGAAGCAAAGAATAGTCTTACATTGTTAAAGACAGAAAATATACATGTATATATTGCAGAATAGAATTAGATCCTCTGATATGTAAAACAAATATTGGGAAATAAACTATGTTATTATTTATATATAGGCTGAAGAAAGTAGATGAAAATCCTATAATTCTTTTTTGCCTGTAGCAAACTTACATTTATAAGTAACTCTTTTAGTAAATATGGAGTACCTACTAATTTTCTAACTACATCAGGCATACCATGCAAATTCTAGCATATTGTCCTAAATATCTGAATCTAAAATTACAGAAAAATTTGAAATAGAAAATGGAAAGTAAAAATGTATAGGGAGAGTGACATCAGTAAGATGAAAAGATTAAAAGTCCCCTACATTCATATCCCCTTACAGCAAAATAATGTCAGCCATCCCTGACAAAAATGCCTTTATGAGAGAACCAGGCATTATGGCTCACACCTGTAATGACAGCTACATCGTACATTAAGGTGGAAAAACTGCTTCAGGCCAGAATTTTGAGACCAGCCTGGGTTATGTAGCAAGACCCCATCTCCAAAATAAGTGCCTGTAAGAGAGATTTGAGATCCAGGGAAGGAGTGATGAAACTCTGTTAAAGCTTAGGATTGAAAAGTGTTCTACTCAGAAAGCAGGCCCTCAATTAGGTGGGAAAGTGCAGGATTCCTGTTTATGGCTACAGACCAGGATAGAGTTCACCCAACTTGGTCCCAAACTGAGATTCTGAGAATTCTGAACTTATCATATAACCGTCCCAAACTCCTCCCAGCCACTGTCTGGGAGAGGTCCTGCCATTCTAGAGACCCAGAGGAAGGCACCTATTTACAGCCATGCAGGCAGGTCTGCAGACCTTGGCCTTTACTCAGGTCCCTGAAGTGGTTCAATGACTCAGTTTCAGTTACCTGAGCCACAGTTTATGATCAGTTCTTCCTGCATAGAAACCCACACAGTTACCTGAGGAAATGCTCTCTCATACTCATGAAAGCCACACTCATCCACATCCTGATTTAAGGCCCAGCATATGCAGACTCGACTGCAAAAACATGCTGTAGTGCCTGCCCTACTGAGAAAAGTACTGAAGGATATTTAGTCTGTCCAAAAATAAAATGGGAATTACAACAACCCAAGCCCCTGTAACAAGCCAACTAAGGGTGAACCCTAGTGCAGACCTAGCAGCCTTGTGACCAAGCTACAATCCCTCTTCACTACAAATTCAGATGGCATCTCATCACCCTAAGGAACCAATAAAAGAAGATCTTTACAATCTAAAATCAGTTTACAAAAACTTGAAGAGGTGTCTGCTCCATCAAATTCAGACACCAATACAAAACTATATTGTGCCCTTTGTCAATTCTTCTATTTTAATGTAGCACTGGAAGTATGTAACAGAAGAATTAGTCAAAGAAATTTAAAAAAAACCATTGAAATTGAAAAATGAGTAAAAAGTTGCTGTTTGTAGGTCATACAATCATACATTTAAAAAACTATAAACAGTACATTAAAGCCTATCTAAACTAATAAATACACTCAGTAAATCAGCAAAATATAAAATTAACATACAAGTGTATGTATGGTTTCATGCACTTAAACTGTCTGATAAAGAAAAACGTTTATTTACTAGAGCATTAATTAGTAAATTTCTGAGGAAAAAATTAACCAAGGAGGTAAAACATTTTTACAATAAAAAAATAAATAAATTAGAGAAGATCCAAATAAATTTTAAAATATTTTGTCTATGGCTTGAAAGAATAAATATTATTGTAGTGCCATATTATCCAAAGTAATCTATAGATTCAATAAACTTCCTATCAAAATTGCTGTGGTTTTTTTTCACAGTAATGGAAAATACAATTCTAAAATTTACATGAAACTAAAATAAATTTTGAATAGCCGAAGCAATCATGAAGACAAAGAACAAAGCAGAAGGATATCATACTTATAATTTGAAACTATATTTCAAGGCCACATAATAATAAAAACAGAATGGACTGTGCAGAAAAATGAACAAAAAAATGCAACAGAAACTACTACTTTCACACATTTCAAACCTGATGAAAAAAGGGAACTTAAAACATAGTTTTAGTTTCTCAACATCATGCAGATATTTGTGTGTCCCCAAAATAATGGAAAAGCAGTCAGATTGTGCAGTCTCTTCTATGCCATGAAGAGGACATTGGCTCTCACTGTGAACTTGAAGGAAGCTCACCAAAAGAAAAGCAGAATCCTTAGAGAATTTAAAAGCATAAGACAGAAGATGCCCCTTTGTGAGAGCAAAAAAAACACCTACCTGTGTGTTTGGCAATCATCACCTGTCTCTTCATGGTCAAAGTTTCTTTTCCTTGCTGTAGCCAGGTGATCAGGTCTGGGTTAGAGACAACAATACCTGTTTTATTAAAAATAAATACATAAATTTTTCTCATATTCTCCAATTACAAGCTAGTAATGTGCTCAGCAGAGAGAATGTGATAAAATATTCTAGCAAATTAATAGCAAAATACTAAGTTATAACAGAAATTTCTAAATATTTAGAAAATACTTTCAATTTGTGGGTTTCTTAATTTTACTACCTGGTACTGCTGAATCAAAAATTGGTGGTGGCAATTCGATTTTCAGGTGGGGACAAAAATATTTTATGCCACTAAATTTCTGGAATTACCACTAATTTAGAGTGAAGAATACAGCTCAACTCAGGAATGTGGAAAGTTTGGATTAAGATGAAACATCTTGAAGAAATTCTTTAATAAATGAACAAATTTTGAAGATTTTCTGGAAAAAGGGGATCTGAAAGTTTTTTATGCAAAGAATAAAGGTCTAAAAACATTCTACAAAAAAGAGAAATAGGCTGAGCATGTTGGCTTATGCCTGTAATTCCAGCACTTTGGGAGGCCAAGACGGGCATATCACCTGAGGTCAGGAGTTCGAGACCAGTGTGGCCAACATGGTGAAATCCCATCTCTACTAAAAATACAAAAATTAGCCGAGCGTGGTGGCAGTCACCTGTAATCCCAGCTACTTGGGAGGCTGAGGCAGGAGAATCACTGAACCCAGGAGGCTGAGGTTGCAGTGAGCAGAGATTGCACCATTGCACTCCAGCCTGGGCAACAGAGTGAGACTCCATCTCAAAAAATAAAAATAAAAAGAGAAATAAAATCTTTAGGATATATTATGAATTATGTACTCAAGTTATCCTCACCAAGGAAGACCAGGTGTCTGTAGTTCTCTAACATCACATCCCTATATAAATTGTGCTGTGCAGTGTCCAGGCAATGCCACTCCTCCAGAGAGAATTCTATAGCCACATCCCTAAATTGCAGTGGTCACTGTAAAGCACACACACACACACATTTTTACTAAGTTGCCATGAGCGGAATTTTTAATTTGACTTAAGGTGAAATGAGAGAGTAAAGAGCACTCATTCTGACTTATAGGACTGACTAAAATTATCCAATAAAATAATTTTCAACACAAATATTTTCTAATGTATTCTCTATCTCTGAGAAAAAAGAGCAGCATAATATCCACAAGATCAGTTCATATAATGATATTTTTCTGGATAATAAAGTATAAAATTAAGGACATGAACACAAACATGTATATTTTTGAGTGCTATATTTACATCATACAAAATGACTTGTGAATATTTTTCAGATGGAAAAGACATGTTGAGTTAGAAAGCACCTCTCAAATTTTGATGTGTAGAATAAGCTGAAGACCTTGTTTTGCAGGGTTTTTTTTTTTCCAGAAGATCTGGTATAAAGTCTGATTTTTAAATGTATTTATTTTGAGACAGAGTTTCACTCTTGTTGCTGAGACTGGAGTGCAATGGCATGATCTGGCTCACTGCAACCTCCACCTCCCGGATTCAAGCAATTATCCTGCCTTTGTCTCCTGCGTAGCTGGGGTTACAGGCATGCGTGACTACGCCTGGCTAATTTTTTTTTTTTTTTTTTTTTTAAAGTAGAGATGGGGTTTCTACATGTTGGTCAGGCTGGTCTCGAACTCACAACCTCAGGTGATCCACCCACTTCAGCCTCCCAAAGTGCTGGGATTACGGGCATGAGCCACCATGCTCAGCCAATTTTTTGAATTTCTAACAAGCTCACCAGTAATGCCAATGTTTTTGTCCCAAGAAGGATATTTTGTCAAATATTCAGTAAGTGCAAGAGTCGGTATTTTTCCCAGTTTTTCAAGCCTGTAAACAAAACTAAGAGCCTTCATTTACCAAAGAAAAATATGTAGAAAAACATAAGAAAAAAAGACAGCTGCCAGATTAAATGTGATCATTTATGCACATCAGCTGCATAAAGATACTTACTAATAAAGAGAAAACTAATTAACTCCATAGTAAAAAAAAATCTGTCAGCAATTTCACTAAGTGATTCATTAATCATTAACTGCAGGAGGACAAATTTTTATGACGTGCTAATGCACACAGGAGAACACAGCATCACTGTTGAAATATTCTTTCCCCAAAAAAGTAAATAGAATCTGAATTTAACCATAAAGAAACATCAGTTTTATGGAAACTTCAAAATACAAATAACTCCTATGTTCTGTAATTGTTAGTAGTAATTTTAAGGAGGCTTCATTTGCCACCCTAGAGAGCAGATATCTCCTAATTTTTTTTCAGAACTTTCTGAGTAATAAATGTCATCCCAGTTAAATAAGGATTTTCTTAATCTTCTTCTGCATAGAGCTAATGGAACACACAGATGGAGCCGTAACATTACATGTTCTCCATCTTTACTAAGTACCACAGTTTTCTCCAGTAGAAATCTTGAGTATCCACATCTTTTCATGTTCAACAGCCACAAAGGGAATATTTTTAATATTGCAGATCATAAATTCTTGCTGATAATCCTGCATGACATATAAGAAGCTATGATGTAGAGAATGTAGGGAGGGCTCTGGGATATAGGAAAAAAATATTTTTCAGAGACCCTTGACTATCATAAGAATTTTAAGAAGTAGTTAAATCAAAATCATTAGGGAGGAAAAACACAAGTAGAGAAGTAAAGGTTTGTGGGTACTAAATGCATGGCAGTCCAGGAGGCAGAGTGGACATAGCTCTTCATCTGACACATGTTTACCTGAAGAAAAGCCATTTTTTTTCTTTCTCCTCCTTCTCTAGAATTCCTTCTCAGATGAGACTCTCTGAACAAATTACACCTGCATATGGAGAATATGCCTTTAAAGGTGTCAGTACCACATGTTTACCTGCTAGCATGACATCAACTGGCAGAAAAAGACAGAAAAAGTCCACCCATTTCTGTCATTTAAAACAGAAGAAGTTCAGGAATAATGAGCTGCTCCATGAAGATAAAAATATAAATTTCTCCTTTTCTGTCTTCAGGTGCCCTCCCCTGCCAGAGACACCAGCAATTTCTGCTACAGTAATGCAAATATGTGCCACACTGACCTTTCCCTACCAAATCCAAACAGCACCACCCCTGTGACTGCTGTTTAGTGCAAAGATGGAACTTAATGCTCATGAATGTATTTTGAAACCCTCATACTTGATTCTGGCCTCACCTTAGAGTCACATGAGGCCCTTCACTCAAAAACATGGATCCTTCCACCCACAACAATAAACAGAAGCTGTGGGGAGGGCACAAGAGATTTCTGCAAATTAGCCATTTGATCCTAATGAGAAGCCTGGGCTGATAACCACTAAGCTAAGCATTGCCTCTCAGGCTTTAACGAGCTTATAAATGACTTGGTAATTTTGGCCCCACTTTATGTAATGTGATTCTGCAGGTTTGAAAAGAGTCCATGAATGGGCATTTTAAACAAGTCCCCTGTCAGTGCTGATGTTGCTTCCCCTTGTCTCATTACTAGCATTAGTTAGAGAAAGCAGGCACAGCCCATGGTCTCTTAACACTCAGCACTCTTGTCGCAATCAAACACTTCTGGGTACAAATATGGACAACCCATCTCCATCCTAAAGTTTTATATTCTTTGCTGTCTCTTTAAAGTTTACAGAGGAAACAGAAGGCAGTAATGTCTGAATAAGTCTGGATTTAAAAAACAGCATGTACACATGTACTAATACAATGCTTATTAAACAGGTACTATGTGCTCAAAACTAGGATACAGAGGACTGTACTGGGCATAACATATTATGTGATTTAATTCTCATAATGCCCTGAAATCTGGTACTCAATTTTTTGTTTGTTTGTTTGTTGTTTTTGTTTTTGTTTTTTTGAGATGGAGTCTTGCTCTGTGCCCAGGCTGGAGAGCAGTGGCACAATCTCGGCTCACTGCAAGCTCCACCTCCCGGGTTGATGCCATTCTCCTGTCTCAGTCTCCTGAGTAGCTGGGACTACAGGCATCCACCACAGCACCTAGTTAATTTTTTGTATTTTTAGTAGAGACAGGGTTTCACCATGGTCTCGATCTCCTGACCTCGTGATCCGCCCGCCTCGGCCTCCCAAAGTGCTGGGATTACAGGCAAGAGCCACCACGCCCGGCTGGTACTCAGTGTTTAATAATTTCCAGGATTTAGATAAAGGGCCCAGCATTTTTATTTCTTCTTCTATTTCTCTTTCTCAAATTTTTAATAAAATTGTACAGAATAAAAGCTAAATACAGACAGGTGAAAGAGATATAATAAAGGAAGAGTTTAACGTAGTTTAGAGAAAATTTTATTCTCTTTATATTTACTTTTTTGTGACTTGTGGAGCAATTACTGGATCTGCAGGGGAAAAAACCAGTTGCTAAATAGAATGTCTCTCCAAGCACTGGTTTTAATAGAGCCTTTAAAAACTAAGACCCTAAAATACATTCTTTATTTTTCCCATTTATCTGCTTTTGGGTTTCAGGAAATTGTGAACACCAGCTCTAGAAAGACAGCAGGATTCACCAGCCAAAACTCTGATCTCTTCTACTCAGTTCTGTGAGGCCAGACTCCAAGGTACAGTCAGACCTAAATAAGGCCTCCAAAAAGGATAAATCTGAACAGGTCTGAGACACTGCAGTGAGGACCCTATGTTGAATTCTGTTCTCCATGCCACTGAAGTACCACCAGTTTTGTTTTTTCTAAGCTTACCTAAAAGAAACTTAAATCCCAGAGATTCTGTAATTTTAATCTTTTCTAGACACTGCTTTGTCAACTTTATACTATGTACTAATATGCAATTTAAACAAATCCCTTAAGGTTTTCTAGGCTAGTTTTTCATTTATTTATTTATTTATTTATTTATTTATTTATTTATTTGAGAGGGAGTTTCACTCTGTTGCCCAGGCTGGAGTGCAGTGTTGCCATCTCAGCTCACTGCAACTCCCACCTCCTGGGTTCAAGTGATTCTTCTGCCTCATCCTCCAGAGTAGGTGGAACTACAGGTGTGCACCGCAATGCCCAGCTAATTTTTGTATTAATAGTAGAGACGGTGTTTCACCATGTTGGCCAGGCTGGTCTCAAACTCCTGACCTCATGATCCACCTGTCTATGCCCCCACAAAGTGCTTGGATTACAGGTTTCAGCCACCATGCCTGGCCTTTCTAGGGAAATTTTATTAGAAAATAAATATGTACACTAAGCAAAGTAAAAGAAATAGAAATTATAAGGCTGGGCATGGTGGTTCACACATGTAATCCCAGCAATTTGGGAGCCCAAGGCCAGTGGATCATGAGGTCAGGAGTTTGAGACCAGACTGACCAATATGGTAAAACCCCATATCTACCTAAAATACAAAAATTAGCTGGGTGAGGTGGCAGGCACCTGTAATCCCAGCTACTCAGGAGGCTGAAGCAGGAGAATCACTTGAACCAGGGCAGCAGAGGTTGCAGTGAGCTGAGATCACACCACTGTACTCCAGCCTAGGCAACAGACTCGGTCTCAAGAAAAAGAAATTATAATAACAAGGCTGTTCATAAGTATGCCTTCAGATGTAGACATCAGAAGTCACAACAATATAAAGAAAGTGGCCTAAATAAAGCCCAAGATTTTGGACACATCTATTTGTTGGACCAACCATATGATGCACAATTCAATTTTTTATCCAGTTGCTAGTCTAGACTAAAAGTTTCTGGATTGTAGGAACCATGACTGCTTCATGTATTTTTTTTAACGGCCATATAAAATGGAAGAAACTAGTTTATCTATTTGGGCCTCCAGATTTACTCCTTGTTTATCATCCAAATACCAGGACACTGGAGAAATTCTCATCTGGGTACCAACCGAAGACACCTCTTGTATGAGGGGAGGAACAAACACAGGATGATTCATTTCTCTTATACTAAGACAGAAACAGAATTAGCCACTCTTCTCAGCCTGACACAATTCTGCTCTGGACATCCTCAAATACCTCAAAGACATCTAGGTGATTTTGAAGGAATTCCCAGTGACCCTGAGCTGATAGCCCAATGATAATCCAGTCGGGAGAGGCTCAGGCTGATTCTAAATAGAAAATGAAACTGCCTTGCTGGAGCTCCAGAACCTGGATTACCTGTCCTGATTTGCTAGCTCTTGCATAAAAGAAAGAAAAAAATACTCATTTTACAGGTAAAATACAAAAATCACATTTTACAGGTAAACATAGTTGTGGTTATAGCTCTGGATACTTTGTGGCCTTGATCTCTTACTCCTAAGATGCTTATTTACACTTACAGATTCTGCCATCAGATGCTATTTCCTCCTGGATACTCTGACATAACTGTCGCAGGTCAATGAACAAGATGTGAAAAATCTCATAATTCCACACTCCCAAATGGAGGCTGTAAGATATCTATGTTGACATCTCACAATGCAGAAAATGCCTTTTGTTAGTTTTCTGTACATTTTCTATCCAAAGTTTGGCCCTTTTCTGTAAATCCCAGGCAGTAGCCAGACCTTATCTGCAGATTCTAGGTAAAATAAACTTGTCTCTGCATCCTTTGGTGTCACAGCAAGAGGAGTACAATCAAAGGAGAGATGCCCTCATAGAGGCCCCTCTAGCACATTCTAAATGATAAGTGTACATTAAAAAAAAAAAAGCAGCCAGGTGCTGTGGCTCACACCTGTAATCCAAGCACTTTGGGAGGCCATGGTGAGTGGATTGCCTGAGGTCAGGAGTTCGAGACCAGCATGACCAACACGGTGAAACTTCTTCTCTACTAAAAATACAAAATTTAGCCTGGTGTGGTGGCAGGCCCCTGTAATCCCAGCTACTCGGGAGGCTGAGGCAGGAGAATCACTTGAACCCAGGAGGCAGAGGTTGCAGTGAGCCGAGACAGGGCCTTGGCACTCCATCTAGCCCAGGCAACAAGAGCAAAACTCTGCCTCAAAGAAAAGAAAAAAAAGCTGACACAACATAAATATAAGTAGACAGTTTATTTGGGTCAACTTAAGGATTGTAATCTGGGAGCAAAGATTCAAGTTGCCTGGAATCTACACTTTGATTAGTAGCAGTTAAAAGAGGATTTCTACAGACAAGAGAGAGACAGGGACTGGGATGATACAAAGTTGTTTTTCAGAAATTTTTATTTACAGAAATAACATTGATTATTGTTTAATTTATAGCTACTTGTGCCAATAGTGAACACTTTCAAGAGATGAATGCATAGTTCAAAGGGGGGAGAAATACATAACTGCACTTTCATTTTAATGTCTCTCTGAGTTTGATAACCAAAAGACTTGCATTTTTCAGATAAAATGGAACTTAAGATAAAAATCTCAAGACCTTGATTAAAAATTTGGAGCTGTAGATTTAAGGTCTGAATTGCTGGAGTCGCAGCAGGTTTTACCTGCACATTTGTGGGCATTTTAGCATGAGGAGGAAGGGGAAAGTGGAGATTCTCGTGTGTATATGTCTACTCAATGCACACATGTTACTCTGAATAAGTTTCTGGGCTTCATAGTATCTGAATCAGTTTCAGGTCTGAACATACAAGAGTCCATGAAAGAGGTAAAGTGACTGATTGCTGCCCTGTGAAGTTTGTAGAAATGTGGTCTAGCCTCTCTAGAAGTGACTGTAGAGGACTATAGATACCAAATAGGCAGAGACACAATTCTGCCTGTGTATTTAGGGGACAGCATGCACTTTGCTGCATAAGTATAAGTTGACTGGAAGCCTGAGAAGGAAAATCCCCTCTAGAGTAAATTCTGGTCGGCATTTTATGTGTTTATATCATGTCTGGTAATTCTAGACAGTGTTTGGAAACAATAGTTAACAGAAAAATCGGGCTGGGTGTGGTGGCTCACACCTGTACCACTGCACTCCAGCCTGGGCAACAGAGTGAGACTTCTGTCTCAAAAAAAAAAAAAAAAGAAAAAAAGAAAAAAGAAACAGAAAAAAAACGTTCTCCAGCCCCAAAGAAACTTCCCAGTAATAGAACAGAAAGAAAATGGTTTTATTACACAACTAAGCTTGAATGTAACAAGCATCATAGTCAATCTGTTTAACAGATCACAAAGACAGAAAGATGGTCACCATAATTAGTCCACAATTAGAAGAATTTACAGCACCATGTCATACATAGTTCATCCTAAATTCACCTGGAGATTGAAGAGGCCATCTGTGTATGCTAATTACTTATATTCAACGACAAATAAACTTTTCACATCTTCATAACAGGACGTAGTTTAGCAGCTTAAAGCCAGGTGCCTGCTGAAGGTAGGATTTCACTCTGCCTCAAAAATGGTTTAATAGTGTTCTATCTTTTTGGCTATTTACATTTTAGAGCAGTGGCTCTGTACTCCCTGGCACTGGGCTACAGAATTCCTGCTTGCTTTCTCCTGGTTGCTAGTGTTCTCTCTGGACCTCTATCATCTGCCACTGAGGCACAGCCCAGAGCACAGCTGACATTTTATGTGAATCTCATTTGCCACAGCAGCACTCTAGTGTCACATCAGAGAGCTAAGCCTAAGCTGCAGGAGGAGAGCCTGCAGGCCCCCTGGATAGAATTGAACCTTCACAATAATGGAAATGGGAGCAGTGTTTCAGGCTTAGTTTCTACTTTTAATTGTGACACGGAAAAAATACTGCTGAATTTCCAGCATGTCTCTAGATAGTGATAGCTCCAAAAGTTCTCACTGTGACAGCCCACTTTATTCAGACACCATGGGATACTAATAGGGCTTCTGAAACAGAAAAAGCATTGGAGAGAAAAACAGATCTCCATCTGAGCAAGATTATTTTGAGAGACGAAAGTTAAAAAGATCCTAAGAAAAAGCTCTGACAAGATGTAAGTTTAATCAAGTCAGTCAGAATATATTCCCTTAAAAGAAATTTCTCTGTAAACACCCAAAGTGCACAGCTACTCTCAGCATGAGAAACATGAGCAATATGAAGAAAGGTGGCAGAATTTCAGAAGAATTTTATAAAGTTTCTTTTCCATCTCTGCTGCTGTCTCATCTCCTAGCGATTGAATGGGGGTCCTATCTCTTTTTTACTCTCTCTCTTTTTGAATGTATTCAACAACTTTTACTTCGGTAATAGTGTATTGTCAACACTAAAGCTAATTTTAATAAAACCTTATAAATAAATCAAATTCATGATTTTTGGCCACTCCAGGTTTACATACATATTTTGTAATTTCTTCTAATATTTTTAACTCTACAATTTATTTTTATTCACTTTCTTTTTATTTTTTCTACTTGAAACAAACTTTAAGTAATTTCAAACTGTTATAGGAGATAGAAAGAAATCATTTTTGAGAGTCTGAGGTGGGTGGGTCACCTGACGTCAGGAGCTTGAGACCAGCCTGGCCAACATGGTGAAACCCTGTCTCTACTAAAAATACAAAAAAAAAAAAAAAAAAAAGAAATTATTTAGGGCACACTGGCGCACACCTGTAATCACAACATTTTAGGAGGCCAAGGTGGGCAGATCACTTGTGGTCAGGAGTTCAAGACCAGCCTGGCCAACATGGTGAAACCCCATTTCTACTAAAAATACAAAAAATTAGCTGGATGTTGTGGTGCATACCTGTAGTCCCAGCTACTCAGAAGGCTGAGGCAGGAGAATCGCTTGAACCCAGAGGGCAGAGTTGTGTAACTGTCCAAGGGGTTCACCTTGCCCATGGCCTAGACACAGCCAATTTATCAAGACAGAGGAATTTGTGGAGGAAAAGTTAAATATTAAATTTGAACTCATTTGAACGTGGACACAATCAATGATCAACAAGTCCTAGAACAGGTTGTGTGAGCCCCTTGAGGCTTTAATCCAGTGCTCTTTTGGAGAAATCTCTATTTAAATCTATTCCTATATATTAGTTGTTCAAAAACAATAGACAATTGTAAAAACAAGTTGACTTTTTTATGTTACTTGAGCCCATTCACGAACAGCCCTCATGACTGAACCTTAGGCCAAACAACTAGTTACAAAAGATCTAGGGTCCCAGACTGTGCCGAAGCTTCATGAGACCTGTCCTCATCTGTGCACAGACTAGTGGCTTACTCTGAAGCCCAGACTGTTGCTTCCCAGTCTGCTGGTGAATCCTCCATAGTCTGGTGGGCAATATATATATATATACACACACATACATATATCTTTTCCCTTCTCCTCTTCCCATTGCAATTTGCTTATTATATAAATCTGCTTATTACATTGATTTGCTTATTATATCATTTGCTTATTATATCTGCATTCCCATTTACATGGGATAAAACTTGTTGACCCTTAACGGTATTGTGTGTGTGTCTTTTCTTCTCCCCTTTCACGTTTCCCACACAGAACATTTTTGGCATCATAAACAGAATTCGAAAACAAAATTGTGCCGCTTTTTGGCCAGAAGGACAGGGATGGAAACTCGAGGAATTCCCATATCCAGGGATGGGAACTCCCCCAGTTTTCCTCTTTGGCGATTGAATGGTCCAGGGGAACTGGCCTTTGTGAGAATTGGGAATCTAAATTAGCGCAATTTAAAATTTGACTGTGCATGAAGTGCTGCAGGGGATTCCAGTCAGCAAAGGAGATGGTGATGGGATCTCCCAGAGTGGATGGTGTTTGCTTACTGCTTATAAGTTAATGTATCAAGATAGGGGATGGTTGCTACAAGAGAAACGTAAGATGGAAAAGGAAAATTCTAATCTGACTTCCAGACTGGCCCTGGCCCCATGTCAGGCCTGTGTCTTGACTGATAAGGCTCAGAAATATCTGCCTATTGATGAAAAAAGCAGCTGTCCCAGTGGCCCCATCAGGATAAAATTGAAGAACTAGGCAGCCGGGGTTTAGAGTGGGTAAAAACCCAGCTCCTATCTCAAGGATGGGAAATTAACCTTAGTAAAATTCAAGGACAGGCATCTAGTGTAAAATTCCTTTACATCCTATGGAATGCAGGGAAATCATCCATTTTACCAAAGGCTAAGATGAAATACTAGAATTTGCAACCCCTACCACTGAAAAGGAGGCCCAGAAATGTATTGGCTTGTTTGGATTCTGGAGACATGATATTCTCCACTTGAGTAACATTTTACAACCTCTGCATGCAGTCACTAGAAAACACGATGACTTTCACTGGAGAGAGAAAGAGAGCATGGCTTCTGAACAAGCTAAACAAGCAAGTCAACTGGCCCTGGATCCATAGCCCTTATGGGATATGCCAGTAGAACTGCAAGTAACTATCCTAAATCAACATGCTAATTGGAGCCTTAGGCAGAAACAAGATGGGAAGAGGCTACCTTTTGGGTTTTGGACTCAGAAACTGCCAGAGGCTGGAAAACCTTATACTCCTTTCAAGAAGAAATTCTTAGCTTGCTATTGGGCTTTGCTGGAAACAGAACACCTCTGCTTCAACCATGATGTCTTTATGAGACCTGAAATTCCTACTATGACTTGGGTCATGAGTTCCACACAATCTCATCAGATAGGGCACGCCCAAGAAAGTAGCATCATAAAATGGAAATGGTACATACAAGATCAGTCTAAGCCAAAACCAAAGGGGTTATCACTTTTACATGAGGGTGTAAAAAACTTGACAGCTCAGTAAACCACCAACAAAGTCATGCAGATAGGCAAGGAAACCTCCCTTGTACAATGGGGCAACTCCTTTAAAGAACTAAGTCCAGAGGATCACAGGCATGCTTGGTTTACTGATGCATCCACCAAATACATTGGTGGGACCTGATGGTGGAAGGCCATGACCTATAATCCTGTTAAAAACATAAGCATTTCTGATGAAGAAAGGGGTGGGAGCAGCCAGTTAGCTCCCAGTTAGCTGTCTTTTGAGCTATTCAGGAGGAAGTCAGAAACATTTGTCACTTGTATGCCAACACTTGGTCAGTAGTAAATGGTCTTACTACCTGGATGCTCCAATGGTAATGAAACAAATGGTTAATTGGGAATAAAGAGGTTTGGGGTAAACAATACTGGGAAGATATCTGAATCCTCTTGCACACTACCATTATCACTGTTTTCCATGTTGATGTTTATGTGTCTCTGCTTTCTTTTGACAGACTATTTAATCACCAGGAAGATCAACAGGCCAAAATTTTTATTATAACTGCAAACTTGAATGTGGATGAATGGATTACTATGTGTTCCAAGCCTTGCAATGACAGACATTATAATGTATGGTGATATAATTGATAGTGATTAGTGGCCTTAATGCTCCACTTAAAAGATACAGAATAGCAGAATGGATAAGAATTTAATAACCAAAAATCTGCTGTCTTCCAGAGACTCACCCAACACACAAAGACACACATGAAGTTAAGGTAAAGGGTTGGGAAAAGATAGTCCATGCAAATGTACCCCAAATGCAAGCAACAGTAGCCATTCTTACATCAGACAAAAAGACTTTAAAGCAAAAACACTTAAAAAAAGAAAAAGACAAAGTGGGACATTACATAATGATAAAAGGACTAGTCCAACAAGAAAATATCACAATTCTAAATATATATGCCCCTAACACTGGAGCTCCCAATTTATTAAAAAATTACTACTAGACCTAAGAAATGGGATAAATGGCAACACAATAATGATGAGGAACTTCAATACTCTACTGACAGCACTAGACAAGTCATCAAGACAAAGTCAATGACAACAACAACAAAAAAAGGACTTAAACTATAATCTAGAACAAACAGTCTTGACAAATATTTACAGAATATTCTAACCAACAACTGTAGAATATACATTTTATTCATCAGCACATGAAACATTCTCTAAGACAGACATATGATGGGCCACAAAACAAGTCTCAATAAATTTAAAACAATCAAAATTATATCAACTACTCTCTCAGACTACAGTGGGATAAAAGTGAAAATCAACTCCAAATGAACCCTCAAACCATGCAAATACATGGAAATTAAATAAATACATGGAAATTAAATAAAACATAAAATTTACAATCAACCTGTTTTTGAATGATTGTTGTATGAAATCAAGATGGAAATTTTAAAAATCTTTGAGCTGAACAATAATAATGACACAATCTAACAAAACATCTGGGATACAGCAATAGTGGTGTTAAAAGGGAAGTTCATAGCATCAAGTGCCTACTAAAAAGTCTGAAAGAGCATAAGTAGACAATCTAAGATAACACCTCAAAGAACTAGAGCAACAAGAACAAGCCAAACCCAAACCCAGCAGAAAAAAAGAAATAACAAGGATCAGAGCAGAACCCTAGCAGGAGGGGTGGCTGCAGTCTCTGTGGACCAGCAGACTTAGCCTTTCCTCCTGCTAGTTTTGAGGGATTTAAGCAGCCCAGATGAGTGGATTTTCCCACAGCAAAACACCTCCCTCCACCAAAGGACAGTCAAAGTGCTTCATTAAATGGGTTCTGCTCCCCATCTGCTCCCCATTCCACCTTCAATAGGAATTGTCAGACACCCTATACAGGAGCAATTCTACTGGTATCAGATTTGTGTCTCTTGAGGTCAGAGATGACAGAGGAAGGAACAGACATTCTTCTTTGCTGTTCTCCAACCTCCTTGAGTAACATCTCTAGGCACGGGAGTGAACCAGATGGATAGGGCTTGAAGTGAACCCTAGCAAACTGCAGCAACCCTACAGAAGATGGACCTGACCATTGAAAGAAAAACAAACAGAAAGCAACAACAACAGCATCAACAAGAAAAAAAAGTACCCACAAAAACCTCATCCAAGGCTGCACATAGTGGCTTACACCTGTAATCCCAATACTTTGGCCAACATGGTAAAACCTCCTCTCTACTAAAAAATACAAAAATTAGCCAGGCATCCTTGTGCATGCCTGTATTCCCAGCTACTCAGTAGTCTGAGACATGAGAATCACTTGAACCTTGGAGGCAGAATTTGCAGTGAACTGATATGGTGCCACTGCAGTCCAGCATGGGTGACAGAGACTGTGTCCAAAAAAAAAAAAAAACCATCCAAGGGTCAGCACCCTCAAATGATTGAAACTAGACAAACTCAAGATGAGAAAGAATCAACAAAAAATGGCTGAAAGGCCAGAGTGCCTCTTTTCCAAATGATCAAAATGTCTCTTGAGCAAGGGTACAGAACTGAACAGAGAATGAGATGCATGAATTGACAGAAGTAGGTTTCAGATGACGGTTAACAACAAACTCTGCTGAGCTAAAGAAACATGTTCTAACCCAATTCAATGAAGCTAAGAACCTTGATAAAAGGTTAGAGGAACTGCTAACTAAAATAACCAGTTTGGAGAGGAATATAAATGACCTGATGGAGCTGAAAAACACAGCACGAGAACTTCATGAAGCATACAAAAGTATCAATAGCCAAACTGACCAAGCAGAAGAAGGATATCAGAGTTTGAAGACCACTTTGCTAAAATAAGGCATGCAGACACGATTAAAGAAAAAATAATAAAAAGGAACCAACAAAGGCTCTGAGAAATATGGTGTTCTTTGCAGGAAATGAGTGAGTGGAGAAGAAAAGACATACACACAAAATACCTTTAAAGATAAACAAGATTTATCCCACGTAAATGGCAATGCAGATATAGTAAGTAAATTTATATAATAAGAAAATTGCAATGGGAAGGGGAGAAGGGAATATATATATATATGTGTGTATATATATATATATTTACACTCACCAGACTATGGAGGATTTATCACCAGACCAGGAAGCAACAGTCTGGGCTCCAGAGTCAGCCAACAGTCCTTGCACAGACTAGGAGAGGTTTCTTGAAGCTTTAGTGTGGTCTGGGACCCTAGCTCTTCTTGTAACAAGTTGTTTGGCATGAAGCCCAGTCACGAGGGCCCTTTGTGACTGGGCTCAAGAAACACAAAAAGGTCAACTTGTTATTGTGATTGGCTATTGTTTTACAATAACTAACATATAGGAATAGATTGAAATAGAGACTTCTCTGAAACAGTGCTGAATGAACGCCTCAAAGGGGCTCACACAACCTGTGCCAAGACTTGGTGACCTTTATTTGTGTCCACGTTCAATTGAGTTCAAATTTAATACTTAACTTTTCGTCAACATTCGGCCTCAATTCGGTACTCAATTGTATTAAAATACCGTTATAGATACATGGGGAACTCATAGTTGACATAGATTATGGATACAGGGTAAGCATAGGAGAATTAAAAGCACAATTTAAAAAAAAAAACATACTCATGGCTTTGCAAGGAGACTAATATTGTGAGAATTGCCAGGGATATACACACAACATCCAGTATGCAGTAAGGCGCAAACCCCTCCTTGGGCTGCGGTAAGCATATCTAATGCCATTTGATTTTGCAACACAACAGTACGCAGCTGAGCAAATTCATCTGATAACAGCATAAGTCCAGTGCTACTATCATTAAGAGCTTTTTCTACATATAAGCTTAATATTTTAATTTGTTGGTGAAGCAGGATTGTTCTAGCGGCAGGGGAGAATACTGTGATAAGGTATCGCCACCAAGGAGGCCGGCACATTCATAACCAGTGGTGTTTGTAAGCATCCAGATTACTTGGGAGGGGGATATTATCCCGGATGGTGAATGGAATTAATGGCCACCCACAAGTGATCTCCCTGCCCAGTGTGGGGGCAGGTACCAACACCCACAGGATCTGCATACCCAGAGGGCCCCCCAGGGGACAGCCATGGACCTACTGTAAACATACTGTACTAATGTGTTATTAAAATAGGAAAGAGATTGTGGTTCATTGGGGGCAATGTTGTTGATTTGGAGTATGTGTTGACAATTGTCTGGAGAAACCCCAGAGTAACATTAGAGGAGCCATTTAAGGCCTCCAGATGAAGCAGGGGCTGTGTGGAATCCAGCCACCAGCACAGCAGGTTTCCAATATATACCGTTCCAGGAATATTGGGCAAAATACCAAGGCTTTTGATGGAAGGTGAGGGTGGAGTTCACCTTTTGTCTGACCTGGGCAAAGACAGATTGCTTAGTGTGGTGAAAGGAAGTCCAGGTTGGATTACAAGTGTTGTTGTTGTGGCCCCATTGATAACGACATAGCCATTCAGAAATATTGTCAGGGACGATTCTTCAAGGTAGCCCATTCCTGGCAGCCTCTGGCAACTCGATGTACAGCCAACATTCTCTGTGATTGGCTTTTGTTGCAGCAGTGGCTACCTAGTAAATGAATTTATTCTTGGCTTTAGACACAAAGACACAGGTGCTGACCATTAGTAGATAGGTTATTCCTTGTAATAACAAAAACAGAGGGGAACATATTGTTTTTCATCTTTAGGAAATTGTACTATGCCTTCATTTTCTGCTTTCATAGCTACAAGGTCACCAGCCTTAGGGGCAGGATCTGTTGAACCCTGTATCCATATATTGGCTCCAGGATTTAAGCTACCTGTAGGAGTGGATCTGAATCCCCCAATTCTGTATGTAGCCTCTGTTGGGGCAGAGATTTCCTCACGGGATAATTGTTGACAAGGTACCACTAATAATTGAGCAACAGGCATCTGCGGTCTTATAGCAAAAAAATCTGGAGTGGTATTGTATAAAATGTCCTTTAACTCTCCCCGGTAATCACTACCAATTATAGCACCATACATTATAATGCCTCTCATTGCAAGGCTTGAACACATTGTATTCCATTCATGCACATTCAAGTTTACAGTTATGGTGGAAATTTTGGCCTGTTGATCTTCCTGCTAATTAAATGGTCTGTCAAAAGAAAGCAGAGACCCATGAGCATCAACATGGAAAAAGGGCCAGGAACGATGGCTCATGCCTGTAATCCCAGCACTTTGGGAGGCTGAGGTGGGCAGATCACGATGTCAGGAGGTCAAGATCATCCTGGCCAACATGGTGAAAACCTGTCTCTACTAAAACTACAAAAATTAGCTGGGGGTGGCAACGTGTGCCTGTAATCCCAGCTACTTGGGAGGCTGAGGCAGGAGAATGGCTTGAACTGGGAGGCGGAGGTGACAGTGAGCCTAGATTGTGCCACTGCCCTCCAGCCTGGTGACAGAGCTAGACTCTGCGTTAAAGAAAAAAAAAAAAAAAAAAGGAAAACAGTGATAATGGTAGTCTGTGCCAGGATTGAGATATCTTTCCAGTATTGTTTTCCCCAAGCCCCTTTATTCCCAATTAGCCATTTGTTTTGTTGTCATTGGAGCATAGAGGTAGTAAGACCATTTGCTACTGACCAAGAGTCGGTATACAAGTGACAGATCTCTCTGGCCTCTTCCTGAAGAGCTTAGAATATGGATACTAGTTCAGCTAACTGGCTGCTCCCACCACTTCCTTCATCAGGAATGCTTATGTTTTTGTTTGTTTGTTATTTTTTTTTTCTTTTTGAGATTGAGTCTCAGTCTGTTGCACAGGCTGGAGTACAGTGGTGTGATTTTGGTTCATTGCAACCTCTGATTCCTGGGATTCCAGTGATTTTCCTGCCTCACTCCCCCGAGTAGCTGGGATTACAGGTGCACACCACCACCCTGGCTAATTTCTGTAATTTTTAGTAGAAATGGGGTTTCACCATGTTGACCAGGCTGGCCTCGAACCCCTGACTTCGTGATCTGCCCAACTCAGCCTACCAAAGTGCTGGGATTACAGGCATGAGCCACTGCATCTGGCCAGTAATGCTTATGTTTTAACAGGATTAACAGAAGCCACAGCCTTCCAGCATTGGGTCCCACCAATGTATTTTGTGGATCCATCCATAAATTAAGCATGTTTCTGATCATTTGGGCTTAGTTATTTAAAAGATTGGCCCCTTTGGGTGGATTGTGGGGGGGGTTTCTTTCCTATCTGCAGGATAGTTTGGTGGTTTTTTGAGCGGACAAGTTTCGTACATCCTCATGTAAAAGTGATAACCCCTTTGGTTTTGGCTTAGCCTGGTCTTGTATGTACCATTTCCATTTTATGATGCTACTTCCTTGGGCATGTCCTATCTGGTGGGTTTTGGGGAATTCATGACACCAAGCCATGATAGGAATTTCAGGCCTCATAAAGACATCAAGGTTGAAGCAGTGGTGTTCTCTTTTCAGCAAAGCCCAATCACAAGCTAACAATTTCTTCTACAAAGGGGTATAAGCTTTGCCAGCCTCTGGCAGTTTCTGGGTCCCAAACCCGAAAGGTTTCTGCCTAAGGCTCAAATTAGCAGGTTGATCTGGGACAGTTACTTGCAGTTCTACTGGCCCATCCCATATGGGCCACAGATCCAGGGCCAGTTGCACCACTTGTTTAGCTTGTTAAAAGCCATGCTCTCTTTCTCTCCCCAGTGAAAGTCATAGTGTTTTTTAGTGACTACATGCAGAGGTTGTAAAATGTTACCCAAGTGGGGAATATCATGTTTCCAGAATCCAAACAAACCAATAAATTTCTGGTCCTCCTTTTTGGTGCTAGGGGTTGCAAATTCTGGTATTTTAGCCTTAGCCTTTGGTAAAATGGGCTATTTCTCTGCATTCCATAAGATGTCAAGGAATTGTACACTTTGTGCAGGTCCTTGAATTTTACTAAGGTTAATTTCCCATCCTTGAGACAGGAGCTGGGTTTTGCTTATTTTGTTTGTTTGTTTGTTTGTTTTGAGACGGAGTCTCACTCTGTCACCCAGGCTGGAGTGCAGTGGTGCAATCTCTGCTCACTGCAAGCTCTGCCTCCCTGGTTCACGCCATTCTCCTGTCTCAGCCTCCCAAGTTGCTGGGACTACAGGCAGCCACCACCACGCCTGGCTAATTTTTTGTATTTTTTAGTAGAGACTGGGTTTCACCGTGTTTGCCAGGATTGTCTCAATCTCCTGACCTCATGATCCACCCACCTCAGCCTCCAAAAGTGCTAGGATTACAGGCATGAGCCACTGTGCCTGGCCAGTAGCTGGGTTTTTACCTGCTCCAAGCCTAGCTAACTAGTTCTTCAGTTTTACCATGATGGGGCCATTTGGACAGCTGCTTTTTTCATCAATAGGTGGATATCTTTGAGCCTGATCAGTCAAGACATAGGCCTGGCATTGGGCCAGGGCCAGTCTGGAAGTCAGACTAGCATTTTTCTTTTCCAGCTTACATTTCTCTTGTAGCAACCATCCCCTGTCTTGATACATTAACTTATAAGCAGTAAGCAAACACCATCCACTCCGGGAGATCAACTCAGCAGCTCCTTTGCTGACTGGAATCTCCTGCAGCACTTCATGCACAGGCAAAGGTTTAAATTGCACTAATTAAGATTCCCAGTTCTCACAAAGGTCAGTTCCCCTGGACCATTCGATCACAAAGGGGGAGAACTGCGGGAGTTCTCATCCCAGGTTATGGGAAGTCCCGTAGCCATCAGCCCTGTCCTTCTGGCCAAGAAGCAGCACACTTTTGTTTTTGATTTCTGTTTGTAATGACAAAAATGTTCTGTGTGGGAAACACAGAAGGGGAGAAGAAAAGACACACACACAATACCTTTAAGGGTAAACAAACTTTATCCCACATAAATGGCAATTCAGATATAATAAGCAAATCAATGTAATAAGCAGATTGATAAAAGCAAATTGCAATGGGAATAGGAGAAGGAAAAAGAGATGTATATATATTTACACTCACCAGACTATGGAAGATTCACCACTAGAATGGGAAGCAACAGCCTGGACTCCAGAGTCCGCCACCCATCTGTGCACAGATGAGGAGATGTCTCATAAAACTTTGGCCCCCTCTGGTGAGGGAAGAGAGAGACCCTCTCATATTGTTTTATTGTTTTATACTCAGTACCTGTTTTAAGAAAAAAACAAGGAAGTGAAATCAAAGACAGGCAGCCTGGCGCCAGGCCCAAAACCAGCCCTGGGCCTGCCTGGCCTAAACCTAGTAGTTAAAAATCAACTCATAACTTAAAAATCAATGTTATTCATAGATTCCAGACATTGTATAGAAGAACACTGTGAAACTCCCCGCCCTGTTCTGTTCCTCCCTGACCACTGGTGCATGCAGCCCCTGTCACATACCCCTTGCTTGTTCAAATCAATCTGACCCTTTCATGTGAAATCTTTAGCGTTGTGAGCCTTTAAAAAGGACAGAAATCGTGCATTTGGAGAGCTCGGATTTTAAAGCAGTAGCTTGCTGATGCTCCCAGCTGAATAAAGCCCTTCCTTCTACAACTCAGTGTCTGAGAGGTTTTTTTCTGCGGATTGTCCTGCTACATTTCTTGGTTCTCTGACTGGGAAATGAGGTAACTGATGGGCAGCTGAGGCAGCCCCTCAGGTGGCTTAAGCCTGCCCTGTGGAGCATCTCTGCGGGGGACTCCAGCCAGCCTGAGTTACATGATCCAAAGAGTGCTCCCAGGTAGGAAATTGCCCTGGCGGAACACCTCACCAGAGCAGCGAGTAGCAGGTCCCCACAGAGGATTAACACAGTGGCTGAACACCCAGAAGGAACTGGCATTTGGAGTCTGGACATCTGTAACTTGGTAAGACTAGTCTTTGGAACTTGCCCCACTCCATCTGAGTGGAAGTGTGGCCTGATTACCCACAGTGTGCCTGTATTGGCACTTTTGTTCTGGTTTTGACTTGGCTTGACTTGGTAAGATTAGTCTTT
The DNA here is from genome assembly GCF_000001405.40 of Homo sapiens. Lineage (NCBI taxonomy): Eukaryota > Metazoa > Chordata > Mammalia > Primates > Hominidae > Homo > Homo sapiens. The sequence goes on along the minus strand of NC_000019.10, from coordinate 20,431,727 downwards.
GGAACTTGCCCCACCCCATCTGAATGGAAGAGTGGCCTGATCACCCACAGTGTGCCTGCATTGGCACTTTTGTTCTGGTTTTGACCTGACTTAGACTGCATGATACTTTAGTTTTGGTTTTGACCTGGCTTAGATTTCTGGATACTCTGATTTTGGTTTTGATTTTAGTTTGGTGTAAACTGCAAAAGTGTGTGTGTGCCCTTTTTACCTGTTTTTTTTTTTGTTTTGTTTTGTGGTGTGTGTGTGGTGTAAGCATAGTGTTTTGTCTCAAAGAAGCATAGGTCAGGCATAAGTAAGCCCACCCCATTAGGAACTATGTTAAAAAAATTTCAAGAAAAGATTTAATAGAGATTACAGTGTTACTATGACACCAAGAAAACTTAGAACTTTGTGTGAAATAGACTGGCCAGCATTAGAGGTGGGTTGACCATCAGAAGGAAGCCTGGACAGGTCCCTTGTTTCAAAAGTATGACACAATGTAATCTGCAAGCCAAGGCACCCAGACCAGTTTCCATACATAGACAGTTACAGCTGGTTTTAGACCCTCTTCCCCCCTACAGTAATTAAGAGAACAGCAGCATAAGCGGCTGGCAGAGGCAAGGAAAGACCGGCAGAGAGAAAAAAAGGCCACCTATACCAATTCCAAGTTAATTTAAACTAAACAAGGTCTTATTAATAGCAAAGGGTAAATGAAATCCCAAACTTACAAAGTTTTCAACAAAAGTGAAGTTTGCTAAAAGTTAACAGTGTAACGTGTATTATGGTAACTTCTAATCTTGTGGCCTTAGACAGTCTAGTCCAAAGACATAAAGAAAGTTCGCTTTAAAAAAAGGAATTGTTATCTTCAAAAAAAAAAAAAGGGGGGGGGGAGGTAGAATTTATGTAAAAAGAGTGTTATATGGTAAATTCTTGTCCTGAAATAAATTAACTAGTTGTTTAAAGAAAAAATAAATGTTTGTAATAAGTCAAAAAGTTGAGACATGTTGAAGAATTGTTGGTGAAAGTTGTGAAAGAAAAAGTGTTATAAAAAAATTTATTCAAAAATGTTATATAATTTAAAAGTAATAAAGCCTCCTAAGTACTATTTAAAAAAAAGTTTATGTGCAAAGTGTATAAGAAAAGTAAAATATACCTTTAGTAAAAAGATTATAAAAGGGCATAAGAATGTAGATTTTTACCAACATTAAAAGGTTAAAAAAATTATTGTTTTAAAAGTTTAAGCAAGTTTTAAAATGTTAATTATAAAGAAAATTCTGTGTGTGAACACATTAGCTAAAGTTAAAACAGTATCATCCAGTTTTTCTGTGAACTGGACATTAAAGTAAAAATGCAACAGGTTTTTCTTAAAGCATCACCTGCTCTTTAACAAAAATTATAAAAGGTTAAAAATAGTCTATAAAATCTTAACTTATGGTCAAACATGAAAAATTTGATAAATATGTCTACAAGGTTATGTTAAAATTAAGATTAATATTAATAACACACTAATATAAAGGTAAAATTTAGCTTATCTGGTATAAAAATCATACAAGAAACATTATTAAATATAAAGTGGTGTTTAGCTTTCTTTAGTCTAAAAACTAATAAAAATTGGTGCTAAAGGAGACGTTCATTTTACTAGAGGATCATAAAAGTTAAAGAGTTAAAACAAACTTTGGCAATTAAGACAGCATACCAAGATGCAAATTCCTGGTTAAAATAGATCACATATTCCATCTGCACCTTAAACAAAAGCAATTGTTATGCTTGTGCACATGGCAGGCCAGAGGCCCTGATTGTCCCCCTTCCACTAATGTGGTCCTCCAGTTGACCAGGCATAGGCTGCATGATAGCTCTTTTCCAGGATTCTACAGTCTAGAGTAATAAGTCATGCCAAGTTCTCTCTGCTATATTCTGAAGTCCCTGCAGGTCAGTCCCCGAAGGCCATCCAGCTTCCATCTCCCAACACTAAGTTCACTTCCTAACACTTAGGAACACTAAGACTTAGCATTCCTTAGAGACCTGAAAGGATACAGTGAGCTTAAGAATTTTCAAGAGCTTATCAATCAGTCAGCCCTTCTTCATCCTTGAGCGGATGTGTGGTGGTATTGTGGTAGACCTTTACTGGGCACTCTGCCGAATAACTAGAGTGGCATTTGTGTTTTAGTCCATTTGGCTATCCCTTTCACACTGGCATTTCATCAACCAGAGGAAATAAATAAATAAATAAATAAATAATAGGACATCATAAAGCAGGAGAAGCCCTTATAGGTCTTTCAACTCTCACATCTATTTAGATGCAATTAGAGCCCCGCAAGGAATACCAGATCAATTTAAAGCCTGAAATCAAATAGTTACAGGATTTAAGTCAATATTTTAGGAGATGACAGTCAATAAAAATGTAGATTAGATAAACTACATCTATTACAACCAACAGCAATGAGCTTTTCACAAGTTAAAAAAAAAAAACTCTTGTCAGCCACAGCCCTGAGGCTACCTGACCTGACAAAACTGTTTACACTCTATGTGTCAGAAAGAAAAAAAAAATGGCAGTTAGAGTTTTAACTCAGACTGTGAGGCCCTGGCCAAGGCCAGTGGCCAATCTCTCAAAACAACTAGTTTGGGTTTCCAAAGGCTAGCCCCCATGTCCAAAGGCCCTAGTAGCAATGGCCCTGTTACCACAAGAAGCAGATAAGCTAACTCTTAGACAAAACCTAAACATAAAGTCCCCCCATGCTGTGGTGATTTTAATAAATACCAAAGGACACCATTAGCTAATGAATGCTAGACTAACTAGATACCAAAGCTTGCTCTGTGAAAATCCCCACACAACCATTGAAGATTGCAACACCCTAACCCCGCCACCTTACTCCTAGTATCAGAGAGCCCAGTTAAACATAAACTGTGTAGAAGTATTAGGCTCATTTTATTCTAGTGGGCCCAACCTCCGAGACTACCCTTAAAAATCAGTAGACTAGGAGCTGTACATAGATAGGAGCAGCTTCGCCAACCCCTGCAAAGTGACTCTGAAGAAGACCACAAACCCTGCTCCAGTCACACCCAGAAGCTGACTGGTCCACACATAGCCAAAGCATGAAGAAACTCATTGCAGCACTCATTTTCCTTAAAATTTGGACTTGTACAGTAAAGACTTCAACTGACCTTCCTCAGACTGAGAACTGTTTCCAGTATATACATCAAGTCACTGAAGTAAGACAAAAGATTGCTACAGTCCTATTATTTTATAGTTATTGTAGGTGTACCAGGACTCTAAAAGAAACTTGTTTGTATAATGCTATTCTATCCAAGGTATGTAGCCCAAGAAATAACCTGATGCATGTTATGACCCATTTTAAGCTTCCCATGATCAGCATTTTTAAAATAAAATTTAGGACTGGTCCTTTTCTAAGTGACACAAGTAAAGTAATAGCTAGAACAGAAGAAAGAGGGGTCCCCAAAAATGTAACCTTAAAATTTGGTGCTTGTGCGCTATTGATAGTAAGCAGCATGGAATAAGATGCAGTTCTCTAAATTAGAAAAAAAAGTTACACAGTAAAAAAAAATGTATATATCTGTCAAGAATCATATTTATCTAAGATGTGTCAATACTAGTCTTGTGTCATTTAGGCTACTTGAAAAAAAGATAAAAAAGATCCTGTTTAGCTCCAAAAAGGAAAAGTCAGCCCCTCCTGCACAAGTAGGAGCTGCAACCTTTTAAAATCGATAATCACAAACCCCTCAGACCCAAAGTAGAACAAAAAATATAATGTAACATTAGGCATTGATGGAAAAGGACTAGATCCTAGTATAAGCATGCTAATAAAAGGAGGTTCAAAAACACTCTTCAGAACCAGTATTTCAGACTTTCTATGATGAACTAAATGTGCCAGTACCTGAGATTCCAGGAAAAACTAAAAATTTGTTTTTGCAATTAGCCGAGCATGTAGCCCAATCTCTAAATATCACTTCATGTTATGTTTGTAAATAAACTGTAATAAAAGATCAATGGCCATAAGAAGCCCAAGAATTAGTGCCTACGGACCCAGTTCCTGATGAATTCCTGGCCCAAAAGAATCACCCTGATCATTTCTAGGTTCTAAAAGTCTCAATTATTGGACAATATTGCATATCCAGAAAAAGAACAAAATTCACTCATTCTGTAAGTTGACTTAGTTGCCTAGGACAAAAGCTGTGTAATAATACCACAAAAACAGTTACATGGTGAAGTTCCAATTACACAGAAAGAAATCCATTCAGTAAATTTCCAAAGTTGCAGCCTGTTAAGTCCACCCAGAATTCCACGGGACTGGACAGCCCCCACCAGGTTATACTGGATCTATAGACACAGAGCTTATGCTAAGCTACCTGATCAGTAGACAGGTAGCTGTGTAATTGGCACCATTAAGCTGTCCATTTCTTCTTGCTGTCCATAAAAACAGGTGAATTTCTAGGCTTCCCAGTCTATGCTTCCCATGAAAAATGAAGCATAGCCATAGGTGATTAGAAAGATAATGAATGGCCCCCTGAAAAAATCATACAATACTATAGACCTGCCACTTAGGCACAAGATGGCTCATAAGGATATCGAGCCCCCATCTACAGGCTCAACCAAATCATAGGGTTACAAGCTGTTTTTAAAAATTATTACTAATAAAACTGGTCAAGCCTTGACTGTTCTTGCCCCATGAGGGACTCTGATGAGAAATGCTGTCTATCAAAATAGACTAGCTCTTGACTACTTGCTAGCAGCTGAAGGAGAAGTTTGTAGAAAATTTAACCTTACTAATTGTTGTCTACACACAGATGATCAGGGGCAAGTAGTTGAAGATATAGTTAAAGATATAACAAAACTAGCACATGTACCCGTGCAAGTGTGGCACAGACTCAATCCAAGAGCCATGTTTAGAAATTAATTCCAGAAATAGGAAGATTTAAAACTCTTATAATAAGAGTAATAATAGTAACAGGAACCTGCTTACTGCTCCCTTGTCTGATACCTGTATTTCTCCAAATGATAAAAAACTTCGTCGCTACCTTAGTTCACCAAAATACTTCAGCACAAGCATACTGTATAAATCACTATCAATCTATTGCACAAAAAGACATAAGTAGCAAAAATAAGAGTGAGAACTCCCACTAATAAAAAAGTGAGAGTCTCAAAGAGAGGAAATGAGGGAAGAGAGAGACCCACTCATATTGTTTTATTGTTTTATACTCAGTACCTGTTTTAAGAAAAAAACAAGGAAGTGAAGTTAAAGACAGGCAGCCCTGGGCCTGCCTGGCCTAAACCTAATAATAAAAAATCAACTCATAACTTAAAAACTGATTTTATTCGTAGATTCCAGACATTGTATAGAAGAACATTGTGAAACTCCCTGCCCTGTTCTGTTTCTCTCTGACCACCGGTGCATGCAGCCCCTGTCATGTAACCCTTGATTGCTCAAATCAATCACGACCCTTTCATGTGAAATCTTTAGTGTTGTGAGCCTTTAAAAAGGACAGAAATTGTGCATTCAGAGAGCTTGGATTTTAAAACAGCAGCTTGCTGATGCTCCTAGCTGAATAAAGCCCTTCCTTCTACAACTCGATGTCTGAGAGGTTTTGTCTGTGGCTTGTCCTGCTACACTGGGACCCTAGCTCTTTTTGTAGCAAGTTGTTTGGCATAAGGCCCAGTTATGACAGCCTTTCAAGACTAGGCCCAAGGAACACAAAAAGGCCAATTTGTTTTTGTGATTGCCTATTGTTTTTCAATAATAAATGTATGGGAATAGATTGAATTACAGATTTCTCCAATACAGCACTGGATAAATGCCTCAAGGGGCTCACACAACCTATTCTGGGACTTAGTGACCATTGTCTGTGTCCACATTCAATTGAGTTCAAATTTAATATTTAACTTTTCCTCCACAAATTCTCCTGTCTTAATTAATAGGCTCTGTCTAGGCAAAAGGCCCGTCTTGATAAATCAGCTCTGTCTAAACCAAAGGGCAAGGTGTACCCCTTGGGCCATTACACAACCTCCGCCTCCTGGATTCAAGTGATTCTCCTGCCTCAGCCTCCGGAATAGCTACAACTACAGGTGTGCACCAGCATGCCCAGCTAATTTTTTGTATTTTTAGTAGAAATTAGGTTTCACCATGTTGGCCAGGCTGGTCTTGAACTCCTGACCTAAAGTGATCTGCCCACCTTGGCCTCCCAAAGTGCTGGGATTACAGGCATGAGCCACTGTGCCTGGCCTTAAATGATTTCTTTCTATCTCCTACAACAATTTGAAATTACTTAAAGGTTGTTTCAAATTGAAAAAATAGAATGTAGATAAAAATAAAATATAAAAAGTTAAAAAAATTACAAGAGATTACAAAATATATGTGTAAATCTCGAGAGGTTAAAAGTGGCAAATTTGATTTATTTATAAGGTTTTATTAAAATTAGCTTTAGTATTGATAATACACTATTACCAAAGTAAAAGTTGATTTTCTCTTGAACAAAAATATTATGTATTATTCATATGACAGAAAAATACTCCTGCTCACCTTTTGAATACATTCAAAAACAGAGAGAGTAAAAAAGATACAGAATTGTTCCCTTCTCTGGGGTGAGCCTGGCTCAGCTCAGGGAGGAAGCCCTGTCTGGAAAGGCTGCATCTTAGGCTGTTACTCCTTCACTCAGCCCAGAATCTGATTACATCTTCTGTCACTCAGGTACTGAGGGGGCAGAGCCTTAAGCATAATCCAATCAGGGAGGCTGGTCTGGAAACCCTCCAATCAGGCAGGCAGCTGGAGCGAAGAGGACGGCTTTCTGGTATGGCGCGGCCTTTGTCTCTTGCTGCCGCTGGAGCTCCAGATCTCTTGTTCACTGCTCTGTGTTCTCTGCTCATAGAGGCCCAGCCTCTGAGGCCCTTTGACCTGCAGGTATTGGGAGATCCACAGCCAAGAGCCAGGACCCCCTAGAAGTCTAGAAATGGTAAGAGTACCGGTCCAACATCCCCAGAGAGGGGAGGGACTGGTTGATGGGAAGTGGCAGTGGCGGGACTCAGGGCTCCCCGCAGTCAGCTCCACAATCTGTGCCCTGAGTTCTCCTTGCCCAGCTTGGCGTTAGTCCCCACCATCCATAAGATGGAAGCTGCTCCGCCGGGCGCGGTGGCTCATGCCTGTAGTCCCAGAACGTTGGGAGGCCGAGGCGGGCGGATCACGAGGTCAGGAGATCGAGACCATCCTGGCTAACACGGTGAAACCCCGTCTCTACTAAAAATGCAAAAAAATTAGCTAGGCATGATGGCGGGCGCCTGTAGTCCCAGCTACTAGGGAGGCTGAGGCAGAATTGCGTGATCCCGGGAGGCGGAGCTTGCAGTGAGCCGAGATCGCGCCACTGCACTCCAGCCTGGGAGACAGAGCGAGACTCCGTCTCAAAAAAAAAAAAAAGATGGCGGGTGCTCTATAAGCCGGTCCCGGGCGTCCTGACTCTTCCCTTGGCAGCGAGTGTGCCCCGGCCTGGAGCCCTCTCTGGGCAGCTCTGCACCCACAGCTCCGGGTATCTCCCAGATTGTGCAGGAACCACGAGAGGGTCTTTAGGGGAGAATCTTGACTCGGGGTGCGGGTTCCCGAATGGGAAGAGCTTTGGTCCGTGGGGTTCACAGTTTCTCTTTTCTCGTATTAAAAATTTATGGGGCCAGGCGCGGTGGCTTACGCCTGTAATCCCACATTTTGGGAGGCTGAGGCGGGCGGATCCCTTGAGGTAAAGGGTTGTTAGGACAACTAAGTTCCTCTTGAAAGACTCAACTTCCAGGTCATAAATTGTAAAAATTGTAAATCAATACTACGCCTTCTTCCCTCTTCTTTCCCTGCAAATCTCCGTTTATCCTATTTGGAAAAAGTTGGGGTCTAAGCCAGTCGGGATCAGTTTAGATGATCTGGTCTGACCCCAGGCAATAGGGGAAGAACACAAAAACAAAACTGCCTTAGGGTTAAAAAACCACTTCCTGGTCGGGCGCGGTGGCTCACGCCCGTAATCCCAACACTTTCAAAGAGCAAGGCGGGCGAATCACGTGGTCAGGAGTTCTAGACCAGCCTGGCTAACATGGCGAAACACCGTCTCTACTAAAAATACGAAAATTAGGCGTGGTGGCAAATGCCTGTAATCCCAGCTCCTTGGGAGGCTGAGGCACGAGAATTGCTTGAACCCGGGAGCCGGAGGTTGCCGTGAGCCGAGATCGCGCCGTCGCATTCCAATATGCGCGACAGAGCGAGACTCCATCGCAAAAAAAAAAAAGTAAGGATCTTAAAATTTCCTTCCTTTATGTAAACCGGGAGGCGGAAGTTGCAGTAAGCTGAGATCGCGTCATTGCACATTAGCCTGCATGAGAGAGCGAGACTCCTGTTTAATAAAATTTTAAAAAGTATCTTAAAATCTCCGTTTATGTAAACACTATGTTTGAGTAATTTCACTGGATTTTTCAAACACTTAGTTTCAAAAACCAGGTGAATAACACTGACATGGAAACTGAAGCTTGAACCTAGTAATTCCAAGCTAAGGCTAATATTAAGGCTGCAAAAAGGAGGTGTTTTTATTTTGTTTTTTGTTTTTTTTAAATTTTGAGATGGAGTTTAGCTCTTGTTGCCCAGGGTGCAGTGCAATGGCTCGATCTCGGCTCGCCGCAACCTCTACCTCGGGTTCAAGGGATTCTCCTACCACAGGCTCTCGAGTAACTGGGATTACAGGCCTGCGCCATCACACCCGGCTAATTTTGTGTGGTAGTAGAGAGGAGGTTTCTCCATGTTTTTCAGGCTGGACTCCAACTCCCAACCTCAGGTTTTTCGCCCGCCTCGGCATCGCAAATTGCTGGGATTACAGGCTTTAGCCAGCGCACTCGGCCAACAGGAGGTTATTAAAGGCCCAGTTCTTTTTTTGCTGGGGAGACTTCCCTGCAGATGTCCCAGCCTGCTCACCCCAGCTATGGAAAGAGCCTTTATCCTGAGAGAAGCTACAGAGCCCTGGAAAGCTGGAGCCCCACAGGCAGATGCAGTTAAGATTAAGATGAAAGGAAACTGGGAGGGTCTTACTGATAATGAAGTTTTTGTTTTGAGGCAAGTTTTAGACTTTGTAAGATAACAACGTTAGATTTATGTAAAACAATGAATTCCAAAAAAGTATTGCAATAGGAGAAAGTATCAACTTACTATAAGGTCTTTGTGGCTTGCAAAACTGTAGGCACAAAAGGACTTTCTTTCCTAAGGAGGATTAAACAAGATTAGAAAGGAGGTGGGAAGGGAATGGCAAATGGAGGGTGAAAAGGTCAGATTTTAGATCACAGAATGTCTTACCCTGAAATCAGCATGTTCTTAGGAGGGACGTAAATGGGGTTGTATGTCGACTCAGACCGAGGGTAGCTCAAAGTTCAGGAGCCTGACGGAGGGAGATAAACTTAAGTAAATTTCATTAAGAATTACTTTATTTTAGGCCAGGGGTGGTGACTCACGCTTGTAATCCCAGCAGTTTGGGAGGCCGGGGCAGGCGGATTACCTGAGGTCAGGAGTTCAAGACCAGCCTTCCCAACATGGTGAAACCCTGTGTCTACTAAAAATACAAAAATTAGCTGAGCGTTGTGGCGGGCGCCTGTAGTGCCAGATACTGGGAAGGCTGAGGCAGGAGAATTTCTTGAACCTGGGAGGCGAAGGTTTCACTGAATGGAGATGGCGCCACTGCACTCCAGCCTGGGCAGCAGAGCAAGACTCGATCACACCAAAAAAAAAAAAAATTGACCACTGAAGAAAAAATCAGCTGATTTTTATAATGAGAAATAGGAGAAAATGTGCAGAGAGTGTGTTTGCCTGTGTGATAGGTAAGAAAAAAGAGCACCATTGAAGTCATAAGGTGAAGGGTGTTTCCATAAACTGTTCCTGGAGTACACAAAGGATGGACAATTTATTTTTTATTTATTTATTTATTTAGACGGAGTCTCGATCTCTCACCCGGGCTGGAGTGCAGTGGTGCAATCTCCAGTCACTGCAAGCTCTGCCTCCCGGGTTCATGCCATTCTCCTGCCTCAGCCTCCTGAGTAGCTGGGACTACAGGCGCCTGCCACCACTCCCGGCTAATTTTTTGTATTTTTAGTAGGGATGGGGTTTCACCCTGTTAGCCAGGATGGTCTCGATCTCTGATCTCGTGATCCACCCTCCTCGGCCTCCCAAAGTGCTGAGATTACAGGTGTGAGCCACCGTGCCCGGCTGGAGAATTTTATTAATCACAAACATTTTTCATGATTATCTATGTGTTTCATCTTTCCCCATCTCTTTTCTTTGTTCTATGCATTTCTTCCATTTGGCTTTTCCTGGGCTGCATCTTATATATTAAACCGGTAAACATAACTACAGTGTTTTGATGAGTTCTGTGAGTAGCTCTACCAAATCATTGAACTTCAGGGAGGTTTTGGGAGTCCCCAGTTTTCAAACAGTAGCTCAGAAGCGTAGATGGGCCCATGGGGTTTGTGACTGGCATCTGCAGTGAGGACAATGTTGTGGAACTGAGCCCTGAATCAGGGTCTGTGCTGACTCTGGGTGGTGTCAGAATTTAAATGTTAGACAATTAGTTGTTGGAGAATTGTTTGATGCTCAGCAAACTCTACAGATTTGGTGCCAGAAAAAAGATATCACAGAGGCCTGGACTGGAACAAAGCTCTGGGTGTTTAGAAATGGGAGGCTCTGCTCTCCTGTACACAGGCTGTCACATTGCCCATTGTCCTGTGATTCCAGGTCTTCTCCCAGGGTGACAGAGGACTGAAAACTCAGAAGAAGCTCTTATGACAGACCCCTTTTCTTGCAGCTGCTACTACAGGATTCCCACCCACTCACAAACACACACACTAGAAATTGAGGTATCCACACTTCTCCCAGGACTCGGCACCACCCTCAAGAACTTCACCATGGCATTTTTGATCCTAGTGTTTCTTGCCAAGAACCCAAAAATCTCTACAAGTCTCCTGGCATATCCCCACCCCTAGATACTAAATTTGCAGCAGCAACCTGTTTTCTCCACCAGCCTAGGGTCTGGGCCACCTGTTTGTAATTTCATCTACCTGCATTCACACAGAAATAAATCAGAGTACAGCCCCACCTGGGCTACTATCTATAGTGAAAAGCAGTCCATGCACCTACATTGCACTCTCCCCCACCTTGGAGTATTTTTTTCTTTTAGGTTTTATTTGTGATTCGGTGTACATGTGTGGGTTTTTTATACAGCTAAAATTATGTCATGGGGGTTTGGTGTGCAGATTATTTTGTCATTGAGGTCCTACCCATAGTACCAAACAGGTATGTTTTCTGATCCTCTTAGTTCTCCCACCCTCCACCCTCAACTAGGCCTCAGTGTCTCTTGTTCTCCTCTTTGTGTTCATGTGTTCTTATTATTTAGCACTTACTTAAATAATAACATGCATTTGGTTTTCTGTTTCTACATTAGTTTTATTTATTTATTTATTTGTTTCATTTTGTTTTGTCTTTTGAGATAGAGTTTTGATCTTATTGCCCAGGCTGGAGTGTAATGGTGCGATCTTGGCTCACGGCAGCTTTTGACTCTCAGGTTCAAGCAATACTCCTGCCTCAGCCTCCCAAGTAGCTGGGATTACAGGTGCACACAACCATGCCTAGCTAATTTTGTATTTTTAGTAGAGACGGGATTTATCCATGTTTATCAGGCTGATCTTAAACTCCTGACCTCAGGTGATTAGCACACCTCAGCCTTTAAAAGTGCTGGGATTACAGGTGTGAGCCTCCGCACCCAGCCTTTGCCTACTTTTTTTTTTTTTTTTTTTTTTTTTGCAACAGTTTTGCTCTTGTCACCCAGGCTGGATTGCAATGACGTGATCTCAGCTGGCTGCAACCTCTGCCTCCACCTCCTGGGTTTGAGCCATTCTCCTGCCTCAGCCTCCTGAGTAGTTGGGAGTACAGGCACCTGCCGCCACGCCCAGCTAATTTTTGATATTTTTAGTAGAGACGGGGTTTCACCATGTTGGCCAGGTTGGTCTTGAACTCCTCTCAAGTGATCCACCCTCCTTGTCCCCTCAAAGTGCTGGGATTACAAGCGTGAGCCACTGTGCCCGTCCTGTCTACTTTTTAATGAGGTTGCTTGTTTTTTTCTTGTAAACTTGTTTAAGCTCTTAATAAATTCTGGAAAGTCGACCTTTGTCAGAGGCAAATATTTTCCTTTATTCTGTAGGTTGTCTACTCTGTTGATAATCTCTTCTGCTGTGAAGAAGCTCTTAAGATCTTCACAATTGAAAAATAGGTCCCATTTTTCAATTTTTGCCTCTGTTGCAGTTGCTTTTGGTAGCTTCCTCATGAAGTCTTTGCCAGTTTCTATGTCTAGAATGGTATTTCCTAGGTTATCTTGGAGGGTTTCTCATAATTTTAAGGGTTTTTTTGTTTGGTTGGTTTCTGTTTTTTTTTTTTTTTTCAGACGGAGTCTCGCTCTGTCGCCCAGGCTGGAGTGCGGTGGTGTAATCTCGGCTCACTGCAAGCTCCGCCTCCCGGGTTCACACCATTCTGCCTCAGCCTCCCGAGTAGCTGGGACTACAGGCGCCCGCCACCATGCCTGGCTAATTTTTTGTATTTTTAGTACAGACGGGGTTTCACCATTTTAGCCAGGATGGTCTCGATCTCCTGACCTCGTGATCCACCCGCCTCGGCCTCCCAAAGTGCTGGGATTACAGGCATGAGCCACCGCGCCCCGCCATAATTTTAAGTTTTACACTTAAGTCTTTAATTTATCTTGAGTTGATTTTTGTATACGGTATAATGAAGAGGTCTAGCTTCAGTCGTCTACATAATGTTAGGTAGTTATTCCAGCACTGTTTATTAAATAGAGAATCCTTCCCACATTTCTCTTGTCAGCTTCATCAAAAATCTGATGGTTGTAGGAGGGTGGCATTATTTCTGGGCTCTCTATTCTGTTGCATTGGTCTTGTGCACTCATGGATTTTTTTATAACATCTTTCTCTTTTCTGGTTTTTCCTTCATAAACATTCTGTCAAGTGCATAGAGTGTGCAAATTTCAGATGTCCAAGAGTTCAAAACTCTTCAATAAGTTCCAAAAAAATATTTTGCTATTCCCTCTTTGCTTAAGGGATTTAGATTATATATAGACAATTTTCTCTGCTTTTTTGAAATGTATGTAAATCATATTAACAGCTAAATAATGTCTTTTGTCATTTTTTCTTTTTCATTTTCTTTTTTTTTTTTAAGACAGAGTCTCGCTCTGTCACCCAGGCTGGAATGCAGTGGGGCAATCTCGGCTCACTGCAACATCTGCCTCCCAGGTTCATGCCCTTCTCTTGCCTCAGCGTCCCAAGTAGCTGGGACTACAGGCGCATGCTGCCACACCTGGCTAATTTGTATTTTTAGTAAAGACGGGGTTTCACCATGTTAGCCAGGATGGTCTTGACCTCCTGACCTTGTGATCCGCCCACCTCTGCCTCCCAAAGTGCTGGGATTACAGGCGTGAGCCACCATGCCCATCCCCTTTTGTCATTTTTCTGACTCCAGATTATCGTTATCTGGTACTTCAGATTTATTGGTTTGTTTTTGGTTCTGAAAACTTTATTTTTTTCATTTTTAGTCCTTTAAAATAGACACAGATTTGTTTAGGTAAAAGCTAATTTTAGAGCACAAAAAAGCTTAGCACAAAGATAGGATTAAATTTAGTAACACAGAATGGTAAACAATAAAAGATACTACGTTTCTTTGACAGAAACCTGATGATCTAAGGAAATTATCCAATATTTGCAGGCTGAAGTACTTGCACTGCAAAAACAAGAACAGTCTAGTGTATAAACTTAACAGTGGAGTCAGTAGTTGTACCTTGCTTTCTATTTATTACTTCAGAATAATTAGCATAGTTATACGTAATGTTTGTAGACAACCTGCATTTATATACATTTAACAGTATTCTCTTTTTTTTTTTCTTTTGAGACAGAGTCTCACTCTGTTGCTGAGGCTGGGGTGCAATGGCATGATCTCGGCTCACTGCAACCGCTGCCTCCCGGGTTCAAGCGATTCTTCTGCCTCAGCCTCTTGAGTAGCTGGGATTACAGGTGTGCATCACCATTCCTGACTAAGTTTTTGTATTTATAGTAGAGATGGGTGTCACCATGTTCTCCAGTTTGATCTTGAACTTTTGACCCAGGTGACCCACCCATTTCAGCCTCCCGAAGTGTGGACAAGGCATGAGCCATAAACAGTATTTTCTACAGTAACATGAATATAAAGCCGCAATACTTACTTTGAATGAATCACTTACATGGTTATTTTAATATTGTAATTTATACTTTTGAAATATAAAGTGTTTTAACTGAAGTATAGTTGCAATTTTTAAAACTACATATATTATTACTAGTTTATTAAAATTATTCATACTGATATTTATATCTAATATCTAAAGAAAATTTATTACCAAATTGTCACAGTAAGTAGATATTAGTGTGACATGTTTATTACTTTATTCAATAGGGATAATTATGAGTAAACAAAATTTTAATATCTTTTATTTCACTAAATTGGTATGCTGCTATTACATGACAAATAAAGACAGGTGATGTGGCCACCAAAAACCATAGTAGCTCTTCAGTTAGCTATGTTGCAAGTTCTAATATATTCCAATAAATGAACACAGTCAGATTCTATTTCTTCATCAGAAGGTGTTGTGGGAAGTTGTCAGATGTATTTCAATACAGAACCCCTATTCAATGACTAGGAGATGATGGATCAGCAGAGATAGAAAAGAAACTATAAAATTCTTCTGAGACTTTGCCCCTTTCTTCATAATGCTAATGTTTCTCATGCAGAGAGTAGCTGTGCACTTTGGGTGTTTAGAGAGAAATTGCTTTCAGGGGAATATTTTCTGGCTGACATCATCAATCTTACATCTAATCTGAGCTTTTTCTTAAGATAGTTTTAGCTTTTTTCTCTCAATCTTGCTCAGACGGAGATCTGTTTGTCTCTCCAAAGCTTTAGGTGTCTGTTTCAGAAACCCTATTAATATCCCATTTTTTTCTGAATGAGGTGGGCTGTCATAGTGAGAACTTTTGGAGCTATCTCTATCTTGAGTCATGCTGAAAATTCAGCAGTATTTTTTCCTTGTCACCATTATAAGTAGAAACTGAGGTTGAAACACTGCTCTCATTTCCATTATTGTGAATGTGTAATTCTACCCAGGAGGCCTGCAGGCTCTCCTCCTGCAGCTCAGGCTTCACTATCTGATGTGACACTAAAGTGCTGCTGTGGCAAATGGGATTCACATAAAATGTGAGCTGTGCTCTGGGCTGTGCCTCAGTGGCACATGGTAGAGGTCAAGAGAGCATACTAGCAACCAGGAGAAAGCAAGCAGGAGTGCTGTAGCCCAGTGGCAGGGAGTACAGAACCACAGCTCTAAAATGTAAATAGCAAAAAAGAA
Organism: Homo sapiens; assembly: GCF_000001405.40. Taxonomy (NCBI): domain Eukaryota; kingdom Metazoa; phylum Chordata; class Mammalia; order Primates; family Hominidae; genus Homo; species Homo sapiens. The sequence goes on along the minus strand of NC_000019.10, from coordinate 20,416,307 downwards.
CCCTATTCAACCATTTTTGTAGCAGAGTAAGAGGCTACCTTCAGCAGGCACCTGGCTTCAAGCTGCTAAACTACCTCCTGTTATGAAGATGTGAAAAGTTTATTTGTCATTGAATATAAGCAATTAGTATACACAGATGGCCTCTTCAATCTCCAGGTGAATTTAGGATGAACTATGTATGACATGGTGCTGGAAATTCTTCTGCTTGGGGACTAATATTGGTGACCATCTTTCTATCTTTGCAGTCTCTTAAGCAGACTGACCATGATGCATGTCACATTCAAGTTCAATTGTGTAATAAAACCATTTTCTTTCTGTTCTATTATTGTGGAGTTTCTCTGGAGCTGGATAAAATCTGTCTTTTAATTATTGTTTCCAAACACTGTCTAGAATTACCAGACATGATATAAACACAAATAAGGTGCCAACCGGAACTTACTCTAGAGGGGACTATTCCTCTCAGGCTTCCAGTCAACTCACACTTGTGCAGCAAAGTGCATGCTGTCCCCTAAATATGAAGGCAGAATTGTGTCCCTGCCTATTTGGTATCTAGAGTCCTTTACAGTCACTGCTAGAGAGACTAGATCAGATTTCTACAAATTTCACAGGGAAGCAATCAATAATTTTTTCTCTTTCAATGACTCTTGTATTTTCAGACCTTAAACAGATTCAGAGACCGTGGGGCCAACAAACTGAACTGGAGTAACATGTGAATTGAGTAGACATGTAGACAAGAAAGTCTCCACTATCCCCTTTCTACTCTTGCTGAAATGCTCACTAATGTGCAAGTAACACCTGCTGCTACTCCTGCCATTCAGGACCTAAATCTGTAGCTCCATATTTTGAATCCAGATCTTGAGATTTGGGAAATAAAAAACTTTTATCTAAAAAGTGCAAGCACTTTTGGTTATCAAACTCAGAGAGATGTTAAAATGAAAGAGCAGTTAACATCTTTCTCTCCCCTTTGAACTATGTATTCATCCCTTGAAACTGTTCACTATTGCCACAAGTAGCTATAAAGTAAATTAACAATGCCACATTGGATACTATATTCTATACCCTAAACAATAATGATATATATCTAATCAATAATCAATATTATTTATCTAAATAAATAAAAACTTCTGACAAACAACTTTGTATCAGACCACTCTATGTCCCTCTCTTGTCTTTACAAATCTTGTAACTGCTGCTAATCAAAGTGTAGATTTCAGGCAACTTGAATCTTTGCTCCCTGGTTATAATCCTTAAGCTTAAACCAAATAAACTGTCTACTTATATTCTTGATATGTCAGCTTTTTTTATTTAGACTTATCACTTAGAATGTTCTAGAGCAGCCTCTATGAGGGTACTCTCCTTTGATTGTACTCCATTTGCTGTAACACCAAAGGATGCAGAGCCAGGTTGATCCTATCTAGAATCTACAGATTAGGTCCGGCCTCTGCCTGGGATTTAAAAAGTGCCAGACTTTGGATATGGAATGTACAGAAAATTAACAAAAGTTATTTTCTGCATTGTAAGTTGTCAAGATAGACATCTTACAGCCCCCATTTCAGAGTGTGGCATTTTGAGTTTTTTTACATCTTTTTCATTGACCTGCTACAGTGATGTGAGAGGCTCCAGGAGGAAATAGAATCTGATGGCAGAATCTGTAAGTGTAAATAATCATCTTAGGAGTGAGAGATCAGGCCACAAAGTATCCAGAGCCATGACCACAACTATGTTTACCTGTAAAATGGGATACTGGAGTAGAGTATTTTTGTTCTGTCTTTTACCCAAGTGCTAGCATATCAGGACAGGTGACCCAGGTTCTGGGGCTCCACCAACGCAGTTTTATTTTCTATTTAGAATCAGCCTGAGTCGCTCCAGCCTGGCTTATCATTGGGCCATCAGCCCTGGGTCACTGGGAATTCCCTCACAATCACCTAGGTTTCTTTGAGGCATTTGAGGATGTCCAGAGTAGAATTGTGTCAGGCTGACAAGAGTGGTTAATTCTGCTTCTGTCTCAGTGTAAAGAAAAATGAGTCATTCTGTGTTTGTTCAACCCATCATACAAGAGTTGTCTTTGGTTTGTACAGGGATGAGAGTTTCTCCAGTTTCCTGGTACTTGGATGATAAACAAGGAGATCTGGAGACCCAAGTAGATAAACTAGTTGCTTCCATTTCTTATGGTCATTAAAAAAAAATACATGAAGCAGTCATGGTACCTACCACCTGAAGGGATATTAATGAACAGTAGAATTGTTATAATTAATTTTTCTTTTTTTGAGATGGAGTCTTAGTCTGTCACCCAGCCTGGAATGCTGTGTCATGATCTTGGCTCACTGCAACCTCTGTCACCTGGGTCTAAGCGATTCTCCTGCCTCAGCCTCTCAAATAGCTATGATTACAGTGCCTCCCACCACAGCCAACTAATTTTTGTATTTTTAGTAGAGAAGAGGTTTCACCATCTTAGTCAGGCTGGTCATGAACTCCTGACTTCATGATCCATCTACCTCAGCCTCCCAAAGTGTTGGTATTATAGGTGTAAGCCACTGTGCCCAGCCGTATAATTTCTGTTCTTTTACCTTCGTAAGTGTACACACTGATTTTCTTATAAAATTACCCTAGAAAACCTTAAGAGAATTGTTTAAATTGCATATTAGTATACAGTATAAAGTTGACAGAGCAGTGCTAGAAAATATTAAAATTACAGAAACTCTGGGGTTTTTCTTTTAGGTAAGATTAGAAAAAAAGAAAACTGTTAGTACCACAGTGGCATAGAGAACAGAATTCTATAGGATCCTCACCTTGTCCCAGACATGTTCAGATTCACCCTTTTTGGAGGCCTTATTTAGGTCTGACCCTACTCTGGAGTCTTGCCTCACAGAACTGATTAGAAGATATCAGAGTTTTGGCTGGTGAATCCAATTTCCTGAAACCCAAAAGCAGATAAATGGGAAAAATAAAGTATGTATTGTAGAGTCTTAGTTTTTAAATTTTCTGTTAAAACCAGTGTTGGCAGAGACATTCTATTTAGCAACTTGTTTTCTATTCCTGCAGATCCAGTAGTTGCTCCACAAGTCACAGAAAAGTAAACATAAACAGAATAAAATTTTCTCTAAACTACAATAAACTCTTCTATATCTCTTTCATCTGTATATATTTAGCTTTTATTCTTTACAATGTTTAAAAAAATTTGGTAACAGAGAAACAGAAGAGGCAGTAAAAATTCTCTGCCCTTTATCTAAATCCTGGAAATTATTAAACCCTGAGTACTAGCTCCAAGAATGTTACAAGAATTAAATCACATAATATGTTATGCCCAGCATAGTGCTCTGTATCATACTCTTGAGCACAAAGTACCTGCTTAATAAACATTGCATTTGTACATGTGTACATGTTTTTTAAATGCAGACTTATCCAGACATTGCTGCCTTCTGTTTCCTCTGTAAACTTTAAAGACCCAGCAAAGAATATAAAACTTTAGCATAGATGTGTTGTCCTTATTTGTACCAGAAGTATTTGGTTGTGACAAGAGTTCTAAGTGTAAGGGACCCTCTGCTATTCCTGCTTTCTCTAATGCTAATAATGAGCCAAGGAGAAGCAACATCAGCATTGACAGGGGACTTGTTTAAAACACCCATTTATGGACCCTTTTCAAACCTACAGAATCACATAAAGTGGAGTCAAAATTACCAAGTGATTTATAAGCTTCTTAAAGCTTGAGAGGCAATGCTTAGCTTAGTGGTTATCAGCCCAGGCTTCTCATTAGGATCACATGGCCAATTTGCAGAAATCTCTTGTGCCTTCCCCACCGGTTCTGTTTATTGTTCTGGGTGGAAGTATCCATGTTGTTTTAATGAAGGGCTTCACGTGACTCTAAGGGGAGGCCAGAATCAGGTATGAGGGTCTCAAAATACTTTCATGAGAGTTAAGAAGTTCCACCTTTGCACTAAGTGGTGCGCACAGGACCTGTTCTGTTTGGTTTTGGTAGGGGCAGGTCAGTGTGGCACATATTTCCATTACTGTAGCAGAAATTGCTGGTGTCTGTGGCAGAAAGGGCACCAGAGGACATGAAAGGAGAAACTTATATTTTTATCTTCATGGAGCATCTCATTGTTCTTGAATCTTTTTGTTGTAAAAAACAGAAATGGGTGGACTTTTTCTGTCTTTTTCTGCCAGTTGATGTCATGCTAGCAGGTAAACATGTGGTGCTGACACATTTAAAGGCATAGTCTCAAGATGCAGGGGTAATTTGGCCAGAGAATCTCATCTGACAAGGAATTCCAGAGGAGGAGGTGAAAAAAAAAAAAAAGGCTTCTCTTCAGGTAAACATGTCTCAGATGAAGAGCTGTGTTCACTCTGCCTCCTGGACTGCCATGCATGTAGCACTCACAAACCTTTACTTCTCTACTTGTGTTTTTTCTCCCTGGGTTTGGTTTAACTACTTAAAATTCTTACGATAGTCAAGGGTCTCTGAAAAAATAATTTTTCTTCTATATCCCAGAGCTTTCTCTGCATTCTCTGTGTCATAGCTTCTTATATGCCATGCAGGATTCTCAGCAATAAGTTATGATCTGCAATATTAAAAATGTTCCCTTTGTGGCTGTTGAACATGGAAAGATGCGGCTACTCAAGATTTCTATTGGGGAAAACTTTTGTCCTTAGTAAAGATGGAGAACGTGTAATGTTGAGGCTCCATCTGTGTGTTTCATTAATTTATGCAGAACAGGATTAAGACAATACTTATTTATATGGAATGGCATTTATTACTCAGAAAGTTCTGAAAAAAATTATTAGGAGATACCTGATCTCTTGGGTGCTAAATGAAGTCTCCTTAAAATTACTACTGAACATTACAGAACATAGGAGTTTTCTGTACTTTGAAATTAGCATAAACATGTTTCTTTATTATTAAATTCAGATTTTATTTACTTCCTTGGGAGGAATATTTCAACAGTGATGTTGTGTTCTTCTGTGTGCATTAGCGCATCATGAAAATTTGTCCTTGTGCAGTTAATGGTTTATAATTCACTTGGTGAAATAGCTCTCTGACAGATTGTTTTCACTGTAGAGTTAATTATTTTTCTCTTCATTATTAATTATCTTTTTTTTTTATTTTTGAGACAGAGTCTCGCTCTGTCACCCAGGCTGGAGTGCAGTGGTGCAATCTCAGCTAACGCAAGCTCCGCCTCCTGGGTTCACACCATTCTCCTGCCTCAGCCTCCCGAGTAGCTGGGATTACAGGCGCCCCCCACCATGCCCGGCTAATTTTTTGTATTTTTAGTAGAGACAAGATTTCACCGTGTTGGCCAGCATTGTCTTGATCTCCTCACCTCATGATCTGCCTGCCTCGGCTTCCCAAAGTGCTGGGATTACAGGGATGAGCTACTGTGCCCGGCCCCATTATTAATTATCTTTATGCAGCTGATGTGGATAAACCATCACATTAAATCTGGCAGCTTTTTTTTTTTCTACATACTTTTCTTTGGAAAATGAAGGCTCTTTGTTTACAGGCCAGGAAAACTGGGAAAAACACATGCTCTTCCACTTACTGCATGTTTGACAAAATATCCTTTTTGGGACAAAAACATTGACATTATTGGTGAGCTTGTTAGAAATTCAAAAAATCAGACTTTATGCCAGATCTTCTGGAAAAAAAAAAAAACCTGCATAAGGTCTTCAGCTTATTGTACATATTAAAATTTGAGGCCAGGCGCGGTGGCTCACGCCTGTAATCCCAGCACTTTGGGAGGCCGAGGCGGGTGGATCATGAGGTCAGGAGATTGAGACCACCCTGGCTAACACGGTGAAACCCCGTCTCTACTAAAAAATACAGAAAAAATTAGCCAGGCATGATGGCGGGCGCCTGTAGTCCCAGCTACTCTGGAGGCTGAGGCAGGAGAATGGCTTGAACCCAGGAGGCGGAGCTTGCAGTGAACCGAGTTCATGCCACTGCACTCCAGCCTGGGCGACAGAGCGAGACTCCGTCTCAAAAAAAAAAAAAAAATTTTGAGAGGTGCCTTCTAACTCAACATGTCTTTTCCATCTGAAAAATATTCATAATTCCATGTGATGTAAATATAGCACTCAAAAATGTACATGTTCATGTTCATGCTGTTAATTTTATACTTTATTATTTAGAAAAATATCATACATGAAATAATGTTGTAGATCTTATGCTGCTCTTCTCAGAGTCAGAGAATATAATAGGGAATATTTCTGTGTTGAAAATTGTTTTACTGGATAATTTTAGTCCTATAAGTCAGAATCAGTTCTCTTTACTCGCTCATTTCATCTTAAGTCAAAAATTCCACCCATGGCGACTTGGTAAAAATGTGTGTGTGTGTGTGTGTGTGTGTGTTTCAGGGGCCATTGCAATTTACAGATGTGGCCATAGAATTCTCTCTGGAGGAGTGGCATTGCCTGGACACTGCACAGCGGAATTTATATAGGGATGTGATGTTAGAGAACTACAGACACCTGGTCTTCCTTGGTGAGGACAACTTAAATACATAATTCACAAAAAACCCTAAAAGTTTTATTTCTTTTTTAGTGGAATGTTTTTAAATAATTTATTCTTTGCATAAGAGTTTCAGATGGCCTTTTTCCAGAAAATCTTCAGAATTTGTTCATGTAGAAAAGAATTTCTGCAAGATGTTTCACCTTAATCCAAACTTCTGCATTCCTGACTTGAGCTCTATTCTTCACTCTAAATTAGTGGTAATTCCAGAAATTTAGTTGCATAAAATATTGTTGCCCCCACCTGAAAATCTCATTGACACAAGCCATTTTTGATTCAGTAGTACCAAGTAGTAAAATTTAAAAAACCTATAAGCAGGGCCCAGTGTGGTGGCCAGGTGCCAGCACTTTGGGAGGCTGAGGCAGGCAGATCACCAGAGGTCCGGAGTTCCAGACCAGCCTGACCAACGTGAAGAAACTCCATCTCTACTGAAAATACAAAATTAACCAGGCATGGTGGCTCAGGCCTGTAATCCCAGCTACTCCAGAGGCTGAGGCAGCAGAATTGCTTGAACCTGGGAGGCTGAAGTTTCGGTGAGCCGAGATTGAGTGATTGTACTCTAGCTTGGGCAACAAGAGCAAAACAAAAGAAACCTACAAGTTGAAATTATTTCTTAATATTTAGAAATTTGTTATAAATTAGTATTTTGGCATTAATTTACTAGAATATTTTATTTCATCTTCTCTGCTGAGCACACTACTAGCTTGTAATTAAACAATATAAGCAAGATTCATGCTATTTATTTTTAATAAAACAGGTATTGTTCTCTCCAAGCCAGAACTGATCACCTGTCTGGAGCAAGGAAAAAAACCTCTGACCGTGAAGAGACATGAGATGATTGCCAAACCCCCAGGTAGGTGCAAGTGAAAATGAATACAACAGATGACACAAATGAGAGGTCGCAACATCCAAGAGAAGGCCAGTCCTTAAAATGTGACCTGGGAAGCTGTGTTCTAAAGGAAATAGTTCCTGGGCAGCTGTTTTTTGTTTGTTTGTTTGGTTGGCTGGTTGGTTTTTAATTTTGTTCTCACCAAGGGACATCTTCTGTATCATGCTTTTAAATTCTCTAAGAATTCTTTTGTTGAGCTTCTTTCAAGTTCACAGTGAGAACCAAAGTCCTCTTTATGACATATGAGTCTGCTCAATCTGGCTGCTTTTCCATTGTTTTGGGGACACAAAAATATCTGCATGATTTTGAGAAACTAAAACTATTTTTTAAGTTCTCTTTTTGCATCAGATCTGAAATGTATAAGAGTAATAGTTTGTATTGCATTTTTTGTTCATTTTTCTGCACAATACATTCTGTTTTTATTACTATGTAGTCTTGAAATACAGTTTGAAATTATAAGTATGGTATCTTTCTGCTTTGTTCTTTTTCCTCAAGATTGCTTTGGCTATCAAAGTTATCTTAGTTTCATGTAACTTTTAGAATCGTATTTTCCACTACTATGAAAAAAATACCACTGCAATTTTGATAGAAAGTTTATTGAATCTATAGATCACTTTGGATAATATGCCAATTTTTAAATTTATTTGGATCTTCTCTAATTTTTTCTTTTTTTTTTATTGTAAAGATTTTTTACCTCCTTGTTTATTTTTTTTCTAAGAAGTATATTATTTAATGCTATAGTAAATAAGGTTTTTGTCTTTCTCTATTTTATCAGTTTGTTTTAAATGTATGAGACCATACATATACTTGTATGTTAATCTTATATTTTGCTAATTTACTGAGTGTATTTATCAGTTTAGACAGGTTTTAATGTGCTGTTTATGGTTTTTTAAATATAAGATTGTATGATTTACAAACACCAATTTTTACTTATTTTTCTTTAATTTTAATGGATTTTTTTATTTCTTTGACTAATTCTGCCACATGCTTCCAGTGCTACATTAAAATAGAAATATTGACAATGGGCACAATATAGTTTTGTATTGGTGTCTGAATTTGATGGAGCAAACACTTCATGTTTTCATAAACTTATTTTAGAAGGTAATGATCTTTTGTTGGGCCCTTAGGGTGATGAGACACCCTCTGAATTTGTAGTGAAGAGGGGTTGTAGCTTGGTCACAAGGCTGCTGGGTCTGCACTAGGGTTCCCCTTTAGTTGGCTTGATACAGGGACTTGGGTAGTTGTAATTCCCATTTTATTTTTGGACAGACTGCATATCCTTCAGGACTTTGCTCAGTAGGGCAGGCACTACAGCATGTTTTTGCAGTCAGGTCTGCATACGCTCGGCCTTATATCAGGATGTGGATGAGTGTGGCTTTTAGTGAGTACCAGAGAGCGTTTCCTCAGAAAACTGTGTGAGTTTCTATATAGGCAGAACTGACCATAAAATTTTCTTGTTTAAGTGAGTAGCCATAGACACAGTCTTATTTTCACCATGTGTTTAATGATGAACATATATTTTCTTTTGTGAGAGAAACATTTTTGTGATTTGAAGGTAATTTTCAAAATGATTTATAATTCTGGACATTTTTCAGTTTTTCTTTAAAAAAATTGTTTTAAGAACACGTAACATAAAATTTACCATCTTAAATCTATTCAAGTCTATATTTCAGGGCCATGCATGGTTGTGGCTCCCATCTGTATTCCCAGGATTTTGGAAGGCCAACACAGGAGGATCCCTGGAGCCCAAAAGTTTGAGATCAGTCTGGGCAACATATGGAGACCCCTCTATATAAAATAAATTTAGTAATAGCTAGGCATGGTGGTGTGCAGCTGTGGTACCTGCTACTTGGGACGTTGAGGAGGAGTCAAAGGTGTGCCACTACACTTTAGCTTCAGTGACAGAGTGAGACCTTGTCTCAAAAGAAAAGCTGTTCATTTCAGGGATGTTAAGTATATTGACATTGTTATGCAAAAAACTTCTAGAAACCTTACATCTTGTAAAATTTAAACTCAATACCCATTAAGTAACATCTGCTCATTTTACCCTCTCTCCCGTCCTTGACAGACAAACCTTCCACTTTGTTTTTATGATTTTGACTACTTAAGGTATCTCATATGAGTGGAATCATACAGTACCCATAATGTTCTTACTGGATTAATTCAAGTGACATAATATTCTCAATGTTCATCTTAAAATGTGACAAGATTGTTCTTTTTAAGGTGGAACGATATTCCATTGTATGTATATGTTATATTTTTTGATATGTTTATAAATCAAGAGAAATTTGGGTTGCTTCAGCCTTTGGGCTTTTGTGAATACTGATGCAATAAACATAGATTTTCTTTTCTTTCTTTCTTTTCTTTTTTGTTTTGTTTTGTTTTGTTTTGTTTTGTTTTTGAGACGGAGTCTTTCTCTGTCACCCAGGGTGCAGTGGCACAATCTTGGCTCACTACAACCTCCACCTCCCAGGTTCAAGTGATTCTCCTGCCTCAGCCTCCTGAGTAGCTGGGATTACACATGCCCACCACCACACCGGCTCATTTTTGTATTTTTAGTACAGACAGGGTTTCACCATGTTGGCCAGGCTAGTCTCGAACTTCTGACCTCAGGCGATCTACCCACCTTGGCCTCCCAAAGTGCTGGGATTACAGGCATGAGCCACCAAGCCTGGCCATGGATTTTCAAATATGTCTTCCTGGTCCTCTGTTGCATTTATTTATTCATTCATTCATTCATTCATTCCTGTGATTTATGTATTTATATATTTATTTTTGTAGAGATGGAGTCTCGCTCTGTCACCTAGACGGAAGTGCAGTGGTGCGATCTCAGCTCACTGCAACCTCTGCCTTTTGGGTTCAAGAAATTCTCCTGCTTCAGCCTCTCTAGTAACTCGGATTACAGGTGCCCGCCAAAACGCTCAGCTAATTTTCTGTATTTTTAGTAAGATAGCGTACATTATGTTGGCCAAGCTGGTCTCAAACTCCTGACCTCAGGTGATTTGCCCACCTTGGCCTCCCAAAGTGCTAGGATTACAGGCTTAAGCCACTGCACCTGGCCTGTGTTACATATTTTGTATATAGATATATAAATGAGGAACATTAATAACATTTTAAAATAATGACTACATCTTTGTTTTCCACCAACAACCAACATGGGTTTCATTTTTATTGCATCATCAACAGAGTTGGCATTTTTTAAAAAATATATAGTGGCCATTCTAATGGGTGTGAGATGATTTCGCTGTCATTGTGTTTTTTTTTCATTTCTCTGCAAATGAGTAATTTTGTGCATCCTGTCAAATGTTTCTTCCCATTTGTGTAGTTTTTTGATGAAAGTTTTGTTTGTTCATTTATAAATCAAGTTATTGAACTTTATGGTTTAGTTTTTAGAGTTGTTGATATATTTTTAATATTAACTTTTTTCACATGTAATTTGCAAATATATTCACCCATTTTCTAAATATGTTGTCATTCTCGAATTTTCTTTTGATGTACAGAAATTTTGACATCTACTATAGTTAATGGTTTCTATTCTTGTATTTGTTGCTCATGCATTTAATGTCATATCTAAGAAAATGGTGCCAAGACAATGTCATGTCTTTTTCCTGTATTTTTTCTGAAAGATTTGTTAGTTTTTTGTGTCTAAGTATTTTATTTAAAATATATTTTTGTATCATTCAAGAAAATAATCCAACTTTATTTTATCGATGTTGATATTCAGTTTTCAACACCATTTTTTGAAGAGATGATTTTTCTCTATTTTGTACTCATGGCAACCTTTTGGAAGATCATTTGATCATATACAGAAGGGTTCATTCCGGAGCTCTCTATTCTGTTCTTTCATCTGTTTATCTTTGTGTCAGTATCACATTGTTTATGTTACTGTAGCTTTTAACTGTAGGTTGTATTAACATCTTTGAAAAATAAAGTTTTTTGACCCCTGAGCAAGAATATGTTGAAGAATGTGTCTTATATTCACATATTTTTGAATTTGCCTGTTTGGCTTGTGCTTTTAATTCCTAGTTTCATTCAGTTTTTGTTAGAAAACACAAGAGTGTGTAATTTTAGTGTTTTTTAATTGATTTGTTGTTGTTTTGAGACAAGATCTTATGGACATTGAGGCTGGAGTGCAGAGGCATAATTTTGGCTCACTGTAGCCTCAGCCTCCTGGGCTCAAGTTATCCTTTCACCTCAGTTTTCTGAGTAGCTAGAACTGCAGACATGCACTACCATGTCTGGCTAATTGTTTGCTTATTTGTAATGTTAGGATCTCACTATTTTGCCCAGGCTAGTCTCAAACTTTTGGCCCCAGTGGATCCTCTTACCTTGGTCTCCCAAAGTGTTAGGATTATAGGCGAGAGCCACTGCACCTAGTCAGTACTTTTAAATTTAATAAAACTTGGTATATGTCATAACAGAATACACCAGATGCAAGTGGGAATATTATGTATTATCTTGGTTTTGACTGGAGAGTTTTGTGTGTGTCTGTGAAGCCTAGTTGGTCTATAATATGGTTTGGATGTCCATGTTCTCCAGAACTCATGCTGCAAGATAAATCCTCAATGTTGGATGTGGGACCTGCTGGGACATTTTTGTGTCATGGGGGAAAATTTCTCATGAATGGCTTGGTACATCCTCTTGGTAACCAAAAAGTTTACACTCTATTAATTCAGATGAGAGCTGGTTCATTAAAAGAACCTGGCTTCTTTACCTCACACTTGCTCTGTCTCATACCATATAATATGTCCAGTTACTCTTTACCTTCTACCATGATTGTAAGTTTTTTGAGACCCTCACCAGAAGCAGATGCTGGCACACACTTCTTTTACAGTCTGCCAAAGTGTGAGCCACATAATTTTTTTCTTTATAAATTATAATCTCTGAAGTATTCCTCTGTATGCAAAATAATATAGTCTAATATTGTCTAAGTTTTGTTTTTCATTTTTTTCTCTGAATTTTCTATTATTGCAAATGGGGTCTTGATGTCTACAACTATTACGTTGCTGTGTATGTCTTGCTTCAGTTTTGTCAATATTTGCTTTATATATTTTGGAGCCCTGATGTTATATACACATATACATATAGATAGATGAATATAGTTATAGATTCCTGGTAAATTAACTCACTTTACTATAATATAATATCAGTCTTCACCTAATGGTAGTGCTTGACTTAAAGCATGTTATGTCTAATATAATTATGACCACCTCACTCAATTGTGGTTACAATTTTCATGAAATACACATTTTTTTCCTTCTGTTACTTTCAGCCTATTTGACTCAATGCTACGATGAGTCTTTTGTGGGCAGCATACAGTATGCTTTTTAAGAAACCACTGAGGCATTCTATGGATTTTTCTTTAGGTATATTTATTTATGTATGTATTTATTTATTTTGAGACAAAGTTTCACTCTTGTTGCCAAGGCTGGAGTGCAATGGCATGATCTCAACTCACTGCAACCTCCACTTCCCAAGTTCAAGTGATTCTACTGCCTCAGCCTCCTGAGTAGCTGAGATTACAGGCACCAACCACCACGCCTGGCTAATTTTTTGTATTTTTAGTAGAGATGGGATTCCACCATGTTGGCCAGTCTCTTAAACTCCTGACCTCAGGTGATCTGCATGCCTCAGCCTCCCAAAGTGCTGGGATTACAGGCATAAGCCACTGTGCCCAGCCTCAGTTATTTTTGAGATAGGGTCTCACTCTGTCAACCAGGCTGATTTGCATGGTTCACTGGTGACTGAACCTCCAAACCTCAGATGATCCTCTCATTTTAGCCTCTCAAGTAGCTGGGTTACCAGTAAGTGCCATCACACCCAGGTAGCTTTTTTTCTGTAGAGACAGAGTTTTGCCATGTTCCCCAGGCTGGTCTTGAACTCCTGGGATCAAGTGATCAGCCTACCTTGGCCTTTGAAAGTCCTCCAATTACATTTCATTTTATTAAGCAGTTTAATTAATTTATATTTACAATGATTACTTAAAGAAATGAAGTTGTTATTACCAGTTATATTGTTATTGTTTTATGTGTTTCTAGTAGTTATATTTTTCTCATTTGCTGTTTTACTTTCTTAATTTTCATTTAATTTTGTACTGGCATGCTTTGATTATTTTTTATCTTCTTTTCCATACTTTCTACAAATATTCCCTTTGTAATCATTTTGAAAACCAGAGATTACATACATCTTAAAGTTAAAACAATATGTTTTAATCTCATAACAACTTCAATTGAACACAAAAACTATGCCTCTACATTTTCTAGTTTGTTATTGTTATAAAAATTATTTCATATGGTGTATCTATTGATTGATTCATGCAAATTTACATAGTTTTTTATATTTTATAAAAGAATTTTAAAGTTTTTCTGTACCGTCTTTTTTTTTTTTTTGAGACTGAGTCTTGCTTTATTGCCCAGGATGGAAAGCAGTGGTGTGATCTTGGCTCACTGTAAACTCCACCAGGTGTGGTGGCTCATGCCTGTAATCTCAGCACTTTGGGAGGCTGAGGTGGGTGAATCACAAGGTCAGCAGTTTGAGTCCAGCCTGTTTAACACGGTGAAACCGTGTCTCTACTAACAAATACAAAAAGTAGTCAGGTGTGCTGGTAGGCAACTGTAATCTCAGCTTCTCAGGAGGCTGAGGCAAGAGAATCACTTGAAACTGGAAGGCAGAGGTTGCAGTGAGCCGATCACACCACCGTACTCCAGCCTGGGTAACAGAGCGAGACTCCATCTCAAAAAAAAAAAAAAAAAGTATGTTTCTTGATTGGAAAGATAACATATATATTTAAATAGTTTTCTGAAATAGAAAAATTTACTGTTATTTTTATTAATTGTTTTATTTGATTGTTGTGTCTTTGTCTCTCATTTTCTCTTTCTGCCTTTTTTGTGTTTTTTTTATTTTTGTATTGATAGGCTTTCAGTTCCCTCTTATTTACTTTTGTGTAGCTCTACAGATATAATCTTAGTGGTACCAGGGGACTCCATAAAACCTCTAAAATATCCAAAAATGTATTTTAATGTGGTAAAAAATTAACTTCAGTTACATACCAAAATTATTCATCATAACATCTGCCTTCAACTTTGTTATTGATTTTGTTAATTATATTTCTTATGTTGTATATCCATTAACAGATGTTAATAATTTCTGTACTTTTATCTTTTAAATTTAGAGAATAATTAAAAATGTTTTCTGTATCATTATGATAATGTTAAGTAAGAAATACCATTTTTGTGAATTTGCATATCTTTTCCAGAAAGTTATGTATTTTCATATGATTATGTGGTGTTTTCTTACATTATGTTATTTTCAGTGGAAGAAACTCCTTTCAGCATCTTTGATATGTAGGGTGTATGCAGTGCCAATATACTTTCTCAGGATTTGGTTATTTTGGAAGGACTTCTTTTTATCTGATAGTACAATTTTGCTGATGGTATTATTCCCATTTGACAGCTTTTTTATTATTATTATAAATTTAACAATATCAGTTTCCTTTTGACATGCAAAAATGTTTTAAATAAATTCACTGGTTATCTCATGAGACTATGCTTATAAACGGAACATCATTTTTATCTTCAGCACCCAAAATTCTATTCTTATATGTGATTTTTGAAATTTTGCTTATTTGGGTGTTATAAATATATTTGTGTGTATCTAAGTTTGTTTTTTCAGCTTTTTCATGTTTACGTATTTTCTTGTAATAAATTTTTCAGTTATTTTTTGTACTTTTTATATCCACAATTTTTTGTGTGTGTTTACTTTAGTATTTCTTTTTGTTCTCATTTTTCTGATCTTCAATAGTTGTCTGTGTTTCTGGTTTTTTTTCTGATACAGAGTATTTTTCTGTCACCGAGGCTGGAGTGCAGTGGCTCAATCTCGGCTCACTGCAACTTCTGCCTCCTGGTTCAAGCAATTCTCCTGCCTCAGCCTCCCGAGTAGCTGGGATTACAGGTGCCTGCCACCATGCCCAGATAATTTTTTGTATTTTTAGTTCAGATGGGGTTTCACCATGTTGGGCAGGCTGATCTTGAACTCCTGACCTCAAATGATCTACCCACTTCAGCCTCCTAAAGTGCTAGGAATACAGGCATGAACCACTGTGCCTGGCCTTTTTTACTTTATTTTTGAGACAGTGTTGCTCTGTTGCCCAGTCTGCATTGCAGTGGTACAATCTCCACTCACTGCAACTTTCCCCTCCTGGATTCAAGCAATTATCCTGTGTCAACCTCCCAAGTACCTGGGATTACAGGCACATGCCACCATGCGCAGCTAATTTTTGTATTTTTAGCAGAAACAGGGTTTCACCATGTTGCTCAGGCTGGTCCCAAACTTCTGACCTCATGTGATTTTCCCACCTTGATCTCCCAGTGTGTTGGGATTACAGGAATGAGCTACCAACACTGGGCTGTTCAATTCATTTGGAATTTTAAAAATTACTTTACATACTTTTTATGGTTGCTTTTGAAAATTTTATAATTTTTTTGATGGGGCCATGTTGCTCTAATATTTGGTATACATTATAACCTTTGATTGAGATTAGGACATTAACAAAAAGCTACCTGTTACAGTCTTTATAATATGGCTCTGTCCTGGCATAGTCTGAAATCAATTGTCTTGACTCTAGATTCTGAGAATTCCTCAAACATGTTTTTAAGGTGTGTCTTGTTTAAAATTTTATGTTTATTGTTTAGTTAATAATAAGTAATCATTCACTACACCCATTCCCTGTTTGGGTTACTGCAGTTTCTCTGCTTCTCTATAATTTACCTTCAGACTCAAAGTGTCATTCTAACATATATCACCATTTTTTTTGGCATTTTGTGTCATGGGACATATCAACTAGTGTCTAAAAAAGCCCCTAGAAGCCAGAAATAAAGATGTATGTGTCAATATTTTTCTTGTTTTTTAAAAAAGAAACCAGGAGTTGGCAATTTACATTTTTGTGTGTATGTGTGAGACAGAGCCTCACTCTATTAACTAGTCTGGAGTGCAGAGGCATGACCTTGGCTCAGTACAATCTCTGCCTCCAGAGTTCAAGCAATTATCCTGCCTTAGCCTCCCAGGTAGCTAGGATTACAGGTACCTATTACCACCCCTGGCTAATTTTCTGTATTTTAGTAGAGATGAGGTTTCACCATGTTGGTCAGGCTGATCACCTCTGGTTGTCCTCCATCTTGTTCACCCAAATTGCTGGAATTACAGGCATGAGCCATCATGCCTGGTTGGCAATTAACTTTTTTTTTTTAATTTTTATTTTTTGTGGTGGGGTCTCACTCTGTACCCAGGCCAGAGTACAGTGGTGCAATCTCAGCTTACTGCAACCTCCACCCCCTGGGTTCCAGCAATTCTCATGCCTCCGCCTCCCCAGTAGCTGAGATTACAGGTGCCCATGACTAAGCCTGGCTAATTTTTTGTATTTTTAGTAGAGATGGGGTTTCACCATCTTGGCCAGGCTGGTCTTGAACTCCTGACCTCAAGTGATTCACCCACATCTGCCTCCCAAAGTGTTGGGTTTACAGACACAAGCCACCACACCAGGCCAATAATTTACTTTTAAAGGCACAGAGTTATACTGGAGATATGGAAGAGCTGTGTTGGGTATAAGTAACAGGCTTTTCTTTATCTTCTATGTGGCTCTTTGCATTGTGCTCACCTGGGACCCTTCACACACTTAATTCACTTATACATTTTTTACAAATTGTATTTTGGTCAGTATGTTTTTGTTACATTTATATGTCCAGGAAGAAATTACAGCTTGTGGTATTTTGCCATGTCATCTTCCTTAGGTAGTCTGTGAAATTTTATAGGTTAGATTTGTAAAATATATTTATCTGAGTCTAGCAGTTGAAGTGTTGTGTTTTTATTGTCTCTTTCAGTTATTTGTTCTCATTTTGCCCAAGAACTTTGGCTAGAGCAGAACATAAAAGATTCTTTTCAAAAAGTGATACTGAGAAGATATAAAAAATGTGGACATGGCAATTTACAGTTAAAAAAAGGATGTGAAAGTGTGGATGAGTGTAAGGTGCAAAAAAGAGGTTATAATGGGCTTAACCAATGCTTGACAACTACCCATTGCAAAATATTTCAATGTGATAAATATGTGAAAGTCTTTCATCAATTTTCAAATTCAAACAGACAGAAGACGTACTGTAAAAAAACCTTTGAAACATATAGAATGTGGCAAATCTTTTAACCAGTCCTCAACCCTTACTACACATAAGAAAATTCATACTGGAGAGAAACCCTACAAATGTGAAGAATGTGGCAAAGACTTTAACTGGTACTCAACCTTTACTACAGATAAGATAACTCATACTGGAGAGAAACCCTAAAAATGTGAAGAATGTGGCAAAGCCTTTAAGTACTCCTGTACCCTTACTACACATAAGATAATTCATACTGGAGAGAAATCCCACAAATGTGAGGAGTGTGGCAAAGCCTTTAACTGGTCCTCACAGCTTGCTATTCATAAGATAACTCATACTGGAGAGCAACCCTACAAACGTAAAGAATGCAGCAAAGCTTTTAACCATCCCACAACCCCTTCTTCACATAAGAAAACTCATACTGGAGAGAAACCATGCAAGTGTGATAAATGTGGCAAAGCCTTTATTTTTTCCTCAACCCTTAGTAAACATGAGAAGATTCATACTGGAGAGAAACCCTACAAATGTGAAGAATGTGGCAAAGCCTTCAGATGGTCCTCACACCTAACTACACATAAGATAACTCATACTGGAGAGAAACCCTACAAATGTGAAGAATGTGGCAATGGCTTTAAGTATTCCTCTACGCTTACTGAACATAAGATAATCCATACTGGAGAGAAATCCTACAAATGTGAAGAGTGTGGCAAAGCCTTTAACTGGCCCTCACAGCTTGCTATTCATAAGATAACTCATACTGGAGAGCAACCCTACAAATGTAAAGAATGTGGCAAAGCTTTTAAACATCCTGCAACCCTTTCTTCACATAACAAAACTCATACTGGAGAGAAACCATACAAGTGTGATAAATGTGGCAAAGCCTTTATTTCATCCTCAACCCTTAGTAAACATGAGAAGATTCATACTGGAGAGAAACCCTACAAATGTGAAGAATATGGCAAAGCTTTCACCCATTCCTCACACCTTACTAGGCATAAGAAAATTCATGCTGGAGAGAAACCATACAAGTGTGATAAATGTGGCACAGCCTTTATTTTATCCTCAACCCTTAGTGAACATGAGAAGATTCATACTGGAGAGAAACTCTACAAATGTGAAGAATGTGGCAAAGCCTTCAACCATTTTTCACACCTTACTATACATAAGACAATTCATACTGGAGAGAAATGCTATAAATGGTATAAAAACCTTTACATGGTCCTCAAGCCCCCATAAACATAGGAGAACTCATACTGGAGAGAAACCTTACAAATGTGAAGAATGTGGCAAAGCCTTTACTGCATCCTCAACTCTAAGTGAATATAAGACAATTCATACTGGAGAGAAACCTTGCAAATGTGAAGAATGTGGCAAAGCTTTTAACTGGTCCTCAGACTTCAATAAACATAAGAGAATTCATAGTGGACAGAAACCAATACTGTAACAAAGCTTTATTTATTTATTTATCTATTTATTTATTTATTTATTTATTTATTTTTGAGATGGAGTTTCACTCTTGTTGTCCAGGCTGGAGTGCAATGGCGCAATCTTGGCTCACCTTCACCTCCATCTCCCAGGTTCAAGCGATTCTCCTGCCACAGCCTTCCTGTGTAGCTAAGATTACAGGCATGCACCACCACACCTGGCTAATTTTGTATTTTTAGTACAGATGGGGTTTCTCCATGTTGGTTAGGCTGGTCTTCAGCTGCCAACCTCAAGTGATCCACCCATCTCAGCCTCCCAAATTGCCAGGATTACAGGCACAAGCCACTGCACCAGGCTGACAAACCTCTTTGTAAGGAAGTTCTCAACACTTATTACACATAATTCATACTGGACAGAAACCCTACAGGTGTGAAGAATTTGGCAAAGCCTATAACAAGTTCTCAATTTTTTTTTTCTTTTTTTGAGATGCAGTTTCACTATTGTGACCCAGGCTGGAGTGCAATGGCATGATCTTGGCTCACTGCAACCTTCGTCTCCTGGGTAGCTGGGATTACAGGTACCCACAATGACACCCAGCTAATTTTTGTAGTTTTAGTAGAGATGGGGTTTTGCCATATTTGCCAGGCTCGTCTCAAACTCCTGACTTCAGTTGATCCACCCACTTTGGCCTCCTAAAGTGCTGGGATTACAGGCATGAGCCTCCATTCCTAGCCATAAGTTCTCAATTCTTAAGAGACATGGCAATAATTCATGCTGAAGAGGAACTCTACAAACCTGAAAGATGTGACAGTGCTGTTCCCAACACCTCCAACGTTTCTATACATAAAAAAATTATACTAGTGTGAAACTGTAGAAAAGTATAAAATGTGACAAAGCCTTTATTTGGTTGCCACACTTGATAAATATAAAAATAAAAAATTGTTTAAAATTATTTGTATATAGCTTTAAAAGGAGATTTTTGGAAGCATTGTAATTACATTAAAAGTATACTTGTTTTCTTGAAAAAAAGTTTTTCAAAAGTGAATAATGATGTCATACAGCTTTCAAATTACTTTATGCTGTTATTTTATTCCTATTCACATGTGAAAACATATGAGCAATTTTTGCTGCATCAGAGATACCAGAGATTCTTTTTTTATTGGGCATTATTTATAACCTTTTCTATAAAAGTAAGGACACTAAAATGTAAGATGCATGATGAAAAGATAAGTGGAGAGGCTCATTGTAGTTAACCTATATTAAGTAATGTATAAGCTAGGTGTTCAGACTATTTTCTACATTATGGTGGAATTGTTAATTATAGTTAAAAGTATATTAAAATAAGTATATTATTAATTGTACTTTTATGTAATAAAATGCAGTATATTTAAAAATCATTAGATTATGTGCAAACTTAATTTTATTTTTTTAACATGTTAAGACTATTGTGCATTTAATGAAGCATTATTCCACTAACTTTAACCTATCCCACCTTACTCAAGGGTGTAGGTAAAAGATGGTAGCAACATACTATTTGGTACATAGTGAAATAACATCTCTAGTAATCACTTTGCGAGTGGCTTTAAACAGCAAATGAATTTAAGAATATTGTTTCCATAGGTTAGATTTTTATTCTTTTTTCTTATTGAAATTTATTATTGGTATTTGTGGGTATATAGTATGTGTATATATTTATGCCTTATATGGCATATTTTCATTCAGGCCTACAATGTGTAGTAATTACATTAGGGTAAATAAGGTATCCATCACCTCTAACATTTATACTTTTTATTACAAACAGTGTAATTATATACTTTAATTATTTTAAAATGTACAATTAAATTGTTATTAACTACATTGTTATTTTTATGGTCATAATAAAAATTATACAGAAATAGAATATGGCCCAGCCCAGTGGCTCATGCCTGTAATCCCACTACTTTGGGAGGCCAAGACAGGTGGTTTCCCTGAGGTCAGGAGTTCAAGACCAGCCTGGCCAATGTGGTGAAACCTCGTCTCTACTAAAAATACAAAATATAGCCAGACATGGTGGCACATGGAGGCTGAGGCAGGAGAATAACTTGAACCCAGGAGGTGGAGGTTGCAGTGAGCTGAGATCCTGCAGCTGTGCTCCAGCCTGGGTGACAGTGAGACTCGATCTCAGAAAAAAAAGAAATAGAAATCCATAGAAAATCCTGAAAAATTATTTAAAAATATTTGTTATATAGTTTTCTTTGAACATGTGGTCTCTGCCTGCAAACATAGACTTTTAGTGTTAATTTGCACAGGGTTAAATATACACATATCATTCTGAAGATAAACCTTAGGTGTAAGAAAATTATGAAGTGTTTTTGTGTAAGTATGAGTTTCTGCTTATTTTCAGAAGAAAAGAACAATTATTGGAACAATATTTTAATTAGGTGACTAATAAAAATCTAAACACCTCGGGAATGCTGAAAGCAAATCTATACTTTCTGCTTTGTCTTGAATTTATTAACTTAAAATTTTGTTGCTTATGGTTTAGATTCTCCCAGGAATCTCCCTATTAAAGCACAGGCAACTTTGTCTCCAGAAATAACACTCTGGAGTACAACAATAAAAGCCTTCTCAAAACAGAAAACAAATAAATATTTTTAACACTTATTTTAATGAAAATTCAACCAAAATTGAATAATTGGATATATTTTTAATGTTCTTTGTGTGTGTGAATGTATAAAATGATGCATAAAGGATAAATAAAAGAAAAATGATGTTAATATTTGTAATGAATAAAACTGGACATTTGTTAATTATTATTTGTAGAGGATATGTTTTTTTATGTGGATAACAAAAGTAGCAGAAAGACTTTTTTTCCCAAAACAATAAATAGAAGACTTAATGAGAAACATTTAATAAGCATTTAAAAGAAACTAGGGTTACTCTTTATGTTTAAAATATATGCTATTATTACACAAAATGAAACTGTTGTAATCCAACTTTAGAAGCAAAAAATAGACTTAAATTGTTAAACATAGAAAGAATTATATACATATATATTTGGCAGAATAGGGTTAGGCACTGTGATATGTGAAACAAATATTAGGAAATAAACTGTTATTCTTTAGATATAGTCTGAAGAATGTAAATGAAAATTCTGTAATTCCTTTTTGCCTGCAACAAATTTGAATTTATAACGAAGTATTTTGGTAAATATGGAGTGCCTGCTAGTTATGTAATTTACTTCAGGCATACCATGCAAATTCTAGCATATTGTCCTAAATATCTGAATCTAAAGTTACAGACAATTTGAAATAGAAAATAGAAAGTAAAAATGTATAGGGAGAGTGACATCAATAAGGTTAAAAGAGCCCTATTTTCATATTCCCTTACAGCAAAAAAAATCAGCCATCCCTGATGCCTTTATTGACTGAGTGCTGTGGCTGATGCCTTTAATCCCAGCACTTTGGGAGGCTGAGGCAGGCAGATCACGAGGTCAGGAATTCAAGACCAGCCTGGCAAACATGGTGAAACCTTATCTCTACTAAAAATACAAAACAATTAGGCGGTTGTGGTGGCACACACCTGTAATCCTAGCTACTCAGGAGGCTGAGGCAGGAGAATTGCCTGAACCCGGGAGGCGGAGTTTGCAGAGAGTTGAGATGGCGCCACTGCACTCCAGCCTGAATGACAGAGTGAGACTCCATCTCAGAGGAAAAAAAAAGTGCCTTTATTAGAGAACCAGTCATTATGGCTCACACCTGTAATGACAGCTACATGGTACATTAAGGTTGGAGAACTGCTTCAGGCCAGGATTTCGAGACCAGCCTTGGTTATGAAGCAAGACGTCATCTCCAAAATAAGGGCCTCTATGAGAGATTTGAGATCCAGGGAGGGAGTTGTGAAAAACTGTTAAAGCTTAAGGTTGAGAAGTGTTCTATTCGGAAGGCAGGCCCTCATTCAGGTGGAAAACTACATGACCCCTGTTCTTGGCTACAGACCAGGATAGGGTTCACCCAACTTGATCCCACTGAGAATTCTGAACTTACTCTGTAATTATCCCAAACTCCTACCAGCCACAGTCTGGCCAAGGTCCTGCCATTCCAGAGACCTGGAGGAAGGCACCCATTTACAGCCATGTAGGCAGGCCTGCAAACCTTGGCCTTTACTGGGGTCTGTGAAGCAGTTCAATGACTCAGTTTCAGTTACCTGAGCCTCAGTTTATGATCAGTTCTGCCTACATAGAAACCCACACAGTTACCTGAGGAAATGTTCTCTGGTACTCAGTGAAAGCTACACTCATCCGCATCCTGATACGAGGCCCACCATATGCAGATCCGACTGCAAAAACCTGCCCTAGTGTCTGCCCTATGGAGCAAAGTCCTGAAAAACATGTGGTCTGTTCACAAATAAAATGGGAATTACAACTATCCAAGCCCCTGTAACAAGCCAACTAATGGTGGACCCTAAAGCAGACCCAGCAGCCTTGTGACCAAGCTGCAACCCCTCTTCACTACAAATTCAGAGAGCTTATCATCACCCTAAGGGTCCAACAAAAGATTTTTATCTTCTGAAATCAGTTTATGAAAATTTGAAGAGGTGTTTGCTCCATCAAATTCAGACACCAATATAAAACTATATTTTGCCCATTGTCATTGCTTCTATTTTAATCTAGCACTGGATGTATGTGGCAGAAGAATTAGTTGAAAAAATTTAATCCATTGAAATTAAAGAAAAGTAAAAAGTTGCAGTTTGTAGATCATAAAATTTTATATTTAAGAAACCATAAACAGGGCCGAGCGCGGTGGCTCACGCCTGTAATCCCAGCACTTTGGGAGGCCGAGGCGGGTGGATCACGAGGTCAGGAGATCGAGACCATCCTGGCTAACACAGTGAAACCCCATCTCTACAAAAAAAAAAAAAATTACAAAAAATTAGCCGGGCACAGCAGCAGGTGCCTATAGTCCCAGCTACCCAGGAGGCTGAGGCAGGAGAATGGTGTGAACCTGGGAGGTGGAGCTTGAAGTGAGTTGAGATTGTGCCACTGAACCCCAGCCTGGGCGACAAAGTGAGATTCTGCCTCAAAAATAAACACAAAGAAACCATAAACAGTATATTAAAACCTGTCTAAACCAAATACACTCAGTAAATTAGCAAAATATAAAATTAACATACAAGTATACGTATGATTTCATACACTTAAAACTATCTGATAAAATACAGGAAGATGCTGGGCATGGTAGCTCACGTCTGCCATCCCAGCACTTTGGGAGGCTGAGGGGGGTCGATCATCTGAGTTCAGGAGTTTAAGACCAGCCTGGCCAACGTGGTGAAAGTCTATCTGTACTAAAAATATAAAAATTAGCTGGGCCTGATGGTGGGCACCTGCAATCTCTTCTAGTTGGGAGGCTGAGGCAAGAGAATTGCTTGAACGCAGGAGGCGGAGTTTGCAGTAAGCCAAGATCATGCCACTGCACTCCAGCCTGGGTGACAGTGCAAGACTCTATCTCTAAAAGAAAAAAAAAAGAAAGAAATCTTATTTGCTATAGTATTAAATAATAAATGTCTGAGAAAAAATTTAACCAAGGAGGTAAAAAAATCTTTACAATAAAAAAATGAAAAAAATTAGGGAAGATCCAAATAAATTTTAAAATATTTTATGTCTATGAATTGAAAATAAATATTACTAAAGTGCCATATTATCCAAAGTGATCTATAGATTCAATATAATGCCAATCAAAATTGCAGTGCTATTTTTTTCACAGTAATGGAAAATATAATTCTAAAATTTACATGAAACTAAAATAAACTTGGAATAGCCAAAGCAATCAAGGAAAAAGAGCAAAGCAGAAGGATATCATACTTATAATTGCCAACTATATTTCAAGACTAGCAATAAAAACAGAAAGGACTGTGCAGAAAAATGAACAAAAAAATGCAAAAGAAACTACTGCTCTCACACATTTCAAATCTGATGCAAAAAAAACCTAAAAAAGAGTTTTAGTTTCTCAAAATCATGCAAATATTTGTGAGTCCTGCAAACAATAAAAAAGCAGCCAGATTGTGCAGTCTCTTATATGCCATGAAGAGGAATTTTGCTTTCAGTATAAACCTGAAGGAAGCTCACTGAAAGAAAAATAGAATCCTTAGAGAATTTACAGGCATAAAGCAGGGCTGGGTGTGGTGGCTCACGCCTGTTATTTCAGTACTTTGGGAGGCTGAGGTGGGTAAATCACCTGAGTTTGGAAGTTCGAGAACAGCCCGACCAACATGGAGAAACCCCATCTCTACTAAAAATATAGCATTAGCCGGGCATGGTGGTGCATGCCTGTAATCCCAGCTACTAGAAAAACCGAGTCAGGAGAATCACTTGAACCTGGGAGGTGGAGACTGTGGTGAGCAAAGATCACACCATTGCACTCCAGCCTGGGCAACGAGAGCGAAACACCATCTCAAAAAAAAAAAAAAGCAAAAAGCGTAACAAAAAAGATGCCCCTTTCTGAGAGCAAAATTTAAAAAAATAAAACAAACAAAAAACCCCAGATGCCCAGGAACTATTTCCTTTGGAACTCAGCTTCCCCAGTCACATTCTAAGGACTGGCTTTCTCTTTGACCTTGGGACCTCTTATCTGTGTCATCTGTTGTATTCATTTTCACTCGCACCTACCTGGGGCTATGGCAATCATCTCAAGTCTCTTCAAAGTCAAAGGTTTTTTTCCTTGCTCCGGACAAGTGATCAGGTCTGGCTTAGAGAAAACAATACCTGTTTTATTAAGAATAAATAACATGAATCTTGCTCATATTCTCCAACTACAAGCTAGTAATGTGCTCAGCAGAGAGGATGTGATAAAATATAATAGTAAATTGATACCAAAATACTAAATTATAAAAGAAATTTCTAAATATTTAGAAAATACTTTCAATTTGTAGGTTTCTTAATTTTAATACCTGGTACTACTGAATCAAAAATTGGTGGTGGCAATTAGATTTTCAGGTGGGGCAACAATATTTTATGCCGCTAAATTTCTGGAAGTACCACTAATTTAGAGTGAAGAATACAGCTCATCTCAGTACTGTGGAAAGTTTGGATTAAGATAAAACATATTGAAGAAATTCTTTCCTATATTACCAAATTCTGAAGATTTTACAAATAAAGGGGGATCAGAAACTCTTTTTTTTTTTTTTTTTTTTTTTGAGATGAAGTCTCACTCTGTTGCTCAGACTGAAGTGCAGTGGCCCGATCTCGGCTCACTGCAACCTCTGCCTCTCGGGTTCAAGCAATTCTCTCCCTCAGCCTACTGAGTAGCTAGGAATACAGGTGCCCACCACCATGCCTGGCTAATTTTTTGTATTTTTAGTAGAGATGGGGTTTCAGCATCTTGTCCAGGCTGGTCTTGAACTCCTGACCTCGTGATCCACCTGCCTCAGCCTCCCAAAGTGTTGGGATTACAGACATGAGCCATCATGCCCAGCGCTGAAACTCTTTTATGCAAAGAATAAACTACTATAATACATTCTATAAAAAAGAGAAATAATATACTCTTCAGAGTATATTATGAATTATATATTAATGCTATCTTCACCAAAAAAGACCAGGTGTCTGTAGTTCCATAACATCACATCCCTATATCAATTTCACTGTGCAGTGTATAGGCAATGCCACTCTTCCAGAGAGAATTCTATGGCCACATCTCTAAATTGCAATGGTCCCTGAAAAACACACACACACACATTTTCACCATGTGGCCATAGGCAGAATTTTTTATTTGACTTAAGGTGAAATGAGAGAGTAAAGAGAACTGGTTCTGACTTATTCGACTGACTAAAGTTATCCAATAAAATAATATCAACACAGAAATATTCTCTGATATATCCTCTAACTCTGAGAAAAAAGAGCAGCATAACATCCACAATATCAGTTCTTATATTTTTCCATATAATAAAGTATAAAATTAAGGCCATAAACATAAACATGTACATTTTTGAGTGCTATATTTACATCATACAGAATGAGTTGTGAATATTTTTCAAATGGAAAAGACATGTTGAGTTAGAAGGCACCTCTCAAATTTTTTGTTTTGTTTTGTTTTGTTCTGAGACAGGGTTTCGATCTAGTTGCCCAGGCTGAAGTTCAGTGATGCAATCTTGGCTCACTGCAACCTAAGTCTCCCGGGTTCAAGTGATTCTCCGGCCTCAGCCTCCTGAGTAGCTGGGATTACAGTCATGCACCACCACACCCAGATAATTTTGTACTTTTAGTAGACATAGGGTTTTCTCTATGTTGGCCAGACTGGACTCAAAATCCTGACATCAGGTGATCCACCCACCTCGGCCTCCCAACGTGGTAAGATTGCATGCTTGAGCAACAGCACTTGGCCGATTTTTTGAATTTCTAACAAGCTCACCAGTAATGCCAATGTTTTTGGCCCAAGAAGGATATTTTGGCAGACATCCAGTAAGTGGAAGAGCCCATGTTTTTCCCAGTTTTTCTAGCCTGTAAGCAAAGATGAAAGCCTTCATTTTCCAAAGAAAATTATGTAGAAAAAATTAGAAAAAAGAACAGCTGCCAGATTAAATGTGATGGTCTATGCACATCCGCTGCATAAAGATACTTCATGATGAAGAGAAAAATAATTAACTCTGTAGTGAAAATAATTCATCAGAGAGCTATTCCACCAAGTGAATCTTTAACCACTAACTGCACTAGGACAAATTTTTATGATGTGCTAATTCACATAGAAGAACACAGCATCAGTGTTGAAATATTTCTCCCAAAAGAAGTAAATTATAGTCTGAATTTAACCATAAAAAAAATCAGTTGTATACAAACTTCAAAATCCAGATAACTCCTATGTTGTGTAATTTTAATAGTAATTTTAAATAGGCTTCATTTGGCAACCTAGAAAACAGATATCTCCAAATAACTTTTTTCAGAACTTTCTGGTTAATAAATTCCATTTCATTTAAATCAGCATTTTCTTAATCCTGTTCTGCATAGAGCTAATGGAACACACAGATGGAGCCTCAACATGACATGTTCTCCATGTGTACTATGGACCACAAGTTTCCCCAATAGAGATCTTGAGTACCCACATCTTTCCCTGTTCAACAGCCACAAAGGGAACATTTTTAATACTGTGTATCATAAATTCTTGCTGAGAATTCTTCATGTCATATAAGAAGCTATAACATAGAAAATGTAGAGAAGGCTACTGGATATTGGAAAGAAATATTTCTCAGAGACTCTTGACTATCATAAGAATTTTAAGAAGTAGTTAAATCAAACTCATTAAGGAGGAAAAACACAAGTAGAGAAATAAAGTTTTGTAAGTACTAAATTCATGGCAGTCCAGGAGGCAGAGTGGACACAGCTCTTCATCTGACACCTGTTTACCTGAAGAAAAGCCATTTTTTTTCTTTCTTCTCCTTCTCTGGAATTTCTTCTCAGATGAGATTCTCTGGATAAATTACACCTGCATGTTGAGAATATGCCTTTAAAGGTGTCAGTACCACACATGTACCTGCTAGCATGACATCAACTGGCAGAAAAAGACAGAAAAAGTCCACTCATTTCTGTCCTTTAAAACAGAAGAGATTCAGGAACAATGAGCCGCTCCATGAAGATAAAAATATAAGTTTCTCCTTTTCTGTCCTCAGTTGCCCTCCCCTGCCACAGACACCAGCAATTTCTGCTACAGTAATGCAAATATGTGCCACACTGACCTGTCCCTACCAAACCCAAACAGAACTGCCCCTGTGACCGCACTTTAGGGCATAGTTGGAACTTAACTCTCATGAATGTATTTTGAAACCCTCATACTTGATTCTGACCTCACCTTAGAGTCACATGAGGCCCTTCATTAAAGTAACATGGAGCCAGATGCAGTGGCTTACACCTGTAGTCCCAGCACTCAGGGAGGCAGAGGCAGGATGATAGCTTGAGCCCAGGAGTTTGAGACCTTCCTGGGCAATATAGCAAGACCCCGTTCTCCACAAAAAGGAAAAAAAAAAAGGCAAAAAAAAACAACATGGATATTTCTACCCACAACAATAAACAGAAGCTGTGGGGAGGGCACAAGAGGTTTCTGCAAATTGGCCATGTGATCCTAATGAGAAGCCTGGGCTGATAACCACTGAGCTAATCATTGCCTCTCAAGCTTTAACGAGCTTATAAATCACTTGGTAATTTTGGCCCCACTTTATGTAATGTGATTCTGCAGGTTTGAAAAGGGTCCATGAATGGGTGTTTTAAACAAGTTCCCTGTCAATGCTGATGTTTCTTCCACTGGGCTCATTATTAGCATTAGTTAGAGAAAGCAGGCACAGCACAGGGTTCCTTACACTTAGAACTCTTGTCACAACCAAATATTTCTTGTACAAATAAGGACAACCCATCTCCATCCTAAAGTTTCCTATTCTTTGATGGCTCTTTAAAGTTTACAGAGGAAACAAAAGGCAGCAATGTCTGAATAAGTCTGGATTTAAAAAACATGTACACATGTACTAATGCAATGTTTATTAAGCACGTACTATGTGCTCAAGAGTATGATATGGAGCACTGTGCTGGGCGTAACACATTATGTGATTTAATTGTCATAACACCCTGGAGCTGGTACTAAGGGTTTAATAATTTCCAAGATTTAGATAAAGGGCCCAGCATTTTTATTTCTTCTTCTGTTTCTCTGTTAGCAAATTTTTAAAAAAACTGTAAAGAATAAAAGCTAAATATAGACAGATGAAAGAGACATAGAAAGGAAGAGTTTAATGTAGTTTAGAGAAAATTGTATTCTGTTTATATTTACTTTTTTGTGACTTGTGGAGCAACTACTGGATCTGCAGGAATAGAAAACAAGTTGCTAAATAGAATGTCTCTGCAAGCACTGGTTTTAACAGAAAATTTAAAAACTAAGACCCTACAATACATACTTCATTTTTCCCATTTATCTGCTTTTGGGTTTCAGGAAATTGTGAGCACCAGCTCTAGAAAGGCAGCAGGATTCACCAGCCAAAACTCTGATCTCTACTAATCAGTTCTGAGAGCAAGACTCCAGGTTAGATTCAGATCTAAATAAGGCCTCCAACAAGTGTGAATATGAACAGGTCTGGAACAGGGTAAGGACCCTATAGAATTCTGTTCTCTATGCCACTGGGGTAATACCAGTTTTGTTTTTTCTAAGCTTACATGAAAGAAACTTAAATCCTAGAATTTCTCTAATTTTAATCTTTTCTAGCAACTGCCCTGTCAACTTTATACCATATACTAATATGCAACTTAAACAAATCCCTTCAGGTTTTCTAGTGTAATTTTATTGGAAAATAAATACCATGCACTTAACAAGGTAAAAAAAATTAGATATTATATGGCTGGGCATGGTGGCTCATGCCCGTAATCCCAGCACTTTGGGTGACCAAGTTGGCTGGATCACGAGGTCAGGAGTTCCAGGCCAGCCTGACTAAGATGGTCAAACCCCGTCTTTACTAAAAATACAAAAATTAGCCAGGTGCGGTGTCAGGCACCTGTAATCCTAGCTACTCAAGAGGCTGAGGCAGGAGAATTGCTTGAACCCGGGTGGCAGAGGTTGCAATGAGCCAAGATTGTGCCACTGCACTCCAGCCTTGGTGACAGAGTAAGACTCCATTTCAAAAATAAAAAAAGAAATTATAGCAATTCTTCTGTTCATAAATATCATTCAGGTGTAGACATCAGAAGTCACAACAATATAAAGACAGCGGCCTAAATAAAGCCCAAGATTTTGGACACATCTGCTTATTGTACCAACCATATAATGCATAACTTAATTATTTATCCAGTTGCTAGTCTAGACTAAACGTTTCTGGATTGTAGGAACCATGACTGTTTCATTTTTTTTAATGGCCATATGAAATGGAAACAACTAGTTTATCTATTTAGGTCTCCAGATCTCCTCCTTGTTTATCATCCAAGTACCAGGAAACTGGATAAACTCTCATCTGGGTACCAACCAATGGCACTTCTTCTATGAGGGGATGAACAAACACAGAATGACTCATTTCTCTTACACTGAGACAGAAGCCGAATTAACCGTTCTTGTCAGCCTGACATAATTCTGCTCTGGACATCCTCAAATGCCTCAAAGACACCTAGGTGATTGTGAGAGAATTCCCAGTGATGCAGGGCTGATGGTCAATGATAAGCCAGGCTGGAGAGACTCAGGCTGAATGTAAATGGAATAGGGAATTACCCTGGTGGAGCTCCAGAACCTGGATCACTATTCTGATTTGCTAGCTCTTGGGTAAGAGAAAAAACTAAAATATTCTACACTCTAGTATCACATTTTACAGGTAAATATAGTTGTGGTCATGGCTCTGGATATTTTGTGGACTTCATCTCTCACTCCTAAGATGCTTATTTACACTTACAGATTCTGGCATCAGATGCTATTTCCTCCTGGAGCCTCTCACATAACCGCAGCAGGTCAATGAACAAGATGTAAAAAAACCTCAAAATGCCACACTCCCAAATGGGGGCTGTAAGATGTTTATGTTGATATCTCAAAATGCTGAAAATTTCTTGTTTGTTTTCTGTACATTCTCAATCCAATATCTGGCCATTTTTATAAATCCCAGGCAGAGGCCTGAATTTATCAGCAGATTCTAGGTAGAATCCACCTGGTTCTGCATCGTTTGGTGTTACAGCAAATGGAGTACAAAGGAGGGATCCCCTCATAGAGGCTGCTCTAGCACATTCTAAATGATAAGTCTACATAAAAAAAAAAAAGCTGACACAACATGAATATAAGTAGACAGTTTATTTGGGTCAAGTTTAAGGATTATAACCTGGGAGCAAAGGTTCAATTTGCCTGGAATCTACACTTTGATTCACAGCAGTTACAAGAGGATTTGTAAAGACAACAAGAGAAGGACAGAGAGTGGGCTGATACAAAGTTGTTTGTTGGAAATTTTTATTTATATACAGATATGGCATTGATTATTGATTAGATATATATCGTTATGGTTTAGGGTATGGGATATACTGTCCAATGTGGCATTATTAGTTTAACTTATAGGTACTTGTGCCAATAGTGAACAGTTTCAAGAGATGAATACATAGTTCAAAGAGGGGAGAAATAACTGCACTTTTATTTTAATGTCTCTCTGAGTTTGGTAACCAAAAGGACTTGAATTTTTTAGATAAAAGTTTTTTATTTCCCAAATCTCACGACCTGGATTCAAAATGTGGAGCTACAGATTTAGGCCTGAATGGCTGGAGTAGCAGCAGGTGTTACCTGCACATTTGTGAGCACTTTAGCAAGAGGAGGAAGGGGAACACGGAGATTCTCACGTCTCTATGTCTACACAGTGCACACATGTTATTCTGATTGGGTTTCTGGTCTATATAGTTTCTATATCAGTGTCACGTCTGAAGATACACGAGTCATTGAAAGAGGTAAAATGGTTAATTGCTCCCCTGTGAAGTTTGTAGAAATGTGGTCTAGCCTCTCTGGAAGTGACTGTAGAGGACTATAGATTCCAAATAGGCAGAGACACAATTCTGCCTGCATATTTAGGGGACAGCATGCACTTTGCAACACACGTGTGAGTTGACTGGAAGCCTGAGAGAAAAAGTCTTCTCTAGAGAAAATCCTGGTTGGCACCTTATGCATTTATATCATGTCTGGTAATTCTAGACAGTGTTTGGAAACAATAATTAAAAGAAAAATTTTTGGCCAGGTGCGGTTGCTCATGCCTGTAATCCCAGCACTTTGGGAGGCTGAGGCAGGTGGATCACGAGGTCAGGAGTTCAAGAGCAGCCTGGCCAATGTAGTGAAACTCCGTCTGTACTAAAAATACAAAAAATTAGCCAGGCGCGGTGGCAGGCGACAGTAATCTTAGCTACTAGGGAGACAGAGGCAGGAGAATTACTTGAACTCAGAGGGCAGGGGTTGCAGTGAGCCGAGATCATGCCACTGCACTAACAGCCTGGGTGACAGAGTGAGACTCCGTCTCAAAAAAAAAAAGAAAGAAAGAAAAAGAAAAATTTTCTCAAGCCCTAGAGAAACTCTACAGTAATAGAACAGAAAGAAAACAGTTTTATTACACAAGTGAACTTGAATGTGACATGCATCATCATCAATCTGCTTAAGAGGCTGCAACAACAGAAAGATAGTCACCATAATTACTTCACAAGTAGACTAAAGAGGCCATCTCTGTATGCTAATTCCTTATATTCAATACAAATAAACTTTTCCCATTTAAAAGAAGTGGCTCTGTACTCCTTGGCACTGGATGCTTTCTCCTGGTTGCTAGTGTCCTCTCTTGACCTCTACCATCTGCCACTGAGGCACAACCCAGAGCACAGCTCACAATTTATATGAACACCATTCACCACAGCAGCACTCTAGTGTCACATCAGAGAACAAGGCCTGAGCTGCAGGAGGAGAGCACGCAGGCCTCCTGGGTAGAATTGCACCTTCACAATCATGGGAATGTGAGCAGTGTTTCAGCCTCCATTTCTATTTATAATGGTGATGTGGAAAAAATACTGCTGAATTTCCAAATGAGTCCATATAGAGATGGACTCTATATAGAGTCCATATAGAGAAGCTCCCCTCATTCAGACACCATGAGATATGAATAGGGCTTTTGAAACAAACACAAAAGCATTGGAGAGAAAAACAGATCTTGATCTGAGCAAGATTATTTTGAGGAAAAAAAGTTAAAAAGATCTTAAGAAAAAGTTCAGATTAGATGTAAGATTGATCAAGTCAGCCAGAAAATAGTCCCCTAAAAGCAATTTCTCTCTAACCACCGAAAGTGCACAATTACTCTCAGCATGAGAAACATGAGCATTATGAAGAAAGGGGGCAGAATTTCAGATGAATTTTATCAAGTTTTTGTTCCATCTCTGCTGCTCTCTCCTCTCCTAGCCATTGAATGGAGGTTCTATATTGAAATACATCTGACAACTTCCAACAATACTTTTTGATGAAGAAATAGAATCTGACTGTGTTCATATAGTGGAACACATTAGAACTTGCAACATAGGTAACTGAAGAGCTATTACGAATTTTGGGTGGCCACATCACCTGTCTTCATTGTCCTGTAATAGCAGCATACCAATTTAGTGAAATAAAATATACTAAAATTGTGTTTACTCATAATTATCCCTATAGAATAAAGTAATAAACATGTAAGCCTAATATCTACTGTAACAACTTGGTAGTAAATTTTCTTTAGATATTACATATAAATATCTAAGTATGAATAATTTTAATAAACTAGTCTTAATGTATGCAGCATTTTTTAAATTGCAACTATAGCCAGGAGTGGTGTCTCACGCCTGTAATCCCAGCACTTTGTGAGGCTGAAGCATGCAGATCACGAGGTCAGGAGTTCAAGACCAGCCTGGCCAATATGGTGAATCACCATCTCTACTAAAAATACAAAAAAAAAAAAAAATCAGGCATCGTGGAGTGTGCCTGTCATCCCAGCTACCCAGGAGGCTGAGACAGAAGAATTGCTTGAACCCAGGAGGCAGAGATTGCAGTGAGCTGAGATCAAGCCAGTGCACTCCAGCCTGGGTGAAAGAGTGAGACTCTGTCTCTAAATAACTAAATAGCAACTATACTTCAATTAAAACACTTTATATTTCAAAAGTATAAATAACAATATTAAACTAACAATTAAAGTGATTCATTCGAAGTCAGCATTGCAGCTTTACATTCATACAATTTTAGAAAATACTGTTTATGGCTCACACCTATAATCCCAGCATTTTGGAAGAGTGAGTTGGATGGATTACCTGAGGTCAGGAGTTCAAGATCAAGCTGGCCAACGTGGTGAGACCCCGTCTCTACTAAAAATACAAAAACATAGCCACACGTGGTCATGCGCGCCTGTAATCCCAGCTACCCAGGAGGCTAAAACAGGAGAATCGCTTGAACCCGGGAGACAGCGGTTGCAGTGAGCTGAGATAATGCCACTGCACTCCAGCCTGGGAAACAGAGTGAGACTCTGTCTCAAAAAAAGAAAATACTTGGGGGGAGGGGGGAGGGAAAGCATTAGGAGATATACCTAATGTAAATGACGAGTTAATAGGTGCAGCTCACCAACATGGCACATATATACGTATGTAACAAACGTGCACGTTGTGCACATGTACCCTAGAACTTAAAGTATAATTTAAAAAAAGAAAATACTGTTTAATTTATATGGATGCAGCTTGTCTACAAACACTACACATAACTATGCTAATTGTTCTGAAGTAATAAATAGAAAGCAAGGTACAACTACAGACTCCACTCTTCAGTTTATACACTGAACTGTTCTTGCTTTTGCAGTATAAGTACTTCAGCCTGCAAATATTAGATAATTTCCTTGGATCATCAGGTCTCTGTCAAAGAAACTTAGCATCTTTCAGTCTTTATCATTCTGTATTACAAAACTTAATCCTATCTTTGTGCTAAGCTTCTGTGCGCTCTTGAAAAGCGCTTTTATCTAAACAAATCTGTGTCTACTTTAGAGGACTAAAAATGAAAAAAATAAACCCTCAGAACCAAAAATAAAGCAATAAATCTGAAGTACTAGATAAAGAAAATCTGGAGTGAGAAAAAATGACAAAAGGTTTATTTAGCTGTTAATATGATTTACATATATTTCAAAAAAGCAGAGAAAAACATCTACATATAATCTAAATACCTAAGAAAAGAGAAAAAGCAAAATTTTTTTTGAACTTTAAAAATTTTTTGAACTCTGGGACATCTGAAATTTGCACACTATATGCACTTGAAAGAAGGTTTATGGGGGAAAAAAACAGAAGACAGAAAGATGTTATAAAAAAATCCATAAGTGCACAAGGCCAAGGCAACAGAATAGAGAGCCCAGAAATAATGCCACCCTCTTACAACCAACAGATTTTTGCCAAAGCTGACAAGAGGAATGTGGGAACAATTCTCTATTTCATAAATGGTGCTGGAATAATTACCTAGCACTATGTAGAAGACTGAAATTGGACCCCTTCATTACACCATGTACAAAAATGAATTCAAGATGAATTAAACACTTAAATGTAAAACTTAGAATTATAAGAAACCCTGCAAGATAACCTAGGTAATACCATTCTAGACATAGAAACTCACAAAGCCTTCATGATGAATCTACAAAAAGCAATTGCCACAAAAGCAAAAATTGACAAATGGGACCTATTTAAACTAAAGAGCTTCTTCACAGCAAAGGAAACTATCAACAGAGTAAAGAGACAACCTACAGAATAAAAATAATTTGCAAACTTTTTCTCTAACAAAGGTCTAATATCCAGAATTTATTAAGAACTTAGGCCAGGTGCAGTGGCTCACCCCTGTAATCCCAGCATTTTGGGAGGCTGAGGTGGGCAGATCACCTGAGGCCGGGAGTTTGAGACCAGCCTGACCAACATGGAGAAACCCCATCTCTACTAAAAATACAAAATTAGCAGGGCGTGGTGCTGCATGCCTGTAATCCCACCTACTTGGGAGGCTGAGGCAGGAGAATCTCTTGAACCCAGGAGGTGGAGGTTGCGGTGAGCCAAGATTGGGCCATTGCACACCAGCCTGGGCAACAAGAGTGAAACTCCATCTCAAAAACAAAAGACAAAAAAAAAAAAAAAAAAAAAAACCAAGAACTTAAACAAGTTTACAAAAAAAAAAAAAAAACCTCATTAAAAAGTAACATCACAAAACTTGAAGAGATTCTTTTCAAAAGATGACAAACATGTGGCTAACAATCGTGTGAAAAAAATGCTCATCGCTAATCATTAGAGAAATTAAAAGAAAAACCACAATGAGATACCACATCGCATCCAACAGAATGGCTATTTATAAAATTTCAAAAAAATAACAAATGCCGACAAAGGTTGCAGCGAAAAAAGAATGCTTATACTCTGCTGGTGGGAGTGTAAATAGTTTAACAACTGTAAAAAGCAGTGTGTTGATTCCTCACAGAACTAAAAGCAGAATTATCATTTGACCCAGGGATCTCATCATTGGGTATATACCCAAAGAAATATAAATTATTATATTATAAAGACACATCCACATGTATGTTCACTGCAGCACTATTCACACTAGCAAAGATAAGGACAGGCCCTAAATGCCTATCGATGGTAGACTGAATAAAGAAAATATGGTAATATGGTATGGTCATATGCGGTGGCTTATGCCTGTAATCCCAGCACTTTGGGAGGCGGAGGCAAGTGAATTGCCTGAGCTTAGAAGTTTGAGACCAGCCTGGGAAACATGGCAAAATCCTGTCTCCACGGAAAGTGCAAAAAGAAAAATTGGCCAGGCTTGGTAATGCCTGTGTGTAGTCCTAGCTTCTTGGGAGGATGAGGTAGGAGAGAATTGCTTGAGCCTGGGAAGTTGAGGCTAAAGTAAGCCAATATCATGCCTTGGCACTCTAGCCTGGGCAATAAGCTTGTCTCCAAAAATAAAATAAAAAATTTAGTAAAAACAAAAATTTACTAAACAAAATTTAGTAAAAACGAAACATCATGGAATACTGGGTGGCCACACACACACACAAAAAATGACCATGTCCTTTGCAATAACATTGATGAAGGTGGAGACCAACATTCTTAGAAAACTAACGCAGAGGCCAGGCGATGGCTCAGGCCCATAATCCCAGCACTTCAAGAGGTCGATTTGGGCGGATCACCTGAGGTCAGGAGTTTGAGATTAGCCCGACCGACATAGAGAAACTGTGTCTCTACTAAAAATACAAAATTAGCTAGGAGTGGTGGCGCCCTCCTGTAATTTCAGCTACTCAGGAGGCTGAGGCAGGAGAATTGTTGGAACCCAGGAAACGAAGTTTGCAGTGAGTCGAGATCATACCATTGCACTCCAGCTTAAACAACAAGATCAAAACTCCTTCTCAAAAAAACAAAACAAAACAAAAAAAAGAAAACTAATGCAGAAACAGAAAGCCAAATGCATGTTATTATTTATAAGTAAGAGCTAAATAATAAGAACACATGAACACAAAGAGGAGAACAGGCCAGACACAGTGGCTCATGTCTGTAATCCCAGCACTTTGGGAGGCCAAGGCGGGCAGATCACAAGGTCAAGAGATAGAGACCATCCTGGCTAACGCAGTGAAATCCTGTCTGTATTAAAAATACAAAAAATTAGCCAGGCATGGTGGAGGGCGCCTGTAGTCCCAGCTACTCAGGAGGCTGAGGCAGCAGGATAATGGTGTGAACCCAGGAGGCAGAGCTTGCAGTGAGCTGAAATGGCACCACTGCACTCCAGCCTGGGAAAGAGTACGAGACTCGGTCTCAAAAATAAAAATAAAAAAAAGAGAGAGAGAGAAACAGACACTGAGGCCTAGTTGAGGGTGGAGTATGGGACGACTCAGAGGATCAGAAAACATACCTGTTTGGTGCTACAGGTAGTAACTCAGGGACAAAATAATCTGCACACCAAACCCCATGACATAGCTGTGTAACAAACCCACATGTGTACCCCAAACCAAAAATAAGAGCTAAAAGAAAAAAAATTCCTGGGTCGGGGAGATTGCAATGTAGGTAAGTGGACTGATTTTCGCTACAGATAGTGGCCCAGTGGGGCTGTACTCTGATTTATTTCTGTGTGAATGCAGGCAGACGAGATTGTGAAAAGCAGGTCCAGAACCCTAGGTTGGTGGAGAAAACAGGTTGCTGCTGCAGATTCGGTGTCCAGGGAGGGGGATATGCCAGATTTGTAGAGACTTGTGGGTTCTTGGCAAGAAACTCTTGGATCAAAAATGCCGTGGTGAAGTTCCTGAGGGTGGTGCCTAGTCCTGGGAGGAGTGTGGACATGTCAATGTCTAGTGTGTGTGTTTGTGAGTGGGTGGGAATCCTGTGGTAACAGCTGCAAGAAAAGGGGGTCTGTCATCAGCGCTCCTTTCCTCTAAGTTTTCAGTCCCATTCCCAAACACCCAGAATTTTATTCCAGGCCAGGGCTCCATGATATCTTTTTTCTGGCACCAAATCTGTAGTTTGCTGAACATCAAATAATTCTCCAACACCAACTCATTGTCTAACATTTGAAATCTGACACCACCCAGAGTCAGCACAGACCCTGATTCAGGGCTCAGTTCCACAACATTGTCCTCACTGCAGATGCCAGTCACAAACCCCATGGGCCCATCTATGCTTCTGAGCTGCTGCTTAAAAACTGGGGACTCCCATAACCTCCCTGAAGTTGAATAATTGGGTAGAGCTACTCACAGAACTCAGCAAAACACTGTAGTTACGTTTACCGGTTTCATATATATAAAATGCAGCCCAGGAAAAGCCAAATGGAAGAAATGCATAGAACAAAGAAAAGAGATGGGGAAAGATGAAACACAAAATCATAAAAAATATTTGCGATTAATAAAATTCTACATCCTTTGTGTGCTCCAGTAACAGTTTGTGGAAAGAAACACTCTTCCCATTACGACTTAGATAATGCTCTCTTTTCTTACTTATCACAATGCCAGATACACACTCTGCATATTTTCTCCTTATTCTCATTAAAACAATCAGCTGAGTTTGTCTTCAGTGGCCAAAATAAATTATTATTATTTTTGAGATGGAGTCTCACTCTGTCGCCCAGGCTGCAGTGCAGTGGTGCCATCTCTGCAGTGCAGTGGTGCCATCTCGGCTCACTGCAATCTCCGCCTCTCAGGTTCAAGCAGTTCTCCCACCTCAGCCTCCTGAGAATCTGGGATTGCAGGCACCCACCATGACCACCAGCTAATTTTTGTATTTTTAGTAGACACAGTGTTTCACCTTGTTGACCAGACTGGTCTCAAACTCCTGACCCCACCTTATTCAATATTTTGATTATCTTCTTTGCAGCCCCTCTTACTAATGTTCCCAGCAGGCTACTATCCTGCTTCCTGAACATTTCTACTCAAAAGTGTACTGAGAATGCCCCTCCAGGTCACAAATTGGTGGAATGTCATCAGTTAAGGCAGGAACTGGCTGTTTTCACTTCTTTTGTGATTCTTCACTTGCTTCAGGCCATCTGGATGTATATGTGTGGGACACAGGGGATATGACGGCTTAGCTTGGGCTCAGAGGCCTAATAGTCTTGAACTCCTGACCTCAAGTGATCAACCTGCATTGGCCTCCCAGACTGCTGGGATTACAGGCATGAGCCACAGTACCTGGCTAAGTTGCTTGCATTTTACACCTCCATAAGAAAAGCAAATATATCTACTTTTTTCAGACAATATATGTATTATTTTATTATTTCTATTAAAAATTATGCAGTAAAAGATTAGTCACATGGGAACACGTGTAGAAGGTACTGTTATAAAGTTTCGGTGCGGCTAAAGAAATAGCACTCAAATATAACATTTTCTTTTTAATTCTCAGCAAGCCGAGGTACTTCTATAGAAGGGTGCACCCTTACAGATGGAGCAATGGTGAGCGCATACCCGGACAAGGGAGGTAAAGGGGTTCTTATCTTTGATGCACGTGGACCCTGCTGCTGTGTCTTTCCCCTATTGGCTAGGGTTAGACCAGACAGGCTAAACTCATTCCGATTGGCTAATTTAAAGAGAGTGACGGGGTAAGTGGTTTGGTAGGAAAAAGTGGTTATGCCGGGTGGAGAATGAGTCAGAGCAGAGCAGGTAGCAGGTAATGGGAATGAGTCAGGGTGGAGCAGGTAATTGAAAAAGGTTGCTTTATGAGGAAGTTAAGCTTAAAAGTAGAAGGCAAAGAATTGAACATACTGACATATTGATTCTTTGAGAAGAAATTTAGAAGTCATATCTAACAACCCCTCCTCTTGCATTTCCTTACAGCCCTTTCTTTTCAAATTTTTTTTAACATGTCTTGGCTTAGTTGTTCTGCTTGATTTTCCAAAAGAAGCTTCTATGGATAAGGTGGTGGATAATTAAGGGAGGTTTTAGTAAGTGCTGTTTTTATAAGCCTCTGCACCAACTCACGGAGTCATGGTGTGACACAGCACCTGACAAGATGAAGTATACCCATTACGTCTGCAAGGGAAGTAAGAATTTAGGCTATTATTTTTTTCCATTTACTGAACCACTTTTCTAGCCATCTTGTAAAGGGGTCATTTACACTTGAATTGTTGGCTAACTCATTGGACAGAGCAGTCAGACCTTGCAATGCCTTTGTTGTATTTCCATCAGGGGCAGTGTTGTCTGGGATGAAGGTACAACATTGAGTTTTAATCATGATGCAAACTCCTTCTCTGTATGTTAATATTATGTCTAAGGCTATTCTATTTTTCCCAAGCCGTCTGGCTAATAGGCCCTAATTGCTCAGCTATTCCTTTAACAGCATTTCTAGTGCAGTTAATAAATCGCTGTTGGTTGTAATAGATGTAGTTTATCCAATCTACATTTATTAATTGCCACCCACCAAAATATTGACTCAAATCTTGCAGCTATTTGATTTTGGGCTTTTTTTTTTTTTTTCAAGATGGAGTCTCGCTCTGTTGCCCAGGCTGGAGTGCAGTGGCACGATCTCGGCTCACTGAAAGCTCCACCTCCTGGGTTCATGCCATTTTCCTGCCTCAGCCTCCCCAGTAGCTGGGACTACAGGCGCCGACGACAACGCCCAGCTAATTTTTTGTATTTTTAGTAGAGACGGGGTTTCACCGTGTTAGCCAGGATGGTCTCGATCTCCTGACCTCGTGATCCGCCTGCCTCGGCCTCCCAAAGTGCTGGGATTACAGGCGTGAGCCACCGTGCCCGGCCTGATTTTGGGCTTTAAATTGATCTGGTACTTCCCGTGGGACTCCAATTGCGTTTAAATAGACTTGAGAGTCAAAAGACCCATAAGGAGCTTCTCTCACTTTATGATATCTTATTTTTCCTTCCTCTGGTTGAGGAAATGCCAGAGTAAAAGGGATAGCCAATTGAACTAGAGCATAAGTACTGCTCTTAATTATCTGGCAGAGTGTCCAGTAAAGGTCCTCCATAATACTACCATACATCCACTCAGGGATGAATAAGAGCAGACTAATGGGTCAGCTCTAGGAAATGCCGGACTTCACTGCATCCTGTAAAGTTTCCACGGAATGCCAAATTTTTTCCCTTGTCATTGGAGACACGATGTAAAATTGGTTTTGGAAGATGGAGGCTGGATGGCGCTCAGGGGCTGACCCACAGGGTGTTGGACTTCAGGAAATAGCAGAGAAAGCTTGGCATGATTCGTTATTCCAGGCAGTGGAATCTTGAAAAACAGCGGTCATGCACTCCGTGTCCACTTGATTTGAGGACCACCCCAGTGGAAAGGCCCAGCCCGGGCCTCTGGCCTACCATCCGCATAAGCATAACAGCCACTTCTGTTTAAAGCGTGAATGGAATCTTTAATCCATTTTATCCAGGCATTTACATCTTTATATCCTGTTTCAATGGCTATGGTTTGCCTCAGATCTCCTATTTCTACTACCGAGAGCTTGCTTTTGTCATTTGGCATGAGGTGAGGCATAGTTTGGTGTCATAGGTTTGGGAACAGGGCAGATGTAGGAGGTGGAGGAGGGAGAAAAATGCGCATCTTAAAGAATCGTATAGGATCCTTTCCAGTGACCTCTGCTCCTAAATCATAGAAGTGCTCTAAAGTGGGGTTAGAGTTGATAGTGGTAGGAATAGTAATGAATATAAGCACTGGGTTAAGAAAGGAAAGGAAAGTATAGCTAGACTGAGCTTTTCTTAGCTTTAATTTGGTAGGGCTTGATCCAGGAACAATGGCCCATGATTCTGATGATAATGGCGCTTGCTTGACTCAGGTGTGATGTGTGCATCCCCCTTCTGCAGTATGAACAGCAGCCTCAGTTAGCAGCACAAGATAGGGTCCTTCCCAGGCTGACTTGAGTTTTCCTTCTTTTCACCCTTTGATGAGAACGTGATCCCAAGGCTGGTGCTGGTTTACCAGAAATTCTAGGGGTGGTACCTGTGCTAAAAGACTTTTAGTTTTGAGGGAAAGTAAAGTGGAAGATACGCTTAGTATAAGATTTCTAAGAAATCGATCTTTTGTTTTAAATGTGGGGACCTCAACAGTGGACTTTATAGTCCTTGGTGCGTTCTTGTTGAGAAATTTTCTTTAGTACCTATTTTTATTAGATTTCAGACCAAAGAAAGTCAAACACCATTTTATATTTTAAAATGCTTCCCATATGATTTTTATATGAGAT
Source organism: Homo sapiens (assembly GCF_000001405.40). NCBI lineage: Eukaryota > Metazoa > Chordata > Mammalia > Primates > Hominidae > Homo > Homo sapiens. The sequence goes on along the minus strand of NC_000019.10, from coordinate 20,373,218 downwards.
AAGCTAAATTTAGTGTTATTAATATTAAACTTAACTTTAATAAAACCTTGTAGACATATTTATCCAACTTTTAATGTCTGACCATAAGGTAAGATTTTTATAGACTCTTTTTAACCTTTTATAATTTTTGTTAGAGAGCAAGTTAGTTGTTAAAGTTTGTTAAAGAGCAAGTTAAGAAAAACCTGTTGTGCTTTTATTTTAATGTCCAGTTCACAGAAAAACTGGATGATACCCCTTTAACTTTAGCTCATATGTTTACACACAGAATTTTCTTTACAATTAATGTTTCAAAACTTGCTGAGACCTTTAAAATAAATTTTTTTAACCTTTAAGTGTAGGTAAAAATCCACATTCTTATGCCTCCTTATAATCCTTTTACCAAAAGTATATTTTACTTTCCTTACACACCTTGCAAGTAAATTGTTTCTTCAATAGTTTTACATTCAGGACGCCTAATTACTTTTAAATTATAAAACATTTCCTGCATAAATTCCCTTTATAACATTTTTCAAGGCTTTCAAAAATAATTCTTCACATGCCTCAACTTTCTGACTTGTTGCAAACATCCCTTTCTTTAAGCAAACAGTTAATTTATTTTAGAACAAGAATTTACCATATAACATCCCTTTTTACATAAATTCTCCTCCCCCCCTTTTTTTTCTTTCAAAGATGATAACCATTCTTCTCCAATGCGAACTTCCTTCCTGTCTGTGGACTAGACTGTTTAAGGCCACAAGATTAGAAGTTAGGATAATACATGTTAACACTGTTAACTTTCAGCAAACTTTACTTTTGTTGAAAACCTTGTCAATTTGGGATTTCAATTATTATTTGCTATTAATAAGACCTTGTTCAGTCCGTATTAACTTGGAATTGGTATAGATGACTCCTTCCTCATTCTGTAAGTACTTTAAGGCTTGGCTGGATGCAAACAACTCCCACGTTTGAGCAGACCAATTATTAGGCAATTTTCCTAACTCTGCTTCTACAAGAGTTTCCTTATCAGTTACTGAATACCCATTGTGCCTTTTTCCCTCAATCACCCAGGAGGAACCATCTATCATCTTGTCCTGAAGGGAGTTCCTCCTAGGTCTGGTCAGACTTTTCTATGGTAATTAAGGTTTAGACTCCCTGTTGGGAAACCTGCTGGGTTAAGGGGATTTACGGTGGTTAATGATAAATCATTTTTTTAACAGAATAATCTCATACTCTCTTCTGTTAGCATGTTATACCCGAGCAAGGTAGGAAAACGCCACACTTTGGGATGAATTAAGAGTCCTTTATTTAGCCGGTGGCCAAAGAGACCGCTAACGCTCAAAATTCTCTCGGCCATGAGGAGGGGGCTTGATTTTCTTTTATACTTTGGTTTAGGAAGGGGAGGGGAGCTCAAACGCAACAATTCTACAGAAGTAAAAACATGCAAAAATTAAAAGGACAAATGATTACAGAGAAACAGACAATTTAAAAGACAAATGTTTACAGAAAAGCAACGGTAGCAGGTGCGGGGGCTCTAAATCCTTCATAAGATGTTAGATATGGGTGCTATGCCGGACACAGACTCAAGGCTTTGTGGTGTTATCTTTTGAGCAAAATCCTGGGAACTTCGTACATTGTTTGTTTCAGTACCTTATCAGTTAATTGGACTCTTTTGATATGTTGAGAATCTGTTTACACAAGTTAACTCCTTGAAGAAGGGGGTGGGTAAGGAGTCCTTAATGTCTTACAAATCAAGGGGGCCAGATGGAGTTCGTCCGGCTTTCTCAGCTAAGCGAGAGTTTTAGTCATGTGGAAACAAGGCTAGGTGATTAAGAGAGCAAAAGGGAGAGTCTAAAAACAGGGTTAGTAAAAACAATGTTGGGCATTACATTCACCACCCATGTTTTCGGGGAATCAAATTGTTGATTCCTCAGTTATTAACAAGGGTGTCATATTGAGTCTTAAGATACGTAAGTTTGACAGAAGCTATGCGTTGTTTTATAAAATTAAGAAACGAATTTAATATACAAGGCCCAAAAATTAAACTTAATAGTAGGATGAGGAGAGGTCCAGCTAACCCAGTGATTAAAGTAGTTAGCCATGGGTTCCAGTTAAACATGCTTTGATACCAGGGGATGTTATTTTCTCGTTCTTGTTGGTGCCTATCTAGATTTTCTCGAACTTTTTTTACTGTACCTTTTATGACTCCAGATTGATTGGCATAGAAGCAACAACTTTCTCCTAGAGCTGCACATAAACCTCCTTGAGAGAGGAATAGCAGATCTAAGCATCGGCAGTTTTGAAGAACTACTTCAGCCAGAGACTCTACCTGGGAATGTAGTATATCTATGGCAGACTGGAGGTTACTAAAATCAGCATCCACCTGTTGAGACAGGGATATTAGTCCAGTTTCTCCTTGAACCAGGGCAGCCGTACCAATGGCTGCTGATCCAGCTATGCTAAGACCAGCCAATAGGGGAACCAGAAGTGGGACAGCTTGGTGCAACCTGGGATGTAACTCAGGGGGAGCGATGAGTTGTCGTCCTTCTGGTCCACTGTACACATATACCTGGGGAAGTACATGAACTAACACGCACAGGAGAGGTCCTGGTTCAGTTCCATTAATGCAGCGAGTGAGACCTGAGGTGCAGGCCAACCAGGTATTGTTGGGTGCTTGGTAAGAGACTGAGGTGCTTATGGAAGTAAGCAGGGACTGATTACAAGTAGCCTGAAAAGGAGAAGCAGATAAGTTATACCCGGTACTAATCAGACAGGAAGCATTTCCAGACACATCTCCTATTGTGAGAGCACGGGGTCGTGTATGACAAGATAGAGGGCCACGTTTAAGTGTGGCTTCTACTCCTAATCCTACATAATAAGGGGGTTTTGCTTTTAAACATAGCCAACAATCTTGGGCTAGTTTAGGCTGGGTGAGGTTAAGGAGATGGTGTACTCCACCTAGTATAGACATTAGGCTGGGTTGAAGATGTTGTTGTTGTAGCTGGGGTCTAGGAACTAAGAATGGCAGAGGAACAGTTAAATCAACTTTGTCAGGGTGTTTCTGGAATATAGGGTCACCTAGATCAGTTAAAGGCCCGATTGGCTTGGGGGAGCTCCATGAGACCAAGATTTTCTTTTGGATGGTGAACATAGTCCCAACATCAAATCCTGGGATATAAAGTCTTAATCCCCATGACATGCCATAATACCATTGAGCTGCATTAGGGTCATGGACAGTTATAGTAAGAGGATTACAATTTTTTCTAGTACATAATTTAGGATGAGGAACACGACTTATGGAAAGAGTTGAAGATCTAGTTGATCCCCCAGAGTAGGTGGCTAAAGTTACACATGTCCAATCAGGGCAGAAAAACTGGTAAGTATCTCTACAGCTAGCGTCAGGGTGATTTCCAGGACAGAGGTAAAAGTCAACATTTTGGAGCCCTTTTTCTGCACCTTTGGAGCTTCCACATCCAGTTTGGCTCCCAGAGTGTCCAAATCCTGCTGCAAGGTCGACACTTCCTGCTCCTATGACCGGCAAATTATGTTGCTCTTCATGGGTACGAGCTGGCTCTGGGAACAGTACACATAAATCAACTGCAAAGGAGACTTCCTTGGAGGTACCGGCCCTCCAAGTAGTGTTTGCGAATACACGTCCTGTTGTGAAAGAGGTGAGGAGAAAGGAGTAGGAAGGCTCAGAGGACATAACAGGCAAAAAGAAACAAGAGAGGTAAATAAAAAGAATTAATCTAATGGCTTCACCCGGCTTAGGCGCAGTTTTAAGGGGCCTGACCCAGGCTTCGGGACCCATGTTTCTAGTTGGGCTCTGTTGGCCTTTTTGTTGTGGGAGTGATGAATCCAAGCAGGAATTCCATCCACCTTCAGAACCGTTGGCGTCGTGAGGATGATGGTGTGAGGTCCCTTCCAAGCAGGAGTGAGTCCTTCTTTCTGGAACTTTTTAACAAACACTAGGTCTCCTGGCTGGAACGAATGGCAGGGCCCCGTCTGGTCAGGAACTGGATTGGAATGAGCTCCTCAAACAAGTGGCAAGATGATATCTTGTACCTGTTGGAGAGATTGTAAGTACTGCAATAAATTAGCTTGTGATATTTCTGCCAAATGGGCATCCTTTAGCTTAGGCAAGATAGGCGGCACTCTCCCATACATGATTTCAAAAGGTGAGAACCCAGCCTGGTAAGGGGTGCACCTTACTCTAAGTAGAGCTAAAGGAAGGAGACTTACCCAATTTTCACAGGTTTCTAAGATTAATTTTGTAAGAGTGTATTTAGGGTTCAGTTCATGTGTTCTATCTGCCCAGAGCTCTGGGGTCGATAGGCACAATGGAGCTTCCATTGAATATTTAATGCCTTGCTGACTGACTGAGCTATGGATGAGGTGAAAGCCGGTCCATTATCAGACCCTATTGCAGCAGGCAGCCCATATCGAGGGATGATTTCATTGAGTAAAAACTTAACTACCATGCAGGCAGTTTCTTTTTTTGTAGCAAATGCCTCAGTCCATCCAGAGACGGTGTCTATTAGTACTAGAAAGTATTTGTACCCGGCCCGGTGTGGTTTTACTTCTGTAAAGTCAATTTCCCATTTTCCTCCTGGTGAGTTTCCTCAGAGATGGTGGCCTGGGCTGGGTTTAGGACCTTGCTTGGCATTTACCTGGGTGCAGGTTGTGCTCTGGAAAGCTGTTTGATCTGTTAGGCTTTGAAGATGGGGGATCTTAAAAAGGCTCCAGAGGAGCTGGGCTAGTTTTGCTCCTCCTAAATGGGTGGTAGAATGTAGGTGGCTGATTAAACTTTTCCTAAGAGTTCTGGATATGAAGACTCTAGAGTCAGGAAGAATCCACCAACCTTCCTGATTTTTATTTGCTCCAACATCTGAAGCCAGTTTTTCTTCTTCTGTTGAGTATGTGGGATTGTCAGGCAGATCTGGCTGTGGAAAAGAAACTGCGGGTAGCAAGTTTAGAGGTGTGCCTGAAAGTCATGCTGTGTCCTGAGCTGCTGAATCAGCTCTCTGGTTACCACGGGCAATGGCCGTGTTTTCTTTTTGATGTCCTTTGCAGTGGATTACAGCCACCTGCTGAGGGAGCCATACGGCTTCAAGCAGGGCTAGAATTTCTTCTTTGTTTTTGAGTCTTTCCTGCTGAGGTGAGTAGCCTGCACTCCTGGTAGATGGCTCCATGTACATGTACAGTAGCAAAGGCATACCTGCTGTCAGTGTAAATGTTAATACGTTTATTCTTACCCCATTGGAGAGCCTGAGTGAGGGCAATCAATTCAGCTTTTTGTGCTGAGGTGTTCGCTGGTAAAGCCTAAGCCCACAACATGTCTGTCTCCATGGTAACAGCTGCACCAGCTTTTCGTTCTCCCTGCTCGAGGAAGCTGCTACCATCTGTGAACACAGTGGCATCTGCCTTTTCTAGGGGCACATCTTGAAGATCAGGTTGGCCAGTTTTGGTAGTTTCCAACAGATCCTGACAGTCATGAACAGGAGTAGTGGAGTCTGGATCAGGGAGTAGTGTAGCTGGATTTAAACACCTTGTGGGGGAGAAAGTCAAACAAGGCTGATCTAACAGTAAACTCTGATACTGCAAGATGTGAGCATTTGACATCCATTTGCCAGGAGCACTTCATAGTAAAGTCTCTATGGGATGAGGAGCCATAAGGGTTAAATTTTGGCCCAGAGTTAACTTATCAGCCTCTTGGACTAGTATTGCTCTAGCCACTATGGCTTGCAGACAACTTGGCCATCCAGAGGCCACAGGATCCAGCCTCTTAGATAAATAGGCCACTGGGCATCTCCAGGGTCCTAAAGTCTGAGTAAGCACCCCTTTAGAAACTCCCTGGCTTTCATGGACAAACAGGTGAAAATGCTTTGAGATATTTGGGAGGGCTAAAGCAGGGGCTTCAGTTAATGCCTTTTTCAGGTTTTGAAAAGCCTGTTCTTCGGTGTCTGTCCAAACCAGTGGGCCGTTTCTTCCTGTAGCAGTGTACAGGGGCTTGGCAATCTCTGTGGACCCCAATATCCAGAGGCAGCAGTATCCCATGGCCCCCAGGAATTCATGTACCTGTCTCTTGGTGGTGGGAGCGGGGATTCATAGGATGGCTTCTTTCTGGGCACTGGTGAGTGCCCTTTTTCCTTGGTTTATCTCGTATCCCAAGTAAGACACTCTGGGAAGACAGAGCTGGGCCTTTTTGGTGGAGACTTGATACCTGAGCTCCTGAAGGAGGTAAAGTAGGTCTCTCATATGTTGCAGGCAACTGTCCATAGTTCCAGTAGCTAATAAAAGATCATCAACGTACTGAAGAAGAGTACAGTTAGGGTGACTAGCTCGGAATGGTACAAGATCTTGCTGGAGAGCCTCCCCAAAAAGGGTGGGGGAGTTTTTAAAACCCTGAGGTAACTGAGTCAAAGTCAGTTGGGTAGTGTTCCCTGAGCTAGGATCTGCCCATTCAAATGCAAAGATCGGCTGGCTTTTGGGGTCCAGAGGAATAGCAAAAAAAGCATCCTTTAGGTCAAGGACAGTGTATACTGTATGTTCTGGTGAGAGCAGGCTAAGTAGAGTATAAGGATTAGGGACGGTTGGATGGACAGTAACAGTCCATTTGTTAACTTCCCTTAAGTCCTGTACCAGCCAGTAATCATTTGTTCCAGGTTTCTGGACTGGCAATAATGGAGCATTCCAAGCAGACTGACATGGTGTAAGTATGCCAGCTTGTAACAGTCATTAAATATGGGGATTAATCCCCTGTCTTGCCCCCTGACTCATGGGGTATTATTTCACCTGGACTGGCATGACAGTGGCCAGGAGTTCTACAACCACTGGTGAATGGTGTTTAGCCAGTCCTGGAGGGTTTGGCTCGGCCCAAACTCAGGGAAAAAGTGTCTGTAAGTCCAAAAGAAGAGGATTATTATTCTCCTCCGGTGATTGTGATGGTGAAACTAAAAGCTATTCCTCCGACAGAGGGGTACTTAGCAGAAATTGGGCAGTGGAGGGAGCTGTATTTCCTAGTGTGAGGTGAGCCTATTGAGCTGAGAAAGAGATTGAGGCCTGTAACTTATGGAGCAGGTCTCATCCAAGGAGAGGAAAAGGACACTCTGGAACCACAAGAAATGACTGCGTCACTCTTTTCTGTCCCAAGCTCACTTCTCATGAGTGTGTGACAGGATCTTCTTGAATAGCTCCAGTTGCTCCAGTGACTTGTACAGTCACTTTTATTTGAGACACTGCCCAAGGGGGTCTACAGTACCGAGTGCTCCACCCTGGTATCTACTAGGAAGCGTACAGGCTGGCCCCCCACTGTAGCAGTTACCATGGGTTCCTGGGAGCCAACAGTGAGGGAGCCCTGGCCCCTTCAGTCATCAGGCTCTTCCATTACAGGTAGGGTGAGGACTTTTTCTTTTCTGATTTTTCTTCTGGTCGTAGTGGGCATTCCTTTTTCCACTGCCAGTCTGCTTGCAATAAGCACATTGGTCCTTTCCTAGAGGAGCCTGTTCAACTCCTTTACCTTTATGGTGGGAACCCAAGGTTCCCTGGCCATTTCTCTGTGATGGGGGCCTTTTCTTTTTCCCCTCTTGGATAGCCATCACTAAGATTTTTGCTTGTCTTTTGAATACTTTATCAGCACCTTTTTCAGATGCCTATGTTGCTTGTTTTTGTTTTTCAAACTCTCAGTTGTCAAAAACCTTTTGGGCTATTTCTAAAAGCTGACTGATATGCATTCCAGCAAATCCCTCCAGTTTTTGCAGTTTTCTTTTAACATCTGGGGCTGCCTGAGCCACAAATGCCAAATTAAGAGCACGGCTATTTTCAGGAGCCGCCGGGGCAAAAGGGGTGTAAATCTGATAAGCCTCCTGGAGGCGTTCTAAAAATGCTCCTGGTGACTCATCAGGCCCCTGGACAACTTCAGTCATCTTAGACAAGTTTATGGGTTTCTGAACAGCTCCCTTAATAATCACGAGGATATACCACTGGAAATCATCCAAAGCTCTCCTTCCACTTGAGGAATTTGGGTCCCAATTAGGCCGGGTAGAGGGAAAGACCTCCTCAAGGAGGTCTCTAGCTTCCTCCTCTGGCCTATTGGCTGATGTGAGGAAGTACTTTTTGGCCTCTCTTCAGATACCTTCCCTCACTTCAGAGGTGAAAAGGGTTAAAAGGAGCTTTTGACAATCATCCCAGATGGGCCGGTGAGTCCGGAGTACGGACTCCATCAGAGAGGTCAAAACCTGGGGCTTTTCAGAGAAGGGAGGATTATGGGTTTTCCAATTAAACAAGTCAGAAGTAGAAAAAGGGACATAAACCAAGAAGGGAGATGAGCGCTCATCACCCAGAGGGACTTGTGCCTCTCTCAGTGGTAGTAGAGGGGCTACTTCCTCCTACCGTGGTCACAGTCAAGAAGCAATAGGCGGTGAGCCTACAGGGGAAGTAGTTGAGGAGACAAAGGATGATTCTATGGGAGCAGGCTGGTTGTAAGGCAGCGGGACTGGGTGAGGGAGACTCTCCTCTTCTTCAGAGGGAGGCAGTACAGGGAAGTCAGACTGGCTGAGGGTCGAGGTGAAAATGCGGTCTGGCTCAGAATGACCTTGGAGGTAGAATTATGAATGGTGCATGAGCGCACCCATGGAGGGGGGCTCCTGACCAAACTCAGCCATTGATCAATGTAGGGAAACTGATCGGGGTGGCTGGGAGTTTCAGTAACAACCTGCCACACAGCCTGGACAATTGTGAGTTTCAGTGACCCTACACGGGGCCACCCGACTCCAAACTTTGGCCATTCTACTTCACAGAGTGTCCGGAGCTTGCCTTTTTTAAGGCAGACTCCATAATCCTCTGAGAAACCGAGAGAAAAATTCTGTGGCATACATTGGAGAGGGCTCCAACACTTACAAGGCCAGAGAAGGAGTTTCCCTCTTTTTTTTTTTTTTTTTTTGAAGGCAATTTATTAAGATTTGAGAATAGATATTAAACCCAGCATGTACAGAGAAACTCACTCCCTAGGGGGCTGGAGTACTGAAAGAACAGAATCAACATAACCAGAAAGAGCAGAAAAACCACAACAGCTAATACCACTTGCCACATTACAGTAGCTTTAAGATTGAGGGAGGGGGACTAGAGGCTGCCCTGAGGTCTCCTGGGTCAGTTGGATCTAGGCGTTCTCCCTCTTCCTCTGGACCTGTACCCTAAATACTTTTGGTGTCTCCATGACTCAAAGGCAAATAGCTCAAACTCAGCCTTTTTCTGTAAGGGTTTAAGGAGTGAGAGCAGAGCCAAGTCCTGGAGATGCTGAACTTGCTGTGGCACTGGAAAATGAGATGTACAGGGTAAGGGGCAGGGATGAGGCCACTCGGATCATTTTTAAGGTGGGAGAGTAGCCACAGAGGAACAGAGTAAGGATCTAAATGAAGTAAAGCAGTACAGGTGTAGGTTTCCCTACACAGTGTCCTATTTAAGGGCATGGGAAAAGTTACAGTATGACAAAAGAGGTAAGCAAGGAAATCTGCAGGGTGGCTATTTTCAACCCACCACCAGTTTAACCTAGAGGCAGCCCAGCTCTTGGATGTAGGGTATGACAATCTAAATACCAGCAACCTTCACGCTGCCAGAAATCCCAATCAGGCGAATGTTCTCCACACTCGTTTCCGTAACAACACCTCACTTGTTTCTGACAGAAAAGGCAGGACTGTTGTGGCCAGCCTAAATGATTGATGAGAAATTTAACCTCCTGTGATAAAAAATCAACACTAAGGACCTTGAAGAAGTTCTTACCCAGATGTCTTGGGCAATATCAATGACATGACATACAAAACTTTGACAACCACTGAACAAGACAATAGACACTGAGCAGAGCAATAAATATAAAACAAAAAATTGGCCCTAGGGCATGTAAACAATTATGACAGTTTTTATTAGACAGACAAGGGGAGGGGGTCCCATGATGGGATCATTCAGATGCCCACCTGGCCACTCCCCCTTGGGGGACTTGGGCTCCTCTTAGTACTGGCAGGCTGGTATAAACCCCCGGCTCAGATCAAGCTATGCCTCTTAAGCCTTACGAGGTCACCATGGAACCACAGGTGAGGGCCCACTCAAGCTGTGTAGCTTTCGCCATGGAGCTACAAACTGGAAGACAAGCACAAGCCCTTGTCTTCCACAATCACCCAATCACTCACCATTCACACAGAGTTTATAACAGTTTTGTTTGTTTTTTTTTTCCCGGAGATCTCCAAGAAACCTGAACAAGAGAAGGATGAGAAATAGAAAAAGGGAGAGGGAGAGTGAGAGTGAGAAAGAGAGCAGAGAGTGAGACTAGTCTTTAATGAGACAGAGAGAGAAAGACAGAGAGAGAGAGAGAGAGACTGGCCTGCCAGAAACCAGGACTCAGTCCCCCAGCACCTGGGATATGGACTGAGTCCAGGGCAAAGTCAAGCCTGACTTACCTGACCCCAGGGTCAGAAGTTGAGGACTCAGAGGTGGAATTTTGTGGGCAAACACACGGTAGTCAATCTGCTCTCCTCCGGAAGATGGTCACTTTTAACGGACCTGGAAAAATTTTTCAGGTGGCACCCCCCAATAAGCCAGCCATCTGTCTGGGGGAGCCTGGAGAAAGCCCGGCTCTCACCCGGTGGGGAATATATCTCGCTGGGGCCTCCAAATGTTATACCCGAGCGAGTTAGAAAAACGCCACACTTTGAGATGAATTAAGAGTCCTTTATTTAGCCTGTGGCCAAAGAGATGACTAACACTCAAAATTCTCTCGGCCATGAGGAGGGGGCTTGATTTTCTTTTATACTTTGGTTTAGGAAGGGGAGGGGAGCTCAAATGCAACAATTCTACAGAAGTAAAAACATGCAAAAATTAAAAGGACAAATGATTACAGAGAAACAGACAATTTAAAAGACAAATGTTTACAGAAAAGCAACGGTAGCAGGTGCGGGGGCTCTAAATCCTTCATAAGATGTTAGATATGGGTGCTATGCCGGACACAGACTCAAGGCTTTGTGGTGTTATCTTTTGAGCAAGATCCTGGGAACTTCATACATTGTTTGTTTCAGTACCTTATCAGTTAATTGGACTCTTTTGATATGTTGAGAATCTGTTTACACAAGTTAACTCCTTGAAGAAGGGGGTGGGTAAGGAGTCCTTAACGTCTTATAAATCAAGGGGGCCAGATGGAGTTTGTCTAGCTTTCTCAGCTAAGGGAGAGTTTTTGGTTTGTTTGTTTGTTTGTTTGAGACGGAGTCTGGCTCTGTTGCCCAGGCTGGAGTGCAGTGGTGTGATCTCGGCTCACTGCAAGCTCCACCTCCCGGGTTCATGCCATTCTCCTGCCTCAGCCTCCCCAGTAGCTGGGACTACAAGTGCCCACCACCACGCCTGGCTAATTTTTTGTATTTTTAGTAGAGACGGGGTTTCACCATGTTAGCCAGGATGGTCTCGATCTCCTGACCTCGTGATCCGCCCACCTAGGCCTCCCAAAGTGCTGGGATTGCAGGCGTGAGCCACCGCACCTGGCCCAGGGAGGGTTTTATTCATGTGGAAACAAGGCTAGGTGATTAAGGGAGAAAAAGGGGGAGTCTAAAAACAGGGTTAGTAAAAACAAGGTTGGGCATTACGGGCAAAGCAGTTGTCACTACAGATTGAATGAATTACCTTCATCCACAGGTTTCTGGGTTAAGGATTTTTGATAGGAAGGCTACAGGTTGTCAGTGACCTCAGTGCTTTCGGGCTGCGCCCTTGTTTACACTGACAACAAGGTGGTATTAGAGTGTTATAGAGTCACGGAGAAGACCTTCAATTATCAATTATAGGCTTTAAATTTACCCTGGCTTTTAAAGAAATAGGGTACACTGTTTTTTCTTTACTACTTCTTTCTTTCTCTCTTTGACTTTCTGTCTCTCTCTCTGACTCCCTCTTTGTCTCTGTCTCTTCCTCTCTCTCTCTCTGCCTCTCTTTCTCTCTCTTTCCCCTCTGTCTTTCTCTCTGTCTCATCTCTCTTCTGGTCTTTCCGTGCCTCTCCCAGATGCTTATGCTGCTGTTCTGTCCTCTCCTTCTCCTTCCCCTAGGGGAGGGACCAGCGGGAGTGGAGCTACTCTTTCTTCCCCCAAGATAAAAGGAAAGGGGGGTTGTGTGAGGTTCAACCCTTGAAATTAGCAGAAGCCTCAACCCCTCAAACCAGGGCTGTCTCACCTTGCCTGTCCCGGAAGTCTCAACCCCTGACACCAGAAATGTCTCTCCTTGCCTGTCCCAGAAAGTTAACCTGTTTCCTCCCTTTCCCCCTCTTTCCTTGCGCACTTCCCATTCGTGTTGTTCTCTCTGGCTGCTCCCCCAAGGGAGAATTAGGCCCCTCTTAGTGTTGGCATGTCAGAATAAATCTCATGGCAGGATCCACCCTAAGTCATATGAGGTAGCTACGGAACCACAGAGAGGACCCACTCACTCCATTCAGCAGTAGGACTTGTCACCATCCACACGAACAACATCGCAAGCAGGGTTGTTTGTGATCAATCACGCACAAACACATTTAGCTCTCCAGAATTTGACCACCAATGAAGTACTTTTCTGGCTCCCGCAGCTTCTCCTTCCTGGGTCTGTGCACAGAGTTGTTGCCACAGTATATGAGGATCCTTTAAGCTAGGTTACTGGCCAGTTTTTTTTTCCCCTCGTTGCTGAGAGCTCCGGTTATTTTTCCCACTGAGTGGGTCTGGATTTCTCACCCCTGAGGCCACCACAAGGGGGCAGGGCAAACCTCCTCATGAGAGAGAACCAGAGACCACCCCTGGAGGGGAATGTAATCACAAGCGAACCCCCAAATTGTTATAAATAAAATTTCTGTGCCGCAAAAGAAATAGCACTCGAATATAAAATTTTCTTTTTAATTCTCAGCAAGGCAAGGTAATTCTATAGAAGGGTGTGCCTTTACAAATGGAGCAATGGTGAGTGCACACCTGGACAAGGGAGGGAAAGGGGTTCTTATCCCTGACGCGCATGGCCCCTGTTGCTGTGTCGTTCCCCTATTGGCTAGGGTTAGACTGCATAGGCTAAACTAATTCCACTTAGCTAATTTAAAGACAGTGATTGGGTGAGTGGTTTGGCGGGAAAAAAAATGGTTATGTGGGGAAAAAATGAGTCAGGGCAGAGCAGGTAGCAGGTAATGGGAATGAGTCAGGTTGGAGCAGGTGATTGAAATGAGTCAGGTGGAGCAGGTAATTGAAAAAGTTTGCTTTACGAGGAAGTTAAGTTTATAAGTAGAAGGCAAAGAATTGAACATACTGACATATTGACTCTTTGAAAAGACATTTAGAACTCATATCTAACAGTACCACGTTTCACCACATATAATTTAGCATTAAACTAAGAAATCAAGACAAGATACAGAACCGAGATAGTCACTGTCACAAATTTACCCTGCAAAAAGAGAAACGGATAGTTTGACGAATCTATGTTACTCATCAATTATCTACCACATTTTCCAGTGGAAATACATTCATTTTCTACAGTCAAAATGGAAGAAAGATCTTCTGTATTCTGTTTTTGTTTTGTTTTGTTTTTTTGAGACAGAGTCTCATTCTTTTGCCCAGTCTGGAGTGCAGTGGTACGATCTCGGCTCACTGCAACCTCCGCCTCCCAGGTTCAAGCAATTCTCTGCCTCAGCCTCCTGAGTATCTGAGATTACAGGCTTTCACATGCGTCCATGTGAAGAGACCACCAAACAGGCTTTGTGTGAGCAATAAAGCTTTTTAATCACCTGGGTTCAGGTGGGCTGCGTCTGAAAATGGAGTCAGCAAAAGGAGATAGGGGTGGGGCCATTTTATAGGATTTGGGTGGGTAGTGGAAAATTACAGTCAAAGGGGGTTTTTCTCTTGTGGGCAGGGGCGGGGGTAACAAGGTGCTCAGTTGGGAAGCCTCTGAACGAAGAGAAGGAATTTCACAAGATAATGTCACCAGTTAAGGCAGGAACCGGCCATTTTCTCTTTTGTGATTCTTCACTTGCTTCAGGCCATCTGGATGTATACGTGCAAATCACAGGGGATACAATGACTTAGCTTGGGCTCAGAGGCCTGACGCAGGCCTCCACCACCATGCCTGGCTAACTTTTCTATTTTTAGTAGAGATGGGGTTTCACTATCTTGGCCAGGCTGGTCTTAAACTCCTGACCTCGTGATCCACCCACCATGACCTCCCAAAGTGCTGGGATTACAGGCTTGAGCCATCATGCCTGGCCAAAGGCCCAGTTAGTTTTTGTTTTATGCTTCATGAAGGATACAAAAGTATTTGAAGCCGAATTCACCAAGCAGAAGAAAGGATATCAGAGTTTGAATAGCACCTTGTCAAAATTAGGCATGCAGGCAAGATTAAGGAAAAAAGAATAATAAGAAACAAATAAAGCCTCTGAAAAATATGGTGTTCTGTTCAGGAAACTCATGAGGGGAGAAAGAAAGACACACACACAATACCTTTAAGGGTAAAGAAGCTTTATCTTATGTAAATGGCAATGCAGATATAATAAGCAAATTGATATAATAAGAAAATTGCAATGGAAAGGGGAGAAGGGAAAAGTGATATATATACACACACACACACATATATACACACACATGACCACACACACGTATATGTATATATGTATATATGTATTATGTATATATGTATATATGTATATATGTATTATGTATATATGTATATATGTATATATGTATATGTATATATGTATATGTACATATATGTATATATACCTATATATGTATATATGCACATACGTATATACGTATATATGTATATATGCACATACGTATATATGTATATATACATATACGTATATACATATATGTATATACGTATATGTACATATATGTGTGTGTATATATGTGTGTGTGTGTGTGTGTGTGTATGTTTACACTCACCAGACTATGGAGGATTCCTCACCAGACCAGGAAGCAACAGTATGGGCTCCAGAGTCAGACAAAAACACTCATCAGACTATGGAGGATTCACCACCACACCGGGAAGTGATAGCCTGGGCTCCAGAGTCGGACACTCAACCGTGCACAGATGAGGAGAGGTCTCCTGAAGCTAGGGCAGTCTGCGGCCCTAGCTCTTTTTGTAACAACTTGTTTGGCATGAGGCCCAGTCACGAGGGCCCTTTGTGAATGGGCTCCAGGAACACAAATAGGTGAACTTGTTTTTTTGCAATTGTCTATTGTTTTTCAATAACTAACGTAGAGGAATAGATTAAAATAGAGATGTAAAAGTAAAGTAGAGGTTTCTCTTCAAAGACTTTCCTCCCCATCTAATTAGGAGTAAATAGTAACTTCTCTTAGAAGTAAAATGTATTGAAAGACCTGTGCTAATATTCTTAAATATCTGCTAGCCATAATAAAGAAATCAATGTACTTTATGTTCTTAGCTCCCACTGTTTAGCCTAAATATTTGCTCTGGCATGTTTATACTGGTCCAAGCAAGCATTAGGTCATAGCCTGTTCCTCTTCCTTATTTGAAGGTGTTTTTACCTTTCTCAGCATTCTACAAGTTACTTCCTCCTTCCTCTGTTCTCCTCTGCGTTTGCCTCTTTTAAAAAGTTCTACATTGCTAGCCAATCGAGACAAATACAGAATGTGAGGTCCAGTCCCAGCCAGTGAAAACAACACAGGAGTAGAGTTGATGCATCTGGTTATAAGTGACCCTGTCTCCTTTGTTCGGTGTACACTCATGGCAAAACTGCTGGTAAGTGTACCCTTTCTGCAGAAAGTAAAAATGGCCTTACTGAGTAAATTAAATTTATGTTCAAGTGCTATTTCTTTATGGCACCAAGGAACAAGCATTTCAAACAGAGATTTCTCAAAAATAGTGCTGGATGAATGCCTCAAGGGGCTCACATAACCTGTCCCAGGACTTGGTAACCATTGTTTGTGTCCATGTTCAATTGAGTTGAAATTTAACGTTTAATATTTTCTCCACAAATTCTCCTGTATTGATGAATGGGCTCTGTCTAGGCAAAGGGCAAGGTGAACGCCTTAGGCCATTACACAATCTCTGCCTACTAGGTTCAAGTGATTCTCCTGCCCCAGCCTCCGGAGTAGCTGGGACTACAGGTGTGTACCACCACACCTGGCTAATTTTTTGTATTTTTATTTATTTATTTATTTTTTTGAGACAGAGTTTCACTCTTGTTGCCCAGGCTGGTGTGCAGTGGCACGATCTTGGCTCACTGCAACCTCTGCCTCCTGAGTTCAAGTGATCCTCCTGCCTCAGCCTCCCGAGTAACTGGGTTTACAGGCGCCTTCCACCATGCTGGTCTTGAATTCCTGTCCTCAAACTCCTGACCTCAGGTGATCCATCTGTCTCGGCCTCCCAAAGTGCTGGGATTACAGGGGTGAGCCATGGCACCTGGCCACCATGGCATTTTTGATCCAGGTGTTTCTTGCCAAGAACCCACAAGTCTCTACAAGTCTCCTGGCATATCCCCACCCCCAGACACTGAATCTGCAGCAGCAACCTGTTTTCTCCACCACCCTAAGGTTCTGAGCCACCTGTTTAATCTCATCTGCCTGCATGCACACCGAAATCAATCAGAGTACATTTCCACCTGGGCCACTATCTGTAGCCAAAATCAGTTCATACACCTGCATTGTACTCTCCCACGCAGGGATTTTTTTTTTTCTTTTAGCTTTTATTTCTGGTTTGGTGTACACATGTAGGTTTGTTATATAGCTAAAATTATGTCATGAGGGTTTGGTGTGCAGATTATTTTGTCACTGAGGTACTACCCATAGCACCAAACAGGTATGTTTTCTGATCCTCTGAGTCCTCCCACCCTCCACCCTCAACTAGGCCTCAGTGTCCATTGTTCTCCTTTTTGTGTTCATGTGTTCTTATTACTTAGCTCTTACTTAAAAATAATAGCATGCATTTGGTTTTCTGTTTCTGCATTAGTTTTCTGTTTTTGTTGTTGTTGTGCTGTTTTGTCCTTTTTTTTTGAAACCGAGTCTCGCTCTGTCACCCAGGCTGGAGTGCAGTGGCGCGATCTCTGCTCACTGAAAGCTCCGCCTCCCAGGTTCACGCCATTCTCCTCCCTCAGCCTCCGGAGTAGCTGGGACTACAGGCGCCCGCCACCACGCCCGGCTAATTTTTTGTGCTTTTAGTAGAGACGGGGTTTCACCGTGTTAGCCAGGATGGTCTCGATCTCCTGACCTCGTGATCCACCCTCCTCAGGGCCCCCCAAGCTGCTGGAATTACAGGCATGAGCCACCGCACCCGGCCCAGTTGTTTGGTTTTTTTGAGACAGAGTTTTGCTCTTGTTTCTCAGGCTGGAGTGCAGTGGTGCCATCTCAGCGCACCGCAACTTTCACCTCCGGGGATCAAGGGATTCTCCTGCCTCAACCTTCCAAGTAGCTGAGATTACAGGCACGCACCACCACGCTTGGCTAATTTTGTATTTTTAGTAAAGACGGGGTTTCTCCACGTTGATCAGTCTGGTCTTAATCTCCCAACCTCCGGTGATTAGCCCGCCTCCGCCTCCCAAAGTGCTGGGATTACCGGTGTGAGCCACCGCGCCCAGACTTTGCATTAGTTTTGTAAGAATAATGGTCTCCAGCTTCATCTATGTTCTTGCAAAGGACATGATAATTATTTTTTAATGGCTACAGAGTATTCCATGATATTTATGTACCATATTTTGTTTTTACTAAATCTTTTATTTTATTTTATTTTTGGAGACAGGGTTTCATTTATTGCCCAGGCCAGAGTGCCATGGCATGATATTGGCTTACTTTAGCCTCAACCTTGGGACTAAACGTGTGTGTTACCATGCCTTGCCAATTTTTCTTTTTGTATTTTCCGTGGAGACAGGATTTTGCCATGTTGCCCAGGTTGGTCTCGAACTTCTAAGCTCAGGCAATCCACCTGCTGTGGCCTCCCAAAGTGCTGGGATTACAGGCATGAGCCACCGCATCTGACCATATTATATTTTCTTTATCCAGTCTACCACTGATAAGCATTCAGGGCCTGTCCGTGTCTTTGCTATTGTGAATAGTGCTGCAGTGAACATGCATGTGGATGTGTCTTTATAATATAAACATTTATATTTCTTTGGGTATATACCCAGTTTTGAGGCTCCTGGATCAGATGATAATTCTGTTTTTAGTTCTGTGAGGAATCGCCACACTGCTTTTTAAGTTGTTGAACTAATTTACACCCCCACCAGGAGAGTATAAGCATTCCTTTTTCTCTGCAACTTTGCCAGCATCTGTTATTTTTTGACTTTTTAAAAATAGCCATTCTGACGTGTGTGAGTGAGGTGGTTTCTCATTGTGTTTTTCTTTTAATTTCTCTAATGATTAGCAGTGACCTTTTTTTCATAATGTTTGTTAGCCACATGTATGTCTTTTGAAAAGCATCCGTTCATATTTTTTGCCTACTTTTTAATGAGGTTTCTTGGTTTTTTCTTCTAAACTCATTTCAGTTCTTAATAAATTGTGTATATTAGGCCTTTGTAAGAGGCAAAATTTGCAACTATTTTCTCTTACTCTGTAGGTTGTCTGTTTGCTCTATTCATAGTTTCCTTTCCTGTGAAGAAGCTCTTAAGTTCAAATAGGTCCCATTTGTCAATTTTTGCTTTTGTTGCAGTTGGTTTTTGTAGTTTCATCATGAAGTCTTTACCTGTTTCTGTGTCAAGAATGGTATTTCCTAGGTTATCTTGCAGGGTTTCTTTATAATTTTAAGTTTTTCATTTAAGTCTTTATTTTATCTTGAGTTGATTTTTGTATGTGGTGCAACGAAGGGGTCAAGTTTCTGTCTTCTACATAGTGTTAGCTATTATTCCAGCACCATTTATTACAGAGAAAAATCTTCCCACATTCTTCTTGTCAACTTTGTAAAAAATCTGATGGTTGTAGGAAGGTGGCATTATTTCTGGGCTCTCTATTCTGTTTAATTGGTCTTGAGTATTTATGGATTTTATGTAATATCTTTTTATCTTCTGGGTTTTTTTTCCCCATAAACCTTCTTTTTTTAATTTATTTTTTATTTTTTATTTTTCGAGACAGTGTCTCGCTCGGTTGACCAGGCTGGAGTGCAGTGGCGCGATCTCGGCTCACTGCAAGCCCTGCCTCCCGGGTTCAGGCCATTCTCCTTCCTCAGCCTCCCGAGTATCTGGGACTACAGGTGCCCACCACCACGCCTGGCTAATTTTTTGTATTTTTAGTAGAGATGCGGTTTCACCGTGTTAGCCAGGATGGTCTCGACCACCAAACCTCGTGATCTGACTGCCTTGGTCTCCCAAAGTGTTGGGATTACAGGCATGAGCCACCCCACCCAGCTTCCCCATAAACCTTCTTTCAAGTGCATACAGTGTGCAAATTTCAGATGTCCAAGGGTTCAAAAACTCATTAAAAAGTTCTGAAAAAAGGCCGGGCGCGGTGGCTCAAGCCTGTAATCCCAGCACTTTGGGAGGCCGAGGAGGGTGGATCACGAGGTCAGGAGGTCGAGACCATCCTGGCTAACACGATGAAACCCCGTCTCTACTAAAAGTACAAAAAAATTAGCCAGGCATGGTGGCGGCCGCCTGTAGTCCCAGCTACTCGGGAGGCTGAGGCAGGAGAATGGCGTGAACCCGGGAGGCGGAGCCGGCAGTGAGCTGAGATCGCGCCACTGCACTCCAGCCTGGGCGACAGAGCGAGACTCCGTCTCGAAACAAACAAACAAAAAAAAAAAAGTTCCAAAAAAAGTTTTGCTATTCCCTCTTTTGTTGAGGGATCTAGATTATATATAGATATTTTTCTCTGCTTTTGGAAATATATGTAAATCATATTAACAACTAAATAAGACTTTTGTCATTTTTTCTGTCTTCAGATTATCTGATAATTCAGATTTATTGCTTTGTTTTCGGTTCTGAAAAGTTTATTTTTTTCATTTTTAGTCCTTTAAAGTAGACAGATTTGTTTAGATAAGAGCTCATTTTAAGAGCACACAGAGGGGGGAGGGGGGAGGGATAGCATTAGGAGATATACCAAATGCTAAATGACGAGTTAATGGGTGCAGCACACCAGCATGGCACGTGTATACACATGTAACTAACCTGCACATTGTGCACATGTATCCTAAAACTTAAAGTATAATAATAATTAAAAAAAAGAGCACACAGAAGCTTAGCACAAAGATAAGATTAAATTTAGCAATACAGAATGATAAAGACTAAAAGATACTATATTTCTTTGACAGAAACCTGAAAATCCAAGGTAATTATCCAATATTTGCAGGCTGAAGTGCTTATACTGCAAAAGCAAAAACAGTTCAGGGTATAAACTAAACAGTGGAGTCTGTAGTTGTATCTTGCTTTCTATTTATTACTTCATAACAATTAGCATAATTATGTGTAATGTTTGTGGACAATCTGCATTCATGTACATTAAACTGTATTTTCTCTTTTATTTTGAGACAGAGTCTCACTCTGTTGCCCAGGCTGGAGTGCAGTGGTGTGATCTCAGCTCACTGCAACCACTGCCTCCCAGGTTGAAGTGATTCTCCTGCCTCAGCCTCCCAAGTAGCTGGAATTATACGCATGCCTCACCCTGCATGACTAAGTTTTTGTATTTATAGTAGAAATGGGGTGTTACCATGTTCACCACCTTGATCTTGAACTCTTGACCTCAGGTGATCCACCCTCCTCAGCCTCTTAAGTGCTGGGATTACAGGCATAAGCCAGAAACAGTATTTTCTACAATAGTACCAATACAAAGCTGCACTACTTACTTTGAATGAATCACTTAAATGGTTATTTTAATATTGTTATTTATACTTTTGAAATATAAAATGTTTTAACTGAAGTTTTAATTTTTTAAATGCTATCTACATTAACACTAGTTCATTAAAATTATTTATACTTTGATATTTATATTTAATATCCAAAGGAACTTTACTACCAAATTGTTACAGTAAGTAGATATTAGTGTGACATGTTTGTTACTTTATTCAATAGAGATAATTTTGAGTAAACACTATTTTAGTATATTTTATTTCACTAAATTGGTATGCTGCTATTGCAGGACAAATAAGGTTAGGTGATGTGGCCATGCAAAAACCATAATAGCTCTTCAGTTAGCTGTGTTGCAAGTTCTAACATATTCCACTATATGAACACAGTCAGATTCTATTTCTTCATCAGAAAGTGTTGTTGGAAGTTGTCAAATATATTTCAACGTAGAACCCCCATTCAATGGCTAGGAGATGAGAGAACAGCAGAGATAGAAAAGAAACTTTATAAAATTCTTCTGAAAATCTGCCCCCTTTCTTCATAATGCTCATGTTTCTCATGTTGAGAGTAGCTGTACACTTTAGGTGTTTAGAGAGAAATTTCTTTTAGGGGAATATTTTCTATCTGACATAATCAATGTTATATGTAGTCTGAGATTTTTCTTAAGATCATTTTAACTTTTTTCTCTCAGAACCATCTTGCTCCGACGGAGATCTGTTTTTCTCTCCAGTGCTTTGGGTCTCTGTTTCAGAAGCCTTATTCATAACCCTTGATTTTGGAATAAGCTGGGCTGTCACAGTGAGAACTTCTGGAGCTATCTCTATCTGGATTCATGCTGGAAAATCAGCAGTATTTTTCCCTGGTCACCATTATAAGTAGAAATGGGCTGAAACACTGCTCTCATTTCCATTATTGTGAATGTGTCATTCTACCCAGGAGGCCTGCAGGCTCTCCTCCTGCAGCTCAGGCTTCCCTCTCTGATGTGACACTAGAGTGCTGCTGTGGCAAATAGACTTCACATAAAATGTGAGCTGTGCTCTGGGCTGTTCCTCAGTGACAGATGGTAGAAGTCAAGAGGACACTAGCAACCAGGTGAAATCAAGCAGGAGTGCTGTAGCCCAGTGCCAGGGAGTACAGAACCACTGCTCTAAAATATAAATAGCCAAAAACATAGAACCCTATTCAACCATTTTTGTAGCAGAGTGAAAGCCTAGCTTCATCAGGTACCTGGCTTCAAGGTGCTAAACTACCTCCTGTTATGAAGATGTGAAAAGATTATTTATCATTGAATATAAGCAATTAGCATACACAGATGACCTCTTCAATCTCCAGGTGAATTTAGAATGAACTATGTATGACATGGTGCTGTAAATTCTACTTGTGGACTAATTATGATGTCCGTCTTTTTATTATTGCAGTCTGTTAAGCAGATTGACTATGATGCATGTCACATTCAAGTTTAATTGTGTAATAAAACCATTTTCTTTCTGTTCTATTGTGGCATTCTTCTGGGGATGGAGAAAACTTTTCTTTTAATTATTGTTTCAAAACACTGTCTAGAATTACCAGACATAATATAAACACATAAGGTGCCAACCAGAATTTACTCCAGAGGAGACTCCCTCTCAGGCTTCTAGTGAACTCACAGTTGTGCAGCACAGTGCATGCTGTCCCATAAATATGCAGGAAGAATTGTGTCTCTGCCTATTTGGTATCTATAGTCCTCTACAGTCACTTCTAGAGAGGCTAGATCAGATTTCTATAAATTTCACAATACAGTAATCAGTCATTTTACCTCTTTCACTGACTCTTGTATCTTCAGATCTGAAACTGATTCAGAGATCATGGGACCCACAAATCCAATTAAAGTAACGTGTGCATTGAGTAGACATGTAGACAAGAGGATCTCTACTTTCTTCTTCCTCCTCTTGCTAAAATGCTCACAAATTTGCAGGTAACACGTGCTGCTACTTCAGACATTCAGGCCCTAAATCTGCAGCTCCAAATTTTGAATCCCAGTCTTGAGATTGGGAAATAAAAAACGTTTATCTGAAAAATGCAAGTTCTTTTGGTTATCAAACTCAGACATTAAAATGAAAGTGCAGTTATGTCTTTCTCCCCCCTTTGAACTATGTATTTATCTCTTGAAACTGTTCACTATTGCCACAAGTAGCCATAAAATAAACTAATAATGCTGCCTTGGACCCTATATCCCATACCCTAAACCATAACCATATATTTCTAATCAATAATCAAAGTCATTTCTGTA
This sequence comes from Homo sapiens, assembly GCF_000001405.40. Lineage (NCBI taxonomy): Eukaryota > Metazoa > Chordata > Mammalia > Primates > Hominidae > Homo > Homo sapiens. The sequence continues at coordinate 20,350,218 of NC_000019.10, read as the reverse complement.
AATAAATAAAATTTTCTGAAAAACAACTTTGTGTCAGCCCACTCTCTCTCTTTCTCTTGTTGTCTTTACAAATCTTCTTGTAACTGCTGCTAATCAAAGTGTAGATTTAAGGCAACTTGAATATTTGCTCCCAGTTTATAATCTAAAGTTGACCCAAATAAACTGTCTACTTACATTCATGTTACATCAGCTTTTTTTTTTTCCATTTAGACTTATTTAGAATGTGCTAGAGCAGCCTCTATGAGGGGATCCCTCCTTTGTACTCCACTTACTGTAACACCATAGGATGCAGAGCCAGGTTGATCCTACCTAGAATCTGCAGATAAGGTCTGCCCTCTGCCTGGAATTTACAAAAAAGGTCTGGACTTTGGACGGAGATGTACAGAAAACTAACAAAAGGCATTTTCTGCACTGTGAGATGTCAGTCTTGACATCTTAAGCTCCCATTTGGGAGTGTGGCATTTTGAGATTTTTCACATTTTGTTCATTGCCCTGCTACAGTGATGTGAGAGGATCCAGGAGGAAATAGAATGTGATGGCAGAATCTGTAAGTGTAAATAAGCATCTTAGGCATGAGAGATCGAGGCCACAAAGTATCCAGAACCATGATCACAACTAAATTTACCTGTAAAATGTGATACTGGAGTAGAGCATTTTTGTTCTTTCTTTTACCCAAGAGCTAGCAAATCAGGACGGGTGATCCAGGTTTTTGAGCTCCACCAAGGCAGTTCCATTTTTTATTTAGAATCGGCCTGAGTCTCTCCAACCTGGCTTATCACTGGGCCATCAGCCCCAGGTCAATGGGAATTCTCTCAGTCACCTAGGTGTCTTTGAAGCATTTGAGGATGTCCAGAGCAGACAAGAGTGATTACTTCTGCTTCTGTCTCAGTGTAAGAGAAATGAGTCATCCTGTGTTTGTTCATCCCCTCATATAAAAGATGTCTTTGGTTGGTACCCAGATGAGTTTCTCTAGTTTCCTGGTACTGGGATGATAAACAAGGAGAAGATCTGGAGACCCAAACAGATAAACTAGTAGCTTCCAATTTATATGGCCATTAAAAAAATACATGAAGCAGTCATGGTTCCAACAATCCAGAAACTTTCAGTCTAGACTAGCAACTGGATAAATAATTGAATTATGCATCATATGGTTGGTACAACAAATAGATGTGTCCAAAATCTTGGGCTTTATTTGCCACTTTCTTTATATTGTTGTGACTTCTGAAGTCCACAGCTGAAGGGATATTTATGAACAGAAGAATTGTTATTATAATTTTAATTTCTTTTCTTTCTTTTTTTTTTTTGGAGATGGAATCTCAATTTGTCATACAGGCTGGAGTTTAGTGGTGTGATCTCAGCTCACTGCAACCTCTGCCACTCGGGTTCAAGCAATTCTCCTTCCTCAGCCACTCAAGTAACTGGGATTACAGGTGCCTGCCACCGCACCCGGCTAATTTTTGTATTTTTAGTAGAGACGAGGTTTCACCATCTCAGTCAGGCTGGTCTTGAACTCCTGACCTCATGATCCACCTGCCAAAGCCTCCCAAAGTGCTGGGATTACAGGCATGAGCCACCGCACTGGGCCATATAATTTTTATTCTTTCACCTTGTTAAGTGTATGTATTTATTTTCTAATAAAATTACCCTAGAAAAACTGAAGGGATTTGTTTAAATTGCATATTATCATGTAGTATAAAGTTGACAGGGCATTGGCTAGAAAAGATTAAAATTACAGACTCTGGGATTTAAGTTTCTTTTAGGTAAGATTAGAAAAAAGAAAACGGAAATCTCCCAATGACATAGAGAACAGAATTCTACATAGGGTTTACTTCCTGGCCCAGTTCTTTCAGATTGACCTTTTCTGGAGGCCTTATTTAGTTCTGACCCTACCCTGGAGTCTTGCCTCACAGAACTGATTAGAAGAGATCAGAGTTTCAGCTGGTGAATCCTGCTGCCTTTCTAGAGCTGGTGCTAACAATTTCCTGAAACCCAAAAGCAGATAAATGAGAAAAATAAAGTATGTATTGTAGGGTCTTAGTTTTTAAATTTTCTATGAAAACCACTATTTGCAGAAACATTCTATTTAGGAACTTGTTTTCTATTCCTGCATATCCAGTAGTTGCTCCACAAGTCACAAAAAAGTAAATATAGACAGAATGAAATTTTCTCTAAACTACATTAAACTCTACCTTTTTATATCTCTTATATCTGTCTCTATTTAGCTTTTATTCTTGATAGTTTTTTAAAATTTTGATGATAGGGAAATGCAAGAAGAAATAAAAATGCTGGGCCTTTTATATAAATACTGAAATTTATTAAAACCTTAGTACAAGCTCCCAGGGTGTTATGAGAATTACATAATGTTATTCCCAGTGCTGTGCTCTGTATCATACTCTTGAGCACACAGTACCTGCTTAATGAACATTGCATGAGTAAATGTGTACAAGTTGTTTTCTAAATACAGACTTATTCAGACATTGCTGCCCTCTGTTTCCTCTGTAAACTTTAAAGAGCCAGCAACTTATACAAAATTTTAATCTTTTTAAAATAATGGCTGTTGTTGTTTTAAGATAAGATTTTTACCATCACACAGGATGGAGTGTAGTAGCATAAGTTTGGCCCACTGTAGCCTCAGCCTCCTGGGCTCAAGTGATCTTTTTACCTCAGTTTTCTGAGTAGCTAGGACTACAGACATGCACTACCACATCTGGCTAATTATTTGCTTGTTTGTAGTGTTTGGATCTGACTATATTGCCCAGACTAGTCTCAAACTTTTGGCCCCAATGCATCCTCTAACCTCGGTCTCCCAAAGTGTTAGGATTATAGGCAAGAGCCACTGCACCCAGTCAGTATTTTTAAATTTAATAAAACTTGGTATATGTCATAACAGAATACACCAGATGCAAATAAGAATATTGTGTATCATCTTGGTTTTGACTGGAGCGTTTTGTGTGTGTCTGTGAAGCCTAGATGGTCTATAATACAGTTTGGATGTCCATGTTGTCCAAACCTCATGCTGCAATATAAATCCTCAATGTTGAATGTGGGACCTGGTGGGACATGTTTGTGTCACGAGGGCAAATTTCTCATGAATGGCTTGGTACATCCTCTTGGTAACCAAAAAGTTTGCACTCTATTAATTCAAATGAGAGCTGGTTCATTAAAGGAAGCTGGCTCCTTCACCTTACAATTGCTTTGTCTCATACCATATAATAAGTCCAGTTACTCTTTACCTTCTACCATGATTGTAAGTTTTTTGAGAACCTCACCAGAAGCAGATGCTGGCACACACTTCTTATACAGTCTGCCAAAGTGTGAGCCAAATAAGCCTTTTTCCTTTTTAAATTATGTATTCTCAATTATTCCTCTATATGCAAAATAATTAATATAGTCTGTAATGTTGTCTACATTTTCTGTTTCTTTATCTGTATTTTCTGGTATTGAAAATGGGGTATTGATGTCTACAATTATTGTGTTGCTATGTATGTCTTGCTTCAGTTTTGTCAATATTTACTTTATATATTTTGGAGCCCTGATGTTATATAGACACATACATATAGATAGATAAATATTATAGTTACAGATTCCTGGTAAATCAACTCACTTTACAATAATATAATATCAACCTTTGTCTCATGGTAGTACTTGGCTTAATGCGTATTATATCTAATATAATTATGACCGCCTCACTCAATTGGGGTTACTATTTTCATTGAATATACTTTTTTTCTTCCGTTACTTTCATCCTATTTGAATGAATGCTAAAATGACTCTCTTGTAGGCACCATACAGAAAGCTTTTTAAAAAACCACTAAGGCATTCTATGTCTTTTCCTTTACATAATTTTATTTATTTATATATATGTTTATTTATTTTGAGATGGAGTTTCACTCTTGTTGACCAGGCTGGAGTACAATGGTGCAATCTCAGTTCACTGTAACCTGTGGCTCCTGGGTTCAAGTGATTCTCCTGCCTCAGCCTCCCAAGTAGCTGGGATTACAGGTGCCTGCCAGCATGCCTGGCCAATTTTTTGTATTTTTGGTAGAAACAGGGTTTCACCCTCATGGCCAGGCTGGTCTTCAACTACTGACTTCGTGTGATATTCCTACCTCAGCCTCTCAAAATGCTGGGATTACAGGCATGAGCCACTGCACCTGGCCTCCTTTATTTTTGAGATAGGGTTTAACTCTCTCAACCAGGCTGATTTGCATGAGTCACTGCTGCCTGAACCTACCAAACTCAGATGATCCACTCATTTCAGCCTCTCAAGTAGCTGGCTTACAAGTATGTGCGTCACACCCAGCTAGCTTTTTTGTATTTTTTGAAGAGATAGAGTTTTGTCACGTTGCCCACGATGGTCTTAAACTCCTGGGATCAAGTGACCAGCCTACTTTTGCCTTCCAAAGTCCTAAGATTGCATTTTACTTTATTAAGTAGTTTAATTAATTTATGTTTAAAATGATTGCTTAAAGAAATGAAGTTGTAGGGGCCAGGAGAGGTGGCTCAGGCGTGTAATCCCAGCACTTTGGGAGGCCAAGATGGGCAGATCACATGAGGTCAGGAGTCCAAAACCAGCCCTACCAACATGGAGAAACACAGTCTCTACTAAAAATACCAAATTAGATGGTCGTGGTGGTTCATGCCTGTAATCCCAGCTCCTTGGGAGGCTAAGGCAGAAGAATCTCTTGAACCCGGGAGGCAGAGGTTGCTGTGAGCCAAGATCATGCCATTGCACTCCAGCCTGGGTAACAAGGGCAAAACTCCAGTTCAAAAAAAAAAAAATGAAGTTGTAATTACCAGTTATATTGTTATTGTTTTGTGTGTTTGTAGTAGTTATATTTTTGTCATTTCCTGTTTTCCTTTTTTTTTTTTGAGACAAAGTCTCATGCTTGCCCCCCAGGCTGGAGTGCAATGGCACAATCTCCACTCACTGCAACTTCTACATGCCAGGTTCAAATGATTCTCCTGCCTCAGCCTCCCAAGTAGCTGAGATTACAGATGCCTGCCACCACTCCTGGCTAATTTTTGTATTGTTAGTAGAGACAGTGTTTCACCATGTTGGCCAGGCTGGTCTCGAACACCTGACCTCAGGTAATCTGCCACCTCGGCCTCCGAAATTGCTAGAATTACAGGCATGAGCCACTGCACCCAGCCTTCTTTTTAAATTTTCATTTAATTTCATACTGGCTTGTTTTGATTATTTTGTATTTTATTTTGAATACTTTCTATAAATATTATCTTTGTCATCATCTTGAAATCTGGAGATTACATACATCTTAAAGTTAAAACATATGTTTTAATCTCATAACAACTTCAGTTAAATACAAAAATGATGCCTCTATATTTTCCAGTTTGTTATTGATATTAAAATTATTATTTAATTTATTGATTTTTTGAGACGAAGTCTTCTCGCTCTTGTCCCCCAGGCTGAAGTGCAATGGCACAATCTTGGCTCACTGAAACCTTCACCTCCTGAGTTCAAGCGATTCTCCTGCCTCAGCCTCCCAAGTAGCTGGGATTAAAGGCACCTGCCACCACACCTGCCTAATTTTTGTTTTTTTAGTAGAGAGAGGAGTTTCACCATGTTGGACAGGCTGGTCTCGAACTCCTCACCTCAGGTGATCCACCCACCTTGGCAGCTCAAAGTGCTGGGATTACAGGCATGAGCCACTGCGCCTGGCCTAAAATTATTTTACATGGTGTATCTATTAACAGATTTATGCAGTTTTTTAAATTTTTGAGACGGAGTTTCACTCTATTGTCAAGGCTGGAGTCCAGTGATGCAATCTCGGCTTACTGCAACCTCCAACTCCCAGGTTTAAGTGATTCTCCTGCCTCAGCCTCCTGAGTAGCTGGGATTACAGGCATGCACCACCGTGCCTGGCTAAGTTTTGTATTTTTAGTAAAGATGGGGTTTCTGCATGTTGGCCAGACTGTTCTCGAACTCCTGACCTTGTGATCCGCCCACCTTGGCCTCCCAAAGTGCTGGGATTATAGGCATGAACCACTGTGCCTGGCCGATTTATGCAGATTTACATATTGTTTTTTATATTCTATAAAATAACTTTAAAGGTTTTATGTACAATCATTTTGATTTTTTTTTTTTTTTTTTTTTAGGCTGAGTCTCACTCTATTGCCCAAGTTGGAGTGCAGTGGTGGAGTGCAGTGGGCACCATTGCACCTGGCCTATTTTTTTTTTTTTTTTTTTTTTTTTGAGATGGAGTCTTTCTCTATCGCCCAGGCTAAAGGGGCATGTCATGATTTTGGTTTACTGCAACCTCTGCATCCTGGGTTCAAGAATTCTCCTGCCTCAGCCTCCTGAGTAGCTGGGAATACAGGTGTGTGCCACCATGCTGGGCTAAGTTTTGCATTTTTAGTTCAGATGGAGTTTCACCATGTTGTTCAGCTGGTCTTGAACTCCTGACCTCAGGCAATCCACCCTCCTTGGCCTCCCAAAGTGGTGGGATTACAGGCGTGAGCCAGAGCACACAAGCCCGTGTAGTATATCTTCTAGGACTGTGCTAATGGTGATGAACACTCAACTTTTATTTAGCAAAGTCTTCATTTTTATCTTCTTTTTAAATTAAGATAATTTTGAATCTAGTATTACAGGTTAGAAAATTTTTTTGTTACATCAAAATTTGGGAAGTTCTCAGCTTTTTTTTCTTTTTTTTTTAATCTTCAAGTAACCTATGTATTACTTTTTCCCTATATGCTAAGATTCCTTTCATGAAAACATTGATCTACTTTATGGTATTCAATAAGTTTTACATTCCATGTTTTAATTTTTTTTTGCAATTTAATATTTTTGTGTTGTGTATTCTTGGGTACATCACATCACACCAGTTAATTGTGTTTTGATTTTTTAGTTTATATTATAATTGTATATGACAATATTTAACTCTGTACAATTTAAGACAGTGTGGAGCAAAATTAAATATGAATAAACCATGTCTATTGCCAATACAATTATTTCTGTTTCTTTGCCTGTATAAATATTATCCCTGTAGTTCGGTGTCACTTGTATATTTGTTGTGTAGGTTTGTTGTAACAGGGTTTTTTTTTTTTTTTTGAGAGGGAGTTTTGCTCTTGTTGCCCAGGCTGGAGTACAATGGTAGGACCTCAGCTCACTGCAGCCTTCACCTTCTGGGCTCAAGTCGCTCTCTCGCCTCACCCTCCTGAGTAGCTGGGGTTACAGGCATGCACCCCCAAACCCAGCTAATTTTGTATTTTTAGTAGAAACAGGGTTTCACCATGTTTGTCAGGCTGGTGTTGAACTCCTGACCTCAGGTGATCCGCCTGCCTTGGCCTCCCAAACTGCTAGGATTACAGGCGTGAGCCACCATGCCCGACCTGTAACAGTTTTTTAATCCTGTCTAGGTGAGTAGTCATAAAAATTCTCCTGATTTCAACATCTCTTTATTTGTGAATCTATATTATTTTTGTGTCCAAGAAACACTTTTGGATTTAAAGATAATTTAAAAACAATAATAACTCCGTATCTCTTTTAGGCATTTTGTTTACTTTTATTTATGTGTTATGTGTCAAAAACACCTAACAAAATTTACAATAAAATATTTCCAGGCCGGACACAATGTCTTACGCCTGTAATCCCATCACTTTCAGAGGCCGAGGCGGGTGGATCACAAGGTCAGAAGATGGAGACCATACTGGCCAACACGGTGAAACCCTGTCTGTACTAAAATACAAAAAACTAGCCAGGCATAGTGGCGCGCGCCTGTAATCCCAGCTACTGAGGAGGCTGAGGCAAGGGAATTGCATAAACCCGGGAGGTGGAAGTTGCAGTGATCCGAGATCGTACCACTGCAGTTTCGCCTGGGAGATAGAGCAAAAAGTATATATTTCTAAATATGCAGTTTGTTCAGTATAAATATTATTCCCGTAGTTTTGTGTCACTTGTATATTTGTTGTGTAGGTTTGTTGTAACAGGTGTTTTTTGTTTTTTTTTTTTTTGAGAGGGAGTTTTGCTCTTCTTGACCAGGCTGGAGCACAACGGCGGGATCTCAGCTCACTGCAACTTCCGCCTCCTGCGTTCAAGCCATTCTCCTGCCTCAGCCTCCCGAATAGCTGGGATTACAGGCCTGCGCCACCACGCCTGGCTAATTTTGTATTTTTAGTAGACAAGGTTTCACCATGTTGGCCAGGCTGGTATTGTTGATTTTTACTTATGTGTTATGTGTCAGAAACACATAACAAAATTTACATTAAAATATTTCTAGGCAGGGCGCAGTGTCATAAAAAAATTAGCCAGGAATGGTGGCATCCTCCTGTCATCCCAGCATCTGAGGAGGCTGAAGCAGGGGAATTTGTTAAACCTGGGAGGTGGAGGTTGCAGAGAACTGATATTGTGCCACTGCAGTTTAGCCTGGGAGACAGAGTGAGAAGTATATATTTCTAAATATTCAGTTTGTTCATATTAATTATATTGACATTATTATGTAACATATCATTAGAATGTTTTTATCTTGCAAAGCTAAAGCTCTATACACCTTAAACAACTACCAATTCTTCCCATTTTGTGGCACTTTTCAAACACTACTCTGTTTTCTCTTTCTAAGGGTATAAATGCTTATAAAATCTCTGTTTGTGGCTGGCTCATTTTATTTTGCACAATGTCATCAATATTTATCTTAATAGTTGTTGGAATATTTTCTGCTTTTTGAAAACTGAACGAGATTCCACTATTTTTATATCTACAGAATCATTTGGTGACAGAAATTTGCATTGCTTTTACCTATTGGCTTTCAGTAACAATGCTGCAATAATTATGTGAAAGTTAATATGTGTGCTGCATTCTATTTTATTAGTCTGCTTTTTCACCTTTATGCTCATACCAAATTGTTTTAATTCTGTATCTTTTTGATGTGTTTTGAAATCAGAAATGGTAATGCCTCCAACATTGTTCCTTTTTTTGATGATTGTCGGGTACTTTATTGCCTTTTTAGATTCCATATACTTTTGGATTTGCTGTTTTTATTTCTTCAAAAATGCAATGAGAAATTTGAAAAATATTGCATTAAATCTGTAGATTAAATTGAGCGGTACAGAAATCTTCACAATATTAATTATTTCTTTTTTGAATTGTTTGTTTTTTAGATGGAATTAAATTCACCTGTCTCGGCCTTCCAAAATGCTGGGATAACAGGCATGAGCCACCGCACCCAGCCCAGTTATTTCAACAAGTGCATGCTCAAGAGTGTGTTGTATCATTTCTATATAGCTGTAAATTTATCAATTATTTATATTATTGTTTTATACTCTAATTCCATTTTTTGTCGTAGAAGGTAATCTATGAAATTTCGGTTTTAAAAAATGTGTTAAGTCTTTGTTTTTGGCCTATCAGGTGGTTTATAAAGAAGAATGTTGAATGAGCTATTGAGAAGGCTGTGTATCCCGATGTTGTTGAGGAGTGTTCTCTATACCTTCATTAGAAATTATTGTTTTTGACTGCCTTTTAGTCCTCTGTTCCCTTACTAATATCATCTTGTTTTATTATTATTACAGAAAGTGGGGTATTGAAATATCCTACTATAATTATATTGCTCTCTCTGTGTTTATTCAGTTTTGTTAGTATTTACTTTATATATCTGAAAGCCTAATTTGAGACACACACACAAATACATGCATGTATAAACAAATTTGTCATACATTCACAGGGAATGAATCTATGTATTGTTAAATGTCCTTTTTTGTCTGTTTGAAGTTTTGACTTAAAGTACATTTTATAAAATATGACAGTTTTTTACTTAAGATGTAGCTTGTGTAATATTATTTTGAGCTCTTCTGCTCTAATTTGGTTAATATTTACATTAAATTTCTACTTCCATCTCACCACTTTCAGTCTTTTTTTGTCATTAGATCTCAACTGACTCTTGTAGAAAGTCAAGTTGAATCTTGATTTCACAGAATTTTTAATAAACCTTTTTATTGAAAGTATGTCTCTTGATTGGAAATATAATTATATATATTTAAATAGTTTTCTAAAAGAGAAAAACTTACTAATGGTATTTTATTAATTGTTTTATTAGATTTTGTATCTTTGTCTCTCATTTTCTCTTTCTGTCTTTTTTGTGTTTTTTTGATTTTTGTATTGACATGCTTTCAGGTTTTTTAAATTTTCTTTTGTGTATCTATACAGATATTTTCTTAGTGGTACCTTGGAGGACTGCACAAAACCTCTAAAGGATCCAACAACATATCTGAATGTGGTAAAAAATTAACTTCAGTTGCATACAACAATTCTTCATCATACATCTGCCTACATTGAGCTCCCAAAATTCTCTTATCTGTGAATTTTGAAATTTTGCTTATATGTATGCTTGTTATAAATATCTTTATGTGTATCCTAGTTTGTTTGTTCAACTTTTCCATGTTTACATCATTTTTTAAAGAAATTTTTCAGGGATTTTTTGTATTTTTTATATCCACAATTTCTGTTTTTTTGCTATTTTAATATTTCTTGTTATTTTCATTTTTCTGATCTTTGGTAGTTGTCTGTGTTTCTAGTTCACTTACTGAATATTATTCAATTTTATTTATTTATTTATTTATTTATTTATTTATTTATTTATTTAATCTGAGACGGAGTTTTTTTCTGTCGCCCAGGCTAGAGTGCAGTGGCTTAATCTCAGCTCACTGCAATGTCCACCTCCTGGGTTTAACTGATTCTTTTGCCTCAGTCTCCTGAGTAGCTGGGGTTACAGGCGCCTGCCACCATGCCTGGCTAATTTTTTGTATTTTTAGTAGAGACGGGGTTTCACCATGTTGGCCAGGCTGATCTTGAACTCCTGACCTCAAATGATCAACCCACCTCAGCCCCCTAAATTGCTGGGATTACAGACATGAGCCACCATGCCTGGCCAATTTTATTTTATTTTTGAGACACTCTTGCTCTGTTGCCCAGGCTGCAGTGCAGTGGTATAATCTCCACTCACTGCAACCATCCACTCCCAGGTTCAAGCAATTCTTGTGTGTCAGCCTCCCAAGTAGCTGGGATTATAGGCACATACCACCACGCCCAGCTAGTTTTGTATTTTTGGTAGATACAGGGTTTCACCATGTTGGCCAGGCTGGTCTCAAACTCCTGACCTCATGTGATTTTTCCCACCTTGATCTCCCAGTGTGTTGGAATTACAGGAATAATGCCCACTCACATCTTACTCAATATAAGAAGGTTCATAGTTAATAAAGGCATTAAAAGTGCAATTACTGTGAAAAAATCTTCCAGAAAGTATAAGCCTTTAAGTTGACTTTAAATATAAGCCTTTAAATGTGACTAACTTTAACCTATCCCAACTTACTCAAGGGTGTAGGTAAAAGATGGCAGCAGTATACTATTTGGTACATAGTGGAATAACATCTCTAGTAATCACTTTGTCAGTGGCTTTAAACTGCAAATGAGTTGAAGAATATTTTTCCCATAGGTTAAATTTTTATTCTTTGTTCCTATTGAAATTTATTGTTAGTATTTGTGGGTATATAGTATGTGTATATATTTACGCCTTATATGGCATATTTTCATTAATGCATACAATGTGTAGTAATTACATTAGGGTAAATAAGGTATCCATCACCTCTAGCATTTATCCTTTGTATTACAAACTGTAATTATACACTTTTAGTTATTTTAAAATGCACAATTAAATTCTTTTTGACTGCAGGGTTATTTTTATGGTCATAATACAAATTATACAGAGATATAAATAGAATATGGGTTTGGCACAGTGGCTGACACCTGTGATCCCAGCACTTTGGGAGGCTGAGCCAGACAGATCATGAGGTCAGGAGTTGGAGAGCAGCCTGAGCAAGATGGTGAAACCCCATCTATACTAAAAATACAAAAATTAGCTGGGCATGTTGGCGTGCCTGTAATCCCAGCTACTCCAGAGGCTGAGGCAGGAGAATGGCTTGAACGCAGGAGGCCGAGGTTGCACTGAGTTGAGATAGCACCACTGTACTCCCACGAGACTCTGTCTCAAAAAAAAAGAAAGAAATAGAAATAAAATCCTTTTATTTCTGAGTCCTGAAAAATTATTAATAAATATTTGTTATATAGTTGAATGTGTATATAGTCTTTGAACATGTGGTCTCTCTGCCTGAAAACATAGTTTTAGTTTTAATTTTCATAGAGTGAAATATACACATATTACTCTGAAGATGAACCTTAGGTGTAAGAAAATTATGAAGTGAGTAAGTGTGTTTGTGTCAGTATGCATTTGTACATATTTTCAGAAGAAAAGAACAATTATTGGAACAAAACAAATTTAATTAGGTGAGTAATAGAAAACTAAACACCTTGAAAATGCTGAAAGCAAATTTATACTTTCTGCTTTGCACTGAATTTATTAATGTAAAATTTTATGGTTTATGTTTCAAATTATTTCCATAATCTACCTATTAAAGCACAGGCAACTTTGTCTCCAGAAATAACACCTTTTTTTTTTTTTTTTGAGACGGAGTCTCACTCTGTCGCCCAGGCTGGAGTGCAGCCGCCCAATCTCAGCTCACTGCAAGCTCCACTTCCTGGGTTCACACCATTCTCCTACCTCAGCCTCCCGAGTAGCTGGGACTACAGGCACCCACCACCACGCCCGGCTAATTTTTTGTATTTTTAGTAGAGATGGGGTTTAGCCAGGATGATCTCAATGTTAGTCATCGATGTTAGAGATGGGGTGTTAGCCAGGATGGTCTCGATCTCCAGACCTCATGATCCACCTGCCTCGGCCTCCCAAAGTGCTGGGATTACAGGTGTGAGCCACCGCACTGGGCAAAATAACACTCTTGAGTAAAACAATAAAAGCCCTCTTCAAACAGAAAAAAAGTTATTTTTAACACTCATTTTAATGAAAATTTAACCAAAATTAAATAAGTGGATACATTTTTATTGTTCCATGTGTGGGTGAATGTATAAAATGGTACATAAAGGAAAAATAATTTAAGCCAGAAAAAAGATGTTAATATTTGTAGTGAATAAAGCTGGAAAGTAGTTAATTATTATTTGCACATGATATCTTTGTTTATGCAGATAACAAAAGCAGCAGAAAGACTATTGTAAAAGTTTATTGAGATGGGTAGGCAACATTCTAAGATAATACCCTGGATTCCCAGTCCGTTGCACACCTGCTTTCCTCTCCAACGTAAAAAAATGTGTAACTGTGGTGTGAAATCACTCATGAAATTAGGTTCCTCTTGCGTTGACTTTGTGTTTATCCAAATGGAGATTACACTGATTGTGCTAAACTTAATCAGAGGTGCTTTCAAGAGAAAGAGACACATCATAGAAAAACACGCTTGCTGGCCTGAAAGTAAGTAACTTCTAGGTGAGCCATGTTGCAAGCTGCTTATGGTGGTCACATGGCAGGAAACGTATTTGTATATTGTCATCATTCCTGCCTTCTGCATGTTGCTTCCAGTAGGGACAATAAGAGGATCCTATGGCAGAGGGAAAAAAAGGGAATCTCATTCATGCAAGAAGTAATCACCTCTCACCTCCCAGCACTTTGGGAGGCTGAGGTGGGTGAACCGCTTGAGGTCAGGAGTTCAAGACAAGCCTGGTCAACATGGCCAACATAGACAAACCTTGTCTCTACTAAAAATACAAAAATCAGCTGGGCATGGTGGCTGGCACCTGTAATCCCAGGTACTAGGGAGGCTGAGGCAGGAAAATTGCTTGAACCCAGGAGGCAGAGATTGCAGTGAGCTGAGATGGTGCCACTGCACCATCGCCTGCCTGGGTGAGAAGAGTGAAACTCTATCTCAAAAATAAAATAATTTTTTTGCTTGTGTGTTTTTCTGTGCTGGCTTATTTTACTTAGCATAATATCATTCAGGTTCATAAATGATGCTGCAAATAACAAGACTTTCTTAAGGGCTGAATAGCATTGCATTGTGTACATAATTCCACATTTTCTTTCTCCATTCACCTATTGATGTACACCTAAGTTGATTCCATACTTTAGGTATTGTGAGTATTCCACTTCCCTTCTTTTTGTTTTGTTTTTGTTTTTATTTTGCTTGAGACAGAGTATCATTTTGTCACCCAATCTGGAGTGCATTGCCACGATCTCTGCTCACTGCAACCTCGGCCTCCCAGGTAAAAGCGATTCTAGTGCCTCAGCCTCCTGAGTAGCTGAGATTACAGGTGTGCACCACCAAACACGGCTAATTTTTGTATTTTTAGTAGAGGCAGGCTTTCACCATGTTGACCAGGCTGCCTTTCATTTGTTTGTATATTTCTTTCTTCCTTTCCTTTTTTATTTCTAGAAGCATGTTAATTTTAAAATATAAATTATGACTTAAAAACCTTTATTTCTCTGTCTTTGATTACTATTATGGCTGATGAAAAAAATAAGTTTTTTTGAAATTTCCTGGATACCATTATTACTTTATTATTACCATAACTTGAGACAATATGGAAATGAAAATGAACATCTGTTAGTAAAACAGCAATTATCTAGCTCCTGGTAGTCACTTAATGTCTCACCCACTCTTTAGAACTTCCATCAAGACAAGAACTCTAATTTTTTCCAAGAGTGTGTGATGTAAAGTCACCCTCTAGTCTTTTCGTCTTTATGGCAGAAGTTGGATATTTATGGTAATGAAAATGAAGTTTAGGCCTCTTTTCGGAAGACAGATGGTGATGATGGAAGCAAATATAATGGTACGTGGTACTTGGCCACATTTCAAAGGGGTGATAGAGAACATTCACTGAAGTGCCACAGGTGGCTCTTATTTGCCAGGTCAAATCTTCCTTGTGAGGAAGGCTCAGCCCACTGGTGTTGAGCATTTCTGGCAGTTCCTAGACAGATGAACAAAACCTCACTGGGCTGGTTTAGTGTGACCAGAATTAAAAACACCCAGGTGCCAGGTTATTAAAAACATTTTTACATTTATGGAAAAAAAAATGTGATGTGATGTGTGGCTTGGTTTGAATAAATCTTCACTGAGCTAAGTAGCTGATAGAATTTACCTAACCTATAGGTAAAGAAATGGAAATAGCCTCTGACCAAGTTTATCTTATAGTCTTCTTTCTGTACATATACATATAAAATAGATGGCTAGATAAACATATATGCACAAAATGAGTTACATGTGTATGTCTACGTAATGTTTATTTATGCATAGGCCCCACAAAAATAAAAGCATCAGAAATAAAGTAGGTCAGGTGATATCTCCATATTCTACCCCTGAAGCCGAGGTAAATTAAATAAGCAAATTAGCAGAACCCAGGAGATTCCAATCAGCCAATTTGAACAGCCCAGGTGACTCCCACCAGCCAATTTGCTCAGCACGCATGGATCCAATCATTCAATTATATAAATAGTCACTGTGGCTTTATCAAGGCAGGCCCCAAATGGTAGATGTGAACAGAACATGCAGACACTGAGGAGAAATGCAGGGCACTGAAATACTAACCTGGACAGATGGGTTACATGGCTTTATTTTCAGCTTATTTCTGTAGACTTGCCCTTGAAGATAAAGCTTTGTTGGTATTTACATAAAAAGTTGTATGGCTACGTTCCATTCTGACATGTTATTTAGCAAAAGAAAACAAATAATTCTACATCAGCATCTGAGATGTATGCTAAAAGATTAAAGATGTCTTTTGGGGAACATATTTTGTATACAAAAACATTATATAGAAATAGTTATATAATTCTCTATATGAACATTTGTCTTCCTATGTATATTTATATCTAGCTGTGTCAATCTTTGTATTGATATACAAAGCTAGGAATAGTGAGATAAAAAGTATCTTCTGGCTGGGGGCGGTGGCTCACAACTGTAAGCCCAGCACTATGAGAAGCTGAGGCAGGTGAATCACCTGATGTCAGGAGTGCAAGACCAGCCTGGCCAACATGGTGAAAGCCCAGCACTACTAAGAAATACAAAAAATTACCAAGGCTAGGTGCAGGCGTCTGCAATCCCAGCTACTTGGGAGGCCTGAGGCAGGAGAATTGCTTGAACCCAGGAGGCAGAGGTTGCAGTGAGCCAAGGTTCCACCACTGCACTCCGTCCTAAGCAAGACAGCAAGATTCAATCTCAATAATAATTTTTAAAAAATGATGGCACATAAAGCCTTTAAAGTTTTTTAATAGAATATAAAAAGCAATATGTAAATCTGCATAAATCTGTTAATAGATACACCATATAAAATAATTTCAATATGAATAACAAACTAAAATATAGAGGCATAATCTTTGTATTCAATTGAAGTTGTTATAAGATTAAAACATATTGTTTTAACTTTCAGATGTAATCTCCAGTTTTCAAGATGATTATAAATATAATATTTATAAAATTTATGCAAAAGAAAATAAAAAATAATCAAAGCATACCAGTACAAAATTAAATGAAAATTAAGAAAGTAAAACAGGAAATGAGAAAAATATAACTGCAGAAGTTGGCCTTTACTGTGGTCCCTGAAGTGGTTCAGTGACGCAGTTTCAGTTACCTGAGCCACAGTTCATGGCCAGTGCTGCCTATATAGAAACTCACACAGTTACCTGAGGAAATGCTCTCTGGTACTTAGTGAAAGCCACACTCATCCACATCCTGATACAAGGCCCACCATGTGAAAAACCAACTGCAAAAATGTGCCCTAGTGTCTGCCCTGTAGAGCAAAGTCCTGAAGGATATGCAGTTTGTTCAAAAATAAAATGGGAATTACAACAACCCAAGCCCCTGTAACAAGCCAACTAAAGGTGGGCCCTAATGCAGACCCAGCAGCCTTGTGACCAAGCTACAGCCCCTCTTCACTACAAATTCAGAGGGCATCTTATCATCCTAAGGACCCAACAAAAGATCTTTACCTTCTAAAATCAGTTTATAAAAACATGAAGATGGCCAGGCATGGTGGCTCACACCTGTAATCCCAGCACTTTGGGAGGCCAAGGCAGGCAGATCACCTGAGATCAGGAGTTTGAGACCAGCCTCAACGTGGAGAAACCCTGTCTCTACTAAAAAGTACAAAATTAGCCAGGTGTGGTGGTGCATGCCTGTAATCCCAGCTACTCGGGAGGCTGAGGCAAGAGAATTGCTTGAACCTGGGAGGCGGAGTTTGCGGTGAGCCGAGATCATGCCATTGCACTTCAGCCTGGGCAATGAGAGCAAAACTCCATCTCAAAAAAAAACAAAAAACAAAACAAAAACAAAAAACATGAAGATGTGTTTGCTCCATCAAATTCAGACACCAATACAAAACTATATTTTGCCCATTGTCAATGCTTCTATTTTAATGTAGCACTGGAAGTATTGGCCAAAGAATTAGACAAGAAAATAAAAAAATCTTTTGAACCTGAAGAAAAACAAAATGCTGCTGTTTGTAGATCATACAATCTTATGTTTAAAAACCATAAACAGTACATTAAAACCTGTCTAAACTATTAAATACACTCAGTAAATTAGCAAAATATAAAATTAGCATTTAAGAATACGTATGGTTTCATACACTTAAAACAAACTATCTGATAAAATAGAGAATGAGGCTGGGCACAGTGGCTGACACCTCTAATCCCAGCATTTTGGGAGGCAGAGGCGGTTAAATCATTTGAGGTCAGGAGTTCGAGACCAGTGTGCCAACATGATACAATCCCGTTTCCACTAAAAATTCAAAAATTAGCTGGGTGTGGTGGTGGCTGCCTGTAATCCCAGCTAGTTGGGATGCTGAGGCAGGAGAATAGCTTGAATCTGGGTGGCGGACATTTCAGGGAGCCGAGACTGAGCCATTGCACTCCAGCCTGGGCAACCAACAGTACAAGACTCCATCTCAAAAAAATAATAAAGTAGAGGAAGACAAAAACTCAATTACTAAGGCATTAAATAATAAATTTCTGAGAAAAAATTAACCAACTGGGTAAAAAATCTTCACAATAAAAAAATGAAAAAAATTGGAGAAGATCCAAATAAATTTTAAACTATTTTATGTCTATGGATTGAAAGAATAAATATTACTGAAGCACCATATTATCTAATGTGATCTATAGATTCAATAAACTTCCTATCAAAATTGCAATGGTATTTTTTTACAGTAATGGAAAATACAATTCCAAAATTTACATAAAATTAAAATAAACTTTGAATAGCCAAAGCCATCTTGAAAAAAAAGAACAAAGCAGAAGGATATCATACTAATTTCAAACTATATTTCAAGATGATATAGTAATGAAAACAGAATGGACTGTAAGGAAAAATGAACAAAAAAATGCAACAGAAACTACTACTCTCACACATTTCAGACTTGATGAAAAAAAAAACTTAAAAAATAGTTTTAGTCTCTAAAAAGCATGCAGATATTTATGTGCCCCCAAAACAATGAAAAAGCAGCCAGATTGTGCAGTCTCTTATATGCCATGATGAGGACTTTGGCTCTCACTGTGGACTTGAAGGAAGCTCACCAAAAGAAAAGCAGAATTCTTAGAGAATTTAAAATCATAAAACAGAAGATGCCTCTCTGTGAAAGCAAAATTAAAAAATAAACAACAACAATAACAAAAAAAAAACACGAGCTGCCCAGGAACTATTTTCTTTGGAACACAGCTTCCCAAATCACATTTTAAGGACCGGCTTTCTCTTTGACCTTGGGACCTCTTATCTGTGTTGTCTATTGTATTGATTTTCACTCGCACCTAGCTGGGGGTTTGGCAGTCATCTCATGTCTCTTCATAGTCAAAGGTTTTTTTCTTTTTCTTGCTCCAGACAGGTGATCAGGTCTGACTTCCAGACAACGATACCTGTTTTTTTGTTTTGTTTTGTTTTGTTTTGTTTTGTTTTGTTTTGTTTTGTTTTGTAGACGGAGTCTCGCTCTTTGGCCCAGGCTGGAGTGCAGTGGTGTGATCTCAGCTCACTGCCAGCTCCGCCTCCCGGGTTCACTCCATTCTCCTGCCTCAGCCTCCCGAGTAGCTGGGACTACAGGCGCCCGCCACCCCGCTCGGCTAATTTTTTTTGTATTTTTAGTAAAGACGGGGTTTCACCGTGTTAGCCAGCATGGTCTCGGTCAGGATGGAGATGGGGTTTCACTGTATTAGCCAGGATGGTCTCGATCTCCTGCCCTCGTGATCCGCCGGCCTTGGCCTCCCAAAGTGCTGGGATTACAGGCGTGAGCCACTGCGCCCGGCAACAGTACCTGTTTTATTAAAAAAAAAAAAAATAACATGAATCATGCTCATATTCTCCAAGTACAGGTTAGTAATGTGCTCAGCAGAGAGGATATAATAAAATATTCTAGTAAATTAATACCAAAATATTAATTTCTAAAGGAAATTTCTAAATATTTAGAAAATACTTTCAATTTGTAGGTTTTTTAATTTTACTACCTGACTACCTGGTACTACTGAATCAAACATTAGATTTTCAGGTAGGGGCAACATATTTTATGCTACTAAATTGCTGGAATTACCACTAATTTAGAGTGAAAAATACAGCTCAACTCAGGAATGTGGAAAGTTTGGATTAAGATGAAACATTTTGAAGAAATTCTTTTCTAAATGAACAAATTTTGAAAGTTTTCTGGAAAAAGGGGATCTGAAACTCTTTTATGCCAAGAATAAATTACTAAAAAACATTCCATAAAATAAAGAAATAAGGCCGGGCACGGTGGCTCACGCCTGTAATCCCAGCACTTTGGGAGGCCGAGGCGGGTGGATCATGAGGTCAGGAGATCGAGACCATCCTGGCTAACAAGGTGAAACCCCGTCTCTACTAAAAAAAAATACAAAAAATTAGCCGGGCGCGGTGGCGGGCGCCTGTAGTCCCAGCTACTCGGGAGGCTGAGGCAGGAGAATGGTGTGAACCCGGGAAGCGGAGCTTGCAGTGAGCCGAGATTGCGCCACTGCAGTCCGCAGTCCGGCCTGGGCGACAGAGCGAGACTCCGTCTCAAAAAAAAAAAAAAAAAAAAAAAAGAAATAAAATCTTTAGCGTATATTATGAATTATGTATTAAAGTTATCCTCACCAAAGAAGACCAGGTTTCTGTAGTTCTCTAACATCACGTGTGTATATAAATTCTGCCATGCAGTGTCCAGGCAATGCCACTCCTCCAGAGAGAATTCTATGGCCACGTCTCTAAATTGCTATGGTACCTGAAACACACACACACACACACACACACACACACACACACACACACATATTTACTAAGTAACCATGAGCGACATTTTTAATTTGACTTAAGGTGAAATTAGAGAGTAAACAGAACTGGTTCTGACTTATAGGACTGACTAAAATTATCCAATAAAATAATTTTCAACACAGAAATATTCTCTAATGTATTCTCTAACTCTAAGAAAAAAGAGTAGCGTAAGATCCACAACATCCGTTCATATACTTTTCTAGATAATAAAGTATAAAATTAAAAGCATAAACATGAACATGTACACTTTTGTGTGCTATATTTACATCATACGGAAGTAGTTGTGAATATTTTCCAAATGGAAAAGACATGTTGAGTTGGAAGACATCTCTCAATTTTTATTTATTTATTTATTGAAACAGATTTTCGCTCTTGTTGCCCAAGCTGGAGTGCAGTGGCCCAATCTCAGCTCACAGCAACCTCCGTATCCCAGGTTCAAGCGATTCTCTTGGGTCAGTCTCCCAAATAGCTGGGATTACAGGCATACACCACCACACCTGACTAATTTTTTTTTTTGTAGAGATGAGGTTTTTCTCCATGTTGGTCAGGCTGGTCTGGAACTCAAGACCTCAGGTGATCAGCCCACCTTGGCCTCCGAAAGAGATGAGATTATAGGCATGAGCCACTGTACCTGACTGATTTTTTGAATTTCTAACAAGCTCACTAGTAATGCCAATGTTTTTGGCCTAAGAAGGATATTTTGTCATTCAATAAATGGAAGAGCCTTTGTTTTTCCCACTTTTTCTGGCCTGTAAACAAAGATAAGAGCCTTAATTTTCCAGAAAAAAATGTAGTAAAATATAAGAAAAGGGCCGGGTGAGGTGGCTCATGCCTGTAATCCCAGCACTTTGGGAGGCTGAGGCGGATGGATCATGAGGTCATGAGATCGAGACCATCCTGGCTAACATGGTGAAACCCCGTTTCTACTAAAAATACAAAAAATTAGCCAGGCGTGGTGGTGGGCGCCTGTAGTTCCAGCTACTAAGGGAGGCTGAGGCAGGAGAATGGTGTGAACCCCGGAGGCGGAGGTTGCAGTGAGCCGAGACCACACCACTGCACTCCAGCCTGGGCAACAGAGTGAGACTCCTCAAAAAAAAAATAAAAAATAAAATAAATAAATAAATAAGAAAAAAGAACAGCTTCCAGATTAAATGTGATGGTTTATGCATATCAGCTGCAGAAAGATACTTAATAATGAAGAAAAAATAATTATATAGTGAAAACATCTGTCAGAGAGCTATTTCACCAAATGAATCATTACCCATTAACCACATGAAAAAAATTTTTATGATATACTAATACACAAGAACACAGCATCAGTGTTGAAATATTCCTCCCAAACAAAGTAAATTAAAATCTGAATTTAACCATAAAGAAAATCAGTTTTATGCAAACTTCAAAACACAGGTAACTCCTATGTTCTGTAATTTTTAGTAGGAATTTTAAGTAGGCTTCATTAAGCACCCTAGAGAGCAGGAATCTCCTAATAATTTTTTTCAGAACTTTCTGGGTAATAAATGCCATCCCATTTAAATACGCATTCTCTTAATCCTGTTCTGCTTAGAGCAAATGGAACACATGATTGAAGCCTCAACATTACATGTTCTCTATCTGTACTAAGGACCACAGTTTTCCTCAATAGAAATCTTGAGTATCCACATCTTTCCATGTTCAACAGCCACAAAGGAAACATTTTTAATATTGTGGATCATAAATTCTTGCTGAGAATTCTGTGTGGCATATAAGAAGCTATGATGTAGAGAATAAAGAGAAGGCTCTGGGATAAAGAAAAGAAATATTTTTCAGAGATCCTTGACTATTGTAAGAATTTAGAGAAGTAGTTAAATCAAACCCCTTAGGAAGAAAAAACACAAGTAGAGAAGTAAAGATTTGCAAGTACTAAACGCATGGCATTCAAGGAGGCAGAGTGGACACAGCTTTTCATTTGGGACATGTTTAACTGAAGAAAAACCTTTTTTTTTTTTCTCCTCCGGATTTCTTCTGAGATTCTCTGGACAAATTACACCTGCATCTGGAGAACATGCCCTTAAAGGTGGCACTACTACATGTTTACCTGCTAGCATGACATCAACTGACAGAAAAGACAGAAAAAGCCCACCCATTTCTGTCCATTAAAGCAGAAGAGATTTGGGAACAATACACTCCTCCATGAAGATAAAGATATAAGTTTCTTCTTTCCTGTACTCAGGTGCCCTCCCCTGCCACAGACACCAGCAATTTCTGCTACAGTAATACAAATATCCACCACACTGACCTGTCCCTACCAAGTCAAAATAGAGTAGGCCCAGTGACCATGCTTTAGTGCAAAGGTGGAACTTAACTCTCATGAATGTATTTTGAAGCCTTCAAACCTGATTCTGTCCTTACCTTAGAGTCACATGAGGCACTTCATTAAAACAACGTGGATGCTTCCACACACAACAATAAACAGAAGCTGCGGGGAGGGCACAATAGATTCTGCAAATTGGCCATGTGACCCTAATAAGAAGCCTGAGCTGATAATCACTAAGCTAAGCATTGCCTCTCAAGCTTTAACGAGCTTATAAATCACTTGGTAATTTTACCCACTTTATGTAATGTGATTGCAGATTTGAAAAGGGTCCATGAATGGGGGTTTTAAACAAGTCCCCTGTCAATGCTGATGTTGCTCCCCATTGGCTCATTATTACCATTAGTTACAGAAGCAGACACAGCACAGGGTCCCTTACACTCAGCACTCTTGTCACAACCAAATACTTCTGATACAAACAAGGACAATCCATCTGTATCCTAAAGTTATATATTCTTTGCCGACTCTGTAAAGTTTACAGAAGAAACAGAAGGCAGCAATGTCTGAATAGGTCTGGATTTAAAAAACAACATGTACACATGTACTAATGCAATGTTATTAAGCAGGTACTATATGCTCAAGGGTATGATACAGAGCACTGTGTTGGGCATAACACATTATGTGATTTAATTCTCATAACATCCTAGGAGCTGGTACTAAGGATTTAATAATTTCCACTATTTAGAAAAAGGGCCCAGCATTTTCATTTCTTCAGTTATTTAGAGAAAATTTTATTCTGTTTGTATTTACTTTTTTGTGACTTGTGCAGAAACTACTGGATCTGCAGGAATAAAAAAAAAGTTGCTAAATAGAATGTCTCTGCAACCACTGGTTTTCATTGAAAATTTAAAAACTAAGACCCTCAAATACATACTTTATTTTTCCCATTTATCTGCTTTAGGATTTCAGGAAATTGTGAGCAGCAGGTCTAGAAAGGCAGCAGGATTCACCAGCTAAAACTCTGATCTTTTCTAATCAATTCTGCAAGGCAAGACTCCATGGTAGGGCCAGACCAAAATAAGGCCTCCAAAAAGGGTGAATCTGAACAGGTCTGGGGCAGGGTGAGGACCCTATGTAGAATTCTGTTCTCTATGCCACTGGGGTACTTCCAGTTTTGCTTTTTCTAAGCTTACCTAAAAGAAACTTAAATCCCAGAGTTTCTGTAATTTTTATCTTTTCTAGCCACTGTCCTGTTAAATGTATACTATGCATTAATATGCAATTTAAACAAATCCCTTAAGGTTTCCTAGGGTAATTTTATTGGAAAATAAATATGTACAGTTAGCAATGTTAAAAAAAAAATAGAAACTATACAGCAGTGTGCAGTCGCTCAGGCCCATAATTCCAGCATTTTAAAAGGCTGAGGCAGGTGGATCACAAGGTCAGGAGTTCAAGAACAGCCTGACAAAAATGGTGAAACCCAGCCTCTATTAAAAATACAAAAATTAGCTGGGCACAGTGGCAGGGCCTAGTAATCCCAGCTACTTGGGAGACTGAGGCAGGAGAATCACTTGAACTCTAGTGGCACAAATTGCAGTGAGCTGAGATAGTGCCTCTGTACTCCAGCCTGGGCAACAGAGACTCTGTCTAAAAAAAAAAAAAAAGAAAGAAAGAAAGAAATTATAATAACAATTCTTCTGTTAATAAATATCTCTTCAGTGGTAGACATCAGAAGTCACAACAGCATAAAGAAAGTGGCCTAAATAAAGCCCAAGATTTTGGATGCGTCTATATATTGTACCAACCATATGATGCATAATTCAATTATTTATGCAGTTGCTAGTCTAGACTAAATGTTTCTGAATTGTAGGAACCATGACTGCTTTCATGTATTTTTTTAATGGCAAAGTTGTTTGTCAGAAATATTTATTTATTTACAGAAATAGCATTGATTATTGATTAGATATATATTATTATGGTTTAGGGTATGAGATATAGCATCCAATGTGGCATTATTAGTTTAATATATATCTACTTGTGGCAATAGCAAACAGTTTCAAGAGATGAATACATATTTTAAAGGGGAAGAAAGACAACTGCACTTTCATTTCAACGTCTGAGTTTGATAACCAAAAGGACTTGCAATTTTTAGACAAAAATGTTCTATCCCCCAAATCTCAAGACCTGGATACAAAATGTGGAGCTGCAGATTTAGAGCCTGAATGGCTGGAGTAGGAGCAGGTGTTACCTATACATTTGTGAGCAATTTACCAAGAGAAAAAAGAGGAAAGTGGAGATTCTCATGTCTGCATATGTACTCAATGCACACATGTTACTCAGATTAGGATTGTGGGCCCCATGGTCTCTGAATCAGTTTCAGGTCTGAAGATACAAGAGTCATTGAGATAAAATGATTAATTGTTGCCCTGTGAAGTTAGTAGAAATGTGGTCTAGTCTCTCTAGAAGTAACTATAGAGGACTATAGATACCAAATGGGCAGAGACACAGTTCTGCCTGCATATTTAGGGGACAGCATGCACTTTGTTGCACAAGTGTGAGTTGACTGGAAGTCTGAGAGGGAAAGTTTCCTCTAAAGTAAATTCTGGTTGGCACCTTATGTGTTTATATCATGCCTGGTAATTCTAGGCAGTGTTTGGAAACAATAATTAAAAGAACAATTTTCTCCAGCCCCAAAAAAACTCCACAATAGTAAAACAGAAAGAAAACAGTTTTATTACACCATTAAACTTGAATGTGACATGCATCATAGTCAATCTGCTTAAGAGACTGCAAAGAAAGATGATCACCATAATTAGTCCACAAGTAAAATTTACAGCACCACGTCATACACAGTTCATCCTAAATTCACAGGCAGGTTGAAGAGGCCATCTGTGTATGCTAATTGCTTATATTCAAGGACAAACTTTTTCCATCTTCATAACAGAAGGTAGTTTAGCAGCTTGAAGCCAGGTGCCTGCTGAAGGTAGGTTTTCACTAGCTACAAAAGTGGTTGAATAGGGTTCTATCATTTTGGCTATTTACATTTTGGAGCAGTGGCTCTGCACTCCCTGACACTGGGTTATAGCACTCCTGCTTGCTTTCTCCTGGTTGCTAGTGTCCTCTCTTGGCCTCTACCATCTGCCACTGAGGCACAGCCGAGAGCACAGCTCACAGTTTATGTGAACCCCATTTGCTACAGCAGCACTCTAGAGTCACATTAGATAGTAAAGCCTGAGCTGCAGGAGGAGAGCCTGCAGGCCTCGTGGGTAGAATTGCACCTTCACAACAATGGGAATGTGAGTGGAGTTTCAGCCCCAATTTTTATTTATAATGGTGACATAAAAAAAATACTGCTGAATTTCCAGCATGAGTCCAGATAGAGATAGCTCCAGAAATTCTCACTGTGACAGCCCAGCTCATTCAGACACCATGGGAAACTAACAGCACTTCTGAAACAGACACCCAAAGCACTGGAGAGAAAACCAGATCTCTATCTGAGCAAGATTATTTTGAGAGAAGTTAAAAAGATCTTATGAAAAAGCTCAGATTAGATATAAGATTGATCAAGTCAGCCAGAAAATAGTCCCCTAAAAGCAATTTCTCTCTAACCACCCAAAGTGCACAGCTACTCTCAGCATGAGAAACATGAGCATTACGAAGAAAGGGGGCAGATTTTCACAAGAATTTTATAGTTTTTTTTTTTCCATCTCTGCTGCTGTCTCATTTTCTAGCCACTGAATGGGGGTTCTACATTGAAATATACCTGAAAACTTCCAACAACACTTTCTGATGAAGAAATAGAATCTGACCATGTTCTTATGGTGGAATACATTAGAACTTACAACATAGTTAACAGGAGAACTATTATGGTTTTTGGGTGGCCAGATTACCTGTCTTTATTTCTTTTGTAATAGCAGCATTCCAATTTAGTGAAATAAAAGATGTTAAATTATGTTTACTTATAATTATCCCTATTGAATAAAGTAATAAACATGTCAGACTAATATCTACTGTAGCAATTTGGTAGCAATTTTTTTTGGATATTAGATATAAATATCTGAGTATGAATAATTTTAGTAAACTAGTAGTAATGTATGTAGCATTCTTAAAAATTGCAACTATACTTCAGTTAAAACAATTTATATTTCAAAAGTGTAAATAACAATATTAAAATAAACATTCAAGTGATTCATTCAAAGTAAGTATTGTGGATTTTTATTCATACTATTGTAGAAAATACTGTTTATTTGGCTGGGCGTGGCAGCTCACGTCTGTAATCCCAGCACTTTGGGTGGCTGAGGCGGGCACATCACCAGAGGTCGGGAGTTCAAGACCAGCTTGATCAACATGGAGAAACCCCGTCTCTACTAAAAATACAAAATCAGCTGGGTGTGGTGGCTCATGCCTATAGTCCCAGCTACTAGGGAGGCTGAGGCAGGAGAATTGCTTGAACCTGTGTGGCTGAGGGTGAGCCAAGATCATGCCATTGCACTCCAGCCTCAGCAACAAGAGTGAAACTCTGTCTCAAAAAATAAAATAATAATAATAAATAAAAGAAAATACTGTTTATTATTAGCCAGGTGTGGTGGCAGTCACCTGTAATCGCAGCTACTTGGGAGGCTGAGGCAGGAGAATCGCTTGAACCTGAGGGGCAGAGGTTGCAGTGAGCTGAGATCATGCCATTGCACTCCAGCCTGGGGGACAAAAGCAAGACTTCATCTCAAAAAAAAAGAAACTTTATGGCTCATGCCTGTAATCCCAGCACTTTGAGTCACTGAGGTGTGTGGATCACCTGAGGTCAAGAGTTCACAATCAAGCTGGCCAATATGGTGATACCCCATCTCAACTAAAAATAGAAAAATTTAGCCAGGCATGGTGGTGGGTGCCTGTAATCCCAGCAATTCAGGAGGCTGAGGCAGGAGAATTGCTTGAACCCGGGACCCAGTGGTTGCAGTCAGCCAAGATCATACCAGTGCACTCCAGCCTGGGCAGCAGAGTGAGACACAGTCTCAAAAAAAAAAAAAATACTATTTAGTGTATATGAATGCAGGTTGTCTACAAACACTACACATAACTATGCTAATTGCTCTGAAGTAATAAATAGAAAGCAAGGTACAACTACAGACTCCACTGTTCAGTTTATGCACTGAACTGTTCTTGCTTTTGCAATATAAGTACTTCAGTCTGCAAATATTGGATAATTACCTTGGATAATCAGGTTTCTTTCAAAGAATCTTAGTATCTTTTAGTCTTTATCATTCTGTATAGCTAAATTTAATCCTATCTTTGTGCTAAGCTTTTGTGTGCTCTTAAAATGAGCTTTTATCTAAACAAATCTGTGTTTACTTTAAAGGACTAAAAATGGACTGGGCATGGTGGTTCATGCCTGTGATCCCAGCACTTTGAGCAGCTGAGGTGGGTGGATCACTGTTGGTAGAAGAGCTGAGGCAGGACTAGCTTGTTTGTCCTAATGTAAAAGGGTCTTGGAACAAGTCCTGTGTCCAGGGTCTAAACCCCCTCGTGGCCTCTGGAACACAAAGCTCTGTGCCAAAGGGTGGAAGGCTGCCTTGCCACACCATAATCTAAGCCCAGGGCATAAAACCCCTCGTGGCTCGGATGGAATCCAAGGCTCAGGGCATAAAACCCCTCCTGGCCTCTGGAATGGCACAGACTTGTTGATTCCTTGTTTCTTGCTCTCCCAGGCTCATAAACATGTTCTCCATTATGTCAGGTAGCACAGCATATTACGTATGCATCAAAGAAAATGTGAAACCATCACAGCTACACTTGATGCACTGCTACCTTTCTAGCCCGAAGTCCTCACGTCCTCACCTGTTTACCCCACATCCGCACGTCCTTACCACCTGCTTATTTGTCTGATCACTGATAAATAGTGTGGGCTTCCAGAGCTCGGGGCCTTCACAGCCTCCATACTAGCATTGGCCCCCTGGACCCAATTTAAGTACTCTTAACTTGTCTTGTCTCAATCCTTTGACTCCGCCAGACTTCATAGCCCACATGGCCTGGTGTTGGGCCTGATCACCCCAACATTTCTGGTGCCCAATGTGGGACTATGAAGACCCCAGTGAAGGAACGCTAGAGCTTGTGGAAGCAGAGGACATATTGTCAGAGGACACCCGAGGATGACTAAAAGAAGCTCAGTGCTAAGCTGGGCACTCAGAAGAACCAGGGTAACAATGGGACAGAATGAAAGCAAACATTCTGCTTGTTTAAACTTCTAAGGCATTTATTATGGAGAGGAGATGTGAAAGTTAGTACACAGAATTTATTGACACTCTTTAGTACTGTAGAGCAGTTTTGCCCATGGTTCCCAGAACATGAGACTATGGAGTTGGATGAATGGAAAAGAATTGGCAGAGAATTTAAAAAGGCATATAAAGACGGAGCCAAAATTCCAGTTTCTGTTTGGTCAGTGCAGGCATTGATAAAGGCAGCTCTTGGGGCACTTCAAACAGATGACAAGGCAGATTCAGAAGAGGAAGAGGCAGACTAGTGTAAAAAACTAACTTCAGATTCTGAATGTGAGGAACAGCAACTGGAGGAAATTAAAGAAAACAAAGGGAAACTGAAAAAGGTATGTTTTACTAGCCCATTGATTCCACCTGCTGAATTAAGTGAATGGCCATATCCTCCCTCTCCCCATAATGGGCAAGAAAATGAAACAGCTGAGAAACTTACCACTCCTGTAGTTGCAACATTAAAACCTGGAGCGATTGGTGGTCCTATACGAAATTCGATTCAAAAAGCTAGAGCTGAAGGTGACTTTGAAGCATGGCAATTTCCAGTTACTATAACCCAACAAGAAGGATGAAATATAGCTAATTGGGCCACTTTTTCTTTTAAGTTGTTAAAGGAATTCAAACAAGCCATTAGTCAATATGGGCCAAATTCTCCTTTTGTAAAAACTTTATTAAAAAATATGGCTCTTGACAATAGGTTAATACCGTATGACTGGGATACTTTATACCATATGACTGGGATACTTTAACAAAATCTGTTCTCACTCCATCTCAGTACTTGCAGTTTAAAACTTGGTGGGCTGATGAAGCTCAAACTCAGGCAAGAGAAAACATACAAGCACAGCCACCTGTGCCTGTTTGTTTTGAACAGTTAATGGGAGTTGGCCCTAATTGGGGGTGATTAGAAAATCAGGCAGTGATAGAGAATGTTGCCATTTCTCAGCTGCATGCTGTGTGCTTATGGGCGTGGGAGAGAATAAATGTTACAAGAGAAAAATATCCTTCTTTCAGTTCTGTCCTACAAGGACCTAAAGAATCATATGCTGATTTTATTCCTCAGCTCCAAGAGGCTGTGCATAAAGCTATAACTGACAAAACAGCTCAAGATGTTACAATACAGCTTCTTGCATATGATAATGCCAATGCAGAATGTCAAGCTGCTATGAGACCTATGAGAGGGAAGGCTCATTTGGCTGAATATATTAAGGCTTGTGATGGCATTAGGGGTAATTTACATAAGGCTCCTCATTTAGCTCAAGCTATGGCTGGACTAAAGGGGAAAAAACATGCCCCATTTCTCAGTCTCTTTTAATTGTGGGCAATTTGGATACACAAAAAAGGAATGTAAAAAAGGAAATCAGCAGGCAAAGACTACTACCGGTAAGCAACAAAAAAGTCCCAGTATCTGCCCCCGATATAAAAAAGGGATTCACTGGTCAAATCAGTGTCATTCTAAATTTAGTAAAGATGGGCAGGGTGGGGGGAGGAGGGAGGGATAGCATTAGGAGATATACCTAATGCTAAATGATGAGTTAATGGGTGCAGCACACCAACATAGCACATGTATACATATGTAACAAACCTGCACGTTGTGCACATGTACCCTAAAACTTAAAGTATAAAAATAATAACATTTAAAAAAATAAAAAATAAAAAAAATGTGGACAACCTCTTTCGGGAAACAGGAAGGGGTGCCCAACTTGGGCCCCTCAACAAACCGAGGCATATCTGGCACAGCCACTGCCCTTACAAATGTACAACAATTGTCCCCCACCACAGCAGGCACTGCTGCCATAGATTTTTGCAGTACAGTTCCCATTTTCTTACTTCCTGGGGAGCCACCAAAGAAGGTCCCCATGGGAGTTAGGGGCCCTTTACCCTCAGGAAGAGTTGGTCTATTGCTTGGAAGGTCTAGTTTAAATTTAAGGGGTGTCACTGTTCACACGGGAATAATTGATTCTGATTATAGCAGAGAAATTCAAATAGTTATTACTTCCTCAACTCCATGGTCTGCTTCTCCAGGAGAAAGAATTGCTCAATTATTACTACTACCTTACACAAAGCTAGGAAGTAGTACAGTGAAAAGAACAGGAGGCTTTGGTAGTACGAATCCAGCAGGAAAGGCTGTCCATTAGGTTAATCAAGTTTCTGACAAAAGACCTATTTGTACAGTAACCATTCAAGGTAAAGACTTTAAAGGATTAGTAGATACTGGAGCTGATGTCTCTATTACTGCTTTAAATCAATGGCCCTGACAATGCCCAAAGAAAAGGCTTCCATGGGTATTGTTGGCATAGGGACTGCCTCAGAAGTTTTTCAGAGTTCTTTAATTTTGCCATGCCAAGGGCCAGATGGCCAAGAAGGGACAATTCAACCTATTATTACACATATTCCTCTCAATCTATGTATGGGGTAGAGACTTATTACAACAATGGGGTGCTGAAATATCTATTCCTATGGAACAGTATAGTAATAACAGTAAACAAATTATGAGAAAAATTGGACATCTCCTGGGGAAGGGATTAGGAAAAAATGAAAATAGCCAACCAGAACCTTTAGAACTAAAAGGGCAAATAGATAGAACTGGATTAGGGTATCATTTTTAGGAGTGGCCATTGCTGAGCCTCCAGCTCCCATTCCCCTTGTTTGGTTAACTGCCAAACTTGTTTGGGTGGATCAATGCCACTGAAACAGGAAAAACTGGAGGCTTTTATAGAATTGGCACAGGAACAATTGCGAAAGGGACACATAGAGCCTACCTTCTCTCTTTGGAATTCTCCTGTGTTTGTTACTAAGAAAAAATCAGGTAAACGGAGAATGTTAACAGACTTGAGGGCTGTTAATGCTATATTTCAACCCATGAGCGCACTGCAACCAGGGCTGCCCTCTCCAACTATTATTCCTAAATACTGGCCTCTAATAGTGATAGATTTAACAGATTCTTTCTTTACCATTCCTTTAGTGACCCAAGATTATGAAAAATTTGCTTTTACTGTTCCCACTATAAATAACAAAGAACCAGCGGACAGATACCATTGGAAAGTATTACCACAAGGAATGTTAAATAGCCCAACTATTTGTCAAACTTATGTCGGAAAAACTATTAAGCCAGTTAGAGAACAATTTTAAAAAGTTATATTATCCATTACATGGATGACATTTTATGTGCAGCTGAAACTAGAGAGGAAGTAATGCTATGCTAACAACAGTTAGAAAAGTCTGTGACTGCAGCAGGATTAATCATAGCCCCTGACAAAATCCAAACCTCTACTCCCTTTCAATATTTAGGAATGAAAGTAGAACAAAGTACTAATAATCCTCAAAAAGTTCAAATTGAAAGAGATAATTTAAAAACTCTAAATGATTTTCAAATTTATTAGGAGACATTAATTGGATTTGTCCATCTTTAGGCATTCCTACCTATGCTATGTCTCACCTTTTTTCTACTTTACAAGCTAATTCTGACCTTAACAGTAAATGCTCCCTTTCTAAAGAGGCATTAGAGGAACTTCAATTAATTGAAGAAAAAATTCAACAAGCACAAGTGAAATGAATTGACCCTATGCAGCCATTACAGTTTTTAGTTTTTCCTACTAAACATTCACCTACAGGAATTATGTTGCTATGTGTGTCTTGCTTCACTTTTGTTAATATTTGCTTTGTACGTTTTAAAGCCCTGATGTTGTATACACATATATATATAGATAAATATTATAGTTACAGATTTCTGCTATATTAACTCACTTTATCATAATACAATATCAATCATTGTTTCATGACAGTATTGACTTAAAGCATATTATGTCTATTATAATTATGACCACCTCACTCAGTTGTGGTTGCTATTCTCATGGGATATACATCTTTTTCATTCTGTTACTTTATCAGCCTATTTGACTCATTGCTAAAATGAATCTTTTGTAGGCAGCATACTGTATGCTTTATAAAAAACTACTCAGGCATTCTATTTCTTTTTCTTTATATAATTTTACTTATTCATATATATATATATACATTTTCAGACTGAGTTTCACTCTTGTTTCCCAGGCTGGAATGTAATGGTGCTATCTCAGCTCACTGCAACCTCTGCCTCTTGGTTTCAAGCAATTGTCCTGCTGCAGCCTCCTGAGTAGCTAGGATTACAGGTTCCCACCACGATGTCCAGCTAATTTTTTCTATTTTTAGTAGAGATGGGGTTTCACCATGATGGCCAGGCTGCTCTTGAACTCCTGACCTCAGGTGGTTGCCTGTCTCGGCCTCCCAAAGTGCTGGGATTACAGGTGTGCACCACTGCACCTGGCCTCATTTATCATGGAGATAGGGTCTCACTCTGTCAGCCAGGCTGATTTGCTCAGTTCACTGCTGCCTGAACCTCCCAAACTCAGATAGATGATCCTCTCATTCAGCCTCTCAAGTAGCTGGGTTACAAGTATGTGCCATCACACCCAGCTACCTTTTTTGTATTCTTTATTGAGAATTCTGGTCTTGAACTCCTGGGATCAAGTGATCAGCCTACCTTGGCCTTCCAAAATCCTAAGATTACATTTCATTTTATTAAGTAGTTTAATTAATTTATATTTAAAATGATTGCTTAGGGAAATGATGTTGTTATTACTAGTTATACTGATATTGTTTTGTGTGTTTCTAGTAGTTATATTTTTCTCTTTTCCTTATTTACTTTCTTAACTTTCATTTAATTTTGTACTGGCATGATTTGATTATTTTTTGTTTTCTTTTGCATACTTTCTATAAATATTATCTTTGTAATCATTTTGACAGCTGGAAATGACATACATCTTAAAGTTAAAACAATATTTTTAAATTTCATAACAACTTCAGTTGAATACATAAACCATGCCTCTATATTTTCCAGTTTGTTATTGATATTAAAATTATTTTATGTGGTGTATCTCTCAGATGTATGTGAATTTACATATTTTTTATATTCTATAAAAGAACTTTAAAGGTTTTACATATCATCATTTTGGGGTTTTTTTTTGTTTGCTTTTTGAGATTGAATCTTGCTCTATTGCTTATGTTGGAGTGTAGTTGTTCAATCTTGGCTCACTGTAACCTCTGCCTCCTGGGTTCAAGCAATTCTCCTGCCTCAGACTCCCAAGTAGCTGGAAATATAGATACCTGCCACCAAGCCTGGCTAATTTTTTTATTTTTTAGAAGAGATGGCTTTTCACCATGTTGGCCAGGCTGGTCTTGAACTCCTGACCTCAGGCGATCTACTCATCTCAGCCTCTCAAAGTGCTGGGCTTACAGGTGTGAGCCCCAGTGCCCAGCCAGAAGTTACTTTTTATCTTACTATTCATAGCAATGCATATCGATACAAAGATTGACACATCTAGATATAAATGTACATAGGAAGACAAACACTCACATAGAGAATTAAATAAATATTTCTATATAAATATTTATACAAAACAAATTTCCCAAAAAACATTTTTAATCTTTTAGCATGTACTAAAGATGCTGATGTAGAATTACTTCTTTTTTCTTTTGCTAAATAACATGTCAGAATGGAACATATTCATACAATGTTTTTTATGTAAATATCAACAAAGCTTTATCTTCAAGGGCAAGACCACAGAAGCTGAAAATAAAGCCATGTACAACACATCTGTCCATGTTAGTATTTCAGCGCCCTGCATTTCTCCTCAATGTGTGCATGTTCTGTACACATCCACCATTTGGGTCCTGCCTTGACAAAGCCAGTCATCATTTAGATAATTGGATGATTGTATCCACCTGGGCTGAGCTACTTCGCTGGTTGGAATCATCTGAGCTGTGCAAATTGACTGATTGCAATCACCCGACTTCTGCTAATTTGCTTATTTGATTTACCTCAGCTTCAGGGTAGCTTACCGAGATGTCATCTGACTTTATTCCTGAGGCTTTTTTTTTGAGAGTCATATGCAGAAATAAACATTACGTAGACATACACGTGTGACTCATTTCATGTGTATATGTTTATCTAGCCACCTATTTTATATCTACATGTACAGAAAGAAGCCTATAAAATAAACTTGGTCAGAGGTTTTTCCAATTCCTTTACCTACAGGTTAGGTAATCAGCTACTGAGCTCAGTGAAGATTTATTCAAACCAAGCCGCACACCATGCCACTTTTTTTAATACAAATTTAACAATGTCTTTAATAACCTGGAACCTGGGTGTTTTTAAACCTGGTCTCATTAATCCAGCCCAGTGAAATTTTGTTCATCTATCTAGAAATTACCAGAAATGCTTGACAACAGTGGGCTGAGCCTTCCTCACAAAGAAGATTTGACCTGGGAAATAAAAGCCACCTGTGGCACTTCAGCGACTATTCAATATCACCCATTTGAAATGTGGCCAAGTACCATGTACCATTATATTTGCTTCCATCACCATCTGTCTTCTAAAAAGAGACATAGACTTCTTTTTCATTACCATAAATACCCAACTTCTGCCACAAAGACCGAAAGACAATAGTGTGATTTTACATCACACACTTTTGGAAATAAATACAGTTCTTGTTCGATGGAAGTTCTAAAGAGAAAGAATAAGTATTCTCATATTTAGGTTAGACCTTTGGACTGGGGCTGGTTCATCTCTGACCCTATGTACAACAATAAAAGAAAAGTCAACCCTGACATGGCAGTAAATAACTCCAATGGTCTTAGTAAATTTTCATCTTCCAGAAGTGCAAAACAAAGCCCAATGCTCCCTTTGAATATATTAACTGCAGCAGGATGTATATTAGAGCATTCCTCTATTTCTGTACTATTCTAGATATAGTAGTCTATAGAGAAAATATTTTTATACAGGTATGGAAGGTTCTGTATTACTGTTTGTAGCAATAGCTATCAATACTTCCACATTCAACATCTTTATTTTGTATGAATATAAATACAAAAATTGTTACAGCTTCATATATATATTTATATACACTTAGGTATGTGTATGAATATATGTACACATATGGTAGCTACATAAACACTCACAAACTTATATGAATGTATCTATGTAAATATTAATGTATACATACAATATTTTCCCACTTTTTAAAATATAGAGCATATACTAAGGATGCAGATGCAGAATTAATTGCCTTCTCTTTTGCTCAATAGCATGTCAGAATGAAACATAGCCATACAGTGTTGTTTATATAAACGTAAAGCTTCAGCTTCAGGTTTCAGGCCTTGTAAATAAAGTGACAGTAAAGCTGTGTTATACATACTGTCCAGGTTAGCATATAGGGCCCTGCATTTCTTCTTGGTGTTCATGGGCTATTTACATTTACAATTTTGGGCATACCTTAATGAATCTGTAGCCACTAGATAATTAGGTGATTGGGATCACCTAGACTGAGCTAATTGGCTAATTGAATTCACCTGGGTTGATAAAGTAGCTGATTGAAATCACCTGGGCTGAGCTAATTCGCTGATTGAAATCACCTGAGCTGAGTTAATCGGTGGTTTAAAATCACCTGTGCTAAACTAATCGGGTTATAAGATTCACATCAGCTGAGCTAACTGGCTGATTGGTGTCCCCTAGAAAAAGCTAGTTGGCTGTTAGAAATCATCTGGGCTAGTGCTCTGATGCAGGCTTTCTCCCTCGTCATCCTCCCTCATCGTTCTGTGTGCATTTTTCTCTATGTCCTGATCTTTCTTCTTGCACCTAGAAGTGGTGTCTGGGTGCAAATGTAAGCAGTGGTGGATCCAGAAATAAGAGCTTTGTGTAATAAGGTTCTTAAAACAGTCCTTTCTTACACGTGCCCGGTGCCAGACCCTCGGTCTTGGCCTTGTTCAGGAGCTGGGATATCTGCGCTTGGTGAAAATGAAATGAATTCCTGACCTAGGAATTCAGTATTTCCTCCTCACTCCAGCTAAGCACTCACTTTTTTTTTTTTGGTATGGAATCTTGCTCTGTCACCCAGGCTGGAGTGCAGTGGTGCGATCTCGGCTCACTGCAACCTCCACCTCCCGGGTTCAAGCGATTCTTCTGCCTCAGCCTCCTAAGTAATTGGGATTACAGGCATGCGCCACCATGCCCAGCTAATTTTTTTTTTTTTTTTTTTTTTTTTTTTTTTTTTTTTGAGACAGAGTCTCACTCTGTCGCCCAGGCTAGAGTGCAATGGCGCAATCTCGGCTTACTGCAAGCTCCGCCTCCTGGGTTCACACCATTCTCCTGCCTCAGCCTCCCAAGTAGCCGGGACTACAGGCGCCCATGACCACACATAGCTAATTTTTTTTGTATTTTTATTAGAGACGGTGTTTCACCGTGTTAGCCAGGATGGTCTCGATCTCCTGACCGCGTGATCCGCTCACCTAGGCCTCCCAAAGTGCTGGGATTACGGGCAAGTTTTTATTAGAGACGGGGTTTCATCATGTTGGTCAGGCTGGTCTTGAACTCCTGACCTCAGGTGAGCCACCCGCCTCAGCTTCCCAAAATACTGGCATTACAGGCGTGAGCCACCGTGCCCAGCCTAAACTCTCAGTTCTAACGTAGGGATTCAGGAATTGGGCATATGGCTTTCAGACTCCTTTTGCAATGTCACAATCCAGACTTTTTTTTAATGAAGGACACCCCGCAGTGGCTCGCAGTGGGTCCCGGTGCTGGCAGGAGCGTGCTGGCGAGCCGGCTCTGTCTTTATGCATCCTTCAGGGGTCCTAGGGCTGACTCCACCGGACAGCCCGTCCTGGGCCGTGTTAAGCACCTTTTGCAG
Organism: Homo sapiens; assembly: GCF_000001405.40. Lineage (NCBI taxonomy): Eukaryota > Metazoa > Chordata > Mammalia > Primates > Hominidae > Homo > Homo sapiens. The sequence continues at coordinate 20,312,803 of NC_000019.10, read as the reverse complement.
AAATCGTATTTTTTTTTTTATTAAAACATCAAATCTGTGTTCCTGTAAAAAAAAAAGAAAAAGAAAAGTAAAGAAAAGAAATCACCTGGGCTAATCAGCTGGGCTAAGCTAATTTGTTGATTGGATTCTCCTGGGGAGTGCTAATGAGCTGCTTGGAATCCCCTGAGGTAAGCTAATTGGCTGATTTAAATTTTCTGAGCTGAGATAATTGATGCAGAAAAGTTGAACACTTGGCTGGGCAGTGGCTCACGCCTGTAATCCCAGCACTTTGGGGAGGCTGAGGCAAGCAGATCACTTGATTTCAGGAGTTCGAGACCACTGTGGCCAACATAGTGAAACCCCATCTCTACTGAAAATACAAAAATTAACCAGGCATGGTGAGTGCCTGTAATCCCAGGTATTGAGGAGGCTGAGGCAAAAGAATCACTTGAACCCGGGAGGTGGAGGTTGCAGTGAGCAGAGATTCTGCCATTGCACTTCAGCCTGGGTAAGAGTGAAACTCTGTCTCAAAAAAAGAAAAAAACAAAAAAAAATATGCATGCATATGTATATATATATATATATGTATATATATGTGTGTGTTTATATATATACACACATATATATACATATATATATATATATACTCTCAGAGGATAACTTGAAGTATTTTAGAGATGTTCTCTAAGAATCTAAAATTATTTTTACTTTTAGTTTCTATAAATATGTTTCTTAAGCATTTTTAATTTCCAAAAAAAATTTTTTTTTTTGAGATGGAGTCTCGCTCTGTCACCCAGGCTGGAGTGCAGTGGCACAAGCTCACTGCAAGCTCCGCCTCCCAGGTTCACGCCATTCTCCTGCCTCAGCCTCCCGAGTACCTGGCACTACAGGCGCCCACCACCACTCCCGTCTAATTTTTTGTATTTTCAGTAGAGACGGGGTTTCACCGTGTTAGCCAGGATGGTCTCAATCTCCTGACCTCGAGATCCACCCGCCTTGGCCTCCCAAAGTGCTGGGATTACAGGCATGAGCCACCGCACCCAGCCCTCAAAAAACTTTTAAATATATGTTGTCAGTTTAATTTTTCTGCGGAATTTAAATAGAGTCAAATTATACATATCAAAAAATCTACTTTTTTGGTAATAGATCAGCTTAATTTTTAGAACAAAGGTGTTAAACTTCACAAAATTTTATGCTGACCAATTTGATCAGTAGCCTCTTTCATACGACTGGGAGAGATGACACCAAGATGTAGCATTCATGTTGGGTGAGAGACTAAATCACTACCAGTAGCTAGATAATTTCTGTTTTACTAACAAATGTTGGTTTTCCTTTCTATATTTTCTCGTTATGTTAATAATGAAATAATAACTTTATCCAGGAAATTTCAAAAAACTTATTTTTAATCAGCCATAATAGTAAGCAAAGACAGAGAAATGAAGGTTTATAACAGTCATAATTTATATTTTAAAAGTAAAATACTTCTAGAAATAAAGAAGGAAAGGGAGAAAGAAATATACAAACAAATGAAAGGCAGCCTGGTCAACATAAAGAAAGCCTGCCTCTATTAAAAATACAAAAATTAGCCTGGTGTGGTGGCACACACCTGTAATCTCAGCTACTCAGGAAGCTTAGGCATGAGAATCACTTGAACCTGGGAGGCAGAGTTTACAGTGAGCAGACATCATGCCACTACACTCCAGCTTGGGCGACAGAAAGAGACGCCGTCTCACACAAAACGAAACAAAAACAAAAGAGAAGGAAAGAAGTGGATTACTCGCAATAGCTAAGGTATTAATCTAAGTGTCCATCAAGAAGTGAATGAAGAGAGAAAATATGGTGTATGTAAACAATGAAATGCTATTCAGCCCCTAAAGTAAGACAATCTTGTTATTTGCAACATTCATGAACCTGAAAGATATTATGCTAAGTAAAGTAAGTCAACACAGAAAAAAAAAAACAAAAAAAAATCCTTTTTTTTTTTTTTTTGAGATGGAGTTTTGCTCTTGTCATCCAGGCTGGAGTGCAGTGGCACCATCTCCACGCACTGTAACCTCCACCTCCCAGGTTTAGGCGATTCTCCTGCCTCAGCCTTCTCAATACCCGCGATTACAGGCATGTGCCACCACGCCCAACAAATTTTTATATTTTTAGTAGAGATGGGATTTCCACCCACCTCAGCCTCCCAAAGTGCTGAGATTACAGGTGTGAGCCACCACATTTGGCCTGGTTTTCTATTTTTTTTTTCTAAATTTACCAGTAATATAAAATTATTTGCTAAGAAGACTTATCTTATTCAAATGTTTTATGGGATTTCATTGACATTTAACTGTCTGAATTATTTGGAATATTGAAATTTTCCATGAACTCTAATTGAGTACTATAGATAATGTTTTAGTAAAAGCTTTTCTGAGGCAGAGTAAGATTTATAACATTTTATTATCATATGGAAGAAGTGTATTAACCATGTTTTCGGTAATCACTCTGAACACAGCATTCTCAGTTCCCAGTATAAAAAGTGAAGTAGAGGTTCCTCTTCAAAGACTTTCCTCCCCGTCTAATTAGGAATAAATAGTAACTTCTCTTAGAAGCAAAGTTTATTCAAAGACCTGTGCTAACATTCTTAAATATCTGCTAGCCATAACAAAAAAATCAATGGACTTTATGTTCTTAGCTTCCATAATTTAGCCTAAATATTTGCCTTGGCATGCTTATACTGGTCCAAGCAAGCATTAGGTCACAGCCTGTTACTCTTCCTTATTTGAAGGTGTTTTTACCTGTCTCAGCATTCCACAAGTTACTTCCTCCTTTCTTTGTTCTCCTCTGCATTTGCCTCCTTTAAAAAGTTCTAAGTTGGCCGGGCACGGTGGCTCACGCCTGTAATCCCAGCACTTTGGGAGGCCGAGGCGGGCGGATCACGAGGTCAGGAGATCGAGACCATCCCGGCTAAAACGGTGAAACCCCGTCTCTACTAAAAATACAAAAAATTAGCCGGGCGTAGTTGCGGGCGCCTGTAGTCCCAGCTACTTGGGAGGCTGAGGCAGGAGAATGGCGTGAACCCGGGAGGCGGAGCTTGCAGTGAGCCGAGATCCCGCCACTGCACTCCAGCCTGGGCGACAGAGCGAGACTCCGTCTTAAAAAAAAAAAAAAAAAAAAAAAAAGTTCTAAGTTGCTAAACAATCGGGAAAAATACAGAATGTGAAGTCTCTTTTCAGCCAATAAAAACCAAACATAAAAGTAGGGTGGACACATCAGGTTATAAATGACCCTGTCTCTTTTGTTCAGTGTACTCTGGTAGCAAAACTGCTGGTGAGTGTGCCCTTTTTGCAAAAAGAATGGCCTTGCTAAGAAAATTAAATTTATTTTCAAGTACTATTTCTTTATGGCACCAGAGAACAAGCATTTCTAACAACAGTATGGACACTGAGTAACTCAGGGGGAATTGGTATCTCTGTGAAGAGGCAGAAGAAAATGCTGAGTCTGGGTGCACCACAGTGCACAGCAATGCTTTCCACATGCACCTATTAGGGTGTTAATTTAATTAGGCTGTTATTTGCATAGCTAGATACTTACTAAATTTAGTCATACTATTTTTTTAGCAGCTAATGACACCTGATACCCATTAATTTTATACATTTGCTTTTTTGAAAAATAAATATTTTGATAATTTTCTCTAAATTGAGACTACATTTACAATCTTCAATTTTTCAGCGTTGAAGCAAATCAGAGTAGAGCAATGAGTGTATATAATCTGCATTTTTCTGCCTATCAAAATTCTTCCGGCTGGGCATGGTGGCTCATGCCTGTAATCCCAGCACTCTGGGAGACCAAGGTGGGTGAATGACCTGAGGTCAGGAGTTCAAGACAAGCCTGGTTAACATGGTGAAACCTCATCTCTACCAAAAATACAAAAATTATCTGGGCATAAGGGCAGGTGCCTGTTATCCCAGCTACTTGGGAGGCTGAGGTGGAAGATTTGCTTGAATCAGGGAGGTGGAGGTTGCAGTGAGATGAGAATGCACCATTGCATTGCAGCCTGGGTGACAGAGAGAGAATCCCTCCTTCATTTACTTGGAAACCCTGGGAAGCCACCTACAAAATATTCCCTTTGAATACTTTAGCCAGGATTTTAGATTTCAAAAGGTCAAAAACAATCATTGAGCAAAGCCAAAATCTTTTTGTTTCTTGTTAGTCATCTGGCCATTTCCATAAATATGGCAATTATGCCAAGCCTTTGAAAAGATGTGGTTTTGGTTAATTTTGTCTCATTTCAAATGTTTTCTCTAATTGTTACTTTGGTCATGTGACTCTAAAAGAAACTATCTACATAACTAATCATGCATTCAAAAAATCTTCATATTAAGGTGTTTACAATTTAATCATGTAACAGTACAGTAGAATCTTCTGTAATTAGAAGTTAATTATAAGTTCATTGTTTTAAAAGTTTTTCAAATGTAAAAACAAACAATTAGGTATGCTTTTTGAAGTAAGTTCAATTCTAGGACATTACCCACTGGTCTTCATGGTATTTCTTCAATGAATAGTGTAAACCTGGGTCGCCAGAATGGTGCAGACATGCTGATTGAAATAGAATGAGTTCAGCCTTGTTGGTAGACTATTGGTATCCCAGAGGCTGATCATTCACTACAGCTTACTAAATACTGTTCCATAATGCCAGTGAGCACTTTTACCCAGGTTACCCTTTTCCTCCCATTAATGTGGACCTGTTGTGGTCTCCTGTTTCTCTTAAGCTATCCCAGGTGAGAGGTGTTTATTTCTTGCATGAATGAGAGTCCTTTTTTTCCCCTCTGCCATACGATCCTCTTATTCTCCTTACTGGAATCAACATACAGGAGGCAGGAATGATGACAATAAACAAACATGTTTCCCGCCATATGGCCACCATAAGCAGCTTACATGTTCCACGAAGAAGTCACTGACTTTCAGGCCAGCAGGGGTGTTTTTCTGTGATGTGTCTCTTTCTCTTAAAAGCACCTCTGATTAAGTTTAGCACAATAAGGATAATCTCCATTTTGATAAACACAAAGTTAACACATGAGTAACCTAATATCATGAATGATTTCCCACCACAGTCACACATGTTTTTAAACTCAAGAGGAGAGTATTACACAGCAGGTGTGCAACAGACTGAGAATCCAGGGTATTATCTTAGAATGTTGTCTATCCACCTAAATAAACTTTTAAAATAGTATTTTGCCGGTCACGGTGGTTCATGCCTGTAATACCAGCACTGTGGGAGGCTGATGTGGGCATATCAAGAGGTCAGGAGTTTGAGACCAGCCTGGCCAACATGATGAAACCCTGTCTCTACTGAAACTACAAAAATTAGTCAGGAATGATGGCACGGACTGTAATCCCAGCTACTGAAAAGGCTGAGGCATGAGAATTGCTTGAACCCAAGAGGTGGAGGTTGCAGTGAGCCGAGATCATGCCACTGCACTCCAGCCTGGGCGACTGAGCAAGACTTCATCTGGGAAAAAAAAAAGTCTTTCTGCTGCTTTTGTTATCTACATAAACAAAGCTATCATCTGGATTTAATAATTAACTACTTTCCAGTTTTATTCACTGTGAATATTAACTAACATCTTTCTTCTGGCTTATTTTTCCTGTATGCACCATTTTATACATTCACACACACACAGAACAATAAAAATATATCCAATTATTTAATTTTGTTGAATGTTTATAAAGGTAATTGTTAAAAATTATTTTTTTTTCTGTTTGAAGAGGGGTTTTATTGTTGTACTCAAGAGTGTTGTTTCTGGAGACAAAGTTGTCTGTGCTTTAATAGGCAGATTCCGGGGAGAATCTGAATCATAAGCCTTAACAGTTTACATTAATAAACTGAATACAAAGCAGAAAGTATAGATTTGCTTTCAGCATTTTCAAGGTGTTTAGTTAGTCACCTAATTAAAATAATTTCCTTTGTTGCAATAATTGCTCTTTGCTTCTGAAAATGTGTACAAACTCATACTCAGACAAAAACACTCACTTTATATTTTTCTTACACCTAAGGTTTATCTTCAGAGTAATATGAGTATATTTAACTCTATGTAAATTAAAACTAAAAGTCTATATGCTTGCAGGCAGAGAGACCACATGTTCAAAGAAAACTATATGACAAATATTTATTAATTATTTTTCAGGACTCAGAAATGTATGGACTTTATTTGTATTTCTTCTTTTTTTTTTTTTTTGAGATGGAGTCTCACTCTGTCACCCATGCTGGAGTGCAGTGGCGTGATCTCGGCTCACTGCAACCTCCATCTCCCGCGTTCAAACGATTCTCCTGCCTCAGCCTCCAGGCATGTGCCACCATGCCCGGCTAATTTTTTATTTTTAGTAGAGGTGGGGTTTTGCCATGTTGGCCAGCCTGGTCTTGAACTCCTAACCTCAAGTACTCCACCTGCCTCGGTCTCCCAAAGTGTTGGAATTACAGGCATGAGCCACTGCACCTGGCTGTATTTTATTTATATTTTTGTATAATTATTATGACCATAAAAAAATCCTGTAGTCAATAACAATTTAATTGTACATTTTAAAATAATGAAAGCATATAATTATACTGTTGGTAATACAAAGGATAAACGCTAGAGGTGATGGATACCTTATTTACCCTAATGTAATTACTACATATTGTAGGCCTCAATCAAAATATGCCATATAAGGCATAAATACATACACATACTATATACCCACAAATACAATAACAAATTTTGATAAGAAAAAAGAGTAAAAATTTAATCTATGGGAACAATATTCTTTAACTCTTTTGCAGTTTAATGCCACTGGCAAAGTGATAACTAGAGATGTTATTCCACTATGTACCAAATAGTATGTTGCTACCATCTTGTAGCTACACCCTTGAGTAAGGTGGGATAGGTTAAAGTTAGTGGCATAATAATGCTTCATTAAATGCACAATAGTATTAACATGGTAAAAAATAATAATAAAATTGAGTTCACACATAATCTAACTATTTTTTTTTTTTTGAGACAGAGTTTTGTTCTTGTTGCCCAGGCTGGTGTGCAATGGCATGATCTCGGCTCACCACAACCTCTGCCTCCCTGGTTCAAGCGATTCTCCTGCCTCAACCTCTTGAGTAGCTGGGATTACAGACATGCACCACCATGGCTGGCTAATTTTTTTGTATTTTTACTAGAGACGGGATTTCTCCACGTTGGTCAGGCTGGTCTCGAACACCCGACCTCAGGTGATCTGCCCACCTTGGCCCCCCAAATTGGTGGGATTACAGGTTTGAGCCATTGAGCCCAGCCCTAACAATTGTTAGATGTACTGCATTTTATTACATAAAACTACAATTAGTAAAATAATATACTAATTTATTTTAATATACTTTTAACTATAATTATTTATGTCACTATAATGTAGAAAAGTATTGCTCTGAACATTTACCTTATACATTACTTAATAGAGGTTTACTACAAAAAGCCTCTCCGCTTATATTTTCATTATGCATCTTACATTTTAATGTCCTTACTCTTTTATAGAAAAAGTCATAATGTCCAAATAATTTTCAAAAATCTCTAATATCTCTGATGCAGAAGCAATTTATCACGTCCTTTCACATGTGAATAAGAGTAAAATAACAGCGTAAAGTAATTTAAAAGCTGTATGACATCATTATGCAGTTTTCAAAAAATTTTATTCAAGGAAACAAGTATACTTTCAATGTAATTACAATGCTTCCAAAAATCTACTCCTTTTACAGTTACATGCAAATCATTTATCTAAAAACTGTAGTTGTGGATTAGTTTTTATACTCAACACTCTGATTTAGTGTAATGTCTGAAGTGTCAGTGCCTTAGTTATTCTACTGTAAATTCTCTGATATTTAAATACATTCTATTTTGAATTAGTTTTTTATATTTACCACATTTGCAAAATTATATTTTGGTATAAACTCTCTGGTGTTTTCTAAGCTGTAGTTTCTGAAAAAAAAAATAAGTGTTTCTAAGCTTATTACATTTGCAGGACTCATCTCCAATATAAATTCCCTGTTGTTGAACAAAGCTTGAGCAACTGCTTCAAGGTTTTCCTCTAGTGCAAAGTGTGTGCAATAGGATCAGTGATACAAGTAAATGTACTATAACCCCCTTTATATTTGTAATAGTTGTCTTCACAATACTCTTCTTCACATTAAATGCTTATACTTTCTGAAAGATTTCTTGACTGTAATTGCACTTTTAATGCTTTTATTAAAAGGAACCTTTTTATGTTGAGTAAGATGTGAGTAGGAATTAATGGGTTTTCCATATTCCTTATAGTTGTACAATTTTTCTCAAGGATACTAGCTTTCCTGTGAAATAAAGTATAAGAACGGATGAAAAGTTTTGCCACATTTTTCACACTTGTAGGAGTTTTGCCAATATGAATTATCTTAACTACAATCGAGTGTGGCAACCATATAAAGGCTTTGTCACATTTTATATATCTCTAGGTTTTCACACTAGTATAATTATTTTTATGTATAGAGAAGTTGGAGGTGTTGGTAAAAACTCTGTCAGTCACATTTCTTAGGTTTGTAGAGTTCCTCTTCAGCATGAATTATCACCAAGTCTCCTAAGAATTGAGAACTTGTGGCTGGGCATCGTGGCTCATGCCTATAATCCCAGCACTATAGGAGGCCAAAGCAGGTGGATCACCAGAGGTCAGGAGTTCAAGGCCAGCCTGGCAAACATGGCAAAATCGTGTCTCTACTAAAAATATATAAATTAGCTGGGCATAGTGTTAGGCAGCTGTAATCTCAGCTACTAGGGAAGCTGAGGGAGGAGAATGGCTTGAACCCAGGAGGCGGAGGTTGCAGTGAGCCAAGATCGTGGCATTGTACTCCAGCTTGGGTGACAAGAGTGAAACTTCATCTCAAAAAAAAAACCAAAAAGAATTGAAAACCTGTTATAGGTTTTGCCCCATTCTTCACACTTGTAGGATTTCTGTCCAGTATGAATTCTGTATAATAAGGGTTGAGAACTTCCTAAAAGTTTTGTCACATTCTTTATATTTGTAGGGTTTATGTTCCATATAAATTCTCATATTTAGTAAAAGTTGATAGCTGGTTAAAGGCTTTCCCACATTCATCAAACTCATAGGGTTTCTCTCCAGTATGAACTATCTTATGTCTGGTAAGTGTAGAGGAGTGCTTAAAGGCTTTGCACATTTTCACATTTGTATGGTTTCTCTCCCATATGAATTATCTCATGTCTACTAAGGTTTGAGGATGAAATAAAGGCCTTGCCACATTTATCGCACTTGTATGGTTTCCCTCCAATATGAATTTTCTTATGCGAAAAAAAGTTGCAGAATGGTTAAAAGCTTTGCCACATCGTTCACACTTGTATGGTTTCTCTCCAGTATGAATCATTTTATGTGTAATAAGAATAGAGGACCAACTGAAGGTTTTGCCACATTCTTCACATTTGTAGGGTTTCTCTTCAGTATGAATTTTCTTATGTGTAGTAAGGTTAGAGGAGAAGTTAAAGGCTTTGCCACAGTCTTCACATTTGTAGGGTTTCTCTCCAGTATGAATTTTCTTATGTGTAGTAAGGTTTGAGGACTGGTTGAAAGCTTTGCCACATTCTATACATTTGAAAAGTTTTTTCCAGTATGTCTTATCTTATGTCTGTTTGAATTTGAAAATTGATGAAAGACTTTCCCATATTTATCACATTGAAATATTTTGCTCTGGGTAGTTGTCAAACATTGGTTAAGTCCATTATAACCTCTTTTGTGCGCCTTACACTCATCTACACTTTCACAGCCTTCTTTTAACTGTAAATTCTCATGTCCACATTTTTCATATCTTCTCAGTATCAGTTTTTGGAAATAATCTTTTATGCTCTGCTCTGGCCAAAGATTTTGGGTAAAATGAGAACACAAAACTGAAAGAAACAATAAAAACACATTACTTCAATTGCTAGACTCAGATAAATATACTTTACAAATCTAACCTATAAAATTATACAAACTACATAAGCAAGATGACATAGCAAAATACCACAAGCTGTAATTTCTTCCTGGACATATAAAGGTAACAAAAACATACTGACCAAAATACATTTGTAAAAAATTTATAAATGGGTTAAATGGATGAAGGGCCCCAGGTGAGCACAATGCAAAGAGCCACATAGAAGAAAAAGAAAAGTCTGTTACTTATACCCAACAGAGCTCTTCCTGCTCTCCAGTATAATATTGTGTCTTTAAAAGTAAATTGCTGGTTGGGCGCAATGGCTCACGCCAGTAATCCCAGCACTTTGGGAGGCTGACATGGGTTGATCATGAGGTCAGAAGTTCAAAAGCAGCCTGGCCAAGATGGTGAAACTCCATCTCCACTAAAAACAGAAAAAATTAGACAGGTGTGGTGGCAGGCACCTGTAATCTCAGTTACTCAGGAGGCTGAGACAGAGAATTGCTTAAACCCAGGAGGCAGAGGTTGCAGTGAGCTGAGATCATGCCACTGCACTCCAGCCTGGGTGACAGAGTGAGACTCTGTAATGGCAGAGTTGTAGTGACCAAGATCATGCCTCTGAGGCCGGGTGCTGTGGCTCACACCTGTAATCCCAACACTTTGGGAGGCCGAGGTGGGCAGATTACCTGAGGTCAGGAGTTCAAGATGATCCTGGCCATCATGGTAAACCACATCTCTACTAAAAATACAAAAACTTAGCCAGGTGTGGTGGCATGCACCTGTAATCCCAGCTACTTGGGAGGCTGAGGCAGGAGAATTGCTTGAACCCGGGAAATAAAGGTTGCAGTGAGCTGAGATTGCACCATTGCATTCCAGCCTGGGTAACAAGAACAAAACTCTATCTCAAAAAATAAAATTAAATAAAATGAATAAATAAATGAACATATAAATAAAATTATATAAAGAAAAAGATATAGAATGCCTGAATGGTTTTTCAAAAAGTATACACTATGCTGCCTATGAGAGATCATTTTAACATTGAGTCAAATAGGCTGAAATTAACAGAATGAAAAAAAGTTATATTCCATGAAGATAGTAACCACAATTGAGTGAGGTGGTCATAATTATATTAGACAGAATATGCTTTAAGTCAAGTACTACCATGAGAAAAGATTGATATTATATTATGGCAAAAGTGAGTTGATTTAGCAGGGATCTATACTACTTATCTATCTCTATGTATATGTGTATATAACATCAGGGCTTCAAAATATATAAAGCAAATATTGACAAAAGTGAAGCAAGACATACATAGCAACATAATCATTGTAGACATCAAGACCCCATTTGCAATAATAAATAGAAAACTCAGATAAAAAATAAGAAAAAGAAAGCTGAGATAACATTATAGACCATATTAATTATTTTACATATAGAAGAATAGTTGAGAGTGCATAATTTATAAAGAAAAAATGTTTATTTGACTCACAGCTCACCAGACTGTACAAGAAGTGTGTGTCAGCATCTGCTTCTGATGAGGATTTCAGGAAGCTTAAAATCATGGTGGAAGGTAAAGTGTAACTGGGTATATTACATGGTAAGAGACAGAGCAAGTGTGAGGTGAAGGAGCCAAGTTCTCTTAATGAACCAGCTCTTATTTGAATTGATAGAGTGTAAACTTTTTGGTTATGAAGAGTATGTACCAAGCCATTCGTGAGAAATTCACCCTCATGACCCAAACAAGTCCCACCAGGTCCCACATCCAACATTGAAGATTTATATCCCAGCATGAGGTTTGGACAACATGGACATCCAAACCATATTATAGACCAACTAGGGTTCAAAGACACATACAAAACTCTCCAGTCAAAACCAAGATAATATACAATATTCTTATTTGCTTCTGGTGTATTCTGTTAGGACATATACCAAGTTTTATTAAATTTAAAAATATCTACTGGGTGCCATGGCTCTTGCCTATAATCCTAACACTTTGGAGATCCATTGAGGCCAAAAGTTTGAGAACAGCCTGGGCATCATAGTGAGATCCTAACACTACAAACAAGTAAACAATTAGCCAGACATGGTAGTGCATGTCTACAGTCCTACCTACTCAAAAAACTGAGGTGAAAGAATCACTTTAGTATTAGGAGATATACCTAATGCTAAATGATGAGTTAATGGGTGCAGCACACCAGCATGGCACATGTATACATATATAACTAACCTGCACATTGTGCACATGTACCCTAAAACTTAAAGTGTAATAAAAAAATTTAAAAAATTTAAAAAAAAGAAAGAATCACTTGAGCCCAGGAGTCTGAGGCTACAGTGAGCCACAATTATGCCACTGTGACAGTAAGATCTTGTCTCAAAACAACAACCAATCACTTTAGAAACACTAAAATTATACACTGTGTGTTTTCTAACAAAAACTGAATGAAATTAAGAATTAAAAGCAAAAGTCAAACTGGCAAATTCACAAATATGTGAATATGAAACACACTCTTCAACATATTCTTGCTCAGGGGCAAAATATTTTATTTTTCAAAGATGTCAATACAACCTACAGTTAAAACCTACAGTAACATAAAAAAGTGATACTGACACAAAGACAAACAGATGAAAGAACAGAATAGAGAGCCCAGAAATAAACCCTTCTGTATATGATCACATAATCTTCCAGAAAGTTGCCATGCATATGAAATAGAAATAATCTCTTCAAAAAATGATGTTGAAAACTGAATGTCAACACTGATAAAATAAAGTTGGATTATTTCCTTGAATGATACAATAATATATTTTAAACTAAATACAAGACATAAAATGCACAAAAGGGAAAAAAACATTTGAAAGAACATACAAAATTACTAATTTGTAGAGAAATCAAAAAAAAGCACAATGCCAACAAAATCACCTCACACCCATTAGGTGCAATAAAAATAAAACCAATGTTGATTGCTGGTGGAAAACAAAGACGCAGCCATTATTTTAAAATGTTATAAATGTTCCTCATTTATAAATCTATATCTAAACTATGTAACACAGGCCAGGTGCAGTGGCTTAAGCCTGTAATTCTAGCACTTTGGGAGCCTGATATGGGCAGATAACTTGAGGTCAGAGGTTTGAGACCAGCCTGGCCAAAATGGTGAAATACCATTTCACTAAAAATATAAAAATTAGCTTGGTGATGTGACATGCACCTGTAATCCCAGCTGCTTGGAAGGCTGAGGTAAGAGAATCACTTTAGCCCAGAAGGCAGAGGTTGCAGTGAGCCAAGATCACACCACTGCACTTTAGCCTGGACAACAGAGTGAGACTCCAGCTCAAAAAGAAAAGAAAAGAAAAGAAAACAACAATAACAAAAAAACAAAATATGCAACACAGGACCTGGAAGACATAACTGAAAATCCATGCGTATTGTACCAGTATTCACAGAAATGAAAAAATCCAGCCGGGCACATTGGCTCATGGCTGTAATCCCAACACTTTGGGAGGCAGAGGTGGGCAGATCATCTGAGGTCAGGAGTTTGAGACAAGCCTTGCCAACATGTTGAAACCCCATCTCTACCAAAAAAATACAAAAAATTAGCTGGGTGTTTTGGTGAGCACCTCTAATCCCAGCTACTCGGGAGGCTGAGGCAGGAGAGCCGCTTGAACCCAAGAGGTGAAGGTTGCAGTGAACCAAAATCACGCCATTGCCCTTTAGCCTGGGCAAAAAGAGTGAAAGCCCCACTCAAAAGAAAATAAACAAACAAATAAATAAATAAATAAATAAATAAAAATCCTATAATTCCTTTTTGCCTGCAGCAAACTTAAATGCATAAGTAACTAGTTTAGTAAATATGGGTCCCTACAAATTATCTAATTTACTTCAGGCATACCATGAACATTCTAGCATATTGTCCTAAATATCTGAATCTAAAATTATGGATTTCTTCAGATGAAGAAACATAGGTCAACAGTTGCTGTTTGTAGATCATAGAATCCTATATTTAAAAAACCATAAACAGTACATTAAAACCTGTCTAAACTAATAAATAAACTCAGTAAATTAGCAAAATATAAAATTAACACACAAGTATATGTATGGTTTCATATACTTAAAACAAACTATCTGATAAGGAAGAAAAAATCTTATTTAATGTAGCATTAAATAACAAATTTCTGAGAAAAACATTAACCAAGGAGGTAAAAAATGTTTACAGTAAAAAAATAAAAAAATTAGAAGATCAAAATTAATTTTAAAATATTTATGTCTACGGATTGAAAGAATATCATTAAAGTTTCATATTATCCAAAGTGATCTATAGATTCAATAAACTTCCCATCAAAATTGCAGTGGTTTTTTTTACAGTAATGGAAAAGACAATTCTAAAATTTACATGAAACTAAAACAAACTTTGAATAGCCAAAGCAATCTTGAGGAAAAAGAACAAAGCAGAAGGATATCATACTTAAAATTTCAAACTATATTTCAAGACTGTGTCATAATAAAAATAGAATGGACTGTGAACAAAAATGAACAAAAAAATGCAACAGAAACTACTACTCTCACATATTTCAGACCTGATGCAAAAAGAGAACTAAAAAATAGTTTTAGTTTCTCAAAATCATGCAGATATTTGTGTGTCCCCAAAACAATGAAAAAGCAGCCAGATTGTGCAGTCTCTTATATGCCATGAAGAGGACTTTGGCTCTCACTGTGAACTTGAAGGAAGCTCACTGAAAGAAAAGTAGAATTTTTAGAGAATTTAAAAGCATAAGACAGAAGATGCCCCTTTGTGAGAGCAAAATTTAAAAAATAAATAAATAAATAAATAAAACAGCTGCCCAGGAAGTATTTCTTTGGAACACAGCTTCCTGAATCACACTTTAAGGACTGGCTTTCTCTTTCACCTTGGGACCTCTTACCTGTGTCATCTGTTGTATTCATTTTCACTCACACCTACCTGAGGGGTTGGCTACCATCTCATGTCTCTTCATAGTCAAAGGTTTTTTTCCTTGCTCCAGATGGGTGATGAGGTCTGGCTTTAAGACAACAATACCTGTTTTATCAAAAATAAATAACATGAATCTTGCTCATATTCTCCAATTACAAGCTAGTAATGTGCTCAGCAAAGACGATGTGACAAAATATTCTGGTAAATTAATACCAAAATACAAATTTATAACAGCAATTTCTAAATATTTAGAAAATATTTTCAATTTGCCTGGTGCAGTGGCTCATGCCTGTAATCCCAGCATTCTGGGAGGCCAAGACAGGTAGATCACAAGGTCAGGAGTTTGAGACCAGCCTGGCCAGCATGGAGAAACCCCATCTCTACTAAAAATACAAAAATTAGCCCAGCATGGTGATGTGCATCTGTAGTCCCAGATACTCGGGAGGCTGAGGCAGGAGAATTGCTTGAACCTGGGAAGTGGATGTTGCAGTAACCCAAGATTGCACCACTGCACTCCAGCCTGGGCAACAGAGCAAGACTCCATCTCAAAAAAAAAAAAAAGAAAATACTTTCAATTTGTAGGTTTCTTAATTTTACTGCCTGGTACTACTGAATCAAAAATTGGTGGTGGCAATTAGATTTTCAGGTGGAAGCTGCAATATTTTTGTGTGTGTGTGTGTTTTAATCTTTTATTTATTTTTATTTTTTATTTATTTTTTTTTGTATTGATCATTCTTGGGTGTTTCTCGCAGAGGGGGATTTGGCAGGGTCATAGGACAATAGTGGAGGGAAGGTCAGCAGATAAACAAGTGAACAAAGGTCTCTGGTTTTCCTAGGCAGAGGACCCTGCGGCCTTCCGCAGTGTTTGTGTCCCTGGGTACTTGAGATTAGGGAGTGGTGATGACTCTTAACGAGCATGCTGCCTTCAAGCATCTGTTTAACAAAGCACATCTTGCACCGCCCTTAATCCATTTAACCCTGAGTGGACACAGCACCTGTTTCAGAGAGCACAGGGGTGGGGGTAAGGTCATAGGTCAACAGGATCCCAAGGCAGAAGAATTTTTCTTAGTACAGAACAAAATGAAAAGTGTCCCATGTCTACCTCTTTCTACACAGACACAGCAACCATCCGATTTCTCAATCTTTTCCCCACCTTTCCCCCTTTTCTATTCCACAAAACTGCCATTGTCATCATGGCCCGTTCTCAATGAGCTGGTGGGTACACTTCCCAGACGGGGTGGTGGCCGGGCAGAGGGGCTCCTCACTTCCCAGTAGGGACCGCCGGGCAGAGGCGCCCCTCACCTCCAGGACGGGGCGGCTGGCCGGGCGGGGGGCTGACCCCCCCCACCTCCCTCCCGGACGGGGCCCCTGCCGGGCGGAGGGTCTCCTCACTTCTCAGATGGGGCGGCCGGGCAGAGATGCTCCTCACCTCCCAGACGGGGTCGCGGCCGGGCAGAGGCACTCCTCACATCCCAGACGGGGCGGCGGGGCAGAGGCGCTCCTCACATCCCAGACGGGGCGGCGGGGCAGAGGCACTCCCCACATCTCAGACGATGGGCAGCCGGGCAGAGATGCTCCTCACTTCATCCCAGACGATGGGCAGCCAGGCAGAGACGCTCCTCACTTCCTAGACAGGATGGCGGCTGGGCAGAGACGCTCCTCACTTTCCGACTGGGCAGCCAGGCAGAGGGGCTCCTCACATCCCAGATGATGGGTGGCCAGGCAGAGACGCTCCTCACTTCCCAGACTGGGTGGCGGCCGGGCAGAGGCTGCAATCTCGGTACTTTGGGAGGCCAAGGCAGGCGGCTGGGAGGTGGAGGTTGTAGCCAGCTGAGATCACGCCACTGCACCCCAGCCTGGGCACCATTGAGCACTGAGTGAACGAGACTCCGCCTGCAATCCTGGCACCTCGGGAGGCCGAGGCTGGTGGATCACTCGCGGTTAGAAGCTGGAGACGAGCCCGGCCAACACAGTGAAACCCCGTCTCCACCAAAAAAGTACGAAAACCAGTCAGGCGTGGCGGCGCTCGCAGGCACTAGGCAGGCTGAGGCAGGAGAATCAGGCAGGGAGGTTGCAGTGAGCCGATATGGCAGCAGTACAGTCCAGCTTCGGCTCGGCATCAGAGGGAGACCGTGGAAAGAGAGGCAGAGGGGAGAGGGGAGAGGGAGGTTGCAATATTTTATGTCAATAAATTTCTGGAATTACCACTAATTTAGAGTGAAAAATACAACTCAACTCAGAAATGTGGAAAGTTTATATTTAGATGAAACATGTTGAAGAAATTTTTTTCTTTTTTTTTTTTCCTTGAGATGGAAACTTGCTCTGTCACCCAGGCTGGAGTGTAATGGCATGATCTCAACTCACTGCAACCTCTGCCTCTTGGGTTCAAGCGATTCTCCTGCCTCACCCTCCTAAGTAGCTGGGGTTACAGGTGTGTGCCACAGCCCCCAGCTAATTTTTTGTACTTTCGTTAGTTGGCCAGGCTGGTCTCAAGCTCCTGGCCTCAGGTAATCCCCCGCCTCAGCCTCCCAAAGTGCTGGGATTACAGGCATGAGGCACGGAAGTAATTCTTTTCTAAATGCACAAATTCTGAAGATTTTCTTGAAAAACTGGATCTGAAACTCATTTATAAAAAGAACAAATTACTAAAACACATTCTACAAAAAAGAGAAATAAACCTTTTGTGTATATTATGAATTATATATTCAAGTTGTCCTCACCAAGGAAGACCAAGTTTCTGTAGTTCTCTAACATCACATCCCTATATAAATTCCGCTGTGCTGTGTCCAGGCAATGCCACTCCTCCAGAGAGAATTCTATGGCCACATCTCTGAATTGTAATGTCCTCTGAAAAATACACACACACATTTTCACCAAGTGACCATGAATGAAATTTTTAATTTGACTTAAGGTGAAATGAGAGAGTAAAGACACCTGGTTCTGACTTATAGTACTGATGAAAATTATCCAATAAAATAATTTTCAACACAGAAATACTCTCCAAAATATTCTCTAACTCTGAGAAAAAAGAGAAGCATAAGATCCACAACATCAGTTCATATATTTTTCTAGATAATAAAGTATAAATTTAAGGGCATGAACATGAACAGGTACATTTTTGAGTGCTATATTTACATCATATGGAAAGAGTTGTGAATATTTTTCAGATGAAAATGACATGTTGAGTTAGAAGACACTTCTCAAATTTTAATATGTGCAATAAGCTGAATACCTTGTTATACAGGGTTTTTTTTTCCAGAAGATCTGGAATAAAGTCTGATTTTTTGAATTTCTAACAAGCTCATCAATAATGTCAATGTTTTTGGCCAAAGAAGGAGGATATTTTGTCAAACAGCCAGTAAGTGGAAGAGCCTGTGTTTTTCCCAGTTTTTCTGACCTGTAAACAAAGATAAGAACCTTCATTTTCCAAAGAAAAATATATAGATAAAAATAAGAAAAAAGGACAGCTGCCAGATTAAATGTGATGGTTTATGCACATCAGCTGCATAAACATACTTAATAATGAAGAGAAAAATAACTAGCTACATAGTGAAAAAATCTGCCAGAGGGCTATTTAAGCAAGTGAATCATTAACTGCATTAGGACTAATTTTTATGATGTGCTAATGCACACAGAACACAGCATCACTGTTGAAATATTCCTCTTTTAAAAAAGTAAGTAAAATCTGAATTTAATCATAAAGAATCATTTGTTTTATGGAAACCACAAAATACAGATAAATCCTATGCTCTGTAATTTTTAGTAGTAATTTTAAGTCGGCTTCATTTAGCACCCTAGAGAGCAGGTATCTCCTAATAATTTTTTTCAGAAATTTCTGAGTAATAAATGCCATCACATTTAAATGAGCAATTTTTTTTTTTTTTTTTTTTGAGATGAAGTCTCACTCTTGTCCCCCAGGCTGGAGTGCAATGGTGCAATCTTGGCTGACTGCAACTTCCACCTCCTGGGTTCAGGTGGTTCTCCTGCCTCAGCCTCATGAGTAGCTGGGATTACAGGCACCTGCCAACAAGCCTGGCTAATTTTTGTATTTTTAGTAGAGACAGGGTTCCACCATGGTGGCCAGACTGGTCTCAAACTCCTGATCTCAGGTGGCCTTCCCACCTCGACTTCCCAAAGTGCTGGGATTACAGGCATGAGCCACCACACCTGACATATATAAGCAATTTCTTAATCCTGTTCTGCATACAGCTAATGGAACACAGGAATAGAGCCTCAACTTTACATGTTCTCCATCTTTACTAAGGACCACAGTTTTCCCCAATAGAAATCTTGAGTATCCACATCTTTCCATGTTCAACAGCCAGAAAGGGAACATTTTTAATATTGCAAATCATGAATACTTGTTGAAAAATCTGCATGGCATATAAGAAGTTATTGTGTAGAGAAAGAAGAGAAGGCTCTGGGATACAGGAAAGAAACATTTTTCAGAGACCCTTGACTATCATAAGAATTTTAAGAAGTACTTAAACCAAACTACTTAGGAAGGAAAAACACAAGTAGAGAAATAAAAGTTTGCAAGTACTAAATGCATGGCATTCCAGGAGGCAGAGTGGACACAGCATTTCAGCTGAGGCATGTTTACCTGAAGAAAAGCCTTTTTTGTTTTTTCTATCTCCTACTTCTCTGGAATTCCTTCTCAGATGAGATTCTCTAAAAAAATTACCCCTGCATCTTGAGAATATGCCTTTAAAGGTGTCAGTGCCACATGTTTACCAGCTAGCGTAACATCAACCAGCAGAAAAAGACAGAAAAATCCACCCATTTCTGTCCTTTAAAACAGAAGAGATTCAGAAACAATGAGCTGCTCCATGAAGATGAAAATATAAGTTTCTCCTTTCCTGTCCTGAGGTGCCCTCCCCTGCCACAGACACCAGCAATTTCTGCTACAGTAATGGAAATATGCACCACACTGACCTGTCCCTACTAAACCCAAAGAGAACAGGCCCTGTGACCACCCTTTAGTCCAAAGGTGGAACTTAACTCTCATGAATGTATTTTGAAATCCTCATACCAGATTCTGGTCTCACCTCAGATTCACATGAGGCCCTTCATTAAAACAACATGGATGCTTCCACCCAGAACAATAAACAGAAGCTGTGGGGAGGGCACAAGAGATTTCTGCAAATTGGCCATTTGATCCTAATGAGAAGCCTGGGCTGATAATCCCTAAGCTAATTATTGCCTCTCAAGCTTTAAAGAGCCTATAAATCACTTGGTAATTTTGGCCCCACTTTATGTAATGTGATTCTGCAGGTTTGAAAAGCGTCCATGAATGGGTGTTTTAAACAATCCCCTATAAATGCTGGTGTTGCTCCCCATTGGTTCATTATTACCATTAGTTACAGAAGCAGGCACAGCACAGGGTCCCTTACACTCAGCACTCTTGTTGCAACCAAATACTTCTGGTACAAACAAGAACAATCCATCTCCATGTTAAAGTTTTATATTCTTTGCTGGCTCTTTAAAGTTTACAGAGGAAACAGAATGCAGCAATGTCTGAATAAGTCTGGATTTAAAAAACAACATGTACACATGTACTAATGCAATGTTTATTAAGCAGGTACTATGTGCTCAAGAGTGTGATACAGAGCACTGTGCTGGGCATAACACATTATGTGATTTAATTCTCATAACACCATGGGAGCTGGTACTAAGGGTTTAATAATTTCCAGGATTTAGATAAAGGGCCCAGCATTTTTATTTCTTCTTGTGTTTCTCTGTCATCAAATTTTTTAAAAAATTATAAAGAATAAAAGCTAAATATAGGCAGATGAAACAGATATAAAAAGAGGTTAATGTAGTTTAGACACGATTTTATTCTGTTTATATTTACTTTTTTGTGACTTATGGAGCAAGTACTGTATCTGCAGAAATAGAAAACAAGTTTCTAAATACAATGTCTCTGCAAGCACTGGTTTTAATAGAACATTTAAATAGTAGCACCCTAAAATATATACCTTATTTATCCCATTTATCAGCTTTTGGCTTTCAGGAAATTGTAAGCACCAGCTCTAGAAAGGCAACAGGATTCACCAGCCAAAACTCTGATCTCTTCTAATCAGTTATCTGAGGCAGGACTCCAAGGTAGGATCAGAACTAAATAAGTCCTCCAAAAAGGGTGAATCTGAACAGATCTGCGGCAAGGTGGCAACCCTACATAGAATTCTGGTGTCTATGCCACTGCAGTACTAGTAGTTTTGTTTTTTCTAAGCTTACCAAAAAAAAAAAAAAAAACTTAAATCCCAGAGTTTCTGTAATTTTAATATTTTCTAGCCACTGCCCTGTCAAATTTATACTACATACTAATACACAGTTTAAACAAATCCTTTAAGCTTTGCTAGGGTTTTTTATGGCTTTTTATTTTATTTTGAGATGGAGTCTCACTCTGTTGCACAGGCTGGAGTGCAGTGGTGCCATCTCGGCTCACTACAACCTCTGCCTCCAGGGTTCAAGTGATTCTTCTGCCTCAGCCTCCCAAGTAGCTGGAACTACAGGTGTGCACCAACACACACGGCAAATTTTTGTATTATTAGTAGAGACAGCATTTCACTATATTGGCCAGGCTGGTCTCGAACTCTTGACCTTGTGATCCACCTGCCTCAGTCCCACAAAGTGCGAGGATTACAGACATGAGCAACAATGCCCAGCCTTTCTTAGGTAATTTTATTAGAAAATAAATATGTACACTTAGTAAAGTAAAAGAAGTAGAAATTATATGGCCAGATGTGGTGGCTCACACTTGTAATCCTAGCACTTTGGAAGAATAACGTTGGTAGATCATGACATCAGGAGTTTGAGACCAGCCTGACCAAGATGGTAGGGCTTTATATTATGCCACTACACTCCAGCCTGGGCAACAGAGTGAGACTCTGTCTGAAAAAAAGAAAATACTGTTTTATTTATATGAATGCAGGTTGTCTACAAACACTACACATAATGATGCTAATTGTTCTGAAGTAATAAATTGAAAGCAAGGTACAACTACAGACTCCACTGTTCAGTTTATGCACTGAACTGTTCTTGTTTTTCCAGTATAAGTACTTCAGTCTGCAAATATTGGATAATTTCCTTGGATAATCAGGTTTCTGTCAAAAAAATTTAGTATCTTTTAGTGTTTATCATTCTGTATTGCTAAATTTAATTTTATCTTTGTGCTAAGCTTCTGTGTGCTCTTAAATTAGCTTTTATCTAAACAAATCTGTGTCTACTTTAAAGGACTAAAAATGAAAAAAATAAACTTTTCAGAAGCTAAAACAAAGCAATAAATCTGAAGTACCAGAAAAAGAAAATCTGGAGTCATAAAAAATAACAAAAGATTTATTTAGCTGTTAATATCGCTTGCATATATTTCAAAAAAGCAGAGAAAAATATCTGCATATAATCTGAATCCCTTAAAAGCAGAGAGAATAGCAAAATTTGTTTTCAAACTTTTTAAAGAGTTTTTGAACTCTTGGGCATCTGAATTTTGAACACTGTATGCACTTCAAAGAATGGTTATGGAGAAAAAGGAGAAGAGGCCGGGCGCGGTGGATCACGCCTGTAATCCCAGCACTTTGGGAGGCCGAGGTGGGTGGATCAAGAGGTCAGGAGATCGAGACTATCTTGGCTGACACGGTGAAACCCCGCCTCTACTAAAAATACAAAAAATTAGCCGGGCGCTGTGGCCTGTAGTCCCAGCTACTCGGGAGGCTGAGGCAGGAGAATGGCGTGAACCCGGGAAGCGGAGCTTGCAGTGAGCCGAGATCGCGCCACTGCACTCTGCCTAAGCGACAGAGCGAAACTCTGTCTCAAAAAAAAAAAAAAAAGAAGAGACAAAGATGTTATAAAAAAATCCATGAGTGCACAAGACCAATGCAACAGAATAGAGAGCACAGAAATAATGCCACCTTCCTACAACCATCAGATTTTTGACAAAGCTGACAAGAGGAATGTAGCAAGAATTCTCTATTTAATAAATGGTGCTGGAATAACTACCTAGCACTATGTAGAAGACTGAAACTAGATTCCTTCATTACACCATATACAAAAATCAACTCAAGATAAATTAAACACTTAAATGTAAACTTAAAATTATAAGAAACCCTGCATGATAACCTAAGAAACACTATTCTAGACACAGAAACCGGCAAAGACTTCATGATGAAGCTACTAAAAGCAATTGCAACAAAAGCAAAAATTGACAAATGGGACCTATTTAAACTAAAACCCTTCTTCACAGCAAAGGAAACCATCAACAGAGGAAAAAGACAACCTACAGAATAAAAGAAAATATTTGCAAGTTTTGCCTCTGACAAAGGTCTAATCTCCAGAATTTATTAGAAACTTAAATAAGTTTAAAAGAAAAACCTAAACAACCTCATTAAAAAGTAGGCAAAATACATGAACAGATGCTTTTCAAAAGAAGATACATATGTGGCTAACAAGCATATGGAAAAAAATGCTCATTGCTAATCATTAGAGAAAATTTTTTTTAAAAAAACCACAATGAGACACCACCTCACACCAGTCAGAATGGCTATTTTTAAAAAGTCAATAAATAACAGATGCTGGCAAGGTTGCAGAGAAAAGGGAATGCTTATACTCTGCTGGAGGGAGTGTAAATTAGTTCAACAACTGTAAAAAGCAGTGTGGTGATTCCTCACAGAACTAAAAACAGAATTATCATTTGACCCAGGAATCTTATAATTGGGTATATAACCAAAGAAATATAAATTATTATATTATAAAGACACATCCACATGCATGTTCACTGCAGCACTATTCACAATAGCAAAGATAAGGACAGGCCCTAAATGCCTATGAGTAGTAGATTGGATAAAGAAAATATGGTATGGTCAGATCTGGTGGCTCATGCCTGTAATCCCAGTACTTTGGGAGGCCAAGGCAGGTGGATTGCCAGAGCTTAGAAGTTTGAGACCAGCCTGGGCAACATGGCAAAATCCTGTGTCCACGGAAAATACAAAAAGAAAAATTGATCAGGCGCAGTGGCTCATGCCTGTCATCCCAGCACTTTGGGAGGCCAAGGCAGGCAGATCACGAGGTCAGGCGATCAAGACCATCCTCGCTAACACGGTGAAACCCCGTTTCTACTAAAAATACAAAAAATTAGCTGGGCGTGGTGGCGGGAGCCTGTAGTCCCAGCTACTCTGGAGGCTGAAGCAGGAGAATGTCATGAACCCGGGAGGCGGGGCTTGCAGTGAGCCGAGATCGCATCACTGCACTCCAACGGAGTGCAACAGAGTGAAACTCCACCTCAAAAAAAAAAAAAGAAAAATTGGCCAGACGTGGTAACGCACATGTGAACTCACAGCTACTTGTGAGGATGAGATAGGAGAGAATTGCTTGACCCTGAAGTAAGCCAATATCATGCCATGACACTGTAGCCTGGGCAATAAGCGAGACCCTACCTCAAAAAAGTAAAATAAAATAAAAGATTTAGTAAAAACAAAATATGGTACATAAACATCATGGAAAACTCTGTGTCTATTAAAAAACAAAACGATCATGTCCTTTCCAATAACATCAATGAAGCTAGAGACCATTATTCTCAGAAAACTAATTCAGAGGCTGGGAGCGGTGGCTCACACCTGTAATCCCAGCACTTTGGGAGGCCGAGGCGGGGTAATCACCTGAGGTTGGGAGTTTAAGACCAGCCTGACTAACATGGAAAAACCCTGTCTTTACTAAAAATACAAAATTAGCCAGGGGTAGTGGCATGCACCTGTAATCCCAGCAACTTAAGAGGCTGAGGCACGAGAATTGCTTGAACCTGGGAGGCTAAGGTTGCAGTAAGTCAAGATTGCACTATCGCACTCTAGCCCGGGTAACAAGAGCAAAACTCTGTCTCAAAAATCAAAACAAAACAAAAACATAAAAGAAAACTAATGCAGAAAGTGAAAACCAAATGCATGTTATTATTTATAAGTAAGAGTTAAGTAATAAGAACACAAAAACACAAAGAGGAGAACAACAGACACTGAGGCCTAGATGAGGGTAGACGGTGGGAGGACTAAGAGGATGAGAAAACAGACCTGTTTGGTGCTACGGGTAGTACCTCAGTGACAAAATAATCTGCACACCAAACCCCCATGACATAATTTTAGCTGTATATCCCACATGTGTACACAGAACCAAAAATAAAAGCTAAAAGAAAAAAACAAAATCCCTGCATGGGATAGAGTGCAATGTAGGTGAATGGACTGATTTTCACTGCAGCTAGTGGCCCAGGTGGGGCTGTACTCTGATTTATTTCTGTGTGAATGCAGGCAGATGAGATTATAAACAGGAGGTCCAGAACCTTAGGTTGGTGGAGAAAACAGGTTGCTGCTCAAGGCTCAATGTCTGGGAGTGAGGATATGACAGGAGACTTGTAGACACTTGTGAGTTCTTGGCAAGAAACATTTGGATCAAAAATGCCATGGTGAAGTTCCTGAGGGTGGTGCCTAGTCCTGGGAGGAGTGCGGACACATCAATGTCTAGTATGTATGTTTGTGAGTGAGTGGGAATCCTGTGGATGCAGTTGAAAGAAAAGGGGTCTGTCATCAGAGCTCCTTTCCTGTAAGTTTCAGTCCTCTGTCACCCTGGGAGAAGAGCTGGAATCACAGGACAACGGGCAGCGTGACAGCCTGTGTGCAGGAGAGCAGAGCCTCCCATTCCCAGACACTCAGAGTTTTGTTCCAGGCCAGGCCTCCATGATATGCTTTTTCTGGCACAAAATCTGTAGTTTGCTGAACATCAAACAATTCTTCAACACCAGCTCATTGTCTTACATTTGAATTCTGACACCACCCAGAGTCAGCACAGACCCTGATTCAGGGCTCAGTCCCACAACCTTGTCCTCACTGCAGATGCCAGTCACAAACCCCATGGGCCCATTTATACTTCTGACACACTGTTTGAAAACTGGAGACTCCCAAAACCTCCCTGAAGTTCAGTAATTTGGTAGAGCTACTCACAGAACTCAGAAAAACACTGTAGTTATGTTTACTGGTTTAATATATAGGATGCACCCCAGGAAAAGCCAAATGGAAGAAATGCATAGAACAAAGAAAATACATGGGGAAATATAAAATGGATAGATAATCCAGGAAAATATTTGTGATTGGTAAAATTCTCCATCCTTTGTGTACTCTAGGAACAGCTTATGGAAAGAAACACCCTTCCCATTATGAATTAGATGGTGCTGTTTTTACTTATCTATCACACAGCTAAAGGGGTGGCCAGCCCCTCCACACCTGTGGGTGTTTCTCGTTAGGTGGGACAAGAGACTGAGAAAAGAAAGAGACACAGAGACAAAGTATAGAGAAAGAAAAGTGGGCCCAGGGGACTGGCACTCAACATATGGAGGACCTGCGCCAGCACTGGTCTCTGACTTCCCTCAGTATTTATTGATCATTATCTCTATCATCTTGGAGAGGGGATGTGGCAGGACAATAGGGTAATGGTGGGGAGAGGGTCAGCAGGAAAACATGTGAACAAAGGTCTCTGTGTCATAAATAATTTTAAGGAAAGATGCTGTGCCTTGATGTGCACGTATATAAACATCTTGGTGCATTGAAGAGGAGTATTGCCGCTAGCACGTCTCACCTCCAGCCCTAAGGCGGTTTTCTCCTATCTCAGTAAATACAATATACCATTGGGTTTTACACCAAGACATTCCATTGCCCAGGGACAGATGCCTTCCTCTTATCTCAACTGCAAAGAGGCCTTCCTCTTTTACTAATCCTCCTCGGCACAGACCCTTTATGGGTGTCGGGCTGGGGGATGGTCAAGTCTTTCCCTTCCCACAAGGCCATATTTCAGACTATCACATGGGGAGAACCCTTGGACAATACCTGGCTTTCCTAGGCAGGGATCCCTGCGGGCTTCCGCAGTGTATTGTGTCCCTGGGTACTTCAGATTAGAGAATGGTGATGACTTTCAACAAGCATGCTGCCTTCAAGCACTTGTTTAACAAAGTAATCCTGCACAGCCCTAAATCCATTAAACCTTGAATCAACACAGCACTTGTCTCTGCAAGGACAGGGTTGAGGCTAGGGTTACAGATTAACAGCATCTCAAGGCAGAAGAATTTCTCTTAGTACAGAACAAAATGGAGTCTCTTATGTCTACTTCTTTCTACATAGACATAGTAACAGTCTCATCTCTCTTTCTTTTCCCCACACTTCCCCCTTTTATTTTTGACAAAACCACCATCGTTATCATGGCCCGTTCTTGATGGTCCCTGTCTCTTTGGAGCTGCTGGGTACACCTGCAGACTAACAACAGACAGAACAGGCACACAAGGATTAATATGAAATTTATAATAGTAGTACTTCTGATGGTCTTAACCCAAGTGACAGGGTTAAGATTTGAGAGGCAGTCAGCAACTCCCATGATTGCCTCAGTTCCCGGTACCAAATTTAAATGGGCTTTTGATGCTTCAAAAATTTGTTCTTTTAATTTGGAAATGTCTAAAGTGAGATTATCTTCTTTTCCTTGTAGATGGCGTCTAACCATGTCCCAGTGATGCTCAGACTCATTATAAACTCGGGGTGTAATACAAAAATCTGAAGTATTCCATTCACACTGTAACTGGAAATGATGTTCTAAGCTCATAAGCCTATCTCCCATCCAAATGACAGTTTGTCTAAAATCATTAATTTGATTTGCTAATTTTTGATCAATACCAGATTGTGAATTCCACAATCTTGTAGAATTCTTTTGCCACCCCATAATCACTGCAATTAAAGTAAAAATGAATCTTTTGGATCTATTTAAAATGTCTTTTAATACCTCAGTCAAAATACAGACGGATGGCGAGGCCACCCGCAGTCGGTCCATGGACACAGGGATCCACACACCTTCTCTTGCTCTCACTAGCAGAATACGGTGCTGCCAATTAAAAGTTGAATCAATGCTAGTAAACAATCTGCAATTTTCACAGGTTATAGTTTGGGGGTCTGGTTTAATAACTATATTTCCTACAACTAGCATATAAGGGGGCTTTACACAACTTTGTAAAGGAGCTGTTAGACTGGAATTTAGGTCGATAGTATAAAATGGCTTACGATCTCTTGTTTCTACAGTTTGATTTCCAGACCAAATTCTAATGTGGTATGAGGCTACAGTAAGCCTCTGTAATTCTGGATGTTCAGGACCAGAAACAGGACTTATTATTTTTGGTCTTGGAGTATGAAAGGCAATGGAAAGGCACCGTGGATCAATAAGGCCAAGAGGCAAGACAAAGAGGGCAAAAATCTTCTTTATTGAGCTCTCCGGTGAGGTTCACTGGTCCGCCAGGGGAAGTCACGCTGTGCGAAAGGTGCAGCGCGCTTTTATGGATGCTGGGTGAGGAGTGGTCGGGGTAGGGGCGGGATCGGTTGAGTTTCACACTTCTGAGTGTGACACGCCCTAGTGGGCATGTGCGTTAGTCGGGGTGGTGGGAACAGGAAAGGTGAACCCGGAAATGCTGAGTTAGGGTATCCGAGGTGGCGATTGCCATCTTGGAGTCTTCGCTGAAGTCCAATCAAAGTAGAGATTCCTTTTTCTCCCCATTCCCAAGTGTAGAAAGACTGTAATTTTTTATGCTTATGTTCGTCTAAACTTCCTGTTAAGTCACTATCAACAGCTGGACTCACTTGTGCACTGGGACATGATTGAGTTTGTCCTGTGCAATTGTGTTAGAATTGACCTTGAGTTGCCCAATCTATAATAGTTCTGAATTCATCATTTTGTAATATCACTGCACTCTTGGCCACACATTCTTCCCAAACTAAAACTTCTATGTCTTTTGATCCTTTGGGAATTTCCTTGGGGCAATGTTTCCCTTTAGGCCTAAATTTTAATGACCTTTGATAAGAAAAGTCCTGTAAATAATTTACCCATGGCCTGAGTGACATTCCCCTTACCATGTGATAAGTGAATCTACTGATGGTACTGACAGTAGGTACTTGTACCAACCAATTTTGGATTGCAGGCATTAAACATCCTAGTGCTCTCCCTAGGCAAATAGGAGGATAACGATATCCAGTGGAGATATTTATCATCATTCCTTCTTCCTTGGGTTTGGCAGGGCAACGATCATCTGTAGGGCCATGTACCCATACACCATTATTAACATATACTTCAATAGGATTATCCATCCAGGTGACTGCCTGAATTAAGGGCGGGAAAAGCACACAGGCCCAGTAGGTATAATTAGCCACAGCTGCTCCTGCAGGAATGGGGAGACTTACCACCATTGATACAATCATCAAAGCTGCAAGCAGCATACCCTTTGGAGTTTGTGTCACCTTTGTGTTCTCCAGGCTTTTTTTTAGCTAACGGTGTCACCTTCTTTAATTGTGCCCAAGTCGGCGGCTCTGTCTTCTTGGTGGATGGCAACTTCATCTGTTCTTCTGACATGACCTTTTTCTTCATCTTATGAGTCAATGGTGTTCAATTGCGGTGTTTCCGTCTCCGTGGAGGTGCTTTCCTTTGCATCTCCGATGGGTTCATTGTAGAATCAAATGTCTAGTGGGTATCCAAACAGGAAGCTGATTTTCTCCTGGTGAAACACAAGCAAAACCTCTCCCCCACGTTACCACCTTCCCTATTTCCCATGTCTTATTTTTGTTGTCTTTCCATCAAATCAGTTTTCCTTCATGTGGGCTATTCTTTTTACCAGTAAGATGTTGTTCTGCAGAAGTAGTAGTCTGATTTCTATAAATGTTTAAAAAATTTGAAGTATAGAATGCTAGATTAAGTTGCATCTGAGGAGTGGTACACTCCTTACTGTCTCCCCCTTCTTTTTGTTTAACCAATTGAGTTTTGAGTGTTCTATTTCTTCTTTCAACTATGGCCTATCCTTGGGAATTATAGGGAATTCCTGTTGTATGTATAATTTTCCACTGATTTAAGAATTTTTGGAAAGCTTAAAAACAGTATTCTGGCCCACTGTCAGTTTTAATTTTTTTTTTTTTTTTTTTTTTTGGAATTCCCATTACAGCAAAACAAGATAATAATTTTTTTTTTTTTTTTTTTGAGACGGAGTTTCACTCTTGTTGCCCAGGCTGGAGTGCAATGGCACGATCTCGGCTCACCGCAACCTCTGCCTCCCAGGTTCAAGCAATTCTCCTGCCTCAGCCTCCCAAGTAGCTGGGATTACAGGCATGTACCACCACACCTGGCTAATTTTGTATTTTTAGTACAGACAGAGTTTCTCCATGTTGAGGCTGGTCTCGAACTCCTGACCTCAGGTGATTCACCCGCCTTGGCCTTCGAAAGTACTGGGATTACAGGCATGAGCCACCGCGCCTGGCAATAAATGTTTTTTAACATGGGAAGTACTGTTTCCTGTCTGGCAGGTTGCCCTTATGAAATGTGAATAAGTATCAACCGTTACATGAACACATGATAATCTTCCAAATGAAGGTACATGTGTGACATCCATTTGCCATAACGCATTAGGACAGAGACCTCTGGGATTAACTCCTGCCTCTTGAGTGGGCAGGTGTAGGACTTGACACTGGGTGCAATGTCATACAGTATTTTTTGCCTGTTTCCATGTGACATCAAATTTGTTTTTTAATCCTGCTGTATTTACATGAGTCAAAGCACAAAGTGCTTGTGCTTTTATGAATGCAGATGATACTAGGAAGTCAGCTTGTTCATTTGCTTTAGTTAAAGGCCCTGGTAAATTAGTGTGTGCTCAAATATGAGTAATATAAATGGGAAATTTCTTTTTCTTACAGTTTGTTGTAATAAATTGAACAGCTGGTTTAACTGATCATCCAGGCTATATTTAATTAGAGCTATCTCAACACCCCTTGTAGCCTGTACTACATATGCAGAATCTGATACAATATTAATAGGTTGATTAAAATCTTGTAACACTATAATGACTACAACCAACTCAGCTCTTTGAGCCGATTGATACTGAGTTTTGATTACTCACTCTTTTGGCCCTGTGTAAGCTGCCTTTCCATTGCTGGAACCATCAGCAAACACTGTCAGAGCATTTTCTAAAGGTTTATGTCTGGTAATTTTAGGTAAAATCCAAGTAGTCAGTTTTAAAAACTGGAAGATTTTTGTTTTTGTGTAATGATGATCAATAATTCCAACAAAATCAGCAAGACCAATCTGCCATGCACCAGAATTGATAAAGGCTTGTCTAACTTGTTCCTTGTTTAAAGGGACAACCATTTTGTCTGGGTATTTCCACACAATTTTATTATTTGTAATCTTGCCTGACCAATTAATGTAGCTATTTGATCCAAGTACAATGTAAAAGTCTTAATTGTACTGTGGGGAAGGAATGACCCCTCCACAAGATCAGTATTTTGAACAATGATGCCTGTTGGAGAATGTGCAGTAGCAAAAATCAAAAGCTGGAGTGGGGCTAAGGGATCTATTCTATTTATTTGTGCAACTGAACTTTTTCTTTCACTAATTTAATTTCTTTTGTTGCCTCTGGGGTTAATATTCTTTTACTGTTTAAGTCTGGGTCTCCTCTTAAGATAGAAAACAAATTTGACATGCCATAAGTAGGAATGCCTAGAGTTGGCCAAATCCAATTAATATCTCCTAGCAATTTTTGAAAGTCATTTAATGTTTTTAATGTGTCTTTTCTTATTTCTATTTCTTGTGGCTTAATTTTTCTATTTTCTATCTGCATCCCTAAATAATGAAAAGGAGTAGAGGTTTGAATCTTATCAGATGTTATTGTCAGTCCTGTGTTGGCAACCTCTGCTTGCAGAAATGTATAACAATAAATTAATCTGTCTCTCGTTTCTACAGCACATAAAATATCATCAACATAATGAATGATATAACAGTCTGAAAACTTGTCTCTAACTGGTTGAAGAGTTTGACCTATGAAATTCTGACAAATAGTTGGACTATTAAGCATTCCCTGAGGTAACACTTTCCACTGCAACCTGGTGGCTAGTTCTTTACTATTTATGGCTGGTATAGTAAAGGCAAATTTTTCACAATCCTGCTCTGCCAGAGGAATGGTAAAAAAGCGATCTTTCAGATCAATTATAATTAAAGGCCAGTCTTTTGGGATCATGGCCGGAGAGGGCAATGCAGGTTGGAGAGGCCCCATGGGTTGAATTATGGCATTTATGGCTCTTAAGTCAGTTAACATATGCCATCTGCCAGATTTTTTCTGAATTACAAACACAGGAGAATTCCAAGGAGAGAATGAAGGCTCAGTATGTCCCTTTTCTAATTGTTCCTTTGCTAATAAATGCAAAGCCTCCAGTTTTTGTTTTGGTAGTGGCCACTGATTTACTCATACCAGTTTTTCTGTTTTCCAAGTTAATGGAATGGGTTTAGGAGGTTCTACAGTGGCCACCCCTAAGAAGGATACCCTATTCCTTTTCTTTCTTGATTTCTCTCAGTCTCAATTGGGACTTTCATGCCATTTTCATTTTTTCCTAGTCCCTCTCCTGGTACATATCCCATCTTAGTCATGATTTTTTGATTCATGGGGCTGTATAATGGAGTGGGCATAGTGATTTCTGCATCCCAGTGTTGTAATAAATCTCAACCCCACAGATTAACAGGAACCGAAGTAATCATTGGCTGAACAGTACGTTCTTGATTATCTGACCCTAAACAATGTAAAATCATAGTACTTTGATACACTTCTGAGGCTGTGCCTACGCCGATGAGTCCTGTAACAGTCTTTTGTTTAGGCCAATTTTTTGGCCACTGATTTAAAGCAATGATAGAGACATCTGCTCCAGTGTCTACTAACCCTTCAAACTATTTTCTTTGAATAATGGCCTTACACACCGGTCCGCTCTCTGAGACCTGACTTGCCCAATATGCAGCCTTTCCTGTTGGATCAGTGCTTCCCAACCCTCTTGTTCTTTTTATCTCACTATTTCCAACCTTAATATAAGGCAGGAGTAATAATTGAGCAATTCTGTCTCCTGGACTGGCACTCCAAGGAATTGAAGGGCTAATAACCAATTGAATTTCGCCTTGGTAGTCTGAATCAACCACACCAGTATGAATTTGAACTCCCTTTAGATTTAGACTTGATCTTCCTAAGATTAGTCCTACAGTCCCCTCAGGCAGTGGGCCATATACCCCTGTGGGGATTTTTTTGTGGGGGCTCCCCTGGAAGCAGAGAGACTGCTTGTATGGTACATAAATCTACTGCTGCACTGCCACTTGTGGTGGGGAACAATTGTTGTATTGTGGTAACTGGCTCATTCCCTGAGGCACTTGTGACAGTGGGCATTGTTGACCCTGAAAACCCTGAGGAACAAAGGGCTGAACTGGGAACGCCCCGTTTTTTGCGGGGCCTGAGGCTGGCCCCTCTTCTCATTTCCCGACAATGGTTGCCCATTTTTATCAACTTTAGAATGACATTGATTAGCCCAATGTTTTCCTTTTTTACATCTTGGACATAGGCCAGGTGGCTCTTTATCTGTTGTTGTAGTAGCTTGAGTTGTTATATTTTGTTTATTTGAGACTGGGCAATTCTTTCTTACATGACCAATTTGACCACAATTATAATATTTCCCCCAAATATTGTCCTCCTAAAGCAACTCCCATTACTGCTTGAGCCATAAGCATAGCTTTATGCATAGCTCCTCCAATTCCATCACAGGATTTTACATACTCTGAGATTACATCTGATCCTGCTGGGACTTTTCCTTTTAATGGCTTAATGGCTGATTGACACTCAGGATTGGTGTTTTCATATGCCATCAACTCCACTATGACCTTATGGGCATTTTCACCGGTAATTGACTTTTGAGCAGCATCTTGGAGCCTTGCCACAAAATCAGGGTAGGGCTCTTTAGAGCCTTGTCTTATAGTACTGAATGAGGGGCAAGTGGTTCCTGGGTCTTGGATTTTTTTCCCAGGCCCTAAGGCAGATAGCTCTAACTTGCTCAATGGCCTCATTTTGCATTATTGCTTGTTGATTAGTAGTGCTCCAATTTTGACCTGTTCCTAATAGTTGATCTGCATTTATGTTAACTGGAGGATTGGCAGCCCTATTTTTTTGGACCTGTTCTTGTACCCCATCAATCCACAAAGTCTTAAATTGTAAAAGATAGAGGGTGAGAGTGATGATTTGGCCAAAATCTCCCAATCAAAAGGAATGAGTCTATGTCCATGAGCAATGGAATTTAATAATGTCCTCAAATAAGGGGAGTTGAGTCCATACTTTTTACTCCCTCTTTCACATCTTTTAGCATTTTTATAGAAAAGGACTCATATCTGGCCTCAGCTAGGGGAGGCTCTCCCTCTTGGGCCCCTTCTTCAGGTGGTATCGGCTCTAATATTACTGGGAACTGCCACGCCTCGATATCTCCTTGTTTTCTTGCTTTAATAATTTTATGTAATGCACCACCCTGTCTACTAGGTGGTGATGTAGGATTAAGTCTCATAGTGGGAGGCTGCGGATATAGTGCCCTGCCCTGTGGTGCTGGAAACATTCCTGGCTGTCCATGCTGATTTTCTAGGGGCGGCCAATACTGAAGTTCGGCTGGCGGCCAGTATTGATAGGCTACTGGCAGTTGGGTCTTATTTTCTACCAGCTGATATTGTGGATACTGTATTTGGATTGGCATTGCTGTGACAGATACTCTATCTTTCTCTATTTGTTATTCTCTTCAGGTTTGTACTTGTCTAACCTGCATTTGAGGTTGTAATGTTACAGGCATCTGAACTGCTGGAAGAGGAGTTGGCCATCATGGTTTAGACTCTGATGGCCCCACTAATTCTGGACCTTTTTCTTCTAATTCTAATGTTTCAGGATATATTACCTCCTGTAATTGACTGTAGTCAACATTTTGCATTGACTGAGTCATTACAGACTCTGCTACATATTTACAATGTGAACTTTCCGTTCCTTTCTAGGATTCTATCCCTGCCTCTTCTTCACAATCTATTACACAGCTTTCAGGGGCATCAGAAACTGAAACTATCTTCTCCTGTTTGAAACAGTTCTAAAGCTGCTTTAATAAGGGCCCAATCATTCCATACTGTAAGTGGGATGATTTTACCCTCCCTACTTGCTTGTTTAATTCTTTGCCAATTTTTTCCCAATCTTTTAGATCTAAAGTTCCCTGTTCTGGAAACCATGGGCAGAATTGTTCTATTGTTTGAAGTAGCGTGATTAGATTTTCTGTAGAGACTCTAACTCCCCCTCTTCTTAAAAGAATTTTAATAAAGCTAAGAGGCATATTTACTTTCAGTTTATCCCATTGTTACCCTAGGTTCTTCTGAGCGCACAAGCTTACCGCAAGGCTGACCATAGATGTACTCGGGAATCTCTCATCAACTTGTCCTCAATGACCACGCTCTGGCATACCTTCAACCTAAAGAAAAGCACCCACATTGGGCACCAGATGAAGGGGTGTCCTGCCCCTCCAAACCTGTGGGTGTTTCTCATCAAGTGGGATGAGAGACTGAGAAAAGAAATAAGACACAGAGACAAAGTATAGAGAAAGAACAGTGGGCCCAGGGGACCGGCACTCAACATACAGAGGACCCGCGCTGGCACTGGTCTCTGAGTTCCCTCAGTATTTATTGATCACTATCTCTACCATCTCAGAGAGGGGGATGTGGCAGGACTATAGGGTAATGGTGGGAAGAGGGTCAGCAGGAAAACACGTGAGAAAAGATCTCTGTGTCATAAATAAGTTAAGGAAAGACACTGTGCGTTGATGTGCACGTAGGCCAGATTTATGTTTGACTTTACACAAACATCTCAGTGCATTAAGGAGCAGTACTGCCGCCAGCACATCTCACCTCCAGCCATAAGGCAGTTTTCTCCTATCTCAGTAAATAGAATGTGTGATCAGGTTTTACACCAAGACATTCCATTCCCAGGGACAAGCAGGAGACAGATGCCTTCCTCTTGTCTCAACTGCAAAGAGGCCTTCCTCTTTTACTAATCCTCCTCAGCACAGACCCTTTATGGGGGTCAGGCTGGGGGATGGTCAGGTCTTTCCCTTCCCATGAGGCAATAACTCAGGCTATTATATGAGGAGAAACCTTGGACAATACCTGACTTTCCTAGGCAGAGATCCCTGCCAACTTCCATAGTGTATTGTGTCCCTGGGTACTCGAGATTAGAGAATGGTGATGACTTTTAACAAGCATACTGCCTTTAAGCACTTTTTTAACAAAGCTCATCCTGCATAGCCCTAAATCCATTAAACCTTGAGTCAACACAGCACATGTCTCAGGAAGCATAGGGTTGGGGCTAGGGTTACAGATTAACAGCATCTCAAGGCAGAAGAATTTCTCTTAGTACAGAACAAAATGGAGTCTCATGTCTACTTCTTTCTACATAGACACAGTAGCAGTCTGATCTCTCTTTTCCCCACACCCCTCCCCCGGGATCTTGGCAGGCTTAAGCAGATTCTAGGAGAGAGGCTGTTGAGAATTGCTCACCTCCAGGGTTCAGATCTCAGGCTCCAGTGGCAAGGGTTCACAAGTGGAATCTTCTGAACTGTGGGTTGCACAGTTCCATGGAAAAAGCAGTTTCCCAGGCTGGGTAGCCCGCTCAGTCACAGCCTCCCTTGGCAGGAAAATGGCTGTGGCAGGACCCAGGCCTCCCCATAGTCAGCTCCACAATCTGCTTTCCGAGTTCTCCTTGCCCAGCTCAGCCTCAGTACCCTTCAGCCATAAGATGGCCGCTATGCTGACAGCTGGGCTCCCGGCCGTCCTTTCTCTTCCCTGCTCAGTGACTGTGCCCTGGCCTGGAGCCCTCTCCAGGTGACTCTGCACCCGCAGTGTGGCATCTCTCCCAGATTGTGTGGGGACTAGGGGAGGCTGAGGGGGGCAGATCACTTGAGGTCAGGAGTTGAAGACCAGCTTGGACAAAATGGGGAAACCCCATCTCTCCTAAAAATACAAAAATTAGCTGGGTGTGATGGCGAATGTCTGTAGTCCTAGGTACTCGGGAGGCAGAGAAAAGAGAATGGCTTGAACCTGGGAGGCCGAGGTTGTTGTCAGCTGAGATCATGCCACTGCACTCCAGCCTGGGCGACAGAGCAAGAGTCTGTCTTAAAAAAAAAATTTTGGGAGTCACTGTAAAAATATCAAATAATTTTTTTTTTTTGAGACGGAGTCTCGCTCTGTCACCCAGGCTGGAGTGCAGTGGCGCAATCTCGGCTCACTGCAAGCTCCATCTCCTGGGTTCACACCATTCTCCTGCCTCAGCCTCCTGAATAGCTGGGACTACAGGCTCCTGCCACCGTGCCTGGCTAATTTTTTGTATTTTTAGTAGAGAGGCAGTTTCACCGTGTTAGCCAGGATGGTCTCGATCTCCTGACCTTGTGATCTGCCCGCCTCAGCCTCCCAAAGGGCTGGGATTACAGGCTTGAGCCACCGTGCCCAGCCTCAAAAAGAGAGATTCAAGAATTGTAGACCAGCTAGCTATAGTTTGTAGTTTGTTCTCCGTGGGAGGGTCTTGAAGAAAAGACATTTATAAGGTGCATGAAGAAGAAAACCAAATTCAATAATTGGTTAGATGCAGTTACGTAGTTTCTTAATTGGTACAATCAAGGTGGAAATTCCCTGGTTATTTAATCAGAGTTTAAGTGGTAGTTTATAGTTGTTTAAGCTTGAATTTTGTTCCCCTAATGTAGTAATTTACCAAAAAATGCACTTGAGTTTAGATTTTTTTTTTTTTAGAAGTAGGAATCTGGGTACTAGAGCATCCTCAGTCTAATTGCCTGCCACTTAATTATTTTCACATCCCACAGGGGACTGATTTTTCCTGGCATTTTTCACATGTGCCCCAAGCAGCGCCTCAAGTGTACCCCATGTTCCTCAATTAATCATTTTATACAAAGCATGGCATAACAGTATTGAAGAGATTTTTTTCTGTTTGTAAATATTTTCCCTGAGAAGAAAGCAAAGAATAATCCCCTGACACTGTATTGTAAAAATATCTGTCCCTCTTTTGCTTTTTTTTTTCCAGAGAACTTACCAGAATGTTTTTAGGTTAAGATTACCCTTTGGAAACTTCATAGGGTGATGTGTCCTCAGCTATCCTTCAGTTTTTTTTTTCTGGGCCTGGGTTTTAGTACTTTCTGGGGATAAACCAAGATACCCACTATGGCTATGGCTATGTGTCTAGTGACTATTGTCTCTTGGGTCATTTTCTCCCATAGAACCACCTGAAGTATGGAGTGTAGCCTCTCAAGGGAGCAGGTGGCAGCCTTGGAGGTGAAAGGCATCTCCTGGTGCATGTTTGTTTTTATTTTTCTTTTTCTTTTTTTAAAGCTAACCCCTTGAGACATGAAGATTTTCTTCACCCAACCTAGCTTCCATTTTTTGGATACACATTGCTGGTCAGCCAATCAAATGCTGGTATTGAGGGCAAAACAAATAATTTCTGCCCCCTGGATTTTCTTGAGTGGGGGCAGAAAAACAGTGAAATAAAAACAGTGAAAATTTTGTAATAAAAATAAAAAATTCCAAAAGACAAAAAAACTGACCCCAGTGAGATGGCATAAAAACAAAGTAAAATGCACCTGGGGCACTCACTGGGGCATAGAGCAGTGTCTCCTGGGAGGGTGGTTATTGAGCATGTAAGTGAACAGGATGGGTTGGATGATTGGGTCTGTACATTGAAAAGATTTCTTTACTTATTTTGACCTCAGGTTTTTTCGTTTTTTCGGGTTTTTTTTTTTTTTTTTTTTTTTTTTGACGGTTTCACTCTGTTACACAGGCTGCAATGCAGTGGCTTGATCTCGGCTCACTGCAACCTCCCCCTCCTGGGTTCAAGTGATTCTCATTCCTTGGCCTCCCAAGTAGCTAGGTGCACAACACTTTGCCTGGCTAGTTTTTGTGTTTTTAGTAGAGAGGGACCAGGCTGCTCCAAAACTTCTGGTGTGAAGTGATCTCCCTGCCTTGGCCCCCAAAGTGTTGTGATTACAGGCATGAGCCACTGCACTGAGCTGTATCAGTATTTTTTACTGTGATTTGCATTTTATTAGTAGGGGCTGAAAAATAAGAAAATATTTACAAAAGACATAATAGAGATGAGTTTCAAAAATTAGTATTTAATCATATATTCTATTAGTTAATAATTCTTATTTACCTTTTTCTTTCCCAGAGTAACCTTAGGAATATTTTCAGGTGTTTTTCTGTTTGATTGTTTGTTTTTGTTTGAGATGGAGTCTAGCTCTGTCAACCAGGCTGAAGTGCAGTGGTGTTGGTAGAAGAGCTGAGGCAGGACTGGCTTGTCTGTCATAATATAAAAGAGTCTTGGAAGATGTCCTGGGTCCAGGGTCTAAAATCCCTCATGGCCTTTGGAACATCAAACTCTGTGCCAAATGGTGGAAGGCTGCCCTGACAAAACACAAATCTGAGCCCAGGGCATAAAACCCCTCACGGCTTGGATGGAATCCAAGGCTCAGGGCATAAAACCCCTCGTGGCCTCTAGAATGTGCACAGACTTGTTGGTTGCTCTCCCAGGCTCATAAATATGTTCTCCATTATCTCAAGCAGCAGAGCATACTCTTTATGTGTCAAAGAAAATGCTAAACCGTCACAGCTACACTTGATGCACTGTTACCTTTCTACCCTCACGTCCTTATGTCCTCACCTGTTTACCCCCACATCCACACATCCTCACCACCTGCTTCTTTGTTTGATCACCAATAAATAGTGTGGGCTTCCAAAGCTTGGGGCCCTCACAGTTTCCATACTAGCTTTGGCCCTCTGGACCCACCTTATGTACTCTTAACCTGTCTTTTCTCATTCCTTTGACTCCACTGGACTTCATAGCCACAATGGTCTGGTATTGGGTCTGATCACCCCAACAAGTGGCATGATCTCAGCTTTGCCACCCGGGTTCAAGGGAATCTCCTGCCTCAGCCTTTTGAGTAGCTGAAATTACAGGTACCATGCCACCATGCCCGGCTAATTTTTTAATTTTTAGTAGAGACAGGTTTCACCATGTTGGTCATGCTGGTCTCGAACTCCTGACCTCGTGATCTGCCTGCCTCAGCCTCCCAAAGTGCTGAGATTACAGGCATGAGCCCCCATGCCTGGCCAGGTGTTTTCTATGGCTGAGTGATTTCAAACAGAATTCCAAGCCTTAGCTTTAAGAATGCTAGCTATCAGCCAAGCGCAGTGGCTCATGCCGGTAATCCTAGCACTTTGGGAGGACGAGGCGGATGCATCACAAGGTCAAGATTTCAACACCAGCCTGTCCAAGACAGTGAAACCCTGTCTCTACTAAAAATACAAAAATTATCCAGGCGCGATGGCAGGCACCTGTAATCTCAGCTACTTGGGAGGCTGAGGCAGAGAATTGCTTGAACCTGGGAGGTGGAGGTTGCCGTGAGCCAAGATCACACCACTGCACTCCAGCCTGGGCAACAGAGATAGACTCCATAAAAAAAAAAAAAAAAGAAAGAAAGAAAATCTCTCTTCTGTTTTGACTGTAGACAATAAACATATTTCCACAGGAAAATGTGGTAGATAATTGATGAGTTACATAGACTTGTCAAAACATCAGTTCCTCTTTTTGCAGGGTAAATTTGTGACAGTGAATATCTCAGTTCTATATCATGTTGTCTTGATTTCTGAATTAAATGCTAAATTATATGTGATGAAACATGGTATCTTCTACAAGTTTTCTCATATGACTAATTTTTTACTACATTATTTTTAATAGAAATAATAAAATAATACATATATTGTCTGAAAGAAGTAGATATATTTGCTTTTCTTATGGAGGAATAAAATGTAAGCATCTTAGCCAGGTACACTGGCTCATAACTGTAATCCCAACACTTTGGGAAGCCTAGGCGGTTTGATCACTTAAGGTCAGGAGTTTGAGACCAGCCTGCCCAACATGGCGAAACCCCGTCTCTACTAAAATTACAAAAATTAGCCGAGTGTGGTGGCGCATGACTGTAGTCCCAGCTACTTGGAAGACTGAGGCAGGAGAATGGCTTGAACACGGGAGGTGGAGGCTGCAGTGAGCTGAGATTGTGCCATTGCACTCCAGCCTGGGTGACAGAGAGAGACTCCATCTCAAAAAAAAAAACCATTAAAAAAAAGTGAGCACTTTAAATTTCCTTCCCTTATGTAAACACTTTGAGTAGTTTCACCGGATTTTTCAGTTAGTTTCAACACCAAGTGAATACCTCTGACATGGAAATTAAAGTTTTAACCAAGAGACTCCAAGCTAAGGCTAATATTAAGCCAGAAAGAGGAAGTTATTAAAGGTCCAGTTCGTTTTTCTTTTTTTTTAATTTCTTCTTCTTTGTTTTTTTTTTTTTGACAAAGTCTCACACTGTCACCTCGGTTGGAGTACACTGGCGTGATCTCGGCTCACTGCAACCTCTGCCTCCTGGGTTCAAGTGACTCTCTTGCCTCAGCCTCGTGAGTAGCTGGGATTACAGGTGCCTGCCACGACACCTGGCTAATTTTTTGTATTTTTAGTAGATACAGGGTTTCATTATGTTGGCCAGGCTGCTCTCAAACGCCTGACCGTGTGATCCACCTGCCTCAGCCTCCCAAAGTGCTGCAATTACAGGCGTGAGCCACCGCATCTGACCATACCACATTTTCCTTATCCAGTCTATCATAGATAGCCATTCAGGACCCGTCCATGCCTTTGCTATTGTGAATAGTGCTGCAATAAACATGCATGTGGATATGTCTTTATAATAATTTATATTTCTTTGGGTATATACCCAATTATGAGGTTCCTGAGTCAAATGATAATTCTGTTTTTAATTCTGTGAGGAATCACCACACTGCTTTTTACAGCTGTTGAACTAATTTACACTCCCACCAGCAGAGTATAAGCATTCCCTTTTCTCTGCAACCTTGCCAGCATCTGTTATTTTTTGACATTTAAAAAATAGCCATTCTGATGGGTATGATGCAGTATCTCATTGTGGTTTTTCTTTTAATTTCTCTAATAATTAGCAATGAGCATTTTTTTCACATGCTTGTTAACTGCACATTTGTCTTCTTTTGAAAAGAATATGTTCATTTTTTTTCTACTTTTTAATGAGGTTGTTTGTTTTTTTTCTTGTAAACTTGTTTGAGCTCTTAATAAATTCTGGATATTAATCCTTTGTCAGAGGCAAAGTTTGCAAATATTTTCTTTTATTCTGTAGGTTGTCTCTTTACTCTGTTGATAGTTTCCTTTGCTGTGAAGAAGCTCTTTAGTTTAAATAGGTCCCATTTGTCAATTTTTGCTTTTGTGGCAATAGCTTTTGGAAGCTTCATCATGAAGTCTTTGCCAGTTTCTATGTCTAGAACAGTATTTTTTAGGTTATATTGCAGGGTTTCTTATAATTTTAAGTTTTACATTTAAGTCTTTAATTTATCTTGAGCTGATTTTTGTATATGGTGTAATGAAGGGGTCCAGTTTCTGTCTTCTACATAGTGCTAGGTAGTTATTCCAGCATCATTTATTAAAGAGAGAATTCTTCCCACTTTTCTCTTGTCAGGTTTGACAAAAATCTGATGGTTGTAGGAGGGTGGCATTATTTCTGGTCTCTCTATTCTGTTGCAAAGGTCTTTTGCATGCATGGATTTTTTTATAACATCATTCTCTCTTGTGTTTTTCTCCCATAAGCATCACCTTAAGTGCATATAGTGTGCAAAATTCAGGTGTCCAAGAGTTCAAAAACTCTTTAAAAAGTATCAAAAAGCTATTTTACTATTCTCTCTTTTCTTAAGGCATTTTGATTATATGTAGATATTTTTCTCTGCTTTTTTGAAATATATGTAAATTATATTAACAGTTAAATAAACCTTTAGTCATTTTTTCAGACTCCAGATTATCTTTATCTAGTACTTCAGGTTTTTTGCTTTCTTTTTGCTTCTGAAAAGTTTATCTTTTTCATTTTTAGTCCTTTAAAGTAGACACAGATGGTTTAGATAAATGCTCATTTTAAGAGCACACAGATGCTTAGCACAAAGATAGGATTAAATTTTGCAATACAGAATGATAAAGACTGAAAGATACTAAGTTTCTTTGAAAGAAATCTGATTATCCAAGGTAATTACCCAATATTTGCAGGCTGAAGGACTTATACGGTGAAAGCAAAAACAGTTCAGTGCATAAACTGAACAGTAGAGTCTGTAGTTGTATCTTGCTTTCTATTTATTACTTCAGAACGATTAGCATAGTTATGTGTAGGGTTTGTAAACAAATTGCATTCATATACATTAAACAGTATTTTATTTTTTTTGAGACAGAGTCTCACCATGTCGTCCAGGTTGGAGTGCAGTGGCATGATCTTGGATCACTGAAACCACCGCCTCTCAGGTTCAAGCGACTCTCCTGCCTTAGCCTCTCAAGTACCTGGCATTACAGGCATGTGCCACCATGCCTGGCTAAGTTTTTGTATTTTTAGTATAGATGAGGGTCTCATGTTGGCCAGCTTGATCTTGAACTCCCGACCTCAGGTGGTCCAACCGCCTCACTCCTCCAAAGTGCTGGGATTACAGGCGTGACCTGTAAACAGTATTTTCTACATAATATGAATATAAAGCCACAATACTTACTTTGAATGAATCACTTAAGTTGTTATTTTAATATTGTTATTTATACTTTTGAAATATAGTGTTTTAACTGAAGTATAGTTGAATTTTTTTTTTTTTTTTTTTTTTAGACGGAGTCTCACTTTTTTGTCCTGGCTAGACCACAGTGCTGCAATCTCATCTCACTGCAACCTCTGCCTCCTGGGTTCAAGCGATTCTTCTGCCTTAGCCTCCCGGGTAGCTGGGACCACAGGCAGGCTCCACCATGCCTGGCTAAAATTTTTGTATTTTTAGTAGAGACAGGGTTTCACCATATAGGCCAAGCTGGTCTCAAACTCCTGACCTCATGATCTGCACGCTTAGGCCTCCCAAAGTGCTGGGATTATAGATGTGAGACACCGTGCCTGGCTATAGTTGCAATTTTTTAAAATGCTACATACATTATGACTAGTTCATTAAAATTATTCATACTTAGATACTTATACCTAATATCCAAAGAAAATTTACTACCAAATTGTTACAGTAGATATTAGTGTGACATGTTTATTACTTTATTCAATAGGGATAATTATGAATTAACACAACTTTAGTATCTTTTATTGCACTAAATTGGAATGCTGCTATTAC
Source organism: Homo sapiens (assembly GCF_000001405.40). Lineage (NCBI taxonomy): Eukaryota > Metazoa > Chordata > Mammalia > Primates > Hominidae > Homo > Homo sapiens. Next base: position 20,268,820 of record NC_000019.10, on the reverse strand, counting down.
AGGAAAAATAAAGACAGGTGATGTGGCCACCCAAAACCAATAATAGCTATTCAGTTAACTATGTTACAAGTTCTTTTATTTTTATTTTTTTTTTTGAGATGGAGTTTCACTCTGTCACCCAGGCTGGAGTGCAGTGGCATGATCTCGGCTCACTGCAACCTCCACCCTCCAGGTTCAAATGATTCTCCTTCCTCAGCCTCCTGAGTAGCTGGGACTACAGGCGCCTGCCACCGTGCCTGGCTACTTTTTTGTATTTTTAGTAGAGATGGGGTTTCACCATCTTGGCCAGGCTGGTCTTGAACTCCTGACCTCGTGATCCACCCACCTCTGCCTCCCAAAGTGCTGGGATTACAGGCGTGAGCCACCACGCCCAGCCTACAAGTTCTAATATATTCCACTCTATGAAAACAGTCAGATTCTATTTCTTCATCAAAAAGTGTTGTTGGAAGTTGTCAGATGTATTTCAATATAGAACTCCATTCACTGGCTAGGAGATGAGAGAGCACCAAAGATGGAAAAAAAACTTTATAAAATTCTTCTGAAAATCTGCCTTCTTTCTTCCTGAAGCTCATGTTTCTCATGCTGAGAGTAGCTGTGCACTTTGGGTGTTTAGAGAGAAATTGCTTTTAGGGGAATATTTTTTGACTGACTTGATCAATCATATCTAATCTGAGCTTTTTCTTAAGATCTTTATAATATTTTTCTATGAAAATAATCTTGCTCAGATCAAGATCTCATTTTTCTCTCCAATGCTTTGGGTGTGTGTTTCAGAAGCCCTATTAGTGTCCCATGGTGTCAGATTAAGGTGGGCTGTCACAATGAGAATTTTTGCAGCTATCACTATCTGGACTCATGCTGAAAATTCAGCTTTATCTTTTCCTTGTCATCTCTATACGTAGAAATTGACGCTGAAACACTGCTCACATTCTCATGATTGTGAAGGTGTAATTCTACCCAGGAGGCCTGCAGGCTCTCCTCCTGCAGCTCAGGCCTCACTCTCTGATGTGACACTAGAGTGCTGCTGTGGCAAATAGGATTCACATAAAATGTGAGCTGTGGTTTGTGCCTCAGTGGCAGATGGTAGAGGCCAAGAGAGGACACTAGCAACCAGGAGAAAGCAAGCAGGAGTGCTGTAGCCCAGTGCCAGGGAGTACAGAGCCACTGCTCTAAAATGTAAGTAGCCAAAAAGATAGAACACTATTCAACCATTTTTGTAGCAGAGTGAAAGCCTACCTTCAGCAGGCACCTGGCTTCAAGCTGCTAAACTACATCCTATTATGAAGATGTGAAAAGTTTTTGTCATTGAATATAAGTAATTAGCATACACAGATGGCCTCTTCAGTATCCAGGTGAATTTAGGATGAACTATGTATGACATGGTGCTGGAAATTCTTCTACTTGTGGCCTAATTATAGTGACCATCTTTCCGTCTCTTAAGCAGATTGATGAAGATCCGTGTCACATTCAAGTTCAATTGTGTAATAAAACAGTTTCTTTCTATTCTATTATTGTGGAGTTTCTCTGGGGTGGAGAAAAATTTTCATTTAATTATTGTTTCCAAACACTGTCTAGAATTACCAGACATGATATAAACACATAAGGTGACATCCAGAATTTACTCTAGAGGAGACTTTCCCTCTCAGGCTTCCAGTCAGCTCAGAGTTGTGCAGCAAAGTGCATGCTGTCCCCTAAATATGCAGGCAGAATTGTGTCTCTGCCTAGTTGGCATTCATAGTCCTCTGCAGTCACTTCTAGAGAGGCTAGATCACATTTCTACAAACTTCACAGGGCAGCAATCAATCATTTTACCTCTTTCACTGACTCTTGTATCTTCAGACTGGAACTGATACAGAAACTATTTGGCCCAGAAACCCAATCAGAGTAACGTGTGTGCATTGAGTAGACATATAGACATGAGAATCTCCACTTTCCCCTTCCTCCTCTTGCCAAAGTGCTCACAAATGTACAGGTAACACCTGCTGCTACTCCAGCCATTCAGGCCCTAAATGTGCAGCTCCAAATTTTGAATTTAGATCTTGAGATTTGGGAAATAAAAAACTTTTATCTAAAAAATGCAAGTCCTTTTGGTTATCAAATTCAGAGAGATGAAAATAAAAGTGCAGTTATTTCTCCCCTCTTTGAACTATGTATTCATGTCTTGAAACTGTTCACTATTGCCACAAGTAGCTATAAATTAAACTAATAATGCCACATTGGACACTATATCCCATACCCTAAACCATAACGATATATATCTAATCAATAATCAATGCTATTTCTGTAAATAAATAAACATTTCTGACAAACAACTTTGTATTATCTTTTAATGGTAGGTTGTATTGACATTTTTGAAAAATAAAATTTTTTGACCCCTGAGCAAAAATATATTGAAGTGTTTTATATATACATATTTTTGAACTTTCCAGTTTGACTTTTGCTTTTAATTCCTAGTTTAATTCAGTTTTTGTTAGAAAATACACAGTGTATGGCCGGGCGTGGTGGCTCATGCCTGTAATCCCAGTACTTTCAGAGGCCGAGGCAGGCAGATCACCTGAGGTCAGGAGTTTGAGATCAGCCTCAACATGGAGAAACCCCATCTCTACTAAAAATACAAAATTAGCCTGGTGTGGTGGTGCATGCCTGTAATCCCAGCTACTTGGGAGGCTGAGGCAGAAGAATTGCTTGAACCTGTGAGGCCGAGGTTGCGGTGAGCCAAGATCGTGCCACTGCACTCCAGCCTGGGCAACGAGAGCGAAACTCCATCTCAAAAAAAAAAAAAAAAGGTGGCCAGGTGCGGTGGCTCCGCCTGTAATCCCAGCACTTTGGGAGGCCGAGGTGGGAGGATCATGAGGTCAGGAGATCGAGACCATCCTGGCTAACATGGTGAAACCCTGTTCTCTACTAAAAGTACAAAAAATTAGCCGGGTGAGGTGTCAGACGCCTATAGTCCCAGCTACTTGGGAGGCTGAGGCAGGAGAATGGCCTGAACCCGGGAGGTGGAGCTTGCAGTGAGCCGAGATCACAGCACTGCACTCCAGCCTGGGCAACAGAGCGAGACTCCGTCTCCAAAAAAAAAAAAAAAAAAAAAAATTTGAGAGGTGTCTTCTAACTCAACATGTCTTTTCCATCTGAAAAATATTCATAATTCCTGGTGGATCCTCTTACCTTGGTCTCCTAAAGTGTTAAGATTATAGGCAAGAGCCACTGTACCCAGTCAGTATTTTAAAATTTAATAAAACCTGCTATGTGCCCTAACAAAATACACCAGATGAAAATAAGAATATTGTGCATTATCTTGGTTTTGACTGGGGAGTTTTGTGTGTGTCTGCGAACGCTAGTTGGTCTATAATATGGTTTGGATGTCCATGTTTTCCAAACCTCATGCTGCAATATAAATCCTCAATGTTGAATGTGGGACCTGGTGGGACACATTTGGGTCATAGGGGCAAATTTTTCATGAATGGCTTGGTACATCCTCTTGGTAACCAAAAAGTTTACACTCTATTAATTCAAATGAGAGCTGGTTCATTAAAAGAACCTGGCTTCTTCACCTCACACTTGCTCTGTCTCTTACCATATAATATATCCAGTTACTCTTTACCTTCCACCATGATTTTAAGCTTCCTGAAATCCTCACCAGAAGCAGATGCTGGCACACACTTATACAGTTTGCCAAACTGTGAGCCATCTAAACCTTTTTTCTTTATAAATTATGCACTCTCAAATATTCATCTATATGCAAAATAATTAATATAGTCTATAATGGTGTCTAGGTTTTCTGTTTCTTATTTTTTATCTAAACTTTCTATTTATTATTGCAAATGGGGTTTTGATGTTTACAATTATGTTGCTATGTATGTCTTGCTTCACTTTTGTCAATAGTTGCTTTATATATTTTGGAGCCCTGATGTTATATACACATATATATATAGATAAGTAAATATTATAGTTATAGATTCCTGGTAAATCAACTCACTTTAACATAATATAACGTCAATCTTTGTCTCATGGTACTACCTGACTTAAAGCATATTATGTCTAATATAATTATGACCACTGCACTCAATCGTGGTTACTATTTTCATGGAATGTACATTTTTTTCATTCTGTTACTTTCAGCCTATTTGACTCAATGCTTAAATGAATCTCTTGTAGGCAGCATAGCGTATGCTTTTTAAAAAACCGCACAAGCATTCTATTTCCTTTTTTTTATTATTTATTTATTTTTATTTATTTTTTTATTTTTTTGAGAGATGGAGTCTTGCTCTGTTGCCCAGGCTGGTGTGCAGTGGCACAATCTTGGCTCACTGCCACCTCCATTTCCCAGGTTCAAGTGATTCTCCTGCCTCAGCCTCCTGAATATCTGGGACTACAGATGCGTGCCACCATACCCAACTATCTTTTGTATTTTTAGTAGAGATGGGGTTTCACCATATTGGCCAGGCTGGTCTTGAACTCCTGACCTCATGATCCTCCCACCTCAGCCTCCCAAAGTGCTGGGATTACAGGCGAGAGCCACTGTACCCAGCCTATATATGTATTTATTTATTTTGCGACGGAGTTTTGCTCTTGTTGCCCAGGCTGGAGTGCAATGGTGCAATCTCTGCTCACTGCAAACTCCACCTCCTGGGTTCAAGCAATTCTCCTGGCTTAGCCTCCTGAGTAGCTGGGATTACAGGTGTCTGCCACCACACCCTGCTAATTTTTTGTATTTTTAGAGAGACGGGGTTTCACCATGATGACCAGACTGGTCTTTAAGTCCTGACATCAAGTGATCTGCCTGCCTCAGTCTCCCAAAAGGCTGGGATTATAGGCATGAGCCACCATGCCCAGCCTCATTTATTTTTCAGAATGGAACTCACTGTGCCAACCAGGCTGATTTGCATATTTCACTGCTGCTTGAATCTCTCAAAGTCTGCTGATTATCTCATTTCAGTCTCTCAAATACCTGGATTACAAGTATGTGCCGTCACACCAGGCTAGCTTTTTTGTATTTTTTATAGAGACAGAGTTTTGCCATGTTGCCTAGGCCTGTCTTGAACTCCTGGGATCAAGTGATCAGCCTACCTTGGCCTTCCAAAGTCCTAAAATTACATTTCATTTTATTTTATTAAGTAGTTTAATTAACTTATATTTAAAATAATTGCTTAAAGAAATAAAGTTGTTATCCAGGCGCTGTGGCTCATGCCTGTAATCCCAGCACATTGGGAAACTGAGGTAGGTGGATCATCTGAGGTCAGGAGTTTGAGATCAGCCTGATCAATATGATGAAACCCTCTCTCTACTAAAAATGCAAAAGTTAGCCATGCGTGGTGGCATGTGCCTGTAGTCCAAGCTACTGGGAAAGCTGAGACAAAAGAATTACTTGAACCGCGGAGGCAGAGGTTGCAGTGAGCCAAGATTGTGCCATTGCACTCCAGCATGGGCAACAAGAGGGAAACTCTGTCTAAAACCAAAAAAAAAAAAAAAAAAATTGTTTGTTAATTATATTGTTATCATTTTATGTGTTTCTAGGAGCTATTTTTTTCTCATTTCCTATTTGACTTTCTTCATTTAGCTTTGTACTGGCATGCTTTGAAATGTGGCTAAGTACCAAGTACCATTATATTTGCTTCCATCATCACCATCTTTCTTCTGAAAAGAGACCTAGAATTCTTTTTCATTACCATAAATACCCAAATTCTGCCACAAAGACAAAAAAACAAGAGTGTGATTTTACATCACACACTCTTGGAAAAAAAGAGTTCTTGTCTTGATGGAAGTTCTAAAGACTAGGTGAGAGATTAAATCACTACCAGGAGCTAGATAATTGCTGTTTTACTAACAAATGTTCATTTTCATTTCTGTATTGTCTCAAGTTATGTCAATAATGAAGCAAAAACCTTTATGCAGATAATTTCAAAAAAACTTATTTTTGTTTTTTTAATTTTTTAATGCTTTTGACATTAAAAAAATCTGATTTTATTTTCTGAATCAAAAAGAAGTATTTCATGTTAAATTTAGACTGTTTAGCTTTCCACTGATATCTCAAGATACTTTCCAGATATTAGCAGAACTCAGAACTGTGTAAAAGTTAACCACCAATACCATGTTTTAAAGAAAAAAGTTTAAATGTAAGACTAATGTCTTGGGGACATTACTAAATGTATTTCTAAGAAACCCTTCTCAAAGGTCAAAGTATTGGCAATTCTAATTTAAAAATTTAAAATTTTTAATTATTGGAAATTTAAGTAACAATAGTTTCAAGAGCTAAGAATCAGATTGCTTTTTAAAACAGATTTTTTTTTTCCTGAGGGATTCATACTTGACAACAACTCCAGTTAAACATAATACTCCACCCAAATCCCAAATTTAAATGCATTATGTCACCTTGGAATAGTAAAATTATAAAATGGTATTTCTAAATTATAATATATATACATAATACACCATTTTAACTGTCACGTTTCCCAGCAGAATTATGAAATCAAAAACAAATTCTACATTCAAGGGACAAATGATAAATGCTCTTTCATTGTTTTAAGAGTCCATTCAATTCTTTGTTGTTTTTTACTCCCACATTTTAAAATTATGACCAAAGGACAAATGGCCAAGTCAATCCCATTTCCCTGAACACAATTGCCAGTAGGTACTGGCCCTACATGTGCATCCTTTAACAAGCTCTGTTCTCAAAAAGCTGGGGATATTTATATAAGAACTTAGTCTAAAGTGACTCAAAGATCCATGTTCCTAAGATCTAGTATGGGCTATTCATGTGTTCTGAGGCATGTCCAGCATGCAGGCAAACTTATCTTTTCAAATTGAGGTAAAACAGACAAAAAACACTTAATATTAACAGAAGTTACATAATTAAAACTAACCTTTTGCTGCTTATTTAAGCTAATTATGTATTCTTACCAAACAGAGACCCTCAAGTCAATAATTTCTTTTGAATTTAGTCACCCCAAATTAAGCCTCTTCTTTCAAAGCCATTATTAGTTTAAAAAAAAGTTTTAAAATGAAGAAAAATATTTTTTTCCAGAATTTGTTCTCAGGCCTCTGAGCCAAAGCTAAGCCATTATATCCCCTGTGACCTGCACATACAAATCCAGATGGGTGGTTCCTGCCTTAACTGATGACATTCCACCACAAAAGAAGTGAAAATGGCCAGTCCTTGCCTTAAGTGATGACATTATCTTGTGAAATTCCTTCTCCTGGCTCATCCTGGCTCAGAAACTCCCCCACTGAGCACCTTGTGACCCCCACTCCTGCCCTCCAGAGAACAACCCCCCTTTGACTGTAATTTTCCTTTATCTACCCAAATCTTATAAAACGACCCCACCCTTATCTCCCTTGGCTGACTCTCTTTTCAGACTCAGCCCACCTGCACCCAGGTGAAATAAACAGCCTTGTTGCTCACACAAAGCCTGTTTGTTGGTCTCCACACGGATGCGAGAGAAACTTGTATTTTGTAATTAGTGTGATGTAGTTTCTTTTTATTTTTCAAACTTAGAAATAATTCATGTATGGGTACTATTTGATATTTTTTTCAGATACCAAGGAATATCAACAGGATTCATAAATAGGATTTTCTGACACTGACAGGAAAGTCTGCTAATGTTTACAAAATACCAAAGACTCTTCTTTCAAGCTTCAAAGATGGCTGAAAATTAAGTTATGATTAGTTTTTCAGTACAAATAAAAAATTTAAATCTTGATTTTTTTGGCCAACATTTTAAACAGTCAAATTAGGTTTCAAATCAAAACAAATAAAACAACTAATGAAAATTACCCAATCGGTCAGGAGATAAGACCATCCTGGCTAACAGAGTGAAACCCCGTCTCTATTAAATATACAAAAAATTAGCGGGGCGTGTTGGCGGGCACCTGTAGTCCCAGCTACCCTGGAGGCTGAGGCAGAAGAATGGTGTGAACCCAGGAGGTGGAGCTTGCAGTGAGTTGAGATCATGCCACTGAACTCCAGCCTGGGCGACAGAGCAAGACGCTGTCTCAAAAAAAAAAAAAAAAAGAAAGAAAAATGAAAATTACCCAATTGGCAACAAGTCCTGTATTCCAACGTTATTTTTAAACCACCAATTATAACCTACTGCCAGTAATTATTTATAAGTACCTGCTTGTTTTATTACACACTGGTCAGTTATATAAGAGAATAATTTGCAAGAATGATACTTGGCAATGGGTTACCTTAATGCTTCCGGAATAAACAGAAGCATTAACAAAACACCAGATCTTAAGCACTTTCAAATCTGTAATTTGAATTACCCAAAGGATTTTTTTTTTTTTTTTTGAGACGGAGTCTCGCTCTGTCGCCCAGGCCGGACTGCGGACTGCAGTGGCGCAATCTCGGCTCACTGCAAGCTCCGCTTCCCGGGTTCACGCCATTCTCCTGCCTCAGCCTCCCGAGTAGCTGGGACTACAGGCGCCCGCCACCGCGCCCGGCTAATTTTTTGTATTTTTAGTAGAGACGGGGTTTCACCTTGTTAGCCAGGATGGTCTCGATCTCCTGACCTCATGATCCACCCGCCTCGGCCTCCCAAGGTGCTGGGATTACAGGCGTGAGCCACCGCGCCCGGCCAAGGATTTTTAAATGTTACTTTTCCATTGAAGGATTGTAGGGAGTCTAGTCCCAGCTAACGTGGTTGATTTTAAAAAACAAATAAATCCCTAAGCCACATAGTAATGGAATACTACACTTGCTTTTTTTATCATATGGAAACAGCTCCAGGCAGAGCACAAGTAGAAGAAAACCTGCCAAATCAAAATACTGTAAATAAAGTTCCTCTATGTACTCCAGTGTGAAAAACCTCAAAAATAAAAATCAGACCACCCACTGTTACCCTCCCCAGCAACAAAATCTACCCAAAACACTTTAGTTCTGAACCTAACATTTCACTAAGATGTTCACAGGAGAAGCTTTAAGGTACTTAAAGCTGCAGCAGTACAGTTGAAAGCACCACATTACAGAGGAAATGCTCTAAAGGGTTCAGCAGCTGCCCACCCATCCCAAACCACCCCCAATCCCAGTAATATGTAAAAGCTCCTGTTAAAGTTTTTTTCTTATGCTAATAAATGCGTACCACCTAGTGACTAGCAGCATTAGAGAGGTAAAGTGAAAATAGGAAGCCTACAGGAATATCTAAATGCCTACTTAGAAGAAACAAAGCAGCAGACAGAATCCTTAGCCCTCTAGTCTATGTAGGGAAGCAGTTGAATTAAATTCAGATTTACCCACATTAACAAAAATTTAACAAAGCTCCCCCAAGACACCAGAATAAAACTTGACCTTTCCAGTCAAAGGGTAGAGAAAGGCTTCTTCCATATCCTGGAGTTGAATGAGTTCAAAGATTGGCAATAAAAGAAAAAAGAAAGCATTACGGGTGTGATGGGAACAAGCTTTGGAGTTTATCGAACAGTCACACCAAGTTTCTCTAGCACAAGGACACCCTTTTCTTGGTACTCCTGTCGGGTCATCCAAAAATTGTCTTTGTCTTTCATGATATCCGCTAGAACTGCACCACCCAAGAATACCATGTGCTTTCTGCGGGATGGGTCTTCAATGCAGATCTTAAATTTAGGAAGTTTTTCCGCATCATCCTTCAAAACTCTTTCTAAGTAAAGCTGTTTAAGTTCTCGTTTCAACCGTGATGACAGGCCAGGATACATAGTAGACCCTCCAGAAAGCACAATGTGTTTGTAGAATTCAGATCTGGTATCAATGTCAGCCGCCTGAATTGTGTTAAAAAGCAATTCAGCAACACCAACTCCTTCAACATTGATCAAGTGAGGCTGAAATAAAGCTTCTGGTGTTTCAAATCTCTCTCCCCCAACTTTGATGATTCCTCCATCTGGGAGTGTATAAGATTCAACTAATACTGTGGTTTCTAAGGCCAGTTTCTGCTCTTGCACAATATTATATCCCACGTAACACAGTTTTTCTTTAATCATGCGAACCGTTTCAAAATCAGCAGAGTGGTTGAAGGTGTATCCTTGCAACAGAAGTAGCTTGATAAGATATCTAGTTATATCCCTCCCAGCAATATCCAGTCTCCTGGTAAGATGAGGGAGAGAAAAGCCTTCTAATACTGGGTAAATGTGAGTCACGCCATCTCCAGAGTCTACCACTACAGCAGTCAATAAACCTCGAGCGTACAAAGTCAGAACTGCCTGGATGGCTACATATACACCGGAAAACTGGTAAGTTTCAAACATTACCTCTACCATCTTCTCTCTGTTTTTGGTTGGGTTCATAAGAGGTTCTGTGAGTAATATTTTACAATTTCTGGTATCTATATTAGGTTTCTCTGGTCCAAATGTGTAGTCCCACAGGTGTTTCGTGTCATCCCAATTTCGTACTATGCCATTTTCCATAGGGTAGTTAACTTCTAACATTGATCGTAATTCACTTGCCTCATCACCAACCATAAGATCCTTGATTTCAATGTTTCCCACTTTGGTGGTTGATCTGATTGTTGTACCCTAGCGAGTTAGGAAAACGCCACACTTTGAGATGAATTAAGAGTCCTTTATTAGCCGGCGACCGAGAGACGGCTAACGTGCAAAGTTCTCTCGGCCCAGAGGAAGGGGCTTGATTAACTTTTATACCTTGGTTTAGGAAGGGGAGGGGTGTCTAGTTAGAACAATTTTACAGAAGTTAAGTAGTCAAAAAGTTAAAAGGTAAATGGTTACAGGAAAGTAAACAGTTCCAGGTGCAGGGGCTTTAAGACTATTACAAGGTGATAAACGCGGGGCTTTGGGCGTTATCAATCAGATGAATTCTTGGGGAGTGCGGATACAGCTTGCCACAGTATCTTATCAGTTAATTGCATTCTTGGATGTGCTGGGAGTCACCTTGCACAAGTTAAGTCCTTGAGGAAGGGGCTGCCAGTGAAAGAGCCAAGATGGAGTTTGTCTGGTTCTCTTAGCTAAGGGAGAAACAAGGCTAGGTAAATAAAGGAAAAAACAAGGTTGGGCATTACATGATAATAGATCTTCCAACCAAAGCTGGGAAGATGTGTTCTGGAAAGTTGGAGCCTGCATATCCACACTTCACAAACCCAGTGTCATTGTCGCACACCACCACCTTCCTGCTCTGGCTGTCCATCGTCCACCCAGGGAAGAGCCGCTGCCGCCGCACAACCTACAGCCGCTGCCGCCCTGCCGTTTTCTCTTCTTCCAAAACTTATTTTTAAATCAGCCATAATAGTAATCAAAGACAGAGAAAAGAAGATTTTTAATATTCATAATTTATATTTTAAAACGAACATGCTTCTAGAAATAAAGAAGGAAAGGAAGAAAGAAATATACAAACAAATAAAAGGTAGCCTGGTCAACATGGTGAAAGCCTGCCTTTACTAAAAATACAAAAATTAGCTAAGTGTGGTGGTGCACACCTGTAATCTCAGCTACTCAGGAGGCTGAGGCACTAGAATCACTGGAACCTGGGAGGCGGAGGTTGGGCGCGGTGGCAGGAGCCTGTAGTCCCAGCTACTCGGGAGGCTGAGGCAGGAGAATGGCGTGAACCCGTGAGGCGGAGCTTGCAGTGAGCCGAGATAGTGCCACTGCAGTATTGCCTGGGAGAAAGAGCGAGACTCCGTCTCAAAAAATAAATAAATAAATAAATAAATAATATAATTAGCAAAATCAATAACAAAGTTGAAGGCAGATGTAATCATGAAGAATTTTTGCATTCAACTGAAGTTAATTTTTTACCTCATTTAAACATATTGTTGGATCTTTTAGAGGTTTTGTGTAATCCCCAAGACACTACTAAGAAAATATCTGTATAGATACACAAAAGAAAATAAGAAGAAAATTGAAAGCATATCAATACAAAAATTTAAAAAAAAACACACACACAAAGGCAGAAAAAATGAGAGACAAAGATACAAGAATCAAATAAAACAATTAATAAAGTAACATTGGTCAGGTGCGGCGGCTTATGCCTGTAGTCCCAGCACTTTAGGAAGCCAAGGAAGTTGGATCACTTAAGGTCAGGAATTCAAGCCCAGCCTGGCCAACATGGCATAAATCCATCTGTACTAAAAATACCAAAAATTAGCCAGGCATGGTGGCAGGTGCCTGTGATCCCAGCTACTCAGGTGGCTGAGACAGGAGAATCCCTTGGACCTAGGAGGCAGAGGTTGCAGTGATCTGAGATTGCACCATTGCACTCTAACATGGATGAAAGAGTGAGACTCTGTCACACACACACACACACACACACACACAAATTATTAAGTTTTCCTCTTTCAGAAAACTATTTAAATATATATAATTATCTTTCCAATCAAGAGACATACTTTCAATAAAAAGCCTTTTTAAAAAATTTTACCAGCCTGACCAACATGGCAAAACCCTGTCTCTACAAAAAATACAAAAGTTAGTCAACTATGGTGGTGCCTGCCTGTAATCCCAGCTACTCAGGAGGCTGAGGCAGGAGAATCACTTGAACCCAGAAGGCGGAGGTTGCAGTAAGCCCAGGTCGCACCACGTGCACTCCAGCCTGGGTGACAGAGTGAGACTCCATCTCAAAAAAAAAAAATTTGAAAATCAAGATCCAACTTGCCTTTCTACAAGAGTCACCTCAGATCTAATGACAAAGACTGTAAGTGGTGAGATGGAAGTAGAAATTTCATGTAAATATTAATGAAATGAGAGCAGAAGAGGTCAAAATAATATTACAAAAGCTACATCTTAAGTCAAAAACTGTCATATTTTATAAAATGTACTTTAAGTCAAAACTTCAAAAAGACACAGAAGGGCATTAAACAATACATAGATTCATTCACTGGGAACTTATCACAAATTTGTGTGTATTTGTGTGTGTCTGTGTTTCAAATTAGGGTTTCAAATATATAAAGCAAATACTAACAAAACTGAATAAGCACATAGAGAGAAATATAATTATACTAGGCTATTTCAATACCCCACTTGCTATAATAATAATGACATATTTGAAAATCCATGTTTATTGTGCCAGTATTCACAAAAGACAAAAGGCTGAAGCAACCCAGATGTCTCTTGATTTATAAACATATCAAAAAATGTAACATATACATATGATGAAATATTATCCCACCTTAAAAAAAAATCATGTCATATTTTAAGATGAACCTTGAGAATATTATGTCACCTGAATTAATCCAGTAACAAAATAATGGATACTGTATGATTCCATTTATATGAGGTATCTTAAGAAGTCAAAATCATAAAAAGAGAAAGTGGAAGGTTTGTCCAGTCTAGGGCTGGAGAGAGAGTAAAATTAGCAGTTGTTACTTAATGGGTACTGAGTTTAAGTTTCACAAGATGTAAAGTTTCTAGAAGTCTTTGCATAACAATGCGAATATAATTAACATTCCTGAAATGAACAGCTTTTTTTTGAGACAGGATCTCACTCTGTCACCCAAGAGGGAATGTAGAGGCACAATTTTGACTCCCCCTCAATCTCCAAAGTAGATGGGACCACAGGTGCACACCACCATGCCTGGCAATTATTAATTTTTTTTTAATAGAGAAAGGTCTCCATATGTTGCCCAGGCTGGTCTCAAGCTTTCAGGCTCCAGGGATCCTTCTGTCTTGGCCTCCCAAAATCCTGGGATTACAGATGAGAGCCACAAACATGCCTGGCCATGAAATATACACTTCAATAGATTTAAGATGGTACATTTTATGTGTTTTTAAAATATTTCTTTTGTTCGGGCGTGGTGGCTCACGCCTGTAATCCCAGCATTTTGGGAGGCCGAGGCGGGCAGATCACGAGGTCAGGAGATCGAGACCATCCAGGCTAACACGGTGAAACCCCGTCTCTACTAAAAATACAAAAAATTAGCTGGGCTTGGTGGTGGGCGCCTGTGGTCCCAGCTACTCGGGAGCCTGAGGCAGGAGAATGGCGTTAACCTGGGAGGTGGAGCTTGCAGTGAGCCAAGATCACGCCACTGTACTCCAGCCTGGGCGACAGAGCAAGACTCCGTCTCAAAAAAAAATTCTTTAAAAAAAAAACTGAAAAAAATACAGAATTATAAATCTTTTTGAAAATTACCTTCAAATCACTAAAGTGTTTCTCTCACAAAACGAAATATGTATTCATCATTAAACACATGGTAAAAATAAGACTACCTCCATGACAACTCACTTAGACAAGATAAAACTGCCATTGAAAATCGGCTAAGAAAGAATATAGGATAAGCCATAACTAAAATTGGGGTCACATTTATAAATAAACACACAGACATATGTAATCTGATTGTGATAAACATGCATAATTTATCTCTTAATTAAACCTCAAATTGACTTAAACTGTACAAACAGAATTGCAAATTGTCTAAAATTGTAATACGAAAGTAAAGCCAACAGACACAAAAAACTGATGTTAAGAAACCTACACTGAGGCCAGGCACAGTGGCTTATGCCTGTAATCTTAGCTCCTTGGAAAGCTGAGACACGAGAATTGCTTGAACCCGGGAGGTGGAGGTTGCAGTAAGCCAAGCCCGCACCACTGTACTCCAGCCTGGGTGACAGAGCGTGACTCAGACTCACAAAAACAAAAAAAATTGTCTAGGTAACTGGAATATTTAACTATTACTGTATACTCATCAAATGTGAGTATTTTGAATCATTGGCATGCACTGTGTGGCAGTAAAATTTCAGAGAATAAGGAGTATAATTATAAATAGAAGATTCTAATGAGAAACTTCTAATAAATAGCATTTAAAAGAAACTAGAGTTATATTTGTTTTAAATATATGCTATTCTTACACAAAATGAAACTGCTGTAATCCAACTTTGAAGCAAAGAATAGCCTTACATTGTTAAATATAGAAAATATATATATCTACTTTGCAGAATAGGGTTAGACCCTCTGATATGTAAAACAATTAGAAAATAAACTATGTTGTTATTCAGATATAGGCTGAAGAAAGTAGAGGAAAATTCTGTAATTCCTTTTTGCCAGCAGCAAAATTAAATTTATAAGTAAATATTTTAGTAAATATGGAGTGCCCACTAATTATCTAATTTACTGCAGGCATAATATGCAAATTTTAACAAATTGTTTTAAATATCTGAATCTAAAATTACAGACAAACTTGAAGTAGAAAATAGAAAGTAAAAATGTATAAGGAGAGTGACATCAGTAAGATAAAAAGACTAGCTGGGTGCAGTGGCTCATGCCTGTAATCCCAGCACTTTGGAAGGCCAAGGCGTGCGGATCATGAGGTCAAGAGATTGAGACCATCCTGGCCAACATGGTGAAACCCCATCTCCACTAAAAATAACAAAAAATTAGTCAGGCATGGTGGCAGGTACCTGTAATCCTAGCTACTTGGGAGGCTGAGGCAGGAGAATTGCTTGAACCTGGGAGGCGGAGGTTGCAGTGAGCCAAGATCGTGCCATTGCACTACAGTCTGGGCAAAAAGAGCAAAACTCCACATCAAAAAAAAAAAAAGAAAAAGAAAAAAATGAAAAGACTAAAAGTGCCCTATTTTCATATCCCCTTACAATAAAAATATATATGTGTATGTATATATATATATATATGTGTATGTATATATATCAGCCATACCTGACAAAAATGCCTTTATGCATTGTGGCTCACACATGTAATGACAGCTACATGGTACATTAAGGTTATGTCACTGCTTCAGGCCAGGATTTCGAGACCAGCCTGGGTTATGTAGCAAGATGCCATCTCCAAAATAAGTGCCTCTAAGAGAGATTTGAGATCCAGGGAGGGAGTTGTGAAACACTGTCAAAGCTTAAGATTGAGAAGAGTTTTATTCAGAAGGCAGGCCCTCATTCAGGTGCGAAACTACAGGACCCCTGTTCTTGGCTACAGACCAGGATAAGATTCATCCAACTTGGTCCTACTGAAAATTCAGAACTTACTCTGTAACCATCCCAAACTTTTCCCAGCCACAGTCTGGCAGAGGTCCTGCCATTCCCTGACCTGGAGGAAGGCACACACTTACAGCCATGTAGGCAGGCCTGCAGACTTTGGCCTTTACTGTGGTCCCTGAAGCAATTCAATGACTCAGTTTCAGTTACCTGAGCCACAGTTTATGGTCAGTTCTGCCTATATAGAAACCCACACAGTTACCTGAGGAAATGCTCTTTGGTACTCACTGAAAGCCACACTCATCCACATCCTGATACAAGGCCCAGCATATGCAGACCTGACTGCAAAAACCTGCCCTAGTGTCTGCCCTATGGAACAAAGTCTTGAAGGATATTCAGTCTGTCTAAAAATAAAATGAGAATTACAACTACCAAAGCCCCTGTAACAAGCCAACTAAAGGTGGACCCTAGTGCAGACCCAGCAGCCTTGTGACCAAGCTACAACCCCTCTTCACTACAAATTCAGAGGGCATCTCATCACCCTAAGGGCCAACAAAAGATCTTTACCTTCTAAAATCAGTTTGTGAAAACTTGAAGAGGTATTTGCTGCATTGAATTCAGACACCAATACAAAACTATATTGTGAGCATTGTCAATGCTTCTATTTTGTGTGTGTGTGTGTGTAGGTGTGAGATGCAGTTTTGCTCTTGTTGCCCAGGCTGAAGTGCATTGGTGTGATCTCGGCTCACTGCAACCTCTGCCTCCTGCCTCAAGCGATTCTCCTGTCTCAGCCTCTGGAGTTGCTGGGATTACAGACTCATGTCGACACACCCAGCTAATTTTTGTATTTTTAGTAGAGATGGGGTTTCATCATATTGGTCAGGCTGGTCTCAAACTCCTGACCTCAGGTGATCCACCCGCTTCGGCCTCCCAAAGTGCTGGGATTACAGCTGTGAGCCACAGAGCCTGGCCAGTGCTTCTATTTTAATGTAGCACTGGAAGTATGTGGCAGAAGAATTAGTCAAAGAAATAAAAAAACTATTGAAATAAAAAAAGTAAAAAGTTGCTGTTTGTAGATCATACAATTGTGTATATAAAAAACCATAAACAGTACATTAAAATCTGTCTAAACTATTAAGTACACTCAGTAAATTAGCAAAATACAAAATTAACATACAAGTATATATAGGGTTTCATACACTTTTTTTTTTTTTTTTTGAGGAGTCTTGCTCTTTTGACCAACCTGGAGTGCAATGGTGTGATCTTGACTAACTGCAACTTCCACCTCCTAGGTTCAAGTGATTCTCCTGCCTCAGCCTCCCGAGTAGCTGGGATTACTGACATGCACCACCACACCCAGCTAATTTTTGTATTTTTAGTAGCGACAGGGTTTCTCCGCGTTGGTCAGGCTGGTCTCGAACTCCCCACCTCAGTTGATACACCCACCTCAGTCTCCCAAAGTGCTGGAATTACAGGCGTTGGCCACCGTGCCTGGCTACAGTTTCATACACTTAAAACAAACTATCTAACAAAATAGAGGGAAAAAAATCTTATTTGCTGTAGCATTAAGTAATAAATTTCTGAGAAAAAAATTGACCAAGGAGGTAAAAATCTTTACAATAAAAAATGAAAAAATTAAAGAAGATCCAAATAAATTTTAAAATATTTTGTCTATGGATTGAAAGAATAAATATTAATAAAGTACCATATTATCCAAAGTGATCTATAGATTCAATAGACTTCCTATCAAAATTGCAGTGGCATTTTTTTCACAGTACTGGAAAATACAATTCTAAAATTTACATGAAACTAAAATAAACTTTGAATAGCCAAAGCAATCTTGAGGAAAAGGAATAAAGCAGAAAAATATCATACTTATAATTTCAAACTATATTTCAAGACTTTATAGTAATAAAAACAGAATAGACTGTGCTGAAAAAAATAAACAAAAAAGTGCAACAGAAACTATTACTCTCACACATATCAGACCTGATGCAAAAAGATAACATGAAAAATAATTTTAGTTTCTCTAAATAATGCAAATAGATATTTGCATATCTGCAAAACAATGGAAAAGCAGCCAGATTGTGCAGTCTCTTTTTCGTTTGTCTTGTTTTGTTTTTTTGTGATGGAGTCTCACTCTGTTGCCCAGGCTGGGGTGCAATGGCACGATCTTGGCTCACGGCAAGCTCCGTCTTCTGGGTTCAAGTGATTCTTTGGCCTCAGCCTCCCAAGTAGCTGTGATTATAGGTGCCCAACAACCCCCCTGGCTAATTTTTGTATTTTTAGTAAAGACGAGGTTTCACCATGTTGGTCAGGCTAATCTCGAATTTCTGACCTCAGGTGATCCACTGCCTTAGCCTCCCAAAGTTCTGAGATTACAGGCATGAGCCAATGTGCCCAGCCTGTGCAGTCTCTTATATGCCATGAAGAGGACTTTGGCTCTCACTGTGAACTTGAAGGAAGCTCACCAAAAGAAAAGTGGAATCCTTAGAGAATTTAAAATCATAAGACAGAAGATGCCCCTTTGTAGGAGCAAAATTAAATAAATAAATAAACAAATAACACAGCTGCCCAGGAACTATTTCCTTTGGAACACAGCTTCCTGAATCACATTTTAAAAACTTGCTTTCTCATTGACCTTGGGACCTCTTATCTCTGTCGTCTCTTGTATTCATTTTCACTCACACCTACTTGGGGGTTTGGCAATCATCTCATGTCTCTTCATAGTCAAGGGTTTTTTTCCTTGCTCCAGACAGGTGATCAGGTCTGGCTTAGGACAACAATACCTGTTTTATTAAAAATAAATAACATGAGTCTTGCTCATATTCTCCAATTATAAGCACATTACTAAATGTGCTCAGCAGAGCAGATATAATAAAATATTCTAGTAAATTAATACCAAAATACTAATTCATAACAGAAATTTATAAATATTTAGAAAATACTTTCAGCCAGGTGCAGTGGCTCACACCTGTAATCCTAGCACGTTGGGAGGCTGAGGTGGTGGATAACCTGAGGTCAGGAGTTCAAGACCAGCCTTACCATCATAGAGAAACCCCATCTCTACTAAAAATACAAAAAATTAGCCGGGCATGGTGGCACAGGCCTCTAATCCCAGCTACTCAGGAGGCTGAGGCAAGAGAATTGCTTGAACCCAGGAAGTGGATGTTGTGGTGAGCGGAGATCATACCATTGCACTCCAGCCTGGGCAACAAGAGTGAAACTCTTCAAAAAAAAAAAAAAAAAAAAGGAAAAAAAAAGAAGGAAAGAAGAAAGAAAGAAAGAGAGAAAGAGAGAGAGAAAGAAAGAAGAAAGAAAGAGAAAGAAAGAAACAAAGAAACAAAGAAGGAAAGAAAGAAAGAAAGAAAGAAAGAAAGAAAGAAAGAAAGAAAGAAAGAAAGAAAGAAAGAAAGAAAAAGAGAAAGAAAGAAAAAAAAAGGAAGGAAGAATACTTTCAATATGCCGGTTTCTTAATTTTACTATCTGGTACTACTGAATCAAAAATTGGTGGTGGCAATTAGATTTTCAGGTGGGGCAACAATATTTTATGCCACTAAGTTTCTGGAATTACCACTAATTTAGAGTGAAGAATACAGCTCAACTCAGGAATGTGGAAAGTCTGGATTAAGATGAAACATCTTGAAGAAATTCTTTTCTAAATGAACAAATTCTGAAGATTTTCTGGAAAAAGTGGATCTGAAACTCTTTTATGAAAAGAATAAATTACTAAAAAAATTCTGCAAAAAAAGAGAAATAAAATCTTTAGGGTATATTATGAATTATGTATTCAGGTTATCCTCACCAAGGAAGACCAGGTTTCTGTGGTTCTCTAAAATCACATCCCTATATAAATTCCACTGTGCAGTGTCCAGGCAATGCCACTCCTCCAGAGAGAATTCTGTGGCCACATCCCTAAATTGCAGTGGTCCCTGAAACACACACACACACACCTTTACTTAAATGGCCATGAGCAGAATTTTCAATTTGACTTAAGGTGAAATGCGAGCATAAAGAGAACTGGTTCTGACTTATAGGATGACTAAAATTATCCAATAAAATAGTTTTCAACACAGAAATATTCTCTAATATATTCTCTAACTCTGAGAAAAAAGAGCAGCATAAGATCCGCCACATCGGTTCATATATATTTTTCTAGATAATAAAGTATAAAATTGAGGGCATGAACAAGAACACATACAGTTTTGAGTGCTATATTTACATCATACAGAATGAGTTGTGAATATTTTTCTGTGGGGAAAAGAAAGAGAGATCAGATTGTTAATGTGTCCATATAGAAAGTAGACATAAGAGACTCCATTTTAATCTGCAACCCTATCCCCAGCCCTGTGCTCCCTGAGACATGTGCTGTGTCAACTCAGGGTTAAATGGATTAAGGGCTGTGCAAGATGTGCTTTGTTAAACAAATGCTTGAAGGCAGCATGCTCCTTAAGAGTCATCACCACTCCCTAATCTCAAGTACCCAGGGACACAAACACTTCTCAGAATCACTTTGCAGGGGTTGTCTGGGCTCAGTCTCACCTCCCAGGTTTCAGAGGCTGCAGGTTTTATTCAGCTATGGTGGATCCAGGCTGGGATTCCTTCTACCTTTACAGCTGTGGGGGGGTGGTCAAGATGATGGTCTGGGCTCCTTTCCACCGTGGTCGCAAGGGGGATGTGTTCCAATCTTTGATCCACACTCAATCACCTGGGGAGAAAGGGTGAATTGGGGAGAATAAGCTGATGGGGCACCTCTCATTTACACAGGCTGAAATTGTTTGAGTAAATTTCCTAAGGCCTGTAGCTGTAGCTGTCACTGTAACTCAATTTCACCTAACTCTTGTGGAGTGCCTGGGAGTCCCTGTAATATAGGAAGGGGCCTATGATATAATATTTCATAGGGAGAATATCCTGTTCTCTTTGAAGGGTTGCATCAATCTTGAACAGTACCAGGGTTAAAAGTACCGCTTTAATCCTGTTTTCTGACATACTTTCCCTAAACTGTTTTTGATTGTCTGATTCATCCACTCCACCTTTCCGAACTCTGCGGTTGGTAGGCTGCATGCAGTGTCCATGTGATCTCCTATACCTTTGATGTTTACTGTACCAAGTCAGCCACACATGCTGGCCTGTTGTCCAAGCTGATCCATAAGGGCAGTCCAAACCTGGGAATAAGATCTTGAAGAAGCACACGGGTTGCCTCATGAGCTTTCTCAGTTCATGTTGGATAAGCCTCTACCCACCCAGAGTAGGTACCAGGTACAGAGTAGAACTAGTAAATACTTATTACCTCCACGCTTTGGCATTTCTGTGAAGTTCACTTGGAGATCTTCAAAGGGGGCTGCTCCATATGTCTGTATACCTGGCAGAACGGCTGGACCCTGTCTTGCATTGTGCTGTCGGCAGATAACACATCGCTGCGCTACTGTTTTGGCAAGAGCTGATAAATGGGAGATGTAAAAATACCGGCCTAACAACTTTTCAAGTGATTCCTGACCTAGATGGGTAGTTAAATGCACAGCCAGTACAACCTCTGCTCCAAGTAGCTGTGGCACAGCTATTCTCCCATCCGATACCTGGATCCATCCTTCCTTTATTACCTGTCCCCCTTCCACTTGGAAAAAGTTTTTTTCTCCCTTAGAATAGGTAGGTAAAAGTTCAGGTTCTTGAGGGAGAAAGGGGGCTGTGATTGATGCCCGGTAAGGGGTGGATGCTGCCTTTTGAGCCTCCGAGTCCACTCAGGAGTTCCCTAAAGCAACTGTAGTAGGAGTTCACTGGTGTCCTCTGCAGTGCGTGACTGCCATCTTCTGGGGCTTCCACACTGCCTCTAATAATTGCAAGATTTCTTGCTGATACTTTATATCTTTTCCCCCAGAGTTTAACAGGCCTGTTTCTTTATATAATGCTTTATGCACTTGGAGGGTTAAAAAGGCATATCGAGAGTCAGTGTAAATGTTCACAGTCTCACTTAGCTCTAGGGCCCAAGTTAAAGCAATGAGTTCGGCCTCCTGGGCTGAAGAACCCTGGAGGCAATTATTTGGCTTCAATAAAAGCATCCAGAGGTGCATATCCTGCACACCTCTCTCCTTGTGGGTTGATGAAGCTGCTCCCATCCACATATAACTCCAAGTCTACTGATGTCCAAGGCTGGTCCCATAGGTCAGGTTTGCTAACCTGAGCAAACTGAGTGCAACACCTCTATATAGTTATGCTCAACAGGGCTCTCTGATACCGGGAGCAGGGTGGTGGGGTTCAGGCTGTTACAAACTTCAATGGTTATGCAGAGACTTTTACAGAGCAAGCTTTGGTACTTGGTTAGTCTAGCGTTCGTTAGCCAATGATATCCTTTGGTATTCATTAAAGTCACCACAGCATGAGGTGTTTTATGTTTAGGTTTTGCCCAAGAGTTAATTTATCTGTTTCTTGTGCTAGCAGGGCAGTTGCTGCTAAGGCTCTCAAACACGGGGGCCAAACTTTAGAAACCCTGTCCAGTTGTTTAGATAGGTAGGCCACCAGCCTTAGCCAGGGCCCCACAGCCTGGATCAAAACCCCAATTGCCATTTTTTCTCTCTCTGACACATATAGTGTAAATGGCTTTGACAGGTCAGGCAGACCCAGGGCTGGGGCTGACATGAGTTACTCTTTTAATTCATGGAAGGCTTGCTGCTGTTGAGACCCCCATTCAAAAGTTTCCTGGATGCCCCCCTTTGTGACTTGGTACAGAGGTTTGGCCAGTACTGCAAAGTTTGGGATCCATAACCTGCAGATCCCCACAGCTCCTAAGAACTCTCTCACCTGCCTCCTGGTCTTAGGTTCTGGTAGGTTGCAAATGACCTGCTTTCTTTACAGTAAGCACACCGGTTACGCTGCAGACGTGGTCAGTCAGACTGTGTGTTTTCCCCGGGGTCCCCCATTCCTCAGCCCTTTGGGGGAACCCCTTTAATAGCTGTGGCTGGCAGGTCAGCATTTCACCGGGCTTGGCGCTCACTTTCTTTACGGCTTTCTCTACGACCCGTCGCATCTCTATTCACAAACGCCTGATTGGCTATTTCTAATAACTGAAGTGTTCATACCTGCAAACCCAGTCTGTTTCTGAAGCTTTCTTCTAATATCTTCGGCGCTTTGACTAACTAAAGCCACATTAATCATGCACTGATTTTCAGGGCTATCTGAATCAAAGGGAGTATACATACGATATGCCTCACATAGTCTCTCATAAAATTGTGCTGGACTCTCTTCTTTTCCTTGAATGACCTCGGAGACTTTGTTAACATTTGTGGCCTTCTGGGCTCCCTTTTTTAACCCTTCTAGGAGGGCCTCCCTATATCATTTTAGTCTTTTCATGTCTGGCCCTTCATTTGGGTCCCACTGGGAGTCTGTTCCTGGTAATTGGAACCTTACATACTCTTGGACATTTTGGTAATTGGCCAGAGCATGTTCCTCCAGCCACTTAGTTGCTGCCTGGAGCACCCTTCACCTTCCATCTGTGTTAAAGAGGTACATGAGCAGTTGGTGGCAATCAGCCCAAGTAGGGTTATGAGTCTGGATAATAGTTTGGAGCAAATCAAAGCTTGAGGCTTTTCAGTATAAGATGGGGTATTGTTCTTCCAATTGAGGAGATCAGCAGAGGTGAAAGGTTGATACACAAAGGCATGACTTTTTACCACATGCCTGTCCTCATCTACTCCAGTATATCACTGCTCCCTCAGGGGCATCTGTGTTCCAGTCTTAGGTCCTAAATGAGCCACCAAGGGAGGGGTTTCTCCCATGGCTTCACATCCTCTCTTGTTTACTCTGGGTGGTCTAGGGGTGTGTGTGTCCTGTGGAGGCACAGGTGCTGTGGGCTCAGAAGTGGGGGTCTCTCATCTCGATAAGGGGGAGGCATCACTGGTGCCATTTCCTGCCATGAGTCTTCTGATATGGGGTCAGACAGAACTTTAGGAACCGACTTCCCTCGATGGGTGGAGTGGGATTCTTCTTGGCTACCTGTCCTTTGCCACTAACACTGCTGCTGCCTGTCCTCTCAACCACTGTGGGGGGGTCTAAAACTAGCTGTAACCAAGTGTCTATGTACGGGAACTGGTCTGGGTATCCTGGCTTACAAGATATCTTGTGCAATACCTTTGAAACAAGGGACCTGTCCAGGCTTCCTTCTGATGTCCAACCCACTTCTAATGCTGGCCAATCTATTTCACATAAAGATCTAAGTTTCTCTGGTGTCATGGTAACCCCATAGTCTCCTGTAAATCCCTTCTTGAAATTTTTCAGCATAGTTCCAAGTGGGGTAGGCTTACTTTGTGTCTGACCCATTTTTCTCTAGAGACAAGACAAAACTCACACTACAAGAAGGAAAGGGTAAAAGGTCACACACTTGCCTAATTCACACTGTATCAAAATCAAAACCAAAACCATGGTGCCAAGCAATTTAAGCCAAGACAAAATCAAAACCAAAACCAAAATGCCGATAAAGGCACGTCATGGGTGATCAGGCCATGCTTCCCCTCAAATGGAGTGAGCAAGTTTCTAAGACCGGTCTTACCATGTTCCAGATGTCCAGACTCAAGTTGCCAGTTCCTTCCCAGTGTTCAGCCACTGCATTGATCCTCCACAGGGGCCTCCCATGCACTGCACTGACAAGGCATTCCACCAGGGCAATTGCCTACCTGGGAGCACTCTCAGGATCCGTGTCTCTCAGGCTGGCTGGAGTCCCCTACGGGGATGCTCCACAGGACAGGCCTAAGTCACCTAAAAGACTGCCTTGACCAACCACTAATCACCTCACTTCCCAGTCAGGGAACCAAGAAATGTAGCAGGACGAGCCACAGACAAACTCCTCAGACACCAGGTTAAAGAAGGAAGAGGCTTTATTCGGCCAGGAGCATCAGGAGACTTGCGTCTCAAAAGCCGGCTCCCTGAGACAGAAATTTCTGTCCCTTTTAAGGGCTTACAACTCTAAAGGAGTCCACGTGAAAGGGTCATGATTGATTGAGCAAGCATGGGGTACATAACTGAGCGTGTATGCATCGGTAATCCGGACAGAACAGAAAATTTCACAATGCTTCCTCATACAATGCCTGAAATCTATGGATAATACAAGCAGTTAGGTCAGGAGCTGATTTTTAACTACCAGCCCTGGGGAGTGGCCAGGAGCTGTCTAACTATTGATCTCATTTCTGACTTTCTTTAGCTTTTGCTTCCTCTTTTCTTTTTCTGAGGCTTGAGACAAGCAGAAAGGTGGTCTCCTTCCTTACAGTGTCAGGGGATTAGTCTTTCCTTTCTTCTCACTGGAAATATTTACAAACAGAAAACAAATCTTTTCAATAGTGTTAGCCAATGCTTTTTTAAAATGATTAACTGAAGAACATGGGGTACCCTTGAGGCATATGTGAAAAATGCCATGGAAAATCAGTCCCCTATGTGGTATGAAAATAATTATGTGGCAGGCAAATAAACTGAGGAGGCTGTAGTCCTCAAATTCCTACTTCTAAAATAAAAAAATCTAAACTCAAGGACATTTTTTGGTTAATTACTACATTAGGGGTAGGGCCGGGTGTGGCGGCTCATGCCTGTAATCCTAGCATTTTGGGAGGCCGAGGCAGGTGAATCACGAGGTCAGAAGATCAAGACCATCCTGGCTAACATGGTGAAACCCCATCTCTACTAAAAATACACACAAAAAATTAGCCGGGCATGGTGGCATGCACCTGTAGTTCCAGCTACTTGGGAGGCTGAGGCAGGAGAATCACTTGAACCTGGGAGGCGGAGGTTGCAGTGAGCCGAGATCATGCCATTGCACTCCAGCCTGGGCTATACAGTGAGACTCCGTCTCAAAAAAAAAAAAAGTTTTACATTAGGGGAAACAAAATTCAGGCTTAAGCAACTATAAACTGTCAATTAAGCTCTGATTACATAACCAGGAAATTTCCACCTTAATTGAACAAATTAAGAACCTACATAACCATACCTGAGCAATTATTGAATATAGTTTTCTTCATCATGCACCCTATAAATGTCTTTCCTTCAAGCTCCTCCCATGGACCACAAACTACAAACTATAGCTGGGTGCTCGACAATTCTTGAATCACTGTTTGATTAAATTATTTCCATTTTGGCAGAGACACTCATACTTTTTTTTGTTTTTTTGTTTGTTTTTTTGTTTTTAGACAGAGTCTTGCTCTGTCGCCCAGGCTGGAGTACAGTGGCATGATCTCAGCTCACTGCAACCTCCACTCCTGGGTTCAAGTTATTCTCTCACTTCTACCTCCTGAGTAGCCTGGACTAGAGACATTCACCATCACACCCAACTAATTTTTGTATTTTTAGTAGAGATGGGGTTTCCCCATTTTGGCCAGGTTTGTCTTAAACTCCTGACCTCAAGTGATCCACCTGCCTAGACCACCTAAAGTGCTGGGATTACAGGTGTGAGCCACTGCACCTGGCCCCATAAATTTTTTTTGTTTGTTTTTGAGATGGAGTTTTTCTCTGTTGCCCAGGCTGGAGTGCAGTGGCACGATCTTGGCTCACTGCAACCTCCACCTCCCAGGTTCAAGCAATTCTCCTGCCTCAGCCTCCTGAGTAGCTGGGATTACAGGCACACGCCACAATGCCCAGCTAATTTTTTTGTATTTTTTTAGTAGAGATGGGGCTTCACCATATTGTCCAGGCTGGTCTTGAACTTCTGACCTCAAGTGATCTGCCCACCTCAGCCTCCCAAAGTGCTGGGATTACAGGCATGAGTCACCATGCCCAGCCGCTGGCCTCATAAATTTATAATAGGAGAAAAGAGAAATTGTAAACCCTGTGAGATATAATAGATCTCATCCTCCCAAGTAGCTGGGATTACAGGCATGTGGCACCATGCCTGGTTAATTTTTTGTATTTTTAGTAAAGACAGGGTTTCTCCATGTTGGTCAGCCTGGACTCGAACTACCGACCTCAGGTGATCCACCCACCTCGGCCTCCCAAACTCCTGGGATTAAAGGCGTGAACCGCTGGGCCTGGCCTAGCTGCAGCCTTTTCAAACAGGGCTTCCTACCTGAGCTGAGCCAGGCCCATTCCAGAGCATGGGAAAATTCTATCTCTTTTCATTGTCTCTCTTTTTGAATGTATTCAAAAGATGAACGGAAGTATTGTGCTGTCATATTAATAATACATAAAATTTTTGTTCAAGAGAAAATCAACTTTTACTTGTTAATAGTGTATTATCAACACTAAAGCCAATTTTAATAAAACCTTATAAAGCTGGTGCAGTGGCTCACACCTATAATCCTGGCCCTTTGGAAGGCTGAGGCGGTCGGATCAGGAGTTCAGGAAATCGAGACCATCCTGGCTAATACAGTGAAACCCCGTCTCTACTAAACATAAAAAAAATTAGCCGGGCCTCCTGGTATGAGCCTGTGGTCCCAGCTACTAGGGAAGCTGAGGCAAGAGAATCGCTTGAACCCGTGAGGTGGAGGTTGCGGTGAGCCAAGATCGCACCGCTGCACTCCATCGTGGGCAACAGAGCAATATTTTGTCTCAAAAAATAAAAATATAAATAAATAAATAAATACAACCTTGTAAATAAACAAAATTTGTCATTTTTGACCTCTCAAGATATACATGTATATTTTGTAATCTCTTGTAATTTTTTGAACTTTTTATATTTTATTTTTATCTGCATTCTTTTTATTTTTTCAATTTGAAACCACCTTTAAGTAATTTCACATTGTTATAGGAAACAAAAAGATATCATTTAGTGATAACCTCAGTGGCTCACGCCTGTAATCCCAGAACTTTGGGAGGCCTAGGTGGGTGGATCACTTGAGGTCAGGAGTTCAAGACTAGCCTGGCCAACATGGTGAAACTCCATCTCTACTAAAAATACAAAAAATTAGCAGGTTGTGGTGGTGCACTTTTGTAGTGCCAGCTACTCTGGAGACCGAAACAGAAGAATCGCTTGAACCCAGGAGGTGGAGGTTGTGTAAGGCCCAAGAGGTTCACCTTGCCCTTTGCCTAGACAGAGCTGATTCATCAAGACAGGCGAATTTGTGGAGGAAAAGTTAAATAATAAATTTGAACTCAATTGAACGTGGACACAAACAATGGTCACCGAGTCCCAGAACAGGTTGTGTGAGCCCCTTCAAGCGTTCATTCAGTGCTGTTTTGGAGAAATCTCTATTTCAATCTATTCCTATGCATTAGTTATTGAAAAACAATAGGCAATCGCAAAAACAAGTTGACATTTTTATGTTCCTCGTGCCGGGTCATGAAAGGCCCTCGTGACTAGGCCTCATGCGAAACAACTAGTTACAAAAGAGCTAGGATACCAGACTGGGCTGAAGCTTCATGAGACCTCTTCTCATCTGTGCAGGAATGAGCGGCCGACTCTGGAGCCCAAGCTGTTGCTTCCCATCTGGTGGTGAGGCCTCCACTGTCTGGTGAGTGCAATGTCCGATGCTAGAGCCCAGGCTGTTGCTTCCCACTCTGGTAGTGAATCCTCCATAGTCTGGTGAGTGTAAATATATATATATTTTTTCCTTTCTCCTCTTCCCATTGCAATTTGCTTATTATATCAATCTACTTGTTATATCAATCTGCTTATTATATTGATTTGCTTATTACATAATTTGCTTATTATATCTGCATTGCTATTTACGTGGAATGAAGCTTGTTTACCCTTAAAGGTATTGTGTGTGTGTCTTTCCTTCTCCCCCTCGTGCGTTTCCCGCACAGAACACTTTTGGTGTCACAAACAGGATTCAAAAACAAAAGTGTGCCACTTTTTAGCAACAAGGGCAGGGCGGGAGGCTCGAGGACTTCCCATATCCCCGGATGGAAACTCCCCCAGTTCTCTCCCTTGGCAATTGAATGGTCAAGGGGAACCGG
This sequence comes from Homo sapiens, assembly GCF_000001405.40. Taxonomy (NCBI): domain Eukaryota; kingdom Metazoa; phylum Chordata; class Mammalia; order Primates; family Hominidae; genus Homo; species Homo sapiens. Next base: position 20,240,122 of record NC_000019.10, on the reverse strand, counting down.
ACTTTGTAAGAATTGGGAATCTAAATTAGTGCAATTTAGACCTTTGTGCGTGAAGTGCTGCAGGGAATTCCAGTCAGCAAAGGAGACGCTGAGGGGATCTCCCAGAGTGGATGGTGTTTCCTTACTGCTTATAAGATAATGTGTCAAGATAGGGGCTGGTTGCATCCTATGAAATGCAGGGAAATAATTCATTTTACCAAAGGCTAAGCCTAAAATACTAGAATTTGCAACCCCTACCACTAAAAATGAGGCTCAGAAATTTATTGGCTTGTTTGGATTCTGGAGACATCATATTCCCCACTTGGGTAACATGTTACAACCTCTGCATGCAGCCACCAGAAAACGCTATGACTTTGGGGAGAGAAAGAGATCATGGCTTCCGAACAAGATAAACAAGCAGTGCAACTGGCCCTGGATCTATGACCCATTTGGGATGGTCCCGTAGAACTGCAAGTAACTGTCCTAGATCAACATGCTAATTGGAGCCTTAGGCAGAAACAAGATGGGAAGAGGTACATTTCTGGTTTTGGACCCAGAAACTGCCAGAGGCCAGCAAAGCTTATAACCCTTTCGAGGAGCAATTGTTAGCTTGCTATTGGGCTTTGCTGGAAACGAAACACCTCTGCTTCAACCATGATGTCTTTATGAGGCTTGAAATTCCTATTATGACTTGGGTCATGAGTTCCCCCGAAACTCACCAGATAGGGCACGCCAAGGGGGAGAACTGGGGGAGTTTCCATTCCGGGATTTGGGACGTCCCCAAGTTTCCAGCCTTGGGCTCCAGAGTCAGACACCGCACTCTCCAGGCTGGAAGATTCTCCACCAGGCCAGGAAGCAACAGCATGGGTTCCAGAGTGGGACACCCGCACTCACCAGACTATGAAGGACTCACCACCAGACCAAGAAGCAACAGCCTGAGCTCCAGAGTCAGACACCACCCTCATCAGACTGTGGAGGATTCACCACCAGACAGGGAAGCAACAGCCTGGGCTCCAGAGTTGGCCACTCGTCCGTGCACAGACGAGGAGAGGTCTCATGAAGCTTCGGTGCAGTCTGGGACCACAGCTCTTTAGTAACGAGTTGTTTGGCATAAAGCCCAGTCACAGGGCTCTTCAGGACAGGGCTTAAGGAACACAAAAAGGTCAGCTTGTTTTTGTGATTGTCTATTGTTTTTCAACAATAGTAGCTGTAATCCCAGCTACTCAGGAGGCTGAGGCAGGAAAATCGGGTGAGCGAGACCCCGCCACTGCACTCCAGCCTGGGTGACAAAGCGAGACTCCGTCTCAAAAAAAAAAAAAAAAACATTAGCTTTAGTATTGATAATACACTACTAACAAAGTAAACGTTGATTTTCTCTTGAACAAAAATTTTATGTATTATTAATATGCCAGCAAAATACTTCTGTTCACCTTTTGAATACATTCAAAAGGAGAGTGAGTACAAAAGAGAATTTTCTCATGCTCTGGGGGGGGCCTGGGTCAGCTCAGGAAGGAAGCCCTGCCTGTAAAGGCTGCAGCTTAGGCTGTCTCTCTTCACTTAGCCCAGCATCTGATCACATCTTCTGTCACTCAGGGCCTGAGGGGCGGGACCTAAAGCATTATCCAATCAGAGACGCTGGGCTGGAAACCGTCCAATCAGGCACGCAGCTGGAGCGACGAGGACGGCTTTCCGCTTTTGGCGCGGCCTTTGTCTCTAGCTGCAGCCGGCGTTTCAGGTCTCGTCTTCACTGGTCTGTGTCCTATTCTCCTGGAGGCCCAGCCTCTGTGGCCCTGTGACCTGCAGGTATTGGGAGATCCACAGCTAAAACCCCAGGACACCCTGGAAGCATAGAAATGGTGAGAGTGCCCGGCCGACATCCCGAGACAGGAAGAGGGGCAGGGTGGAACTGGTGGGAAGTGACTGTGGCGGGACTCAGGCCTCTTCGCAGTCAGCTCCACAATGTGCGCCCCAAGTTCTCCTTGCCCAGGTTGGCCTCAGCCCCCTTCAGCCTTAAGATGGCGACTGCGCTGACAGCCGGGCCGCCAGGCCTCCTGTCTCTTCCTCTCGCAGTGACTGTGCCATGGCCTGGAGCCCTTTCTAGGCAGCTCTGCAGCGGCAGCGCCGCGTTTCTCCCAGATTTTGCAGGGACCATGGGAGGGTCGTCAGGGGAGAATCCTGACTCGGGATGTGGGTTCATGAATGGGAAGAGCTTTGGTCCGTGGGGTTCACAGTTTCTCTTTTCTGTTATTAAAAATGTGTGGAATCCGGGAGGTGGAGCTTGCATTGAGCCGAGATTGCACCACCACTCCAGCCTGGGCGACAGAGGGAGACTCCGTCTCAAAGAAAAAAAAAAAGTATGGTGCCAGGTACGAAATGCCAGTAATCCCAACACTTTGGGAGGCTGAGAAGGGCTGATCACTTGAGGTCAGGAGTTGAAGACCAGCCTGGGCAAAATGGGGAAACCCCATCTCTACAAAGAAAATAGAAAAATTAGCTGAGTGTGATGGCGAATGTCTCTAGTCCCAGCTACTCGGGAGGCAGAGGAGAGAGAATCGCTTGAACCCAGGAGGCGGAGGCTGCAGTGAGCTGATATCACACCACTGCATTCCAGCCTGGGTGACAGAGCAAGACTTTGTCCTTTTTTTTTTTTTTTTTTTTTTTGAGACGGAGTCTCGCTGTCGCCCAGGCTGGAGTACAGTGGCGCGATCTCGGCCCACTGCAGGCTCCGCCCCCTGGGGTTCACGCCATTCTCCTGCCTCAGCTTCCCGAGTAGCTGGGACTACAGGCGCCCGCCACCTTGCCTGGCTAATTTTTTGTATTTTTAGTAGAGACGGGGTTTCACTGTGTTAACCAGGATGGTCTCCATCTCCTGACCTCGTGATCCGCCCGCCTTGGCCTCCCAAAGTGCTGGGATTACAGGCGTGAACCACCGCGCCCGGCCTAAGACTTTGTCTAAAAAAATAAATAAATACATAAATTATGGGAGTCACCGCAAAAATATCAAATAATTTAATCAGTCATTCAAGAGCACCCAGCTATAGTTTGTAGTTTGCGGTCCATGGGAGGGGCTTGAAGGAAACATTGATAAGGTGCATGATGAAGAAAACCATATTCAATAATTCAATACGTATAGTTATGTAGTTTCTTTGTACAATTAAGGTGGAAATTTCCTGGTTATGTAATCAGAGCTTAATTGGCAGTTTATGGTTTTTTAAGCCTGAATTTTGTTTCCCGAATGTAGTAATTTAGCAAAAACTGCACTTGAGTTTAGATTTTTATTTTAGAAGGAGGAATCCGAGGACTAGAGCATCCTCAGTCTAATTGCCTGCCACTTAATTATTTCCACACCCCACAGGGGACTGATTTTTCCCTAGCATTTTTCACATGTGTCCTAAGCAGGGCCTGAAATGTACCCCACGTTCCTCAATTAATCATTTTTTTTAAAGCATTGCATAACACTATTGAAAAGACTTGTTTTCTCTTTGTAAATATTTCCCAGAAGAAAGCAAAGAATAATCCCCTGACACTGTATTGTAAAAAATATCTGTGCCTGCATTTCTTTTGTTGTTTTTGTTTTTTGAGATGGAATCTGGCTCTATTGCCAGGCTGGAGTGCAGTCGCGCGATCTCGATTTACTGCAACCTCCGTCTCCTGGGTTCCAGCGATCCTCCTGCCTCAGCCTTTCCAGTAGCTGGGACTACAGGCGCGCGCCACCACGCCCAGCTAAATTTTTGTATTTTAAGCAGAGACGGGGTTTCACCATGTGGGCCAGGATGGTCTCAATCTCTTGACCTCGTGATCCACTCGCCTTGGCCTTCCAAAGTGCTGGGGTTAGGCGTGAGCCACCGCGCCCGGCTCCTCTTTTTCTTTTATTTTTCCAGAGAACTTACCAAAATGTTTTTGGGTCAAGATTACCCTTTGTAAACTTTGTAGGGTGATGTGTCCTCAGCTATCCTTCAGTTTTTTTTCTGGGCCTGAGTTTTAGTACTTTCTGGGAATAAACCAAGATACCCACCATGGCTATGTCTGGTAGAGTGTCTAGTGACTATTAGCTCTTGGGTCATTTTCTCCCATAGGACCACCTGAAGTATACAGTGTAGCCTCTCAAAAGAGCAGGTGACAGCCTTGGGGCTGAAAGGCATCTCCTGTTGCACTTCTTCTTTTTTCTTTTTTTTTTTTTTTTCCTGAAAAGCTAACCCCTTGAGGCTGGGTGCAGTGTCTCACGCCTGTAATCCCAGCACTTTGGGAGGCCGAGGTGGGTGGGTCACCTGAGATCAGGAGTTGGAGACCAGCCTGGAGGCTGGCCAACATGGTGAAACCCCATCTCTACTAAAAAATACAAAAAATCAGCCGGGCATGGTGGCAGGCGCCTGTAATCCCAGCTACTCGGGAGGCTGAGGCAGGAGAATGGCGTGAACCCGGTAGGCGGAGGTTTCAGTGAGCCGAGATTGCGCCACTGCACTCCAGCCTGGGCGACAAGAGCAAGACTCGATCTCACAAAAAATAAAGAAAAGCTAACCCCTTGAGACATGATTCTCTTCACCCAACCTAGCTTCCAATTCTTGGAGACACATTGCTTGTCAGCCAACCAGATGCTGGTATCGAGGGGAAAACAAATAATTTCTGTCCCCTAGATTTTCTTGGCGGGGGCAGGGGGGGGGTGGCAGAAAAATAGTGAAAAATTTGTTTAAAAAAAAAACACTCCAAAAGACAAAAAAAACTGACCCCAGTGAGATGGCGTAAAAATTTAGGAAGTAAAATGCACCTGGAGGACTCACTGGGTCATATCGCAGTGTCTCCTGGGAGGGTGGTTATTGAGCACGTAAATGAGCAGGATGGGGTGGGTGATTCGACCTGTACCTTGAAACGATCTGTTCACTTATTTTGACCTCCCTTTTTTTTTTTCTTTTTTGAGACAGTCTCAATCTGTTGCACAGGCTGGAATGCAATGGCTCAATCTCGGCTCACTGCAACCTCCACCTCCTGGGTTCAATTGATTCTCATGGCCTCAGCCTCCCAAGTAGCTAGGACTACAGGTGCGCACCACTAGGCCCAGCTAGTTTTTGTATTTTTAGTAGAGATGGACTAGGCTGGTCCCAAACTTCTAGTCTTAAGTGATCCACCTGCCTTGGCCTCCCAAAGTGCTGGGATTACAGGCGTGAGCCACTGCACCCAGCTGACATGTTTTTTTAACTAAAATTTGCATTTTATTAGTAGGGCTTGAAAGTTAAGAAAATATTTACAAAGAAAATAAAATATGAGTTTCAAAAAATTAATATCTAATCATATATTCCATTTGTTAATCATTCTCATTTATCTTTTTCTTTCCCAGAGTGAGTTTAGGAATTTTCTCAGGTGTGTTTTTTATGGCTGAGTGATTTCAAACAGAATTCCAAGCCTTAACTTTAAGAATGCTAGCTACCAAGGGAAAAAATAAGAAAAATCTCTCTTTCATTTTGGCTGTAGACAATGAATATATTTCCACAGGAAAATGTTGTAGATAATTGAGTTACATAAATTCATCAAAACATCAGTACCTCCTTTTGCTGGGTAAATTTGTGACAGTGAATAAATATCTCATGTCTATATCCTGTTGTCTTCATTTCTGAATGTAATGCTAAATTATATGTGATGAAACATGGTACCTTCTACAAGTGTTCCCATATGACTAATTTGTTACTACATTATTTTTAATAGAAATAATAAGATAATACATATATTGTCTGAAAGAAGTAGGTATATTTGCTTTTCTTATGAAGGTATAAAATGCAAGCACTTTAGCCAGGTGCAGTGACTCATGCCTGTAATCCCAGCATTTTGGGAGGCCGAGGCAGGTAGATCACTTGAGGTCAGGAGTTCCACACCAGCCTTCCCAACATAGTGAAATTCCATCTCTACTAAAAATACAAAAATTAATAGGGTATGGTGGCGCATACTTTGTAGTTTCAGCTGCTTGGGAGGCTGAGGGAGGAGAATGACTTGAACTCGGGAAGCAGAGGTTGCAGTGAGCTGAGATCATACCATGGCACTCCAGCCTGGGTGACAGGGCAAGACTCCATCTCAAAAAAAAAATTAAGCACCTTAAAATTTCCATCCCTTATATAAACACAGTGTTTGAGTAATTTCACTGGATTTTTTGAACAGTTTCAAAAACCAAGTAAATAACTCTCACATGGAAATTAAAGCTTGAACCTTGTGACTCCAAGCTAAGGCTAATATTAAGCCTGCAACAGGAGGTTATTAAAGGCCCAGTTAGTTATTCTTGGGGAACCTTTCCTGCAGATGTTTCAGCCTGCTCACCCGAGCCATGGAAGGAGCCTTCATCCTCAGAGAAACTGCAGAGCCCTGGAAAGCTGGGGCCCCACAGGCAGATGCAGTTAAGGTTAAAATGAAAGGAAACTGGGGGACGGTCTTACTAATGATGATGAAGTTGTTATTGTTTTGAGGCACCTTCTACACTTTGTGTAATACAAATGTTAGATTTATGTAAAAAAAATGAATTTCAAAAATGTATTGCAACAGGAGGAAGTACCAACTAACTATAAGATCTTTACGGCTTGCATAGATGTAGGCAGAAAAGAGCTTTCTTTTCTAGGGAGGAGCAAACAAGATTAGAAAGGAGGTGGGAGAGGAATGGCAAATGGAGGGTGAAAAAGTCAGATTATAGAAAAGAGAATGTCTTACCCTGAAATCAGCATATTCTTAGGAGGGACATAAAATGGGGTTGTATGTTGACTCAGACTGAGGGTAGCTCAAAGTTCAGGAGCCTGAGGGAGGGAGATAAGCTTAAGTAAAGTTTAAGAAGTATTTACTTTTAGGCTGGGTGTGGTGGCTTATGTCTGTAATTCCAGATCACAAGGTCAGGAGTGCGAGACCAGCCTGAGATGGTGAAACCTTGTCTCTGCTAAAAATACAAAAATTAGCCACCTGCGGGGGCACGTGCCTGTAATGCCTGCTACTCAGGAGGCTAAGGCAGGAGAATAGCTTGAACCTGGGATGCAGAGTTTGCATTGAGCTGAGATCATGCCATTGCACTCCAGCCTAGGCAACAGAGCAATACTCCAACTCAAAAAAAAAAGGAGATATTTTATTTTAAGCCTGGCATGGTGGCTCACCTGGAATCCCAGCATTTCAGGAGGCCAAGGCATGCAGATCACCAGAGGTCACAAGTTTGAGACCAGCCTAGGCAACATGGTGAAACCCTGTTTCTACTTAAAATACAAAAATTAGCCGGGCATGGTGGTGGGTGCCTATAATCCCAGCTACTCGGGAGGCTGAGGCAGGAGAATTTCTTGAACCCGGGATGCAGATGTTGCAGTGAGCCAAGATCACACCACTGCACTTCTGCGTGGGTGACAGAGCGAGATTCCAGCTCAAGAAAAAGACAGAAATATTTTATTTTTACCACTGAAGACAAATTCAGCTGATTTTTTTAATGAGAAAAAGGAGAAAATGTGCAGAGTGTGTGTCTGGCTCTGTGACAGGTAAGAAAAGGGAGCACCGTCTAAGTTGTAATGGGAAGAGTGTTTCTTTCCATAAACTGTTCTTGGAGCACATATAGGATGGAGAATTGTATTAATCACAAATATTTTCCAGCATTATCTATGCATTTCATCGTTCCCCATCACTTTTCTTTGTTCTATGCATTTCTTCCATTTGGCTTTTCCTGGGCTGCATCTTATATATGAAACTGGTAAACATAACTACAGTGTTTCGCTGAGTACTGTGAGTGGCTATACAAAATTATTCAACTTCAGGGAGGTCATGGCAGCCCCAAATATTAAACATTAGCTCAGAAGCATACATGGGCCCATGGGGTTTGTGATTGGCATCTGCAGTGAGGACAATGTTGGGACCCGAGCCCTGAATCAGAGTCTGTTCTGACTGTGGGTAGTGTCAGAATTCAAATGTTAGACAATAAATTGTTGGAGAATTTTTTGATGTTCAGCAAACTACAGATTTAGTGCCAGAAATAAGATATGACAGAGTCCTTGCCTGGAATAAAACTCTGGGTGTTTGGGAATGAGAGACTGCTCTCCTGTACACAGGCAGTCACACTGCCCATTGTCCTGTGATTCCAGGTCTTCTCCAAGGGTGACAGAGGCCTGAAAACTTAGAGGAAAGGAGCTCTGATGACAGACCCCCTTTTCACACAGCTGCTACCACAGGATTCCCACCCACTCACAAACACACACACTAGATATTGATGTGTCCACACTCCTCCCAGGACTAGGCACCCCCCTCAGGAACTTCACCATGGCGTTTTTGATCCAAGTGTTTTTTGCCAAAAAACAAGTCTCCTGGTACATCCCCTCAGACTGTAAATCTGCTGCAGCAACCTGTTTTCTCTACCAAACTAGGGTTCTGGACCACCTGTTCATAATCTCATCTGCATGCATGCACACAGAAATAAATCAGTACAGCCCCACTGGGACCACTATCTGTAGCAAAAATCAGTCCTTTCACCTACATTGCACTCTCCCACCCTGGGATTTTTTTTTTTCTTTTAGCTTTAATTTTTGTTTCGGGGTACACATGTGGGTTTGTTATACAGCTAAAATTGTGTCACGGGGGTTTGGTGTGCAGATTATTTTGTCCCTGAGGTACTACCCATAGCACCAAACAGGTATGTTTTCTGATCCTCTGAGTCCTTGCAGGGTCCACCCTAAACTAGTCCTCAGTGTCTGTTGTTTGTGTTCATGTGTTATTATTATTTACCTCTTATAAATAATAACAAGCATTTGGTTTTCTTTTTCTTCATTAGTTTTCTTTTTGGTTTGGTTTGTTTTTTGTTTTTGTTTTTGTTTTTTGAGACAGAGTTTCACTCTTGTTGCCCAGGCTTGAGTGCAACAGCGTGATCTCCGCTAACCACAACTTCCACCTCTTAGGTTCAAGGGATTCTCCTGCCTCAGCCTTCCGAGTAGCTGGGATTACAGGTACGCACCACAACGCCTGGCTAATTTTGTATTTTTAGTAGAGATTTGGTTTCTCCATGTTGGTCAGGATGGTCTGAAACTCCCAACCTTAGGTGATCCACCCATCTCATTCTTCCAAAGTGCTGGGATTACAGGCGTGAGCCACCGTGCCTTGATGTTATTGCAAAGACCTCATTTTTTTTTTACTTATTAATTTTTTATTATTATTATTATACTTTAAGTTCTAGGTGCATGTGCACAACATGCTGGTTTGTTACATATGTATACATGTGCCATGTTGGTGTGCTGCACCCATTAACTCATTATTCATATGAGGTATATCCTAATTCTATCCCTCTCTGCTCCATCACACACCCATGACAGGCCGGGGTGTGTGATGTTCCCCACCCTGTGTCCAAGTGTTCTCATTGTTCAATTCCCACCTATGAGTGAGAACATGTGGTTTTCTGTCCTTGTGATAGTTTGCTCAGAATGATGGTTTCTAGCTTCATTCATGTCCCTACAAAGGACACGAACTCATCCTTTTTTATGGCTGCATAGTGTATATGTGCCACATTTTCTTAATCCTGTCTATCATTGATGGACACTTGGGTTGGTTCCAAGTCTTTGCTATTGTGAATAGTGCCACAATAAACATACGTGTGCATGTGTCTTTATAGCAGCATGATTTATAATCCTTTGGGTATATACTCAGTAATGGAATGGCTGGGTCAAATGGTATTTCTAGTTCTAGATCCTTGGGGAATCACCACACTGTCTTCCACAATGTTTGAACTAGTTTACAGTCCCACAAACAGTGTAAAAGTGTTCCTAGTTCTCCACATCCTCTCCAGCACCTGTTGTTTCCTGACTTTTTAATGATAGCCATTCTAACTGGTGTGAGATGGTATCTCATTGTGGTTTTGATTTGCATTTCTCTGATGGCTAGTGATGATGAGCATTTTTTCTTGTGTCTGTTGGCTGCATAAATGTCTTCTTTTGAGAAGTGTCTGTTCATATCCTTTGCCGACTTTTTGTTAGGGTTGTTTGATTTTTTCTTGTAAATCTGTTTAAGTTCTCTGTAGATTCTGGATATTAGCCCTTTGTCAGATGGGTAGATTGTAAAAATTTTCTCCCATTCTGTAGGTTACCTGTTCACTCTGATGGTAGTTTCTTTTGCTGTGCAGAAGCTCTTGAGTTTAATTAGATCCCATTTGTCAATTTTGGCTTTTGTTGCCATTGCTTTTGGTGTTTTAGTCATGAAGTCCTTGTCCATGCCTATGTCCTGAATGGTATTGCCTAGATTTTCTTCTAGGGTTTTTATGGTTTTAGGTCTAACATTTAAGTCTTTAATCCATCTTGAATTAATTTTTGTATAAGGTGTAAGGAAGGGATCCAGTTCCAGCTTTCTACATATGGCTATCTAGTTTTCCCAGCACCATTTATTAAATCGGGAATCCTTTCCCCATTTCTTGTTTTTGTCAGGTTTGTCAAAGATCAGATAGTTGTAGATGTGTGGTATTATTTCTGAGGGCTCTGTTCTGTTCCATTGGTCTATATCTCTTTTGGTACCAACACCAGGCTGTTTTGATTACTGTAGCCTTGTAGTATAGTTTGAAGTCAAATATGGTGATGCCTCCAGCTTTGTTCTTTTGGCTTAGGATTGTCTTGGCAATATGGGCTCTGTTTTGGTTCCATATGAACTTTAAAGTAGTTTTTTCCAATTCTGTGAAGAAAGTCATTGGTAGCTTGATGGGGATGGCATTGAATCTATAAATTACCTTGAGGAGTATGGCCATTTTCATGATATTGATTCTTCCTATCCATAAGCATGGAATGTTCTTCCATTTGTTTGTGTCCTCTTTTATTTCATTGAGCAGTGGTTTGTAGCTCTTATTATTTTGAGATACGTCCCATCAATACCTAGTTTGAGAGTTTTTAGCATGAAGTGCTGTTGAATTTTGTCAAAGGCCTTTTCTGCATCTATTGATAATCATGTGGTTTTTGTCTTTGGTTCTGTTTACATGATGGATTACGTTTATTGATTTGCGTATGTTGAACCAGCCTTGCATCCCAGGGATAAAGCCAACTTGATCATGGTGGATAAGCTTTTTGATGCGCTGCTGGATTCAGTTTGCCAATATTTTATTGAGGATTTTTGCATCAATGTTCATGAGGGATATTGGTCTAAAATTCTCTTTTTTTGTTGTGTCTCTGCCAGGCTTTGGAATCAGGATGATGCTGGCCTCATAAAATGAGTTTGGGAGGATTCCTTCTTTCTCTATTGATTGAAATAGTTTCAGAAGGAATGGTACCAGCTCCTCTTTGTACCTCTGGTAGAATTCAGCTGTGAATCTGTCTGGTCCTGGACTTTTTTTGGTTGGTGGGCTATTAATTATATCCTCAGTTTCAGAGCCTGTTATTGGTCTATTCAGGGATTCAACTTCTTCCTTGTTTAGTCTTGGGAGGGGGTATGTGTCCAGGAATTTATCCATTTCTTCTAGATTTTCTAGTTTATTTGTGTAGAGATGTTTATAGTATTCATTCTCTGATGGTAGTTTGTATTTCTGTGGGATCAGTGGTGATATCCCCTTTATCATTTTTTATTGCGTCTATTTGATTCTTCTCTCTTTTCTTATTACTTTGGCTAGCAGTCTATTACTTTTGTTGATCTTTTCAAGAAACCAGCTCCTGGATTCATTGATTTTTTTTGAAGGTTCTTTTGTGTCTCTCTCTCTCCTTCAGTTCTTCAGACAATCAGTAAAAACAAACTTCTCCAAGCTAAAGGAGGATGTTCGAATCCATCATAAAGAAGCTGGAAACCTTGAAAAAAGATTAGATGAATGGCTAACTATAATAGACAGTGTAGAGAAGACCTTAAATGACCTGATAGAGCTGAAAACCATGGCCCAAAAACTACGTGATGAATGCAGAAGCTTGAGTATCCAATGTGATCAACAGGAAGAAAAAGTATCAGTGATTGTTAAAATGAATGAAATGAAGCAAGAAGAGAAGTTTAGAGATAAAATAATAAAAAGAAATGAACAAAGCCTCCAAGAAATATGGGACTATGTGAAAAGACCAAATCTACGTCTGATTGGTGTACCTGAAAGTGATGGGGAGAATAGAACCAAGTTGGAAAACACTCTGCAGGATATTATCCAGGAGAACTTCCCCAACCTAGCAAGGCAGGCCGACATTCAAATTCAGGAAATACAGAGAACGCCACAAAGATACTCTTCGAGAAGAGCAACTCCAAGACACATAATTGTCAGATTCACCAAAGTTGAAATGAAGGAAAAAATGTTAAGGGCAGCCAGAGAGAAAGGTCGGGTTACCCACAAAGGGAAGCCCATCAGACTAACAGTGGATCTCTCGGCAGAAACTCTACAAGCTAGAAGAGAGTGGGGGCCAATATTCAACATTCTTAAAGAAAAGAATTTTCAACCCAGAATTTCATATCCAGCCAACCTAAGCTTCATCAGTGAAGGAGAAATAAAATCCTTTACGGACAAACAAATCCTGAGAGATTTTGTCACCACCAGGCCTGCCTTACAAGAGCTCCTGAAGGAAGCACTAAACATGGAGAGGAACAACTGGTACCAGTCACTGCAAAAACATGCCAAATCGTAAACACCATCAATGTTAGGAAGAAACTGCATCAACTAACAAGTAAAATAACTAGCTAACATAATGACAGGACCAAATTCACACATAACAATATTAACCTTAAATGTAAATGGGCTAAATGCTCCAATTAAAAGACACAGACTGGCAAATTGGATAAAGGGCCCAGACCCTGGCAGGTGCAGTGGCTCACACCTGTAATCCCACCACTTTGTGAGGCTGAAGTGGGCAGATCACGAGGTCAGGAGATCGAGACTATCCTGGCTAACACAGTGAAACCCCATCTCTAGTAAAAATACAAAAAATTAGCCAGGCATGGTGGCAGGCACCTGTAGTCCCAGGCACTTGGGAGGCTGAGGCAGGAGAATGGCATGAACCTGGGAGGCAGAGCTTGCAGTGAGCCAAGATCATGCCTCTGTACTCCAGCCTGGGCAACAGAGACCCATCTCAAAAAAAAAAAAAGAGTCAAGACCCACCAGTGTGCTGTATTCAGGAGATCCATCTCATGTGCAGAGACACACATAGGCTGAAAATAAAGGGACGGAGGAAGGTCTCTGAAGCAAATGGAAAACAAAAAAAAAAAGCAGGGGTTGCAATCCTAGTCTCTGAGAAAAACAAGACTTTAAACCAACAAAGATCATAAAAGACAAAGAAGGCCATGACATAATGGTAAAGGCATCAATTCAACAAGAAGAGCTAACTATACTAAATATATATGCACCCAATACAGGAGCACCCAGATTAATAAAGAAAGCCCTTAGAGACCTACAAAGAGACTAAGACTCGCACACAATGATAATGGGAGACTTTAACACCCCACTGTCAACATTAGACAGATCAATGAGACAGAAAGTTAACAAGGATATCCAGGAATTGAACTCAGCTCTGCACCAGCCAGACCTAATAGACATCTACAGAACTCTCCACCCAAAATCAACAGAATATACATTCTCAGCACCACATTGCACTTACTCCAAAATTGACCACATAATTGGAAGTAAAGCACTCCTCAGCAAGTGTAAAAGAACAGAAAGTATAACAAACTATCTCTCAGACCACAGTGCAATCAAACTAGAACTCAGGATTAAGAAACTCACTCAAAACTGCTCAACTACATGGAAACTGAACAACCTGCTCCTGAATGACTACTGGGTACATAATGAAATGAAGGCAGAAATAAAGATGTTCTTTGAAACCAATGAGAACAAAGACAGAACATAACCAGAATCTCTGGGACACATTTAAAGCAGTATGTAGAGGGAAATATATAGCACTAAATGTCCACAAGAGAAAGCAGGAAAGATCTAAAATTGACACCCTAACATCACAATTAAAAGAACTAGAGACGCAAGAGCAAACACATTCAAAAGCTAGCAGAAGGCAAGAAAAAACTAAGATCAGAGCTGATTTTTTTTAATGGGTTTCATTGATGTTATTGCAGAGGACATGATTTTTTTTAATGGCCATGGAGTATTCCATGATTATGTGCCATATTTTGTTTTTTACTACATCTTTTATTTTATTTTATCTTTGGATGCAGGGTCTCACTTATTGCCCAGGCTAGATTACCATGGTGTGATTTTGGCTTACTTTAGTCTCAGCCTCCCAGGCTCAAGCAATTCTCCCTTACCTCATCTTCTCAAGTAGCTGGGACTACACGTGTGCGTTACTATGGCTGGCCACTTTTTCTTTTTGTATTTTCCATGTAGACAAGATTTTGCTATTTTTTTCAGGCTGGTTTCAAACTTCTAAGCTCAGGCAGTCCACCTGCCTTGGCCTTCCAAAGCTCTAGGATTGAAGGCATGAGCCACCGCTTCTGACCATACCATATTTTCTTTATTGATGGGCATTTAGGTCCTGTCCATGTCTTTGCTACTGTGAATAGTGCTGCAATGAACATGCATAGCATGCATATGGATGCGTCTTTATAATAATTTATATTTCTTTTGGTATATACCCAATTATCAGGTTCCTGAGTCAAATGATAATTCTGTTTTCAGTTCTGTGAGGAATTGCCACACTGCTTTTTACAGTTAAACTAATTTACACTCCCACCAGCAGAGTATAAGCATTCTCTTTTCTCTGCAACCTTGGTAGCATCTGTTATTTTTTGACTTTTTTAAAATAGCCATTCTGACTGATGTGAAGTGGTATCTCATTGTGGTTTTTCTTTTAATTTATTTGTTTATTTTTTTGAGATGGAGCCTGGCTCTGTCACCCAGGCTGGAGAGCAGTGGCACGATCTCAGCTCATTGCAACCTCCACCTCCCAGGTTTAAGTGATTCTCCTCTATCAGCCTCCTGACTAGCTGGGACTACAGGTGCCCACCACCATGCCAGGCTAATTTTTGTTTTTTTATTAGAGACAAGGTTTCACCATATTGGACAGGCTGGTCTTGAACTCCTCACCTTGTGATCTGCCTGCTTAAGCCTCCCAATGTGCTGGGATTACAGGTGTGAGACACCGTGCCTGGCTTCTTTTTAATTTCTTTAATGATTACCATTGAGCTTTGTTTTTCATATGCTTGTTAGCCACATGTATGTCTTCCTTTGAAAAGCATCTGTTCATGTTTTTTGCCCACTTTTTAATGAGGTTTGGTTTTTTCTTGTAAACTTGTTTAAGTTCTCATTAATTCTGGATATTAGACCTTTGTCAGAGGCAAAGTTTGCAAATATTTTCTTTTATTCTGTAGGTTGTCTGCTTACTCTGTTGATAGTTTCCTTTGCTGTGAAGAATCTCTTTAGTTTAAATAGGTCCCATTTGTCAGCTTTTGCTTTTGTTGCAATTGCTTTTGGTAGCTTCATCATGAAGTGTTTGCAGGTTTCTATGTCTAGAATGGTAGCTTTTATGTTATCTTGCAGGGTTTCTTATAATTTTATGTTTTACATTTAAGTCTTTAATTTTTCTTGAGTTGATTTTTGTATGTGGTGTAATTAAGGGGTTCAGTTTAAGTGTTCTACATATTACTAGTTAGTTATTCCGGCACCATTTATTAAATAGAGAATTTTCCCCACATTTCTTTTGTCAGCTTTGTCAAAAATCTGATGGTTGCAAGAGGGTGGCATTATTTCTGGGCTCTCTGTTCTGTTGCATTGGTCTTGTGCACATGAATTTTTTATAACATCTTTCTCTCTTCTGCTTTTCCCCCCATAAACATTTTTTTTTTTTTTTTTTGGAGAGGGAGTTTCGCTATTGCCAGGCTGAAGTGCAATGGCATGATCTTGGCTCACCACAACCTCCACCTCCTGAGTTGAAGCAATTCTCCTGCCTCAGCCTCCCATGTAGTTGAGATTACAGGCATATGCTATCATGCCCAGCCAATTTTGTATTTTTAGTAGAGACAGGGTTTCTCCTTGCTGGTCAGGCTGGTCTCCAACTCCCAACCTCAGGTGATCTGCTTGCCTCAACCTCCCAAAGTGCTGGGATTACAGGTGTTAGCCACCACACCTAGGCTAACATTCTTTCAAGTGCATCCTGTTTGCAAAACTTAGATTACCAAGAGTTCAAAGACTTTTTAAAAAGTTCCAAAAAAATTTTTCTTATTCTCTTTTTCCTTAAGGGATTTAGATTATGTGTAGATATTTTTCTCTGCTTTCTTGAAATATCTGTAAACCATATTAACAGTTAAATAAACTTTGTCTTTTTTTTTTTTTTTTTTTTTACTTTAGATTATCTTTTCTAGTACATCTGATTTATTGGTTTATTTCTAATTTTAAAAAGTTTGTTTCTCTCCTTTTTAGGACTTTTTTTT
Source organism: Homo sapiens (assembly GCF_000001405.40). Lineage (NCBI taxonomy): Eukaryota > Metazoa > Chordata > Mammalia > Primates > Hominidae > Homo > Homo sapiens. The sequence continues at coordinate 20,223,850 of NC_000019.10, read as the reverse complement.
TTTTTGGATGGAGTTTCAGTTTTGTTGCCCAGGCTGGAGTGCAATGGCATGATCTTGACTCACCAAAACCTCCACCTCCCAGGTTCAAGGGATTCTCTGGCCTCAGCCTCCCGAGTAGTTGGGATTACAGTCACGTGCCACCATACCCAACTAATTTTGTTTTTTTAGTAGAAACGGGGTTTCTCCATATTCCTCAGGCTGGTCTCAAATTCCCAAACTCAAGTGATCTGCCCGCCTCAGCCTCCCAAAGTGCTGGGATTACAGGCATGAACCACCATGCCTGGCCCATTTTTAGTCCTTTAAAGTAAACACAAATGTGTTTAGATAAAAGCTCATTTTAAGAGCACACAGAAGCTTAGCAGAAACATAGGATTAAATTTAGCAATATGGAATGAGAAACGCTAAAAGATACTAAGTTTCTTTGAAAGTAACTTTATTATCCAAGGTAATTATCCAACATTTGCAGGCTGAAGTACTTACACAGCAAAAACAAAAAGAGTTCAGTGCATAAACTGAACAGTAGAGTCTGTAGTTGTACTTGGCTTTCTATTGATGACTTCAGAACAATTAGCATAGTTATGTGTAGTGTTTGCAGACACTACACATAACAATACATTCATATACATTAAACAGTTTTCTTTTTCTTTTTTTTTAATTTTTCTTTGAGACAGAGTCTCACTCTTGCCCAGGCTGGAGTGTAGGGGCGTGTTCTGCTCACTGCAACCACTGGGACCCAGGCTCAAGTGATTTCTCCTGCCTCAGCCTCCTGAGTAGCTGGGATTACAGGCACACCCCACCATGCCTGGCTAAGTTTTTGTATTTTTAGTAGAGATGGGGTATCACCGTGTTGGCCAGCTTGATTGTGAACTCTTGACCTCAGGTGATCCACACACCTCAGTCTCCCAAAGTGCTGGGATTATAGGCATGAGCCATAAACAGTATTTTTTACAATAGTATGAATATAAAGCCACAATACTTACTTTGAATGAATCACTTAAATGGTTATTTTAATATTGTTATTTACACTTTTGAAATATAAACTATTTTAACTGAAGTATAGTTAAACTTTTTAACTGCCATATACATTACTACTAGTTTATTAAAATTATTTATACTTAGATATTTAATCTAATACCCCAAAAAATTTACTACCAAATTGTTACAGTCAATACTAGTCTGACATGTTTATTACTTTATTCAATAGGGATAATTATAAGTAAACACAATTTTAGTATCTTTTATTTCACTCAATTGGAATGCTGCTATTACAAATGAAATAAAGACAGTTGATGTGGCCACCCAAAAACCATGATAGCTCTTCAGTTAACTATGTTGGAAGTTCTAATATACTCCACAATGTGAACACAGTCAGATTCTATTTCTGCATCAAAAAGTGTTGTTGGAAGTTGTCAGATATATTTCAATATAGAACCCCCATTCAATGACTAGGAGATGAGAGAGCAGCAGAGATGGGAAAAAAAGCTTTATAAAATTCTTCTGAAATTCTGCCCCCTTTCTTCATAATGCTCATGTTTCTCATGCTGAGAGTAATTGTGCACTTTGGGTGGTTAGAGAGAAATTGCTTTTAGGGGACTATTTTCTGGCTGACTTGATCAATCTTATATCTAAACTGAGCTTTTTCTCAAGATCTTTTTTCTCAAGATCTTTTTAACTTTTTTCTCTCAAAATTATCTTGCTCAGATGGAGATCTGTTTTTCTCTCCAATACTTTGGGTGTCTGTTTCAGAAGCCCTATTAGTATCCCATGGTGTCTGAATGAGGTAGGCTGTCACAGTGAGAACTTTTGTAGATATCTCTATCTGGACTCATGCTGGAAATTCATCCGATTTTTTTTCCATGTCACCATGATAATTAAAAACGGGCTGAAACACTGGTCACATTCCCATTATTGTGAAAGTGCAATTCTACTCACAAGGCCTGCAGGCTCTCCTGCAGCTCAGGCTTTCCTCTCTGATGTGACACTAGAGTGCTGCTGTGGGAAATGTGGTTCACATAAACTGAGCTGTGCTCAAGGCTGTCCCTCAGTGGCAGATGAGAGAGGTCAAGAGGACACTAGCAACCAGGAAAAAGCAAGAAAGTGCTGTAGCCCAATGCCATGGAACACAGAGCCACTGCTGTAAAATGTAAATAGCCAAAAGGATAGAATGCTTTTCAACCATTTTTGTAGCAGAGTGAAAACCTACCTTCAGCAAGTACCTGGCTTCAAGCTGCTAAACTACCTCCTGTTATGAAGGTGTGAAAAGTTTTTTTGTTATTGAATATAAACAATTAGCATATACAGATGGCCTCTTCAATCTCCATGTGAATTTAGGATGAACTATGTATGACATGGTTCTGGAAATTCTACTTGTGGACTAATTTTGGTGACCATCTTTCTGTCTCTGCAGTCTCTTAAGCAGATTGACTATGATGCATGTCACATAAAACAGTTTTCTTTCTGTTCTATTGTGGAGTTTTTCTGGGGCTGGAGAACATTCTTTTGTTATTTCCAAACACTGTCTATAATTACCAGACATGATATAAACACATAAGGTGCCAACTGGAATTTACTCTAGAGGGGACTTTCCCTCTCAGACTTCCAGTCAACTCACACTTGTGCAACAAAGTGCATGCTGTCCCCTAAATATGCAAGCAGAACTGTGTTTCTGCCTATTTGGTATCTATAGTCCTCTACAGTCACTTCTAGAGAGACTAAACCAAATTTCTACCAACTTCACAGGGCAACAATCAATAGTTTTATCTCAATGACTCTTGTATCTTCAGACCTTAAACTGATTCAGAGACCATGGGGCCCACAAACCTAATCAGAGTAACGTTTTCATTGAGTACACATTCAGACATGAGAATCTTCACTTTCCCCTTTTTTCTCTTGGTAAAATGTTCACAAATGTGCAGGTAACACCTGCTGCTACTCCAGCCATTCGGGCCCTAAATCTGCAGCTCTACATTTTGTATCTAGGTCTTGAGATTTGGGAAATAGAAAATTTTTATCTAAAAATGCAAGTCCTTTTGGTTATCAAACTCAGACATTGAAATGAAAGTGCAGTTACGCCTTTCTCCTCCTTTGAAATATGTATTCATCTCTTGAAACTGTTCACTATTGCCACAAGTAGATGTATATTAAACTGATAATACCACATTGGACACTGTATCTCATACCCTAAACCATAATGATATATGTCCAATCAATAACCAATGTTACTTCTTTAAATAAAAATTTCTGACAACTCTATCAGCCCACTCTCTGTCCCTTTGTTTTTGTCTTCACAACTCCTCTTGCAACTGCTGTTAATGAAAGTGTAGATTCTAGGCAACTTCAGTCTTTGCTCCCAGGTTATAATCCTTAAACTTCACCCAAATAAACTGTCTACTTACATTCATGTTGTGTCAGCTTTTTTTTTTTTTTCATGTAGGCTTAATACTTAGAAAGTGCTAGAGCAGCCTCTATTAGGGGATCTCTTCTCTGATTGTACTCCACTTGCTGTAACACCAAAGGATGCAGAACCAGGTGGGTCCTACCTAGAATCTGCAGATAAGGTATGGCTTCTGCCTGGGGTTTACAAAAAAGGGTCAGACTGTAAGAGTGTCCAGGAGGAAATAGAATCTGATGGTAGAATCTGTAAGTGTAAATAAACATCTTAGGAGTGAGACATCAAGTCCACAAAATAGCCAGAGCCATGTGCACAACTATATTTACCTGTAAAATGTGATACTGGAGTAGAATATTTTCATTCTTTCTCTTACCCAAATGCTAGCAAATCAGAATGGGTGATCCAGGTTCTTGAGCTCCACCAAGGCAGTTCCATTTTCTACTTAGAGTCAGCCTGAGTCTCTCCAGCCTGGCTTATCATTGAGTCTCTCCAGCCTGGCTTATCATTGAGTCTCTCCAGCCTGGCTTATTGAGACATCAGCCCATGGTCACTGGGAATTCTCTCACAATCACCTAGGTGTCTTTGAGGCATTTGGGAATATCCAGAGCAGAGTTGTGTCAGGTTGACAAGAGTGATTAATTCTGCTTCTGTCTCGGTGTAAGAGAAATCAGTCATCCTGTGTTTTTGTTCATCCTCTCATACAAGAGGTATCTTTGGTTGGTACTCAGATGAGAGTTTATCCAGTTTTCTGGTACTTGGATGATAAATAAGGAGACCTGGAGACCCAAATAGATAAACTCATTACTTCCATTTTATATGGCCATTAAAAAAATACATGAAGCAGTCATTGTTCCTACAATCCAGAAACTTTTAGTCTAGACTAGCAACTTCATGAATAATTGAATTATGCATCATATGGTTGGTGGAATATATAGATGTGTCCAAAGTCTTGGGCTTTATTTATGCCACTTTATGCTGTTGTGACTTCTGATATCTACACCTGAATATATTTATGAACCGAACAATTATTATAGTTTTGTTGTTTTTTTTTTAGACAGAATCTCAGTTCCCCAGGCTGGAGTGCAGTGGCACGATCTTGGCTTACTGTAATTTCTGCCACTCGGGTTCAAGCCATTCTCCTGCCTCAGCCTCCCAAGTAGCTGAGATTACTGGCCACAGCCACGATGCCCAGCTAATTTTTGTATTTTTAGTAGAGGCAAGGTTTCACCATCTTGGTCAGGCTGGTCTTGAACTCCTGCCCTCATGATCCACCCACCTCAGCCTTTCAAAGTGCTGGAATTGTGGGACTTAGCCACTGCACCCAGCCGTATAGTTTCTATTTCTTTTACCTTGCTAACTGTACATATTTATTTTCCAATAAAATTACCCTAGGAAACCTGAAGGGATTTCTTTAAATTGCATATTAGTATATAGTATAAAGTTGACAGGGCCGTGGCTAGAAAATATTAAAATTACAGAAACTCTGGGATTTAAGTTTCTTTTAGGTAGGCTTAGAAAAACAAAACTGGAAGTATCCCAGTGGCATAGAGAACAGAATTCTACAAAGGATCCTCACTCTGCCCCAGACCTGTTCAGATTCACCTTTTTTGGAGGCTTTATGTAGGTCCAGACCTACCCTGGAGTCTTGCCTCACAGAACTGATTGGCAGAGATCAGTTTTGGCTGGTGAATCCTGCAGTATTTCTAGAGCTGCTGCTCACAATTTCCTGAAATCCAAAAGCAGATAAATACAAAAAAATAAAGTATGTATTTGAGGGTCTTCATTTTTAAATTTTCTTTTTTTTTTTTTTTTTTTTTGAGACGGAGTCTCACTCCGTTGCCCAGGCTGGAGTGCAGTGGCGCGATCTCGGCTCACTGCAAGCTCTGCCTCCCGGGTTCATGCCATTCTCCTGCCTCAACCTCCGAGTAGCTGGGACTACAGGCGCTCGCCACCACGCCCAGCTAATTTTTTGTATTTTTAGTAGAGATGGGGTTTCACCACGTTAGCCAGGATGGTCTCGATCTCCTGACCTCGTGATCCGCCCGCCTCTGCCTCCCAAAGTGCTGGGATTACAAGCATGAGCCACCGCACCCAGCCGTTTTTTAATTTTCTATGAAAACCATTGGATGCAGAGACATTCTATTTAGCAACTTGTTTCTTATTCCCGCAGATCCAGTAGTTGCTCCGTAAGTCAAAAAAAAGTAAATACAAACAGAATAAAATTTTCTCTAAACTAACCTCTTCCTTTTTATGTCTCATTCATCTGTCTATACTTAGCTTTTATTCTATACAATTTTTAAAAATTTTTGATGACAGAAAAACAAGAAATTAAAATGCTTGGCTCTTTTTCTAAATCCTGGTAATTACCTTCTGTTTCTTCTGTAAACTTTAAAGAGCCAGCAAAGAATATAAAACTTTAGGATGGAGATGAGTTGTCCTTATTTGTACCAGAGTTATCTGATTGTGACAACAGTGCTAAGTGTAAGGGACCCTGTGGTTTGCCTGCTTTTCTAACTAATGTTAATAATGAGCCAAGGAGGAGTAACATCAGCATTGACAGGGGACTTGTTTAAAACACTGATTCACAGACCCTTTTCAAACCTGCAGAATCACATTACTTAAAGTGTGGCCAGAATTACCAAGTGAATTATAAGCTCATTAAAGCTTGAGAGGCAATGCTTAGCTTAGTGGTTATCAGCCCAGGCTTCTCATTAGGATCACATGGCCAATATGCAGAAATCTCTTGTACCCTCACCACAGCTTCTGTTTATTATTCTGGTTGAAAACATCCATGTTGTTTTAATGAAGGGCCTCATGTGACTCTAAGGTGAGGCCAGAATCAGGTATGAGGCCTTCAAAATATATTCATGAGAATTAAGTTCCACTTTTGGACTAAAGGGTAGCCACAGGGCCTGTTCTGTTTTGGCTTGGTATGGACAGGTCAGAGTGGTGTATATTTGTATTACTGTATGAAGCAGGTACTATGTGCTCAAGATTGTGATACAGAGAACTCTGCTGGGCATAATACATTATATAATTTAATCCTCATAACACCCTGGGAGCTGGTACTAAGGATTTAATACTAATTTCCAGGATTTAGAAAAAGGGCCCAGCATTTTAATTTCTTCTCTTTTTCTCTGCAGGTTCTGTAGCAGAAATTGCTGGTGTCTGTGGCAGGGGAGGGCACCTGAGGACAGGGAAGAAGAAACATATTTTTATCTTTATGGAGCAGCACATTGTTCCCAAATACCTTCTGCTTTAAGGGACAGAAATGGATGGACTTTTTCTGTCTTTTCTGCCAGTTGATGTCATGCTTGCAGGTAAACATGTGGTACTGACACCCTTAAAGGCATATTCTCAAGAGGCAGGTAAAAAACCAATTCCAAAAAAGTATTGCAACAAAAGGAAGCACCAAATAACTATAATATCTTTATGGCTTGCAAAAATATAGGCAGAAAAGGGCTTTCTTTTCTAGGGAAGAGCAAACAAGATTAGAAAGGAGGTGGGAGAGGAACAGCAAATGGAGGGTGAAAAAGTCAGATTTTAGATCAGAGAATGGCTTACCCTGAAATCAGCATGTTCTTAGGAGGGACATAAAATGGGGTTGTATGTTGACTCAGACTGAGGGTAGCTTGAATTTCAGGAGCCTGAGAGAAGATAAACTTAAGTAAAATTTGATTAAGAAATATTTTATTTTAGGCTGGGTGTGGTGGCTCAAGTCTGCAATCCCAGCACTTTGGGAGGCTGAGGCAGGCGGATCACCAGAGGTCAGGAGTTCAAGACCAGCCTGGCCAACATGGTGAAACCCTGTCTACTAAAAATACAAAAATTAGCTGGGCGTTGTGGCAGGTGCCTGTAATCCCAGATACTTGGGAGGCTGAGGTAGGAAAATTGCTTGAGCCCTGGAGGTGAAAGCTGAAGTGAGCCGAGATGGCCCCACTACACTCCAGCCTGGGTGACAGAGTGACACTCCATCTCAAAAAAAAAAAAAATCATAATTGATTTTGACTGCTGAAGGCAAATTCAGCTGGTTTTTTGTTTTTTTTTTAATGAGAAAAAGGAGAAAATGTGCAGAGTGTATGTCTGGCTGTGTGATAGGCAAGAAAAGGGAGCATCATCTTAATCATAACGGGAAGAGTGTTTCTTTCCATAAACTGTTCCTGAAGCACACAAAGGAAGGAGAATTTTATTAATCACAAATATTTTTCATAATTATCTATGTGTTTCATCTTTCCTCATCTCTTTTCTTTGTTCTATGCATTTCTTCCACTTGGCTTTTCCTGGGCTGCATCTTATATATTAAACCAGTAAGCATAACTACAGTGTTTTGCTGAGTTCTGTGAGTAGCTCTACCAAATTACTGAGCTTCAGGGAAGTTATGGGAGTCCCCAGTTTTTAAACAGTAGCTCAGAACCATAGATGGGCCCATGGGATTTATGACTGGCATCTGCAGTGAGAACAATGTTGTGGGACCGAGCCCTGAATCAGGGTCTGTGCTGACTCTGGGTAGTGTTAGAAATCAAATGTTATACAATAAGTTGGTGTTGGAGAATTGTTTGATGTTCAGCAAATGCTACAGATTTGGTGCCAGAAAGAAGATATCATGGAGGCCTGGCCTGGAATAAAACTCTGGGTGTTTGGGAATGGGAGATTCTGCTCTCCTGTACACAGATTGTCACACTGCCCATTGTCCTGTGATTCCAGGTCTTCTCCCAGGGTGACAGAGGACTGAAAACTTACAGGAAAGGAGCTCTGATGACACATCCCCTTTTCTTGCAGCTGCCACCACAGGATTCCCACATACTCCCAAACACACACACTAGACATTGACATGTCCACACTCCTCCCAGGACTAGGCACCACCCTCAGTGACTTCACCATGACATTTTTGGTCCAAGCACTTCTAGCCAAAAAGCCAAAAGTATCTACAAGTTTCCTTGCATATTCCCATCCCCGGATATCGAATCTGCAGCAGCAACCTGTTTTCTCCACCAGCCTAGGGTTCTGGCCCTCCTTTTCATAATCTCATCTGCCTGCATGCACACAGAAATAAATCAGAGTACAGCCCCACCTGGTCAACTATCTGTAGCAAAAATCTGTCCATTCACTGACATTGCACTCTCTCTCACCTGGGGATTTTTTTTCTTTTTTTTTTTAATTTATTTTTTTTATTGATCATTCTTGGGTGTTTCTCGCAGAGGGGGATTTGGCAGGGTCATAGGACAATAGTGGAGGGAAGGTCAGCAGATAAACAAGTGAACAAAGGTCTCTGGTTTTCCTAGGCAGAGGACCCTGCGGCCTTCCGCAGTGTTTGTGTCCCTGGGTACTTGAGATTAGGGAGTGGTGATGACTCTTAACGAGCATGCTGCCTTCAAGCATCTGTTTAACAAAGCACATCTTGCACCACCCTTAATCCATTTAACCCTGAGTGGACACAGCACATGTTTCAGAGAGCACAGGGTTGGGGGTAAGGTCAAGAGATCAACAGAATCCCAAGGCAGAAGAATTTTTCTTAGTACAGATCAAAATGAAGTCTCCCATGTATACTTCTTTCTACACAGACACGGCAACCATCCGATTTCTCAATCTTTTCCTCACCTTTCCCCCCTTTCTATTCCACAAAACCGCCATTGTCATCATGGCCCGTTCTCAATGAGCTGTTGGGTACACCTCCCAGACGGGGTGGTGGCCTGGCAGAGGCGCCCCTCACCTCCCGGACGGGGTGGCTGGCCGGGCTGGGGGCTGACCCCCCCCACCTCCCTCCCGGACGGGGCGGCTGGCCGGGCGGGGGGCTGACCCCCACCTCCCTCCCGGATGGGGCGGCTGGCCGGGCGGGGGGCTGACCCCCCCCACCTCCCTCCCGGACGGGGTGGCTGCCGGGCGGAGACGCTCCTCACTTCCCAGACAGGGCGGTGGGGCAGAGGCGCTCCCCACATCTCAGACGATGGGTGGCCAGGCAGAGACGCTCCTCACTTCCCAGATGTGATGGCGGCCGGGAAGAGGCGCTCCTCACTTCCTAGATGGGATGGTGGCCAGGCAGAGACGCTCCTCACTTTCCAGACTGGGCAGCCAGGCAGAAGGGCTCCTCACATCCCAGATGATGGGCGGCCAGGCAGAGACGCTCCTCACTTCCCAGATGGGGTGGCGACCGGGCAGAGGCTGCAATCTCGGCATTTTGGGAAGCCAAGGCAGGCGGCTGGGAGGTGGAGGTTGTAGCGAGCCAAGATCACGCCACTGCACTCCAGCCTGGGCACCATTGAGCACTGAGTGAACCAGACTCCGTCTGCAATCCCGGCACCTCGGGAGGCCGAGGCTGGCGGATCACTCGCGGTTAGGGGCTGGAGACCGGCCCGGCCAACACAGCGAAACCCCGTCTCCACCAAAAAAACACGAAAACCAGTCAGGCGTGGCGGCGCGCGCCTGCAATCACAGGCACTCGGCAGGCTGAGGCAGGAGAATCAGGCAGGGAGGCTGCAGTGAGCTGAGATGGCAGCAGTACAGTCCAGCTTCGGCTCGGCATCAGAGGGAGACCGTGGAAAGAGAGGGAGAGGGAGACCCTGGGGAGAGGGAGACGGAGACGGAGAGGGAGAGGGAGGGGGAGGCGGAGGGAGAGGGAGAGGGGATTTGTTTTTCTTTTAGCTTTTATTTTTGGTTCCGGGTACACATGTGGGTTTGTTATACAGCTAAAATTATGTCATGGGGATTTGGTGTGCCGATTATTTTGTCACTGAGGTACTACCCATAGCACCAAACAATTATGTTTTCTGATCTTCTGAGTCCTTCTACCCTCCAGCCTCAACTAGGCCTGTGTCTGTTCTTCTCTTTGTGTTCTGTGTTCTTACTTCTTAGCTCTTATTTATAAATTATAACATGCATTTGGTTTTGTGTTTCCGCATTAGTTTTCTTTTTTTGTTGTTTTTTTGTTTGTTTGTTTTGAAAGGGAGTTTTGCTCTTGTTGTCCAGGCTGGAGAGCCATGGTAACATCTTGGCTCATCAAAACATTCGTATCCTGGGTTCAAGCGGTTCTCCTGCCTCAGCCTCCCCAGTAGCTGGGGTTACAGGCAGGCACCACCATGCCTAGCTAATTTTGTATTTTTAGTAGAGACAGGGTTAATCCATGTTGGTCAGGCTAGTCTCAAACTCCCAACCTCAGGTGGTTCGCCCACCTCGGCCTCCCAAAGTGTTAGCATTACAGGCATGAGCCACCATGTCCAGCCTCTGCATTCATTTTCTAAGAATAATGGTCTCCAGATTCATCTATGTTATTGCAAAGGACATGATTTTTTTTAAATAGCTACCCAGTATTTTGTAATGTTTATATACCATATTTTGTTTTTACTAAATCTTTTATTTTATTTTATTTTTGGAGACAGGCTTATTGCCTAGGCTACAGTGCCAGGGCATGATATTGGCTTACTTTAGCCACAATCTCCCAGGCTCAAGCAATTCTCTCCTACCTCATCTTCCCTTGTAGCTGGGACTACATACGTGCATTACCATAACTGGGCAATTTTATATATTTTTTTTTTCCGGGGAGACAAGATTTTGTCTTGTTGCCCAGGCTGGTCTCAAACTTCTAAGCTCAGGCAACCCACCTGCCATGGCCTCCCAAAGTGCTGGGATTATAGGCATGAGCCACAACATCTGACCATACCATATTTTCTTTATCTAGTCTATCATTGGTAGGCATTTAGTGCCTGTCCGTGTCTTTGCTATTGTGAATAGTGCTACAGTGAACATGCATATAGATGTGTCTTTGTAATATAATAATTTATATTTCTTTGGGTATATACCCAATTATGAGGTTGCTGGGTCAAATGATAATTCTGTTTCTAGTTCTGTGAGGAATCGCCACACTGCTTTTTACAGTTGTTGAACTAATTTACACTCTCACCAGCAGAGTATAAGCATTCCCTTTTCTCTGCAACCTTGCCAGCATCTATTATTTTTTGACTTTTTAAAAATAGCCATTCTGATGGGTGTGATGCGGTATCTCATTGTGGTTTTTCTTTTAATTTCTCTAATAATTAGCAATGAGCATTTTTTTCACATGCTTGTTAACTGCACATTTGTCTTCTTTTGAAAAGAATATGTTCATGTTTTTCTTTTCTACTTTTAATGAGGTTATTTGTTTTTTTTCTTGTAAACTTGTTTGAGCTCTTAATAAATTCTGGATATTAGTCCTCTGTCAGAGGCAATGTTTGCAAATATTTTCTTTATTCTGTATGTTGTCTGTTTACTCTGTTGATAGTTTCCTTTGCTGTGAAGAAGCTCTTTAGTTTAAATAGGTCCCTTTTGTCCATTTTTGCTTTTGTGGCAATTGCTTTTGATAGACTCATCATGAAGGTTTTCCCAGTTTCTATGTCTAGAATGGTATTTCTTAGGTTATCTTGCAGGGTGTCTTATAATTTTAAATTTTACATTTAAGTCTTTAATTTATTTTGAGTTGAGTTTTGTATATGGTGTAATGAAGAGGTCCAGTTTCAGTCTTCTGCATAGTGCTAGGTAGTTATTCCAACTCCATTTATGAAATAGAGAATTCTTCCCACATTCCTCTTGTCAGCTTTGGCAAAAATCTAATCGTTGTAGGAGGGTGGCATTATTTCTGGGCTCTCTATTCTGTTGCATAGGTATTGTTCATTCATGGATTTTTTATAACATATTTCCCTCTTCTGCATTTTCACCCATAAACATTCTTTCAAGTGCATACAGTATGCAAAATTCAGATGTCCAAGAGTTGAAAAAATTTAAGAAGTTCCAAAAAAATATTTTATACCATGGAGCTAGCAAATTAGAATAGGTGATCTAGGTTCTGGAGCTCCACCAGGACAGTTCCATTTTCTATTTAGAATCAGCCTGAGTCTCTCCAGCCTGGTTTATCATTGGGACATTAGCCCCTGGTCACCGAGAATTCTCTCACAATCATCTAGGTGCCTTTGAGGCATTTGAGGATGTCCTGAGCGGAATTATGTCAGGCTGACAAGAATGGTTAATTCTCCTTCTGTCTCAGTGTGAGAGAAATGAGTCATCCTGTTAGTTCATCCCCTCATACAAGAGGTGTCTTTGGTTGGTACCCAGATGAGAGTTTCTCCGGTTTCCTGGTACTTGGATGATACAAAAGGAGAAAATCCGGAGACCCAAATAGATAAACTAGTTGCTTCCATTTCATATGGCCATTTAAAAAAATCCATGAAGCAGTCATGGTTCCTACCATCTAGAAACTTTTAGTCTAGACTAGCACCCAGATAAATAATTGAATTATGCATCATATGGTTGGTACAATAAATAGATATGCCCAAAATCTTAGGCTTTATTTAGGCTATTTCTTTATATTGTTGTAACTTCTCATGTCTACACCTGAAGGGATATTTATGAACAGAAAAATTGTTATTATAATTTCTTTTTTATTTTTGAGATGGAGTCTTACTCTGTCACCAAGGCTGGAGTGCAGTGGTGCAACCTTGGCTCACTGCAACCTCTGCCACCCAGGTTCAAGTGATTCTCCTGCCTCAGTCCCTCAAGTAGCTAGGATTACAGGGGCCTGCCACTGCACCTGGTTAATTTTTGTATTTTTAGTGGAGACGTGGTTTCACCACCTTTATCAGGCTGGTCTCAAACTCCTGACCTCGTGTTCCACCCGCCTCGGCCACCCAAAGTGCTGGGATTATGGGCATGAGCCACAGCACCCGGCCATATAAAATCTATTTCTTTTATGTTGTTAAGTGCACAGTATTTATTTTCTAATAAAATTACACTACAAAACCTGAAGAGATTTGTTTAATTTGCATATTAGTATATAGTATACAGTTGACAGGGTAGTGGCTAGAAAAAATGAAAATAACAGAAACTCTGGGATTTTAGGCTTCTTTCAGGCAAGCTTAGAAAAAACAAAATTGTTAGTACTCCAGTGGCATAGAGAACAGAATTCTATAGGGTCCTCACCTTGTCCCAGACCTGTTCAGATTCACCCTTTTTGGAGGCCTTATTTAGGTCTGACCCTGCCCTGGAGTCTTGCCTCACAGAACTGATTAGAAGTTATCAGAATTTTGGCTGATGAATCCTGCAGCAGTTCTAGAGCTGCTACTCACAATTTCCTGAAACCCAAAAGCAGATAAATGGGAAAAATAAAGTATATATTGTAGAGCCTTAGTTTTTAAATTTTACTTATTTATTTATTTATTTCTTGAGATGAAGTTTTGCTCTTGTTGCCCAGGTTGGAGTGCAGTGGCACGATCTCGGCTCACTGCATCCTCCACCTCCCAGGTTCCAGCGATTCTCCTGCCTCAGCCTCTTGAGTAGCTGGGATTACAGGCATGCACCACCATGCCTGGCTAATTTTGTATTTTTAGTAGAGATGGGGTTTCTCCATGTTGGTCAGGCTGGTCTTGAACTCCCGACCTCAGGTGATCCACCTGCCTTGGCCTCCCAAAGTGCTGGGATTACAGGCGTGAGCCACTGCACCCGGCCAGTTTTTAAATTTTCCATTAAAACCAGTGGTTGCAGAGACATTCTCTTTAGCAACTTGTTTTCTATTCCTGCAGATCCAGTAGTTGCTCCACAAGTCACAAAAAAGTGAATATAAACAGAATAAAATTTTCTCTGAGCTACATTAAACTCTTCCTTTCTATATCTCTTTCATCTGCCTATATTTAGCTTTACTATTTACAGTTTTTTAAAAAATTTGATGACAGAGAAACAGAAGAAATAAAAATGCTGGGCCCTTTATCTAAATCCTAAAAATTATTAAACCCTTAGTACCAGCTCCCAGGGTGTTATGAGAATTAAATTACATAATGAGGGATGACCAGCACAGTGCTCTGTATCTTACCCTTGAGCACATAGTACCTGCTTAATAAACATTGCATTAGTACATGTTTACATGTTGTTTTTTAAATACAGACTTATTCAGACATTGCTGACTTTTGTTTCCTCTGTAAACTCTAAAGAGCCAGCAAAGACTATAAAACTTTAGGAGGGAGATGGGTTGTCCTTATTTGTACCAGAAGTATTTGGTGGTGACAAGAGTGCTAAGTGTAAGGGACCCTGTGCTGTGCCTGCTTTCTCTAATGTTAATAATTCTCCAAGGGGGAGAAACAACTGCATTGACAGGGGACTTGTTTAAAACACTCACTCTTGGACCCTTTTCAAACCTGCAGAATCACATTACATTAAGTGGGGCCAAAATTACCAGGTGATTTATAATCTCATTAAAGCTTGAGAGGCAATGCTTAACTTAGTGGTTATCAGCCCAGGCTTCCCATTAGGATCAAATGGCCAATTTGCAGAAATCTCTTGTGCCCTCCCCACAGCTTCTGTTTATCATTCTCGGTGGAAGCATCTATCACGTTTTAATGAAGGGCCTCATGTGACTCTAAGGTTAGGCCAGAATCAGGTATGAGGCCCTCAAAATACATTCATGAGAGTTAAGCTCCACCTTTGGACTAAAGGGTGGTCACAGGGCCAGTTCTGTTTGGGTTTAGTAGGGACAGGTCAGTGTGGTGCATATTTCCATTAAGGTAGCAGAAATTGCTAGTGTCTGTGGCAGGGGAGGGCACCTGAGGACAGGAAAGGAGAAACTTATACTTTCATCTTCATGGAGCATCTCATTTTTCCTGAACCTCTTCTGTTTTAAAGGACAGAAATGGGTGGACTTTTTCTGTCTTTTTCTGCTAGTTGATGTCATGCTAGCAGGTAAACACCTTTAAAAGCATATCCTTCAGATGCAGGTTTAATTTGTCCAGAAAATCTCATCTGAGAAGGAATTCCAGAGAAGGGGAAAAAGAAAAAAAAAGGCTTTTCTTCAGGTAAACCTGTGTCAGATGAAGACCTGTGTCCACTCTGCCTCCTGGACTGCCATGCGTTTAGTACTTGCAAACCTTTATTTTTCTACTTGTATTTTTCCTCCCTAATAAGTTTGATTTAACTACTTGTTAAAATTCTTATGATAGTCAAGGGTCTCTGAAAAATATTTCTTTCCTATATTCCAGAGCCATCTCTGCATTCTCTACATCATAGCTTCTTATATGTCACGCAGGATTCTCAGCAAGGATTTATGATCTGCAATATTAAAAATGTTCCTTTTGTGGCTATTGAACATGGAAAGATGTGGATACTGAAGATTTCTATTGGGGAAAAGTGTGGTCCTTAGTAAAGATGGAGAACATGTAATGTTGAGGCTCCATCTGTGTGTTCCATTAGCTCTATGCAGAACAGGATTAAGAAAATGCTCATTAAAATGGGATGGCATTTATTACCCAGAAAGTTCTGAAAAAACTTATCAGGAGATACTTGTTTTCTAGGGTGCTAAATGAACCCTATTTAAAATTACTAGTAAAAATTACAGAACATAGGAGTTATCTGGATGTTGAAGTTTGCATAAAACTCATGTTTCTTTATGGTTAAATTCAGACTGTAATTTAGTTTTTTGGGGAAGTATATTTCAACAGTGATTCTGTGTTCTCCTGTGTGCATTAGCACATCGTAAAAATTTGTCCTCGTGCAGTTAATGGTTAATGATTCACTTGGTGAATTAGCTCTCTGACAGATTTTTTTCACCATAGGGTTAATTATTTTTCTCTTCATTATTAAGTATGTTTATGCAGCTGATGTGCATAAACCATCACATTTAATCTGGCAGCTGTCCTTTTTTCTTATTTTTTTCTACATATCTCTCTTTGGAAAATGAAGGCTTTTATCTTTGCTTACAGGCTAAAAAATCTGGGAAAAACACAGGCTCTTCCACTTACTGGATGTTTGACAAAATATCCTTCTTGGGCCAAAAACATTGGCATTACTGGTGAGCTTCTTAGAAATTAAAAAAATCAGCCAAGTGCAGTGGCTCATGCCTGTAATCCCAGCACTTTGGGAGGCTGAGGCGGGCAGATCACGTGAGTTCGGGAAATCAAGACCAGCCTGGCCAACATAGAGAAAACCCCATCTCTACTAAAAATACAAAATTATCCAGGGATGTTGGTGCATGCCTGTAATCTCAGCTACTCGGGAGGCTGTGGCAGGAGATTTGCTTGAACCCGGGAGGCAGAGGTTGTGGTGAGCCAAGATCACATCACTGCACTTCAGCCTAGGCAACTAGATTGAAATTCCATCTCAAAACAAAATTTGAGAGATACCTTCTAACTCAACATGTCTTTTCCATCGGAAAAATATTCACAACTCATTCTGTATGATGTAAATATAGCACTCAAAAATGTACATGTTCATGTTCATGCCCTTAATTTTATACTTTATTATATGGAAAAATATATGAAATGATGTTGTGGATGTTATGCTCCTCTTTTTTTCTTAGAGTTAGAGAATATATTAGAGAATATTTCTGTGTTGAAAATTATTTTATTGGATAATTTTAGTCCTGTAAGTCAGAATCACTTCCCTTTACTCTCTCATTTCACCTTAAATCAAATTAAAAATTCCACCAATGGCAACTTGGTAAAAATGTGTGTGTGTGTGTGTGTGTGTGTGTGTGTGTGTGTGTGTGTGTGTTTCAGGAACCATTGCAATTTAGAGATGTGGCCATAGAATTCTCTCTGGAGGAATGGCATTGCCTGGACACTGCACAGTGGAATTTATATAGGGATGTGATATTAGAGAACTACAGACACCAAAGTCCCTTTGGTGCCCTGCGACATGCACGATAGCTATCTCTTCTGGCAATTGGAGATTGTTGAGGACACAAGCAATTAGCTATGAACTAAATCTTGGCCTCTACTATTGATAAGAACCTCTTCATCCAAATTTTCCCAAATGTGTGTGCCACCCCAAAGGCATACTTACAGTCAGTATAGATAGTTCCTTCCTGGCAAAGGCATACTTACAGTCAGTATACCCTTGGCTTTGTAAATGTCCTAAAGCTTGGCTGAGTGCAAACAGTTCACATGTTTGGGCAGACCAATCATTAGGCAGCCTTCCTGATTCTACTTCTTCAAGCGTCTCTCCATCAATCACTGAATACCTGTTATGTCTTTTCCTCTCAATCACCTGGGAAGACCCATCTATGAATAAGTGCCAACCTGTCTTGAAGGGAGTTTCTCCTAAGTCTGGTCGAACTTTTGTATGGTAGTCAATCAGATCTAAACATACATGCTCTCGTTTTAAGTTTGGATCCTCTGTTAAAAATCTTGCTGGATTAAGTGAATTATCAGTAGTAGTAGACTAATATTTTCTATTAGTCTAAATCTAGGTATGATATTCTCAATTAATATTAAATCATCTTTTTCCAGTAAAATAGCCTCATATTTTAAAATTATTGAGTCAGTGATCCACCTCCCTGCTTTCTGATTTAATATAGTTCTAACTTGGTGGGGCAGGCTTACTGTTAACTTTCCTCCAAAGGTTACCTTCCTACTTTCTTTGACTAATACTGCTGTAGCTGCAATGGATTGGATACCCTGGGGCCACCTATGAGTGAGTGGGTCTAAGACCTTTGACAAGAAGGCCACGGGCTGTTGGCAGCCTCCATGTTCTTGGGTTAGCATTCCTAGGGCTACCCCATTATTTACATTAATGAAAAGGTGAAATGGCTTTTCTAGGGAGGGTAGAGCTAGAACGGGGTGGCTATGAGTGTCCCTTTCAATTCCTCAATTTGCTGGATTTCTTGGGAAGTCCACAAGAAATTATCAGCCTTCCACTGGGCAAGTTTCTCATATAGAAGTTTACTCTTTCATGCATATGAGTCAAATCCATAAATGACAATATCCAATTAGTCCTAAAAATTTCCTGAGTTCTTGTTTAGTTTGAGGCAAGGGTAGGGAAACAATTCTCTTTCAGGTCCTGTTTTTCATTTACCTGCACTAATTAGGTAGCCTAAGTATTTAGCTTCAGGTTCTACATACTGAATTTTCCCTTTTGAGACCAGCAACCCCTCACACTGCAAGTGATTGAGAATGTGTGTAGAGAAGTCACCTACCTCTTTTATGTCTTTACCAGATATAAGAAGATCATCCACATACTGAAGCAGACATATTTGTTTAGGGACTGTGACTTTTTCTAGTACTTGTTCTGGGACCTGAACAAAGAGGTTGGGGGAGTCTGTGAAACCCTGGGGCAAGACTGTCCATCAATATTGTTGTCTCTGCCCCAAATAGGGGTCTTACCACTCAAAAGCAAATATATCTCAGCTATCATCAGACAAGGGGTATGCCCAGAAGGCATCCTTCAAATCTATCATTGTAAACCATTGATGATCATATGGAATTTTGCTAAGAATGGTGTAAGGTTAGGAACGATGGGGTGAGTGAAAGCCAAATTCCTCTTCATGACATATAAGCCAAATTTGAAAGCCAAATTCCTCTTCATGACATATAAGAGACTGCACAATCTGGCTTCTTTTTCATTGTTTTTGGGACTCACAAATATATGCATGATTTTAAGAAACTAAAACTATTTTTTAAGGTTTTTTTCGCATCAGATTTGAAATGTGTGAGAGTAGTTATTTCTGTTGAATTTTTCTGTTCATTTTTCTGCACAGTCCACTCATTACTATATAGTCTTGAAATATAATTTGAAATTATAAGTATGATATCCTTCTGCCTTGTTCCTTTTCCTCATGATTGCTTTGGCTATTCAAAGTTTATTTTAATTTCATGTAAATTTTAGAATTGTATTTTCCATTACTGTGAAAAAATACAACTGCAATTTAGATAAGAAGTTTCTTCAATCTATAGATCACTTTGGATAACATGGTGCTTTAATATTTATTCTTTCAATCCATAGACATAAAATATTTTAAAATTTATTTGGATCTTCTCTAATTTTGTTTTTTTATTGTAAAGACTTTTTACCTCCTTGGTTAATATTTTTCTCAGAAATTTATTATTTAATGTTATAGTAAATAAGATTTTTTTCTTCCTCTATTTTTTTTTTTTTTTCCTTTTGAGATGGAGTCTCCAACTGTCACCCAGGCTGGAATGCAGTGGCACAATCTGGGCTCACTGCAACCTCCACCTCCTGGTTTCAAGCAATTCTCTTGCCTCAGCCTACCAATTAGCAGAGATTGCCGGTGCCCACCACAACATCCAGCTAATTTTTATATTTTTAGTAGAGACAGGGTTTCACCTTTTTGGCCACGCTTGTCTCAAACTCCTGACATCAGATGATCCACCTTCCTCGGCCTCCCAAAATGCTGGTATTGCAGCCATGAGCCACCGCACCCAGCCTCTTTCTGTATTTTATCAGATAGTTTGTTTTAAGTGAAAGAAACCATACATATACTTCTATGTTACTTTTATATTTTGCTAATTTACTGAGTGCATTTATTAGACAGGCTTTAATATACTGCTTAGTTTTTTAAATAGAAAATTGTATAATCTGCAAACAGCAACTTTTTACTCATTTTTCTTTAATTTCAATGGATTAAAAAATTTTTTTGACTAATTCTTCTGCCACATACTTCCGGTGCTAGATTAAAATAGAAGTGTTGACAATGGGCACAGTATAGTTTTGTATTGGTGTCTGAAGTTGATGGAGCAAACACCTCTTCAAGTTTTCATACACTGATTTTAGAAGATAAAGATCTTCTTTTGTTGGTCCCTTAGGATGATGAGAAACCCTCTGAATTTGTAGTGAAGAGGGGTTGCAGCTTGGTCACAAGGCTGCTGGGACTGCACTAGGGTCCATCTTTAGTTGGCTTGTTACAGGGGCTTGGGTAATTGTAATTCCCAGTTTATTTTTGGACAGACTGCAAATCTTTCAGGACTTTGCTCCATAGGGCAGACATAAGGAATGTTTCTGAAGTTGGTTCTGCATATGGTGGGCCTTGTATCAGGATGTAGATGAGTATGGCTTTCAGTGAGTACCAGAGATTATTTTTTCAAGTAACTCTGTAGCTTTCTATGTAGGCCGAACTGGCCATGAACTGTGGCTCAGGTAACTGAAACTGAGTCACTGAACCACTTCAGGGACCCCTGTACAGGCCAAGGTCTGCAGGCCTGCCTAGATGGCTGTGAATGGGCACCTTCCTCCAGGTCTCTGGAATGGCAAGACCTCTGCCAGACTGTGGCTGGAGGAGTTTCAGATGATTACACAGTAAGTTCAGAATTCTTAGTGGGACCAAGTTGGGTGAACCCTATCCTGGTCTGTAGCCTAGAACAGGGGTCATATAGTTTTCCACCTGAATGAGGGCCTGCCTTCTGAATAGAACACTTCTCAACCTTAAGCTTTAACAGTTTCACAACTCCCTCCCTGGATCTCACATCTCTCATAGAGGCACTTATTTTGGAGATGACATCTTGCTACATAACCCAGGCTGGTCTCGAAATCCTGGCCTGAAGCTGTTCTCCATCATTAATGTACCATGTAGCTGTCATTACAAGTGTGAGCCATAATGCCTGGTTTTCTAATAAAGGCATTTATTTATTTCTCTGAGACACTCTCTCATTCAGGCTGGAGTGCAGTGGTGCCATCTCACCTCCCTGCAACCTCTGCCTCCCGGGTTTAAACAATTCTCCTGCCTCAGCCTCCTGAGTAGCTAGGATTACAGACGTGTGCCACCATGACTGCCTATTTTTTTGGTATTTTTGTAGAGACAGGGTTTCACCATGTTTGCCATGCTGGTCTCAAACTCCTGACCTCGTGATCTGCCCGTCTCAGCAGATCTCAGCAAAGTGCTGGGATTAAAGGCATCAGCCACTGTGCCCAGCCAATAAAGGCATTTTTGTCAGGGATGGCCGATGTTTTTTGCTGTAAGGGGATATAAAATTAGGGAACTTTTAATCTTTCATCTTACTGATGTCACTCGCCCTCTACATTTTGACTATTTTCTATTTCAAATTTGTCTGTAATTTTAGATTTATTTATGACAATATGCTAGAATTTGCATGTTATGCATGAAGTAAATTACATAATTAGTAGGCACTCCATATTTACCAAAATAATTACTTATAAATTTAAGTTTGCTGCAGGCAAAAAGGAATTACAGGGTTTTCATCTACTTTCTTCAGCCTGTATCTGAAGAATAAAATAGTTTATTTCCTAATATTTTCTTTCACGTATCAAGGTGCCTAATCCTGTTCTTCAAAGTATATATTTATATTTTCTATGTTTAACAATTTAAGTCTATTCTTTGCTTCTAAATTTGGATTTCAGCAGTTTCATTTTGTGTGAGAACAGCATATATTTTAAACATAACAAGTAACCCTAGTTTCTTTTAAATGCTTATTTATTAAAAACTTCTCTTTAGAATCTTCTATTTATAATTCTTTGGAAAAAAAAAAAAAGGTTTTGGCCGGGTGCAGTGGCTCACGCCTGTAATCCCAGCACTTTGGGAGGCCAAGGCGGGTGGATCATGAGGTCAGGAGATCAAGACCATCCTGGCTAACACGGCGAAACCCCGTCTCTACTAAAAATACAAAAAATTAGCTGGGCGTGGTGGCGGGCGCCTGTAGTCCCAGCTACTCGGAAGGCTGAGGCAGGAGAACAGCGTGAACCCGGGATGCGGAGCTTGCAGTGAGCCGAGATCGCACCACTGCACTCCACCCCACCCTGGGCAACAGAGAGAGACTCCGTGAAAGTTTTCTGCTGCTTTTGTTATCTACATAAACAAAGATATCACCTGCAAATAATGAACTAATTTCCAGTTTTATTCATTACAAATATTAACTTTTTTTCTGGCATATTTTTCCTTTATGCACCATTTTATACATTCACACACACATAGGACAATAAAAATATATCTAATTATTTAATTTTGGTTGAATTTTCATTAAAACAAGTGTTAACTATGATTATTTGTTTTCTGTTTGAAGAGGGCTTTTATTGTTGTACTCAAGAGCGTTGTTTCTGGAGACAAAGCTGCCTGTACTTTAATAGACAGATTCTGAAAAAAATTTGAAACATAAGCCATAAAATTTTATATTAATAAATTCAAGACAAAGCAGAAAGCATAGATTTGCTTTCAGCATTCTCAAGGAGCTTAGTTTTTTATTAGCCACCTTATTAAAATAATTTGTTTTGTTCCAATAATTGTTCTTTTCTTCTGAAAATATGTACAATCTCATGCTCACACAAACACACTCCATAAGTTTCTTACATCTAAGGTTTATCTTCAGAGTAATATGTGTATATTTAACTGATGTAAATTAACACTGAAAGTCTACATTTGCAGGCAAAGACCACATGTTCAAAGAAAACCATATAACAAACATTTATTAATAAGTTTTCAGTATATGTATGATTTCTATTTCTTTTTTTCTTGAGATTGAGTCTGTTGCCCAGGCTGGAGTGAAGTGGTGCAATCTCAGCTCAGTGCAACCTCCAGCTCCCAGTTACAAGTGAATCTCCTGCCTCAGCCTCCAAACATGCACCACAATGCCCAACTATATTTTGTATTTTTAGTAGACGAGGTTTCACCACGTTGGCCAGGCCAGTCTTGAACTCCTGACCTCAGGCAATCCACCTGCCTTGTCCTCCCAAAGTATTGGGATTACAGGCATGAGCCACTGGGCCTGGCTGTATTTTATTTATATTTCTGTATAATTTTTATTATGATCATAAAAATAACCCTGTAGTCAATAACAATTTATTGTACATTTTAAAATAACTAAAAGTATATAATTACACTGTTTTTAATACAAAGGATAAATGCTAGAGGTGATAGATACCTTATTTACCCTAATGTAGTTACTACATATTATAGGCCTGAATCAAAATATGCCATATAAAGCATAAATATATACATATACTATATACTCACAAATACTAATAATAAATTTCAGTAAGAAAAGAGAATAAAAATTTAACCTATGGGAACAATATTCTTAAATTCATTTGCTGTTTAAAGCCACTGGCAAAGTGATTACTAGAGACATTATTCCATTATGTACCAAATAGTATATTGCTACCATCTTTTACCTACACCTTTGAGTAAGGTGGGATAGGTTAGTGGCATAATAATGCTTCATTAAATGCACAATAGTCTTAACATGGTAAAAAACATAAAATTAAATTCACACATAATCTAACAATTTTTAAATGCACTGCATTTTATTACATAAAAGTACAATAAGTAAAATATACGAATTTAGTTTAATATACTTTTATCAATAATTATTTCTTGCACTATAATGTAGAAAAGTATTACTCTGACCTACCTTATACATTACTTCATATAGGTTAACTACAAAGAGCCTCTCCACTTATATTTTCATCATGCATCTTACATTTTAATGTCCTTACTTTTATAGAAAAGGTCATAAATGCCCAATTAATAAAAAACTATCTCTAATATCTCTGATGCAGCAAAAATTGATCACATGCTTTCACATGTGAATACAATAAGAATAAAATAACAGCATAAAGTAATTTGAAAGCTGTATTATGTCATTACCCACTTTTCAGAAAAATTTTTTTAAGGAAACAAATACACTTTTTTTTTTGAGATGGAGTCTTGCTCTGTTGCCCAGGCTGGACAATGGTGCAACCTCGGCTCACTGCAACCTCCACCTCCCAGGTTCAAGCAATTCCAATTCTCTGCCTCAGCCTCCCAAGCAGCTGGGATTATACGCGCCGGCCACCATGCATGGCTAATTTTTGTATTTTTAGTACAGACAGGGTTTCACCATCTTGGCCAAGATGGTCTTGAACTCCTGACCTCGTGATCCACCTGCCTTGGCCTCCCAAAGTGTTGGGATTACAGGCATGAGCCACCACACGCAGCTGGAACAAGTATACTTTTAATGTAATTACAATGCTTCCAAAAATCTGCTTTTAAAGTTATACACAAATAAATTTTTTTTTTTCCTGGAGACAGAGTTTCACTCTTATTGCCCAGGCTGGAGTGCAATGATCTCGACTCACCACAACCTCTGCCTCCAGGGTTCAAGCCTCCTGAGTAGCTGGGATTACAGGCATGTGCCACCATGCATGGCTAATTTTATATTTTCAGTAGAGACTGGGTTTCTCCGTTTTGGTCAGTCTGATCTCAAACTCCCGACATCAGGTGATCCTCCCACCTTGGCCTCCCAAAGTGCTGGGATTACAGGCATGAGCCACTGTGCCCAGCCACAAATAATTTATCTAAGAAGTGTTTCCAAACTCATTACATTTGCAGGAATCTTCTTCAATATACATTCCCTGATGTTGCACAAAGTTTGGCAACCGCTTTAGGGTTTCCTTCTAATACAAAACGCGGGCAATAAGATCTGTAATACAAGCAAAGGTACTACAAACCTCTTTATATTTGTAATGCTTGTCTTCAGAATCAATACTCTTCTTCACCTTAAAGGCTTATATTTTCTGAAAGATTTTTGTCACAGTAATTGCTCTTTTATGAACCTTCTTCTGTTGAGTAAGATGTGATGGACATTAATGGCTTTTCCATATTCTTTATATTTGTACAATTTTTCTCAAGGATAATAGCTTTCCTGTGAAATACGGTGTAAGCACTGATTAAAAGTTTTGCCACATTCTTCATACTTGTAGGTATTTTGGAAGTATGAATTACCTACAATAAAGTGTGGCAACCATATAAAGGCTTTGTCACATTTCATACATTTCTATGGTGTAGTATAATTTTTTTTATGCATAGAAAAGTTGGAGGTGTTGGGAAAAGCACTGTCACATCTTTCAGGTTTGTAAAGTTCCTCTTCACCATGAATTATCGCCATGTCTCTTAAGAATTAAGAGCTTATGGCTGGGAATTGAGGCTCATGCCTGTCATCCCAGCACTTTAGGAAGCCGAGGCGAGTGGATCACCTGAGGTCAGGAGTTTGAGACCAGCCTGGCAAATATGGCAAAAGCCCATCTCTACTAAAAATACAAAAATTAGCTGGGAATGGTGGTGGCACCTGTAATCCCAGCTACTTGGGAGGCTGAGGCAGGAGAATGGCTTGAACCCAGGAGGCAGAGGTCACAGTAAGCCAAGATCATGCCATTGCACTACAGCCCGGGTCACAAGAGTGAAACTGCATCTCAAAAAATAAATAAACAAATAAAAATAAAAGAATTGAGAACTTGTTACAGGCTTGCCACATTCTTCACACTTGTAGGGTTTCTGTCCAGTATGAATTATGTGTAATAAGGGTTGAGAACTTCCTTAAAAAGCTTTGTCAGCCAGGCACAGTGGCTCATGCCTGTAACCCCAACACTTTGGGAGGCCAAAGCAGGCAGACCACCTGAGGTTAGGAGATTGAGACCAGCCTGACCAACATGGAGAAACCCCATCTCTACTAAAAATACAAAATTAGCCAGGTGTGGTGGTGCAGCCCTGTAATCCTAGCTACTAAGGAGAGTTACTTGAACCCAGAAGGTGGAGGTTGTGGTGAGCCAAAATTATGCCATTGCACTCCAGCCTGGGAAACAACAGCAGAATTACCTCTCAAAAAAATAATAATAATAAAATAATCCTTTGTCACGTTCTTGGTTTCTGTCCAATATGAATTCTCTTATGTTTATTAAGGTCTGAGGACCAGTTAAAAGCTTTGCCACATTCTTTACATTTGTAAGGTTTCTCTCCAGTATGAGTTGTCTTATGTTCAGTTAGATTTGAGGATGTAGTATACGCTTTGCCACATTCTTCACATTTGTAGGGTTTCTCTCCAGTATGAGTTCTCCTATGTTTATGGAGGCCTGCAGACCATGTAAAGGCTTTGCCACATTCTTCACATTTGTATGGTTTCTCTCCAGTATGAATTATCTTATGCATAGTAAGGTGTGAGGAGCGGGTGAAGGCTTTGCCACATTCTTCACATTTGTAGGGTTTCTCTCCCGTATGAATCTTCTCATGTTTACTAAGGATCGAGGATGAAATAAAGGCTTTGCCACATTTATCACACGTGTACGGTTTCTCTCCAGTATGAATTTTCTTATGTGAAGAAAGAGTTGCAGGATGGTTAAAAGCTTTGTCACATTCTTTACATTTGTAGGGTTGCTCTCCAGTATGGATTATCTTATGTGTAGTAAGGGTATAGGGGTACATAAAGGCTTTGCCACATTCTTCACAAATGTAGGGTTTCTCTCCACTATGAATTTTCTTATGTGTAGTAAAGCTAGAGAAGTACTTAAAGACTTTGCCACATTCTTCACATTTGTAGGGTTTCTCTCTAGTATGAGTTATCTTATGTGTAGTAAGGTGTGAGGACCGGTTGAAGGCTTTGCCACATTCTTCACATTTGTATGGTTTCTCTCCAGTATCAATTTTTTTATGTGTAGTATGGGTTGAGGACTGGTTAAAAGCTTTGTCACCTTCTATATATTTCAAAGGTTTTTTTTCAGTATGTCTTCTTTTATGTCTCTTTGAATTTGAAAATTGATGAAAGACTTTCACATATTTACCACATTGAAATATTTTGCTCTGGGTAGTTGTCAAACATTGGTTAAGTCCATTATAACCTCTTTTGTGTAACTTACACTCATCCACACTTTCACAGCCTTTTTTAAAGTGTAAATTGCCATGTCCACATTTTTCAAATTTTCTCAGTATCACTTTTTGGTAAGAATCTTTTATGCTCTGCTCTGGCCAAAGGTCTTGGGCAAAATGAGAACACACAACTGAAAGAAACAATAAAAACACATTACTTCAATTGCTAGACTCAGATAAATATACTTTACAAATCTAACCTATAAAATTATACAAACTACATAAGCAAGATGACATAGCAAAATGCCACAAGCTGTAATTTCTTCCTGGACATATAAAGGTAACAAAAACATACTGACCAAAATACATTTGTAAAAAATTTATAAGTGAGTTTTAAGTGTGTGAAAGTCCCTAGGTGAGCACAATGCAAACAGTCACATAGAAGATAAAGAAAATTCTGTTACTTATATGCAACAGCTCTTCCTGCTCTCCAGTATAACATTGTGCCTTTAAAAGTAAATTGCCAACCTGGTGCAGTGGCTCATTCCTGTAATACCAGCACTTTCGGAGGCTGAGATGGGTGAATCACTTGAGGTCAGGAGTTCAAGGCCATCCTGGCCAAGATGGTGAAACCCCATCTCTACTAAAATTACAAAAAGTTAGCCAGTCATGGTCATGGGCCGCTGTAATTCCAACTGCTCAGGAGGCTGAGGCATGAGAATTTCTTGAACCCAGGAGACGGAGGTTGCAGTAAGCCAAGATTGCACCACTGCACTCCGGCCTGGGCGACAGAGCAAGACTTCATCTCAAAAAAAAATTTTTTTTTAAAGTAAATTGCCAACAAGGCATGATAGCTCATGCCTGTAATTCCAGAAATTTGTGAGGGCAAAGCATGAGGATCACCTGAGGTCAGGAGTTTGAGACCAGCCTGACCAACACGGTAAAACCCCATCTCTACTAAAATACAAACAAATTAGCCAGGCATGGTTACAGTTACCTGTAATCCTATTTGGGATGCTGAGGCAGGAGAATTGCTTCAACTGTGGAGGCAGAGAATGTAGTGAGCCAAGATCATGCCACTGCACTTGAGACTAGGTAACAGAATGAGACTCTGTCTCACACATACACACAAAAATGTAAATTGCCAACTCCTGGTTTCCTTTTTAAAAAACAAGAAACATTGGCACATACATCTTTATTTGTCTTCTAGGGGCTTTTTTAGACACCAGATAATGTGTCCCATGACATAAAATGCTAAAAAAAAATGGTGATATACATTGGAATGACAGTTTGAGTTTGCTGAGTCTAAAGGTAAATTATAGAGAAGCAGAGAAACTGCAAACAGGGAATGGGTGTAGCAGGTGATTACTGACTATTAAGAAGAGATATGAATAAGCTGATTTAACTAAACAATAAACACAAAATTTTAGACAAGACTCATCCTAAAAACATGTTTGAAAAATTCCCAGAATCTCTAGCCAAGACAATTGATTTCATGCTACGCCAGGACAAAGCTATATTATAAAGATTGTAACAGGTAGCTTTTTGTTAATTTCCAAATCTCTATCAAAGATGATAATGTATACCAAATATTAGAACATGGCCCCATCAAAAAAATTATAAACTTTTCAAAAGCAACCATAAAAAGTATACAAAGTAATTTTTAAAATTCCAAATGAATTGAACATCCCACTGTTGGTGGCTCATTCCTGTAATCCCAACACACTGGAAGATCAAGGTGGGAAAATACATGAGGTCAGAAGTTTGAGACCAGCCTGGCCAACATGGTGAAACCCTGTATCTACTAAAAATACAAAAATTAGCTGGGCATGGTGACATGTGCCTGTAATCCCAGCTACTTGTAAGGCTGACACAGGAGAATTGCTTGAATCCAGGCGGGAAACGTTGCAGTGAGTGGAGATTGTACCACTGTACTGCGGCCTGGGAAACAGAGCAACACTGTCTCAAAAATAAAATTAAAAAGGTTGGGTGCAGTGGCTGATGCCTGTAAACCCAGCACTTTAGGAGGCTGAGGTGGGTGGATCATTTGAGGTCAGCAGTTCAAGATCAGCCTGGCTGAGAACACGCCACTGCACTCCAGCCTCGGTGACAGAAAAAGACTCTGTATAAGAAAAAAATAGAAACCCAGACAACTATAAAAAGAAATACTAAAATACCAAAAAACCGAAAATCGTGGATATAAAAAATATAAAAAACTGAAAAATTTATTAAAAGAAAATATGATGTAAACATGAAAAAGCTGAATGAACAAACTTAGATACACACAAATATATTTATAACAAACACATATATAAGCAAAATTTCAAAAATCACATATAAGAATAGAATTTTGGGTGCTACAAGATAAAAATGATGTTCCATTTATAAGCATAGTCTCATGAGATAACCAGAGAATTTTTTTTTTTTAGACAGAGTTTCAATCTTGTTGCACAAGCTGGAGTGCAATGATGCAATCTTGGCTCACTGCAACCTCCAACTCCCGGGTTCAAGGGATTCTCCTGCCTCAGCGTCCTGAGTAGCTGGGATTACAGGCGTGCGCCACCATGCCTGGCTACTTTTTTGTATTTTCAGTACAAACAGGGTTTCACCATGTTAGCCTGGCTGGTCTCAAACTTCTGACCTCAGGTGGTCTGCCCGTCTCAGTCTCCCAAAGTGCTGGGATTATAGACGTGAGCCACCACAACCGGCACCAGTGAATTTATTTAAAACATTCTTACACGTCAGAAAAAAACTGTGATATTGCTAAAGTTATAATAATTTTTTTAAAAAGCTGTCAAATGCAATAATGCCATCAGCAAAATTGTACTACCAAATAAAACAAGTGCTTCCAAAATAACCAAATCCTGAGAAAGTATATTGGCACTGCATACACCATACACATCAAAGATGCTAAAAGGAGTTTCTTCCACTGAAAATAACATAATGCAAGAAAACAACAGATAATCTATGAAAATACATAACTTTCTGGAAAAGATATCCACATACACAAAAATGGAATTTCTTAACATCATAATGGTACAGAAAACATTTTTAATACTCTCTAAATTTAAAAGATAAAAGTATAGAAATTATTGTTAACATCTGTTAATAAATATACAACATAAAAAATATAATTAGCAAAATCAGTAACAAAGTTGAAGGCAAATGTAATGATGAAGAATTTCAGTATATAACTGAAGTTAATTTTTTTACCACATTCAAATATATTGTTGGATCTTTTAGGTTTTATGTAATCCCCCATGTTACCACTAAGATAATAGCTGTATAGATACACAAAAGAAAATAAGAAACTGAAAGCATATCAATACAAAAAATTAAAAAAACACAAAAAAGACAGAAAATGAGTGAAAAAGATAGAAGAATCAAATAAAACAATTAATAAAAATAACAGTAAGTTTTTCTATTGCAGAAAACGATTTAAATATATATATAATCATCTTTCCAATCAAAAGACATATTTTTTTTTATTTTTTGAGACGGAGTTTCGCTCTGTTGTCCAGGCTGGAGTACAGTGGTGTGACCTTGGCTCACTGCAACGTCCGCCTTCTAGGTTCAAGCAATTCTCCTGCTTCAGCCTCCTGAGGAGCTGGGATTATAGGCACCTGCCAGCATGCCCGGATAATGTTTGTATTTTTTAGTAGAGACAGCGTTTCACCATGTTGGCCAGGCTGCTCTCGAACTCCTGACCTTCTGATTCACCCACCTCGGCCTCCCAAAGTGCTGAGAACACAGGCATGAGCCACCATGCCTGGTGGAGGTTACAGTGAGCCAAGATTACACCACTGCACTCCATCATGGGCAATAGAGTGAGACCCAGTTTCAAAAAAAAAAAAAAGATGGTACATAAAAACTTTAAAGTTTTTTAATAAAATATAAGAAATATGTAAATCTGCATAAATGTTAATAGATACACCATATAAAATAATTTTTATATCAGTAACAAACCATAAAATATAGAGGCATAGTTTTTGTATTCAGTTGAAGTTATGAGATTGAAACATATTGTTTTAACTTTAAGATGTATGTAATCTCCAGTTTTCAAGATGATTACAAAGATAATATTTATAGAAAGTATGCAAAAGAAGATAAAAAGTAATGAAAGCATGCCAGTACAAAATAAAATGAAAATTAAGAAAGTAAAACAGGAGATGAGAAAAATATAACTACTAGAAACACATAAAACAGTAACAATCTAACTGCTAATGACAACTTCATTTGTTTATTCATTGTAAATATAAATTAATTATACTACTTAATAAAATCAAATGTAATCTTAGGACTTTGGAAGGCCAAGGTAGGCTCATCACTTGATCCCATGAGTTCAAGACCAGCCTGGGCAACATGGCAAAACTCTGTCTCTACAAAAAATACAAAAAACATAGATGGCTATGATGACACATACTTGTAACCCAGCTGTTTGAGAGGCTAAAATGAGAGGATCATCTGAGTTTTGGAGGTTCTGGCATCAGTGAATCATGCAAATCAGCCTGGTTGACAGAGTGAGACCCTATCTCAAAGTTAAATGAGGCCAGGCGTGGTGGCTGATGCCTGTAATCCCAGCACTTTGGGAGGCAGAGGCGGGCAGATCACCTGAGGTCAGAAGTTTAAGACAAGCCTGGCCATCATGGTGGAATCCCATCTCTACCTAAAATACAAAAAAATTAGCTGGGCATGGTGACAGGTGCCTGTAATCCCAGCTACTTGGGAGGCTGACAAAGAAGAATCACTTGAACTTGGGAGGCAGAGGTTGCAGTGAGCTCACGCCATTGCACTCCAGCTTGGGCAACAAAAGTGAAACTCTGTCTCAAAATAAATACATAAATAAATATATACATATGAAGAAAAAGCTATAGAATGCCTCAGTGGTTTCTTTAAAAGCATACAGTATGCTGCCTACAAGAGACTCATTGTAGCATTGAGTCAAATAGGCTGAAAGTAACAGAAGGAAAAAAATGTGTATATCATAAAAATAGTAACCACAATTGAGTGAGGTGGTCACAATTATATTAGACATAATATGCTATAGGTCAAATACTACCATTAGACAAAGAATGATATTATATTATGGTAAAGTGAGTTAATTTACCAGGAATCGGTAACTATATTATTTATCTATCTATATGTATATGTGTATATAACATCAGGGCTCCAAAATATATAAAGCAAATATTGACAAAAGTGAAGCAAGGCATACATAGCAACATAAAAATTGTAGACATCAAGACCCCATTTGCAATAATAAATAGAAAATTCAGAGAAAAAATGAGAAACAGACAACTTACGCAACATTATAGACCATATTATTTTGCATACAGAGGAATACTTGAGACTGCATAATTTCTTTTTCTTTTTTTCTTTGTTTTTGAGACAGAGTCCTGCTCTTTTGCCCAGGCTGGAGTACAGTGGCGCAATCTCAGCTCACTACAAGCTCCGCCTCCCAGGTTCACGCCATTCTCCTGCCTCAGCCTCCCGAGTAGCTGGGACTACAGGCGCCCACCACCATGCCCGGCTAATTTTTTTATATTTTTAATAGAGACGGGGTTTCACCGTCTTAGCCAGGAGAGTCTCGATCTCCTGACCTCGTGATCCACCCACCTGGGCCTCCCAAAATGCTGGGATTACAGGTGTGAGCCACCGCCCCCAGCCGAGTGCATAATTTTTTTTTTTTTTTGAAGGAATCTCGCTGTCGCCCAGGCTGGAGTGCAGTAGAGCAATCTCAGCTCACTGCAAGCTCCGCCTCCCAGATTCACGCCACTCTCCTGCCTCAGCCTCCCAAGTAGCTGAGACTACAGGTGCCCACCAGCACGCCCGGCTTTTTGTATTTTTGGTAGAGACGGGGTTTCACCATGTTAGCCAGGATGGTCTCGATCTCCTGACCTCATGATCCACCCGCCTCGGCCTCCCAAAGTGCAGGGATTACAGGCATGAGCCACCGTGCCCAGCCAAGTGCATAATTTTTAAAGAAAAATAATTTATGTGGCTCACAGTTTGACAGACTATAAGAAGTGTGTGCTAGCATCTGCTTCTGGTGAGGGCCTCAGGAAACTTACAATCATGGTGGAAGGTAAAGAGTAATTGGACATACTATATGTTAATGAAACAGAGCAAGTGTGAGGTGAAGGATCCAGGTTCTTTTAATGAACCAGCTCTCATTTGAATTAATAGAGTGTAAAGTTTTGGTTACCAAGAGGATGTACCATGCCGTTCATGAGAAATTTGCCTCCATGACACAAACATGTCCCACCAGGTCCCACATCCAACATTGAAGATTTATTTTGCAGCATGAGGTCTGGAGAACATGAACATGGAAACCATATTATAGACCAACTAGGCTTCACAGACACAAGCAAAACTCTCCAGTCAAAACCAAGATAATACACAATATTCTTATTTGCATCTGGTATAATCTGTTAGGACACATACCAAGTTTTATTAAATTTAAAAGTACTGACGGGGTGCAGTGGCTCTTGCCTATAACCCTAACACTTTGGGAGACCTAGGTAAGAGGATCCATTAGGGCCAAAAGTTTGAGACCAGCCTGGACAACATAATGAGATCCTAACACTGCAAACAAGCAAACAATTAGGCAGACATGGTAGTACATGTCTGTAGTCCAAGCTGGTCAGAAAACAGAGGTGAAAGGATCACTTGAGCCCAGGAGGCTGAGGCTATAGTGAGCCAAAATTATGCCACAGCACTCCAGCCTTGGTGTTGGTAAGATCTTGTCTTAAAACAACAACAAATCAATTTAAAAACACTAAAATTATACATTGTGTGTTTTCTAACAAAAACTGAATGACACTAGGAATTAAAAGCAAAAGGTAAATTGGCAAATTCAAAAATATGTGAATATAAAACACTCTGATTCAACATATTCTTGCTCAGGGGTCAAAAAATTTTATTCTTCACAGATGTCAATACAACCTACAGTTAAAGGCTACAGTAACATAAACAATGTGATACTGACACAAAGATAAACAGATGAAAGACCAGAATAGAGAGCTCAGAAATGAACCCTTCTATATATGATCAAATGGTCTTTCAAAAAGTTGCTATGAGTACAAAATAGAGAAAAGTAATATCTTCAAAAAATGATGTTGAAAACTGAATATCAACACTGATAAAATAAAATTGGGTTATTTCCTTGAACGATACAAAAATATATTTTAAACAAAATACTTAGACATAAAGAAACTAACAAATCTATTAGAAAAAATACAGGAAAAGGACATTACATTGGTCTTGCCACCATTTTCTTAGATACGACATTAAATGCATGAGCAACAAATACAAGAAAAGTTTAACTACACTAGACATCAAAATTTCTGTACATCAAAAGAAAATTCAAAAGTGGCAACATCCCTTAGAAAATGGATGAAAACATTTGCAGATTTCATGTGAAGGAAGTTAATGTTCAAAATAAATAAAAACTCTTAAAACTAATCAATAAAGTTCAATAACTTGATTTAAAAATGAACAAAAAGATTTTTCATCAAAAAACTACACAAATGGGAAAAAGCATTTGAAAGAATGCACAAAATTACTGATTTGTAGAGAAATTAAAAAAACACAATGACAAACAAAATCACCTCATATCCATTAGAATGGCCACTGTAAATTTTTTTAAAAACACCCAATCTGTTGATGTTGCAATAAAAATGAAACCCATGTTGCTTCTTGCTGGAAAACAAAGATGCAGCCATTATTTAAAAATGTTATAAATGTTCCTCACTTATTATATCTATTTACAAAATACGTAACACAGGCCAGGCCCAGGTGCTCAAGCCTGTAATCCTAGCACTTTGGGAGGCCAAGGTGGGTGATTACCTGAGATCAGGAGTTTGAGACCAGCCTGGCCAACATAATAAACCCCATAATACTAAAAATACAAAAAATTAGCTGGGTGTGTTGGTGGGCACCTGTAATCACAGCTACTTGGGAGGCTGAAGCAGAATTGCTTGAACCCAGGAGGCAGAGGTTTCAGTGAGCTGATATCACACCACTGCACTTCAGCCTGGGTGACAGAGTGAGAATCCATCTCTAGAAAAAAAGAAAAGCAACACAGGACCTGGAAGACATATTTGAAAATCCATGTTTATTGCACCAGTATTCACAAAAGCCAAAAGGTTGAAGCAACCCAGATGTCTCTTGATTTATAAACACATCAAAATATGTAACATATACATACAATGGAATATTATTCCATCTTAAAAAGAATAATCTTGTCACATTTTAAGATGAACATTGAGAATATTATGTCACTTGAATTAATCCAGTAACAAAATTATGGATATCTTAAGTAGTCAAATCATAAAACAGAAAGTGGAAGGTTTGTCTGTCGAGGGTGAGAGAGGGTAAAATGAGCAGTTGTTATTTAATGGGTATTGAGTTTTAGTTTTACAAGATGTAAAGTGTCTAGAAGTATTTTACATAACAATGAGAATATACTTAACATGCCTGAAATGAACAGCTTTTTTTTGTTTTTTGGAGACAGGGTCTCACTCTGTCATTCAAGCTGGAGTGTAGTGGCACAATTTTGACTCCCCCTCCATCTCCCAAGTAGCAGGTACCACAGCTGCATACCACCATGCCTGGCAATTATTAAATTATTTTTATAAAGAGGGGTCTCCATATCTTTCCCAGGCTGGTCTCAAACTTTTGGGCTCCAGGGATCCTCCTGTGTTGGCCTCCCAAAATCCTGGGATTACAGATGGGAGCCACAACCATGCCTGGCCCTGAAAATGTACACTTGAATTAAGATGGTAAATTTTATGTTATGTGTTTTTAAAACAATTTTTTTAAAGAAAAACTGAAAAAAAATCCAGAATTATAAATCTTTTTGAAAATTACCTTCAAATCAAACAAGTATTTCTCTCACAAAAGGAAATATATATTCATCATTAAACACATGGTGAAAAAAAAGACTATCTCCATGACTACTCACTTAAACAAGATAGTTTATGGTCAGTTCTGCCTATATAGAAACCCACAGTTATCTGAGGGAATGCTCTCTGATACTCAATAAAAGCCATACTCATCAATATCCAGATATAAGGCCCACCATATGCAGACCTGACTACAAAAACATACCCTAGTGTTTTAACTACGGAGCAAAGCCCTGAAGGATATGCAGTCTGTCCAAAAATAAAATGAGAAGTACAACTACCCAAGCCCCTGTAACAAGCCAACTAAAGGTGGACCCTAGTGCAGACCCAGCAGCCTTGTCACCAAGCTACACCCCCTCTCCACTACAAATTCAGAGGGCATCTCATCACCCTAAGGGCCCAACAAAAGATCTTTACCTTCTAAAATCAGTTTATAAAAACTTGAAGGCCAGGCGTGGTGGCTCACACCTGTAATCCCAGCACTTTGGGAGGCCGAGGCGGATGGATCACGAGGTCAGGAGATCGAGACCATCCTGGCTAACACGGTGAAACCCTGTCTCTAATAAAAATTTTTAAAAAATTAGCCGGGTGTGGTGGTGGGCGCCTGTAGTCCCAGCTACTCGGGAGGCTGAGGCAGGAGAATGGCGTGAACCCGGGAGGTGGAGGTTGCAGTGAGCTGAGACTGCACCACTGCACTGCAGCCTGGGCAACAGAGTGAGACTCTCTCAAAAAAAAAAAAAAAAAAAAACTTGAAGAGGTGTTTGCTCCATCAAATTTAGGCACCAATACAAAACTATATTGTGCCCATTGTCAATGCTTCTATTTTAATGTAGCACTGGAAGCATGTGGCAGAAGAATTAGTCAAAGAAATAAAAAAATCCATTGAAATTAAAGAAAAATAAGTAAAAAGTCGCTGTTTGTAGATCGTATAATCTTGTATTTAAAAATCAATAAATAGTACATTAAAACCTGTCTGAAGTGATAAATACACTCAGTAAATTAGCAAAATATAAAATTAACATACAAGTGTATGTATGGTCTCATACACTTAAAACAAACTGATAAAATAGAGGAAGAAAAAAATCTTATTTACTATAGCATTAAGTAATAAACTTCTTAGAAAAAAACCAAGGAGGTAAAAAAATCTTTACAATAAAAAAACTATGGGCCGGGCGGGGTGGCTCATGCCTGTAATCCCAGCACTTTGGGAGGCTGAGGTGGGTGGATCACAAGGTCAGGAGTTCAAGACCAGCCTGGCCAACATGGTGAAACCCCTCTCTACAAAAAATACAAAAAAAATTAGCCAGGCATGGTTGTATGCACCTGTAATCTCAGCTACACAGGAGGCTGAGGCAGAGAATTGCTTGAACCCAGGAGGCAGAGTTTGCAGTGAACCAAGATCACACCACTGCACTCCAGCCTGGGCAACAGAGCAAGACTCCTTCTCAAAAAAAAAAAAAAAAACCTATGAAAATATTAGAGAAGATCCAAATAAATTTTAAAATTGCCGTATTAACCAGAGTGATCTATAGATTCAATAAACCTCCTATCAAAATTGCAGTGGTATTTTTTTCATAGTAATGGAAAATACATTTCTAAAAGTTACGTGATACTAAAATAACTTTGATAGCCAAAGCAATCTTGAGGAAAAAGATCAAAGCAGAAGGATATCATACTTATAATTTCAAACTATATTTCAAGACTATATAGTAATAAAAACAGAATGGACTGTGCAGAAAAAATGAACAAAAAATGCAACAAAAACTAATACTGTCACACATTTCAGATCTGAAGCAAAAAGACAACTTAAAAAAGGGTTTTAGTTTCTCAAAATCACGCAGATATTTGTGTGTCCCCAAGGCAACGGAAAAGCAGCCAGATTGTGCAATCACTTATATGCCATAAAGAGGAATTTCGCTCTCACTGTGAACTTGAAGGAAGCTCACCGAAAGAATAGTAGAATCCTTAGAGAATTTAAAAGCATGAGACAGATGTCCCTTTGTGAGAGAAAAATTAAATAAATAAATAAATAAATAAAACAGCTGCCCAGGAACTATTTCCTTTGGAACACAGCTTCCCAGATCACATTTTAAGGACTGGCTTTCTTTTTGACCTTGGGACCTCTTATCTGCATTGTCTGTTGTGTTCATTTTCATTCGCACCTACCTGGGGGTTTGGCAATCATCTCATGTCTCTTCATAGTCAGAGGTTTTATTCCTTGCTCCAGACAGGTGATCAGGTCTGGCTTAGAGACAATAATACCTGTTTCATTAAAAATAAATAGCATTAATCTTGCTTATATTTCTCAATTACAAGCTAGTAATGTGCTCAGCAGAAAGAATGTAATAAAATATTCTAGTAAATTAATACCAAAATACTAATTCATAACAAATTTCTAAATATTTAGAAAATACTTTCAACTTTAAGGTTTCTTTTTTTTTTTTTTGGAGATGGAGTAAAATAAGTAAAAAGTTGCTGTTTATAGATCATACAATCTTATATTTAAAAAACATTAAGCAGTACTTTAAAAACCATAAATAGGGCCAGTTGCAGTGGCTCACACCTCTAATCCTAGCACTCTGGGAGGCCAAGATGGGTGGATCACAAGGTCAGGAGTTTGAGACCAGCCTGGCCAACATGGTGAAACCCCATTTCTACTAAAATACAAAAAGCTGGGTGCAGCGGCACGTGCCTGTAGTAGTACCAGCTACTCAGGAGGCTCAGACAGGAGAATTGCTTGAACCCAGGAGGCAGAGGTTGCAGTGAGCTGAGATCATGCCATTGCACTCCAGCCTGGGCAACAGAGCGAGACTCCATCTCAAAAAAAAAAAAAAAAAAAAAAAACATAAACAATACCTTAAAACCTTTCTAAACTGACAAATACACTCAGCAAATTAGCAAAACATAAAATTAACATACAAGTATATGTATGGTCTCAAACACTTAAACTATCTGATAAAATAGAGAAAGAAAAAATCTTATTTACTATACCATTAAATAATAAATTTCTTTAAAAAATTACTAAGAAGGTAAAAAATCTTTACAATAAAAATCTACGAAGAGAAGATCCAAATAGATTTTTAAATTGCCACATTATCCAAAGTGATCTATAGATTCAATAAACTTCCTATCAAAATTAGAGTGGTATTTGCTCTTCTTGCCCAGGCTAGAGTGCAATGGCTCAGTCTCGGCTCACCAAAACCTCTGCCTCCTGTGTTCAAGGGAATCTCCTGCCTCAGCCTCCGGAGTAGCTGGGATTACAGGACTATGCCACCATAAACGACTAATTTTGTATTTTTAGTATAGGCGGGGTTTCTCCATGTTGGTCAGGCTGGTCTCAAACTCCCAACTTCAGGTGATCTGCCCGTCTCAGCCTCCCAAAGTGCTGGAATTACAGGTATGAGCCACTGCGCCTGGCCCTGCATGAAGGCTTTTTAAATTTACTACCTGATACTACTGAATCAAAAACTGATGGTGGCAATGAGATTTTCAGCTGAGGGCAACACTATTTTATGCCACTAAATTTCTGAAATTACCACTAATTTAGAGTGAAGAATAAAGCTCAACTCAGCAATGTGGAAAGTTTGGATTAAGATGAAACATCTTGAAGAAATTCTTTTCTAAATAAACAAATTCTGAAGATTTTCTGGAAAAAGGACATCTGGAACTCTTTTATGCAAAGGATAAATTACTAAAATCATTCTGCAAAAAAGAGAAATAAAACTTTTGGGGTTTTTTATGAATTATGTATTTAAGTTATCCTCACCAAGGAAGACCAGGTGTCTGTAGTTCTCTAACATCACATCCCTATATAAATTCTGCTGTGCAGTGTCCAGGCAATGCCACTCCTCCAGAGAGAATTCTACAGCCACATCTCTAAATTGCAATGATTCCTGAAAAACACACACACACACACATTTTCACCAAGTCGCCGTTGGTGGAATTTTTAATTTAAGGTGAAATGAGAGAGTAAGAGAACTGATTCTTACTTATAGGATTGACTAAAATTATCCAATAAAATAATTTTCAATACAGAAATATTTTCTAATGTATTCTCTATCTCTGAAAAAAAAGAGCAGCCTAAGATCCACAACATTAGTTCATATAATGATATTTTTCTAGATAATAAAGTATAAAATAAAGGGCATGAACATGAACATGTACATTTTTGAGTGCTATATTTACATCATACAGAATCAGTTATGAATATTTTTCAGACAGAAAAGACATGTTGAGTTAGAAGTCATCTCTCCAATTTTAACATGTACAATAAGCTGAAGTCCTTCTTATGCAGGATTTTTTTTTCCAAAAGATCTGGCATAAAGTCTGATTTTTTGAATTTCTAACAAGCTCACCAATAATGTTAATGTTTTTGTCCCAAAAATGATATTTTGTCAAATGCAGTAAGTGCAAGAGCCTGTGTTTTTTTCAGATTTTCTAGCCTGTAAACAAAGATAAGAGGCTTCATTTCCCTAAGAAAAATATGTTTAAAAAAGAAAGCTGCCAGATTTAATGTGAGGTTTATGCATATCAGCTGCATAAACATAATAATGAATAGAAAAATAATTATCTCTATAGTGAAAAAAATCTGTCAGAGAGCTATTTCACCAACTGAATCATTAACCATTAACTGCACTACGATAAATTTTTATGATGTCCTAATTCACACAGAAGAACACAGCATCACTGTTGAAATATTCCTCCCAAAGAAAGTAAATAAAATCTGAATTTAACCATAAAGAAACATGTTTTATGCTAACTTCAAAGTTTTTGATAACTCCTATGTTCTGTAATTTTTAGTAGTAATTTTAAGTAGGCTTCATTTAGCACCCAAGAGAGCAGGTATCTCCTAATAATTTCTTTCAGAACTTTCTGGATAATAA
Organism: Homo sapiens; assembly: GCF_000001405.40. Taxonomy (NCBI): domain Eukaryota; kingdom Metazoa; phylum Chordata; class Mammalia; order Primates; family Hominidae; genus Homo; species Homo sapiens. Next base: position 20,183,365 of record NC_000019.10, on the reverse strand, counting down.
ATGCCATTCCATATAAAAAAGCATTTTCTTAATCCTGTTCTGCATAGAGCTAATGGAACATACAGATGAAGCCTCAACATTACATGTTCTTCATCTATACTAAGGACCACAATTTTCCCCAACAGAAATCTTGAGTATCCACATCTTTCCATGTTCAACAGCCACAAAGGGAACATTTTTAATATTGCAGATTACAAATTCTTGCTGAGAATTCTGCATGGCATATAAGAAGCTATGACATAGAGAATGCAGAGAAAGCTCTGGGATATAGGAAAGAAATATTTTTCAGAGACCCTTGACTATCATAAGAATTTTAAGTAGTAAAACCAAACTCAGGGAGGGAAAACACAAGTAGAGAAGTAAAGGTTTGTGAGTACTAAACTCATGGGGGTCCAGGAGGCAGAGTGGACACAGCTCTTCATCTGAGACACGTTTACCTTAAGAAGAGCCACTTTTTTTTCTCCTCCTCCTCCTCTGGAATTCCTTCTCAGATGAGATTCTCTGGAAAAATTACACCTGCATCTTGAGAACATGCCTTTAAAGGTATCAGTAACACATGATTACCTGCTGGCATGACATCAACTGGCAAAATGACAGAAAAAGCCCACCTATTTCTGTCCTTTGAAACAGAAGAGATTCAGGGAACAATGAATTGCTCCATGAAGATAGAAATATAAGTTTCTCATTTCCTGTCCTCAGGTGCCCTCCCTGCCACAGACACCAGCAATTTCCAGTAATGGAATTATGCACCACACTGACCTGTCTGTACCAAACCCAAACAGAACAGGCCCTGTGACCACCCTTTAGTGCAAAGGTGGAACTTAACTCCTTTGTATTGTATTTTGAAGTGCTCATACTTGATTCTGGCCTCACCTTAGAGTCACATGAGACCCTTCATTAAAACAACATAAGTGCTTCCATGCAGAACAAACAGAAGCTGTGGGGAGGGCACAAGAGGTTTCTGCAAATTGGCCATGTGTTCCTAAGGAAAAGCCTGGGCTGGTAATCACTAAGCTAAGCATTGCCTCTCAAGCTTTAATGGGCTTATAAATCACTTGGTAATTTTGGGTCCACTTTATGTAATGTGATTCTGGAGGCTTGAAAAGGGTCCATGAATGGGTGTTTTAAACAAGTCCCCTGTCAATGCTGAAGTTGCTTCCCCTTGGCTCATTATTAGCATTAGTTAGAGAAAGCAGGAACAGCACAGGGTCCCTTACATTTAGCACTCTTTTCACAACCAAATACTTCTGATACAAATAGGGACAACGCATCTCCACCCTAAAGTTTTATATGCTTCGCTGGCTCTTTAAAGTTTATAGAGGAAACTGAAGGCAGAAATGACAGAGTAAGTCTGTATTTAAAAAACAACATGTACACAAGTACTAATGCAATGTTTATTAAGCAGGTACTTTGTGCTCAAGAGAATGATACAGAGCACTGTGCTGGGCATAGCACATTCTGTGATTTAATTCTCATAACACCCTGAAAGCTGGTACTAAGTGTTTAATAAACTTTAGGATTTAGGTAAAGGGTGCGGCATTTTTATTTCTTCTTCTGTTTCTCTGTCATGAATTTTTTTAAAACACTGTAAAAGCAAAATATAGACAGATGAAAGAGATAGAAAGGAATAATTTAATGTAATTTAGAGAAAATTTTATTCTGTTCATATTTACTTTTCTGTGACTTGTGGAGCAACTACTGGATCTGCAAGAATAGAAAACAAGTTGCTAAATAGAATGTCTCTGCAAACACTGGCTTTAACAGAAAATTTAAAAACTAAGACCCTAAAATACGTACTTTATTTTTCCCTTTTTTTTTTTTTGTTTTTTGAGATGGAGTCTCGCTGCCACCCAGGCTGGAGTGCAGTGGCGCGATCTGGGCTCACTGCAAGCTCCGCCTCCTGGGTTCACGCCATTCTCCTGCCTCAGCCTCCTCAGTAGCTGGGACTACAGGCGCCCACCACCACACCCAGCTAATTTTTTGTATTCTTAGTAGAGGTGGGGTTTCACCGTGTTAGCCAGGATGGTCTCGATTTCCTGACCTCATGATCTGCCCGCCTTGGCCTCCCAAAGTGCTGGGATTACAGGCGTGAGCCACCGCGCCCGGACTATTTTTCCCTTTCATCTGCTTTTGGGATTCAGGGAATTGTGAGCACCAGCTCTAGAAAGGCAGCAGGATTCACCAGCCAAAACTCTGATCTCTACTAATCAGTCCTGTGAGGCAAGACTCCAGGGTAGGGTCAGACCTAAATAACGCCTCCAAAAAGCATGAATCTGATCAGGTCTCAGGCAGTGTGAGGACTTATGTAGAATTCTGTTCTCTATGCCACTGGGGTACTTCCAGTTTTGTTTCTTCTAAGCTTACCTAAAAGAAACTTAAATCCCAGAGTTCCTATAATTTTAATTTTTCTAGCCACTGCCCTGTCAACTTTATACTATATACTAATACACAATTTAAACAAATCCCTTAAGGTTTTCTAGGGTAATTTTATTAGAAAATCAATATGTACACTTTAGAAGGTAAAAAAAAGTAGAAATTATACAGCTGGGTGCACTGCCTTACACCTGTAATCCCAACACTTTGTGAGGCCAAGGTGGGTGGATCACGAGGTCAGGAGTTCAAGACCAGCCTGACCACAGTGGCTGGGGCCAGCAATCCCAGCTACTTTGGAGGCTGAGGCAGGAGAATCGCTTGAACCCAAGTGGCAGAAATTGCGGTGAGCCAAGATCATGTCACTGCACTCATGCCTGGGTAACACAGTGAGATTCTGACTAAAGAAAAAAAATTATAATAACAATTATTCTATTCATAAATATCCCTTCAGGTGTACAATTCAGAAGTCATAACGGCATAAAGTGGCCTAAATAAAACCCAAGGTTCTGGACACATCTATATATTGTGCCAACCATACAATGCACAATTCAATTATTTATCCAGTTGCTGGTCTAGACTAAAAGTTTCTGGACTGTAGGAACCATGACTGCTTCACGTATTTTTTTAATGGCCATATGAAATGGAAGCAACTAGTTTATCTATTTGGGTCTCCAGATCTCCTCCTTGTTTATCATCCAAGTACCAGGAAACTGGAGAAACTCTGATCTGGGTACCAAAAAAGGCACCTCTTGTATGAGGGCATGAATGAACACAGGATGACTCATTTCTCTTACACTGAGACAGAAGCAGAATTAACCACTCTTGTCAGCCTAACACAATTCTGCTCTGGACATCCTCAAATGCCTCAAAGACACCTAGGTGATTGTGAGGGAATTCCTGGTGAACCAGGGCTGTTGGCCCAATGATAAGCCATCTGGAGAAACTCAGGCTGATTCTGAATAGAAAACAACTGCCTTGGTGGAGCTCCAGAACCTACATCATCTGTCCTGATTTGCTAGCTCTTGGATGAGAGAAAGAAACAAAAATACTCTACTCCAGTATCACATTTTACAGGTAATTATAGTTGTGATCAAGGCTCTGGATACTTTGTGGCCTTGATCTCTCACTCCTAAGATGATTATTTACACTTACAGATTCTGCCATCAGATTCTATTTCCTCCTGGAGCCTCTCACATCACTGTAGCAGGCCAATGAACAAGATGTGAAAAATCTCAAAATGCCACACTCCCAAATGGGGCCTGTAAGATATCTATCTTGACAACTTACAATGCAGAAAATGACTTTTGTTAATTTTCTGTACATTCTCTATCCAAAGTCTGGCTTTTTTTTTTAAATCCCAGGCAGAGGGCAGACCTTATCTGCAAATTCTAGGTAGGATCAACTTGGCTCTGCATCCTTTTGTGTTACACCAAGTGGAGTACAGTCAAAAGAGAGCTCTCATAGAGGCTGCTCTAACACATTCTAAATAATAAGTCTACATTTAAAAAAAAGGTGACATAACATGAATATAAGTAGACAGTTTATTTGGGTCAAGCTTAAGGGTTATAACCTGGGAGCAAAGATTCAAGTTGCCTGGAATCTACACTTTGATTAGTAGTATTTACAGGAAGATATGTCAAGACAAGACAGGGACAGAAAGTGGGCTGATGCAGAGTTGTTTGTCAAAAGTTTTTATTTATTTACATAAATAACATTGATTATTGATTAGATATCTATCATTATGTTTTAGGGCATGGGATAGTGTCCAATGTGGCATCATTAGTTTAATTTATAGTCACTTGTGCCAATAGTGAACAGTTTCAATAGATGAATACATCGTTCAAAGTGGGAGAAAGACATAACTGCACTTTCATTTTAACATGTCTCTGAGTTTGATAACCAAAAGAACCTGCTTTATTTAGACAAAAGTTTTTTATTTCCCAAATCTCAAGATCTGGATTCAAAATATAGAGCTGTAGATTTAGGGCCTGAATGGCAGGAGGAGCAGCAGGTGTTACCTGCACATTTGTGAGCATTTTAGCAAGAGGAGGAAGGTGAAAGTGGAGATTCTCTTGTCAACATGTCTACTCAATGCACACATGTTACTCTAACTGGGTTTGTGGGCCCCATGGTCTCTGAATCTGTTTCAAGTCTGAAGATACAGGAGTCATTGAAAGAGATAAAATGATTGATTGCTGCCCTATGAAATTTGTAGAAATCTGATCTAGCCTCTCTAGAAGTGAATGTACAGGACTATAGATAACAAATAGAGACACAATTCTGCCTGCATATTTAGGGGACAGCATGCACTTTGCTGCACAAGTGTGAATTGACTGGAAGCCTGACAGGGAAAGGCCTTGCTAAATTCTGGTTGGCACCTTATGTGTTTATATCATGTCTGGTAATTCTAGACAGTGTTTGGAAACAATAATTAGAAGAACAATTTTCTTTGGCCAGGCGCGGTGGCTCACACCTGTAATCCCAGCACTTTGGGAGGCCGAGACAGGCAGATCATGAGGTCAGGAGATCGAGACCATCTAACTAACACAGTGAAACCCCATCTCTACTAAAAATACAAAAAATTAGCCAGGTGTGGTGGTGGGAGCCTGTAGTCCCAGCTATTCAGGAGGCTGAGGCAGGAGAATGGCATGAACCCAGGAGGTGGAGCTTGCAGTGAGCCGAGAAGGCACCACAGCACACTCCAGCCTGGGTGACAGAGTGAGACTTTGTCTCAAAAAGAAAAAAAAGAGAAGAACAATTTTCTTCGCTGGACATGGTGGCTCATGTCTATAATCCCAGGACTTTGGGAGGCCTAGGCGGGTGGATCACCTGAGGTCAAGAGTTCTAGACCAGCCTGGCCAACATGGTAAAACCCATCTCTACTAAAAATACAAAAAAAAAATTAGCCGGGCCTGGTGGCAGGCACCTGTAATCCCAGCTACTCAAAGGGCCGAGGCAGGAGAATCTCTTGAACCCAGGAGGCAGAGGTTGCAGCGAGCCAAGTTTGCGCCATCACACTCCAGCCTGGGGGATGAGAGACTTCGTCTCAAAAAAAAAGAACAAATGTTTACAGCCCCAGAAAAACTCCACAATAATAGAACAGAAAGAAAACGTTTTGGCTGGGTGTGGTGGCTCGTGCCTGTAATCCCAGCACTTTGGGAGGCCGAGGCGGGTGGATCACCTGAGGTCAAGAGTTTGAGACCAGCCTGGCCAACACTGACAAACCCCCTCTCTACTAAAAAATACAAAAATTAACCAGGCATGGTGGCACATGCCTGCAATCCCAGCTACTAGGGAGGCTAAGGCAGGAGAATCACTTGAACCTGGGAGGCGGGGTTAGTGAGCTGAGATCGCACCATTGCACTCCAGCCTGGGCAATAAGAGTGAAACTCCATCTCAAAAAACAAACGTTTTTATTTTACAATTAAACTTGAATGTGACATGCATCATAGTCCATCTGCTTAAGAGACTGCAATGACAGAAAGATGGTCAACATAATTAGTCCATAAGTAGAAGAATTTAAAGCACCATGTCATACATCGTTCATCTTAAATCTACCTGGAAATTGAAGAGGCCATCTGTGTATGCTAATTGCTTATATTCAATGACAAATAAACTTTTCACATCTTCATAACAGGAGTTATTTTAGCAGCTTGAAGTCAGGTACCTGCTGAAGCTAAGATTTCACTCTGCTACAAAAATGGTTGAATAGTGTTCTATATTTTGGCTAGTTACAGTTTAGAGGAGTGGCTCTGTACTCACTGGCAGTGGGCTACAGCACTCCTGCTTGCTTTCTCCTGGTTGCTAGTATGCTCTCTTGACCTCTACCATCTGCCACTGAGGCACAGCCCAGAGCACAGCTCACATTTTATATGAACCCCATTTGCCACAGCAGCACTCTAGTGTCACATCAGAGAGTGAGGCCTGAGCTGCAGGAGGAGAGCCTGCAGGCCTCCTGGGTAGAATTACACATTCACAATAATGAAAATGAGAGCAGTGTTTCAACCTCAGTTTCTACTTATAATGGTGACAAGGAAAAAATACTGCTGAATTTCCAGCATGAGTCCAGATAGAGATAGCTCCAAAAGTTCTCACTGTGACAGCCTAGCTTAATCAGAAATCATGGGATTAATTAATAGGGCTTCGACTCTCCCTCTCCCTGTCCCTCTCCCTCTCCCCACAGTCTCCCTCTGATGCCGAGCCGAAGCTGGACTGTACTGCTGCCATCTCGGCTCACTGCAACCTCCCTGCCTGATTCTCCTGCCTCAGCCTGCCGAGTGCCTGCGATTGCAGGTGCGCGCCGCCACGCCTGACTGGTTTTCGTACTTTTTTGGTGGAGACGGGGTTTCGCTGTGTTGGCCGGGCTGGTCTCCAGCTCCTAACCGCGAGTGATCCGCCAGCCTCGGCCTCCTGAGGTGCCGGGATTGCAGACGGAGTCTCGTTCACTCAGTGCTCAATGTTGCCCAGGCTGGAGTGCAGTGGCGTGATCTCAGCTGGCTACAACCTCCACCTCCCAGCCGCCTGCCTTGGCCTCCCAAAGTACCGAGATTGCAGCCTCTGCCCGGCCGCCACCCCGTCTGGGAAGTGAGGAGCGTCTCTGCCTGGCCGCCCATCGTCTGGGATGTGAGGGGCCCCTCTGCCTGGCTGCCCAGTCTGAAAGTGAGGAGGGTCTCTGCCCGGCCGCCATCCCATCTAGGAAGTGACGAGCACCTCTTCCCAGCCACCATCCCATCTAGGAAGCAAGGAGCGTCTCTGCCCGGCCGCCCATCGTATGAGATGTGGGGAGCGCCTCTGCCCCGCTGCCCCGTCTGGGATATGAGGAGCGCCTCTGCCCAGCCGCGACCCCGTCTGGGAGGTGAGGAGCGTCTCTGCCTGGCCGCCCCATCTGAGAGGTGAGGAGACCCTCTGCCTGGCAGCCGCCCCATCTGGGAAGTGAGTAGCATCTCCGCCCGGCAGCCACCCCGTCCGGGAGGGAGGTGGGGGTCAGCCCCCGCCAGGCCAGCCGCCCCGTCCGGGAGGGAGGTGGGGTCAGTCCCCTGCCCGGCCAGCCGCCCCATCCGGGAGGTGAGGGGCGCCTCTGCCCAGCCGCCCCTACTGGGAAGTGAGGAGCCCCTCTGCCCGGCCACCACCCCATCTGGGAGGTGTACCCAACAGCTCATTGAGAACGGGCCATGATGACAATGGCTGTTTTGTGGAATAGAAAGGGGGGAAAGGTGCGGAAAAGACTGAGAAATCGGATGGTTGCCGTGTCTGTGTAGAAAGAAGTAGACATGGGAGACTTTTCATTTTGGTCTGTACTAAGAAAAATTCTTCTGCCTTGGGATCCTGTTGATCTCTGACCTTACCCCCAACCCTGTGCTCTCTGAAACATGTGCTGTGTCCACTCAGTGTTAAATGGATTAAGGGCGGTGCAAGATGTGCTTTGTTAAACAGATGCTTGAAGGCAGCATGCTCATTAAGAGTCATCACCACTCCCTAATCTCAAGTACCCAGGGACACAAACACTGCGGAAGGCCGCAGGGTCCTCTGCCTAGGAAAACCAGAGACCTTTGTTCACTTGTTTATCTGCTGACCTTCCCTCCACTGTTGTCCTATGACCCTGCCAAATCCCCCTCTGCGAGAAACACCCAAGAATGATCAATAAAAAAAAAAAAAAAAAAATTAATAGGGCTTCTGAAACAGACACCCAAAGCACTGGAGAGAAAAAAGTTAAAATGATATTAGGAAAAAGCTCAGATTAGATATAAAATTGATCATGTCTGCCAGAAAATATTCTCCTAAAAGCAATTTCTCTCTAAACACCCAAAGCGCACAGCTACTCTCAGCAAGAGAAACATGAGCATTATGAAGAAAGGTGGCAGATTTTCAGAAGAATTTTTATAAAGTTTCTTTCCCATCTCTGCTGTTCTGTCATCTCCTAGCCATTGAATGGAGGTTCTATATTGAAATACATCTGACAACTTCCAACAACACTTTTTGATGAAGAAATAGAATCTGACTATGTTCATATAGTGGAATATATTAGAACTTGCAACATAGCAAACTGAAGAGCTATTATGGTTTTTGGGTGGCCACATCACATGTCTTTATTTGTCCTGTAATAGCAGCATACCAATTTAATGAAATAAAAGACACTAAAATTGTGTTTACTCACTAGTCATAATATATGTAGCATTTTTAATAATTAAAACTATACTTCAGCCAAAACACTATATTTCAAAAGTATAAATTACAATATTAAAATAACCATTTAAGTGATTCATTCAAAGTAAGTATTGTGGCTTTATATTCATACTATTTTAGAAAATACTGTTTATGGCTCACACCTGTAATCTTAGCACTATGGGAAGCTGAAATGGGTGGATCACCTGAGGTGAAAAGTTCAAGATCAAACTGGCGAACATGGTGACAACCATCTCTACTATAAATACAAAAACTTAGCCAGGAACAGTGATGCATGCCTGTAATCCCAGCTACTCGGAAGGCTGAGGCAGGAGAATCGCTTGAACCCGGGAGGCAGCAGTTGCAGTGAGATGAGATCATGCCACTGCACTGCAGCTTGGGCAACAGAGACTCTCTCAAAAAAAAAAAAGAAGAAAGAAAGAAAGAAAAACAAAATACTGTTAAATGTATATAAATGCAGCTTGTCTACAAACATTACACATAACTATGCTAATTATTCTGAAGTAATAAATAGAAAGCCAGGCACAACTACAGACTCCACTGTTCAGTTTACGCACTGAACTGTTCTTCTTTTTGCAGTATAAGTACTTCAGCCTGCAAATATTGGATAATTTCCTTGGATAATCTGGTTTCTGTCAAAGAAACATAGTATCTTTTAATGTTTACCATTATGTATTGCTAAATTTGATCCTATCTTTGTGCTAAGCTTCTGTGTGCCCTTAAAATTAGCTTTTATCTAAATAAATCTGTGTCTATTTAAAGGACTAAAAATTAAAAAATAAACTTTTTGGAACCAAAAACAAAGCAATAAATCTGAAGTTCTAGATAATCTGGAGTCAGAAAAAAGACAAAAGGTATTTAGCTGTTAATATAATTTACATATATTTTTAAAAATCAGAGAAAAATAACTATATATAATCTAAATCCCTTAAGAAATGAGACAATGGCAAAAATTTTTTTGGAAGTTTTTTTTTTTTTGAGACGGAGTCTCGCTCTGTCCCCCAGGCTGGAGTGCAGTGGCACTATCTCAGCTCACTGCAAGCCCCACCTCCCATGTTCACGCCATTCTCCTGCCTCAGCCTCCCAAGTAGCTGGGACTACAGGCGCCCGCCACCACGCCTGACTAATTTTTTTTTGTATTTTTAGTAGAGATGGGTATCACTATGTTAGCCAGGATGATCTCTATCTCCTGACCTCGTGATCCACCCACCTCAGCCTCCAAAAGTGCTGGGATTACAGGCATGAGCCACCACACCTGGCCTTTTTTTGGAAGTTTTTAAGGAGTTTTGAACTCTTGGACACCTGAGTTTTGCATACTGTATGCGCTTGAAAGAACGTTAGTGGGGTTAAAACCAGAAGAGAGAAAGATGTTATATAAAATCCATGAGTGCACAAGACCAATGAAATAGAATAGAGAGCCCAGAAATAATGTCACCCTCCTATAATCATCAGATTTTTGACAAAGCTGACAAGAGAAATGTGGGAAGGATTCTCTCTTTAATAAATGGTGCTAGAATAACTAGCCAGCATTTTTTAGAAGACTAAAGCTGGACCCCTTCGTTACACCATATGCAAAAATCAACTCAAGATAAATTAAAGACTTAAATGTAAAACAAAATTATGAGAAACCCTGCAAGATAACCTAGGAAATACCATTCTAGACACAGAAACTGGCAAAGACTTCATGAGGAAGCTACCCAAAGCAACTGCAACAAAAGCAAAAATTGACAAATGAGACCTATTTGAACTTCAGAGCTTCTTTACAGCAAAGGAAACTATCAACAGAGTAAACAATCTACAAAATAAACAAAAATATTTACAAACTTTGCCTCTGACAAAGGCCTAATATCCAGAATTTATTAAGAACTTGGCTGGGCGTGGTGACTCATGACTGTAATCCCAGCACTTTGGGAGGCCAAGGCGGGTGTATCACGAGGTCAGGAGTTCAAGACCAGCCTGACCAACAGGGTGAAACCTCGTCTCTACTAAAAATACAAAAATTAGCAGGGTGTGGTGGTGGCACATGTCTGTAATCCCAGCTACTCAGAAGGCTGAGGCAGGAGAATCACTCCAACCCAGGAGGCAGAGGTTGCAGTGAGCCGAGATAGTGCCACTGCACTCCAGTCTAAGCGACTCCATCTCACAAAAAAAAAAAAAGAACTTAAACAAGTTTACAAGAAAAAAACAAACAACCTCATTAAAAAGTAGGCAGGCCGGGCATGGTGGCTCATGCATGTAATCCCAGCACTTTGGAAAGCCAAGGCAGGCAGAACACTTGAGGACAGGAGTTCAAAACCAGCCTGGCCAACATGGTGAAACCCCCTTTCTACTAAAAGTACAAAAAATTAGCTGGGAGTGGTGCAGGTGCCTGTAATCCCAGCTACTCAGGAGGCTGAGGCAGGAGAATCACTCGAAGGTGAAGGTTGCAGTTGGTCAAGATTACGCTATTGCAATCCAGTCTGGGCAACAAGAGCAAAACTCTCTCTCAAAAAAAAAAAGTAGGCAAAAGCTAGGTGCAGTGGCTCACACCTGTAATCCCAACACTTTGGGAGGCTGAGGCCGGGTAATCACCTGAGGTTGGAACTTTATGATCAGCCTGACCCACGTGGAGAAATCCTGTCTCTACTAAAAGTACAAAATTAGCTAGACATGGTGGTGCATGCTTGTAATCCCAGCTACTTGGGAGGCTGAGGCAGGAGAATCACTTGAACCAGGAAGTTGAGGTTGTGGTGAGCCGAGGTTGCACCATTGCACTCCAGCCTGGACAACAAGAGCAAAAGTCCAGCTCAAAAGACAAAACAAAATGAAAGGAAAAAAAAAAAAGGAAACTAACGTAGAAACAGAAAACCAAATGCATGTTATTAAGAGCTAAATAATAAGAACACATGAACACAAAGAGGAGAACAACAGACACTGAGGCCTAGTTGAGGGTGGAGGGTGTGAGGACTAAGAGGATCAGAAAACACACCTGTTTGGTGCTATGGGTAGTACCTCAGTGACAAAATAATCTGCACAACAAATCCCCATGACATAATTTTAACTGTATAACAAACCCACATGTGTACATCGAACCAAAAATAAAAGCTAAAAGAAAAAAAATAATTCCTGGGTGGGAGAGAGTGCAATGTAGGTGAATGGAATGATTTTCACTACAGATAGTGGCCCAGGTGGGGCTGTACTCTGATTTATTTCTGTGTGCATGTAGGCAGATGAAATTATAAACATGTGGCCCAGATCCTAGGATGGTGGAGAAAACAGGTTGCTGCTGCAGATTCAGTGTCTGGGGTGGAGACATGCCAGTAGACTTGTAGAGACTTGTGGGTTCTTGACAAGAAACACAAGAAACACTAGGATCAAAAATGCCGTGGTGAAGTTTCTGAGGGTGATGCCTAGTCCTGGGAGGAGTGTGGACACGTTAATGTCTAGTGTGTGTGTTTGTGAGTGGGTGGGAACACCGTGGTGATAGCTGCAATAAAAGGGGGTCTGTAATCAGAGCTCCTTTTCTCTAAGTTTTCAGTCCTCTGTCACCCTGGGAGAAGACCTGGAATCACAGGACAATGGGCAGTGTGACAGCCTGTGTACAGGAGAGTGGAGCCTCCCAATCCCAAACACCCAGAGTTTTGTTCCAGGCCAGGCCTCTGTGATATCTTTTTACTGGCACCATATCTGTAGAGTTTGCTGAACATCAAACATTTCTCCAACACAAACTTATTGCCTAATATTTGAATTCTGACAGCACCTAAAGTCAGCATAGACCCTCGGTCCCACAACATTGTCCTCACTGCAGATGCCAGTCACAAACCCTATGGGCCCATCTATTCTTTTGAACTAATGTTTGAAAACTCGGGACTCCTGAAACCTTCCTGAAGTTCAATAATTTGGTAGAGCTATTCACAGAACTGAACAAAACACTGTAGTTATGTTTACCGGTTTAATATATAAGATGCAGCCCAGGAAAAGCCAAAAGGAAGAAATGCATACAACAAAGAAAAGACATGAGGAAAGATGAAACACATAGATAATCATGGAAAACATTTGTGATTAATAAAATTCTCCATTTGTTGTGTACTCCAGAAAAAGCTGATGGACAGAAACACCCTTCCCATTATGACTTAGATGGTGCTCTCTTTTCTTACCTGTCACACAGCCAGACATACACTGCACATTTTCTCCTTTTTCTCATTAGAAAAATCAGCTGAATATGTCTTCAGTGGTCAAATTTCTTTTTTTTTTCTTGTGATGAAGTCTCACTCTGCTGCCCAGGCTGGAGTGCAGTGGCACCATCTTGACTCACTGCTCACTGCAACCTTCACCTCCCAGGTTCAAGCAATTCTCCTGCCTCAGCCTCCCAAGTAGCTGGCATTACATGTACCTGCCAAGACGCTTGGCTAATTTTTGTATTTTTAGTAGACACCATGTTTTCACCGTGTTGGCCAGGCTGTGACCTCAGGTGTTCGGCCTGCCTCAGCCTCCCAAGGTGCTAGGATTACAAGCGTGAGCCATCGCGCCTGGCCTAAAATAAAATATTTCTTAATCAAACTTTATTTATCTCCCTCCCTCAGGCTCCTGAATTTTGAGCTACCCTCAGTCTGAGTCAACATACACCCCATTTTGGCCGGGCGCGGTGGCTCACGCCTGTAATCCCAGCACTTCGGGAGGCCGAGGCGGGCGGATCACAAGGTCAGAGGTCAGGAGATCGAGACCATCCTGGCTAACACGGTGAAACCCGTCTCTACTAAAAATACAAAAAAATTAGCCGGGCGTGGTGGCGGGCGCCTGTAGTCCCAGCTACTCGGGAGGCTGAGGCAGGAGAATGGCGTGAACCCGGGAGGCGGAGCTTGCAGTGAGCCGAGATCGCGCCACTGCACTCCAGCCTGGGCGACGGAGTGAGACTGTCTCAAAAAAAAAAAAAAAAAAAAAACATACAACCCCATCTTATGTCCCTTCTAAGAACACGGTGATTTCAGGGTAAGACATTCTCTGAGCTAAAATCTGACTTTTTCACCCTCCATTTGTCATTCCCCTCCCCGCTTTTTTCTAATCTCGTTTGCTCCTCCCTAGGAAAAAAGCCCTTTTCTGCCTACATTTTTGCAAGCCACAGAGACCTTATAATTAGTTGGTACTTTCTCCTGTTCCAATACTAATTCATTTTTTTACATAAATCTGACGTTTTTATCTTAAAAAGTCTAAAAAGTGCCTCAAAACAATAGCTTTATTATCAGTAAGACCCTCCCAGTTTCCTTTCACCTTAATCTTAACTACCTGTGGGGCTCCAGCTTTCCAGGGCTCCGTAGCTTCTCTCAGGATAAAGGCTCCTTCCATGGGTGGGGTGAGCAGGCTGGGACATCTGCAGGCGAGGCTCCCCAGAAAAAACTAACTAGGCCTTTAATAACCTCCTGTTGGCCGGGCGCGGTGGCGCAAGCATGTAATCCCAGCACTTTGGGAGGCCAAGGCGGATGGATCACCTGAGGTTGGGAGTTAGAGACCAGCCTGACCAACATGGAGAAACCCCTAGTAAACACACATAATTAGCCGGGCGTGACGGCGCGTGCCTGCAATCCCAGTAACTCCAGAGGCTGAGGTAGGAAAATCCCTTGAACCCAGGAGGTAGAGGATGCGGTGAGCCGAGATCATACCATTGCACTCCAGACTGGGTAATAAGAGCTAAACTCCATGTCAAAATAAAAAAAATGTAGTAACCCCACCACTTCGGGAGGCTGAGGTAGGCGGATCACAAGGTCAGGAGTTCGACACCAGCCTGGCCAATATGGTGAAACCCCGTCTCTGCTAAAAATACAAAAATTAGCCGGGCGTGGTGGCGAGTGCCTGTAGTCCCAGCTACTTGGGAGGCTGAGGCAGGAGAACTGCTTGAACCCCGGAGGCGGAGGTTGCAGTGAGCCGAGATCGCGCCACTGCACTCCAGCCTGGGCCACAAAGCAAGACTGTCTCAAAAAAAAAAAATTTTTTTTAACCCCCTCCTTTTGCAGACTTCATATTAGCCTTAGCTTGGAATTACTAGGTTCAAGCTTTAATTTCCATGTCAGTGTTATTCACTTGGTTTTTGAAACTAAGTGTTTGAAAAATCCAGTGAAATTACTCAAACAGTGTTTACATAAAGGAAGAAAATTTTAAGATTCTTACTTTTTTTTTTTTTTGAGACGGAGTTTCGCTGTTGTTGCCCAGGCTGGAGTGCAATGGCACGATCTCGGCTCACCGCAACCTCCTCCTCCCGGGTTCAAGCAACTCTCCTGCCTCAGCCTCCCGAGTAGCTGGGATTACAGGCATGCGCCACCAAGCCCAGCTAATTTTGTATTTTTAATAGAGACAGGGTTTCTCCATGTTAGTCAGGCCGGTCTCGAACTCCCGAACTCAGGTGATCCGCCTGCCTTGGCCTCCCAAAGTGCTGGGATTACAGGCGTGAGCCACTGCGCCTGGCCCTTCTTTTGTGTGTGTGAAGGAGTCTTGCTCTGTCACGCACACTTAAGTACGATGGCGCGGTCTCAGCTCACTGCAACCTCCGCCTCCTGGGTTCAACCAATTCTCGTGCCTCAGCCTCCCAAGTAGCTGGGATTACAGGTGCCTGCCACCACACCTGGCTAATTTTTGTATTTTTAGTAGAGACGGGGTTCACGGTGTTGGCCAGGATGGTCTAGAACTCCTGACCACAAGATCCTCCCGCCTAGGTCTCTCAAAATGCTGGGATTACAGGCGTGAGCCACCGCGCCCGACCAGGAATGGGTTTTTAACCCCAACGTAGTTTTTGTTTTTGTGTCCTTCCCCTATTGGCTGGGGTCAGACCGCACAATCTAAGCTGATCCCGGTTGGCTTAGACCCAAACTTTTTCCAAATAGGATAAACGAGCGATTTGCGAGAAAAGGAAAAGGGAGAAAAAGGGGTAGGGTTGTTTTACAACTTTTACAACTTCTGATCAGGAAGTTGAGTCTTTGAAGAGGAATTTAGTTGTCCTAGCAACCCTTTACCTCAAGTGATCCGCCAGCCTTCGCCTCCCAAAATGCTGGGATTACAGACGTCAACCACCGCGCCCGGCCCCATAAATTTTTAACAAAAGAAAAGAGAAACTGTGAACCCCACGGACCAAAGCTCTTCCGAATCGTGAACCCGCACCCCGAGTCAAGATTCTCCCCTGATGACCTTCTCGTGGTTCCCGCACCATCTGGGAGAGACCCGAAGCTGCGGGTGGAGAGCTGCTGCACAGAGAGGGCGCCAGGCCAGGGCACGGTCACTGCGCAGGGAAGAGACAGGACGCCCCGGGACCGGCTGTCAGCGCAGCCACCATCTTATGGCTGAAGGGGACTGAGGCCGAGCTGGGTAAGGAGAAGTCCGGACGCAGATTGTGGAGCTGACTACGGGGAGGCCTGAGTCCCTCCACAGCCACTTCCCATCAACCAGTCCCTCCCCTCTCTCAGGATGTCCAATGGGCACTCTCACCATTTCTAGGCTTCTAAGGGGTCCCGGCATCTTGGCTGTGGATCTCCCAATACCTACAGGACACAGGGCCACAGAGGGTGGGCCTCTAGGAGCAGAGGACACAGAGTAGCGAAGAGGCGACCTAGAGCTCCAGATGCAGCGAGAGACAAAGGCCGCGCCAAACCCGGAAGCCGTCCTCTTTGCTCCAGCTGCCTGCCTGATTGGACGGTTTCCAGCCCAGCGTCTCTGATTGGATAATGCTTAAGGCCCCGCCCACTCAGTCCCTGAGTGACAGAGGATGTGATCAGATGCTGGGCTGAGTGATGAAAGAGTAACAGCCTAAGCTGCAGCCTTTTCAGGCAGGGCTTCCTCCCTGAGCTGAGCCAGGCCCACCCTAGAGCAAGGGAAAATTCTATCTCTTTTTTACTCTCTCTCTTTTTGCATGTATTCAAAAGGTGAACAGAAGTATTTTGCTGTCATATTAATAATACATAAAATTTTTGTTAGAAAATCAACTTTTACTTTGGTAATAGTGTATTATCAATACTAAAGCTAATTTTAATAAAACCTTATATATAAATCAGATTTGTCACTTTTGACCTCTCGAGATTTACACATATATTTCATAATCACTTGTAATTTTTTTAACTTTTTATATTTTATCTACATTCTTTTTTTCAATTTGAAACAACCTTTAAGTAATTTCAAATTGTTACAGGAAATAGAAATCATTTAGAACCAGGCGCAGTGGCTCACGCCTCTAATTCCAGCACTTTGGGAGGCCAAGGTGGGCGGATAACTTGAGTCAGGAGTTCAAGACCAGCCTGGCCAACATGGTGAAACCCCATTTCTACTAAAAATACAAAAAATTATCTGGGTGTGCTGGTGTGCACTTGTAGTCCCAGCTACTCCGGAGGCTGAGGCAAGAGAATCGCTTGAACCCAGGAGGCGGAGGTTGTGTAACAGCCCAAGGGTTTTACCTTGCCTTTTGTCTAGACAGAGCTGATTCATAAAGACAGGCCTTTTGCCTAGACAGAGCCCATTCATCAAGACAGGGGAATTTGTGGAGGAAAAGTTAAATATTAATTTTGAAATAAATTGAACACAGACACAAACAATGGTCACCAAGTCTCAGAACCGGTTGTGTGACCCCCTTGAGGCATTCATTGAGGCATTCATGTAGTGTCATTTCAGAGAAATCTCTGTTTCAATCTATTCCTATATGTTAGTTATTGAAAAACAAGATAACGTTTTTGTGTTCCTTGAGCCCAGTCGCAAAGGGCCCTAGTGACTGGGCCTCATGCCAAACATTTCAGCTCCATCAGGTCATTTATGTTCCTCTCCAAACTGTTTATTCTAGTTAGCAGTTCCTCTAACCTTTTATCAAGGTTCTTAGCTTCTTCAAATTGGGTTCGAACATGTTTCTTTAGCTCAGCAGAGTTTGTTATTAACCATCTTCTGAGGCCTACTTCTGTGAATTCATGCATCTCATCCTCTTATGTTCCTCTCCAAACTGGTTATTCTAGTTAGCAGTTCCTCTAACCTTTTATCAAGGTTCTTAGCTTCTTCAAATTGGGTTCAAACATGTTTCTTTAGCTCAGCAGAGTTTGTTATTAACCGTCTTCTGAAGCCTACTTCTGTGAATTCATGCATCTCATCCTCTTATGTTCCTCTCCAAACTGGTTATTCTAGTTAACAGTTCCTCTAACCTTTTATCGAGGTTCTTAGCTTCTTCAAATTGGGTTTGAACATGTTTCTTTAGCTCAGCAGAGTTTGTTATTAACCATCTTCTGAAGCCTACTTCTATCAATTCATGCATCTCATCTTCTGTCCAGTTCTGCACCTTGCTGAAGAGACATTTTGATCATTTGGAAGAGAAGAGGCACTCTGGCCTTTCAGCTGTTTTTTGTTGATTCTTTCTCATCTTCATGAGTTTGTCTAGTTTCGATCTTTGAGGCTTCTGACACTTGGATTTTTTTTTTTTAACAGTCTCTCTCTCTGTCACTCAGGCTGGAGTGCAGTGGCACAATCGCAGCTCACTGCAAATTCTGCCTCCCAGGTTCAAGTGATTCTCATGTCTCAGACTACCTAGTAGCTGGGACTACAGGCATGCACCACCACGCCTGGCTATTTTTTTTTGTATTTTTTAGTAGAGACAAGGTTTCACCATGTTGGCCAGGCTAGTCTCGAACTCGTGACCTCAAGTGCTCTGCCCACTGCCTCGGCCTCCCAAAGTATTGGGTTACAGGTGTGAGCCACCATGTGTGGCTTTGGATGAGGTTTTTGTGGGTACATTTTTTTCTTGTTGATGCATTGTTGCTTTCTGTTTGTTTTTCTTTCAATGGTCAGGTCCATCTTCTGTAGCGCTGCTGCAGTTTGCTAGGGGCTAACTTCAGGACCTATTCATCTGGTTCACCGCCGTGCCTGGAGATGTCACTCAAGGAAGTTGGAGAACAGCAAAGAAGAGTGCCCGCTCCTTCCTCTGGGATCTCTGACCTCAAGAGGCACAAACCTGATGCCAGTAGAATTGCTCCTCTATAGGGTGTCTGACAATCCCTGTTGAAGGGTCTCATCCAGTTGGGTGGCACAGGAAGCAGAACTCATTTAATGAAGCACTTTGACTGTCCTTTGGTGGAGGGGGGTGTTTCACTGGGGGAAAATCCACTCATCTGGGCTGCTCAAATTCTTCAAAACTAGCAGGAGGAAAGGCTAAGTCTGCTGGTCCACAGAGACTGCAGCCACCCCTCCCCCTAGGGTTCTGCTCTGATCTTTGTTATTTCTTTTTTTCTACTGGGTTTGGGTTTGGCTTGTTCTTGTTTCTCTAGTTCCTTGAGGTGTTATCTTAGATTGTCTACTTATGAGCTTTCAGACTTTTTAGTAGGCACTTGATGCTATGAACTTTCCTTTTAGCACGACTTTTGCTGTATCCCAGACATTTTAATAGATTGTCATTATTATCGTTCAGCTCAAAGAATTTTTAAATTTCCATCTTGATTTCATACAACAATCATTCAGAAACAAGTTGATCCTAAATTTTATTTTTATTTAATTTCCATGTATTTATTTAATTTCCATGGATTTGCATGGTTTTGAGGGTTCACTTGGAGTTTTCACTTTTATTCCACTGTAGTCTGACAGAGTAGTTGATATAATTTTGATTGTCTTAAATTTATCGAGACTTGTTTTGTGGCCCATCATATGTCTGTCTTAGGGAATGATTCATATGCTGATGAATGAAATGTATATTCTGCAGTTGTTGTGTGGAATGTTCTGTAAATATTTGTCAAGTCCATTTGTTCTACGGTATAGTTTAAGTCCATTGTTTTTGTTGTTGTTGTTGTTGTTGACTTTCTGTCATGATGACTTGTCTAGTGCTGTCAGTAGAGTATTGAAGTTCCCCATTATTATTGTGTTGCCATTTATCTCATTTCTTAGGTCTAGTAGTAATTGTTTAATAAACTGGGAGCTCCAGTGTTAGGTGCATATATATTTAGAATTGTGATATTTTCCTGTTGGACTAGTCCTTTTATCATTATATAATGTCCCTCTTTGTCTTTTTTTATTTTTAACTGTTTTTGCTTTAATGTCTGTTTTGTCTGATGTAAGAATGGCTACTACTGCTTGCTTTTGGGGTACATTTGCATGACTATCTTTTCCCAACCCTTTACCTTAACTTTATGTGAGTTTTTATGTGTTGGGTGAGTCTCTTAAAGACCGCAGATATTTGGTTGGTAAACTCTTCTCCATTCTACCATTCTGTATCTTTTAAGTGGAATATTTAGGCCACTAATCACTATCAATTATACCACCACACATTATAATGCCAGTCATTGCAAGGCTTGAACAGGAAATCAATTCATCCGCATTCAAGTTTGCAGTTATAATAAAAATTTTGGCCTGTTGATCTTCCTGGTGATTAAATAGTCTGTCAAGAGAAAGCAGAGATGGATGAGCATCAACATGGAAAACAGCAACAATGGTAGTGTGCACCAGGATTCAGATATCTTCTCAGTATTTTTTTCCCCAAACCTCTTTATTCCCAATTAACCATTTGTTTTGTCACTATTGGAGCATCCAGGTAGTAAGACCATTTGCTACTGACCAAGAGTTGGTATACAAGTGACAAATCCCTCTGGCTTCCTCCTGAATATCTTGGAGGTTGGCTACTAGTTCAGCTAACTGGCTGCTCCCACCCCTTCCTTCATCAGAAATGCTTACGTTTTTAACAGGATTATAAGCCATGCCCTTCCAGCATTGGGTCCCACCAATATGTTTGCTGGATCGATCAGTAAACCAAGCATGTTTCTGATCCTCTGGGCTTAGTTCTTTAAAGGAACTGCACCATTGAGTGGGGGGAGGGGCGGTTTCCTTCCCTATGTGCAGCACTTCCTCAGTGGTTTCCTGAGCTGGCAAGTTTTGTACATCCTCATGTAAAAATGATACCCCCTTTGGTTTTGGCTTAGCCTGGTCTTCTATGTTGTATTTCCATTTTATGATGTTACTTTCTTGGGCATGCCCTATTTGGTGAGTTTTGGGGGAACTCATGACTCAAGTCATAATAGGAATTTCAGACCTTATAAAGACATCACGGTTGAAGCAGAGGTGTTCCATTTCCAGCAAAGCCCAATAGCAAGGTAACAATTGCTTCTTGAAAGGGGTATAAGCTTTGCTGGCCTCTGGCAATTTCTGGGTTCAAAACCCAAAGTGTACCCTCTTCCCATCTTGTTTCTGCCTAAGGCTCCAATTAGCATGTTGATTTAGGACAGTTATTTGCAGTTCTACTGGCCCATCTCATATGGGCCATAGGTCCAGGGCCAGTTGCACTGCTTGTTTAGCTTGTTCAAAAGCCATGCTCTCTTTCTCTCCCCAGTGAAAGTCACAGCATTTTCTAGTGACTGCATGCAGAGGTTGTAAAATGTTACCCAAGTGGTGAATATAATGTCTCCCGAATCCAAACAAGCCAATAAATTTCTAGTCCTCCTTTTTAGTGGTAAGGGTTGCAATTTTTAGTATTTTAGCCTTAGTCTTTGGTAAAATGGACTATTTCCCTGCATTTCATAGGATGCCAAGGAATTTTATAGTTTGTGCAGGATGCCAAGGAATTTTACAATTTGTCCTTGAATTTTACTAAGGTTAATTTCCCATCCTTGAGATAGGAGCTGTGTTTTTACCTGCTCCAAGACCTGACTGACTAGTTCTTCAATTTTACCCTGATGGGGCCATTGGGACAGCCACTTTTTTCATCAATAGGCTGATATCTTTGAGTCTGAACAGTTAAGACATAGGCCTGGCATTGGGCCAGGGTCAGTCTGGCAGTTGGATTGGCATTTTTCTTTTCCAGCTCTTATTTCTCTTGTAGCAACTATCCCCTATCCTGATACATTAACTTATAAAGAGTAAGCAAACACCATTCACTCGGGGAGATCCTTCAGCATCTCCTTTGCTGACTGGAATCCCCTGCTGCACTTCACATGTAGCAGGATGAGCCGCAGACAAAATCTCTCAGACACCGAGTTGTAGAAGGAAGGGCTTTATTCAGCTGGGAGCATCGGCCAGCTACTGTCTCAAAATCTGAGCTCCCTGAGTGCACAATTTCTGCCCTTTTAAGGGCTCACAACACTAAAGATTTCACATGAAAGGGTCGTGATTGATGTGAGCAAGCAAGGGGTACATGACAGGGGCTGCATGCACCGGTGGTCAGGGAGGAACAGAACAGGGCAGGGAGTTTCACCGTGTTCTTCTATACAATGTAAGGAATCTATGAATAACATCAGCTTCTAAATCATAAGTTGATTTTTAACTACTGGGTTTAGGCCAGGTGGGCCCAGGCCTGGTTTCAGGCCTGGCGCCAGGCTGCCTGTCTTTGGTTTTACTTCCTTGTTGTTTTTACTGAATATAAAACAATATAAAACAATGTGAGAGGGTCTTTCTCTCCTCTCACATACACAGTCAAAGGTTTAAATTGCATTAATTTAGATTCTCAGTTCTTACAAAGGCCAGTTTCCCTGAACCACTCAATCACCAAAGAGGAGAACTGGGGATGTTGGACGCAGAGAAAATGGGGGTCCTGACCAACTCAGTATACCACTGGAGGCTTTCATGCACATCCGTGTGAAGAGACCACCAAACAGGCTTTGTGTGAGCAACATGGCTGTTTATTTCACCTGGGTGCAGGTGGGCTGAGTCTGAAAAGAGAGTCAGTGAAGGGAGATAAGGGTGGGGCCGTTTTATAGGATTTGGGTAGATAAAGGAAAATTCCAGTCAAAGGGGGTTTGTTCTCTGGCGGGCAAGAGTGGGGGTCGCAAGGTGCTCAGTGGGGGTGCTTTTTGAGCCAGGATGAGCCAGGAAAATGACTTTCACAAGGTAATGTCATCACTTAAAGCAAGGACAGGCCATTTACACTTCTTTTGTGGTGGAATGTCATCAGTTAAGGTGGGGCAGGGCATATTCACTTCTTTTGTGATTTTTCAGTTACTTCAGGCCATCTGGGCATATACATGCAAGTCACAGGGGATGCGATGGCTTGGCTTGGGCTCAGAGGCCTGACATTCCTGCCTTCTTATATTAATAAGAAAAATAAAACAAAATGGTGTTGAAGTGTTGGGGCGGTGAAAATTTTTGGGGGGTGATATGGAGAGAGAATGGGCGATGTTTCTCAGGGCTGCTTCAAGCGGGATTGGGGCGGCGTGGGAACCTAGAGTGGGAGAGATTAAGCTGAAGGGAGGTCTTGTGGTAAGGGGTGATATTGTGGGGTTGTTAGAAGAAACATTTGTCGTATAGAATGATTGGTGATGGCCTGGATATGGTTTTGGATGAATTGAGAAACTAAATGGAATAACAGAAGGAGAAAAACAGGTATAAAAGGTCTAAGAATTGGGATGACTCAGGATATCTGATTAGAGAATGCCTAAGGAGATTCAGCATAGTCCTGCCAGCAAAGATTATTTATTTACTTCAAGAGTTAAGAGTGGCAGTTTGGGGATAGCACCAGGAGATATCAGCTGTGATGGCTTGGAAAAACAGTGTAAACTGGCAGTGTAAACAAGAGCAGGGCATGTATGAGTAGTTGAGAAAGGTGAATAGGAGTATGACTAGACAGAAGATAGTAGGGATGACAAGTTTTTCGGGGGCACAGTCTAAGTTGGTCTGGTGTCTGGAATGAGACTGGGGCCTAATAAAAAGGAGCGTCTATACAGGAGCTTAAATGGGCTGTACCCTGTAGCATTCTGAGGACAGGCCTGAATTCTGAGAAGGGAAAGTGGTAAAAGTATTGTCCAGTCCTTTTTAAGTTGGTGGCTGAGCTTGGTGAGGTGTGTTTTTAAAAGACCTTTAGTCCATTCTACTTTTCTTGAAGATGGAGGACCATAAGGGATATAAAGGTTTCACTGAATACTAAGAGCCTGAAAAACTGCTTGGCTGATTTGACTAATAAAGGCTCATCTGTTATCAGACTGTATAGAGGCGGGAAGGCTAAACTGAGGAATTATATCTAACAGAATGGAAGAAATGACTGTGGTGGCCTTCTCAGACCCTGTAGGAAAGGCCTGTACCTATCCAGTGAAAGTGTCTACCTAGACTAAGAGGTGTTTTAGTTACCTGACTCAGGTCATGTTGAGTAAAGCTAATTTGCCAGTCCTGGGTGGGGCAAATCCTCGAGCTTGATGTGTAGGGAAGGGAGGGGGCCTGAATAATCCCTGAGGAGTAGTAGAATAGCAGATGGAACACTGAGAAGTTATTTCCTTGAGGATAGATTTCCACAATGGGAAGGAAATGAGAGGTTCTAAGAGGCAAGCTAGTGGCTTGTACTATAGCATCACCTGCCTTTGCTGGTGTGTGGCGATTAGGCCTGGTGTAACCGCCATCAATAAATCAAGTGTGATCAGGGTGAGGAACAGGAAAGAAGGAAGTTTGGGGAAATGTGAATGTCAGGTGGATCAGAGAGATACAGTCATGGGGGTCAGGTGTGGTACCAGGAATAATGTGGGAGGCTGGATTGAAGTCTGGGCCAGGAACAATGGTAATTGTGGGAGATGCAACAAAGAGTGAGTAAAGCTGAAGGAGCCGGGAAGCAGAAAGTATATACATCAGGTATGAGGAAGAAAATAGATTTTGGAAGTTATGAGAACTGTAGAGAGAGAGTTGAGCACAGTTTGTGATTTTGAGGGCCTCTAAAAGTATTAAAGCAGCAGCAGCTGCTGCACGCAGACATGAGGGCTAGGCTAAAACAGTAAGGTCAAGTTGTTTGGACAGAAAGGCTACAAGTTGTGGTCCTGGCTCTTGTGTAAGAATTCTGACCATGCTAACCATACCTAGGAAGGAAAGTAGTTGTTGTTTTGTAGAAGGTGCTTGGGTTTGAGAGATCAGTTGGACACGATTGGCAGGGAGAGCATGTGGGTTTTTATGAGAAATGCCGAGATAGGTAACAGATGAGGAAGAAATTTGGGCTTGATTGAAGTAATGGGGGCTGTCTGTGAAGCTTTGCGGCAGTACAGCCTAGGTAATTTGCTGAGCTTGATGGGTGTCAGGGTCAGTCCAAGTGAAAGCGAAGAGAGGCTGGGATTAAGGGTGCAAAGGAATAGTAAAGAAAGCATGTTTGAGATCTAGAACAGAATAATGGGTTGTAGAGGCAGGTATTGAGGATAGGAGAGTATATGGGTTTGGCACCACGGGGTGGATAGGCAAAACAATTTGGTTGATAAGGCGCAGATCCTGAACTAAATTGTAAGTCTTATCTGGTTTTAGGACAGGTAAAATGGGGGAATTGTAAGAAGAGTTTATAGGCTTTAAAAGGCCATGCTGTAGCAGGCGAGTGATAACAGGCTTTAATCTTTTTAAAGCCTGCTGCGGGATGGGATATTGTCATTGAGTGGGGTAAGGGTGATTAGGTTTTAATGAGATGGTAAGGGGTACATGATCGGTCACCAAGGAGGGAGTAGAGGTATCTTATATTTGTGAGTTAAGGTGGGGGGATACAAGAGGAGGATGCAAAGGAGGCTTTGGATTGGGAAGAAGGGCAGCAATGAGATATAGTTGTAGTCCAGGAATAGGCAGGGAAGCAGATAATTTAGTTAAAGTGTCTCAGCCTAATAAGGGAACTGGGCAGGTGGGGATAACTAAAAAGGAGTACTTAAAAGAGTATTGTCTAAGTTGGCACCAGAGTTGGGGAGTTTTAAGAGGTTTAGAAGCCTGGCCATCAATACCCGCAACAGTTATGGAGGCAAGGGAAACAGGCCCTTGAAAAGAAGGTAATGTGGAGTGGGTAGCCTCTGTATTGATTAAGAAGGGGATGGGTTTACCTTCCACTGTGAAAGTTACCGGAAGCTCAGCATCCGTGATGGTCTAGGGGGCTTCCGAGGCGTTCGGGCAGTGTCAGTCTTCAGCCGCTAAGCTGAGAAGATCTGGGAAGGAGTCAGTCAGAGAGCCTTGGGCCAGAGTTCCAGGGGCTCTGGGAGTGGCTGCCAGGTGAGTCGAACAGTCCGATTTTCAGTGGGGTCCCACACAGATGGGACGCAGCTTAGGAGGAATCCTGGGCAGCGGGCATTCCTTGGCCCAGTGGCCAGATTTCCGGCACGTGTAGCAAGCTCCTGTGGGAGGAGGTTCTGGAGGAACGCCTGGCCACTGTGGTTCAGGTGTTTGGAAGTTCTTGTGTGCTGGAGATGTGGCTGGGGTTTGTCTCACAGTGGAGGCAAGGAATTGCAATTTTTTTCTATTATTGTACACCTTCAAGGCGAGGTTAATTAAATCCTGTTGTGGGGTTTGAGGGCCGGAATTTAATTTTTGGAGTTTTATTTAATGTCGGGAGCAGATTGGGTAATAAAATATTTTGAGAATAAGACGGCCTTTTGACTTTTTAGGGTCTAGGGCTGTAAAGTGTCTCAGGGTTGCTGCCAAACAAGTCATGAACTGGGCTGGGTTTTTATATTTGATGAAAAAGAGCCTAAACGCTATCCGATTTGGGATAAAGAAAAAGGAGCATTAACCTTGACTATGCCTTTGGCTCCAGCCACCTTTTTAAGAGTAAATTGCTGGGCAGGTGGGGGACAGAACGAAACTGTAAGCCGGACCAGGTGTGAGGAGGGGATGTGGGGAAAAGCAAGAGAGATCAGATTGTCACTGTGTCTGTGTAGAAAGAAATAGACATGGGAGACTCCATTTTGTTATGTACTAAGAAAAATTCTTCTGCCTTGAGATTCTGTGACCTTACCCCCAACCCCGTGCTCTCTGAAACATGTGCTGTGTCAAACTCAGGGTTAAATGGATTAAGGGCAGTGCAAGATGTGCTTTGTTAAACAGATGCTTGAAGGCAGCATGCTCGTTAAGAGTCATCACCACTCCCTAATCTCAAGTACCCAGGGACACAAACACTGCGGAAGGCCGCAGGGACCTCTGCCTAGGAAAGCCAGGTATTGTCCAAGGTTTCTCCCCATGTGATAGTCTGAAATATGGCCTCATGGGAAGGGAAAGACCTGACTGTCCCCCCGCCCGACACCCCGACACCCGTAAAGGGTCTGTGCTGAGGAGGATTAGTATAAGAGGAAGGCATGCCTCTTGCAGTTGAGACAAGAGGAAGGCATCTGTCTCCTGCCCGTCCCTGGGCAATGGAATGTCTCGGTATAAAACCCGATTGTATGTTCCATCTACTGAGATAGGGAAAAACCACCTTAGGGCTGGAGGTGGGACATGCGGGCAGCAATACTGCTTTGTAAAGCATTGAGATGTTTATGTGTATGCATATCTAAAAGCACAGCACTTAATCCTTTACCTTGTCTATGATGCAAAGACCTTTGTTCACGTGTTTGTCGGCTGACCCTCTCCCCACAATTGTCTTGTGACCCTGACACATCCCCCTCTTGGAGAAACACCCACGAATGATGAATAAATACTAAGGGAACTCAGAGGCTGGGGGGATCCTCCATATGCTGAACGCTGGTTCCCCGGGTCCCCTTATTTCTTTCTCTATACTTTGTGTCTTTTTCTTTCCTAAGTCTCTTGTTCCACCTTATGAGAAACACCCACAGGTGTGGAGGGGCAACCCACCCCTACAGGGGAGGTGATAAAAAGATTATAGGGTGGAGGAGCGGAGGCTGAGGAAGAATTGGGACCTAGCTCGGCCTGGTGAGGAGCAGCCTGGGGAGGAAGAGAGAGGTCAGATGGGTCTGTAGAAAAGGAAGATTAGAAAGAATCAGTGATGCTTGGGGTTGGTACTGAGGGGATAGGTGGGAGAGAAAGAAGGAAGATTTGGGACGAGTTGCACTGGGCACAGAGACTAGGAAGGGATTGATGTGTAAAAGAATGCCTGGACATCAGGCACCTCAGACCATTTGCCTATTTTACGACAAGAATTATTTAGATTTTGCAGGATGAAAAAATTCAAAGTGCCATTTTCTGGCTATTTGGAACTACTGTCGAGTTTGTATTGGGGTCAAGTGGCATTGCAGAAGAAAAGGCATTTAGGTTTTAGGTCAGGTGTGAGTTGAAGAGATTTTAAGTTTTTGAGAACACAGGCTAAGGGAGAAGAAGGAGGAATGGAAGGTGGAAGCTTACCCATAGTGAAGGAGGCAAGCCCAGAGAAAAGAGTAGAGACACGGAGAAGGGGTGGAGGGTTCTTGCCCTCCAGAAAAGCAGAGAAGGTGTTGGGGCACAGAAATAAGGGATTGGGGCACAGAGATAAGAGGTCAGGGTGCAGAAATAAGGGATTGGGGCACAGAGATAAGAGGTTAGGGTATGGAAATAAGCGATTGGGGGGTTCTTGCCCCCTAGGAAAGCAGGACTTGCCACTAAGGGTGAAGGAGAAGGGGTTGAGGGGTACTTGCCCCTGCCCCAGGAAAGCGGGACTTGCCGCTAAGGGTGAAGGAGAAAGGGTTGAGGGGTTCTTGCCCCTGCCCCAGAAAAGCAGAGAAGGGGTAGAGACAAGGAGAGAAGGGGTTGAGGGGTACTTGTCCCTTCCTCAGAAAATCGGGACTTGCCGCTAAGGGTGAAGGACCAAGGCAGGTGTCCCTGTGTGGTCTGACACCCTTGAAACGTGAGTGTATAATCAGAGAGGTGTCCCTGCAATGATTAAACACCAAGGGAAGGCTGCCTTCCCAGTCCATGACCGGTGCCGGAGTTGGGTCCATGGATAAAACGTGTCTCCTTTGTCTCTACCAGAAAATGAAAGGAATTGAAATTAAGAGAAGGGAGAGATTGAAGTGTGGCGCCAAGATTGAAAGGAGAAAGAGGTTGAGGGATAGTGAGGGAGGTTGGAGAAGAGAGTAAAAAGAGGCCGCTTACCGGATTTGAAATTGGTGAGATGTTTCTTGGGCTGGTCGGTCTGAGGACCTGAGGTCACAGGTGGGTCATTCTCACGGAGCAAAGAACAGGAGGACAGGGGATTGATCTCCCAAGGGAGGTCCCCCGAGCCGAGTCATGGCACCAAATTTCATTTGGCTTGGGCTCAGAGGCCTGACAGAGGCTATATGGGAAAACTCTTCTCATGAAAGCAGGATGTTGGAAAACTGACAAACTGCATCTGCTGCCAGAACGGGTGCTGAGGGCAGTTATGCCCCAGGCGCAGTGTTCCTTGTGGTTATCTATAGGAATATCTGAAGCCTGTTGTACAAAGAAAGCAATTATATGTACCTGTGATAAATCAAGCAGCTGACCAACCATTACCTCTCCCTCCCTATTGATTCTACCTAATAAATACTAAGGCCTGTAGAAACAGGGCTGCCTTCTGCTCACTAGAAGCAAGGAGCCCCTGATACCTTCTTTTTTTTTTTTTTTCTGAGACCGAATCTCGCTCTGTCACCCAGGCTGGAGTGCAGTGGCACGATCTTGGCTTACTGCAAGCTCTGCCTCCTGGGTTCATGCCATTCTCCTGCCTCAGCCCCACCCCCCCACCCCCCCAGGTAGCTGGGACTACAGGTGTCTGCCACCACACCTGGCTAAATTTTTTTGTATTTTTAGTAGAGACGGGGTTTCACCGTGTTAGCCAAGATGGTTTCGCTCTCCTGACCTCGCGATCCACCCACCTCGGCCTCTCAAAGTGCTGGGATTACAGGCCTGAGCCACTGCGCCCTGCCTGACCCCTTCTTTTAAAACAAATCTTTTGTCTTTGTCTTCATTTCTGCATTCGTCCCCTTCGTTCAATCCTGTAGGAATTGACAGTGATATTGGGGAGTTCCCATCCCTGGATTTGGGATTTCCTCGAGTTTCCAGCCCTGTCCTTGTGGCCAAAAAGTGGCACAGTTTGGTTTTTGAATCCTGTTCGTGACGCCAAAAATATTCTGTGTGGGAAACATTCAAGGGGAGAAGAAAAGACACACACACAATACCTTTAAGGGTAAATAAGCTTTGTGCCACGTAAATGGAAATGCAGATATAATTAGCAAATTATATAATAAGCAAATCAATGTAATAACCAGATTGATATAATAAGCATGTTGATATAATAAGCAAATTGCAATGGGAAGAGGAGAAAGGAAAAGAGATATATATATTTACACTCACCAGACTATGGAGGATTCACCACCAGACTGGGAAGCAACAGCTTGGGCTCCAGAGTCAGCTACTCATTCCTGCACAGATGAGGAGGGTCTAATGAAGCTTCAGCACAATCTGATACCCTAGCTCTTTTGTAACGAGTTGTTTGGCATAAGGCCCAGTCATGAGGGCCATTTGCAACTGGGGTCAAGGAACACAAAACTGTCAACTTGTTTTTGCGATTGTCTATTGTTTTTCAACAACTAATATATAGAAATAGATTGAAATAGAGATTTCTCTGAAACAGCGCTGAATGAATGCCTCAAGGGCCTCACACAACCTGTTTGAGAACTTGGTGACTACTGAGTTTGTCCACGTTCAATTAAGTTCAAATTTAGTATTTAACTTTTCCTCCACAAATTACCCAGTCTTGATGAATCAGCTCTGTCTAGACATAGGGCAAGGTGAACCCCTTGGGCAGTTACACAACCTCCGCCTTCTGGGTTTAAGCAATTCTCCTGCCTCAGCCTCCGGACTAGCTGGGTCTACAGGTGTGCAGCACCACACCCAGCTAGTTATTTGTACTTTTAGTAGAAATGGGGTTTCACCATGTTGGCCAGGCTGGTCTTGAACTCCTGACCTCAAGTGATCCACCCACCTTGGCCTCCCAAAGTGTTGCGATTACAGGCACTTGCCAGTGAACCTGGCCCTAAATGACTTCTTTCTATCTCCTATAACAATTTGAAATTACTTAAAGGTGGTTTCAAATTGAAAAAATAAAAAGAATTTGGATAAAAATAAAATGTAAACAGTTTTTAAAAATTACAAGAGATTACAAAATATACATGTAAAACCGGAGTGGTCAAAAATGACAAATTTGATTTATTTATAAGGTTTATTAAAATTAGCTTTAGTATTGATAATACACTATTACCAAAGTAAAAGCTGATTTTCTCTTGAAAAAAATTTTATGTATTATTAATATGACAGCAAAATACTTCTGTTCACCTTTTGAATATATTCAAAAAGAGAGAGAGTAAAAAAAAAGATAGAATTTTCCCATGATCTGGGTTGGGCCTGGCTCAGCTCAGGGAGGAAGCCCTGCCTGAAAAACGCTGCAGCTTAGGCTGTGACTTTTTCTTCACTCAGTCCTGATCACATTTTCTGTTACTCAGGGCCTGAGGGGGCGGGGGCCTTAAGCATTATCCAATCAGAAACGCTGGGCTGACGCCCCGTCCGGGAGGGAGGTGGGGGGGTCAGCCCCCCGCCCAGCCAGCCGCCCCGTCCGGGAGGTGGGGGGTGCCTCTGCCCGGCCGCCCCTACTGGGAAGTGAGGAGCCCCTCTGCCCGGCCACCACCCCGTCTGGGAGGTGTACCCAACAGCTCATTGAGAACGGGCCATGATGACAATGGCAGTTTTGTGGAATAGAAAAGGGGGAAAGGTGGGGAAAAGATTGAGAAATCGGATGGTTGCTGTGTCTGTGTAGAAAGAGGTAGACATGGGAGACTTCATTTTGTTCTGTACTAAGAAAAATTCTTCTGCCTTGGGATCCTGTTGACCTATGACCTTACCCCCAACCCTGTGCTCTCTGAAACATGTGCTGTGTCCACTCAGGGTTAAATGGATTAAGGGCGGTGCAAGATGTGCTTTGTTAAACAGATGCTTGAAGGCAGCATGCTCGTTAAGAGTCATCACCACTCCCTAATCTCAAGTACCCAGGGACACAAACACTGCGGAAGGCCGCAGGGTCCTCTGCCTAGGAAAACCAGAGACCTTTGTTCACTTGTTTATCTGCTGACCTTCCCTCCACTATTGTCCTATGACCCTGCCAAATCCCCCTTTGCGAGAAACACCCAAGAATGATCAATAAAAAAAAAAAAGAAAAAAGAAACGCTGGCCTGAAAACTGCCCAATCAGGCACGCAGCTGGAGTGAACAGGACGTCTTCAGTGTTTGGCTGCAGCCTTTGTCTCTGGCTGCAGCCTGAGCTCTGGGTCTCCTCTTCACTAGTCTGTGTCCTCTGCTCCTAGAGGCGCAACCTCTATAGCCCTGTGACCTGCAGGTATTGGGAGATCCACAGCTAAGACACCAGGACCTCCTGGAAGCCTAGAAACAGTGAGAGTGCCGGTCCGACATCCTGAGTGAGCGGGAGGGGATGGTTGGAACCGGTGACAAGTGGCAGTGGCAGGACTCAGGCCTCTCCTCAGTCAGCTCCACAATCTGTGCCACAAGTTCTCCTTGCCCAGCTCGGCCTCAGTCCCCTTCAGCCCTAAGATGGCAGCTGCGCTGACAGGCGGTCCAGGGGTGTCCTGTCTCTTCCCTGCGCGGTGACTGTGCCCTGGCCTGAAACCTTCTCAGGGCAGCCCTGCACCCACAGTGCCACGTCTCTCCTAGATTGTGCGGGGACTCCAGGAGGATCTTTGGGGGGGAACCCTGACTCGGGGTGTGGGTTCATGAATGGGAAGAGCTTTGGTCTGTGGGGTTCACAGTTTCTGTTTTCTCTTATTAAAAATTTATGGGGACGGGTGGCCAGGTGTGGTGGCTCATGCCTGTAATCCTAGCACTTTGGGAGGCCGAGGCGGGTGGATCACAAAGTCAAGAGATCGAGACCATCCTGGCCAACATGGTGAAACCCTGTCTCTACTAAAACACAAAAATTAGCCAAACATAGCGGCGGGGGCCTGTAGTCCCAGCTACCTAGGAGGCTGAGGCAGGAGAATTCGCTTGAACCTGGGAGGCGGAAGTTGCAGTAAGACAAGATCGTGCTACTGCATTCCAGCCTGGCAACAGAGCGAGACTCTGTCTCAAAAAAAAAAGAAAGAAGGAAAAGAAAAAATTTATGGGGCCTGGCGCGGTGGCTCACGTCTGTAATCCCAGCACTTTGGGAGGCCGAGGCGGGTGGATCACTTGAGGTCAGGAGTTCAAGATAAGCCTGGCCAAAATGGGGAAACCCCATCTCTACTAAAAATACATAAATTGGCTGGGTGTGATGGTGAATGTCTGTAGTCCCAGCTACTCCAAAGGCAGAGGTGAGAATCGCTTGAACCCGGAAGGAGTAGGTTTCAGTGAGCTGAGGTCATGCCACTTCCCTCCAGCCTGGGCGACAGAGAAAGACTCTGTCTAGAAAAAGTAAATTATGGGAGTCGGCGCCGGCGAGCGCCGCCCGGGAGGCAGCGGCTGGAGGAGCGGACGGGCCCCGCGGGGCCCGAGGGCAAGGAGCAGCTGCCTGCCTTGGCCTCCCAAAGTGCCGAGATTGCAGCCTCTGCCCGGCTGCCACCCCGTCTGGGAAGTGAGGAGTGTCTCTGCCTGGCCGCCCATCGTCTGGGATGTGAGGAGCCCCTCTGCCTGGCTGCCCAGTCTGGAAAGTGAGGAGCGTCTACGCCCGGCCGCCATCCCATCTAGGAAGTGAGGAGCGCCTCTTCCCAGCCGCCATCACATCTAGGAAGTGAGGAGCGTCTCTGCCCGGCCGCCCATCGTCTGAGATGTGGGGAGCGCCTCTGCCCCGCCGCCCCATCTGGGATGTGAGGAGCGCCTCTGCCCGGCCGAGACCCCGTCTGGGAGGTGAGGAGCGTCTCTGCCCGGCCGCCCCGTCTGAGAAGTGAGGAGACCCTCTGCCTGGCAACCACCCCGTCTGAGAAGTGAGGAGCCCCTCCGCCCGGCAGCTGCCCCGTCTGAGAAGTGAGGAGCCTCTCCGCCCGGCAGCCACCCCATCTGGGAAGTGAGGAGCGTCTCCGCCCGGCAGCCACCCCGTCCGGGAAGGAGGTGGGGGGGGGGGGGTCAGCCCCCCGCCCGGCCAGCCGCCCCATCCGGGAGGGAGGTGGGGGGTCAGCCCCCACGCCCGGCCAGCCGTGCCATCCGGGAGGGAGGTGGGGGGGTCAGCCCCCCGCCTGGCCAGCCGTGCCATCCGGGAGGGAGGTGGGGGGGTCAGCCCCCCCACCCGGCCAGCCGCCCCGTCCGGTAGGGAGGTAGGGGGGTCAGCCCCCCGCCTGGCCAGCCGCCCCGTCCGGGAGGGAGGTGGGGGGGTCAGCCCTCCGCCCGGCCAGCCGTCCCGTCTGGGAGGTGAGGGGCGCCTCTGCCCAGCCGCCCCTACTGGGAAGTGAGGAGCCCCTCTGCCCGGCCAGCCGCCCCGTCCGGGAGGGAGGTGGGGGGGTCAGCCCCCCGCCCGGCCAGCCGCCCTGTCCGGGAGGGAGGTGGGGGGATCAGCCCTCCGCCCGGCCAGCCGCCCCGTCTGGGAGGTGAGGGGCGCCTCTGCCCGGCCGCCCCTACTGGGAAGTGAGGAGCCCCTCTGCCCGGCCAGCCGCCCCGTCCGGGAGGGAGGTGGGGGGGTCGGCCCCCCGCCCGGCCAGCCGCCCCGTCCGGGAGGTGA
Organism: Homo sapiens; assembly: GCF_000001405.40. Taxonomy (NCBI): domain Eukaryota; kingdom Metazoa; phylum Chordata; class Mammalia; order Primates; family Hominidae; genus Homo; species Homo sapiens. The sequence goes on along the minus strand of NC_000019.10, from coordinate 20,149,555 downwards.
GGGGCGCCTCTGCCCGGCCAGCCGCCCGTCCGGGAGGGAGGTGGGGGGGTCAGCCCCCCGCCCGGCCAGCCGCCCCGTCCGGGAGGGAGGTTGGGGGGTCAGCCCCCCGCCCGGCCAGCCGCCCCGTCCGGGAGGGAGGTGGGGGGGGTCAGCCCCCCTGCCCGGCCAGCCGCCCCGTCCGGGAGGTGAGGGGCGCCTCTGCCCGGCCGCCCCTACTGGGAAGTGAGGAGCCCCTCTGCCCGGCCACCACCCCGTCTGGGAGGTGTACCCAACAGCTCATTGAGAACGGGCCAGGATGACAATGGCGGCTTTGTGGAATAGAAAGGCGGGAAAGGTGGGGAAAAGATTGAGAAATCGGATGGTTGCCGTGTCTGTGTAGAAAGAAGTAGACATGGGAGACTTTTAATTTTGTTCTGCACTAAGAAAAATTCCTCTGCCTTGGGATCCTGTTGATCTGTGACCTTACCCCCAACCCTGTGCTCTCTGAAACATGTGCTGTGTCCACTCAGGGTTAAATGGATTAAGGGCGGTGCAAGATGTGCTTTGTTAAACAGATGCTTGAAGGCAGCATGCTCGTTAAGAGTCATCACCACTCCCTAATCTCAAGTACCCAGGGACACAAACACTGCGGAAGGCCGCAGGGTCCTCTGCCTAGGAAAACCAGAGACCTTTGTTCACTTGTTTATCTGCTGACCTTCCCTCCACTATTGTCCCATGACCCTGCCAAATCCCCCTCTGTGAGAAACACCCAAGAATTATCAATAAAAAAATAAATTTAAAAAAAAAAAAAAAAAAAAAGAATGGAGTTTCCCAGGCCAGCTGTGGTGGCTCACGACTGTAATCCCAGCACTGTGGCAGGCCAAGGCGGGCAGATCACCTGAGATCAGGAGTTCAAGACCAGCCTGACCAACACGGAGAAACCCCGTCTCTACTAAAAATAAAAAAAATTAGCTGGGCGTGGTGGTGCATGCCTGTAATCCCAGCTACTTGGGAGGCTGAGGCAGGAGAATTGCTTGAACCCAGGAGGCAGAGGTTGTTGTGAGCTGAGATTGCACCATTGCACTCCAGCCTGGGCAACAAGAGGGAAACTCCATCCAAAAAAAAAAAAAAAAGGACTTTCTCAAAGAAAATGTATTTAAATGTCTGCACCAATAATTCCAGCATGTGTATGAATAAATATGATATGTCCTTTACAAAAAAAAAAAAAATTATGGGAGTCACTGCAAAAAATCAAGTAATTTAATCAAAGAGTGATTCAAGAATTGTAGAGCACCCAGTTATAGTTTGTAGTCTGTGGTCCATGGGAGGGGCTTGAAGGAAAGACATTTGTAAAATCAGTGATGAAGAAAACCAAATTCAACAATTGGTTAGGTGTACTTACGTAGCTTCTTAATTTGTATAATCAAGGTGGAAATTTCCTGGTTATGTAATCAGAGCTTATTTGGCAGTTTATAGTTGTTTAAGCCTGAAATTTGTTTCCCCAAATGTAGTAATTTATTAACAAATCAACTTGAGTTTACATTTTTTTACAAGTAGGAATCTGAGGACTAGAGCCTTCTCAGTCTAATTGCCTGCCGCTTAATTATTTTCACAACCCACAAGGGGCTGATTTTCTCTGGCATTTTTCACATGTGTCCCCAGCAGGGCCTCCTGTACCCCACGTTCCTCAATCATTGTTTAAAGCATTGCATAGCACTATTGAAAAGATTTGTTTTCTATTTTTAAATATTTCCCATGAGAAGAAAGCAAAGAATAATCCCCTGACACTGTATTGTAAAAAATATCTGTACCTTTTTTTCTTTTATTTTTCCAGAGAACTTACCAGAATGTTTTTAGGTTAACATTACCCTCTGGAAACATTATAGGGTGATGTGACCTCTGCTAACCTTCAGTTTTATTCTGGGCCTGGGTTTTAGTACTTTCTGGAGATAAACCAAGATACCCACTATGGCTATGTCTGCTAAAATGTCTAATGGATATTAGCTCTTGGGTCACTTTCTCCCTTAGGACCACCTGAAGTATAGAGTGTAGCCTCTCAAGGGAGCAGGTGGCAGCCTTGGGGCTGAAAGGCATCTCCTGATATACTTTTTTTTTTTTTTTTGAAAAGCTAGCCCCTTGAGACATGAAGATTGTCTTGACCCAACCTAACTTCCATTTCTTGGAGACACATTGTTGGTGAGCCAATCAGATGCTGGTATTGAGGGGAAAACAAATAATTTCTGCCCCCTGGATGCTCTTGGGGGGAGTGAAAGAAAAATAGTAAAAAGTTTGTGAAAAAAACCTTCAAAAGACAAAAGAAAATGACCCCAGTGAGATGGGGTAAAAACTTACATAGTAAAATGCAGCTGGGGCAGTCACGCTGTGTCTGCGCTGTGTCTCCTGGGAGGGTGGTTATTGAGCATGTGAACAGGATGGGGTGAGTGATTGGATATCTACCTTGAAAGATTTGTTCACTTATTTTGACCTCAGGTGTTTTTGTTGTTGTTGTTGATTCTGCCTTTTTTTTTTTTTTTTTAAGACAGTCTGACTCTGTTGCACAGGTTGGAATGCAGTGACTTGATCTTGGCACACTGCAACCTCTACCTTCTGGGTTCAAGTGATTCTCATGCCTCAGCCTCCGGAGTAGCTAGGACTACACGTGTGCACCACTGTATTTGGCTAGTTTTTGTATTTTTAGTAGAGATGGACCAGGCTGGTCCCAAACTTTTAGTCATTTTTTTTTTTTTTTTGAGATGGATTTTTGCTCTTGTTGCCCAGGCTGGAGTGCGATGACGTGATCTTGGCTCACCACAACCTCTGCCTCCCAGGTTCAGCCTCCCAGATTCTCCTGCCTCAGCCTTGGGCATGTGCCACCATGCCCAGCTAATTTTTATATTTTCAGTAGATATGGGGTTTCTCCATGTTGGTCAGGCTGGCCTCGAACTCCCAACCTCAGGTGATCCGCCCACCTAGGCCTCCCAAAGTGCTAGGATTACAGGCATGAGCCACCGTGCCCCACTCAAACTTTTAATCTTAATTGATCTGCCTGCCTTGGCCTCCCAAAGTGCTGGCATTAAAGTGAGCCACAGCACCCACCTGAATCAGTTTTTTATCTGTAATTTGCATTTTATTAGTAGGGCTTGAAAGGTAAGAAAATATTTACAAAGAAAATAAAAGATGAGTTTCAAAAAATTAATATTTAATCATATATTCCATTTGTTAATAACTCATTTACATTTTTCTTTCCAAGAGTGAGTTTAGGAATTTTCTTGGGTGTGGTTTTTATGTCTTAGTGATTTCAGACAGAATTCTAAGCCTTAGCTTTATAATGCTAGCTACCAAGGGAAAAAATAGGGAAAATCTCTCTTCCATTTTGGCTCTAGACAATGAATATATTTTCATAGGAAAATGTGGTGAATGAGTTACACAGATTCATCAAAACATCAGTTCCTCTTTTTGCAGGGTAAATTTGTGACAGTGAATATCTCCATTCTATATCCTGTTGTCTTGATTTCTGAGTTTAGTGCTAAATTGCATGTGATGAAACGTGGTAACTTTTAGAAGCATTCCCATATGACTAATTTTTTACTACATTATTTTTTAATATAAATAATAAAATAATACATATATTGTCTGAAAGAAGTAGATATATTTGTTTTTCTTATGGAGGCATAAAATGCAAGCACCTTAGCCAGGTGCAGTAGCTCACGCCTGTAATTCCAGCACATTGGGAGGCCAATGCGGGTTGATTCCTTGAGGTCAGGAGTTTGAGACCCGCCTGCCCAACATGGTGAAACCCTGTCTCTACTAAAAATACAAAAATTAGCTGGGTGTGGTGGAGCATGCCTGTAGTCCCACCTACTTGGGAGGGTGAGGCAGAAGAATAGCTTTTACCCAGGAGGTGGAGGTTGCAGTGAGCTGAGATCCAGCCATTGCATTCCAGTGTGGGTGACAGAGCGAGATTCCATCTCAAAAAAAAAAAAAAAAAAGTAAGCACCTTAAAATTTCCTTTTCTTATGTAAACGCTGTGAGTAATTTCACTGGATTTTTCAAACACTTAGTTTTGAAAACCAAGTGAATAACTCTGACATGGAAATTAAAGCTTGAACCTAGTAACTCCAAGCTAGGGCTAATATTAAGCATGCAAGAGGAAGTTATTAAAGGCCCAGTTAGTTCTTTCTGAGGAGCCACCCATGCAGCTGTCTCAGCCTGCTCACCCCAGCCATAGAAGAAGCCTTTATCCTGAGAGAAGCTACAGAGCCCTGGAAAGCTGGGATCCCACAGGCAGATGCAGTTAAGGTTAAGATGAAAGGAAACTGGGGAGGTCTTACTGATGATGAAGTTTTTATTGTTTTGAGGCAATTTCTAAACTTTGTAAAATAAAAACATTAGATTTATGTTTAAAAAAAAAAATGAATTCCAGGCTCGGCGCGGTGGCTCACGCCTGTAATCCCCGCACTTTGGGAGGCCGAGGCGGGCGGATCACGAGGTCAGGAGATCGAGACCATCCTGGCTAACAGGGTGAAACCCCGTCTTCACTAAAAATACAAAAAAAAAAAAAAGTTAGCTGGGTGTGGTGTTGGGCGCCTGTAGTCCCAGCTACTCCGGAGGCTGAGGCAGGAGAACGGCGTGAACCTGGGAGGCAGCGCTTGCAGAAAACCGAGATCGCGCCACTGCACTCCAGCCTCAGCGACAGAGAGAGACTCCATCTCAAAAAAAAAAAAGGAGAAAATGTGCAGTGTGTGTGTCAGCCTGTGTTTTAGGAAAGAAAAGAGAGCACCACTTAAGTCATAATGGGAAGGGTGTTTCCTTCCATAAACTGTTCCTGGAGCACACAAAGGATGGAGACATTTTAAATTATTTATTTATTTATTTATTTATTTTTTTGAGACAGAGTCTCGCTCTGTCGCCCAGGCTGGAGTGCAGTGGCACCATCTCGGCTCACTGCAAGCTCCGCCTCCTGGGTTCAAGCCATTCTCCTGCCTCAGCCTCTTGAGTAGCTGGGACTACAGGCGCTTGCCACCATGCCCCGCTAATTTTTTGTATTTTTAGTAGAGACAGGGTTTCACCGTGTTAGCCAGGATGGTCTCAATCTCCTGACCTTGTGATCCGCCCGCCTCGGCCCCCCAAAGTGCTGGGATTACAAGCGTGAGCCACCGCGCCCGACCTAGGATGATTTTATTAATCACAAATATTTTTTAGGATTATGTGTTTCATCTTTTTCCATCTCTTTTATTTGTTCTGTGCATTTTTTCCATTTGACTTTTCCTGGCCTTCATCTTATATATTAAACCGGTAAAGGTAACTACAGTTTCCTGCTGAGTTCTGTGAGTAGCTCTATGAAATTATTGAACTTCAGGGACGTTATGGGAGTCTCCCGTTTTTATTTTTATTTTTTTTTATTTTTATTTTTTTTTTTTTTGAGACGGAGTTTCGCTCTGTCGCCCAGGCTGGAGTGCAGTGGCGCGATCTCGACTCACTGCAAGCTCCGCCTCCCGGGTTCACGCCATTCTCCTGCCTCAGCCTCCCGTGTAGCTGGGACTACAGGCGCGCGCCACCATGCCCGGCTAATTTTTGTATTTTTAGTAGAGACGGGGTTTCACCGTGTTAGCCAGGATGGTCTCGATCTCCTGACCTCGTGATCCGCCCGTCTCGGCCTCCCAAAGTGCTGGGATTACAGGCGTGAGCCACCGCGCCCGGCCGTCTCCCGTTTTTAAACAGTAGCTCAGACACATACATGGGCCCATGGGGTTTATGACTGGCATCTGCATTGAGGACAATGTTGTGGGACCGAGCCCTGAATCAGGGTCTGTACTGACTGTGGGTGGTGTCAGAATTCAAATGTTAGACCGTAAGTTGGTGTTGGAGAATTGTTTGATGTTCAGCAAATGCTACAGATTTGGTGCCAGAAAAAAAGATATCATGGAGGCCTGGCCTGGAATAAAACTCTGGGTGTCTGGGAATGGGAGGCTCTGCTCTCCTGTACACAGGCTGTCACACTGCCCATTGTCCTGTGATTCCAGGTCTTCTCCGAGGGCAACTGTGGACTGAAAACTTAGCGGAGAGAAACTCCCATGACAGACGCCCTTTTCCCACAGGTGCCACCATAGTATTCCCACCCACTCACAAACACACACACTAGACATTGACATGTCCACACTCCTCCTAGGACTCGGCACCACCCTCAGGAACTTCACCACGGCATTTTTGAACCCAGTGTTTCTTGAAAAGGACCCACAGTATCTACAAGTCTCCTGGCATAACCCCACCCCCAGACACTGAATCTGCAGCAGCAACCTGTTTTCTCCACCATCCTAGGGTCTGGACCACTTGTTCATAATCTCATCTGCCTGTATTCACACAGAAGTAAATCAGAGTACAGCCCTACCTGGGCCATTATCTGTAGCAAAAATAAGTTCTTTCACCTACATTGCACTCTCTCCCACTCGGGGAGTTTTTTTTCTTTTAGCTTTTATTTTTGGTTCGATGTACACATGTGGGTTTGTTATACAGCTGAAATTATGTCATGGGGATTTGGTATGCAGATTATTTTGTCACTGAGGTACTACCCATAGCACCAAACAGGTATGTTTTCTGATCCTCTTACTCCTCTCACCCTCCACCCTCTACTAGGCCTCAGTGCCTGTTTTTCTCCTCTTTGTGTTCATGTGTTCTTATTATTTAGCTCTTACTTATAAATAATGACATGCATTTGATTTTCTGTTCCTGTATTATTTTCTTTTTTTGTTTTGTTTCTTTGTTTTTGAGATATTTTTGCTTGTTTGTTTTTGCTCTTGTTGCCCAAGCTGGAATGCAATGGTGTGTTCTCAGCTCACCTCTGCCTCCCAGGTTCAAGCCATTCTCCTGCCTCAGCCTCCTGAGTAGCTGGGATTACAGGCACGCGTCTCCATGCTCTGCTAATTTTGTATTTTTAGTATAGATGGGATTTCTCCATGTTGGTTAGGCTGGTCTCAAACTCCTGACTTCAGGTGATCCACTCACCTTGGTTTCCCAAAGTGTTGGGATTACAGACATGAGCCACTACACCCAGCCTCTGCATTTGTTTTGTAAGAATAATGGTCTCCAGCTTCATCAATGTTACTGCAAAGGACATGGTTATTTGTTTTTAATGGCCACAGAGTAGTCCAGGATGCTTATGTACCATATTTTGTTTTTACTAAATCTTTTGTTTTTGGAGTCAGGGTCTCACTTATTGCCCAGGCTAGAGTGCTGTGGTGTGATATTGGCTTACCTTATCCTCAACTTCCCAGGCTCAAACAATTCTCTCCTACCTCATCCTCCCAAGTAGCTGGGACTACATGCGGGTGTTACCAAGCCTGGCCATTTTTTTTTTTTTTTTTTTGTATCTTCTGTGGAGACAAAATTTTGCCATGTTGCCCAGAGTGGTCTCAAACTTCTAAGCTCAGGCAATCCACCTGCCTCAGCCTCCCAAACGGCTGGAATTACAGGCATGAGCCACCGCATCTGACCATACCATATTTTCTTGATCCAGTCTGCCATTGATAGGCATTTAGTCTGTCCGTGTCTTTGCTATTGTGAATAGTGCTGCAGTGAACATGCATGTGGATGTGTCTTTATAATATTTCATATTTCTTTGGGTATATACTCAATTATGAGGTTTCCCAGTCGAATGATAATTCTGTTTTTCATTCTGTGAGGAATTGTCACACTGATTTTTACAGTTGTTGAAATAATTTACACTCCCACCAGAGGAGTATAAGCATTCCCTTTTCTCTGCAACTTTGTCAGCATCTGTTATCTTTTGACTTTTTAAAAATAGCCATTCTGACTGGTATGAGGTGGTATCTCATTGTGGTTTCTCTGCGTGTGTGTGTGTGTGTGTGTGTGTGTGTGTGTGTCTGTGTGTGTGTGTTTGAGACGGAGTCTTGCTCTGTTGCCCAGGCAGGAGTGCAGTGGTGTGATCTCAGCTCACTGCAACCTCTGCCTACCAGATTCAAGCAATTCTCCTGCCTCAGCCTCCTGAGTAGCTGGGACTACAGGTGCACACTGCCACACCTGGCTGATTTTTGTATTTTTAGTAGAGACAGGGTTTCACCATGTTAGCCAGGATGATCTTGATCTCCTGACCTTGTAATCTGCCTGCCTTGGCCTCCCAAAGTGCTGGGATTACAGGCGTGAGCCACCGCACCCAGCCTGTGGTTTCTCTTCTAATTTCTCTAATGATTAGCAATGAGCATTTTTTTTTCATATGCTTGTTAGCCCTATGTGTATCTTCTATTGAAAGGCATCTGTTCATGTTTTTTGCATACTTTTTAATGAGTGTGTTTTTTTCTTGTAAACTTGTTTAAGTTCCTAATAAATTCTGTATATTAGACCTTTTTCAGAGGCAAAATTTACAAATATATTCTTTTATTCTCTAGTTTGTCTGTTTACTCTGTTGATAGTTTCCTTTGCTGTGAAGAAGCTCTTAAGTTTAAATACATCCCATTTGTCAATTTGCTTCTGTTGCAGTTGCTTTTGGTAGCTTCATCATGAAGTCTTTACCTGTTTCTGTGTCTAGAATGCTATTTCCTAGGTTATCTTGCAGGGTTTCTTATAATTTTAAGTTTTACATTTAAGTCCTTAATTTATCTTCAGTTGATTTTTTTATATGGTGTAATGAAGGGGTCCACTTCAGTCTTCTACATAGTGGTAGATAGTTATTCCAGCACCATTTATGAAAGAGAGAATTCTTCCCACATTCCTCTTGTCAGCTTTGTCAGAAATCTGATGGTTGCAGGTGAAAGGCATTATTTCTGGGCTCTCTATTCTGTTTCATAGGTGTTGTGCACTCATGGATTTTTTTATAACGTCTTTTTCTCTTCTGCTTTTTCCCCATTAACATTCTTTCAAGTGCATATAGTGTGCAAAATTCAGATGTCCAAGAGTTCAAAACTCTTTAAAAAGTTCCAAAAATTTTTTTGCTATTCTCTCTTTTCTTAAGGGATTTAGATTATATGTAGATATTTTTCTCTGCTTTTTTGAAATATATGTAAATCATATTAAGAGCTAAATAAGGGCAGGGCGCGGTTTTGCATGCCTGTAATCCCAGCACTTTGGGAGGCCGAGGCAGGCAGATCACGAGGTCAGGAGATCAAGACCATCCTGGCTAACACGGTGAAACCCCGTCTCTACTAAAAATACAAAAAAATTAGCTGGGCGTGGTGGCAGTTGCCTGTAATCCCAGCTACTTGGGAGGCTGAGGTAGGAGAATGGCATGAAGCTGGGAGGCAGAGCTTTTGCAGTGAGCCGAGTTCGTGCCACTGCACTCCAGCCTCGGTGACAGAGCGAGACTCCATCTCAAAAAAAAAAAAAAGCTAAATAAATCTCACTCCAGACTATCTAGTACTTCAGATTTATTGCTTTGTTTTTGGTTCTGAAAAGTTTAGTTTTTTCATGTTTAGTCTTTTAAAGTAGACACAGGTTTGTTTAGATAAAACCTCATTTTAAGAGCACATAGAAGCTTAACACACAGATAAATTTAGCAATACAAAATGATAAAGACTAAAAGATACTAAATTCCTTTGATAGAAATCTGATGATCCAAGGTAATTATCCAGTATTTGCAGGCAGAAATACTTACACTGCAAAAGCAAGAACAGTTCAGTGCATAAACTGAACAGTGGAGTCTGTAGTTGTGCCTTGCTTTCTATTTATTACTTCAGAACAATTAGCATAGTTATGTGTAGTGTTTGCAGAAAACCTGCATTCATAAAAATTAAACAGTTTTTTTTTTTTTGAGACAGTCTCACTCTCTTGCCCAGGCTGGGGTTCAGTGGCATGATCACGGCTCACTGCAACCATTTCCTCCCTTGTTCAAGCAATTCTCCTGCCTCAGCCTCCCAAGTAGCTGGGATTACAAGTGTGCACAACCACCCTGGGTAAGTTTTGTATTTTTAGTAAAGATGGGATCAGGAACTCCTGACCTCAGGTGATCTACCCACCTCAGCCTCCCAATGTGCTGGGATTACAGGCATCAGCCATAAGCAGTATTTTCTACAATAGTATGAACATAAAGCCCCAATACTTACTTTGAATGAATCACCTAAATTGTTATTTTAATATTGTTATTTATGCTTTTGAAATATAAAGTGTTTTAACTGAAGTATAGTTACAATTTTTAAAAATGCTACATACATTATGACTAGTTCATTAAAAGTATTCATACTTAAATATTTATATCTAATATAATATCCAAACAAAATTTATTGTTATGATAGATATCAGTCTGACATGCTTATTACTTTATTCAATAGGAATAATTAAAAGTAAACACAATTTTGGTATCTTTTATTTCTTTAAATTGGAATGCTGCTATTACCGGACAAATAAAGACAGGTGATGTGGCCACCCAAACACCATAATAGCTATTCAGTTAGCTATGTTACAAGTTCTAATATATTCCACTATACGAACATAGTCAAATTCTATTTCTTGATCAAAAAGTGTTGTTGGAAGTTGTCAGATGTATTTCAATATAGAACCCCCATTCAATGGCTAGGAGATGAGACAGCAGCAGAGATGGAAAAGAAACTTTTATAAAATTCTTCTGAAAATCTGCCACCTTTCTTCATAAAGCTCATGTTTCTCATGCTGAGAGTAGCTGTGCACATTGGGTGTTTAGAGAGAAATTTCTTTTAGGGGATTATTTTCTGGCTGACTTAGTCAATCTTATATGTATTCTGAGCTTTTTCTTTTTTTTTTTTTAATGCCTCAACTTGCCTTTATTGGATTTCTTTCTAGTGAGAATTTTCACATGACTTTGAAAGTATTTGTTAAAATTGAAAAACTTCCCGTATTTCTCACATTTGTAAGCTTTATATCTAGCACATTCTTATTGCATGTTTTTGTAAGGAGGTGGGCAAGTTGAAAACTCCCACTTTACTTACATTCGAGAAGTTTTCTGCCAGGGTGTATTTTTTCTTTTTTCTTTTTTCTTTTTTTTTTTTAATTGATCATTCTTGGGTGTTTCTCGCAGAGGGGGATTTGGCAGGGTCATAGGACAACAGTGGAGGGAAGGTCAGCAGATAAACAAGTGAACAAAGGTCTCTGGTTTTCCTAGGCAGAGGACCCTGCGGCCTTCCGCAGTGTTTGTGTCCCTGGGTACTTGAGATTAGGGAGTGGTGATGACTCTTAACGAGCATGCTGCCTTCAAGCATCTGTTTAACAAAGCACATCTTGCACCGCCCTTAATCCATTTAACCCTGAGTGGACACAGCACATGTTTCAGAGAGCACAGGGTTGGGGGTAAGGTCACAGATCAACAGAATCCCAAGGCAGAAGAATTTTTCTTAGTACAGAACAAAATGAAAAGTCTCCCATGTCTACTTCTTTCTACACAGACACGGCAACCATCCGATTTCTCAATCTTTTCCCCACCTTTCCCCCCTTTCTATTCCACAAAACCGCCATTGTCATCCTGGCCCGTTCTCAATGAGCTGTTGGGTACACCTCCCAGACGGGGTGGTGGCCGGGCAGAGGGGCTCCTCACTTCCCAGTAGGGGCGGCCGGGCAGAGGCGCCCCTCACCTCCCGGACGGGGCGGCTGGCCGGGCGGGGGCTGACCCCCACCTCCCTCCTGGATGGGGTGGCTGCTGGGCGGAGACGCTCCTCACTTCCCAGACGGGGCGGCTGCCGGGCGGAGGGGCTCCTCACTTCTCAGACGGGGCGGCGGGGCAGAGGCGCTCGCACATCTCAGATGATGGGCGGCCGGGCAGAGACGCTCCTCACTTCCTAGATGGGATGGCGGCCGGGAAGAGACCTCCTCACTTTCCAGACTGGGCAGCCAGGCAGAGGGGCTCCTCACATCCCAGACGATGGGCGGCCAGGCAGAGACGCTCCTCACTTCCCAGATGGGGTGGCGGCCGGGCAGAGGCTGCAATCTCGGCACTTTGGGAGGCCAAGGCAGGCGGCTGGGAGGTGGAGGTTGTAGCGAGCCGAGATCACACCACTGCACTCTAGTCTAGGCACCATTGAGCACTGAGTGAACCAGACTCCGTCTGCAATCCCGGCACCTTGGGAGGCCCAGGCTGGCGGATCACTCGCGGTTAGGAGCTGGAGACCAGCCCGGCCAACACAGTGAAACCCCGTCTCCACCAAAAAAGTACGAAAACCAGTCAGGCGTGGCGGTGCGCACCTGCAATCGCAGGCACTCGGCAGGCTGAGGCAGGAGAATCAGGCAGGGAGGTTGCAGTGAGCAGATATGGCAGCAGTACAGTCCAGCTTCGGCTCGGCATCAGAGGGAGACCGTGGAAAGGAGGGAGAGGGAGAGGGAGAGGGAGAGACAGAGACAGCCTGAGCTTTTTCTTAAGATCGTTTTAACTTCTGTCAAAATCATCTTGCCCAGATGGAGATCTGTTTTTCTCTCCAATGCTTTGTCTGTTTCAGAAGCCCTATTAGTATTCCATGGTGTCTCAATGAGGTGGGCTGTCACAGAAAGAACTTTTGGAGCTATCTCTATTTGGACTCATGCTGGAAATTTAGCAGCATTATTTCCTTGTCACCATTATAAGTAGAACCTGAGACTGAAACACTGGTCTTATTTTGATTATTGTGAAGGTGTAATTCTACCCAGGAGGCCTGCAGGCTCTCCTCCTGCAGCTCAGGCTTCCCTCTCTGATGTGACACTATAGTGCTGCTGTGGCAAATGGGATTCACATAAAATGTGAGCTGTGCTCTGGGCTGTGCCTCAGTGGCAGATGGTAGAAGTCAAGAGAAGACAGTAGCAACCAGGAGAAAGTGAGCAGGAGTGCTGTAGCCCAGTGCCAGGGAGTACAGAGCCACAGCTCTAAAATGTAAATAGCCAAAAAGATAGAACACTATTCAACCATTTTTGTAGCAGAGTGAAAGCCTAGCTTCAGCAGACACCTGGCTTCAAGCTACTAAACTACCTCCTGTTATGAGGATGTGAAAAGTTTATCATCATTGAATATAAGCAATTAGTATACACAGATGGCCTCTTCAATCTCCAGGTGAATTTAGGATGAACGATGTATGACATGGTGCTGCAAATTCTTCTACTTGTGAACTAATTATGGTGACCATCTTTCTGTCTTTGCAGTCTCTTAAGCAGATTGAGTATATGGACATCACATTCAAGTTTAATTGTGTAATAAAAGCATTTTCTTTCTGTTCTATTATTGTGGAGTTTCTCTGGGACTGGAGAAAAATTTTCTTTTAATTATTGTTTCCAAACACTGTCTAGAATTACCAGACATGATATAAACACATAAGGTGCCAACCAGAATTTACTCTAGAGGGGACTTTTTCTCTCAGGCTTCCAGTTAACAGACACGTGCACAGCACAGTGCATGCTGTCCCTTAAATATGCAGGCAGAATTGTGTCTCAGCCTATTTGTTATCTGTAGTCCTCTACAGTCATTTCTAGAGAAGCTAGACCAAATTTCTACAAACTTCACGGGCAGCAATCAGTCATTTCACCTTTTTCAATGACTCTTTTATCTTCAAACCTGAAAGCAATTCAGTGACTATGGAGCCCAGAAACCCAATCACAGTAGCATCTGTGCATTGATTAGACATATAGACATGAGAATCTCCACTTTCCCATTCCTCCTCTTGCCAAAATGCCCACAAATGTGCAGTTAACACCTGCTGCAACTCCAGCCATTCAGGCCCTAAATCTGTAGCTCCAAATTTTGAATCCAGGTCTTGAGATTTGGGAAATAAAAAACTTTTATCTGAAAAATGCAAGTCTTTCTGGTTATCAAACTCAGAGAGACATTAAAGTGAAAGTGCAGTTATGTCTTTCTCCCACTTTGAACTATTTATTCATTTCTTGAAAATGTTTGCTATTGCCACAAGTAGTTATAAATTAAAATAATAATGCCATATTGGACATTATATTTCATACCCTAAACCATAATGATATATATCTAATCAATAATCAAAGTTATTTGTTTAAATAAATAAAAATTTCTAACAGACAACTTTGTATCAGCCCACTCTCTGTCCCTCTCTTGTTGTCTTTACAAATCCTTTTGTAATTGCTGCTAATTGAAGTGTAGATTCCAGGTCTCTGTTTCATCTGTAAACTTTAAAGAGCCAGCAAATAATATAAAACTTTAGGATGGAGATGGGTTGTCCTTATTTGTGCCAGAAGCATTTGGTTGTGACAAAAGTGCTAAGGGTAAGGGACCCTGAGCTGTGCCTGCTTCTCTGACTAATGCTAATAATGAGCCCGGGGGAGCAACATCAGCATTCACAGGGGACTTGTATAAAACAACCATTCCTGGACCCTTTTCAAGCTTCCAGAATCACTTTACATAAAGTGGGGCCAAAATTACCAAGTGATTTAGAAGCTCGTTAAAGCTTGAGAGGCAATGATTAACTTAGTGATTATCAGCCCAGGCTTCTCATTAGGATCACATGGCTAATTTGCAGAAATCTCTTATGCCCTCTCCACAGCTTGTTTATTGTTCTGGGTGGAAGCATCCATGTTGTTTTAACGAAGGGCCTCATATGGCTCTAAGGTGAGACCAGAATCAAGTATGATTGCTTCAAAACACATTCATGAGAGTTAAGTTCCACCTTTGCACTAAAGGGTGGTCACAGGGCCTGTTCTGTTTGAATTTGGTAGGGACAGGTCAGTGTGGTGCATATTTCCATTACTGTAGCAGAAATTACTGGTGTCTGTGGCAGGGGAGGGCACCTGAGGACAGCAAAAGAGATACATTTTTATTTTCATGGAGCAGCTCATTGTTTCTGAGTCTCATTGTTTTAAAGGACAGAAATGGGTGGACTTTTTCTGTCTTTGTTTTTCTGCCAGTTGATGTCATGCTAGCAGGTAAACATGTGGCACTGACACTTTTAAAGGCATATTCTCAAGCTGGGGGTGTAATTTGTTCAGAGAATCTCATCTCAGAAAAAATTCCAGAGAAAAATGAGAAAGAAAAAAAAATGGCTTTTCTTTAAGTAAACAGGTGTCAGATGAAGAACTGTGTCCACTCTGCCTCCTGGACTGCCATGAATTTACTACTCACAAACCTTTCCTTCTCTGCTTGTGTTTTTGCTCCCTAATGAGTTTGGTTTAACTACTTGTTAAAATTATGATAGTCAAGGGTCTCTGAAAAATGTTTCTTTCCTATATCCCAGAGCCTTCTCTACATTCTCAACGTGATAGCTTCTTATATGCCATGCAAAA
The DNA here is from genome assembly GCF_000001405.40 of Homo sapiens. Taxonomy (NCBI): domain Eukaryota; kingdom Metazoa; phylum Chordata; class Mammalia; order Primates; family Hominidae; genus Homo; species Homo sapiens. The sequence continues at coordinate 20,134,396 of NC_000019.10, read as the reverse complement.
TTCTCAGCAAGAATTTATGACCCATAACATTAAAAATGTTCCCTTTGTGGATACTCAAGATTTCTATTGGGGAAAACTGTGGTCCTTAGTAAAGATGGTGGACATGTAATGTTTAGGGTCCATCTCTGTGTTAAATTAGCTCTATGCAGAACAGGATTAAGAAAATGCTTATTTAGGCTGGATGCAGTGGCTCACACCTGTAGTCCTAGCACTTTGGGAGGCTGAGGCAGGTGGGTCACCTGAGGTCAGGAGTTCGAGACCAGCCGGACCAACATGGTGAAACCCCATCTCTACTAAAAATACAAAAAAACAAAACAAAACAAAAACATAGCCGGTCATTGTGGCGCATGCCTGTAATCCCAGCTACTTGAGAGGCTGAGGCAGGAGAATCGCTTGAACCCAGGAGGTGGAGGTTGCAGTGAGCTGAGATTGCATCATTGCACTCCAGCCTGGGTGACAAGAGCGAAACTCTGTCTCAAAAAAAAAAAAAAAATGCTTATTTAAATGGGATGGCATTTATTACCCAGAAAGTTCTGAAAAAAATTATTAGGAGATACCTGCTCTCTAGGGTGTTAAATGAAGCCTACTTAAAATTACTACTAAAAATTACAGAACATAGGCATTATCTGTGTTTTGAAGTTTGCATAAATTCAGACTATAATTTACTTTTTTGGGGAGGAATATTTCAAGAGTGATGCTGTGTTCTTCTGGGTGCATTAGCACACAATAAAAATTTGTCCTAGTGCAGTTAATAGTTAATGATTCGATTGGTGAAATAGCTTTCTGATTTTTCACTATAATTATTTTTCGCTGTATTATTAGGTATGTTTATGCCGCTGGCGTGCATAAACCATCACATTCAATCTGGCAGCTGCCCTTTTTTCTTATTTTTTTCTACATATTTTTCTTTGGAAAATGAAGACTCTTATCTTTGTTTACAGGCTAGAAAAAGTGGGAAAAACACCGACACTTCCACTTCCTGGATGTTTGACAACATATCCTTCTTGAGCCAAAAACATTGGCATTACTGATGAGCCTGTTAGAAATTCAAAAAATTGGCCAGGTGTGGTGGCCCATGCCTATATTCCCAGCACTTTGGGAGGCCGAGGTGGGCAGATCACCTGAGGTCAGGAGTTTGAGACCAGCCTGACAAACATGGAAAAACCCCATCTCTACTAAAAATACAAAAAAAAAAAAAAAAAATTAGCCAGGCATGGTGGCACATTCCTGCAATCCCAGCTACTCAGGAGGTTGATGCAAGACAATTGCTTGAATCTGGGAGGTGGAGGTTGCAGTTAACCAAGATTGCACCATTGCACTCCAGCCTGGGCAACAAGCATGAAACTCCATCTCCAAAAAACTAAAAATAAATAAATAAATCAGACTTTATTCCAGCTCTTCTGCGGAAAAATATTAAAAAAACCTGCATGAGAAGGTCTTCAGCTTATTGTATATATTAAAATTTGAGGTGCCTTCTAACTCATCTTTTCCTTTTGAAAAATATTCACAACTCATTTCATATGATGAAATAGCACTCAAAAATGTACGTTTATGCCTTTAATTTTATACTTTATTATCTAGAAAAATATCACATATGAACTGATGTTGTGTATCTTATGCTGCTGTTTTTTCTCAGAGTTAGAGAATACATTAAATAATATTTCTGTGATGAAAATTATTTTATTGGATAATTTTAGTGAGTCTTATAAGTCAGAACCATTTGTCTTTTATCTTTCATTTCACCTTAAGTCAAATTAAAAATTCCACCTATGGCCACTTGGTAAAAATGTGTGTGTGTGTGTTTTCCAGGGACCATTGCAGTTTAGAGACGTGGCCATAGAATTCTCTCTGGAGGAGTGGCATTGCCTGGACACTGCACAGCGGAATTTATATAGGGATGTGAAGTTTCAGAACTACAGAAACTTGGTCTTCCTTTGTGAGTATAACTTTAATACATAATTCATAATATACCCTAAAAGTTTTATTTCCCTTTTTTGTGGAATGTTTCTGGGTACTTTATTCTTTGCATAAAAGTGTTTCAGATGCCCCTTTTCCAGAAAATCTTCAGGATTCTTTCATTTAGAAGATAATTTCTTCAAGATGTTTCATCTTAATCCAAACTTTCCACATTCCTCAGTTGAGTGTATTCTTCACTCTAAATTAGTGGCAATTCCAAAATTTACTGGCATGAAATATTGTTGCCCCCACCTGAAAATCTAATTGCCACCACCAATTTTTGATTCAGTAGTACCAGGTAGTAAAATTAAGAAACCTAAAAAGTGAAAGTATTTTCTAAATATTTAGAAATTTCTATTATGAATTAGTATTTTGGTATTAATTTACTAGACTATTTTATTACATCCTCTCTGCTTAGCACATTACTAGCTTCTAATTGAAGAATATGAGCAAGATTCATGGTATTTATTTTTAATAAACAGGTATTGTTGTCAAGGAAAAAAAACCTTTGACTATGAAGAGACATGAGATGATTGCCAAACCCCCAGATAGGTAGAGTGAAAATGAATACAACAGGCTGGGTTCAGTGGCTCACACTTGTAATCCCAGCAATTTGGGAGGCCTAGGCAGGTGAATTACAAGGTCAATAGTTTGAAACCAGCCTAACCAACACAGTGAAACCACGTCTCTACTAAAAATACAATAATTAGCCAAGCATAGTGTCATGCGCCTGTAACCTCAGCTACACAGGAGGCTGATGCAGGAGAATCGCTTTGAACCCAGAAGGTAGAGGTTGCAGTGAGCCAAGATTATGCCACTGCACTCCATTTTGGGTGACAGAGTCATCTCAAAAAAAACAAAAAAAAAAAAGAAGAAAATGAATACAACAGACAACACAGATAAGAGGTCCCAAGGTCAAAGAGAAAGTCAGTCCTTAAATGTGATTTGGGAAGCTGTGTTCCAAAGGAAATCATTCGTGGAAAGCTGCTTTTGTTTGTTTGTTTATTTTTTTGTTTTTAATTGGCTCTCACAAAGGGGCATCTTCTGTCTGATGCTTTTAAATAAGGATTCTACTTTTCTTTCGCTGAGCTTCTTTCAGCTTCACAGGGAGAGCCAAATTCATCTTCATGACATATAACAGACTGCATAGACTGGGCGTGGTGGCTCACGCCTGTAATCCCAGCACTTTTGGGAGGCCGAGGCAGGTGGATCACCTGAGGTCAGGAGTTTGAGACTAGCCTGGCCAATATGGTGAAACCTTGTTTCTACTAAAAATACAAAAATCAGCCAGGCATGGTGGTGGGTGCCTGTAATCCCAGCTACTAGGCAGGCTGAGGCATGAGAATCACTTGAACCCTGGAGGCAGATGTTGCAGTGAGCAGAGATTATGCCACTGCACTCCAGCCTGGGTGACAGAGTGAGACTCCGTCTCAAAAAAAAAAAAAAAAAAAAAAAAGAAAATTATGCATTAGATCACTTTTTGCATCAAGTCTGAAATGTGTGAGAGTAGTAGTTTCTGTTGCATTTTTTTAATTCATTTCTCTGCACAGTACATTCTGTTTTTATTACTATATAGTCTTGAAATATAGTTTGAAATTTTAAGTATGATATCCTCCTGCTCTGTTCTTTTTCTTCATGATTGCTTTGGCAATTCAAAGTTTATTTTAGTTTCATGTAAATTTTAGAATTGTATTTTCCATTACTGTGAAAAAAAATCACTGCAATTTTGATAGGAAGTTTATTGAATCTATAGATTACTTTGGATAATGTGGTACTTTAATAATATTATGTCAATCCATAGACAAAGTATTTTAAAATTTATTTGTATCTTCTCTAATTTTTTTATTTTTTCTTTATTGTAAAGATTTTTTCCCTCCTTGGTTAATTTTTTCCTCAGAAATTTATGATTTAATGCTTTAGAAAATAAAATTTTTGCAGTGGCTCATGCCTGTAATCCTAACACTTTGGGAGGCTGAGGCAGGCAAATCATGAGGTCTGGAGATCGAGACCATCCTGGCTAACACAGTGAAATCCCGTCTCTACTAAAAATACAAAAAATTAGCTGGGCATGGTGGCATGTGCCTGTAGTCTCAACTACTTGGGAGGATGAGGCAGGGGAATCACTTGAACCTGGGAGGCAGAGGTTACAGTGAGCCTAGATTGCACCACTGCACTCCAGTCTGGTGGCAGAGCTAGACTCCGTGTCAAAAAAAAAAAAAGGAAAACAGTAATAATGGTAGTGTGTGCCAGGATTGAGATATCTTCCCAGTATTGCTTTCCCCAAGCCCCTCTATTCCCAATTAACCATTTATTTCACTGACATTGGGGCAGTGAGCCGAGATCGCACCATTGCACTCCAGCCTGGAGAGAGACTGAGACTGTCTCAAAATAAATAAATAAATAAGATTATTTTCTTCCTCTATTTTATTAGATAGTTTAAGTGTGTGAAACCATACATATACTTGTATGTTAATTTTATATTTTGCTAACTTACTGAGTGTATTTATTAGTTTAGACAGGTTTTAATGTACTGTTTATGGTTTTTTTTAAATATAAGATTGTATGATCTACAAACAGCAGCACCTTAATTATTTTTCTTCAATTTCAATGGATTTTTTTATTTCTTTGACTAGTTCTTCGGCCACATACTTCCAGTGCTACATTAAAATAGAAGCATTGGCAATAGGCACAATATAGCTTTGTATTGGTGTCTGAATTTGATGGAGCAAACACCTCTTCAGGGTTTCATATACTGATTTTATAAGGTAAAGATCTTCTTTTGTTGGGCCCTTAGAGTGATGAGATGCCCTCTGAATTTGTAGTGAAGAGGGGTTGCAGCTTTATCACAAGGCTGCTGGGTCTGCACTAGGGTCCACCTTCAGTTGGCTTGTTACAGGGGCTTGGGTAGTTGTAATTCCCAGTTTATTTTTGAGCACACTGCATATCCTTCAGGACTTTGCTCCATAGGGCAGACACTAGGGCATGTTTTTTCAGTCAGCTCTGCATATGGTGGGCCTTGTATCAGGATGTGGATGAGTGTGGCTTTCACTGTATATGAGAGAGCATTTCCTGAGGTAATTGGGTAGGTTTCTATGTAGGCAGAACTGGCCATGAACTGTGGCTCAGGTAAGTGAAACTGAGTCATTAAACTGCTTCAAGGACCACAGTAAAGGCCAAGTTCTGCAGGCCTGTCTACATGGCTGTAAACGAGTACCTTCCTCCCAAGTGTCTGGAATGGCAAGACCTCTGCCAGACTGTACCTGGGAGGAATTTGGGATGGTTACAGAGTAAGTTCTGAATTCTTACTGGGACCAAGTTGGGTGAACCCGATCCTGGTCTGTAGCCAGGAAGAGCGGTCCTGTAGTTTCCCACATGAATGAGGACCTGCCTTCTGAATAGAACACTTCTCAATCTTAAGCTTTAACAGTGTTTCACAACTGCAACCCTGGATCTCAAATAACTCTTAGAGACATTATTTTGGAGATGGCGTCTTGCTACATAACCCAGGCTGGTCTCCATATCCTGGCCTGAAGCAGTTCCATAACCTTAATGTACCATGTAGCTGTCATTACAGGTGTGAGCCATAATGTCTCGTTCTCTAATAAAGGCATGCCAGGGAAGGCTGACATTGTTTTGCTGTAAGGGGAGATGAAAATGAGCACTTTTAGTCTTTTCATCTTACTGATGTCACTCTCCCTATACATTTTTACTTTCTATTTTCTATATCAAATTTGTCTATAATTTTAGATTTATACAGTTAGGACAATATGCTAGAATTTGCATGGTATGCCTGAAATAAATTAGATAATTAGTAGGCACTCCATATTTACTAAAATAATTACTTATAAATTTAAATTTGCTGCAGGCAAAAAGGAATTATAGAATTTTCATCTACTTACTTCAGCCTATATCAAATAATACCATAGTTTTTTCCTAATATTTGTTTTACATATCAGAGGTTCTAACACTATTCTTAAAATAGTTATATATTTTCTATATTTAACAATGTAAGACTATTCTTTGCTTCTAAAGTTGGATTGCAGCAGTTTCATTTTGTGTAAGAATAGCATACATTTAAAACATAAAAAGTAACTCAAGTTTCTTTTAAAGGCTTCCTTATGGAAAGTTTCTTATTAGAATCTTCTATGTATAAATATACTGCATATTCTCTGAAATTTTACTGCCACACAGTGCATGCCAATGATTCAAAAGATCTGCAGTTGGTGAGTACACCGTAACAGTTACATATTACAGTTACCTAGACTATATATATATATATATATATATATATATTTTTTTTTTTTTTTTTTTTTTTTTGACAGAGACATGATCTGTCACCCAGGCTGGAGTGCAGTGGTGTGATCTTGGCTTATTGCTGCCTCCATTTCCCAGGTTCAAGCAATTCTCATGCCTCAGCCTGCCAAGTAGCTAGGATTACAGTCATGTGCCACCATGCCCAGCTAATTTTTGTATTTTTACTAGAGAAGGGGTTTCACCACATTGGCCAGGCTGGTCTTGAACTCATGACCTGAGGTGATACACCTGCATTGGCCTCCCAAAGTGATGAGATAGCAGACGTGAGACACCATGCCCAAACTGACAAACTTTTTTAATGATACATCGATGTTGCGTACCAGAGTTTATGAGTAAACATTTTTCTTAATCACTGTCTTGCAGTTCCATGTGTGTTTTTTCAGTGTAGGTTTTTTCTTTTTTCTTTTTTTTTCCTTCAGGTTAGGTAAATTCAATCAGCTACTTAGCTCAGTGAAGATGTATTCAAACCAAGCCACACACCACATCACATTTTTTTTTCCATAAATGTAAAAATGTAAAAATGTTTTTAATAACCTGGCACCCGGGTGTTTTTAATTCTGCTCTCAGTAAACCAGTCTAGTGAGGTTTTGTTCATGTATCTAGGAACCACCAGAAATGCTTGACAACAGTTGGCTGAGACTTTCTCGCAAAGAAGATTTGACCTGGCAAATAAGAGCCATCTATGACACTTCAGTGAATGTTCACTATCACCCATTTGAAATGTGGCCAAATACCATGTACTATTATATTTGCTTCCATCATCACCTGTCTACTAAAAGGAGACCTATACTTTTTTTTCATAACCTTAAATACCCAACTTCTGCCACAAAAACAAAAAGATAAGAGTGTGATTTTACATCACACATTCTTGGAAAAAAAATAGAGTTCTTGTCTTGGTGGAAGTTCTAAAGAGCGGGTGAGAGACTAAATGACTACCAGGAGCTAGATAATTGCTGTTTTACTATCAAATGTTCATTTTCATTTCTACATTGTCTCAAGTTATGTTAATATAAAGTAATAACTTTTATCCAGGAAATTTCAAAAAAGCTTATTTTTTCATCAGCCATAATAGTAATCAAAGACAGAGAAATGAAGGCTTTTACATGTCATAATTTATATTTTAAAATTAACATGCTTCTAGAAATAAAAAAGGAAAGGAAGAAAGAAATATACAAACTAATCAGCCTGGTCAACATGGTGAAAGCCTGCCTCTACTAAAAATACAAAAATTAGCCGGGTTTGGTGGTGCACACCTGTAATCTCAGCTACTTGGAATGCTGAGGCACTAGAATTGCTTGAACCTTGGAGGCGGAGGTTGCAGTGGGTCAAGATCACGGCACTGCCCTTCAGCTTGAGCGACAGAATGAGACTCCATCTGAAACAAAACAAAAACAAAACAAAAGAGAAGGAAAGAAGCAGATTACTCACAATACCTAAGGTATGGAATCAACCTAGATGTCCATCAATAGGTAAATGGAAAAAGAAAATGTGGTGTATGTACACAATGCAATGCTATTCAGTCCTTAAAAATAAGAGTCTTGTTATTTGCAACAACATTCATGAACCTGAACGATATTATGCTAAGTAAAATAAGCCAGCACAGGAAAACACACACACAAAATTTTTTTGTTTTGTTTTTGAAATGGAGTTTTGCCTAGGCACGCGATGGTTCAGTGGTACCATCTCGGCTCACTGCAACATCTGCCTCCTGGTTTCAAGCGATTTTCCTGCCTCAGCCTCCCCCATACCTGGGATTACAGGCGCACACCACCACTCCTGGCTAATTTTTATATTTTTAGTAGAGACAGTGTTTTGCCGTGTTGGCCAGGCTGGCCTCAAACTCCTAACCTCAAGTGGTCCACCCACCTCAGCCTCTGAAAGTGCTGATTATAGACCACCGTGCCCAGTCCACATAATCCTATTTCTATGTAAAGTGTAAAAAAAAAAAAATTAAACTCACCAGGTGCAGGGGCTCATGCACGTAATCCCAGCACTTTGGAAGGCCAAGGTGAACAAATCACGAGGCCAGGAGCTCGAGACCAGCCTCACCAACATGAGGAAACCGCACCACAACTAAAAATGCAAAAATTAGTCAGGCGTGGTGGCACACACCTGTAATCCCAGCTACTCAGAAGGCTGAGGCAGAATCGCTTGAACCCAGGAGGTGGAGGGAGCAGTTAGTCGGGATCATGCCGCTGCACTCTGGCCTGGTCAACAGAGCGAGACTGTCTCAAAAAAAAAAAAAAAAAATTTAAACGCATAGAAGCAGAGAGTAAAATGATGAAAAAAAAATCCCCTATGAGGTTTTCTTCTATTTAGGAGAGCTTCTTCATTATCTTTCAGAGATTATATTTTCTTCCATCTTCCGCATCCTCCTGTTCTTCAGCCAATAAATGAAAAAAGATACAGAGAAGACACATTTGCTTTTTATCCACTGCACTTCCACTCACTATTAGTCAATGTGGTTACAGCTGAGAATAGCAGTTTTCTGGCAGGGCAGCCACTTCTCAGCAATAAACAGCACACTGAAAAAAAAGGATAAATCCTTCATAAAAAGCTAATGAACTTTTTTTTTCCTGGAAACTTTAAAATCCCTCAAAAACTGTTTATTATACAGGTGAATTTTGATAGTCATGATGGGCTTATCGGTAGGATTTCTGGTAGCAAGCACGGGCACCAGGACCTCCAAACTTTTTGGACTTGCAGCGACGGGGATCAGCTACCAGCAGGGTCCGGTCATACTGGATGAGGATGTCTTTGATCTCCTTCTTGGAAGCCTCATCCACATATTTCTGGTAATAGGCCACCAGGGCTTTGGAGGTGGACTGACGGATAGCATAAATCTGGGCCACATGAGCACCACCCTTCACACGGACACGGATGTCCACACCAGCAAATCGCTCCTTGCCAAGAAGCAGAACTGGCTCCAGCAGCTCGTATTGTAGCATGCGCGGCTCAGTCATCTCCAGGGGCTGCCCGTTCACCTTGATGAGACCATTGCCGCGTCTGCAGTGCGCCACAGCTGTGGCTGTCTTCTTGCGTCCGAAGACTTGCACCGATTGCAGCGGGCCCTTGGACGGCATGGCTGCGAGCGTGGACTAGAGAACCTCACCGCGCGGCGCTGCAACCGGAAAAGGCAAAAAGCTAATGAACTTTAAGAAAAACAGGCATATGCATCACTAATGCTTGCGGTAAAATAAAGATTCATTTTGTTGATTGCTATTGAGCTCTGGTACTATTTAACCAAAAGCTAGCAAATATACAGCCGACAAAACATGTTATTTTAAATAGGAATACTGTGAATGGTTATTTTGTCAATATAATTAAGAATATGACATCACACTAATAGTCTCACTTATAGTTGTATAACATCAAATGCTATTTTTAATTAAAAATTTCATATAAGTATTCAATTTATGTCACCCTCCTTTGCTATTTCAAAGCCTTCTCCACTTTGTATGAGTGGAAAACAGGCCAGCAGTTCCCAGGAAAGCACGTGGCGCTATTGCTACTTTAACAATGATCGTGAAGAGCATTTGTTTCGGTGCGACTCGTGTCAAACACTGTTCAAATATGTTTTATGGGATTTCATTGACATTTAAGTGTCTAAATTATCTGGAATTTAACATTTTTCATGAACCTAAATTGAATAATCTTTTACTAAAAGCTTTTCCGAGGCAGAGAAAGATTTATATCATTTTATTATCATATGGAAGAAGTGTGTTAACCATGTTTTCAGTAATCACTCTGAACACAGCATTCTCAGCTCCCAGTATGCATCCTTAGTCACTCAGGGGAAACTGGTTTCTCTGTGAAGAGGTAGAAGAAAATGCTGAGTGGAGGCACCACACTGCACAGCAATGCTTTCCACATGCACCTATGAGGGTCTTCATTTAATTGGGCTGTTATTTGCATGGCTAGATACTTACTGAATTTAGTCATACTATTTTTTAGCAGCTAATGGCATCTGTTACCCATTAATTTTATACATTTGCTTTTTGAAAAACAAATCTTTTGTTAATTTACTCTAATTGAGACTACATTTACAATCTTCAATTTTTCAATGTTAAAGCAAATCAGAGAAGAGCAATGTGTGTATATAGTGTGCATTTTCCTGCCTATCAAAGTTTTCCCTTCATTGCATTGGAAACCCAAGGAAGCCACCTATAAAATACTCCCATTCAACACTTTGGCCTGGATTTTAGATTTCAGAAGGTCAAAAACAATGACTGAGCAAAGCCAAAATCTTGTTTTTGTTTCTTGTTAGTAATCTGGCCATTTCCAAAAGCATAGCAATTACGCCAAGCCATTGAAAAGATGTGGTTTTTATTAATTTTGTCCGTTTCCAATGTTTTATCTATTTGTTACTTTTATCACGTTAATTATTTAAAATAAACTACATAACCAATCATGCATTCAAGAAATCTTAAGGTGTTTACACTTTAATCTTGTATTACAGTATAGTAGAATCCTCTATAATTAGAAGTTAATTATTTATGAATTCATTGTTTTTAAGGTTTTTCAAATGTGAAAAACAATTAGGTATGATTTGAAATAAGTTCAATTCTAGGACATTACCCACTGGTCTTCATGGTATTTCTGTAATGGATAGTGTAAATGCAGACATGCTGATTGAATTAGAATGAGTTCAGCCTTGTTGGTAAACTATTGGTATCCCAGAGGCTGACCATTCACTACAGCTTACTAAATGTTGTTCCATAATGCCAGAGAGCACTTTTACCCAGGTTACCATTTTCCTCCCATTTATGTGGTTCTGTTGTGGTCTCCTGCTTCTCTTAAGCTATCCCAGGTGAGAGGTGATTATTTCTTGCATGAATGAGATTTCCTTTTTTTCCCTGTCATAGGATCCTTAGATTCTCCCTACTGGAAGCAACATGCAGAAGGGCAGGAATGATAACAATGTACAAATATGTTTTCTGCCATGTGGTCACCATAAGCAGCTTGCAACATGGCCCACCTAGAAGTCACTTACTTTCAGGCAAGCAGGGGTGTTTTTCTATGATGTGTCTTTCTCTTAAAAGCACCTCTGATTAAGTTTAGCACAGTCAGGACAATCTCCATTTTGATAAACACAAAGTCAACACATGAGTAACCTAATTTCTTGAGTGATTTTCCCACCAGTTGCACATTTTTTTACACTCAAGGAAAAAGTATTACACAGCAGGTGTGCAACAGACTGGGAATCCAGCGTATTATCTTAGAATGTTACCTACCCACTTGAATAAAATTTTAAAATAGTCTTTCTGCTGTTTTGTTATCTACGTAAACAAAGACATTATGTGCAAATAATAATTAACTACTTTCCAGTTTTATTCATTACAAATATTAGCTAACATCTTTTTTTCTGGCTTAAATTATTTTGTCCTTATGTACCAATTTATACATTCGCACACACATAGAACAACAAAAATATACCCAATTATATACTTTTGGTTACATTTTCATTAAAATAAGTGTTATAAATAATTTGTTTGTTTGAAGAGGGCTTTTATTGTTGTACTCAAGAGTGTTATTTATGGAGACAAAATTGCCTGTGCTTCAATAGGCAGATTCTGGAAAGAATTTGAAACATAAGCTATAAAATTTTACATTAATAAATTCAATACAAAGCAGAAAGTGTAGATTTGCTTTCAACATTTTGAAGGTGTTTTCTGTTATTCACCAAATTAAAATAAGTTGTTTTGTTTCAATAATTGTGCTTTTCTTCTGAAAATATGTACCAAAGCAAACTCACAAATACACTTACTCACTTTATATTTTTCTTACACCTAAGGTTTACCTTCAGAGTAATATGTGGATATTTCACTCTATGAAAATTAAAACTAAAACTCTTGTGTTTGCAGGCAGAGAAACCACAAGTTTATAGAAAACTATGTAACAAATATTTATTAATAATTTTTCAGGACTCAGAAATGTTGCCTAGGCTGGAATGCAGTGGTGCAATCTCGGATCACTGTAAACTCCACCTCCCTTGTTCAAGCTATTCTCCTGCTTCAGCCTCCACGCAGGTGCTCCTATGCCTGGCTAATTTTTATATTTTTAGAGACAGGGGTTCCCCATGTTGGCCAGGCTGGTCTTGAAATCTTGACGTCAGGCAATCCAGCTGCCTCAGCCTCCCAAATGGTTGGGATTACAGGCATGAGCCACTTCATCTGGCCATATTCTTTTTATATTTCTGTATAATTTTTATTACGACCATAAAAATAACCCTGTAGTCAATTAAAATTTAATTGTACATTTTCAAATAACTAAAAGTGTATAATTACACTGTAATACAAAGGATAAATGCTAGACGTGATGGATACCTTATTTACCCTAATGTAATTACTACATATTGTAGTCCTGAATCACAGTATGCCATATAAAGCATAAACGTAAACACATACTATATACCCACAAATACTAAGAATAAATTTCTGTAAGAATAAAAATTTAACCTATGGGAAAAATATTCTTCAACTCAATTAATTTAAAGCCACTGGCAAAGTGATTACTAATGATGTTATTCTACTATATACCAAATAGTATACTGCTACCATCTTGTAACTATACCCTTGAGTAAGGTGGGATAGGTTAAAGTTAGTGGCATAATATGGCTTCATTAAATGCAAAATAGTCTTAATATGGTAAAAAATAAAATAAAACTAGGCCAATCTCAGCACTTTGGGAAGCCGGGGCAGGTGGATCACTTGAGCTCAAGAGGTCGAAACTAGCCCGACTGATATGGTGAAACAATTAGCCGGGCATGGTGGCACACACCTGTAGTCCTTGCTACTTGGGAGACTGAGGCAGGAGAATCGCTTGAACTTGGGAGGTGAAGGTTGCAATGATCACACAGAGATTGCGCTGCTGCACTCCAGCCTGGATGAGAAAGTGGACTCCATCTCAAAAAAAAAAATAAATGGATACAACAAAATTAACTTCACACACAATCTAACAATTTTTTAATGTAGTGTATTTTATTACATAAAATTAGTAAAATAATACAGTAATTTAATATACCTTTAACTGTAATTCATAATTTCTCTCACTATAATGTAGAAAAGTATTACTCTGAACACTACCTTATACATTACTTAATATAGGTCAAATACGAACAGCCTGTCCACTTATATTTTCATCATGCATCTTACATTTTAATATCCTTTCTCTTTAATAGAAAAGGTTATAAGGAATGCCCAATAAAGAATCTGTAATATCTCTGATGCAGCATCAATTGATCACATGCTTTCACATGTGAATAGAAATAAAGTAACAGCATAAATTTGAAAGCTCTATTACCTTATTCACTTTTCAAAAATTTTTTCTCAAGAAAGCAAGTATACTTTCAATGTAATTACAATGCTTCAAAAAACCTTTTAAAGCTATATATAATTTATCTAACAATTTTTGTTGTGGATTCTTTTTTATACTCAACACTGTTTTAGTGTAATGTCTGAAGTATCAGTGCCTTATTCTACTGTAAATTCTCTGATATTTACATGGAATTCATTTTGAATTAAATATTTTTTATATTTACTGTTTCTGCAAACATATATTTTAGTATCAACTCTCTGGTGTTTTCTAAGCTGTAGTTTTTGAAAAAAAATTTGTTTCCAAATTCACTACATTTGCAGGATTCTTCTCTAACATAAATTCCCTGTTGTTGAACAAAGCTGGAGCAACTGCTTCAGGGTTTTCCTCTAGTACAAAATGTGTGCAATGAAATCTGTGATGCAAGTAAAGGTAATACAACCCCCTTTATATGTGTAATGGTTGTCTTCAGAATACTCTTCTTCACTTTAAAGGCTTCTATTTTCTGAAAGATTTCTTGAGCATAATTGCACTTTAAATGCTTTCATTAACTGTGAACCACCTTCTGTTGGGTAAGATGTGAGTAGGCATTAATGGGTTTTCCATATTTTTTATAATTGTGCAATTTTTCTCAAGGATACTAGCTTTCCTGTGAAATAAGGTGTATGCACTGATTAAAAAGTTTTCCCACATTCTTCACACTTGTAGGAGTTTTGCCAGTATGAATTATCTTACCTACAATCAAGTCTTGCAACCATATAAAGGATTTGTCAAATTTTCTATTATTTCTAGGGTTTCACACTAGTATAATCATCTTTATGTACAGAAAAGTTGGAGGTGGTGGTAAAAGCACTGTCACATCTTTCAAGTTTGTAAAGTTCCTCTTCAGCATGAATTATCACCATGTCTCTTAAGAACTGAGAACTTGTGGCTGGGCATGGATGCTCATGACTGTAATCCCAGCATTTTAGGAGGCCAAGGTGTGTGAATCACAGTTGGAGACCAGCCTGTTAAATATGGCAAAACCCTGTCTCTACCAAAAATACAAAAATTAGTTGGGCATGGTGGTGGAGGCTGAAGCAGGTTAATGGCTTGAACCAGGAGGAAGAGGTTGCAGTGAGCAGAGATCGTGCCATTGCACTCCAGGCTGGGTGAGAAGCATGAAACTCCTTCTTAAAAAAAAAAAAAAAGAATTGAGAACTTGTTATAGGCTTTGCTGCATTTTTCACACCTGTAGAGTTTCCGTCCAGTATGAATTATGTGTAGTAAGGGTTGAGAACTTCCTTAAAATGATTTGTCACATTCTTTATTTTTGTAGGAGTTATGTTTCATATAAATTCTCATATTTAGTAAGAGTAGAGGGGTGGTCAAAGGCTTTCCAACAGTCATCACATTTATACGGTTTCTCTCCAGTATGAATTATCTTATGTTTATTAAGGGTTGAGGAATATTTCAAAGATTTGCCATGTTCTTCACTATGTAGGCTTTCTGTCCAATATGAATCCTCTTATGTGTATTAAGGTCTGAGGACAAGTTAAAAGCTTTGCCACATTCTTCACATTTGTAGGGTTTCTCTCCAGTATGACTTATCTTATGACTAGTAAGCTGTGAGGAGCGCTTAAAGGCTTTGCCACATTCTTCACATTTGTAGGGTTTCGCTCCAGTATGAATTATCTTATGTTTACTAAGGACTGAGGAGCGCTTGAAGGCTTTGCCACATTCTTCACATTTGTAGGGATTCTCTCCACTGTGAATTATCTTATGTGTGCTAAGGGCTGAGGAGTACTTGAAGGCTTTGTCACATTCTTGACATTTGTAGAGTTTCTCTTCAGTATGACTTATCTTATGTGTAGTAAGGTTTGAGGAGCGCTTGAAGGCTTTGCCACATTCTTCACATTTGTAGGGTTTCTCTCCACTATGAATTATCTTATGTGTGCTAAGGGCTGAGGAGCGTTTGAAGACTTTGTCACATTCTTGACATTTGTAGGGTTTCTCTTCAGTATGACTTATCTTATGTATAGTAAGTGTTGAGGAGCGCTTGAAGGCTTTGCCACATTCTTCACATTTGTAGGGTTTCTTTTCACTATGACTTATCTTATGTTTATAAAGGAGTGAGGATGAAATAAATGCTTTGCCACATTTATCACACTTGTAGGGTTTCTCTCCAGTATGAATTCTCTTATGTGTACGAAGGACTAAGGAGCGCCTGAAGGCTTTGCCACATTCTTCACATTTGTAGGGTTTCTCTCCAGTATGGATTCTCTTATGTGTACTAAGGATTGAGGAGAGCTTGAAGGCTTTGCCACATTCTTCACATTTGTAGGGTTTCTCTTCAGTATGACTTATCTTATGTACATAAAGGATCGAGGATGAAATAAATGCTCTGCCACATTTATCACACTTGTAGGGTTTCTCTCCAGTATGAATTCTCTTATGTGCAGTAAGGGTAGAGGAATACTTTAATTCTTTGCCACAATCTTCACATTTGTACCGTTTCTCTCCAGTATGAATTCTCTTATGTGCAGTAAGGGTAGAGGAATACTTTAATTCTTTGCCACAATCTTCACATTTGTACCGTTTCTCTCCAGTATGAATTCTCTTATGTGAAGTAAGGTGTGAGGACCTGTTGAAGGCTTTGCCACATTCTTCACATTTGCAGGTTATCTCTCCAGTATGAATTTTCTTATGTGTAGCAAGGGTTGAGGACTGGTTGAAAGCTTTGCCACATTCTATACATTTGAAAGGTTTTTTTCCAGTATCTCTTATCTTATGTCTGTTTGAATTTGAAAATATATGAGAGACTTTCACATATGTATCACATTGAAATACTTTGCTCTGGGTAGCTGTCAAACATTGGTTAAGTCCATTATAACCTCTTTTGTGTACTTTACCCTCATCCACACTTTCACAACCTTTTTTTAACTCTAAATTGCCATATTCACGTTTTTCATATCTTGTCACTATCACTTTTTGGAAGGAATCTTTTAGGCTCTGCTCTGGACAAAGGTCTTGGGCAAAATGAAAACACATAACTGAAAGAAACAATAAGAACACATTACTTCAATTGCTAGATTCTGATAAATACAGGTTACATTTACAAACAAAATTAACCTCATCTTGGGCAAAATGAAAACACATAACTGAAAGAAACAATAAGAACACATTACTTCAATTGCTAGATTCTGATAAATACAGGTTACATTTACAAACAAAATTAACCAGGCATGGTGGTGGGCAAATCCCAGCTACTTGGGAAGCTGAGGCAGAGAATTGCTTGAGCCTGGGAGGCGGAGATTGCGGTGACCCAAGATCACACCACTGCACTCCACCCTGGGCAGCAGAGCCAGAAGAAGGAAGGAGGGAGGGAGGGAGGGAAGGAGGGAAGGAAGAAAGGAAGGAAGGAAGGAAGGAAGGAGAAAAGAAAAGAAAAGAAAGGAAAAAAAAGAAAAGAAACGAAACAAAGAAAAAGAAATTTCCACCCAGGCTCATGCCTTTAATCCCAGCACTTTGGGAGACCAAGGCAGGTGGATCACCTGAAGTCAGGAGGTTGAGACCAGCCTGACCAACATCATGAAACCCCATCTGTACTAAAAATACAAAATATTAGCCAGGCATGGTAACAGGTACCTGTAATCCTAGCTACTTGGGAGGCTTAGGCAGGAGAATTGCTTGAACTGTGGAGGTAGAGAATGTGGTGGGCCAAGATCATGCCAGTGCACTTCAGCATAGGGAACAGAATGACATTCTGTCTCTCTCTCTCTCTCTCACACACACACACACACACACACACACACACACAAATGTAAGTTGCCAATTCTTTTTTTTTTTTTTTTAAAGAAAAACATTGGCACATACATCTTTATTTCTGGCTTCTATGTGCTTCTTAGACACTGGTTAATGTCTCCCATGACATAAAACGCTTAAAGAAGTGGTGATATACATTGGAATGACAGTTTGAGTCTACTGAGTCTAAAGATAAATGTTAGAGAAGCAGAGAAACTGCAGTACCCCAAACAGGGAATGGCTGCAGCAAGTGATTACTGATTATTAAAAAAAATAAGCCATTTAACTAAACAATAAACACAAAATTTAGACAAGACACATCCTAAGAACATGTTTGAGAAATTCCCAGAATCTCTAGCCAAGACTATTGATTTCAGACTATGCCAGGACAAAGCTATATTATAAAAAGATTGTAACAGGTAGCTTTTTGTCAATGTCCAAATCTCAATCAAAGATTGCAATGTACACAAAATATTAGAGAAACATGGCCCAATGAAAAACATTTCAAAAGCAACTATAAAAAGCATATAAAGTAATTTTTAAAATTCCAAATAAATTGAACAGGCCAGGGTTGGTGGTCATTCCTGTAATTTCAACACAGAGAGGTTAAGGTGGGAAAATCACATGAGGTCAGGAGTATGAGACCAGCCTAGAGAACATGGTGAAACCCTGTATCTACTAAAAACTCAAAAATTAACTGGGCATGGTGGCATAAGCCTGTAATCCAAGCTGCTTGGGAGGCTGACACACAAGAATTGCTTGAACCTGGGAGGGGATGGTTGCAGTGAGTGGAGATTGTACCACTGCACTGCAGCCTGGGCAACAGAGCAAGACTGTCTCAAAAATAAAATAAAATATGCTGGGCACAGTGGTTCACGCCTGTAATACCAGCAATTTAGGAGCCTGAGGTGTGTGAATCATTTGAGGTCAGGAGTTCAAGGTCAGCATAGCCAACATGGTGAAACCCTGTCTGTACTAAAAATACAAAAACTTAGCCAGTCATAGTGGAAAGCACCTGTACCCAGCTACTCAGGAGACTGAAGCAGGAGAATCGCTTGAACCTAGGAGGCAGAGGTTGCAGTCAGCCGAGATTGCACCACTGCTTCCAGCTTGACAGAAAATGACTCCATCTCAGATAAAATAAATACAGAAATAAATAAAACATAATAATATACAGTAAGTGAAATGGAAACACAGACAACTACTGAAGATCAGGAAAATGAGGATAACAAGAAATATTAAAATAGCAAAAAATAAAAATTTTGGATATAAAAATTACAAAAAGTAACTGAAAAATTTATCAAAAGAAAAATGATGTAAACATAAAAAAGCTGAACAAACAAACTAGGATACACATAAAGATACTTATAACAAACACATATATAAGTAAAATTTCAAAATTCACATATAAGAGCATTTTCGGAGCAGCAGATGTAATGATGAAGAATTTTTGCATATAACTTAAGTTATTTTTTTACCACATTCAAATATATTGTTGGATCTTTTAGAGTTTTTATAGAATCCCCCATGGTACCACTAAGAAAATATCTGTAAAGATACACAAAAGAAAATTTTTAAAAACCTGAAAGCATATTAATACAAAAAAAAAAAACAGAAAGGAAAATGAGAGACAAAGATACAAGAATCAAATAAAACAAAAAATAAAATAACATTAGTAAGCTTTTCTCTTTCAGAAAACTATTTAAAATTTTATATGTATAATTATCTTTCCAATCAAGAGACATTCTTTCAATAAAAAAGTTTATTAAAAATTTTGTGAAATCAAGATTTAACTTGCCTTTCTACAAGAGTCAGTTGAGATCTAATAACAAAAAAAGACTGAAAGTGGCAAGATGGAAGTAGAAATGTCATGTAAATATTAACCAAATGAGAGCAGAAGAGGTCACAATAGTATTACACAAGCTACATCTTAAGTCAAAAACTGTCATATTTTATAAAATGTAATTTAAGTCAAAACTTCAAAAAGATGTTAAACAATATGTAGATTCATTCGCTGGGGACCTATGACAAATTTGTTTATCCATGTGTGTATTTGTGTGCGTGTGTGTCTCAAATTAGGGTTTCAAATATATAAAGCAAATAGTAAGAAAACGGAATAAACACATAGAGAGAAATATAATTATAATAGGCTATTTCAGTAATGCATTTTCTGTTATAATAATAAAACAAGACAGAATATTAGTAAGGGAACAGGGGACTAGAAGGCAGTAAAAAACAATTATTTCTAATGAAGGTATAGAGAACACTCCTCAACAACATCAGGATACACAGCCTTCTCAATAGCTCATACAACTTTCTTCTTTATGGACCACCTGTTAGGCCAAAAACAAAGTCATAACACATTTTTTAAAGCTGAAAATAGATTACTTTCTATGACAAAAACGGAATTAGAGTATAAAATAATAATACAAATAATTAATAAATGTACAAATATATAGAAATGATACAACACATATTCTAACAATTATTAAGATAAATATTGATGACATTATGCAAAATGAGCCAGCCACAAACAGACAGATATTGTATAAGATATATAAATCAGTTATGCTCTTTGAAACAGAAAACAATGTGGTGTTTGAAGAGTGCCACGAAATGGGAAGAATTGGTAGTTGTTTAATGTGTATAGAGATTTAGCTTTGCAAGATAAAAACATTCTAGTGATATGTTGCATAACAATGTCAATATAATTAATATGAACAAACTGAATATTTAGAAATATATACTTCTCATTCTGTCTCCCAGGCTAAACTGCAGTGGCACAATATCGGTTCACTGCAACCTCCACTTCCCGGGTTTAACCAATTCCCCTGTCTCAGCCTCCTCAGTAGCTGGCATTACAGGTGCATGCCAACACACTTGGCTAATTTTTTGTATTATAGTAGAGACCATGTTTCCCCATGGTGGCCAGGATGGTCACGATCTTCTGACCTTGTGATCTGCCCGCCTCAGCCTCTGAAAGTGATGCGATTACAGGCGTAAGCCACCCCGCCCGGCCTAGAAATATTTTATTATAAATTTTATTATTTTTTGACACATAACACATAAGTAAACAATAATACCTTAAAAAAATACAGAGTTAGTATTGTTTTGAAATTATCTTCAAATCCAAAAGTGTTTCTGACACACAAAAATAAGATAGATTCACAAGGAAATTGATGTTGAAATTAGGAGTGTTTTTGAGACCAGGTCTCACTCTGTCCCTCAGGCTGGAGTGCAGTGGCGCGATCTCCGCTCACTGCAAGCTCTGCCTCCCGGGTTCACTCCATTCTCCTGCCTCAGCCTCCCTAGTAGCTGGGACTATAAGCGCCCGCCAACACGCCCGGCGAATTTTTTGTATTTTTAGTACAGACGGGTTTCACCGTGTTAGCCAGGATGGTCTCAATTTCCTGACCTCATGATCCGCCCGTCTTGGCCTCCCAAAGTGCTGGGATTACAATCGTGAGCCACCGCACACGGCAAGATTAGGAGAGTTTTTATGACTACTCACCTAGACAGGATTAAAAACACTGTTACAAGCTGCGTGCGGTGGCTTACGCCTGTATCCCAGCACTTTGGGAGGCCAAGGTGGGCAGATCACCTGAGGTCAGGAGTTCAAGACCAGCCTGACCAACATAGTGAAACCCTGTCTCTACTAAAGTATGAATGAAATTAGGCGGGCGTTGTAGTGCACGAATGTAATCCCAGCTACTTGGAAGGCTGAGGCAGGAGAAGGGCTTGAACCCAGGAGGCAGAGGTTGTATAGTGAGCTGAGATCCTGCCATTGTACTCCAGCCTGGGTAACATGAGTGAAACTCCCTCTCAAAGGAGAAAAAAAAAAGAAAAAAAAATAAAAAACCGTTACAACAAACCTACACAACAAACACACAAGTGACACAAAACTACAGGGATAATATTTATACAGGAAAAGAAACAGAAATAATTATATTGGTAATAGACATATGGCTTATTCATATTTAATTTTGCTCCACACTGTCTTAAGTGGTACAGAGTTAAATATTGTCATATACAATTATAAACAAAAAAATCAAACCACAATTAATTGCTGTGATGTGACATACCCAAAAATATATAACACAAAAATATTAAATTGCAAAAAAAGCAGTAAAACATGGAACACAAAACTTATTGGATACCGTCAAGTAGATCAATGTATTCATAAAAGAAATCTTAGAATATAGGGAAAAAGAAATACAGAAGTACTTGAAGATTAAAAAAAACAAAAAAGTTGAGAACTTCCCAAATTTTGATGTAACAAAAAAACATTTCTAACCAGCAATACTCGATTTTAAATTATTTTACTTCAAAAAGAAGATAAAGACTTTCCAAAATAAAAGTTAAGAGGGTTCATCAGCATTTGCGCAGTCCTACAAGATGTACTACAAGAGGTTGTGCATGCTGGCTCATGCCTGTAATCCCAACACTTTGGGAGGCCGAGGTGGGTGGATTGCCTGAGATCAAGAGTCTGAGACCAGCCTAAACAACATGGTGAAACCCCGTCTCTACTAAAAATGCAAAAATTACCCAGGTGTGGTGGCACACACCTGTAGTCCCAGCTAGTCAGGACGCTGAGGCAAGAGAATTGCTTGAACCCAGGAGGCAGAGGCTGCAGTTTGCCAAAATCATGCCATGCCACTCCAGCCTGGGTGCCAGAGAAAGACTCCATCTCAAAAAAATAATAATAATAAAAAGGCCAGGTGCAATAGTGCCCACTGCCCTTCACTGCTCTTCATCCTGGGCAAGAGTAAGACTCAGTCTCAAAAAAAAAAAAAAAATCAAAATTATTATACATGAAACCTTTAAAGTTCTTTTTTATAGAATATAAAAAACAATATGTGAATCTGAATAAATCGACTGGGCACATCGGCTCATGCCTGTAATCCCAGCACTTTGGGAGGATGAGGCGGGTGAATCACAAGGTCAGAAGCTTGCGACCAGCCTGGCCAACATTGTGAAACGCTCTCTCTACTAAAAATACAAAAATTAGGCGGGCATGGTGGTGCATGCCTGTAATCCCAGCTACACAGGAGGCTGAGGAAGGAGAATCACTTGAACCTGGGAGGCAGATGTTGCAGTGAGCTGAGATCATGCCACTGTACTCCAGCCTGGGCAATAGAGTGAGACTCCATCCCAAAAAAAAAAATCTGCATAAATCTGTTAATAAATACAGCATATAAAATAATTTTAATATCAATTATAAGCTGAAAATATAGAGGCATAGTTTTTGTATTCAATTGAAGTTCTTATAAGATTAAAATATAGTTTTAACTTTAAGATGTATGTAATCTCCACATTTCAAGATGATTACAAAGATAAAATTTATAGAAAGTATACAAAAGCAAATAAAAAATAAAGCATACCAGTACAAAATTAAATGAAAATTAAGAAAATAAAATAGGAAATGAGAACATAACTATTAGAAACACATAACACAATAATTATATAACTGGTAATTTTTCTTTAAGCAATCATTTTAAGTATGAATTAATTAAACTACTTAATAAAATAAAATGTAATCTTAGTACTGTGGAAGGCTAAGATAGGCTGATCACTTGATCCCAGGAGTTCAAGGCCAGCCTGGGCAACATGGCAAAACTCTGTCTCTACAAAAAATACAGAAAAGCTAGCAGGGTTTGATGGCACCTACTTGTAACCCAGCTACTTGAAAGGCTGAAATGAGATCATCACCTGAATTTGGGAGGTTTGGGTAGCACTGAGCCTTGCAAGTTAGCCTGGTTGACAGAGTGAGACCCTATCTCAAAAATAAAGGAGGCCAGGCACAGTGGCTCATGCCTGTAATCCCAGCACTTTGGGAGGCTGAGGCACAGAGATCTCAGTATTTAAATAAAATACTGAGAAATAAAATAACTAACAAATCCTTTCAAAAAAATATAGGAAAAAGACATCACATTGGTCATGGCACCATTTTCTTAGATAAGAAATTAAATGCATGAGCAATAAATGAAATAACAGAAAAGTTTAACTACACTAGACATCAAAATTTCTGCATATTAAAAAACAATTCAAGAGTAACAACGTCCTTTAGAAAATGGGTGAAAACATTTGCAAATTACATGTGAAAGAAGTTAATATTCAAAATATATAAACAACCCTTAAAACTAAACAATAAAGGTGAATAACTTAATTTAGAAATAGATAAACAAGTTTTCATTAGAAAAGTACACAAATGAGAAAAAGCATTTGAAAGGGCACAAAAAACTATTTATAGAGAACTGAAAAAGAAAAACCCACAATGACAAACAAAATCACCTCACACCCATTAGAATGGCCACTATAAATTTTTTAGAAAACATCGAATCTCTTGATGATGCAATAAAAATGAAACCCATGTTAAACGTTGGTGGAAAACAAAGATACAGCCATTATTTTAAAAAGTTATAAATGTTCCTCATTTAGAAATCTATATCCAAAATATGTAACAAAGTCCAGGTGCAGTGGTTCAAGCCTGTAAATCTAGCAACTTGGGAGGCTGAGGGGGCAGATCACCTGACGTCAGGAGTCTGAGACCAGCCTGGCCCCGTCTCTACCAAAAATACAAAAAATCAGCTAGGCATGGTAGTGGGTGCCTGTAATCCCAGTTACTAGGGAGGCTGAAGCAGGAGAATTGCTTGAACCCAGGAGGCAGGGGTTGCAGTGAGCCAAGATCACACCACTGCACTCCAGCCTGGGCAACAGAGCAAGACTCCATCTCAAAAAAAATAAAACAAAGCAAAACAACACAGGACCTGGAAAACATATTTGAAAATCCATGTTTATTGTATATGTATTCACAAAAGCCAAAAGCCCAAAGCAATCCAGATGTCTCCCGATTTATAAACATCAAAAAAAGTAACATATACATACAATGGAATATTATTCCACCTTAAAAAGAACAATCTTGTCACATTTTAAGATGAACATTGAGAATATTGTGTCACTTGAATTAATACAGTAACAAAATTATGGATACTGTATGATTTCACTTATATGAAATAAGTAGTCAAAATCATAAAATCAGAAAGTGGAAGGTTTGTCTGTCAAGGGCTGGAGAGAGGGTAAAATGAGCAGTTGTTTCTTAATGGGTACTAAGTTTTAGTTTTGCAAGATGTAAAGTTTCTAGAAGTCTTTTGCATAACAACATGCCTGAAATAAACAGCTTTTTTTTTTGGAGACAGAGTCTCACTCTGTCACCCAAGCTGGAGTGTAGAGGCACAATTTTGACTCCCCTTCAATCTCCCATGTAGCTGGGACCACAGCTGCACACCACCATGCCTGGCTATTATTAATTTTTTTTTTTTTACAGAAATGGGTCTCCATATGTTGCCCAGGCTGGTCTCAAACCTTTGGGCTACAGGAATCCTCCTGTCTTGGCCTCCCGAAGTCCTGGGATTACAGACGAGAGCCACAACCATGCCTGACCCTGTGATGTACACTTTAATAAATTTAAGATGGTAAATTTTATGTTATGTGTTTTTAAAACAATGCTTTTAAAGAAAAATTGAAAAAAAATCCAGAATTATACATCTTTCTGAAAATTACCTTCAGATCACAAAAGTGTTTCTCTCACAAAAGGAAAAATATATATTAATTATTAAACACATGGTGAAAGTAAGACTATCTCCATGACTACTCACTTAGACAAGATAAAACTCCCATTGAAATTCAGCTAAGAAAAAATATCTAAAATTGGGGTCATATTTACAGACAAACACACATACTTATGTAATCTGATTGTGATAGACATGCACAATTTATCTCTTAAACCTCAAATGGACTTAAAGTGTACAAACAGAATTGCAAATTGTCTAAATATTTATAGATAAACACACATACATATGTAATCTGACTGTGATAGAGATGCATAATTTATCTCTTAGCTAAACCTCAAATTGACTTAAAGCATACAAAAAGAATTGCAAATTCTCTACTTACTACATAAGTAAAACCAATAGACACAATAAACTGATGTTAAGAAACCTACACTGAAGCCGGGCACGGTGGCTCAAGACTGTAATCCCAGCACTTTGGGAGGCTGAGGTGGGCAGATCACGAGGTCAGGAGCTCGAGACCAGCCTGGCCAATATGGTGAAACACCGTTGCTAATAACAATACAAAAATTAGCCAGTTGTGGTGGCACGCCTGTAGTCCCAGCTACTCGGGAAGCTGATGCAGAAGAATGGCATGAACTCAGAAGGCAGAGATTGTGCTGAGATTGTGCCACTGCACTTTAACCTGGATGACAGAATGAGACTCCATCTCAAAAAAAAAAAAAAAAAAGAGAAACCTACACTGAAGAAACACACTAATATAGAACTACAAACAATAATAAAAGAATGTTTACTCATAAAATCTGGTATGCTACATTAATGTATCATTTAAAAAAAGTAGTCAGGCCAGGCACGGTGGCTCATGCCTGTAATCTCAGCAACTTTGGGAGGCCAAGGCCAGTGGATCACATGAGGTAAGGAGTTTTAAGACCAGCCTGGCCAACGTGGTGAAACCCCATCCTCATCTCTACTAAAAATACAAAAATTAGCCGGGAGTGGTGGCAAGTGCCTGTAATAACAGCTATTTGGGAGGCTGAGGCACAAGAATTGCTTGAACCCAGGAGGTGAAGGTTGCAGTGAGCCAGGATTGCACCACTGCACTCCAACCTGGGTGAGAGAGAGTAACTACTTCTCCAAAAAATTTTTTTTAACAATTTGTCTAAGTAACTGCAATATTTAACCATCACTATGTATTCATCATATACAGGTATTTTGAATCATTGGCATGCACTCTGTGGCAGTAAAATTTCAGAGAATATGCAGCATAATTATAAATAGAAGATTCTAATGAGAAACTTTTAATAAATTAGCATTTAAAACTAGATTTGTTAAAAAACAAATGTTTTAAATATATGGTATTCTTACACAAAACGCAACTGCTGTAATCCAACTTTAGAAGAAAAGAGTAGACTTACATTGTTAAATATAGAAAAAATATATATTTTTTTTCCAGAATAGGGTTAGACCCTCTGATATGTAAAACAAATATTAGGAAATAATCTATATTATTTAGATATAGGCTGAAAAAAGTAGATGAAAATCCTATAATTCCTTTTTGCCTGCAGCAAAGCTTCGATTTATAAGTAACTATTTTAGTTATTTATCATATTTAGTTAAATATTGGGTGCCCAATAATTATGTAATTCACTTCAAGTATACCATCAAATTCTGGCATATTGTCCTAAATATCTGAAACTAAAATTGCAGACAAATTTGAAATAGAAAATAGAAAGTAAAAATGTATATGGAGAGTGACATCAGTAAGAAGGAAAGAGTTAAATTGTCCTATTTTCATATCCCCTTACAGCAAAAAAAAGTCAGCCATCCCTGACAAAAATGCCTTTATGAGAGAAAAAGGTATTATGGTTCACACCTGTAATGACAGCTACATGGAACATTAAGGTTACAGAACTGCTTCAGGCCAGGATTTTGAGACCTGCATGCATTATGCAGCAAGATGCCATTCCAAAATAAGGGCCTCTAAGAGAGATTTGAGATCCAGGGAGGGAGTTGTGAAATGCTGTTAAAGCTAAAGATTGAGAAGCCTTCTAGTCAGAAGGCAGGCCCTCATTTAGGTGGGAAACTAAAGGGCCGCTGTTCTTGGCTACAGACCAGGATCGGGTTTATTTACCCAACTTGGTCCCGCTGAGAATTCAGAACTTACTCTGTAACCATCCCAAACTCCTCCCAGCCACAGTCTGGCTGAGGTTCTGCCACTCCAGAGACCTGGAGAAAGGCACCCAATTATAGCTATACAGGCAGGCATGAAGACATTGGCCTTTACTGGGGTCCCTGAAGCGGTTCAATGACTCAGTGTCAGTTACCTGAGCCACAGATCATGGCCAATTCTGCCCACATAGAAACCCACACAGTTACCTGAGGAAATGCTGTCTGGTACTCAGTCAGAGCCATACTCATCCACATCCTGATACAAGGCCCACCATATGCAGACCCGACTGCAAAAACATGCCCTAGTGTCTGCCCTACAGAGCAAAGTCCTGAAGGATATTCAGCCTGTCCAAAAATAAAATGAGAATTACAACAACCCAAGCCCCTGTAACAAGCCAACTAAAGGTGGACCCTAGTGCAGACCCAGCAGCCTTGTGACCAAGCTACAACCCCTCTTCACTATCAATTCAGAGGGCATCTCATCACACTAAGGGCCCAACAAAAGATCTTTACCTTCTAAAACCAATTTATGAAAACCTGGGCCGGGCGCAGTGGCTCACGCCTGTAATCCTAGCACTTTGGGAGGCCAAGGCGGGTGGATCACGAGGTCAGAAGATCGAGACCATCCAGGCTAACACGGTGAAACCCCGTGTCTACTAAAAATACAAAAAATTAGCTGGGCGTGGTGGCGGGTGCCTGTAGTCCCAGCTACTCGGGAAGCTGAGGCAGGAGAATGGCGTGAACCTGGGAGGCGGAGCTTGCAATGAGCGAAATCGCGCCACTGCACTCCAGCCTGGGTGACAGAGCAAGACTCCGTCTCAAAAAAAGAAAACCTGAAGAGGTATTTGCTTCATCAAATTCAGACAGCAATGCAAAACTATATTGTGCTCATTGTCAATGCTTCTATTTTAATGTAGCACTGGAAATATGTGGCAGAAGAATTAGTGAAATAAATAAAAAATCCATTGAAATTGAAGAAAAATAAGTAAAAAGTTGCTGTTTCTAGATCATACAATCTTATATTTTAAAAATCATAAACAGAGTAAAAACTGTCTCAAATAATAAATACTCAGTAAATTAGCAAAACATAAAATTAACATACAAGTATATGTACAGCTTTATATACTTAAACTCTCATAAAATAAAAAGAAAAAATCTTATTTACTATAGCATTGAATAAATTTCTGAGAAAAAAAATTAACCATGGAGGTAAAAACTCTTTACCAAAAAAAAAAAAAAAAAAAAAAAGAAAAAATTAGAGAAGTTCCAAATAAATTTTAAAATATTTTATGTCTATAGATTGAAAGAATAAATATTATTCAAGTGCCATATTATCCAAAGTGATCTATAGATTCAATAAACTTCCTAGCAAAATTGCAGTGGTATCTTTTTCACAGAAATGGAAAATACAATTCTAAAATTTACATGAAACTAAAATAAACTTTGAATAGCCAAAGCAATCTTGACAAAAAGAACAGAGCAGAAGTATATCATACTTATACTTTCAAATGATATTTTAAGACTATATAGTAATAAAAACAGAATGGACCATGCAGAAAAATGAACAAAGAAATGAAACTGATACTACTGCCCTCACACATTTCAGGCCTGATGCAAAAAGACTAAAAACAGTTTAGTTTCTCAAAGTCATGCAGATATTTCTGTGTCCCCAAGACGATGTAAAAGCAGCCAGATTGTGCAGTCTCTTATATGCCATGAAGAGGACTCTGGCTCTCACTGTGAAGTTGAAGGAAGCTCACCGAAAGAAAAGTAGAATCCTTAGAAAATTTAAAAGCATAAGACAGAAGATGTCCCTTTGTGAGAGCCAAATTAAAAACAAAACAAAAAACAGAATCCCAGGAACTATTCTCTTTGGAACACAGCTTCCTAAATCACATTTTAAGGACCGGCTTTCTCTTTGACCTTGGGACCTCTTATCTGTGTTGTCTGTTGTATTCATTTTCACTCGCACCTACCTGGGGATTTGGCAATCATCTCATGTCTCTTCACAGTGAAGGGTTTTTTTCCTTGCTCCAGACAGGTGATCAGGTCTGGCTTAGTGACAACAATACCTGTTTTATTAAAAATAAATAACATGAATCTTCCTCATATTCTCCAATTACAAGCTAGTACTGTGCTCAGCAGAGAAGATGTGATAAAATAGTCTAGTAAATTCCAAAATAGAGTTATAAAAAAAATTTCAAAAGATTTAGAAAATACTTTCAAATCATAGGTTTCTTTTGTGTGTGTGTGGTTTTTTGTTTTGTTTTGTTTTGTTTTTTGTTTGTTTTTTGTTTTTTCAGACGGAGTTTCTCTTGTTACCCAGGCTGGTGTGCAATGGTGCAATCTCAGCTCAGTGAAATATCTGCCTTTCAGGTTCAACAAATTCTCCTGCCTCAGCCTTCAGAGTAGCTGGGATTACAGGCATGTGCCACCATGCCAAGCTAATTTCATGTTTTTAGTAGAGACAGAGTTTCTTTATGTTGGTTAGGCTAGTCTCAAACTGCTGACCTCAGGCGACCTGCCCACCTCAGCCTCCCAAAGTGCTGGGATTACAGGTGTGAGCCACTGCGCCTTGTCCTAATTTGTAGGTTTTTAAATTTTATTACCTGGTGCTACTGAATCAAAAGTTGGTGGTGGCAATTAGATTTTCAGGTGGAGGTAACAATATTTTATGCCACTAAATTTCTGGAATTACCACTAATTTAGAGTGAAGAATACAGCTCATCTCAGGAAAGTGGAAAGTTTAAATTAAGATGAAACATCTTGAAGAAATTCACTTCTAAAAGAAATTCTGAAGATTTTCAGGAAAAGGGGGATCTAAAACTCTCTTATGCAAACAATACATTACTAAAAATCATTCCACAAAAAAACATAAAAACAACCTTTAGGGTATATTATGAATTATGTATTCCACTTATCCTCACCAAGGAAGACCAGGTGTCTGTAGTTCTCTAACATCACATCCCTATATAAATTCTGCTGTGCAGTGTCCAGGCAATGCCACTCCTCCAGAGAGAATTCTATGGCCACATCTCTAAATTCCAATGGTCCCTGAAAAACACACATATACACACACACATTTTTACCAAGTGGTCATGGGCAAAGTTTGTAATTTGAGTTAAGGTGAAATTGGAGAGTAAAGAGAATTGGTTCTGACTTACAAGACTCACTAAATTATCCAATAAAACAATTTCCAACACAAAAATATTTTCTAATATATTGCCTGAGAAAAAAGAGCAGAATAGGATCCACAACATCAGTTCATATATGATATTTTTCTAGATAATAAATTATAAAATTAAGGGCATGAACATGAACATGTACATTTTTGAGTGCTATATTTAGATCATACGGAATGAGTTGTGAATATTTTTCAGACAGAAAAGACACGGTGACTTAGAAGGCACCTCTCAAATTTTAATATGTACAATAAGCTGAAGACCTTGTTATGCAGGTTCTTTTTTTTTTTCCAGAAGATCTGAAATAAAGTCTGATTTTTTGAATTTCTAACAAGCTCACGAATAATGTCAATGTTTTTGGCCCAAGAAGGATATTTTGTCAAACATCCACCAAGTGGAAGAACCTTTGTTTTTCCCAGTTTTTCTGGCCTGTAAACAAAGAGCCTTCATTTTCCAAACAAAAATATGTAGAAAAAATAAGAAAAAAGGACAGCTGCCAGATTAAATGTGCTGGTTTATACATATCAGCTGCACAAAGATACTTAAAATAATTAACTCTATAGTGAAAGAAATCTGTTACAGAGCTATTTCACCAAGTGAATCATTCACCATTAAGTGCACTAGGACAAATTTTATGATGTGCTAATGCGCACAGAAGAATACAGCATCACTGTTGAAATATTCCTGTTGAGAAAAAAGTTGAGGGTTGGGAAGAAAGCTGAGGCAGGGCTTGCATGACTGACATAATGTCCTCTGGAATGTGTCTAGACTTGCTGGTTCCTTGCTTCTAGCCCTCCTAGGCTCCTATTCCCATTATCTCAAGTAGCAGAACAGGTTCCTTATAAATGCTAAACCTTCACAGCTGTAGATCATGTGCCTGTCCTTTCGACCTCCACATTCTCACCACCTGTTTCTCTGTTGGATTACCAATAAACAGCGTGGGCTCCCAGAGCTCTGGGCCTTCACAGCCTCGAGGATCGCAATGGCCCCCTGGTGTCCCACCTTTCTCTCTCAAACTGTCTTTTTCTCAAAGGACTCAAAGGATTGAGTCCATCAGACTTTGTCACCCCCACGACCTGGTGTTTGGTCTGGCCACCCCAACATATTCCTCCCAAAAAAAGTAAGTAAAATATGAATTTAACCATAAAGGAACATGTTTTATACAAACTTCAAAGTACAGATAACTCCTATGTTCTGTAATTTTTAGTAGGAATTTTAAGTAGGCGTCATTTAGCACCCTAGAGAGCAGCTATCTCCTAATACTTTTTTCAGAACTTTCTGGGTAATAAATGCCATTCCATTTAAATAAGCATTTTCTTAATCCTGTTCTGCATAGAGCTAATGGAACACAGATGGAGCCTCAACATGACATATTCTCCATCTTAACTAAGGACCACAGTTTTCCCCAGTAGAAATCTTGAGTATCCATATCTTTTCATGTTCAACAGCTACAAAGGAAACATTTTTAAGATTGCATGTTGGAAACAATTGCTCAGAGTCTCAGGGAAAATGAGCACTCAAAAAGAGAACATCTCAGCAAGGCAAATATACTTCTATAGAAGGGTGTGTCTCACAGATGGAGCAATGGCAAGAGTACACTTGGGCAAGGGAGGGGAAGGGGGCCTTATCGCTAACACCACTAGTCCCTATTGCTGTGTCTTTCTGCTATTGGCTAGGGTTGGACCACAGTCTAAGCTAATTCTGATTGGCTATTTTAAAGAGAGCAATGGTAAGAGCCAGAGTGGTGGGATGAATAGTCAGCAGGAAGGATGGGTATAAGTCAGGTGAGTAGGAGTGACTCAGGACAGAGCAGGTGACTAGGGATGACTAACGACCCTAAATACATGAGTTAGAAGGGATTGTTTACTGAAACTAGGAGCAAGGAGACATTAAGATCGAGGAAGTTGAACTTTAAAATAGAGAACAAAGAACAGGAAAGATGAACATACTGACATTTTGGTTCTTTGAAGAGAACCTCAGAACTCATTGTACTTAATTTCCCCTCTTCAATTTTAAAGGAAGTTAACAAGCTGAAACCTTTGAGGACAAATTTACTGTATCCCACATTGAGGATCATAAATTCTTGCTAAGAATTCTGCATGGCATATAAGAAGCTATGACATGGAGAATGTAGAGAAGGCTCTGGAATATAGGAAAGAAATATTTTTCAGAGACCCTTGACTACCATAAGAATTTTAAGTAGTTCAACCAAACTCATTAGGGAGGATAAACACATGTACAGATGTAAAGTTTTCTGAGTGCTAAATGCATGGCAGTCCAGGAGGCAAAGTGGACACAGCTCTGCATCTGAGACATGTTTACCTGAAGAAAAGCCATTTTTTTTTCTTTCTCCTCCTTCTCTGGAATTCCTTATCAAATGACATTCTCTGGAGAAATTACACCTGCATCTGGAGAATATGCCTTTAAAGGTGTCAGTGCCACATGTCTACCTCCTAGCATGACAACAAATGGCAGAAAAACAAAGACAGAAAAAGTCCACCCATTTATGTCCTTTAAAATAGAAGAGATTCAAAAACAATTAGAGATTCAAAAACAATAAGCTGCTCCATGAAGATAAAAATAAAAGTTTCTCCTTTCCCATCCTCAAGTGCCCTTTTCTAGCACAGACACCAGCAATTTAGTTAAGGGGTGGGTCTTTGTTCTTAGAGCTCCCAAGATGGTGGCAGGCCACTCCCAAGATGGTGGCAGCTGCTCACAAAATGGCTGCAAGCCCTTTGTTCTCTGACCTGGGGTTCTTGGCCTCATGGATTCCAAGGAATGGAACCTTGGGCCATGCGGTGAGTCTTATAATTCTATTAGAAGCCGTGGGTCATGGAAGAGAACCGTGGAACCCAGCGACTAGTGTTCAGTGCAGTTAGGATGAACCCGAGCACTTAGCCATGCAGGAACAATGGCGAGCCTTTAGCCTAATCGGGAGTGGCAAAGGAGCACAGCGGACACCCTGCTGGATCCGGAGGGGGAGGGGTGGAAGTCTTCAGTGGGTCTGGGATGGCGGCAAACAGCAGTGGTCGACGGCAAGTGAAAGCTCAGCTGGAGCCGTAACAAACAGACCAGAAGAGTGTGCAGTTGCAAGATTTAATAGAGTGAAAACAGAACTCCCATACAATGGGAGGGGATCCAAAGGGGGTTGTGCACTCCCGACTCAAATGCCTGGGGTTTATATCCCAATCACTGTCCCTCCCCCTCTGCTCTCAGGTGATACATGATTTGATTATTTCTTTACCTCTTGTTTTTAGTCTAATTGGTATTTTCGTGAGCTCTCTTTACTACCTGATTTGTCAGATGTGAGCTGAGTTACAAGTCCCATGTTTAAAGGCAGGTGCAGTCACCTTCCCCAGCTAGGCTTAGGAATTCTTAGCAGGCATAGGAAATCCAGTTAGTCCTGTCTCTCAGTCATCCCCCTCTCAAGAGGAAAACCCAAATGCTGTTGGGGAGGTTGGCCAATGACTGCTCTTAACTTCTTCCTGCTGAATTGCGGTGTAGTAGGGGTCATGCAGTTGAGATTTCCTGGGGAGGGGTGCCTTCAATGTCATCAACATTGGAGCATGGGCTAGCAGGCCAGTCCAGGGGTCCATGGTAGATCTTAGTCATGGACTGCACCTGAGGCTCCAGTTGAAGAACATTTTTAGTTTTACAGCTTTGCTTCTGGAAGAGACAAACTTAACAAGGAGGTTAATGATACAGGGATTGAAATGTATGGCCTGCAGTGCAGGGGATTATTTTTTTGGCACACTTTACAGGCCCTGACTATCTGCTTGATAGTTTTGAAAAGGCTTGGTCCAGTAAATAATGATTTGGCTATCTGATGGGTGCTATCAATGCCTAAGTAAAAGGTTTGGTGAAGGGTTTTAAGTAATTTCCATTGGTTAGCTGCAGGCAAAAGTATTTTTCCTTCTTTGGTGGCTAGCCATCCTGAGGGGAGGAAACTATGTCCTCCTGAGGTTCCCCATTCTATCTCTTCTGCTGAGTACTGGGGCTTGGTTTCCTGGAGGGGATTACCCCATACTAGGGGTCTTTCTATAATCATTTCTAATAGAGGGTCCCACCTTGCAGCTCTTTTGGCTTCAGTATCCGCTTGGCGGTTCACTTCTATTTCCTTTTCATTTCCTTTCTGATGACCCCAGCAGTATAAGACTGCCACCTCTTTAGGTTTCTGTACAGCCAATAATACTCTCCTAATGGCTTCCTGATGTTTGATAGGTGTTCCCTTGGAAGTTAGGAATTCCCCTTCTCTCTATATTGCTGCATGGGCATGGAGGACTAAGTAAGCATACTTAGAGTCTGTATATATATTTACCCTTTTTCCTTCTCCTAATTCTAGTGTACAATGGCCCCTGCTTTTGCTAGGATGTCTCTCCCTAACAAAGGATTTGGGCTTTCAGGCATAATTAGAAAAGCATGTGAAGACAGCAAAGTTCTCCAGTCACAACTTAGTGGCTGGGAGAAGTATCTAGTGACTGCCTGTCGTGGGACGCCTCAGATAGTGACAGATCTGGAGGACAGTTGTCCAAGACAAAAGAGTAAGGCTAAGAAGGCCACACCAGTGTCCAGCAGGTTTCCTAACAGGGGATTTAAATCTTCATTACCATACAAAAGTCTGAGCTGACCTAGGAGGAACTCCCTTCAGGACAGGATGATAGACCGTTCCTCCCATGTGATTGAGGGAAAAAACCACAATGGGTATTCAGTAATTGATAGGGAGACTCTTCTGGAAGCAGAGTTAGGAGAATTGCCTCATAATTGGTCTGCTCAAACGTGTGCAGTGGCAGGCATCTGTAATCCCAGCTACTCAGGATGCTGAAGGAAGAGAATCGCTTGAACCCTGGTGGCAGAGGTTTCAGTGAGCTGAAATCATGCCACTGAATTCCAGTCTGGGTGACACAGTGAGACACCATCTCAAAAAAAAAAAGCATAATAATATTTCTTCTGTTCATAAATAGCCCTTCGGGTGTAGACATCAGAAGTCACAACAACATAAAGAAAGTGGCCTAAATAAAGCCCAGTATTTTGGACACGTGTATTTGTTGTACCAACCATATGTTGCATAATTCAATTATTTATCCAGTTGCTAGTCTAGACTAAAAGTTTCTGGATTGTTGGAACCATGACTGCTTCATGTATTTTTTTTAATGGCCATATGAAATGGAAGCAACTAGCTTATCTATTTGGGTCTCCAGATCTCCGTGTTTATCATCCAAGTACCAGGAAACTGGAGAAACTCTCATCTGGGTACCAAAGACACCTCTTGTATGACAGGAGGAACAAACACAGGATGACTCGTTTCTCTTACACTGAGACAGAAGAAAAAACCATTCTTGTCAGCCTGACACAATTCTGCTCTGACATCCTCCAATGCCTCAAAGACATCTAGATGATTGTGACAGAATTCTCAGTGACCCTGGGCTCATGGCCCAATGATAAGCCAGGCTGGAGGAACTGAGGCTGATTCTGAATAGAAAATGGAACTGCCTTGGTGGAGCTCCAGAACCTGGATCTCCTGTCCTGATTTGCTAGCTCTTGGATAAGAGAAAGAACAAAAATACTCTACTCCAGTATCACATTTTACAGGTAAATATAGTTGTGGTCATGGCTCTGGATATTTTGTGGCCTTGATCTCTCACTCCTAAGATGCTTATTTACATTTACAGATTCTGCCATCAGATGCTAGTTCCTCCTGGAGCCTCTCACATCACTGTAGCAGGTCAATGAACAAGATGTGAAAATCTCAAAATGCCACACTCCCAAATGGGGGCTGTAAGCTGTCTTTGCTGACATCTCACAATACAGAAAATGCCTTTTGTTAGTTTTCTGTACATTCTTTATCCAAACTCCCACCCTTTTTTGTAAATTCCTGGCAGAGGACAGACCTTATCTACAGATTCTAGGTAGGATCCACCTGGCTTTGCATCCTTTGGTGAAGAGATCCCCTAATAGAGGCTGTTCTAGCACATTCTAAATGATAAGTCTACATGAAAAAAACAAAAAGCTGACACAACGTGAATATAAGTAGACAGCTTATTTGGGTCAAGTTTATGGATTATAACCTGGGAGCAAATATTCAAGTTGCCTGAAATCTACACTTTGATTAGCAGCAGTTACAAGAAGATTTGTAAAGACAATAAGAGAAACACAGAGTGGGCTGACACAAAGTTGTTTATCAGAAATTTATATTTGTTTACAGAAATAACATTGATTATTGATTAGATATATATTGTTATGGTTTAGGGTATGGGATATAGTGTCCAATGTGGCATTAGTTTAATTTATAACTACTTGTGGCAATTGTGAACAGTTTCAACAGATACATACATTTGAATACATAGTTCAAAGGGAGAAAAAGTACTTGCACTTTTCAGATAAAGTTTTTTATTTCCCAAATCTCAAGACCTGGATTCAAAATATGGAGCTGCAGATTTAGGGCAAGAATGGATGGAGTGGCAGCATGTTTATAGCACATTTGTGAGCATTTTAGCAGAGTAGAAAGAAGAAAGTGGAGAATCTCTTATCTACATGTCTACTCAATGCACACGTTACTCTAATTGGGTTTGTGGGCCCCATGGTCTCTGAATCCGTTTCAGGTCTGAAAATACAAGAGTCAAAGAGGTAAAATAACTGATTGCTGCCCTGTGAAATTTATAGAAATCTGATCTAGCCTCTCTAGAAGTGACTGTAGATGACTATAGATTAATAAATAGGCTGAGACACAATTCTGCCTGCATCTTTAGGGGACAGCGTGCACTGTGCTGCACAAGTGTCAGTCAACTGGAAGCCTGAGAGGAAAAGTCCCCTCTAGAGTAAATTCTCATTGGCACCTTATGTGTTTATATCATGTCTGGTAATTCTAGACAGTATTTGGAAACAATAAAGAAAACATGTCTCCAGCCCCAGAGAAATGCCACAATAATAGTACAGAAAGAAAACTGTTTTATTACACAATTAAGTGTGACATGCATCATAGTCAATCTGCTTAAGTGACTGCAAAGATAGAAAGATGGTCACCATAATTAGTCCACAAGTAGAAGAATTTCCAGCACCACGTCATATATAGTTCATCCTAAATTCACCTGGAGATTGACGAGGCCATGTGTGTATGCTAATTGCTCATATTCAATGACAAATAAACATTTCCCATCTTCATAACAGGAGGTGGTTTAGCTGCTTGAAGCCAAGTGCCTGCTGAAGGTAGGGTTTCACTCTGCTACAAAAAAGGTTAAATAGGGTTCTATCATTTTGGCTACTTAGAGCAGTGGCTCTGTACACTCTGGCAGGGGGCTACAGCACTCCTGCTTGCTTTCTCCTGGTTGCTAGTGTCAGGCCTCTGAGCCCAAGCCAAGCCATCGCATCCCCTGTGACCTGCACGTATATGCCCAGATGGTCTGAAGTAACTGAAGAATCACAAAAGAAGTGAATATGCCCTGCCCCACCTTAACTGATGACATTCCACCACAGAAGTGTAAATGGCCAGTCCTTGCCTTAACTGATGACATTACCTTGTGAAAGTCCTTTTCCTGGCTCATCCTGGCTCAAAAAGCACCCCCACTGAGCACCTTGCGACCCCCACTCCTGCCCACCAGAGAACAAACCCCCTTTGACTGTAATTTTCCTTTACCTACCCAAATCCTATAAAATGGCCCCACCCTTATCTCCCTTCGCTGACTCTCTTTTCGGAATCAGCCCACCTGCACTCAGGTGATTAAAAGCTTTATTGCTCACACAAAGCCTGTTTGGTGGTCTCTTCACACGGACATGCATGAAATTTGGTGCCATGATTCGGATCAGGGGACCTCCCTTGGGAGATCAATCCCCTGTCCTCTGTTCTTTGCTCCATGAGAAAGATTCACCTATGACCTCAGGTCCTCAGACCGACCAGCCCAAGAAACATCTCACCAATTTCAAATCCGGTAAGCGGCCTCTTTTTACTCTCTTCTCCAACCTCCCTCACTATCCCTCAACCTCTTTCTCCTTCCAATCTTGGCGCCACACTTCAATCTCTCCCTTCTCTTAATTTCAATTCCTTTCATTTTCTGGTAGAGACAAAGGAGACACGTTTTATCCATGGACCCAAAACTCCGGCACCGGTCACGGACTGGGAAGGCAGCCTTCCCTTGGTGTTTAATCATTGCAGGGATGCCTCTCTGATTATACACTCACGTTTCAAGGGTGTCAGACCACACAGGGACACCTGCCTTGGTCCTTCACCCTTAGCGGCAAGTCCCGCTTTTCTGGGGAAGGGACAAGTACCCCTCAACCCCTTCTCTCCTTGTCTCTACCCCTTCTCTGCTTTTCTGGGGCAGGGGCAAGAACCCCTCAACCCCTTCTCCTTCACCCTTAGCGGCAAGTCCCACTTTTCTAGGGGGCAAGAACCCCCAATCCCTTATTTCTGTGCCCCAATCTCTTATCTCTTATCTCTGTGCCCCAATCCCTTATTTCTGCACCCCAACCTCTTATCTGTGCCCCAATCCCTTATTTCTGCAGCCCAACCTCTTATCTCTGTGCCCCAATCCCTTATTTCCATGCCCTGACCCCCC
The DNA here is from genome assembly GCF_000001405.40 of Homo sapiens. Lineage (NCBI taxonomy): Eukaryota > Metazoa > Chordata > Mammalia > Primates > Hominidae > Homo > Homo sapiens. Next base: position 20,095,561 of record NC_000019.10, on the reverse strand, counting down.
TTCCTGCTTTTCTGGAGGGTAAGAACCTCCGAACCCCTTCCCTCCGTGTCTCTATGCTCTCTTTTCTCTTGGTTTGCCTCCTTTACTATGGGCAACCTTCCACCCTCCATTCCTCCTTCTCCTTTAGCCTGTGTCCTCAAGAACTTAAAACCTCTTCAACTCACACCTGACCTAAAACCTAAATGCCTTATTTTCTTCTGCAACACTGCTTGGCCCCAATACAAATCGACAGTGGCTCTAAATGGCCAGAAAACGGCACTTTCGATTTCTTCATCCTACAAGACCTAAATAATTTTTGTCGAAAAATGGGCAAATGGTCTGAGGTGCCTTACGTCCAGGCATTTTTCACACTTCGTTCCCTCCCTAGCCTCTGTTCCCAATGCGATTCCTCCCAGATCCTCCTTCTTTCCCTCCCGCCTGTCCCCTCAGTCCCAACCCCAAGCATCGCTGAGTCTTTCCAGTCTTCCTTTTCTACAGACCCATCTGACCTTTCCCCTCCTCCCCAGGCTGCTCATTGCCAGGCCGAGCTAAGTCCCAATTCTTCCTCAGCCTCCACTCCTCCACCCTATAATCCTTCTATCACCTCCCCTCCTCACACCCGGTCCGGCTTACAGTTTAGTTCCGCGACTAGCTCTTCCCCACCTGCCCAACAATTTCCTCTTAGAGAGGTGGCTGGAGCTGAAGGCATAGTCAGGGTACATGTACCTTTTTCTCTATCAGACCTTTCTCAGATCAGTCAATGTTTAGGCTCTTTCTCATCAGACCCCACTAAATATACACAGGAATTCCAATGTCTAACTCTGTCCTACAACTTAACCTGGAGTGACTTAAATGTCATCCTGACTTCTACCCTCTCCCCAGATGAATGGGAAAGAGTTTCTTCTCTAGCCCAATCTCATGCTGATAACCGCCGGCTTCACGAGCCAGACCTCCAGGAAGGCATTAGAGCAGTTCCCCGAGAGGATCCCCAATGGAACCATCAGGCAAATTCCCCAGGTATAGCTAGGCGAGATTACATGGTTTCCTGCCTAGTTGAAGGGCTTAAAAAAGCAGCTTACAAAGCTGTTAATTATGACAAACTTAAAGAAACTACCCAAGGTGAAGATGAAAACCCAGCCCAGGTCGTGGCCCGCTTAGCAGCAACCCTTAGACGCTTTACCGCCCTAGACCCAGAGGGGCCAGAAGGCCGCCTTATTCTCAATATGCATTTTATCACCCAGTCAGCTCCTGACATTACAAAAAAACTTCAAAAATTAGAATCTGGCCCTCAAACCCCACAACAGGAATTAATCAACCTCACCTTCAAGGTGCACAATAATAGGGAGGAAGCAGCCAGACGGCAATGCATTTCTGAGTTACAGTTACTTGCCCCTACTGTGAGACAAAACCCAGCCACACCTCCTGCATAGGAGAACTTCAGAATGCCTAAGCCACAGCAGTCAAGCATTCCTACAAGACTTCCTCCATCAGGATCTTGCTTCAAGTGCCAGAAATCTGGCCACTGGGCCAAGGAATGCCCGCAGCCCGGGATTCCTCCCAAGCCATGTCCCATCTGTGCAGGGACTCACTGCAAATCAGACTGCCCAGCTCACCCGGCAGCCACTCCTAGAACCCCTAAAGCTCTAGCCCAAGGCTCTCTGACTGACTCCTTCCCAGATCTGCTTGGCTTAGCAACTGAAGATTGACATTGCCCGATCGCCTCGGAAGCCCCCTGGACCATCATGGACGCCGAGCTTTGGGTAACTCTCACAGTGGAGGGTAAGTCCATCCCCTGTTTAATCGATACGGGGGCTACCCACTCCACATTGCCTTCTTTTCAAGGGCCTGTTTTCCTTGCCCCCATAACTGTTGTGAGTATTGACGGCCAAGCTTCAAAACCCCTGAAAACTCCCCCACTCTGGTGCCAACTTGGACAACACTCTTTTATGCACTCTTTTTTAGTTATCCCCACCTGCCCAGTTCCCTTATTAGGCCAAGATATTTTAACCAAATTATCTGCTTCCCTGACTGTTCCTGGACTACAGCCACATCTCATTGCCGCCCTTCTCCCCAACCAAAAGCCTCCTTCGCATCTTCCTCTCATATCCCCCCACCTTAGCCCACAAGTATGGGACATCTCTACTCCTTCCCTGGCAACCGATCACATGCCCATTACCATCCCATTAAAACCTAATCACCCTTACCCTGCTCAACACCAATATTCCATCCCACAGCATGCTTTAAAATGATTAAAGCCTGTTATCACTCACCTGCTACAGCATGGGCTTCTAAAACCTATAAACTCTCCTTACAATTCCCCCATTTTACCTGTCCAAAAACCGGATAAGTCTTACAGATTAGTTCAGGATCTGCGTCTTATCAACCAAATTGTTTTGCCTATCCACCCTGTGGTGCCCAACCCGTACACTCTTTTGTCCTCAATACCTTCCTCCACAACTCACTATTCCATGCTTGATCTTAAAGATGCTTTTTTCACTATTCCCCTGCACCCCTCGTCCCAGCCTCTCTTTGCTTTCACCTGGACTGACCCTGACACCCATCAGTCCCAGCAGCTTACCTGGGCTGTGCTGCCGCAGGGTTTCAGGGACAGCCCTCATTACTTCAGCCAAGCTCTTTCTCATGATCTACTTTCCTTCCACCCCTCCGCTTCTCACCTTATTCAATATATTGATGACCTTCTTCTTTGTAGCCCCTCCTTTGAATCTTCTCAACAAGACACACTTCTGCTCCTTCAGTGTTTATTCTCCAAAGGATATCGGGTATCCCCCTCCAAAGCTCAAATTTCTTCTCCATCCGTTACCTACCTCGGCATAATTCTTCATAAGAACACACATGCTCTCCCTGCCGATCGTATCCGACTAATCTCTCAAACCCCAATCCCTTCTACAAAACAACAACTCCTTTCCTTCCTCGGCATGGTTGGATACTTTCACCTTTGGATACCTGGTTTTGCCAACCTAACAAAACAATTATATAAACTCACAAAAGGAAACCTAGCTGACCCCATAGATCCTAAATCCTTTCCCCACTCCTCTTTCCATTCCTTGAAGACAGCTTTAGAGACTGCCCCTATTCTAGCTCTCCCTGACTCATCCCAACCCTTTTCATTACACACAGCCGAAGTGCAGGGCTGTGCAGTCTGAATTCTTACACAAGGACCAGGATCGCATCCTGTAGCCTTTTTGTCCAAACAACTTGACCTTACTGTTTTAGGCTGGCCATCATGTCTCCGTGCAGCCGCTGCTGCTGCCCTAATACTTGTAGAGGCCCTCAAAATCACAAACTATGCTCAACTCACTCTCTACAGCTCTCATAATTTCCAAAATCTATTTTCTTCCTCACACCTGACACATATACTTTCTGCTCCCCGGCTCCTTCTGCTATACTCACTCTTTGTTGAGTCTCCCACAATTACCATTGTTCCTGGCCTGGACTTAAATGCGGCCTCCCACATTATTCCGGATACCACACCTGACCCTCATGACTGCATCTCTCTGATCCACCTGACATTCACATTTCCCCAAATTTCCTTCTTCCCTGTTTCTCACCCTGATCACACTTGGTTTATTGATGGCAGTTCCACCAGGCCTAATCACCACTCACCAGCAAAGGCAGGCTATGCTATAGTATCTTCCACATCTATCATTGAGGCTACCGCTCTGCCTCCCTCCACTACCTCTCAGCAAGCCGAACTAGTTACCTTAACTCAAGCCCTCACTCTTGCAAAAGGACTACGCATCAATATCTATACTGATTCTAAATATGCCTTTCATATTCTGCAGCACCATGCAGTCATATGGGCTGAAAGAGGTTTCCTCACTACACAAGGGTCCTCCATCATTAATGCCTCTTTAATAAAAACTCTGCTCAAGACCACTTTACTTCCAAAAGAAGCTGGGGTCATTCACTGCAAGGGGCATCAAAAGGCATCAGATCCCATTGCTCTAGGCAATGCTTATGCTGATAAAGTGGCTAGACAAGCAGCTAGCTCTCCAACTTCTGTCCCTCACAGCCAGTTTTTCTCCTTCGCTTCAGTCACTCCCACCTACTCCCCCACGGAAACTTCCACCTATCAATCTCTTCCCACACAAGGCAAATGGTTCTTAGACCAAGGAAAATATCTTCTTCCAGCCTCACAGGCCCATTCTATTCTGTCATCATTTCATAACCTCTTCCATGTAGGTTACAAGCCGCTAGACCGTCTCTTAGAACCTCTCATTTCCTTTCCATCATGGAAATCTATCCTCAAGGAGATCACTTCTCAGTGTTCCATCTGCTATTCTACTACCCCTCAGGGATTGTTCAGGCCCCCTCCCTTCCCTACACATCAAGCTCGGGGATTTGCCCCTGCCCAGGACTGGCAAATTGACTTTACTCACATGCCTCGAGTCAGAAAACTAAAATATCTTAGTCTGGGTAGACACTTTCACTGGATGGGTAGAGGCCTTCCCCACAGGGTCTGAAAGGCCACCGCGGTCATTTCTTCCCTTCTGTCAGACATAATTCCTCGGTTTGGCCTTCCCACCTCTATACAGTCTGATAACGGACCAGCCTTTACTAGCCAAATCACCCAAGCAGTTTCTCAGGCTCTTGGTATTCAGTGGAAACTTCATATCCCTTACCATCCTCAATCTTCAGGAAAGGTAGAACGGACTAATGGTCTTTTAAAGCCACACCTCACCAAGCTCAGCCTCCAACTTAAAAAAGATTGGACAGTACTTTTACCTCTTGCTCTTCTCAGAATCAGAGCCTGTCCTCGAGATGCTACAGGGTACAGTCCATTTGAACTTTTATATGGACGCACTTTCTTGCTTGGCCCCAGCCTCATCCCAGACACCAGCCCTCTAGGTGACTATCTTCCAGTCCTCCAGCAGGCTAGACAGGAAATTCACCAGGCTTCTAATCTTCTCTTACCTACTCCAGATCGCCAGCCATATGAAGACAACCTAGCTGGACGATCAGTTGTTGTTAAGAATCTGACCCCTCAAACTCTACAACCTCGATGGACGGGACCCTACTTAGTCATCTATAGTCCCCGACTGCCGTCCGCCTGCAGGATCCTCCCCACTGGGTTCACCATTCCAGAATAAAGCTGTGTCCATCGGACAGCCAGCCTAATCCCTCCTCTTCCTCCTAGAAGTCACAAGTACTCTCCCCCACTTAAGTACTCTCCCCCACTTCCCTTAAACTCACTCGTATTTCTGAAGAACAGTAATAACCCTTATGAGCCTAATACATCCCTTCATTCTATTAGGTCTGTTCGTCCTTACCCTACTTTTTGCAACAGGGCTTTACGAAGTCACCCCCACCACTTAGGCCGAGCCCCAAAAACTAGTCATCCCTACTATCTTCTGTCCGGTCATACTCCTATTCTCCATTCTCAACTACTTATAAATGCCCTACTCTTGTTTACACTGCCAGTTTACACTGTTTCTTCAAGCCATTACAGCTGATATCTCTTGGTGCTATCCCCAAACCACCACTCTTAACTCCCTCTTAGAGTGGATAGATGATCTTTGCTGGCAGGGCACCCTCCAATACTTCCAACCCTGATGAAGTTCTACTCTTTACTTTTATGCTCACTCTTATTCTCATTCCCATTCTTATGTCACCCTCTACCTCTCCCCAGCTATCTCCACCACAGTATCAACCTTACCCATTCTCTCCTAGCCGCTTCTAATCCCTCCTTGGCGAACAACTGCTGCCTTTGCATTTCCCTTTCTTCCAGTGCCTACACAGCTGTCCCCACCTTACAGACAGACTGGGCAACACCCCCCGTCTCCCTACACCTCCGAACTTCCTTTAACAGCCCTCAACTTTACCCTCCTGAAGAACTCATTTACTTTCTGGACAGGTCCAGCAAGACTTCCCCAGACATTTCACATCAGCAAGCTGCCGCCCTCCTTCGCACTTATTTAAAAAACCTTTCTCCTTATATTAACTCTACTTCCCCCCTATTTGGACCTCTCACAACACAAATTACTATTCCAGTGGCCACTCCTTTATGTATCTCTCCGCAAAGACCCACTGGAATTCCCCTAGGTAATCTTTTACCTTCTCGATGTTCCTTTACTCTTCATCTCCGAAGCCCAACTACACACATCACTGAAACAACTGGAGCCTTCCAGCTGCATATTACAGACAAGCCCTCTATCAATACAGGCAAACTTAAAAAAATTCGCAGCAATTATTGCTTAGGAAGACACTTGCCCTGTATTTCACTCCATCCTTGGCTACCTTCCCCTTGCTCGTCAGACTCTCCTCCCAGGCCCTCTTCTCGTTTACTTATACCCAGCCCCGAAAATAACAGTGAAAGGTTGCTCATAGATACTCAATGTTTTCTCATACACCATGAAAATCAAAACTCCCCCTCTATGCAGTTACCCCATCAGTCCCCATTACAACCTCTGACAGCTGCCGCCCTAGCTGGATCCCTAGGAGTCTGGGTACAAGACACCCCTTTCAGCACTCCTTCTCATCTTTTTACTTTACATCTCCAGTTTTGCCTCACACAAGGTCTCTTCTTCCTCTGTGGATCCTCTACCTACATGTGTCTACCTGCTAATTGGACAGGCACATGTACACTAGTCTTCCTTACCCCCAAAATTCAATTTGCAAATAGGACCGAAGAGCTCCCTGTTCCCCTCATGACACCAACATGACAAAAAAGAGTTCTTCCACTAATTCCCTTGATGGTCCGTTTAGGACTTTCTGCCTCCACTATTGCTCTTGGTACTGGAATAGCAGGCATTTCAACCTCTGTCACGACCTTCTGTAGCCTGTGTAATGACTTCTCTGCTAGCATCACAGACATATCACAAACTTTATCAGTCCTCCAGGCCCAAGTTGACTCTTTAGCTGCAGTTGTCCTCCAAAACTGCCGAGGCCTTGACTTACTCACTGCTGAAAAAGGAGGACCCTGCATATTCTTAAATGAAGAGTGTTGTTTTTACCTAAATCAATCTGGCCTGGTGTATGACAACATAAAAAAACTCAAGGATAGAGCCCAAAAACTTGCCAACCAAGCAAGTAATTACGCTGAACCCCCTTGGGCACTCTCTAATTGGATGTCTTGGGTCCTCCCAATTCTTAGTCCTTTAATACCCATTTTTCTCCTTCCTTTATTTGAACCTTGTATCTTCTGTTTAGTTTCTCAATTGATCCAAAACCGTATCCAGGCCATCACCAATCTTTCTATACGACAAATGTTTCTTCTAACATCCCCACAATATCACCCCTTACCACAAGACCTCCCTTCAGCTTAATCTCTCCCACTCTAGGTTCCCACGCCCCCCCAATCCCGCTTGAAGCAGCCCTGAGAAACATCGCCCATTCTCTCTCCATACCACCCCCCAAAAATTTTTGCCGCCCCAACACTTCAACACTATTTTGTTTTATTTTTCTTATTAATATAAGAAGGCAGGAATGTCAGGCCTCTGAGCCCAAGCCAAGCCATCGCATCCCCTGTGACCTGCACGTATATGCCCAGATGGTCTGAAGTAACTGAAGAATCACAAAAGAAGTGAATATGCCCTGCCCCACCTTAACTGATGACATTCCACCACAAAGGAAGTGTAAATGGCCGGTCCTTGCCTTAACTGTTGACATCACTTTGTGAAAGTCCTTTTCCTGGCTCATCCTGGCTCAAAAAGCACCCCCACTGAGCACCTTGCGACCCCCATTCCTGTCCACCAGAGAACAAACCCCCTTTGACTTTAATTTTCCTTTACCTACCGAAATCCTATAAAATGGCCCCACACTTATCTCCCTTTGCTGACTCTCTTTTCGGACTCAGCCCAACTGCACCCAGGTGATCAAAAGCTTTATTGCTCACACAAAGCCTGTTTGGTGGTCTCTTCACATAGACACGCACGAAAGCTAGTGTCCTCTATTTACCTCTACCATCTGCCACTGAGGCACAGCCCAGAGCACAGCTCACCTTTTGTGTGAACCCAATTTGCCACAGCAGCACTCCAGTGTCACATCAGAGAGTGAAGCCTGAGCTGCAGGAGGAGAGCCTGCAGGCCTCCTGGGTAAAATTTCACCTTCACAGTAATGGAAATGGGAGCAGTGTTTCAACTCCTTTCTACTTATAATGGTGACAAGGAAAAAATACTGCTGAATTTCCAGCATGAGTCCAGATAGAGATAGCTCCAAAAGCTCTCACTGTGACAGCCCAGCTTATTCAGAAACCATGTGATACAAATAGATCTTCTGAAACAGACACCCAAAGCATTGGAGAGAAAAACATTATCTCCATCTGAGCAAGATTATTTTGAGAAAAAAGTTAAAATAATCTAAGAAAAAGCTCAGATTAGATATAAGATTGATCATGTCAGTCAGAAAATATTCCCCTAAAAGAAATCTCTCTCTAAACACCCAAAGTGCAAGCTACTCTCAGCATGAGAAATGAGCATTATGAAGGAGGCAGATCTTAAGAATAATTTTATAAAGTTTCTTTTCCATCTCTGCTGTTCCCTCATCTCCTAGCCATTGAATGGAGGTTCTATATTGAAATACATCTGACAACTTCAAGCAACACTTTTTGATGAAGAAATAGAATCTGACTGTGTTCATATAGTGGAACATATTAGAGCTTGCAACATAGCAAACTGAAGAACCATTATAGTTTTTGGGTGGCCACATCACCTGTCTTTATTTGTCCTGTAATAGCAGCATACCAATTTAGTGAAATAAAAGATATTAAAATTGTGTTTACTCATAATAATCCCTATTGAATAAAGTAATAAACATGTCACACTAATATCTACTTAATGTAACAATTTGGTATAAATTTTATTTGGATATTAGACTTAAGTAAGTATAAATCATTTTAATGAACTAGTCATAATGTATATAGTATGTATATAGTATGTGTATAGTTTAAAATTATAGTTTTAAAAATTAAAACTATACTTCAGTTAAAACATTTTATATTTCAGAAGTGTAAATAATGATATTAAAATAACCATTTAAGTGATTAATTCAAAGTAAGTAGTGCAGCTTTGTACTCATACTATTGTAGAAAATACTGTTTATGGCTCACCCCTGTAATCCCAGCACTTTAGGAGGCTGAGGCGGGTGGATCACCTGAGGTCAAGGATTCAAGATTAAGCTGGTGAACATGATAACACACCATCCCTACTATAAATACAATAATTTAGACAGGCATGGTTGGGCACACCTGTAATCCCAGCTATTCTGGAGGCTGAGGCAGGAGAATCACTTCAACCCGGGAGGCAGCGGTTGCAGTGAGCTGAAATTACGCCACTGAACTCCAGCCTGGGCAAGAGTGAGACTCTGTCTCAAAAAAAAAAAAAAAAAAAAAAGAAAAGAAAATACTGTTTAATTTATATGAATGCAGGTAGTCTGCAAACATTACACATAACTATACTAATTGTTATGAAGTAATAGAAAGCAAGGTACAACTACAGACTGCACTGTTCAGTTTATGCACTGAACTGTTCTTGCTTTTGCAGTACAAGTGCTTCAGCCTGCAAATATTGGATAATTACCTTGGATCATCAGGTTTCTGACAAAGAAATTTAGTATCTTTTAGTCTTTATCATTCTGTATTGCTAAATTTAATTCTCTTTGTGCTAAGCTTCTGTATGCTATTAAAATGAGCTTTTATCTAAACAAATCTGTCTAAAGGACTAAAAATGAAAAAAATAAACATTTTGGAAGCAAAAACAAAGTAATAAATCTGAAGTACTAGATAAAGATAATCTGGAGTCAGAAAAAATGACAAAAGGTTTATTTAGCTGTTAATATGATTTACATATATTTCAATAAAACAAAGAAAAATATCTACATATAATCTAAATTCCTTACAAAAAGAGGGAATAGCAAAAACATTTTTGGAAGTTTTCAAAGAGTTTTGAACTCTTGGACATCTGAAATTTGTACAATGTATGCACTTGAAAGAAGGTTTATGAGGGAAAAACCAAAAGAGAGAAAGATATTATATGAAACTTATTAATGCATAAGACCAATGCAACTGGCCGGGCGCGGTGGCTCAAGCCTGTAATCCCAGCACTTTGGGAGGCCGAGGCGGGCAGATCACGAGGTCAGGAGATCGAGACCATCCTGGCTAGCCCGGTGAAACCCCATCTCTACTAAAAATACAAAAAAATTAGCCGGGCGCGGTGGCAGGCACCTGTAGTCCCAGCTATTCGGGAGGCTGAGGCAGGAGAATGGCATGAACCCGGGAGGCGGAGCTTGCAGTGAGCCGAGATCGGGCCACTGCACTCCAGTCTCGGCCAAAGAGCGAGACTCCGTCTAAAAAAAAAAGACCAATGCAACAGAACAGAGAGGCCAGAAATAATGCCACCCTCCTACCGCCATCAGATTTCTGACAAAGCTGTCAAGAGGAATGTGGGAAGAATTGTTTCATAAATGGTGCTGGAATAAATACCTAACACTATGTAGAAGACAGAAACTGGACCCTTTCATTTCATTTTGATTTACAAAAATCAACTGAAGATAAATTAAAAAATTAAATGAAAAACTTAAAATTATAAGAAACCCAGCCATGATAACCTAGGAAATACCATTCTAGACATAAAAACTGGGAAAGACTTCATGAGGAAGCTACCAAAAGCTACTGCAACAAAAGCAAAAATTGACCAATGGGACCCATTTGAACTTAAGAGCTTCCTAACAGAAAGGAAACTATCAACAGAGTAAACAGACAACCTACAAGCTTACAAGAAAAAACCGAACAACCTCATTAAAAATTAGGCAAAATATATGAACAGATGCTTTTCAAAAGAAGACATATATGAAGCTAACTAGCATATGAAAAAAAGTGGTCATCGCTAATCATTAGAGAAATTAAAAGAAAAATCACAATGAGACACCACCACACACCAGTCAGAATGGCTATTTTTAAAAAGTCAAAAAATAACAGATGCTGGCAAGGTTGCAGAGAAAAGGGAATGCTTATACTCTTCTGGTGGGAGTGTAAATTAGTTCAAAAACTGTAAAAAGCAGTGTGGCGATTCCTCACAGAACTAAAAACAGAATCCTCATTTGACCCAGGAGCCCCACAACTGGGTATATAGCCAAAGAAATATAAATTATTATATCATAAAGACATACCCACATGCATGTTCATTGCAGCACTATTCACAATAGCAAAGACATGGACAGGCTGTAAATGCCTATCAATGGTAGACTGGATAAAGAAAATATGGTATGGTCAGCCTGGCGCAGTGGCTCATGCCTGTAATCCCAGCACTTTGGGAGGCTGACCCGGGCGGATCACCAGAGGTCAGGAGTTCGAGACCAGCCTGACCAATATGGTGAAACCCCGTCTCTACTAAAAATACAAAAAAAATTTGCCATGCGTGGTGGCCAGCACCTGTAGTCCCAGCTACACAGAAGGCTGAGGCAGGAGAATTGCTTGAACCTGGGAGGTGGAGTTTGCAGTGAGCCAAGATCGCACCACTGCACTCCAGCCTGGGAGACTCCGTCTCAAAAAAAAAAAAAGAAAATATGGTATGGTCAAATGTGGTGGCTCATGCCCGTCCTCCCAGCATTTTGGGAGGCCAAGGCAGTTGGATTGCCTGAGTTTAGAAGTTTGGGACCAGCCTAAGCAACATGGCAAAATCCTGTCTCCACAAAAAATACAAAAAGAAAAATTGGCCAGGGGTGGTAACGCAAATGTGTAGTCCCAGCTACTTGTGAGGATGAGGTAGGAGAGAATTGCTTGAGCCTGAAAGGTTCAGGCTAATGTATGTCAGTATCATGCCACAGCACTCTAGCCTGAACAATAAGTAAGACCCTGTCTCCAAAAATAAAAGATTTAGTAAAAACAAAATATGATACATAAACATCATGAATACTCTGTGGCCATTAAAAGAAATGATTATGTCCTTTGCAATAACATCGATGATGCTGGAGATCATTATTCTTAGAAAACTAATGCAGAGCCTGGGCGTGGTGGCTCAGGCCTGTAATCCCAGCACTTTGGGAGGCTGAAGTGGGATAATCACCTGAGGTCGGGAGCTTAAGACCATCCTGACCAACATGGAGAAACCCTGTTGCTACTAAAAACACAAAATTAGCCAAACGTGGTGGTGCACGCCTATAATACTAGCTACTTGGGAGGCTGAGGCAGGAGAATCGCTAGAACCCAGGAGTCAAAGGTTGCAATGAGCCGAGATCGCAACATTACACTGCAGCCTGGGCAACAAGAGCAAAACTTCATCTCAAAAAACAAAACAAAAAACAAAAAAAAAAGAAAACTAATGCTAAAGGGGTGGCCTGCCCCTCCACACCTGTGAGTATTTCTCATCGGGTGGGACTAGAGACTGAGAAAAGAAAGAGACACAGAGACAAAGTATAGAGAAAGAAAAGTGGGCCCAGGGGACAAGAGCTCAGCAGATGGAGGACCGGCACCGGCACCAGTCTCTGAGTTCCCTAGTTATTTACTGATCATTATCACTACCATCTCAGAGAGGGAGATGTGGCAGGACAATAGGGTAATAGCGGGGGAAGGGTCAGCAGGAAAACGTGAAGAAATGTCTCAGTGTCAGAAACAAGGTTAGAAAATGTGCTGTGTTTTGATGTGCACATACATAAACATATCTGGTGCATTAAAGAGCAGTATTGCCACCAGCACGTCTCACCTCCAGCGTTAAGGGGGTTTTCTCCTATCTCAGTAGATGGAATATACAATCAGGTTTTACACTGAGACATTCCATTGCCCAGGGAGGAGCAGGAGACAGATGCCTTCCTCTTATCTCAACTGCAAAGAGGACTTTCTCTTTTACTAATCCTCCTCAGCACAGACCCTTTATGGGTGTCGGGCTGGGGGATGGTCAGGTCTTTCCCTTGCCATGAGGTCATATTTCAGACTATCACATGGGGAAAAACCTTGCACAATACCTGGCTTTCCTAGGCAGAGGTCCCTGCGGCCTTCCACAGTGTTTTGTGTCCCTGGGCACTTGAGATTAGGGAGTGGTGATGACTTTTAACAAGCATGCTGCCTTCAAGCATTTGTTTAACAAAGCACATCCTGCATAGCCCTAAATCCATTAAACCTTGAGTGGACACAGCACATGTTCCTGCAAGCACAGGGTAGCGGGTAGGGTTACAGATTAACAGTATCTCAAGGCAGAAGAATTTTTCTTAGTACAGAACAAAATGGAGTCTCTTATGTCTACTTCTTTCTACATAGACACAGTAACAGTCTGATCTCTCTTTTCCCCACAAATGCAGAAACAGAAAACCAAATGCATGTTATTATTTATAAGTAAGAGCTAAATAATAAGAACACATGAACACAACAGGAGAATAACAGACACTGAGACCTAGTAGAGGGTGGAGAGTGGGAGGACCATGAGGATCAGAAAACAGACATGTTTGGTGCTATACGTAGTATCTCAGTGATAAAATCTGCACACCAAACCCCCATGACATAATTTTAGCTGTATAACAAACCCATATGTGTACCCTAAACCAAAAATAAAAGCTACAAGAAAAAAAAACAGGCCAGGCGCGGTGGCTCACGCCTGTAATCCCAGCACTTTAGGAGGCCGAGGCGGGTGGATCACGAGGTCAGGAGATCGAGACCCTCCTGGCTAACATGGTGAAACCCCGTCTCTACTAAAAATACAAAAAATTAGCCGGGGGTAGTGGCACGTGCCTGTAGTCCCAGCTGCTCAGCAGGCTGAGGCAGGAGAATAGTGTGAACCTGGGAGGCAGACCTTGCAGTGAGCCGAGATCTCGCCACTGCACTCCAGCCTGGATGACAGAGCGAGACGCCATCTCAAAAAAAAAAAAAGAAGAAAGAAAGAAAGAAAAAAAACAAATCCCTGTGTGGGAAAGACTGCAATGTAGATGAACAGACTGATTTTCGCTACAGATAGTGGCCCAGGTGGGGCCACACTCTGATTTATTTCTGTATGCATGCAGGCAGATGAGATTATAAAGAGGAGGTCCAGACCTTTAGGTTGATGGAGAAAATAGGTTGCTGCTGCAGATTCAGTGTCTGGGGGTGGGGATATGCCAGGAGACTTGTAGACACTTGTGGGTTCTTGGCAAGAAACACTAGGATCAAAAATGCTGGCTGGGTGCGATGGCTTATGCCTGTAATCCCGGCACTTTGGGAGGGCAAGGTGGGTGGATCATGAGGTCAGGATTTTGAGACCAGCGTGGCCAACATGGTGAAACCAAGTCTCTACTAAAAATACAAAAATTAGCTGGGTGTGGTGGCACTCACTTGTAATCCCAGCCACTTGGGAGGCTGAGGCAGAAGAATCGTTGGAACCTGGGAGGCAGAGGTTGAAGTGAGCCGAGATGGCACCACTGCACTCCAGCCTGGGCAAAAGAGCAAGACTCTGTCTCAGAAAAAGAAAAAAAAATGGCATAATGAAGTTCCTGAAGGTGGTGCCTAGTCCTGGGAGGAGTATGGGCACGTCTATGTCTAGTGTGTGTGTTTGTGAGTAGGTGGGAATCCTATTGTGGCACTTGCAAGAAAAGGGGGGTGTCTGTCATCAGAGCTCTTTTCCTCTAAGTTTTCAGTCCTCTGTCACCCTGGGAGAAGATCTGGAATCACAGGACAATGGGCAGTGTGACAGCCTGTGTACAGGAGAGCCTCCTATTCCCAAACACCCAGAGTTTTATTCCAGGCCAGGCCTCCGTGATATCTTTTGCTGGCACCAAATCTGCAGAGTTTGCTGAACGTCAAACAACTCTCCAACAACAACTCATTATCTAACATTTGAAATCTGACACCACCCAGAGTCAGCACAGACCCCGTTTCAGTGCTCAGTCCCACAACATTGTCCTCACTGCAGATGCCAGTCACAAACCCCATGGCCCATCTATGCTTCTCACCTATTGTTTGAAAATTGGGGACACCCAAATAATTTGCTAGAGCTATTCACAGAACTCAGGAAAACACTGTAGTGATGTTTACCGGTTTAATGTATAAGATGTGGCCCAGGAAAAGCCAAATGGAAGAAATGCATAGATCAAAGAAAAGAGAACTCTTTCCAGCCAGCGCTGAGAGATGGGCATCTCTTGGGACAACTGGCACAAACGCTGCAAGTCCAGGGGCAAGAGAAAGCCCTACCACAAGAAGCAGAAGGATGAGTTGTGGCGCCCGGCTGCCAACACCAAGATTGGCCCCCGCCGCATCCACACAGTCCGTTTGTGGGGAGGTAAGAAGAAATACGGTGCCCTGAGGCTGGACGGGGGAATTTCTCCTGTGGCTCAGAGTGTTGTACTGGTAAAACAAGGATCGTCCATGTTGTCTACAATACATCTAATAACGAGCTAGTCCGTACCAAGACCCTGGTGAAGAATTGCATCGTGCTCATCAACAGCACACCGTCAGGACGGTGGTACTAGTCCCATTATGTGCTGCCCCTGGGCAGCAATTCTTGCTGACCTGCAATTCTTGCAGCCTCAACATGGAGAAACTCTGTCTCTACTAAAAATACAAAATTAGCCAGGTGTGGTGGTGCATGCCTGTAATCCCAGCTACTCGGGAGGCTGAGGCAGGAGAATCGCTTGAACCCAGGAGGCGGAGGTTGCAGTGAGCCGAGATTGTGCCATTGCACTCCAGCCTGGGCAATAAGAGAGAAACTTCATCTCAAAAAAAAAAAAAAAGAGGAAATACGATGAAAGGAAAAAGAATGCCAAAATCAGCAGTCTCCCGAAGGAGCAGTTCCAGCAGGGCAGCTTCTTGCTTACATCGCTTCAGGGCCGGGACAGGGTGGCCGAGCAGATGAGATTACAGGCGTGAGCCACCGCGCCTGGCCTAAAACAAAATATTTCTCAATGAAACTTTTCTTAAGCTTATATGCCTCCCTCAAGCTCCTGAACTTTGAGCTACCCTCAGTCTGAGTCAACATACAACCACATTTTACATCCCTCCTAAGAACATGCTGATTTCAGAGTAAGACATTCTCTGATATAAAATCTGACTTTTGCACCCTCCATTTGCCATTCCCCTCCCACCTCCTTTCTAAACTTCTTTGCTCCTCCCTAGGGAAGAAAGCACTTTTCTGCCTACGTTTTTGCAAGCCATAAAGACGTTATACTTTGTTGGTACTTCCTCCTGTTGCAATATGTTTTTGGAATTCATTTTTTTCCATAAATCTAACGTTTTTATTTTACAAAGTCAAACAAGTGCCTCAAAACAATAACATCATTATCAGTAAGACCCATCCAGTTTCCTTTCATCTTAATCTTAACTGCATCTGCCTGGACAAACTCCATCTCAAAAAAAAAAAAAAAACCCTCCTTTTGCAGGCTTAATATTAGCCTTAGCTCGGAATCACTAGGTTCAAGCTTTAATTTCCATGCCAGAGTTATTCACTGGGTTTTTGAAACTAAGTGTTGGAAAATACAGTGAAGTTACTAAAACACAGTGTTTACATAAAGGATGGAAATTTTAAGATGCTTACTTTTTTTTTTTTTTTTTTTTTTGAGGACTCTCCCTCTGTCGCGCATGCTGGAGCGCGATGGAGGGATCTCAGCTCACTGCAACCTCTGCCTCCCGAGTTCAAGCAATTCTCGGGCCTCAGCCTCCCAAGTTGCTGGGATTACAGGCGCTTGGCACCACTCCAGGCTAATTTTTGTATTTTTAGTAGAGAGAGGTTTCACCACGTTGGATAGGCTGGTCTAGAAATTTGACCACGTGATCCGCCCGCCTCGGCGCCCCAAAGTGCTGAAATTACAGGCAGGAGCCACCGCGCCTGGCCGGGAAGGGGTTATTAGCCCTAATGCAGTTCTGTTTTTGTTTTCCCTCCATTGGCTGGGGTCAGACCGCACAATCTAAGCTGATCCCGGTTGGCTTACACTCAAGCTTTTTCCAAATCGGGTAATGCGCGATTTGTGAGAAAAGGAGAAGGGAGAAGAAGGGGTAGGGGTGATTTACAACTTTTCCAACTTATGACCAGGAAGTTGCGTCTTTGAAGAAGAACTACGTTGTACTAACAACCCTTTACCTCAAGTGATCCGCTCGCCTCGACCTCCCAAAATGCTGGGATTACAGGCATGAACCACAGCGACCGGCCCCATAAGTTTTTAATAGGAGAAAAGAGAAACTGTCAACCCCATGGACCAAAGCTCTTCCCATTCATGAACCTGCACCCCGAGTCAGGATTCTCCCCCGAGAACCCTCCCGTGCTCCCTGCACAATCTGGGAGAGACGCAGCGCTGTGGGTGCAGAGCTGCCCAGAGAGGGCTCCAGGCCAGGGCAGGGAAGAGACAGGACGCCGCGGGGCCCGGCTGTCGGCGCTGTTGCCATCTTATGGCTGAAGGGGACTGAGGCCGAACTGGGCAAGGAGAAGTCGGTCGCAGATTGTGGAGCTGACTGCGGGGAGGCCTAAGTCCCGCCACAGCCACTTCCCATCGGTTCCAACCAGTCCCTCCCCTCTCTCGGAATGCTGGAAAGGCACTCTCACCATTTCTAGGCTTCCGGGGGTCCCTCAGCTGTGGATCTCCCAATACCTGCAGGTCACAGGGCCACAGAGGCTGGAGAAGAAGACACGAAGCAGCTAAGACCAGATTTGGAGCACCAGCTGCAGCAAGAGACAAATGGCCGCGCCAAACCCGAAAGCCTTCCTCTTCGCTCCAGCTGCCTGCATGATTGGACGGTTTCCAACCCAGCGTCCCTGATTGGATAATGCTTAAGGCCCCGCCTCCTCAGTCCCTGAGTGACAGAAGATGTGATCACATGCTGGGCTGAGTGAAGAAAGAGTCACAGCCTCAGCTGCAGCCTTTTCAGGCCGGGCTTCCTCCTTGAGCTGAGCCAGGCCCACCGGAGAGCATGGGAAAATTCTTTTTTACTCTTTCTCTTTTTGAATGTATTCAAAAGGTGAACAGAAGTATTTGGCTGTCATATTAATAATACAAAAAATTTTTGTTCAAGAGAAAACTTTTACTTTGGTAATAGTGTATTATCAATACGAAAGCTAATTTTAATAAAACCTTGTAAGTAAATCAAATTTGTCATTTTTGACCTCTCGAGACTTACATATACATCATATATATTTTGTAATCTAATGTAATTTTTTTAACTTTTTATATTTTATTTTTATCTACATTCTTTTTATTTTTTCAATTTGAAACAACTTTTAAGTAATTTCAAACTGTTATAGGAGACAGAAAGGAAATCATTTAGGGCCAGGCGCGGTGGCTCACGCCTGTAATTCCAGCACTTTGGGAAGCCAAAGAGGGCGAATCACTTGAGGTCAGGAGTTCAAGACCACCCTGGCCAACACGGTGAAACCCCATTTCTACTAAAAATACAAAACCTTACCTGGGCGTGCTGGTGCACACCTGTAGTCCCAGCTACACCGAAGGCTGAGGCAGGAGAATCTCTTGAACCTAGGAGGTGGAGGTTGTGTAACCGCCCAAGGAGTTTACCTTGCCCTTTGCCCAGACAAAACCAATTCATCAAGACAGGGGAATTTGTGGAGGAAAAGTTAAATATTTAATTTGAACTCAATTGAACGTGGACACAAACAATGGTCACCAAGTCCTGGAAGAGGTTGTGTGAGCCCCTTGAGGCGTTCATCCAGTGCTATTTTAGAGAAATCTCTATGTCAATCTATTCAATCTATTCCTATACATTCGTTATTGAAAAACAATAGACAAGGCCGGGCGCGGTGGCTCACGCCTGTAATCTCAGCACTTTGGGAGGCTGAGGCGGGCGGGTCACGAGGTCAGGAGATCAAGACCATGCTGGCTAACACGCTGAAACCCCGTCTCTACTAGAAATACAAAAAATTAGCCAGGCCTGGTGGCAGGCGCCTGTAGTCCCAGCTAGTCGGGAAGCTGAGGCAGGAGAATGGTGTGAACCTGGGAGGCGGAACTTGGAGTGAGCCGAGATCGCGCCACTGCACTCCAGCCTGGGCGACAGAGCGAGACTCCGTCTCAAAAAAAAAAAAAAAAAAGAAAGAAAGAAAAAGAAAAACAATAGACAATCACAAAAACAAGTTGACCTTTCTGTGTTCCTTGAGACCAGTCATGAAGGGCCCTGGTGACTAGGCCTCATGCTGAACAACTCGTTACAAAAAGAGCTAGGTTCCCAGACCGCGCAGAAGCGTCATTATACCTCTCCTGGTCTGTGCACCGATGGGTGGCCAACTCTGGAGCCCATCCTGTTGCTTTCCGGTCTGGTGGTGAATCCTCCATAGTCTGGTGTGGAGTCAAAGTTAAATAATAAATTTGTGCTAATTGAACGTGGACACAAACAATGGTCACCAAGTCCGGGAACAGGTTGTGTGAGCCCCTAGAGGCGTTCATCCAGCGCTGTTTCAGAGAAATCTGTATTTCAATCTATTCCTATACATTCGTTCTTGAAAAACAACAGACAATCCCAAAAACAAGTGACCTTTTTGTGTTTCTTCAGCTCAGTCGCGAAGGGTCCTCATGACTAAGCCTCGTGCCAAACAACTCATTACAAAAGAGCTAGGGTCCCAGACTGCGCCAAAGCTTCGTGACAGCTCTCCTCACCTGTGCACAATTGTTAGCTTGCTATTGGACTTTACTGGAAACAAAACACCTCTGCTTTAACCATGATGTCTTTATGAGGCCTAAATTTCCTGTTATGATTTAGGTCACGAGTTCCCTCAAAATCCACAGGAGGCCAAGATGTGTGGATCACGAGGTCAGAAGTTTGAGACCAGGCTGGCCAACATGATGAAACCCCATCTCTACTAAAAATACAAAAACTAGCCAGGTGTGGTGGCATGCATCTATAATCCCAGCTACTCAGGGGGCTGAGGCAGGAGAATCACTGGAATCCCAGGAGGCAGAGGTTGCAATGAGCTGAGGTCTCACCACTGCACTCCAGCCTATGTGACAGACTGAGACTCCATCTCAAAAACAAACAACCGAAAAACATAACCATTTCTGATGAAGAAAGGGGTGGGAGCAGCCAGTTAACTGAACTAGTAGACATCCTCTGAGCTCTTCGAAAGGAAGGAAGAAGGATTTGTCACTTGTATACCAACTCTTGCTCAGTAGCAAATGGTCTTACTACCTGGATGCCCCAATGACAACAAAACAAATGGTTAATTGGGAATAAAGAGGTATGGGGAAAACAATACTGGGAAGATACATGAATTCTGGTACACACTACCATTATCATTGTTTTCCTGTATTAATTAATTTATTTTTTTTGACACGGAGTCTAGCTCTGTCACCAGGCTGGAGTACAGTGGCTCAGTCTCGGGTCACCAGGCTTGAGTGCAGTGGCTGAGTCTCAGCTCACTGCAACCTCTGCCTCCCAGGTTCAAGTGATTCTCCTGCCTCAGCCTCCCGAGTAGCTGGGATTACAGGCATGCACCGCCACGCCCAGCTAATTTTTGTACTTCTCTAGTAGAGGCGGGGTTTCACTGTGTTCACCAGGGTGGTCTCAATCTCCTGACCTCGTGAACAACCCACCTCAGCCTCCCAAATTGGTAGAAGTACAGGCTTGGGCCACCACTCCTGGATCTGTTTTCCATGATGATGCTCATGCATCTCTGCTTTTCTTGACAGACTATTTAATCAGCAGGAAGATCGACAGGCCAAAATTTCCACCATAAATGCAAATTTGAATGTGGATGAATGGATTACAATGTGTTCAAGCCTTGCAATGAGAGGCATTATAGTGTTTGGTGGTATAATTGATGGTGATTACTGGGGAGAGTTAAAGGTTGTTTTATACAATACCACTCCAGATTCTTTTGCTATAAAACCACAAATGTGGGTTGCTCAATTATTAGTGGTACCTTGTCAACAATTAACCCCTGAGGAAATCTCTGTCCCAACAGAGGCTACATACAGAACTCGGGGATTCAGATCCACTGGTTCATGTAGCTTAAATCCTGGAGCCAATATATGGGTACAGCATCCATCAGATCCCACCCCTAAGTCTGGTGACCTTGTAGCTGTGAAAACAGAAAATGAAGGCATAGTACAATTTCCTAAAGATGAAAAACAATATGATGTTCCTATCCTTTTTTGTTATTACAGGGAATAATCTATCTACTAATGGTCAGCACCTGTGTCTTTGTGTCTGAGGCCAAGAATAAATTCATGAACTGGGTAGCCACCGCTGCAATAGAAGCCAATCACAGACAATGTTTTCTATACGTCGAGTTGCCAAAGGCCGCCAGGAATGGGCTACCTTGGAGAATCATCCTGACAACATTTCTGAATGGCTATGTAGTTACCAACGGGGTCACAACAACACTTGTAGTCCAACCTGTACTTCCTTTGACCACACTAAGCAATCTATCTTTGCCCAAGTCAGACAAAAGGTGAACTCCACATTCTCCTTTCATCAAAAGCCTTGGTATCCTGCCCAATATTCCTGGAATGGTATATTTTGGAAACCAGCTGTGCTGGTGCCTGGATTCCCTATAGCCCCCGCTTAGTCTGGAGGCCTTAAAAGGTTCCTCTAATATTACTCTGGGGTTTCTCCAGACAATTGTCAACACATACTCCAAATCAACATTGCCCCCAGTGAACCACAATCTCTTTCCTACTTTAATAATACATGAGTACACTGTGATTACAGTAGCTCCATTGCTGTCCCCTGGGGGAGCCCTCTGGGTATGCAGATCCTATGAGTGGTGATACCTGTCCCCACACTGGACAGGGAGATGAACTTGGGGATAGCCATTAATTCCATTCACCATCCGGGTTAATATTCCTCTCCCAAGTAATTTAGATACTTACAAACATCACTGGTTATGAATGTGCCAGCCTCCCTGGCCTCCCTGGTGGCAGTACCCTATCACAGTATTCTCCCCTGCCACTGGTACAATCCTGCTTCAGCAACAAACTAAAATATTAAGGTTATATGTAGAAAAAGCTCTTAATGATATTAGCACTAGACTTATGTTGTTACCAGATAAATTTGCTCAGCTGAGTACTGTTGTGTTGCAAAATCAAATGGCATTAGATATGCTTACCGCAGCCCAAGGAGGGATTTGTGCCATATTGCATGCTAAATGTGGTGTGTATATCCCTGGCAATTCTCACAATATGACTCTCCTTAGAAAGCCATGCTGGGTGTGGTTTTTATTAATTGTGCTTTTAATTCTCCTGTCCTTACCCTGTATCTGTAATCTATATCGACTATGCCTTCCCTATGTATCTGTAAGGGTATTTTCCTACAATTGAGTATCCAATTGAGGCCAAAGGTGGAGAAAAAGTTAAATTTGAATTGAATTGAATGTGGACACAAACGATGGTCACCAAGCCTGAGAATAGGTTCTGCGAGCCCCTTGATGCATTCATCTAGAGTTGTTTCAGAGAAATCTCGATTTCAATCTATTCCTTTATATTGTTATTGAAAAACAATAGCCAATTGCAAAAACAAGTTAACTTTTTGTGTTCCTTGAGCCCAGTCTCAAGGGCCCTCCACTGTGCCTCATGCCAAACAACTTGTTACAAAATGACCTAGAGCCCCAGAACGCACTAAAGCTTAAAGAGACCTCTCCTTGTCCTTGCATGGATGGGTGGCTGACTCTGGAGCCCAGGTTGTTGCATTCCGGTGTGGCGATGAATCCTCCATAGTCTGGTGAGTGTATATATATGTACATATATTTATGTGTGTATGTATATATATATTTATATGTGTGTATATATATATATTTATGTGTGTGTGTGTGTATATATATATATCTTTTTCCTTCTCCCCTTTCCATTGCAATTTTCTTATATCAATTTACTTGGCCGGGCGCGGTGGCTCACGCTTGTAATCCCAGCACTTTGGGAGGCCAACGCGGTCGGATCAGGAGGTCAGGAGATCGAGACCACGGTGAAACCCCGTCTCTACTAAAAATACAAAAAATCAGCCGGGCATGGTGGCACGTGCCTGTGGTCCCAGCTACTCAGAACGTTGAGGCAGGAGAATGGCGTGAACCCGGGAGGTGGAGCTTGCAGTGAGCCGAGATCGCGCCACTGCACTCCAGCCTGGGTGACAGAGTGAGACTCCGTCTCAAAAAAAAAAAAAAAATTTACTTATATCTGCATTGCCATTTATGTGGGATAAAGCTTGTTTACCCTTAAAGGTATTGTGTAGGTGTCTTTTCTTCTACCCTCATGTGTTTCCTTCACAGAACACCATATTTGTCAGAGGCTTTCTTTGTTCCTTTTTATTCTTTTTTCTTTAATCTTGTCTGCATGCCTTATTTTGACAAGGTGGTCTTCAAATACTGATATTCTTTCTTCTGCTTGGTCAGTTCGGCTACTGATACTTTTGTATGCTTCATGAAGTTCTCGTGCTGTGTTTTTCAGCTCCATCAGATCATTTATGTTCCTCTCCAAACTTGTTATTATAGTTAGCAGTTCCTCTAACCTTTTTTTTTTTTTTTTTTTTTGAGACGGAGTCTTGCTCTTTCGCCCAGTCTGGAGTGCAGTGGCGTGATCTCAGCTCACTGCAAGCTCCGCCTCCCGGGTTCACGCCATTCTCCTGCCTCTGCCTCCCGAGTAGCTGGGACTACAGGCTCCCGCCACCATGCCTGGCTAATTTTTTTTGTATTTTTTAGTAGTGACGGGGTTTCACCTTGTTAGCCAGGATGGTCTCCATCTCCTGACCTCGTGATCCGCCCGCCTCGGCCTCCCGGAGTGCTGGGATTACAGGCGTGAGCCACCGCGCCCGGCTCCTCTAACCTTTTATCAAGGTTCTTAGCTTCTTTATATTGGGTTAGAACATGTTCCTTTGGCTCAGCAGAGTTTTTTTATTACCCATCTTCTGAAGCCTACTTCTGTCAATTCCTGCATCTCATCCTCTGTCCAGTTCTGTACCCTTGCTGAAGAAACATTTTGATCATTTGGAGAAGAGGCACTCTAGCCTCTCAATGTTTTTTTGTTGATTCTTTCTCATCTTCATGAGTTTGTCTAGTTTTGATCTTTGAGGCTGCTGACCCTTGGATTTTTTTGTTTTGTTTTGTTTTGTTTGAGACAGAGTCTTGCTCTGTCACCCAGGCTGGAGTGCAGTGGCAGGATCTTGGCTCCCTGCAACTTCCGCCTCCAAGGTTCAAGTGATTCTCATGTCTCAGACTCCCAAGTAGCTGGGACAACAGGCGTGCACCACCACGCCTGGCTAATTTTTGTATTTTTTTTAGTAGAGACCAGGTTTCACCACGTTGGCCAGGCTGGTCTCAAACTCTTGACCTCAAGTGCTCTGCCCGCCTCAACCTCCCAAAGTATTTGGATTATGGTGTGAGCCACCATGTGCAGCCTTGGGTGGGATTTTTCTGGGTATATTTTTTTCTTGTTGATGCTGTTGTTGCTGCTTTCTGTTTGTTTGTTTTTCATTCAGTGGTCAGGTCCCTCTTCTGTAGGGTTGCTGCACCTTGCTAGGGGTTCACCTCAGGCCCTATTCATCTGGTTCACTCCAGTGCCTGGAGAGGTCACTCAAGGAGGCTGCAGAGCAGTAAAGAAGAGTGTCTGCACCTTCCTCTGGGATCTCTGACCTCAAGAGGCACCAACCTGAAGCCAGTAGGATCACTCCTGTATAGGGTGCCTGACAACCCCTGTTGAGGGGTCTCATCCAGTGCATGGGGAGAAGAACCCTTTTAATGAAGCACTTTGACTGTCGTTTGGTGGAGGAGGAGTGTTTTGCTGGGGGCAAATACACTCATCTGAGCTGCTGGAAATGCTCAGAACTAGCAGGAGGAAAGGCTAAGTCTGCTTGTCCACAGAGACTGCAGCCACCCCTCCCCCTAGGGTTCTGCTCTGATATTTGTTATTTCTTTTCTTATGCTGGGTTTGGGTTTGGCTTGTTCTTGTTTCTCTAGTTCCTTGAAGTGTTATTTTAGATTGTCTACTTATGCTCTTTCAGACTTTTTGATGTAGGCACTTGATGCTATGAACTTTCCTTTTAACGCCACTTTTGGTGTATCCCAGACATTTTGATAGATTGTGTCATTATTATCATTCAGCTCAATTAATTTTTAAATTTCCATCTTGATTTCATACAAAAAAATTCAGAAACAGGTTGATCCTAAATTTTATTTTTCATTTAATTTCCGTGTATTTGCATGGTTGTGAGGGTGCATTTGAAGTTGATTTTCACTTTTATTCCATTGTTGTCTGAGAGAGTAGTTGATATAATTTTGATTGTCTTAAATGTATTGAGACTTGTTTTGTGGCCTATCATATGTCTATCTTGGAGAATGTTTCATGTTCTGAGGAATAAAATGTATATTCTGTAGTTGTTGGGTAGAATGTTCTGTAAATATTTTTCAAGTCCATTTGTTCTAGGCTATAGCTTAAGTCTATTGTTTTTTTGTTGTTGTTGTTGACTTTCTGTCTTGATGACTTGTCTAGTGCTGTCAGTAGAGTATTGAAGTTCCCCATTATCATTGTATTGACATTGATCTCATTTCTTAGGTCTAGTAGTAATTGTTTAATAAATTGGGAGCTCCAGTGTTAGGTCCACATATATTTAGAATTGTGATAGTTTCCTGTCCCTTTATCATTATATAATGTCCCTCTTTGTCTTTCTTTTAACCGTTTTTGTTTCAATATCTGTTTTGTCTGATGTAAGAATGGCGACTACTGCTTGCTCTTAAGGTACATTTGCATGATTATCTTTTTCCAACCCTTTGCCTTAAGTTTATGTGAGTCTTTATGTGTTGGGTGAGTCTCTTTTTTTTTTTTTTTTTTTGAGACGGAGTCTCGCTCTGTCGCCCAGGCGGGACTGCGGACTGCAGTGGCGCAATCTCGGCTCACTGCAAGCTCCGCTTCCCGGGTTCACGCCATTCTCCTGCCTCAGCCTCCCGAGTAGCTGGGACTACAGGCGCCCGCCACCGCGCCCGGCTAATTTTTTTTGTATTTTTAGTAGAGACGGGGTTTCACCTTGTTAGCCAGGATGGTCTCGATCTCCTGACCTCATGATCCACCCGCCTCGGCCTCCCAAAGTGCTGGGATTACAGGCGTGAGCCACCGCGCCCGGCCGAGTCTCTTGATGATAGCAGATATTTGGTTGGTAAATTCTTATCCATTCTACCATTCTGTATCTTTTAAGTGGCACATTTAGGCCACTAATCGCTATAAATTATACCACCATCCATTATAATGCCTGTCATTGCAAGGCTTGAAACACGTTGTAATCCATTCATCTGCATTCAAGTTTGCAGTTATAATAAAAATTTTGGCCTGTTGATTTTCCTGGTGATTAAATAGTCTGTCAAGAGAAAGCAGAGATGCATGGGCATCAACATGGAAGACAGCAATAATGGTAGTGTGTGCCAGGATTCAGACATCTTCCCAGTATTGTTTTCCCCAAACCTCTTTATTCCCAATTAACAATTTGTTTCATTACCATTGGAGCATCCAGGTAGTAAGACCATTTGCTACTGATAAAGTGTTGGTATACAAGTTGTCAGGCCTCTGAGCCCAAGCTAAGCCATCATATCCCCTGTGACCTGTACACATCCAGATGGCCTGTTCCTGCCTTAACTGATGACATTCCACCACAAAAGAAGTGAAAATGGCCCATTCCTGCCTTAACTGATGACATTGTCTTGTGAAATTCCTTCTCCTGGCTCACCCTGTCTCAAAAGCTCCCCTACTGAGCACCTTGTGACCCCCACTCTGCCCACCAGAGAACAACCCCCCTTTGACTGTAATTTATCTACCCAAATCCTATAAAATGTCCCCACCCTTATCTCCCTTCGCTGACTCTCTTTTTGGACTCAGCCTGCCTGTACCCAGGTGATTAAAAGCTTTTATTGCTCACACAAAGACTGTTTGGTGGTCTCTTCACACGGACGCGCATGAAAAAAGTGACAAATCCCTCTGGCTTCCTCCTGTATAGCTCAGAGGATGGCTACTAGTTCAGCTAACTTGCTGCTCCCACCCCTTCTTTCATCAGAAGTGCTTACCTTTTTAACAGGGTTATAAGCCACAGCCTTCCAGCATCGGGTCCCACCAATGTATTTGGTGGATCCATCATAAATCAAGCATGTTTCTGATCCTCTAGGCTTAGTTCTTTTGTTGTACCTGAGCGAGTTAGAAATCGCCACACTTTGAGACAAATTCAAGAGTCCTTTATTAGCCGGCGACCGAGAGATGGCTGACGCACGAAATTCTCTCAGCCCCGAAGAAGGGGCTAGATTTTCTTTTATACTTGGGTTTACAGAGGGGAGGGGGAATTCTAGCTGCAGCAATCTTACAGAAGAAAAACAGACAAAAAAAGTTAAAAAGATAAATGGTTACAGGAAAACAAACAGTTCCAGGTGCAGGGGCTTTTATTTCATCACAAAGTGATAGGTGCGGGGGCTCTGCGTGTTATCTACCGGACAAAATGCGGGGGCTTTATGGCACCATCTCCGAGCAAATTCCAGCGGACTTCGCTTGCCTCAGCACCTTATCAGTTAATTGCACTCTTTGATATATTGAGAGTCAGCTTGCACAAGTTAAGTCCTTGAGGAAAGGGGCTGGGTAAGGAGCACTTGATGTCTTGTAAATGAAGGAGCCAAATGGAGTTCTTCCGGTTCTCTCAGCTAAGGGAGAGTCTATTCATGTTAAAAACAAGGTTAGGTATCTAAGGGAAAGTCTATTCGTGTTAATACAAGATTGGGCTTTACACTTTAAAGGAGTTGCCCCATTGGGTGGGGGAGGTTTCCTTCCCTACCTGCAGGACTTCCTTGGTGATCTCCCGAGCTGGCAAGTTTTGCACATCCTCATGTAAAAATGATACGCTTTGGCTTTGGCTTAGCATGCTCTTGTACATACCATTTCCATTCTATGATGCTACTTTCTTGGGCATGCCCTATCTGGTGAGTTTTGGGGGAACCCATGACTCAAGTCATAGTAGGAATTTCAGGCCTCATAAAGACATCATGGTTGAAGCAGAGGTGTTTCGTTTCCAGCAAAACCCAATAGCAAGCTAACAATTGCTTCTCGAAACGGGTATAAGCTTTGTCATCCTCTGGCAGTTTCTGGTTCCAAAACCTGAAAGGTACCCTCTTCCCATCTTGCTTCTGCCTAAGGCTCCAATTAGCATGTTGATTTAGGACAGTTACTTGCAGTT
Organism: Homo sapiens; assembly: GCF_000001405.40. NCBI lineage: Eukaryota > Metazoa > Chordata > Mammalia > Primates > Hominidae > Homo > Homo sapiens. Next base: position 20,067,552 of record NC_000019.10, on the reverse strand, counting down.
CTACTGGCCCACCCCGTACAGGTCATAGACCCAGGGCCAGTTGACCCACTTGTTTAGCTTGTTCAGAAGCCATGCTCTCTTTCTCTCCCCAAAGAAAGTCATAGCGTTTTCTAGTGGCTGCATGCAGAGGTTGTAAAATGTTACCCAAGTGAGGAATATCATGTCTCCAGAATCCAAACAAGCCAATACATTTCTGGGCCTCCTTTTTAGTGGTAGGGGTTGCAAATTCTAGTATTTTAGCCTTGGCCTTTGGTAAAATGGACTATTTCCCTGCATTCCATAGAATGCCGAGGAATTTTACAGTTTGTGCTTGTCCTTGAATTTTACTAAGGTTAATTTCCTATCCTTGAGATAAGAGCTGGGTTTTTACCTGCTCCAGGCCCCAGCTGATTAGTTCTTCAATTTTACCCTGATAAGACCATTGGGACAGCTGCTTTTTTCATCAATAGGCTGATATCTTTGAGCCTGATCAGTCAAGACATAGGCCTGGCTTTGGGCCAGGGTCAGTCTGGAAGTCGGATTAGCATTTTTTTTTCCAGCTTACCTTTTCTCTTGTAGCAACCAGCCCCTATCTTGATACATTAACTTATAAGCAGTAAGCAAACACCATCCACTCCGGGAGATCCCTCAGCATCTCCTTTGCTCACTGGAATCCCCTGCAGCACTTCCCGCACAGTCAAAGGTTTAAATTGCACTAATTTAGATTCTCAGTTCCCACAAAGACCAGTTCCCCTTAACCATTCAGTCCCCAAAGGTGAGAACTGGGGGAGTTCCCATTCCTGGATATGGGAATTCCTCGAGTTTCCAGCTCTGTCATTGTGGCAAAAAAGTGGCAGTTTGGTTTTCAAATCCTGTTTGTGATGCCAAAAATGTTCTGTGTGGGAAACGCGCAAGGGGAGAAGAAAAGACACACACACAATACCTTTAAAGGTCAACAAGCTTTATCCTACATAAATGGAAATGCAGATATAATAAGCAAATGAGATAAGCAAATCAATGAAATAAGCAGATTGATACAATAAGCAAATTGCAATGGAAAGAGGAGAAGGGAAAAGAGATATATATATTATGCTCGCCAGACTATGGAGGATTCACCACCAGAGTGGGAAGCAACAGTCTGGGCTCCAGAATCAGACACTCATCTATGCACAGATGAGGAGAGGTCTCATGAAGCTTGGGCACACTCTGGGACCCTAGCTCTTTGGTAATGAGTTGTTTGGCATAAGGCCCAGTCAAGAGAGTCGTTCATGATTGGGCTCAAGCAACACAAAAAAGTCAACTTGCTTTTGCAATTCTCTATTGTTTTTCAACAACTAATATATAGGAATAGATTGAGCCGGGCGCGGTGGCTCACGCCTGTAATCCCAGCACTTTGGGAGGCCGAGGCGGGCGGATCACGAGGTCAGGAGATCGAGACCATCCCGGCTAAAACGGTGAAACCCCGTCTCTACTAAAAATACAAAAAATTAGCCGGGCGTAGTGGCGGGCGCCTGTAGTCCCAGCTACTTGGGAGGCTGAGGCAGGAGAATGGAGTGAACCCGGGAGGCGGAGCTTGCAGTGAGCCGAGATCCCGCCACTGCACTCCAGCCTGGGTGACAGAGCGAGACTCCGTCTCAAAAAAAAAAAAAAAAAAGGAATAGATTGAAATAGAGATATCTCCAAAACAGTGCTGGATGAATGCATCAAGGGGCTCACACAACCTGTTCCAGGACTTGGTGACCATTGGTTGTGTCCATTTTCAATTGAGTTCAAATTTAATATTTAACTTTTCCTCCACAAATTTTCCTGTCTTGATGAATTGGCTCTGTCTAGGCAAAGGGCAAGGTGAACCCCTTGGGCAGTTACACTACTCTGCCTTCTGGGTTCAAGTGATTCTCCTGCCTCAGCCTCCATAGTAGCTGGGACTACAGGTATGCACCACCACACCCAGCTAATTTTTTTGTATTTTTAGTAGAAATGGGGTTTCACCATGTTGGCCAGGCTGGTCTTGAACTCCTGACCTCAAGTGATCTGCCCACCTCGGCCTCCTAAAATGTTGGGATTACAGGCGTGAGCCAGCACTCCCTAAATTTTGTGTGTGTGTGTGTGTGTTTTTAGCAGAGACAGGATTTCACCATGTTGTCCAGGCTGGTGGTGAACTCCTGACCTCAAGTGATCCATCCACCTGCCTCGGCCTCCCAAAAATGATTTCTTTCTATCTCCTATAACAGTTTGAAATTACTTAAAGGGTGTTTCAAATTGAAAAAATAAAAAGAATGGCTCTCCCTCTCCCTCTCCCTTTCCCTCTCCCCACGGTCTCCCTCTCCCTCTCTTTCCATGGTCTCCCTCTGATGCCGAGCAGAAGCTGGACTGTACTGCTGCCATCTCGGCTCACTGCACCTCCCTGCCTGATTCTCCTGCCTCAGCCTGCCAAGTGCCTGCGATTGCAGGCGCTCGCCACCACGCCTGACTGGTTTTCGTATTTTTTTTTTGGAGACGGGGTTTCGCTGTGTTGGCCGGGCTGGTCTCCAGCTCCTCACCGCGAGTGATCCGCCAGCCTCGGCCTCCCGAGGTGTCTGGATTGCAGACGGAGTCTCGTTCACTCAGTGCTCAATGGTGCCCAGGCTGGAGTGCAGTGGCGTGATCTCGGCTGGCTACAACCTCCACCTCCCAGCCGCCTGCCTTGGCCTCCCAAAGTGCCGAGATTGCAGCCTCTGCCCGGCCGCCACTCCGTCTGGGAAGTGAGGAGCGTCTCTGCCTGGCCGCCCATCGTCTGGCATGTGAGGAGCCCCTCTGCCTGGCTGCCCAGTCTGGAAAGTGAGGAGCATCTCTGCCCGGCCGTCATCCCATCTAGGAAGTGAGGAGCGTCTCTGCCCGGCCGCCCATCATCTGAGATGTGGGGAGCGCCTCTGCCCCGCCACCCCATCTGGGATGCGAGGAGCGCCTCTGCTCGGCCGCCCCGTCTGAGAAGTGAGGAGACCCTCCGCCTGGCAGCCGCCCCGTCTGAGAAGTGAGGAGCCCCTCCGCCCGGCAGCCACCCCGTCTGGGAAGTGAGGAGCGTCTCTGCCCGGCAGCCACCCCATCCGGGAGGGAGGTGGGGGTCAGCCCCCACCAGGCCAGCCGCCCTGTCCGGGAGGTGAGGGGCGCCTCTGCCCGGCCGCCCCTACTGGGAAGTGAGGAGCCCCTCTGCCCGGCCACCACCCCGTCTGGGAGGTGTACCCAACAGCTCATTGAGAACAGGCCATGATCACAAGGTTGGTTTTGTGGAATAGAAAAGGGGGAAAGGTGGGGAAAAGATTGAGAAATCGGATGGTGGCTGTGTCTGTGTAGAAAGAAGTAGACATGGGAGACTTTTCATCTTGTTCTGTACTAAGAAAAATTCTTCGGCCGGGCGTGGTGGCTCACGCCTGTAATCCCAGCACTTTGGGAGGCCGAGGCGGGTGGATCATGAGGTCAGGAGATCGAGACCATCCTGGGTAACACAGTGAAACCCCGTCTCTACTAAAAATACAAAAAATTAGCCGGGAGCGGTGGCGGGCTCCTGTAGTCCCAGCTACTTGAGAGGCTGAGGCAGGAGAATGGCGTGAACCCAGGAGGCGGAGCTTGCAGTGAGCCGAGATTGCGCCACTGCACTCCAGCCTGGGCGACAGAGCCAGACGCTGTCTCAAAAAAAAAAAAAAAAAAAAAAAAAAAAAAATTCTTCTGCCTTGGGATCCTGTTGATCTATGACCTTACCCTCAACCCTGTGCTCTCTGAAACATGTGCTGTGTCCACTCAGGGTTAAATGGATTAAGGGCGGTGCAAGATGTGCTTTGTTAAACAGATGCTTGAAGGCAACATGCTGGTTAAGAGTCATCACCACTCCCTAATCTCAAGTACCCAGGGACACAAACACTGCGGAAGGCCGCAGGGTCCTCTGCCTAGGAAAACCAGAGACCTTTGTTCACTTGTTTATCTGCTGACCTTCCCTCCACTATTGTCCTATGACCCTGCCAAATCTCCCTCTGCGAGAAACACCCAAGAATGATCAATTAAAAAAAAAAAAAAAAGAAATAAAGCATTACAAATATAGTTTAAAAAAAAGAATATGGATAAAAATGAAATACAGACAAAAAATTACAAGAGATTACAAAATATATATGTAAATCTGGAGTGGTCAAAATTGACAAATTTTATTTATTTATAAAGTGTTATTAAAATTAGCTTTAGTATTGATAATGCACTATTACCAAAGTAAACGTTGTTGAATACATTCAAAAAGAGAGAGGGTAAAAAAGAGATAGAACCCCTATTCAATGGCTAGGAGATGAGAAAGCAGCAGAGATCGAAAAGAAACTTTATAAAATTCTTCTGAAATTCTGCCACCTTTCTTCATATTGCTCATGTTTCTCATGCTGAGAGTAGCTGTGCGGTTTGGGTGTTTAGACAGAAATTTCTTTTAAGGGAATATTTTCTGACTGACTTGATCAATCTCATATCTAATCTGAGCTTTTTCTTAAAATCTTTTTAACTTTCTTCTCTCAAAATAATCTCGCTCAGATGGAGATCTGTTTTTCTCTCCAATGCTTTGTCTGTTTCAGAAGCCCTGTTAGTATTAGTATCCCATGGTGTCTGAATGGGGTGGGCTGTCACAGTGAGAACTTTTGGAGCTATCTCTATCTGGACTCAGGCTGGAAATTCAGCAGTATTTTTTCCTTGTCACCATTATAAGTGGAAACTGAGGCTGAAACACTACTCCCATTTCCATTATTGTGAAGGTGTAATTCTACCCATGAGGCCTGCAGGCTCTCCTCCTGCAGCTCAGGCCTCACTCGCTCATGTGACACTAGAGTGCTGCTGTGGCAAATGGGGTTCACATAAAATGTGAGCTGTGCTGTTGGCTGTGCCTCAGTGGCAGATGGTAGAGGTGAATAGAGGACACTAGCAACCAGGAGAAAGCAAGCAGGAGTGCTGTAGCCAAGTGCCAGTGAGTACAGAGCCACTGCTCTAAAATGTAAATAGCCAAAAATATAGAATCCTACTGAAACTTTTTTGTAGCAGAGTGAAAGCCTACCTTCAGCAGGCACTTGGCTTCAAGCTGCAAAACTACCTCCTGTTATGAAGATGTGAAAAATTTATTTGTCATTGAATGTAAGTAATTAGCATACACAGGTGGCCTTTTCATTCTCCAGGTGAATTTAGGATGAACCCTGTATGACATGGTGCTGGAAATTCTTCTACTTGTGGACCAATTATGGTGACCATCCTTCTGTCTTTGTGAACTGTTAAGCAGATTGACTATGATGCATGTCACATTCAAGTTTAATTGTGTAATAAAACCATTTTCTTTCTCTTCTATTATTGTGGAGTTTCTCTGGGGCTGGATAAAATTTTTCTTTTTTGCTGTTTTCTTTTTTTTCTTGAGAAGGTCTCACTCTGTCACCCAGGCTAGAGTGCAGTGGTACAGGAGTGAGCCACCATGCCCAGCCCAATTTTTCTTTTAAGGATTGTTTGCAAACATTGTCTAGAATTACCAGACATGATATAAACACATAAGGTGTCAACCAGAATTTACTCTAGAGGAGAGTTTCCCTCTCAGGCTTCCAGTCATCTCATAGTTGTGTAGCACAGTGCATGCCATCCCCTAAATATGCAGGCAGAATTGTGTCTCTGCTGATTTGGTATCTATAGTCCTCTACAGTCACTTCTAGAGAGGCTAGACCACATTTCTCCAAGTTTCAGAGAGTAGCAATCAATTATTTTACCTCTTTCACTGACTCTTGTGTCTTTAGACCTGAAACTGATTCAGATACTATAAAGCCCAGAAACTTAATCAGAATAACATGTGTGCATTGAGTAGACATGTAGACATGAGAATCTCCACTTTCCCCTTCCTCCTCATGCTAAAATCCCAACAAACGTGCAGGTAACACCTGCTGCAACTCCAGCAATTCAGGCTCTAAATCTGTAGCTCCAAATTTTGAATTGAGGTCTTGAGATTTGGGAAATAAAAAACTTTTGTCTGAAAAATGGAAGTCTTTTTGTTATCAAGCTCAGACAGACATTAAAATAGAAGTACAGTTATGTCTTTCTCCCCTTTTGAACTATGTATTCATCTCTTGAAACTGTTCACTATTGGCACGAGTAGTATAAATTAAACTAATAATGCCACATTGGACACTATATCCCATACTGTAAACCATAAGGATATATATATGATATATGATATATATATGATATATGATATATATCTAATCAATAATCAATGTTATTTCTGTAAATAAATAAAAAAATTTTCTTTTTTTTTTTGAGATGGAATCTCACTCTGTCACTCAGGCTGGAGTGCAGTGGTGCAATCTCGGCTCACTACAACCTCTGCCTCCCGGGTTCAAGCGACTCTCCTGCCTCAGCCTCCCAAGTAGTTGACACTACAGGCACGCACCACCATGCCTGGCTAATTTTTCTATTTTTAGTAGAGACGGGGTTTCACCATATTGGCCAGGCTTGTCTCAAACCCCTGACCTCAGGTGATCCACCCACCTCGGCCTCCCAAAGTGCCGGAATTACACGCATAAACCACCGTGCCCAGGCTCTGCATTAGTTTTCTAAGAATAATGATCTCCAGCTTTATCGATGTTATTGCATCAATGAAGATGGGAAAAGTTTATTTGTCATTGAATATAAGCAATTAGCATACACAAATGGCCTCATCATTCTCCAGGTGAATTTAGCATGAACTATGTATGACATGGTGCTGTAAATTCTTCTACTTGTGGACTAATTATGGTGACCATCTTTATGTTTTTGCGATCTGTTAAGCAGACTGATGATGATGCATGTCACATTCAAGTTTAATTGTGTAATAAAACCATTTTCTTTCTGTTCTATTATTGTGGAGTTTCTCTGGGGATGGAGAATATTTTTCTTTTAATTAATGTTTCCAAACACTGTCTAGAATTACCAGACATGATGTACACACAGAAGGTGCCAACCAGAATGTACTCTAAAAGGGACTTTCTCTCTGAGGATTCTAGTCAACTGACAGTTGTGTAGCACAGTGCATGCTGTTCCCTAAATATGCAGACAGAATTGTGTATCTGCCTAGTTGGTACTTACAGTCCTCTACAGTCACTTCTAGAGAGGCTAAATCACATTTCTACGAACTTCAAACTCAGAGAGAGTTAAAAGAAAGTGTAGTTATGTATTTCTCCCCCCTTTGAACTATATATTCATCTCTTGAAACTGTTCACTATTGGCACAGGTAGGTAAAAATTAAACTAATAATGCCACATTGGACACTATATCCCATACCCTAAACCATAATGATATATATCTAATTAATAATCAATGTTATTTCTGTAAATAAATAACAATTTCTGACAATCAACTTTGTATCAGCCCACTCTCTGTTCCTCTCTTGTTGTCTTTACAAATCTTCCTGTAACTGCTGCTGATCACAGTAGAGGTTTCAGACAACTTGAATCTTTGCTCTCAGGTTGTAATCCATAAACTTGACCCAAATAAACTGTGTACTTTTCATGCACGTCCATGTGAAGAGACCACCAAACAGGTTTTGTGTGAGCAATAACAGCTT